>NC_000013.11:20908106-22158106 GCF_000001405.40 Homo sapiens
AAATAGAAGAGGAGGAGAATGTTGTTCAAATTCAAATAATTTCTCACTAGGCATGAAAGAAATGTTTATAGTTTAGAAAAAGGTAGATGCCTGGTTAAAATGTTCCTGAAACAAGAACATCTTACAAATAGATCCCCCTGCTTTTGGAGTATTCCTTTTACAACTGTGATGCTATGGGCTCCAAAATCATTCCTACTTATTTTTCACAAAAAGTGATCTGTTGAGTGAGTATATTATATATTTTTCCTTGGAAACATAGGGTTGTTTGGTTTTGTGGGTCTTTTAAAATGGAAACCAGTGGGATTTGCCTTATAACCAACTTTATATTATCTGTTTTTCCTAAGTTAGTGGCTCTCCAGGAACTTTTGTAAAACAAAAATATAGTTACTGCTGACATACTGGTACAAAGGAAAAGCCAACAGTTGTGCATAACAGATAGTGATACTTTAAAACTAGAAGAGATATAGAGCTGATACAGTCTTAAGATGTTGGAACTGAAAATACATTAAGGATTCTGTTTTTCAGATGAAAAAATTAAGACCCAGAGAAATTAAGTAATCCATGACCAAGACAGTCACCTGTCTTGCAGTTAGACATCTTTTGTGGTAAAGTGGACAAAGGCTGGAATTCACATCAGAAGAACTGGATTTGTATTGCATCTCTGCTTCTTATGAACAGTGTTTATTGAGTAAATAACGTCTCAGGACCTCAGTTTGACCCTGTATAAAGTGGAAATTATCACAAGGGCGTGAGATTCAAGGTAGATAATACACTTGAGATAACTTTGTAAAAATGTAATGTCTATGAATGCAAGGTAATACTGTTATGATAGTGTGGCAGTTGATTGAGTACTTACCTGGCACAGTGTTTGATGCTATAAGAGTCACTGGAATTGAAGTCATGGCCTTTGCTTCCTGAGAATTTGAGTTCTAGTTGAAAAGATGAGACTAATGCATTTAAAAGAATAGCAGTTAATTCATTTTCTGTTACTTCCCTCACTTTTTTCCAACTGTACTGTAAAAAAAATTGGTCTTTGTCTCTGATTCCTTATTCCTGGCACAGAACACCTAAAACCCTTGGAATTTCCTGAGTGGTAGAAATCTTTTTTGTTAGTTTCAACAAGCCACTTTCAATCATACCTGAGCTGATGAGGTAACTTAGGGTGGGTTCCCTAGATAGCCTCAGAATGGGTTGGTCGCCAGAAAGCACAAGTGATTAGACGGTTGGAACTTTCTGCCCCATTGGCCTCTGGGGAGCAGCAGGGGTGCTGGTGACTGAGTTCTCAAAACTGCAACAATGAGATTCAAGATTCACTGAGCTTCCGGGATGGTGAATGCATGTATGTGCAGGGACACATCCCAATACGGGGGATAGAGGCTTCTGCACTTGGGACCCTTCTGGACCTCACTGTGTGTACCACTTCATCAGCCTGTTCATTCTTTGTAATAAACTGGTAAATTTAAGCTTCCTGAGTTCTGGAGTTCTAGCAAATTATCAAATGTAAGCAGGAGATCATGAAACCCCCAAATTATAACCAGTGGATCAGCAGTATGAGTGTTCCCCAGGATTTGTGACTAGCATTTGAACTGAAGACAGTCTTGTGGGACTGATTCTTTAATTTGTGGGGTATGCAGTAACAGTGAATAGTGTCAGAATTGAATTGAACTGTAGGACACTCATTCATTTGTTTTAGAGAATCACACACCAACATATGGATTGTTGGTATATGCAAGAAGTTGATACAAATAGTAAATAGTCTAATCAGTTTGAGACTACTACAATAATGGTAGTTAATGTTTACACCACAACTACCATATGAAGAACATTTTCATCTATTAACTTATTTAATCCTCACAACAACCCTGTGAGATGAATACTACTATTTATCCCAAATTTCAGATGAAAACTTTTAGGTGTACAACAGTTCAGTAACTTGCTTCAGAAATAGTGGAAATGGGATTTGTTATTTTTTTGTTTTTTTTTTTGAGACGGAGTCTCGTTCTGTTGCCCAGGCTGGAGTGCAGTGGCGCGATCTCGGCTTACTACAAGCTCCACCTCCCAGGTTCACGCCATTCTCCTGCCTGAGCCTCCTGAGTAGCTGGGCCTACAGGCACCCGCCACCATGTCCAGTTAATTTTTTGTATTTTTAGTAGAGATGGGGTTTCACCATGTTAGCCAGGATGGTCTTGATCTCTGACCTCGTGATCTGCCTGCCTCTGCCTCCCAAAGTGCTGGGATTACAGGCGCGAGCCACCGCACCCGGTGGAAATGGGATTTGAAATCACACAATTTCTTTTCTAATCATGGTGAAATAAAACTAGAAATTAATGGCATAAGGAAAATGGAAAATTAGTACATATGTGGAAATTAAACAACACACTGTAACTTTTTTTTCTATTTTTTCCCCTTTTTTTTGCTTTTTTTTTATTTTTTATTTTTTTTTTATTGGGCAGTCCCTGGCCGGGCATGGTGGCTCACACCTGTAATCCCAGCACTTTGGGAGGCCGAGATGGGCAGATCACTTGAGGTCAGGAGTTTGAGACCAGCCTGGCCAACATGGTGAAAACTCATCTCTACTAAAAATACAAAAAAAGTTAGCTGGGCACGTTGGCGCGGGCCTGTAGTCCCAGCTACTCCAGAGGCTGAGGCAGGAGAATCGCTTGAACCCGGGAGGCAGAGGTTGCAGTGAGCTGAGATCGCACCACTGCACTCTAGCCTGGGCAACAGGGCAAGACTCCATCTCAAAAAAAAAAAAAAAGAAAAAACTTGGGCAGCCCCCAAACAAGAATAGACTCTGAGAGACTCCCAAATGACACACTTTTAAACAACCAAAGAGTCAAAGAAGAAATCACAAGGGAAATTAGAAAATATCCTGAGATAAATCAAAATAAAAACACAACATACCAAAAGTTATGGGATGCAGCAAAAGCAATACTAAGAGGAAATTTATTTATAAATGTTGGGAGCCGAAAAGACCAAAGGGATCGTGACCAACTCAGCATTCCACTGGAGGCTATATGATCAAACAGCCAACTGTTTATCATGAATGCAGGATGTGGGCAGACTCAGCGACTGTGCCTACCGCCAGAAGGTTTGCTGAGGGCAATCACTCCCTGGTGCTGTGCTCATTGAGGTTATCTACTGGGACATCTAGAGCTTATTGTTTGAAGAATGCAGTCTTGCAAGCCAGCTGTAAATCAAGCTGCTGACCAACCACTGCCTCCTCCCTGTGTCCTTTACTCAATAAAATGCGAAGGGCTCTAAAGCTCAGGGCCCTTGTTCACTAGAAGCAAGGACCGCCTCCTCCCAACCCCTTCTTCCAAATATACTCTTTTGCCTTTATCTTTATTCCCAAGTTCGTCATCCTTTGTTCAGTCCAACAGGGATAGGGTCCACAGCAACAACAAACACATTTAAAAAGAAGAAAGTTGTCAAGTCAACAACCTAACATTATACCTTAAGGAACTAGAAGAAGAAGAACAAACTAAACCTAAAGCTAGCAGAAGGAAAAAAATAAACATTAAGCAGAGATAAATGAAATCGAGAATGGGAACCAATAGAGAGAATCAATAAAACCAAGAATTTGTTCTTTGAAAGGATCAACAAAATTGACAAACTTAACTAGATTAAGAATAAAAAAGAGATAGGCTGGGTGGGCGTGGTGGCTCATGTCCGTAATCCGAGCACTTTGGTAGGCTGAGGCAGGAGTTTGAGACCAGCCTGACCAACATAGTGGCCAAATCCCATTTCTACCGAAAATACAAAATTAGCTGGGTGTGGTGGCAGGTGCCTGTAGTCCCAGCTACTCGGGAGGCTGAGGTGGGAGAATCGCTTGGACTCGGGAGGCAGAGGTTACAGTGAGCCGAGACTGCGACATTGCACTCCAGCCTGGGTGACAGAGTGAGACACCATCTCAAAAAAATAAATAAATAAAAATAAAAGAGAGAACCCCGCTAGGCATGGTGGCGCACAGCTGTAATCCCAGCAGTTTGGGAGGCCAAGGTGAGAAGATTGCTTGAGCCCAGGAGTTAGAGATCAGCCTGAGCAACATGGTGAAATCCCATCTCTACAAAAAATACAAAATTTAGCCAGGCATGCTGATGTGTGCCTGTAGTTCCAGCTACTGAAGAGGCTGAGGCAGGAGAATCGCTTGAGCCCAGGAGGCAGAGGTTGCAGTGATCTGAGATCATGCTACTGTACTCAAGCCTGAGTGACACAGCAAGACCTTGTGTCAAAAAAAAAAAAAAAAAAAAAAAAAAAGAAGGCTGGGCCTGGTGGCTCACGCCTGTAATCCCAGCACTTTGGGAGGCCAAGGCAGCTGGCTCACGAGGTCAGGAGATCGAGACCATCCTGGCTAACATGGTGAAACCCCGACTCTACTAAAAATACAAAAAAATTAGCCAGGTGCAGTGTTGGGCACCTGTAGTCCCAGCTACTCGGGAGGCTGAGGCAGGAGAATGGCGTGAACCCAGGAGGCAGAGCTTGCAGTGAGCCAAGATCATGCCACTGTACTGGAGCCTGGGAGACAGAATGAGACTCTGTCTCAAAAAAAAAAGAAAGAAAGAAAGGAGAGGCTGAGTGCAGTGGCTCATGCCTATAATCCTAGCACTTTGGGAGGCCGATGCGGGCAGATCACTTGAGGTCAGGTGTTCAAGACCAGCCTGGCCAAAATGGTGAAACCCCGTCTGTACTAAAAATACAAAAATTAGCTGAGCGTGGTGGCAGGCACCTGTAGTCCCAGCTACTCAGGAGGCTGAGGCAGGAGAATCGCTTGAACCTGGGAGGCAGAGGTTGCAGAGAGCCAAGATTGCACCACTGCACACCAGCCTGGGTGACAGAGGGAGACTCCTTCTCAAAAAAAAAAAAAAAAAAAAAAAAAGAAAGAAAAGGAAAGAAAAAGAAAGAAAGAAAGAAGGATTAACACCAAGCCTCCTCAACTCTTTTGAAAATTTAAGAAGTGAGAACATATCCAGACTTATTCTGTGAGGCCAGTATTACCCTCATACCAAAGCCAAAGACAGTGCAAGAAAAGAAAATGATAGACCAATTCCCTGATGAATATTGATGCAAAAATCCTCAACAAAATTCTAGCGAACAACTCAAGTATGTTAAAAAGATGCTATGATGAAGTGGAATTTATTCCTGAAACATAATGTCATGCACTACCTAACAGAATGAAGGGGAAAAAACCCACACGATCACATCAATTGTTGAAGAAAAAGTGTCTGACAAAATTCAATGTCCTTCCATGATAAAAACACTCAACCAATTAAGAACAGAAGGAAACTACCTTAACATAATAAAGGCCATATATGAAAAAATCCCACAACTAACCCCATACTCAGTGGTAAACGACCGAAAGCTTGCTTCCCCTCTAAGATCAGGAGAAAGACAAAGATGCACACTCTCACTACCTCTGTCCAACAAAGTACCGGAAGTCCTAGTCAGAGCAAATGGACAAGAAAAATAAATAAAATAAATTGAAAAGGAAGAAGGAAAAGTATCTCGGTTCACAGAAGACGAGATTTTTTTTTTTGAGATGGAGTTTCACTCTTGTTGCCGAGGCTAGAGTGCAATGGTGCAATCTCAGCTCACTGCAACCTCTGCCTCCCGAGTTCAAGCAATTCTCCTGCATCAGCCTCCGGAGTAGCTGGGATTACAGGTACCTGCCACCACGCCCAGCTAATTTTTGTATTTTTAGTAGAGACGGGGTTTCACCATATTGGCCAGGCTGATCTTGAACTCCTGACCTCAGGTGATCTGCTCACCTTGGCCTCCCAAAGTGCTAGGATTATAGGCATGAGCCACTGCACCCGGCTGACATGATCTTATATGTAGGAAACCCTACACAAAAATCTGTTAGAACAAATAAATGAATTCAGCAAAGTTTCAGGATATAAAATCAACATACAAAAATTAGTTGTGTTTCTATACACTAACAATGAGCCATACAAAAAAGAAATTAAGAAAGCAATTACATTCACAATAGCATCAGAACAAATAAAATACTTAAGAATAAACTTAGGCCGGGCGCGGTGGCTCACGCTTGTAATCCCAGCACTTTGGGAGGCCGAGGCGGGTGGATCACGAGGTCAGGAGATCGAGACCACGGTGAAACCCCGTCTCTACTAAAAATAAAAAAAAAATTAGCCGGGCGTGGTGGCGGGCGCCTGTAGTCCCAGCTACTCGGAGAGGCTGAGGCAGGAGAATGGCGTGAACCCGGGAGGCGGAGCTTGCAGTGAGCCGAGGCTGCGCCACTGTACTCCAGCCTGGGTGACAGAGCGAGACTCCGTCTCAAAAAAAAAAAAAAAAAAAAAAGAATAAACTTAACCAAGGAAGACTTATGCACTGAAAATCACAAAATATTGCAGGAAGAAATTAAAGAAGACACAACTAAATGGAAAGATATCTCATGTCAATAGATTGGAAGACTTAATATTGTTACAATGTCAACATTACCTGAGTGATATACAGATTAAATGCAATTGCTATCAAAATCCCAACTGCATTTTTTGCAGAAATAGAAAAATCTATCCTGTCATTCATATGGAATCTCAAGGGATCTTGAATAGTTAAAACAATCTTGAAAAAGAAGACCACGATTGGAGGTCTCACACCTTCTGATTTCAAAACTTATTACAAAGCTACAGTAATAAAAGTGGGGAATTTGTATAAAGACAGACAGACCAATAGAATCAAATAGCCCAGAAATGAGTCCTTACATACATGGTCCAGTGATTTTTTTTTTTTTTTTTTTGAGACGGAGTCTCGCTGTTGCCCAGGCTGGAGTGCAGTGGCACGATCTCGGCTCACTGCAGGCTCCGCCCCCCAGGGTTCACACCATTCTCCTGCCTCAGCCTCCCGCGTAGCTGGGACTACAGGCGCCCGCCACCTCGCCTGGCTAATTTTTTGTATTTTTTAAGTAGAGACGGGGTTTCACCATGTTAGCCAGGATGGTCTCGATCTCCTGACCTCGTCATCCGCTTGCCTCGGCCTCCCAAAGTGCTGGGATTACAGGAGTGAGCCACCCGCACCCGGCGGTCCAGTGATTTTTGACAATAGTGCCAAGACCATTCAATGGGGAAATCACAGTGTTTTCAACAAATGATACTGGGAAAACTGGATGTCCACATGCAAAAGAATGATGTTGGACCCTTAACCTTACACCATATGCAAAACTTAAAATGGTTCAAAGACCTAAATTTAAGATCTAAAACTATAAAACTCTTAGAAGAAAACGTAAGGAGAAAGTTTCATGACCTTGGACTTGGCAATAATTTCTTAGATAAGACACACAAAAAAACATTAAAAAGTGAATAGATAAATTGGACTATATCAAAGTTTATCAAAGTTTAAACAATGTGCATCAAACGACAAAATCAACAGAGTGAAAAATCTAGAATGCGAGAAAATATCTGCAATCATATGTCTGATAAGCAGTTAATATTCAGAATATATAAAGAGCTCCTACAACTCAACAAAAAATATATAACCTGATTAAAAAATGGACAAAGGGGCTGAGCACGGTGGCTCATGCCTGTAATCCCGGCACTTTGGGAGGCCTAGGTGGGTGGATCGCTTGAGCCTAGGAGTTCAAGACCAGCCTGAGCAACATAGCAAAGCCCTTTTTTGTTTTTTTGGTCTCTACAAAAAATACAAAAATTAGCAGGGTGTGGTGGTGCATACCTGTAGTCCCAGCTACTCAGGAGGCTGAGGTGGGAGGATCACCTGAGCCTAGGAGGTCAAGGCTGCAGTGAGCCGTGATCGCACCACTGCACTCCAACCTGAGCAACAGAGTGAAACCCTGTATCAAAAAATCAATAAATAGGCCGGACATTGTGGCTCACGCCTGTAATCCCAGCACTTTAGGAGGCTGAAGTGGGCAGATCAACATGGTGAAACCTTGTCTCTACTAAAAATACAAAAAAAATAAATAAATAACCAGGCATGTGACACGCACTTGTAGTACCAGCTACTTGGGAGGCTGAGGCAGGAAAGTCACTGGAATCCAGGAGGTGGAGGTTACAGTGAGCTGAGATAGCACCACTGCACTCCAGCATAGGTGACAGAGGGAGACTCTGTCTCTAAATAAATAAATAAAGGACAAAGGACTTGCATAGACCTTCCTCCAAAGAAGATATAAAAATGGCCAACAAGCATATGATAAGATGCTCAGCATGACTAATCATTAGGGAAATGCACATCGAACCCACGAGAGCTGAGCAGAGCGGCATGCACCTACAGTCCAAGCTACTTGGGAGGTAGAGGCAGAAGGTGAGACCCCATCTCTAAAAAAAATTTTTAATAAAAAATAAAGAAACCACATGAGTTATTGTGTCACACCTATTAGTATGGCCAGTATGAAAAAAATAGAAAAAAAAAAAGTCTTGGCCGGGCGCGGTGGCTCACGCCTGTAGTCCCAGCACTTTGGGAGACTGAGGAGGGCAAATCATCTGGAGTCAGGAGTTCGAGACCAGCCTGGCTAACATGGCAAAACCCCATCTCTACTAAAAATGCACAATACAAAAATTAGCCAGGTGTGGTGGCACACACCAGTAATCTCAGCTACTTCGGAGGCTGAGGCAGGAGAATTGCTTGAACCCGGGAGATGGAAGTTGCAGTGAGCCACAATCACGCCACTGCACTCCAGCCTGGGCATCAGAGCAAGACTCCATCCCCCCAAAAAAAGAAAAAATAAAAAAACAAGTGTTGATGGGTATGTGGAGAAATTGGAACCCTTGTACACCATTTGTGGGAATATAAAATGGTGCAGCTGCTGTGGCAAATAGCTGGGCAGTTTTGGCAGTTCCTCAAAAAGTTAAACATAGAATGACCATATGATCCAGCAATCCCACTTTTGGATATATATCCAAAAGAACGGAAGGACACTGGTACACTCGCATTCACAGCACCACTATTCACAATAGCCAAAAGGCAAAAGTAACCCAAATGTCCATTGAGGGATGAATAGAAAAATGTGGTCTCTACATACAGTGGAATATTAGCCTTAAAAAGGAAAGAAATTATGACATATGCTACATCTGAGCAAACCTTGAGAACATTATAGTAAATGAAATAAGCCAGTCACATAGAGATAAAATGCTGCATTCATTTACATGACGCCCTTAGAGTAGTCAAACTCATAAAAACAGAAAGTAGAAAGGTGGTTGCCATCCACAGGATGGGGAGTTATTCAATGGATGTAGAATTTCAGTTTTCTTTTTTTTTCCCCCTTTTTTATTTTTTGAGATGGAGCCTCACTCTGTCACCCAGGCTGGAGTGCAGTGGTCCGATCTCAGCTCTCTGCAATCTCCGCCTCCTGGGTTCGAGCGATTCTCCTGCCTCAGACTCCCAAGTAGCTGGGATTACAGGCGCCTGCCATCATGCCCTGCTAATTTTTTGTATTTTTAGTAGAGACGGGGTTTCGCCATCTTGGCCAGGCTGGTCTTGAACTCCTGACCTCATGATCCACCCGCCTCAGCCTCCCAAAGTGCTGGGATTGCAGGCATGAGCCACTGCGCCCAGCCAGAATTTCAGTTTTCTAAGATGAAAAAGTCCTAGAGATTTGCTGCACAACGATTTGAATATACTTAACAGTATTGAACTGCATACTTCAGAATGATTTAGGGGATTGGCTGGGAGCCATGGATCACACCTGTATCCCAGCACTTTGAGAGGCCGAGGCGGGCAGATCACTTGAGGTCAGGAGTTCAAGACCAGCCTGGCCAATGTGGTAAAACACCATCTCTACTAAACATACAACATTTAGCCAGGTGTAGTGGTGCACACCTGTGGCCTCAGCTACTCAGGAGGCTGAGGCAGGAGAATCTCTTGAACCCAGGAGGCAGAGGTTGCAGTGAGCCAAGATTGGGCCATTGCACTCCAGCCTGGGCGACAGAGCAAGACTCCGTCTCAAAGAAAAAAGAAATTGTTTTAAGAAAGAAAAATATGTTTTCATAATAAATCTAAGATAATATTGGCCTTTTCATTCTCTTTCTCCAGTTAATATTAGAGTTTTCCAGAGGCTACATGGTATGTTATATCACAATAGATTGAATGTAGAGACACATATGAAAATTCAGTGACATTCTGTTAAGACAGACATTATGCCGGACACGGTAGCTCATGCCTGTAATCCCAGCACTTTGGGAGACCAAGGCAGACAGATCACCTGAGGTCAGGAGTTCCAGACCAGGGTGGCCAACATAGTGAAACCCGATGTCTACTAAAAACACAAAAATTGGCGGGGCACGGTGGCTCACGCCTGTAATCCCAGCACTTTGGGAGGCCGAGGCAGGCAGATCACAAGGTCATGAGATCGCGACCATCCTGGCTAACACGGTGAAACCCTGTCTCTACTTAAAAAAAAAAAAAATTAGCCAGGCGTGGTGGCGGGCACCTGTAGTCCCAACTACTCGGGAGGCTGAGGCAGGAGAATGGCGTGAACCCGGGAGGCGGAGCTTGCAGCGAGCCGAGATCGCGCCACTGCACTCCAGCCTGGGCGACAGAGCGAGACTCTGTCTCAAAAAAATAATAAAATTAAATTAAAATAAAATAAATAAAAATTAAAAAACACAAAAATCAGCCAGGCATGGTGGTGGGCGCCCGTTATCCCAGCTATTCAGAAGAATCGCTTGATTCTCCTTGAGGCAGGAGAATCGCTTGATTCTCCTTGAGGCAGGAGAATCGCTTGATTCTCCTTGAGGCAGGAGAATCGCTTGATTCTCCTTGAGGCAGGAGAATCGTTTGAACCCGGGAGACAGAGGTTGCAATGAGCCGAGATCACGCCATTGCACTCCAGCCTGGGCGACAGAGTTAGTCTCCGTCTCAAAAAAAAAAAAAAAAAAAAAAATGGAAGACAGATATTAAAGAAACTTGTAAAAATTAGCCAGGCTAGTGGCACACACTTAAAATTACAGCTACTCAGATGCTGAGACAGGAGGATCACTTCTTGAGGCCAGGAGTTCCAGACCAGTCTGGGCAACATAACAAGACTCTGTCTCAAAAGAAAAGGAAACTAAGAAATTTGTAAAAATGTGAAACAATGCCGCTCCTCTCACTAATTTTTTCTTTTCTTTTTTTTTTTGAGATGGAGTTTTGCTTTTGTTGCCCAAACTGGAGTGCAATGTCGCCATCTCAGCTCACTGCAACCTCTGCCTCCCGGATTCAAGCGATTCTCCTGCTTCTGCCTCCCGAGTAGCTGGGATTACAGGAGTGCGCCACCATACCCGGCTAATTTTTTGTATGATTTTTAGTAGAGATGGGGTTTCACCATGTTGGCCAGGCTGGTCTTGAACTCCTGACCTCAGGTGATCCGCCCACTTCTGCCTCCCAAGATGCTGGGATTACAGGCATGAGCCACAGAGCCTGCCCTAATTTTTTGTTTTAAAAATACTTATTTTCATAAAAATATGTTAACTTGTAATCAGTTTTTTACTCTATGAATTAAAACATATTTCAAATGTTTTATTTAATACAGTAAGTACGAATAAATAAAATCCACATATGCTGTAGAAAAGTCTTCTAGGGTAATAATAAGGTTTGGGTTTTTAAAGTCTTTAGGGTCATAATAAAGTCTGAGGGTTTTTTTTATTTTAGTTGATTTAATGTTTTATTGTTAATGTCCCTAATATTTAGGGGAACATAATTTTCTTTTTTTTTTTTTTGAGATGGAGTTTTGCTCTGTCGCCCAGGCTGGAGTGAAGTGGCACAATCTCGGCTCACTGCAACCTCCGCTCCCCAGGTTCAAGCGATTCTCCTGCCTCAGCCTCCCGAGTAGCTGGGATTATTGGCACCCGCCACCACGCCTGGCTAATTTTTGTATTTTTAGTAGAGATGGGGTTTCACCATGTTGGCCAGGCAGGTCTCAAACTCCTGACTTCAGGTGATCCACCCACCTCAGCCTCCCAAAGTACTAGGATTACAGGCGTGAGCCACCGCACCTGGCCCATTTTAATTTTTTAAATGCTGAAATTAGTTATTAGATGCACTTACTAATAATTAAAATGCCACATTTTCAAATGATTAAAACAAAACATTATACTGAAACATGCACTCTTGAAAAATAAAGGGAGTGACAGGAACTGAACATTAAATGTGATCCCAGCCAGGCAAGGTGGCGCATGCCTGCAATCCCAGCACGCTGGGAGGCCAAGGCGGTTGGATCACCTGAGGTCAGGAGTTTGCGACCAGCCTAACATGGTGAAATCCTGTCTCTATTAAATACAAAAAAATTTGCCCAGCGTGGTGGCGCCTGCCTGTAATCCAAGCTACTTGGGAAGCTGAGACAGGAGAATCGCTTGAACCCCGGAGGCAGATGTTGCAGTGAGCCGAGAACGCACCATTGCACTCCAGCCTGGGCAATGAGAGCGAAACTCCGTCTCAAAAAAGAAAACAAAAAAAAAGTCACTCCAGGTGCAGGAAAAGCCTGGGAAAAAGCCACTTGGGACTGGCTGCCAGCTGCCATCATCGGATGCACTGCAACTGTGATTGTGAGCCCCGCCATGTGCACATCACCTCATCAGGTGCCTTCCAGCAAGTGTTATAATCCCACTGTGTCTATAGCCACAATCTACACACTCTAAACCCAGCTACTCGTTTTGTCAATGCAATGTTGTGGGTCACAAGGGAAATAGAGTCAAGAATCCTGATGGATCTCTAATCTATCCATCCACCTTGCTAAAAAGAAGGGAATGCCGGCTGGGCGGTGGCTCATGCATGTAATCCCAGCATTTTGGGAGGCCGAAGAGGGCAGATCACTTGAAGTCAAGAGTTCGAGACCAGCCTGGCCAATATGGTGAAACTCTACCTTCCTTATAAAGCTCGATATTGGCTGGGCGCGGTGGCTCATGCCTGTAATCCCAGCACTTTGAGAGGCCAAGGTGGGAAGATCATGAGGTCAGGAGTTCGGGACCAGCCTGACCAACATGGTAAAACCCCGTCTCTACTAAAAATACAAAAATTAACCAGGCATGATGGTGTACGCTTGTAATCCCAGCTACTCCAGAGGCTGAGGCAGGAGAATCGCTTGAACCTGGGAGGCGGAGGTTGCAATGAGCAGAGGTCGTGCCACTGCACTCCAGCCTGAGTGACAGAGCAAGACTCCATCACAAGAAAACAAACAAACAGAAAAACAAACAAAAACAAACAAACAAAAAACTCAGTAATGTAAGGTATCCATCAAATTAAACATTTTTGATTTTGTGATAAACAAGCTCATTTTTTAAGATATTTCTGAGACAAATCCTGCAGGCATAACAACTTGGCAGTGTGAGTTATTCACAGATTCTCAAAGTCTTTTTCATTTTTAAAAATTATTTTATTTTATTTTATTTTATTTTTGAGACAGATTCTCACAAATCTCTAAGAGTTGCCTAGCCTGGAAAAAAAAAATGACTCATACACTGTGAGGTGCTGCTGGAATTGAGGGGGCCTCGGTGGCAAGACTGGAGGGGTGCTGTGGAAAGAGTGGGCATTGGTTGGTGCAGCAGGTGGCTGCAATTCAGAGCCTGGACCAAGGGCAGCAGTGGGGTGTGAGGAGGACCTGCTGAAGAGACATGGATGGGAAGGCTCACGCCTGGCCTGGCAGCTCCATCTCAGTCAGGCCTGCTAAGGCTTTCCAAACAGCATCGAAGACATCAAAGCCCAGCACATCCTCTGGCTGTTGAGAAAAACCAAAGTCCAATGGCTTGAGAATGACAGTGCCAAGTGACTGATGGAGGAGGTGCTTGGGTCTGGTGGTATGGGGCAGTCCTTGGATGACATGGGGATCCAGGACAGGGCTGGGTTGTCCAAGAATAGTAGCTGTGACTCTGCCCCTGCCCCTTCCGAAGGCAATTGTTCACTGTGACCAGATGAACGGACAGGAATGACTGGGCTGGATTTGGGCAAACCAGTGGGTGGTGAAGGTCTGTCCCTGTTAGATGTCTGTGGAAATTGTCATTCCTCCCTACTCTGGGAGAATCAAAGCCATTTGTCAGTTGGGCTCTGCAGTGGTATCATTTGGATCTTATTCCTATCATCTAAACCCATGGAGAGATGGAGATAATTGGGATTTAATGTATAGAATTCTTGAAGTAGCTGCTGTTCATATTCTTGGTGTTCAGCTGCGAGCGATTTTTCTTTTGTGAAGCGGCCATTCTGACCTGTGAGTTGAGTAGATGCAGGTGGTGTTTAATCTTCAGCTGCAGGGTTCTGTTGAGCCTAGAAATGCCTGAGTGCTCCACCATCTCCACACGTTGTCTTCACACAGTGTGGCCCTGAGAGCTAGAGATGATGTGAGTATGGGCACGGGGACAACAGCTAGCCTGAACATAGTGTGCTACTATTGATGGCAACTCTACTTATTTCATCCAATTTCCCAAAATACTCTGGTCCTTTTAAAACCACTGGGTCAGCTAGGCACTGAGACAGACCTGCAACACAGACAAGACTTTTTTTTTTTTTTTTTTTGAGATGGCCTGTCGCTCAGGCTGGAGTGCAGTGGCGTGATCTCAGCTCACTGCAACCTCTGCCTCCCGGGTTCAAACAAGTCTCCTGTCTCAGCCTCCCAAGTAGCTGGGACTCCCAGTGCAAGCCACTATGCTGGGCTAACTTTTTTTATACTGTTTTTTATAATTTTTTATACTGTTATTCTACAAAAAATTGTGATCAATTTATGTTGTTGTATTTTTAGTAGAGATGGGGTTTTAACATATTGGTCAGGTTGGTCTCGAACTCCTGACCTCAGGCAATCCACTCGCCTTGGCCTCCCAAAGTGGTGGGATTACAGGCGTGAGCCACAGCGCCTGGCCCAGACTAGGCTTTTTGTATGACGTGTCTACTAGGCAACTCTTAGAGATTTTCTGATACTTTCTACTTTTTCTTCTTCTGTCCCTGACATCCTTTATCTTTTGCAGTGCTTCCTGGGAAAGTGGGTTATACACACTAGAGCCTTCTGGACATGGCTTTCTATTCACAGGACAAAGCACAGTTTCTTCAGTGTGAATCTGATGCCAACGGGATCAGTCAGTCTGGCAGCCACAGGGCGAGGGCAAAAGCAGCCTCCTTGCCTGGCTTGTCCCTGGGCATCCACACAAGACCCCCAGAACAGAAGCTGGAAAAACTCCCCACCTGACCTGATGGCTTCCAAGCATAACCTGCAGGCTGAGAAAGAGGCTCAGCTTTCAGTAGGTCCCTTGTTATTACTTTTTAAGAGTGTAAGGAGTTCCAAAACAAAACCTTTGAGAACCACTGTAGCAGACGGCTCATTGACTTGGAAGGGTATCTTCTGATTCTTCCATCTAGTGAGGAGCACGGCATTTGCCAAAAGCGCGTTCATTTGCTTGTTAACTACAGAAGTCAAGCACTGCCTCAGCAGGGCTGGCTCCACTGCCCCAGAGACCAGACACAACAGCTGCACTCTGGCCCCCACCCTGTGACACCATCCCTGCCTCCTGCAAGAATTTTTATCTGATTTCTCTCCCAACAAAGCTCAAGCCTCTCTCTTCTCAGAGACTGCCCTTAGCAGCTCTTCTGGCTCTGTTACTACACTTTTAATTAAAAGGAAGTGTCATATTTGAAGCAACACCATGTTCTTTCTGTAGCCTTAAAATAATTTGTTACTGAGCCAGTAAGTGGTGGCTCACATCTGTAACCCCAGCACTTTGGAAGGCCGAGGTGGGAGGATTGCTTGAGCCCAGGAGTTCAAGACAAGCCTGGGCAGCATGGTGAGACCTCATTCCTACAAAAAATAGAAAAATTAGCTGAGCGTGGTGGTGCATCCCTGTAGTCCCAGCCACTCGGGAAGCTGAGGTGGGAGAGTCTCTTGAGCCCAGGAGGCAGGGGTTTCAATGAGCCGAGATTGCGCCACTGCACTCCAGCCTGGGCAACAGAGCAGGACTCTGTCTCAAAAAAAAAAAAAAAAAAAATTCTTCTAAATCTGGAAGGTAAATCGTATAGATTTCAAGTTTGATGGATGTATATAATAATGACCTGTAGAACATAACTGAATTAGATAATCCTATGTGCTTTATACTATTTTTTATACTGTTATTCTACAAAAACTTGTGATCAATTTATGTAGAGACCAGGCCGGGAGCGGTTGCTCATGCCTGTAATCCTAGCACTTTGGGAGGCTGAGGCGGGCAGATCACTAGGTCAGGAGATCGAGACCATCCTGGCTAACACAGTGAAACCCCATCTCTACTAAAAATACAAAAAATTAGCTGGGTGTGGTGGCGGGCGCCTGTAGTCCCAGCTACTTGGGAGGCTGAGGCAGTAGAACGGCGTGAACCCGGGAGGTGGAGCTTGCAGTAAGCCAAGATCGTGCCACTGCACTCCAGCCTGGGCGACAGCGACACTCCATCTGAAAAAAAAAAAAAAGAAAGAAAGAAAAAAAGTTTATGTAGAGACCCCTTGTGGAGTTTACTGACATTTCAAGCTTCAGTTTCAAGCATTTGATATGCGCAAAATGGTGCTCAATACATACATTGAACATAAGCCTGCTCAGTATCTTTTTGTTGGTTTAACATGGAATCAACAAACAGTAGGTGCTCATATGGTTCAAGAACAGAGTAAGCCATACCATTCAAGGGTGTTTAGTTGTTTTGTTTTGTTTTGTTATATTTTGGAGAGTGGGAGACATAATGCATATTTGACTTCATAGAAATTTCTCAAATATTTCTTGTTTCTAAGTGACTGCGTAGGCTCAACAGAACCTTCCTGGAAAACATAGATATAAAAAGAAATCACTAAAAGAACACATTGCAGTTTGCAGGTGGCTTGACTGAAAAAAAAAAAGAAAAAGAAAACACCTACTTTCCTCTCCATGGAAACAGCATGCCAGAAAATTTTGTGGACCCTTGAAATGAGCACACATCTCACTTGCAAAAGCACAGCACCAGCGCCCTCTGCTGTTTCCTGGTTTGATTTAGAACTCAGAGAAGCTACAGTACTTTCTAGACTAAAATACCATGTAGAGTTCAGGATAATTATATTCTAGATTAGACATAGGCAAGCACATTTATATTAGTACATTCTGTAGTATATTCCAGAGTGAAGGAAATCAAATCATCAAATACATTTGCATCAGAATATTTCTGCATGCTCTCTTATTGTTTTAGTATCTGTTTTTGTTTCAACTATGATCATGTAACCTGTTATTGCAAAGAAATGACTTGCAACAGTTATCTATTTACATTTATATAGTATAAACTCCCGTGACCTAGAAGAGAAACATGCAAAAAAATCTACTCAACAAAATTTAACTGATCTCTGAAAAAGATATGCATGGAAGAGAGCAGAACAACTAAATTCCATTCAGGGAGTTCTAAAACCTTTTTTCCTTTTTCTGTATTTTCAGTAGATACTGGGTTTCACCATGTTGGCCAGGATGGTCTCAATCTCCTGACCTCGTGATCTGCCCGCCTCGGCCTTCCAAAGTGTGGGATTATAGGTGGGAGCCACCGCGGCTGGCCATGTGTGGGGTTTTATGGACGAGCTTGAGGAGGCAATGTCTGATTTACATAGGCACAAGAGGGCTGAGTGCGGTGGCTCACACCTGTAATCCCAACATTTTGGGAGGCCAAGGCGGGCGGATCACGAGGTCAGGAGTTCGAGACCAGCCTGGCCAATATGGTGAAACCCTGTCTTTACTAAAAATACAAAAATTAGCTGGGCGTGGTGGCAGGCGCCTGAAATCCCACCTACTCGGAAAGCTGAGGCAGAAGAATTGCTTGAACCCAGGAGGTGGAGGTTGCAGTGAGCCGAGATCGCGCCACTGCACTCGAGCCTGGGCGACCAAGCGAGACTCCGTCTCAAACAAACATAAGCACAAGAGATTGCTTGAACCAGGTGTGCCATTTGCAAAATTGAAATGATCTCTGAATCATTTAAATCAGCATAGTGTGTGAAGAAGCTGACCATCTCACCCTAATCTTTTATCATGAAGATGAGGTTTCTACCTGGCCAGCACCACGTTGTTGCCTGCTTCTTTACTGCACACATGGTTGACAAAGAAAAGAGAAGATGGATCCTCCATGTTGCACATGCCTGGCCCCCAGGTAGCTTTCTCCTATTAGCACAGCTGCAGGGATTCATCTGTGCAAGCTTTCAGCTTGCTTGTCTATGTCTGCAGCTCAATTTTACAGGCTGCTCTTTGTTAGGAAACAAACGATTTGGGGGCTGCTTTTCATTAAAAGGAAAGCCTTGCTGAGGACTCTTACCCTCACTATCTGCCTAAATAATTTCTTTCTAGCTCCTGTATCAATAACAGCTGCTATGTTATTGTTAGTGCTACAGGTTAGTTATCTGAATTAATCAGTAATATAATAAGAGGAAACTGTTATATGAAAAATGGGCATCCACTGGATAGTTTAAAACTAATGTTTTGGCTGGGTGTGGTGGCTCATACCTGTAATCCCAGCACTTTGGAAGGCCAAGGCAGGAGGATTACTTGAGGTCAGGAGTTTGAGACCATCCTGGACAACATAGTAAGATCCCATCTCTAGCAAAAAATGTGAAAATTAGCCAGGCACGATGGTGCAGCTGTAGTCCTAACTACTCAGGAGGTTGAGGTGAGCCCAAGATATTGAGGCTACAGTTAGCTATGATTGCACCACTATACTCTAGCTTAGGTGACAGGAAGACAGTGTCTCTTTAAAAAAATGAATAATAGGCTGGGCATGGCTCACACCTGTAATCCCAGCACTTTGGGAGACTGAGGCGGGCGGACCACCCAAGGTCGGGAGTTCGAGACCAGTCTGACCAACATGGAGAAACCCTGTCTCTACTAAAAAAAATACAAAATTAGCTGGGCATGGTGGTGCAATCCTAGCTACTTGGGAGGCTGAAGCAGGAGAATCGCTTGAACCTGGGAGGCAGAGGTTGCAGTGAGTAGAGATCATGCCATTGCACTCCAGCCTGGGCAACAAGAGCGAAACTCCGTCTCAAAAAAAAAAAAATTAAAATAATAATGTATGTGTGTTTTCTTGGTTGTTGTTGTTTTAAGACAGGATCTCACTCTGTTGCCCAGGCTGGAGTACAATCTCGTTGCCAGGCTGGGGCACAATCTCGGCTCACTGCAACCTCTACCTCCTGGGCTCAAACAATCCTCACCTCAGTCTTCCCACTAGCTGGGACCACAGGTGTGCACCACCATGACCAGCTAACTTTTTTTTTCTTTTTTTGAGACAAGAGTCTTGCTCTGTCACCCAGGCTGGAGTACAGTGGTGCGATCTCAACTCACTGCAGCATCCGCCTCCTGGGTTCATATGATTCTCGTGCTTCAGCCTCCTGGGTAGCTGGGACTATGGGTGTGCGCCACCGCGCCTGGCTAATTTTTGAACTTTTAGTAAAGACAGGGTTTCACTGTGCTGACCAGGATGGTCTCGATCTCCTGACTGCGTGATCCACCCACCTCGGCCTCACAAGGTCCTGGGATTACAGGCGTGAGCCACCGCACCTGGCCAATTTTTTGTATTTTTTTTTTTTTGTAGAGATGGGGTTTCACCATGTTGCCCAGGCTGGTCTCCTGAGCTCCAGTGATCCGTACACTTTGGCCTCCCAAAGTGCTGGGATTGCAGGCATGAGCCACCATGCCCGGCCTAAAATAATAATGTTTTGAGGGAAATTTCTTTAAATTATTTTTATCTTTAGCACCAGTTATTGAGTTCCTCATTTGCTCACTTTCTCTACTGGAACTGAGAAGCTGGGGTTTACTAAATCTATGCCTTGACAATACCAATTCAAACTCTTTTCAGTTCACTAAGATAAGGAACAAGATCCCCACGTGGAGAAATAAAGCACAATCATCAAAGACAAATTGTAAACATCATTGAAACTTACACAAGAAAATGTCACATAACATTAGCTTCTTCTTCAGACTTTGAAAAAACAATCACTTGTTGTTAAAATTTTTTTAATCACATGAAAAATTTAAAATTTAATTAAATTTAAAAATTTAAATTTAAAAAATATTTAAAATTTAATTAAATTTAAAAACTACTTAAAATTAATTAAATTTAAAATGTAATTAAAAATTTAAAAATCACATT
The DNA here is from genome assembly GCF_000001405.40 of Homo sapiens. Taxonomy (NCBI): domain Eukaryota; kingdom Metazoa; phylum Chordata; class Mammalia; order Primates; family Hominidae; genus Homo; species Homo sapiens. Next base: position 20,928,140 of record NC_000013.11, read on the forward strand.
GATTCCTATAGCACTTGAAATCTCTGATTGTCCAAGGACTAAACGTTATAAGGCTTTTTGATGAGCTAAGGAAATTTTTCTCTTTTATTTTTCCTAAATATCATTTACATCTATAAATGATGAGGTAAAAGTGTGAGATTGATTCCCTGCCCTGCGCTGCCCTGAGACAGGGTCTCGCTCTGTCGCTCAGGATAGAGTGCAGTGATGCGATCATAGTTCACTGCAGCCTCAACCTCTTGGGTGCAAGCAATCCTCCTACTTCAGCCTCTTGAGTAGCTGGGACCATAGGTGTGTGCCACCACACCTGGTTAATTTTTAAAAATATTTTTTATAGAGATGGGGTCTCCCTACATTGCCCAGGCTGGTCTTGAATTCCTGGGCTCAGTTGATCCTCCCACCTCAGCTTCCCAAAGTGCTGGGATTACAGGTGTGAGCCACCACACCTGGCCTAAACTTATAAAGTTTTAAAAATATATTTGACCTACTAAAATTTACTTATGTATTTATTTTATTTTATTTTATTTTATTTTTTTGAGACAGAATCTGGCTCTGTTGCCCAGGCTGGAGTGCAGTGGCGTGATCTCGGCTCACTGCAAACTCCGCCTCCCCAGTTCAAGCGATTCTCCTGCTTCAGCCTCCCGAGTAGTTGGGATTACAGGTGCCCACCACCATGCCTGGCTAATTTTTTTGTATTTAGTAGAGATGGGGTTTCACCATGTTGGCCAGGTTGGTCTCGAACTCCTTACCTCAGATGATCCGCCCACCTTGGCCTCCCAAAGTCCTGGGATTACAGGCATGAGCCACCATGCCTGGCCTGTATTTTATTTTTTTGAGACAGAGTTTCACTCTGTCTCCCAGGCTGGAGTGCAGTGGCATGATCTCGGCTCATGGCAACCTCTGCCTCCCAGGTTCAAGTGATTCTCCTGCCTCAGCCTCCTGAGTAGCTGGGATTACAGGTGCGTACCACCACACCCAGCTAATTTTTGTATTTTTAGCAGGTACAGGATTTCGTCATGTTGGCCAGGCTGGTCTTGAATTCCTGACCTCAAGCAATCTGCCCACCTCAACCTCCCAAATTGATGGGCTTACAGGCGTGAGCCACCGCACCCATAGACCTACTAAAATTTAGAGTAGAAGATTCCAGTTAGCACAATAATTACCCTTTCTGCCTGACTGGATGCTTCAAAATAATTAACACATTAATTTTGTAGAGACAACTTTAGAACATGGTGACATTTTAAAAGCTGAAAAATGTTCACATAGAAGGAAAGTCATAGAAAGAATAAATATAAATGACTGATTAACATATGAAAAATGTTTAAGTTCACTAATATCCAAACAACTGGGATTTTTCTCTGTTAAATTGACATGTTTTTATTAATTTATTTTTTTCTTCAACTTTTATTTTAAGTTCTGGGTACATGTGCAGGATGTGCAGGTTTGTTACATAGGTAAACCCATGCCATGGTGGTTTGCTACACAGTTCATCCCATCACCTGGTTATTAAGCACAGCATTCATTAGCTATTCTTCCTGATGCTCTGCCCCTTCCCACTGACAGGCCCCAGTATGTGCTATTCCCCTCCATGTGTCCATGTGTTCTCATCATTCAGTTCCCACTTATAAGTGAGAACATGTGGTGTTTCGTTTTCTGTTCCTGCATTAGTTTGCTGAGGATAATGCCTTCCAGCTCCATCCATGTCCCTGCAAAGACATGATCTCATTTCTTTTTACAGCTGCATAGTATTCCATGGTGTGTAAGTACCACATTTTCTTTTCTTTTCTTTTCTTTCTTTTTCTTTTTCTTTTTTTTTTTTTTTTTTGAGATGGAGTTCGTGTTGGGCTCTTGTTGCCCAGGCTGGAGTGCAATGGCACGATCTGGGCTCACCGTAACCTCCGCCTTCCAGGTTCAAGCAATTCTCCTGCCACAGCCTCCTGAGTAGCTGGGATTACAGGCATGCGCCACCATGCTCAGCTAATTTTGTATTTTTAGTAGAGATGGGGTTTCTCCAGTTTGGTCAGGCTAGTCTTGAACTCCCGACCTCAGGTGATTCACCCGCCCCAGCCTCCCAAAATCCTGGGATTACAGGCATGAGCCACCACACCCAGCCTGTACCACCTTTTCTTTATCCAGTCTATCATTGATGGGCATTTGGGTTGATTCCATGTCTTTGCTATTGTGAATAGTGCCGCAATGAACATACTCATACATGTATCTTTATAACAGAATGATTTCTGTTCCTTTGGGTATATACCCAGTAATGGGATTGCTGGGTCAAATGGTATTTCTGCCTCTAGATCTTTGAAGAATCACCACAGTGTCCTCCACAATGGTTAAACTAATTTACACTCCCACCAACAGTGTAAAAGTGTTCCTTTTTCTTCGCAACCTTACCAGCATTTGTTGTTTTTTAACATTTTATTATTTATTTATTTTGAGACAGAGTCTCGCTCTGTCACCCAGGCTGGAGTGCAGTGGTGCGATTTTGGCTCACTGCAACTTCCTTCTCCCAGATTCAAGAGATTCTCCTGCCTCAGCCTCCCAAGTAGTTGGAATTACAGCCACGTCCTACCACGCCCAGCTAATTTTTATATTTTTAGTAGAGATGAGGTTTCACCATGTTGACCAGGCTGATCTCAAACTCCTGACCTCAGGTGATCTGCCTGCCTTGGCCTACCAAAGTGCTGGGATTACAGACATGATCCACTATGTCTGGCTGTTTTTTCACTTTTTTTTTTTTTCTCTGAGATGGTATTTCACTCTTGTTACCCAGGGTGGAGTACAATGGCACGATCTCAGCTAACTGCAACCTCCACCTCCCAGGTTCAAGTGATTCTCCTGCCTCAGCCTCCCAAGTAGCTGGGATTACAGGTGTGTGCCACCAATCCCACCTAATTTTTGTATTTTTAGTAGAGACGGGGTTTCGCCATGTTGGCCAGGCTGGTCTTAAACTCCTGACCTCAGGTGATCTGCCCGTCTTGGCCTCCCAAAGTGCTGGGATTACAGGCATGAGCCACCATGCCTGGCCTTAGTTTGTTTGTTTGTTTGTTTTGAAATGGAGTCTCACTGTCGCCCAGGCTGGAGTGCAATGGCGCGATCTCGGCTCACTACAACCTCCGCCTCCCGGTTCAAGCAATTCTTCCACCTCAGCCTCCTGAGTAGCTGGGATTACAGGCATCTGTCATCATACCCAGCTAATTTTTGTATTTTTGTAGAGATGGGGTTTCACCATGTTGTCCAGGCTGGTCTTGAACTCCTGACCTCAGGTGATCCACCTACCTCGGCCTCCCAAAGTGCTGGGATTACAGGTGTGAGCCACCAAGCCTGGCCTCAAATTGACATGTTTTTAAAGATAAGCTGGGCACAGTGGCTTGCACCTATAGTCCCAGCTACTCGGGAGGCTGAGGTGGGAGGATGGTTTGAGCCCAGGAGATTGAGGTTGCAGTGAGCTATGATTACACCACTGTACTCCAGCCTGGGTGACAGAGTGAGATGCTGGCTCTAAAAAAATAAATACACAAAGATTTTAAAAAATAAAGGCAGGCCGGGTGTGGTGGTTCATGCCTGTAATCCTAGCACTTTGGGAGGCCAAGGCAGGCGGGTCACCTGAGGTCAGGAATTCAAGAACATTCTATCCAACATGGTGAAACCCTGTCTCTACTAAACATAAAAAAATTAGTCAGGCATGGTGATGCATGCCTGTAGTCCCAGCTACTTGGGAGGCTGAGGCAGGAGAATCGCTTGAACCTGGGAGACAGAGGCTACAGTGAGCTGAGATCGCGCCACTGGACTCCAGCCTGGACAACAGAGTGAGACACTGTCTCAAAAAAATAAATAAATAAAATAAAATAAATAAAGATAATATCTAAACTCTGCACAAAGGTAATATAAAGTAGGTTTAAGAACTCAGACCCTGAAGCCACCACTGTCTGCGTGGATTGGGGCAGCTACTTAGCCTCTCTTCCCTTCAGTGTACTTGTCTACAAAGAAGGAATAATAATAGCAACTGCATCATACAGGATTAAATTCATTAAGTACAAAGGACTTAGAATAGTGCTTGACACAAACTAAATGTTCAATCAATTTTAGCTATTAATATATATTTCTAGGACATACAAGAAACTAGTATCTACGATTGCCTCAGTGGAGGGGAAAAATGTTATCTTTTTTATTTTATTTTATTTTATTTTATTTTATTTTATTTTATTTATTTTATTTTATTTTATTTTTGAGACGGAGTCTGGCTCTGTCGCCCAGGCTGGAGTGCAGTGACGCCATCTCAGCTCACTGCAAGCTCCGCCTCCTGGGTTCACGCCATTCTCCCGCCTCAGCCTCCCGAGTAGCTGGGACTACAGGCACCTGCCACCACGCCTGGCTAATTGTTTATATTTTTAGTAAAGACGGGGTTTCACTGTGTTAGCCAGGATGGTCTCGGTCTCTTGACCTCATGATCTGCCCACCTTGGCCTCCCAAAGTGCTGGGATTACAGGCGTGAGCCACTGGTCTGTGTAGCCCTGTTATCTTTATTTTATTCTTTTTTTTTTTTTTTGAGAGGAAGTCTCGCTCTTGTACCCCAGGCTGGAGTGCAATGGTGTGATCTCGGCTAACTGCAACATCTGCCTCCTGGGTTCAAGTGATTATCCTTCCTCAGCCTCCAGAGTAGCTGGGATTACAGGTGCCTGCCACCACGCCCAGCTAATTTTTGTATTTTTAGTAGAGACGGGGTTTCTCCATGTTGGCTAAGCTGGTCTCGAATTTCTGACCTCAGGTGATCTGCCCGCCTCGGCCTCCCAACAGAGTCTTGCTCTGTTGCCCAGGCTGGAGTGCAGTGGCACAATCTCGGCTCACTACAACCTCTGCCTCTTGCGTTCAAGCAATTCTCCTGCCTCAGCCTCCAGAGTAGCTGGGATTACAGGCGCCCACCACCCAGCCCGGCTAATTTTTGTAGTATTAGTGGAGATGGGATTTCACCATGTTGGCCAGGCTAGTCTGGAACTCCTGACTGCAGGTGATCCGCCCACCTTGGCCTCCCAAAGTGCTGGGAATTACAGGTGTGAACCAGCATGTCTGGCCTATTTTATTTTTTAATTATTTCCTTTCTGTACTTTGAATAAATGTACATGTTTCATGCAGGTGTTCTTTCTTTTCGTGCTCCAGAATTGTGGGTGAGACACACAGCTCTAGAAAAAGACATTCAGAACTCCACATTCTGTGTTTCTGGAGCCTTCAAGACCTCTCTGGGCTTACTGGGAAGCATACTTTTTCCCTGACAGGAGGATACAGTCCTGCTTACTACTGCACACTCTAGGGTCCCAGACCTTCTCAGTCCACGTGCTCGTAGTATCTCAGTCATATTTTCTTGGTGCACCCAGACCAAAAGAACTACCTTCCTGATTACATTCCATTTATTATGTAGCTAGTTCCAACATCTACAACCTAAGTATTTGTGTCTAAATACCTAATAGCCATTTTTTTTGTTTGTTTTTGTTTTTTTGAGACGGCGTCTCACTCTGTCGCCCAGGCAGGAGTGCAGTGGCACGATCTGGGCTCACTGCAACCTCCGCCTTCCGAGTTCAAGCGATTCTCCTGCCTCAGCCTCCCGAGTAGCTGGGATTACAGGCGCCTGCCACCGCGCCTGGCTAAGTTTTTTTGTATTTTTAGTAGAGATGGGGTTTCACCATCTTGGCCAGGCTGGTCTTGAACTCCTGATCTCATGATCCACCCGCCTCGGCCTCCCAAAGTGCTGGGATTACAGGCGTGAGCCACTGCACCCGGCCCCTAATAGCCATTTTTAAAAGTTCATATAAATTGAAAAATGCTATTTTTTTTTTTTTTGAAATGGAGTGTTGCTCTGTTGCCCAGGCTGGAGTGCAGTGGCGTGGTCTCAGCTCACTACAACCTTCACCTCCCAGGTTCAAGCAATTCTTCTGCCTCAGCCGCCTGAGTAGCTGGGACTACAGGCGTGTGCCACCACAACCAGCTAATTTTTGTATTTTTAGTAGAGACGGGGTTTCACCATGTTGGCCAGGATGGTCTCAATCTCCTGACCTCGTGATCTGCCTGCCTCGGCCTCCCAAAGTGTTGGGATTACAGGCGTGAGCCACCGTGCCCAGCCGAAAAATGCTATTTTTATTTCTTTTTTTTTTTTTTTTGAGACATAGTCTCGCTCTGCCACCCAGGCTGGAGTGCAGTGGTGTGGCTCACTGCAACCTCCACCTCCTGGGTTCAAGGGATTCTCCTGCCTCTGCCTCCCGAGTAGCTGAGATTACAGGCGCCCACCACCAAGCCTGGCTAATTTTTTTTTCTATCTTTAGTAGAGACGGGGTTTCACAGTGTTGGTCAGGCTGGTCTCGAACTCCTGACCTTAGGTGATCTGCCTGCCTCAGCCTCCCAAAGTGCTGGGATTATAAGCGTGAGGCACTGTGCCCAGTTTATTTCATTCTTAAATAGCCACAGTTGCTAATGGGATATGTGTGCCTGTTGGGCACTGCACAACTCCTCAAACCCTGGAAAAAAATTGGCCGCTGCCACCCCTCTCATTTCCCATTCCACATTGACTTTCACAGTCAATGCTTTTTATCCCCAGCTTTGCAAAGATAATATGTTAATGCAAGGGATATAGTGTGTTCTAATGTCAAAATTGTGCTAATACTGTAGTTAGAGTGGTGTGTAACTGACATAGCTGTTTCCCTCAAATATTTGAAACAGCCCACAGTGCCCCTGTGAATTTGCTGTTCCCAAGCCACCCTGGCACACAGTTTGAGAACCTCAGCTGTATAACTTTTTATAACTTTTGAATCTAGCTGAGGAGTCAGCCCATTGTGAAAAAGCATGACATAAATAGTTCCCCCCAATCATTTTGTCCCAAAATGTTCTACAATCAAAGTACCCCTTTCCAGTGGACTGTGCAGAGGGGAAATAAACAAACAAACAAAACCCAAACTACCCTTTCCCATTGCGTAGCCAGTCCACTGAAGACATTTTGTTGCAGATTCTTTAACCTTCAATGCAATTTGCACTAGTGCCTTATCATCTGCAGTAGGGGATGGAGGTGTCAGCTTCACTTTTCCGTCTTTCCTGACATTTCTGGTATTGGAGAAAGAAAAAAAAAAACCATGGAAAGGGAAATAATAGGCACTGGGGGACTCCAAAGGGGGAGAGGATGGGAGGGATTTCATGTTGAAAAATGACCTATTGCATAGAAGATTCATTATTTTAGTGATGGGTGCACTAGAAACTCAAACCTCACCATTCCACGTTATATCCATGTAACAAACATGCACATGTATGCCCTGAATAATGATAATAAGAGCATGGGAGACAGAGGTCTTATGTGACTGCCTGCCAACTGCACATCCAAGATCCAGACTTGAAGCTTATAAATATGTATAAAATGTTGGGCTCAGGAGTGGTGGCTCACGCCTATAATCTCAGCACTTTGGGAGGTGAAGGCAAGCGGATCACTTGAGGCCAGGAGTTGGAGGCCAGCCCAGGCAATGTAGCAAGAGCCTGTCTCTACAAAACCTAAAAAAAATTAGCTGGACTTTATGGCATGCACCTGTAGTCCCCAGCTACTGGGGAGGCTGAGGCAAGAGGATCACTTGAGCCTGGGAGTTTGAGGTTACAGTGAGCTATGACTGTGCCACCACACTCCAGCCTAGGCAAGAGAGTGAAAAAGGGCCGGGCGTGGTGGCTCACACCTGTAATCCCAGCACTTTGGGAGGCCGAGGCAGGTGGATCACGAGGTCAGGAGATCGAGACCATCCTGGCTAACATGGTGAAACCCCGTCTCTACTAAAAATACAAAAAATTAGCCGGGCGTGGTGGAGGGCACCTGTAGTCCCAGCTACTCAGGAGGCTGAGGCAGAAGAATGGTGTGAACCTGGGATGAGGAGCTTGCGGTGAGCCGAGATCGTGCCACTGCACTCCAGCCTGGGCAACAGAGCAAGACTCTTGTCTAAAAAAAAATAGAGAGAGTGAAAAAAATAGCCAGGTACAGTGGCTCATGCCTGTAATTTCAGCACTTTGGGAGGCCGAGGCAGGAGAATCACTTGAGGCTAGGAGGTGGAGGCCACATTGACCTATGATCGCATCACTGCACTACAGCATGGGCAGCAGAGTGATACCTTGTCTCAAAAAAAAAAAAAAAAAAAAAAAAAAAGGCCGGGCATGGTGGCTCACACCTGTAATCCCAGCATTTTGGGAGGCTGAGGCGGAAGGATCATTTGAGGTTAGGAGTTCGAAACCAGCCTGGCCAACATGGTGAAACCCTATTTCTACTAAAAATACAAAAAAAAAATTACCCAGGCGTGGTGGTGGGTGCCTGTAATCCCAGCTACTTGGGAGGCTGAGGCAGGAGAATTGCTTGAGCCCGGGAGGCAGAGGTTGCAGTTAGCTGAGATCGCACAACCATTGCACTCCAGCCTGGGTGACAGAGCAAGACTTAGTCTCAAAAAAATGTTGGACACCTTTGAGTATTAACATAGATTATCCAGGTGAAGGGCACTGAGCTTAAACTTCATCACCTCATGGTAAGTTCCCTGTGCAAAGCTGGCAGCAAGGTTCTTGTGAGTGTCCCTGCCTCTGTGGCTAATGCTAACTGACATGGGCTATGTGAGGCGACCCCTCAAATACTGGAACTTCCATAGGTGCATGTGGAGGGGCTTTTGGGAGGGTTCTGGGAGGAGTGGATCTGCCCGACATGGGTAAGCTGCCTCCATTCCCACTGTCTTCACGGTCACTCAACTGACACGCTCTTACTCACTCCCTGTTCTTCATCTCTTCCAAGGTTTCTTCCCCTGCTTGGGGGACACAGTTGTCCTAATCAACAGCTGAGGCTGAGCCCAAGTCCAACCAGGAGACAGAAGAGTTTCTGTTGGCTGGGGAGGTGAGAAGGCTGGAGAGCTGATTGCGGATCTTGCCTTTCTCGGAAAGCCCAGAGGGGTCTCTAAGGTTCCCAGACACTTCACATTTTTTGTCCAGGGCTTTTGGTTTCAGCTGCAATTCTGGAACATGGGAAAAAAGAAAATCCACATAACATTCTGTTGTACATTTATTCAAAATACAGAAAAGAAATATTTAAAGAATAAAATAAAGATAACATTCACAAGAGGAACCATGAAATTAACCCTCTCCTGGGAGTATACACTGGAAATCAATTTGGAAATATATAACAAGAGCATTAAAAATGTTCTTAAGAATATAATTAAAGATGCAGAAAAAGATTATGTACTCATGATAAAGCTTATACAAGGAAAAGAAAAAGATCATGTATAAAGATATGCAATATGATGTTATTTACAAGGTATATTTACATTTTAAATTATTTAAAATAGGAAATAACCTAAATTTCCAATAACAAGTAAATGGTTAATTAATTTGGGCTATATCATCATAATGGAATATCATATAGCCATTCAAAGCCATTGTTTTATGAGTTTTAGTGACAGGGAAAATGATTACTATAGGTGTCTGTTCACTGTGTTTTCAAAGTGTCCTAAATTTTCTTTTTTTTTTTTTTTTTGAGACGGAGTCTCGATCTGTTGCCCAGGCTGGAGTGCAGTGGCGTGATCTCGACTCACTGCAAGCTCCGCCTCCCAGGTTCATGCCATTCTCCTGCCTCAGCCTCTCCGAGTTGCTGGGACTACAGGCGCCCACCACCACACCCGGCTAATTTTTTATATTTTTAGTAGAGATGGGGTTTCACCATGGTCTCGATCTCCTGACCTCGTGATCTGCCCGCCTCCACCTCCCAAAGTGCTGGGATTACAAGCGTGAGCCACCGCACCCAGACTTTTTTTTTTTTTTTTTTTTTAATTATTTATTTATTTTTTTCTTTTTTTATTTTTTTGAGACGGAGTCTCGCTCTGTCACCCAGGCTGGAGTGCAGTGGTGTGATCATAGCTCACTGTAGCCTTGACCTCTCTGGCTCAAGAGATTCTCCTGCCTTGGCTTCCCAAGTAGCTGGGACTACAGAGGCACATCACCACATCTGGCTAATTTTTAAATTTTTTTGTAAAGACAGGGGTCTCACTTTGTTGCCCGGGCTGGTCTCAAACTTCTGGGCTCAAGTGATCATCCACACACCTCGGCCTCCCAAAGTGCTGGGATTACAGGTGTGAGCCACTGTGCCTCACCTCAATTTTGTAGGATTTTTGTAGGATTTTGATTCCAATCTTTTCTCTGCCACTTATCATTTGTGTGCCCTGAGTGAGTTCCCGTCATCTCGGTATGTCTGTTTTTCATCTGTGCAATAGGGGTCACAGTACCTACCTCATGCTGGGTTTGAGATCTCCGTGTGCCACATATTAGCTTGGGACCTTGGGCTGATTAGTTGTCCTCTCTGAGCCTCAGCTCCCAAGCCAGGAGGTGGAGCTAATGTGGCTGCCTCCAGGCATTAGCACGAAGATGGGCAGGGATGGCTCTGAGCACCCAGCACAGAGCAAGACCCCTTCACCCGGTAGACACCTGGCAGACGGGAATTACCACTGCTTATGATACAATGGTATTTCCTAAATTTGAAGATAATGTTGAAAGTAAGCTGCATCATGGATTTAATAATAGTGCTTTGAGTGAGAGAGAGAGAGAAAAAAGAAACCAATGTGGCATTCAGTGCATAAGAATAAAATGAGGTGTTGAATAAAAAGACTTGGGCCGGGCGTGGTGGCTCATGCCTGTAAATCCCAACACTTTGGGAGGCCGAGGTGGGTGGATTACCTGAGGTCAGGGGTTTGAGACCAGCCTGGCCAACATGGTGAAACCCCGTCTCTACTAAAAATATAAAAATTAGCCAAGCATGGTGGCGTGCGCCTGTAGTCCCAGCTACTCAGGAGGCTGAGACAAGAGAATCGTGTGAACCCACAAGGCGGAGGCTGCAGTGAGTCGAGATTGCCCCACTGCACTCACTCCACCCTGGGTGACAGAGTGAGACTCAAAGAAAAAAAAGTCGAATTTTTATACACATCCGTTAGGGACTTTTCACATCATGTGCATTTCCATAAATCTACACATTGTATTTTTGCACAGACTTGTGTTTCTAGGTGTGTCTGGGGCTCCAGGATTCTCTTACAGGAGACGACTGTTCAACTTGTTTTTAAATGAAAACACTAATGTTTCGTTTTATTTTTTTCCCTGCATGAAAAGTAACAATCCACCATAAAGCAAGGGGCATGCCCCCCGACCAAGCCATCCTTGCTCAGGGGTAGAGAGTAACCCTTTGCGGGGAGTGGGTGATAGTGCTAAGATTTGGGTTCTGGTTTTAAGGAGTTATCTAAAGTTTAGTTCTGAAAGAAGACGCAAAGGGGATTTCTCATGGAGGAATGCAAGCCTATGGGACAGAAGGCGATGAGTCAGGAATCGTTGGATTGGGTCACCAAAAGCCTGGGTCCTGATCCAGGATGCTTGTCCCAAAAGGGGCCCCACATACTTGATTAAGAAGGAAAGAGTGAGACCACTGTGAGGGGCAACAGTCAAGGATGGGGGGCAGAAGGGGTCTTTGAATCTGAAGCCCACCAGGGGCTGACTGTCCAGCTTTGATGTGAGCAAGAGCCCCTTTGAGGAGCTGCCCAGGCTAGTTCCTTCCACAGTGGCTCAAAGACAGGAGTGCCTGATCTGCTGCCGACTGGCTGGGAGACTGAGATTTGTTGCAGGCCAACTAGTGCATGTGACCCAGTGTCAGATATATCCCCAAAATATCCCTGGCAAGTGGCGGGATGATCTCCTACCCCTTCGCTTGAGCAGGCCGGAGGCCAGGAGCTGAGACTCCTCATTCTCCATTTCTGTTTACCTTCTCCCCAGCTGGGAACAAAGGACAAGAATTTGGGAGTGACAGGCATGTGGCCACACACTCAAATGCACTTGTTTATACCTGTTTGTTTACTGTTTCAGCAGATTCTTGCTTAGCAATAACTGAGTTTATCTCCTTGTCTTAAGGAAACTCTTAAGAATGTTATTATAATGTAGTAAAATTTAAATGTCTCTTGAATGATGAAGCACTAACTAATGTGCTATATCTAAATGTAGAAATGCACATTTACGAGTATTGTCCTCTCCCGGCATTTTCATCTGAACACTCAGTCTGTTGACAACACTCAAAAACTTCATAAAAGATCACAATCTAGCACTTAAGTTCTACAGATAATGTTGAAATCTTGCACAAGATTTAGGAATCTCAGGCAATGACATGCATAACATTGCTATTAGGAAATGTGTAATATACTCTTCTGTTACTATCAGTGGAAAGTCAAAAAACAAACAAACCATAGTGATAAGAGCTGTGTGAATTAAGGAATTTTAGAGCTGAAAGTGACCTTCGAAATCCTAGAGCCTCACCCATTTTTACCTTCTAATAATCGTGCTGTAAAATATCACACTTACACTGTAGAAAATTTGGAAATATACAGAAGATGTTTAAAATTAGGAAGAAAAGGCTGGGCACCGTGGCTCATGCCTGTAATCCCCGCACTTTCGGAGGCTGAGGTGGGCAGATCACAAGGTCAAGAGATCGAGACCAGCCTGGCCAACATGGTGAAACCCAGTCTCTACTAAAAATACAAAAAATTAGCTGGGCGTGGTGGCGCGCGCCACTGCAATCTGACCTAGCGACAGACTGAGACTCAGTCTCAAAAAAAAAAAAAAATCAGGAAGAAAAAAATCACCCACAATTGTATCACCTACAAGAGGTCACCATTTTTTAAAACTTTGCCGTATTTCCTTTCAGACATGTAAAATTTTTGATATATTTATTTTTTTCTTTTTCTTGCTACAAAAAACTGAGATCGTACAGTTTGTATCCTTCACCCTTTACTTAACATTATATAGTGATAATTTTGCTTTTTATTAAAAACTTTTTGAATATGGAATTTTTATTGATTACATAAAATGTGACAGTATGGCATAGAGTCATAAAATATTTGTAACCGTCATCATAGTATTGAATGTGTAATTGCGTTTAAAGATACTATAGTATAGATGTGCTAAGGGAAATACTTTTGTGCATAACTGTTTGTCCCATTTTTAAATTGTTTCTGTAGAAATTGTTGCCAAATTTTGTTCCAGCCAGGTGCGGTGGCTCGCACCTGTAATCCCAGTACTTTGGGAGGCCGAGGTGGGTGGATCACTTGATGTCAGGAGTTCAAGACCAGCCTGGCCAACATGGTGAAACCCTCTCTCTATTAAAAATACAAAAAATTAGCTGGGCATGGTGGTGCGTACCTGTAATCCCAGCTACTCGGGAGGCTGAGGCAGGAGAATTGCTTGAATCCAGGAGGCAGAGGTTGCAGTGAGCAGAGATCTCACCACTGCACTCTAGCCTAGGCAACAGAGGGAGACTCCATCTCAAAAAACAAAACCAAACAAAAAAACAAAACAAAACAAAATTTTGTTCCAGAAAAGTTATAACAATTTTTATCAACAACATGAGAGTGTCTATTTCAGTGTAACCTTTCTAGAATCAGAGTATTACTTTTTTTTTTTGAGGCAGAGTCTGGCTCTGTCGCCCAGGCTGGAATGCAGTGGGGTAGTCTTGGCTCACCGCAACTTCCGCCTCCTGGGTTCAAGCAATTCTCTGCCTCAGCCTCCTGAGTAGCTGGGATTACAGGCACCTGCCACCACGCCCGGCTAATTTTTTGTATTTTTAGTAGAGACAGGGCTTCACCATCTTGGCCAAGCCGGCCTTGAACTCCTTACCTCAGGATCCACTGGCCTCGGCCTCCCAAAGTACTGGGATTACAGGTGTGAGCCACCATGCCTGGTCGAGTATTACCATTTTTAATAATGGTAATGGGTAATATAAAATAATGTTATTTTAGGAAACAATTCTAAAGCTTCATTTTCAGGAGACTGAGATTTTAGAAGCTACTTCTTTAATTCTTATGACATAGAGTCGGATTAGACACAAAATAAATGTTATGAAAATGCTACTACTGTTCTTTGAAGGCTGTTTATAGTTTGTAGATGCTGAGAATATGGTGAAATGGTAAACTATGCATAGCCTTAACTTACGGAGTGCTAGAGTTTTGGGCTGAGGAGCTGGTCACCATTGGGCATCTGACAACTGATTGTTTGGGCTTCTGGGACTGTTTCTGGAGGGGCCTGGATCTCAGCACACTGTGTCAGGTAGGAGAGGAAAAAAACGTTATCTGTTTGCTCCTAAGCTCATTGGTTGAAGATTCGCCCCACAAGCTTCAATTTCTCTGCACTTACTTTTTTCTCTGACTTATTGTGGGTTTCTCAAGCATAGGGGCCAGGGGTCCTGTGAGGTGGGTGCCATTTGGGATGCCACATGGAGCTGGCAGTGTCCACAGACAGCTGGTTTCTGCAGTGGCAGCAGGGTGGAGTAAGCGTCCAACGGTGTCCAAAGATTTGGAGTGGTACTTAAGAGGTGTTTACACGAGCAACAAGGTAAGTAGAGATAACTGGGCCTTCAATACAGAGGTTGATGGAAACACATCTGCAAGTGTACCTGATTCAAATCATCACACAGTAACCCCTCCAGGGGAATGTCAAATTCTGTACTGTTTTTAATGCTCAGCTGACACATTGCTCTAGTCCAGTGGTTCTAGAACTTTTTGAGCTTAGGATCCCTTTATACTCTTAAAAATTATTGAGAACTTCAGACAAATTCATATATATGAAGTGAGGGGACAGAAAGGAGGTATATCTATATCCATATCTATCTATCTATCAATATTTATCATATTAAAAATTAAAATGGAAAAAAATAAAGAATATTTATAGATGGAAAAGTGGCCATTATAAACCAATTACATGTTAACACAAATAATGTGTTTTATGCAAAATAACTATATTTCCCAAAATAACAGTTAGTGGCATCAGTGGCATTGGTTTACATTTTGCAAACCTCTTGAATAGCGGGTTTAATATCAGATAGTGGAATTCTCTTTTTTTTTTTTTTTGAGACATTGTCTCGCTCTGTTGCCCAGACTGGAGTGCAGTGGTGCAATCTCAGCTCACTGCGACCTCTGCCTCCCGGGTTCATGCGATTCTCGCGCCTCAGGCTTCCGAGTAGCTGGGATTTATAGGCGTGCGCCACCATGCCCAGCTAATTTTTTGTATTTTTCGTCGAGACGGGGTTTCACCATGTTGGCCAGGCTGCTCTTGAACTCCTGACCTCGAGTGATCTGCCCACCTCGGCCTCCCAAAATGCTGAGATTACAGGCGTGAGCCATCGCATCCGGTCGCAGATGGTGGAGTTTTTATTTCTGCTTCCACATTTGACCTGTTACCATATGTTTTGTTTGAAGTAGATGGGGAAGTCCAGCACCCCCCAGGTATACAATTGAAAAGGGGGACTTCGTGTGTCCCTGAAGTCCACAGACCACACTTTGAGAACTGCTGCTCAAGTCTAAGTTGCGAATTTCTCAATTACATGAACAAGACTCTAGCGGAAACCAGTACTGTGTGCGCTCAACAGACTAAATTGTTTGGAAAAGCGTTTCCTAGGAGTTGCTATAAACCAAATGACTCATTTAAACGTTTTTATTACTTTGACAAATACTTCGGCTCTGCAGCCTGTTCCTTTTTTAAACCAACTTGCCTCATTACACAGCTGTGGTCTGCACAGCTTTGGCCACCAGGTGGCTCCCACCCCCAGCCTTTTCTAGAAGGATCCATTCAGGACGCTTCATTCCTTGATGGCGCCCTAGCTGCTCAGGGCACTCAGGGAAACTTTATTTTGTTCAACATAAGAAAAGAGTCAGTTGTGGGAGGCCGACGCAGGCGGATCAACTGAGGTCAGGAGTTTGAGACCAGCCTGGCCAACCTGGCAAAACTCCGTCTCTACTAAAAATACAAAAATTAGCCGGGCATAATGGCGGGCACGTGTAATCCCAGCTACTTGGGAGGCTGAGGCAGGAGAGCTGCTTGAACCTCAAAGGCAGGGGTAGCAGTGAGCCGAGATCATGCCACTGCACTCCAGCCTGGGCGACAGAGGAAGACTCCATCTCAACAACAACAACAAAAAAAAAAAAAAAAAAAAAAAAAGAGGAGAAAAGAGTCAGTTGGGTAAGGGGAGGATTATTTCAAGGAAAAGGGAAGTTAAGAAAGAATAGAACTGGCAGTGCGTGGTGGCTCACGCCTGTAATCCCAGCACTTTGGGAGGCCGAGGCGGGTCTAACACGAGGTCAGGAGTTCGAGACCAGCACAGCCAAGATGGTGAAACCCCCTTCTCCACTAAAAATACAAAAATTAGCCGGGCATGGCAGCAGGTACCTGTAATCCCAGCTGCTCAGGAGGCTGAGGCAGAGAATTGCTTGAACTCGGGAGGCGGAGGTTGCAGTGAGTCGAGATTGCTCCACCGCACTCCAGCCTGGGCGAAAGAGTGAGACTCCGTCTCAAAAAAAAAAAAAGTATATTTAACATAGGAGGTTGGTAAAAAAAATCTAAAAGAGTTGGTCTGAATACTGGAAGAAGTACTATATGGCACCTTTACTCTCTTACCAGCTTAATGTAGCTTTTTCCTTCTCATTGTTTTTAACTGATATGCTTAAATTGGGTATTATTATCTCTACTAAAATGGTTCTCTCTCAAAGCAAGGTGTTATACTAGATACCACGTGGGATAAACAAAGAGGTGGTGGGGAATGCGCCCCTCCACCCTGAGAGACAGGAGGTGTGGGTGTTTTCACTCTAGCACATATTCACTGTGACACTGTGGGGTTACTTCTGTTTCCTAACCTGAGTGATCCACCCCACTTACAAGAGAGGGCTGATAATCCTTAACTGTCCAGAGGTTTGTTTCCAAATCAGATTGTCTCTGGAGTTCCTTGCGAGACTCGAAATACACGATTCTGTGATTCTATTTCAGTCTGGTTGAGTTCTTTAGTTGCAAGCAACAGATAACCAACTTGGTTAATCTTGCCCAGTTTCCTTAATAAGACTCATACGGCCCTTCGCTACCTGGGCCCTGCCTGTGCCTCCAGCCTCAAATCTTCTTCAGGCACTGTGAAGCTCCAGACATATGGCGACATCCCCCACACCATGTGTGCCCCTTCTCCGGCCTCTGCTGCCTAATAGTAGGTTTCAGGTAGGCATCACTTCCGCTGGGCTGCCTTCCATGACCTCCCCAGTCTGGATCGCGTCCTCTCCTGGGTGCTCCAGCAGCAGCTTCCTCCACTTCTCCATCATACCTTTGAGACTATTGTATTATAATTTTCTAAATGCTTTCCCCTCCTGTGAGTCCTGGGCAGAAGGAAGCATGTCCACCTTCTTCACGGGTATCCCCAATACACAGTACAGTGTCTGGCACACAGCAGGTACACAAAATATATTTAATGAAGGAACAGAGGAAGGGAGAGAAGATATCTCTTCTTGGATAGTGCCAGTCATATATTAGGTGTTCATTAAACATTTGTAGAACCGAACTGAGAATGCTGAGCCCTTTAACAGGATCCTCAAAACCTCGTAAAATAAACACAGATAGGCCGGGCGCGGTGGCTCACGCTTGTAATCCCAGTACTTTGGAAGGCTGAGGCGTGTGGATCACAAGGTCAGGAGATCGAGACCATCCTGGCTAACGCAGGTGAAACCTGGTCTCTAGTAAAAATAGAAAAAATTAGCCGGGAGTGGTAGCGGGCGCCTGTAGTCCCAACTACTCGGGAGGCTGAGGCAGGAGAATGGCATGAACCCGGGACGCGGAGCTTGCAGTGAGCCGAGATAGCGCCACTGCACTCCAGCCTGGGCTACAGAGCAAGACTCTTGTCTCAATAAAAATAAAAAACACAGATAATAATAGGATTTTGCCGAATATAGAACCAAGTGGCAGATTTAAAATTTGAACCACAACATCCTGGATTTGACGTCTTTTGTACTACTTTTGTTGAGAAAGGGGAAATGCTCTCTTCACTCAGGCACCCACCACGAGAGCTAGCCTGGAGGATGCGGGCTCAGCACGTGCTAGAGGAACCCCGGGGGGATGGAGAAACGGTGGAGAGACGGGGAGGGCTCCGGAAAACTGCGTTCTCACAAGACCAAAGGGAGGGGAGGGAGGGGGAGATGTGGCTGCAAGTGCAGTTGGAGAGGGTGTGAAGAGATCGGGAGTCCTCTGCGAGGCTCTGGAGCACCCGGCGCCTAAGAGGCTAGTGCGCCCCGTGCCGCTGCGGTAGGACCTGGCGGTCCGCAGCTCCTGAAGGGCCTGGCCGTTCACGGGGCAGGCAGGACGGGCGAAATCCCCCGCAGTTAGCGGTCAACAGAAAGGGCGACACGGAACGGGGTTCCTGGCACCCGAGCTCGCCGCACCGAAGTCTCCTGGTAACAGCGACACGGGACCGGGCTATGTGACCACACACCTGAAGCCCCTGGAGAGCTCTTTGTTTTATTTCAAATTGTGGTAAAAAGGACATAACATTAAATACCATCTTACCCATTTTTAAGTGCACAGTTCAGTGGCATCGAGAGCATTCACATCGCTGTGTGGCCATCACCACTGTCCACCTCTAGAACTCTTCATCGGCCTGTGCAGCAGCTGCCACCTGTTCAACACTAACTCCCGGTTCCCACTCCCGCAGCGCCGTATCACACTTACACTTCTGTGTCTATGAATTCGCCTGCTTTACATATGGCATATGAGTGGAATCACACAGTATTGGTACTTTTGTGACTGGCCTATTTCACTCAGCATAATGGCCTGGAGGTTCATCCATGTTGTAGCATGTAATGGGATTTCCTTCTTTTTTTTTTTTTTTTTTTTGACAGAATCTTGCTCTGTCGCCCAGGCTGGAGTGCAGTGGCGTGATCTCGGTTCACTGCAATCTCCGTCTCCCGGGTTCAAGTGATTCTTTGCCTCAGCCTCCCGAGTAGCTGGGATTACAGGCAAGCTCCACCATGCCCAGCTTCTTTGTGTATTTTCAGTAGAGATGGGGTTATGCCTTGTTGGTCAGGCTGGTCTTGACCTCAGGTGATCCACCCACCCTGGCCTCCCAAAGTGCTGGGATTACAGGTGGGAGCCACCATGCCGGGCAATTTCCTTTTCTTCTTCTTTTTTTTTTTTTTTTGAGACAGAGTCTTGCCCTGTCGCCCAGGCTGGAGTGTGCAATGGCATGATATTGGCTCACTGCAACCTCCATGTCTTGGTTTCAAACCATTCTCCTGCCTCAGCCTCCCAACTCCCAAGTATCTGGGATTACAGGCACCTGCCACCACACCTGGCTAATTTTTGTGTTTTTAGTAGAGATGGGGTTTCACCATGTTGGCCAGGCTGGTCTCGAACTTCTGACCTCGTGATCCACCCATCTCGGCCTCCCAAAGTCCTGGGATTACAGGCATGAGCCACTGCACCTGGCCGATTTCCTTCTTTTTAAAGGCTCTATAATATTCCACTGTATGGATGCACCACATTTTGTGTAATAATTCATTCACTGATGGACACTTGTGCTGCTTCCACCTTTTGGCTGTTGTGAATGATGCTGCTATGAACAGGAATCTGAAGATTTGGGTTCAGAGCATAGAGGTGGCATGTGAGTTTTATGAGGCAAATCTCTCAGCCCTGAGTTTTTCAACTGTAAAATGAGATGTCAATATTTACTATCTTTCAGGTTTGTGGCAAATATAAAACGAGATCATGTGCATAAAAGTATTTGTAAACTGAAAAATCTCACCTCATGTAAAACTGTTATGATTTTTGTGACCAGCCATTACGACCAATGGAACATATGATTTGTGTTGGTTAATTCATGGTAGAAGCAGATGTGGAGAAGTTCTCTGCAATAAAAGCGAATGGCCAGTTATATCAGGTTAATACCTGAAAAGTTGTTTTCTGTATTCTGTAGGCATTTAAGGAAATTTTTTATTTGCACATTAAAAAAAACACATTTATTCAGGGTCACAATCAGACTATTACATTTAGCAATCAATAGCATGCGTGCCAAAAAAAAAAAATCTACATTAAAACCCTTTGTTGGAATGCTTTACACTTTCCACAGAACAGAAACTAAAATAACCTGTTATACAATTAGTCACAAATACAGTCCTCAGGATTTTTGCCCATACACATGAGTATTTGTCTAAAACATGTCTTCTTTGTAGCAGCTAGACCCTGCCACCGCTGTGCTTGGCTGAGTTCACAAATCTGTTGTAACCTGTAGCTTCCCTGACACTTCTCTTGCTCTCCTCTCCTGCTAAGCTTTGTTTCCTAATTAAAATATTCTGCCACAGCCATAGCTAACTGCTGCTACTGGAACCGCCATAGCCACCTGAAGAGTACAATTTTTCTTGGTTTCATGGTTTGGCAAAGTATTGGCCTCCATCACCATAGGGGCCAGAGCTTCTGCCTCCAAAGTTTCCTCCCTTCATGGGTCCAAAATTTGAAGACTGATTGTTGTAATTGCCAAAATCATTGTAGCTTCCACCACCTCCAAAATTGCTTCCATCATTACCAAATCCATTATAGCCATCCCCACTGCCACCATATCCACCACCACCATGGCTGCCACCAAAGCCACCACAACCACTGAAGTTTCCTCCACAACCAAAGTTGTCATTCCCATGACACCACCATGATCACCACCAAAGTTTCCAGAACCACTTCGACCTTTTTGGCTGGATGAAGCACTCGCCATCTTTTGCTTTGACAAGGCTTCCTAACTTCACAGTTGTGGACATTCACGTTATGGTATTTCTGAATGACAATCTTATCCACGGAGTCATAGTCATCAAAGGTTATAAAAGCAAAGCCCCTTTTCTTGCCACTGCCTCGGTCAGTCGTGATTTCGATCACTTCCATTTTCCCATACTGTTCCAAATAACCAATAATCTCTGAGGGGATGTTCCTCAGTGTCTTCTTTAATGCCACCAACAAATATCTTTTTCTTTTCTTTCTTTTTTCTTTTGTTTTTTGAGACAGCATCTTACTCTGTCTTCCAGGCTGGAGTGCAGTGGTGTGATCTCGGCTCACTGCAAGCTCTGCTTCCCGGGTTCACACCACTCTGCTGCCTCAGCCTCCCAAGTAGCTGGGACTACAGGCGCCCGACACCACACCCAGCTAATTTTTTGTATTTTTTTTAGTAGAGACAGGGTTTCACTGTGTTGGCCAGAATGGTCTTGATCTCCTGACCTCGTGATCCACCCGCCTCAGCCTCACAAAGTGCTGGGATTACAGGCATGAGCCACTGCGCCTGGCGAACAAATATCTTTTTCACAGTTAAGTGGGCACCTGGTCTTTGAGAATCTTCTCTTGAGACAGCTCTCTTTGGTTCCACAACTCTTCCATCCACCTTGTGTGGCCTTGCATTCGTGGCTGCGTCCACCTCCTCCACAGTGGCATAGATGACAAACCCAAAGCCCCTGGCGTGCTTGGTGTTTGGATCTCTCATTACCTCACAGTCCAGGAGCGTTCCTCATTGCTCAGAATGGCTCCTCAGGCTCTCATCGGTTGTTTCAAAGCTCAACCCTCCAAAGAGGAGCTTCCTCAGCTGTTCAGGCTCTTTAGGAGACTCTGACTTAGACATGAAGGCAGGGAGAAAAGAGGCTTTCATGATGCTTCTTTGGTGGTATCCACGGGCAGAAAGATAAAATTTTTTTGGTGGGGGGCAGAGTTTCGCTCTTATTTCCTAGTCTGGAGTGCAATGGCGTGATCTCGGCTCACTGCAACCTCCGCCTCCTGGGTTCAAGCAATTCTCCTGCCTCAGCCTCCCAAGTAGCTGGAATTACAGGCGCGTGCCACCATACCTGGCTATTTTTTTTGTTGTTGTTTGTATTTTTAGTAGAGATGGAGTTTCACCATGTTGGTCAGGCTGGTTTCCAACTCCTGACCTCGTCGTCTGCCTGCCTCAGTCTCCCAAAGTGCTGGGATTACAGGCGTGAGCCATCGCACCCGGCCAGAATCTTTTCTATTGTGGTAAAAAAAAAAAAAAAAAAACCATAAAATTTACCATCTTAACCTTGTTTGTTTGTTTGTTTGGTTTGTTTGTTTGTTTGGTTTGGTTTGGTTTGAGATGGAGTCTCGCTCTGTTGCCCAGGCTGGAGTGCAGTGGCGCGATCTCGGCTCACTGCAAACTCCGCCTCCCAGGTTCACACCATTCTCCTGCCTCAGCCTCCCGAGTAGCTGGGACTACAGGCGCCCGCCACCACACCCGGCTAATTTTTTGTATTTTTTAGTAGAGCGGGATTTCACCGTGTTAGCCAGGATGGTCTCAATCTCCTGACCTCCTGATCCGCCCACCTCGGCCTCCCAAAGTGCTGGGATTACAGGTGTGAGCCACTGTGCCCAGCCTATTTTTTATATTTTTAGTAGAGATGTGGTTTCACCGTGTCAGCCAGGATGGTCTTGATCTCCTGACCTCATGATCCACCCACCTCGGCCTCCCAAAGTGCTGGGATTACAGGCGTGAGCCACTGCGCCTGGCCCATCTTAACCATTTTTAAGTGCACAGTTCAGTAGGGTTAGGTATATTTACATTGTTGTGCAACCAATCTCCAGAACTTTTTCATCTTGCAAAACTGAAACCGAACCCGTTAAACAACTCCTCTTCCCCGCCCTTTCCCCAGCCCCTGGTAACCAGTCTTATTGGTTAGTTTGCTTTGAATGAAGACTGTCTACTTTCTGTCTCTACATTTTGTCTTTTTGATTTTGACTAACTTAAGAACCTCATATAAGTGGAATCATGTAGTATTTGTGTTTTTGTGAGTGGCTTGTTTCACTTAGCATAATGTCCTTCAGTTTCGTCTATGTGTAGCATGAGACAGGATTTCTTTTTTTAAGTATTCCATTGCATGTATATACCATATTTTGTTTGTCCATTTGTCTGTCAATGGAAATTTGGGTTGTTTTCGCTTCTTGGCTGTTATGAATAGTGCTGCTATAAACATGGGTATGCAAATGTCTCTTCAAGAGTATCATGGAATCTTATAACAAAAAACCTTGAGAGCTGGAATAGCTTTAGAGTCACAGTGATTTGGTCCTACTCTGTCCTTTTACAGAGGAGCACACTGAGGTGGGACCAGTTATGTGACTTACCCATGGTAAAATGATTTGGTGGTAATAGTCACTAACACTTTTTAAAATTTTTTTTTTTGAGACAGAGTCTCGCACTGTCACCTGGGCTGGAGTGCAGTGGCGTGATCTCAGCCCACTGCAACCTCTGCCTCCCAGGTTCAAGTGATTCTCCCTGCCTCAGCCTCCCAAGTAGCTGGGATTACAGGTGCCTGCCACCAAGCCTGGCTAATTTTTTTTGTATTTTTAGTAGAGATGGGGTTTCACCATGTTGGCCAGGCTGGTCTTGAACTCCTGACCTCATGATCCGCCCGCCTCGGCCTCCTAAAGTGCTGGGATTACAGGCGTGAGCCACCATGCCCGGTCATCACTAACAGTTTAAAAGGATACAGTGAGCCAGACACTTGGCTGAGTGCATGACCTGTAGTGTGTCAGTTAGCCCTTACCTATAAAACCTATGAAATAGATACTATTATCATCTCCATTGTATAGATAACAAAACTGAAGTGCAAAGAGATTAAGATTATATATATATATATATATATATATAACATATAATATATATATATACACACACATATATATATTCGAGATAAGGTCTTGCTCTGTCACCCGGGCTGGAGTGCAGTGGCGTGATCTCGGTTCACTGCAATCTGCGTCTCCCAGGTTCAAGTGATTCTCTGCCTCAGCTGCCCGAGTAGCTGGGATTACAGGCAAGTACCAACATGCCCAGCTAATTTTTGTATTTTTAGTAGAGATGGGGTTTCATCATGCTGGCCAGGCTGTTCTCGAACTCCTGACCTTGTGATCCACACACCTTGGCCTCCCAAAGTGCTGGGATTATAGGAGTGAGCCATCGCGCCCAGCCAACACTATATTTAATAAGGGCTGGGACCTCCTCTCTGACTCTAGGGTGGAGGAGCAATTAACAATGATTAATTTTCATTCATTTATTCAGATAACATTTCTCAAGTGCCTCCCACTGCCACACTGTACTAGATCCTGGACATACATAAACAGAACTGCATGTTTGCCCCCAAAGAGCTGGCAGTGTAGGAGGAGCAACTGGCTTGTCCTCAATTTCAATGCAATGTGATTAGTGCTGTACTAGTGTTTTGCAGGTGCTGCCACTGAGCATGCGGGGGGGGACTTCTGAGGGATGGATGGATGGGGAGGCTTCGTCTCCAAAACAGCCCTTGAGCTGCATGTCTAAGCGCATGCAGACGTTTTCAAGGTGAAAAAGTGGAGGGAACAGTATTTGAGGTGAAGGAAACGTATGCAAAACGTATGCAGAGGAATGGGAGTCTGAAGGATTGCTGAATTATTTTGATGGACGAGAGCACAGGTGTGTGGGAGAGGGCAGGGGATGGAAGGGAGGGAAGCTGACTCCCTGTGGTGGAGCGTCTAAGATGTCTCAAGCACTTGGCCTATATTGTTCATTGAATTCTCACAATGCTTCTGTTGTATTCTCTCTCTCTCTCTCTCTCTCTCTCTCTTTCTCTCTCTCTCAGAGACAGGGTCTTGCTCTGTCACCTGGCGAGAATGCTGTGGCACGATCTTAGCTTACTGCAGCCTTGAAATTCTGGGCTCAAGCAATGCTCCTGCTTCAGCCCCCTGGTAGCTGGGATCACAGGTGTGTGTCACCAGCCCAGCTAATTTTGTAATTTTTAGTATAGACAGTTGTGAGGCGGGGCTTGGGGAGGTGGTCTCGCCCAGGCTGGTCTCGAACTCCTGGGCTATGGCAACAATCCTCCTGTCTTGGCCTCCCAAAGCACTGAGATTACAGGTGTCAGTCACCGAGCCTCGCCTGCTGTCTTCATTTCATATTAGGAACACCGAGCCTCTGGTTAAGAAAAACTCCCAAGGTCACACACCTTCAGGCTTCAGATGCCACCGAGGTGAGGCACTTGGAGCAGGATCGCGGGGCACCAACGCGGGGCCGAGGAGTTGCTCCCTGACCTCTTAGGCGCTGGAACCCCACGGAAGTCATCTATCGGGACTGATTTGCCCAAGTTGGAGCTGTTTCCTGAAGGAATGCAAAAGGAGTTCAGCTTGGGGCAACAGTCCCAAGAAGGGACGCAGCTGGGCCTGCAGTGGAGGAGGCAGCTGTGGGCCCCGGAGCAAGTGCCCCCCGGCCCAGCACCCCCACACCGTGGAGACCCCATGCTCCTTCCTGGGGTTTCTCCTGTCGTGTCTTCTTGCAGGAGGTGAAAATAAGAGGCACCAAACAAGGACACATAGTGGTTTGCAAGCCTGCCTGAGTCCCCTGTTCCCAGTGTCCCAAGGACACCAGGGGTGTGGCAGAGCTTGTGTCTGCTCCCCGGCTCCGCCTCGGTGTCCCTCCAATTCCTGTCCTTGCTGAGCTGTGACGGGAGCCAAAGGATATGTGTTCTTTTTGTTTGTTTGTTTGTTTTTTCTCAGCAGGAAGCTGACGGCTGCATCACATGATGGTAGTTGATTTTTTACCTGGTATTTGGGTAGATTAAGGAAAAAAAAGTTTGTGTCCAACTAATTATTGACTTTGTGTGTCCTTCCCAAAGCAAGGTGGTGTTTACTTTGAAAAGACACTCCATGCGACTATGAGATAAGATTTAAGATCAAAGGGTTCCCAGGGAGAAAAGAAATGGCCTCAGCCTACAGGCTAAACTGCCTTTAAAATTCAGAGCCTGCCAAACAAACAGCAGCAATGAGTTTCTCTGGGCAATATGCAAGATCCCAGGAAGACAGGACCAGAAGGCTGACGTCGGCCCGCGTCCCATGGCTCCCGGTGCGTGCCGCCAGTGCAGGGCGAGGCCCTCCTTTCATCTGCAGGAACCCACCTCCAGGTCCAGAGAGCCTCGTTCTGGCTCCACAGGCGCGAGGGGGAAACACGGTAGTGGCATTTGCTCTCAGCCTCTTTGTTTTTTGGTTGTGTGTGTGTGTTTTGTTTTTGTTTTGAGATGGAGACCTTGCTCTGTCGCCCAGGCTGGAGTGCAGTGGCGCGATCTTGGCTCACTGCAACCTCCACCTCCCAGGTTCAAGCAATTCTCCTGCCTCAGCCTCCCGAGTAGCTGGGATTACAGGCGCCCACCACCACACCTGGCTAATTTTTGTATTTTTTTTTCAGTAGAGACGGGGTTTTGCCATGTTGGTCAGGCTGGTCTCAAACTCCTGACCTCAAGTGATCCACCTGTCTTTGCTTCCCAAAGTGCTAGGATTACAGGCATGATCCACTACACCTGGCCATCTTTGGACACCTGTTTACTGAGGGTTATTATTATGTATAACATAGCATTGGGCGCTGAGTGATGGGAAGAGTGAGAAGAAAACAAATGTCTGGAACACACAGGCCTGGCTCGAAGAGCATGGAGAGGAACACAGAATTCAGCAGAAACTATGGGTGCCTACCATGCGCTCGGCACTGGGGAGTTGATGAGAAGTAAGACACGTCAGTTAACAAAGATCACAAAACACAACCATTTGTTAGACATGAGTCTTAGATCTAATATAAAAGCAAAAGCCAAAAATCTTCTAGAAGAAAACACAAGAGAATTTCTTCATCATCTTAGGGTAGGAAAAGATTTCTTAACAAGAACACAAAAACATTCACTGTAAAAGAGAAAAATGGGCCAGGTGTGGTGGCTCACGCCTGTAATCCCAGCACTTTGGGAGGCCAAGGCGGGCAGATCACAGGTCAGGAGATCGAGAGCATCCTGGCTAACATGGTGAAACCCCGTCTCTACTAAAATACAAAAAATTAGCCGGGTTTGGTGGCGTGCACTTATAGTCCCAGCTACTTAGGAGGCTGAGGCAGGGGAATCGCTTGAACCTGGGGGGCAGAGGTTGCAGTGAGCTGAGATCGCGCCACTGCACTCCAGCCTGGCAACAGAGCAAGACTCCGTCTCAAAAAAAATAAAAAATAAAAAATAAAAAAGAGAAAAATAATAAATTGAGTTTCCTCAAAATCAAAGCCTTCTGCTCTTTAAAAGATATCATTAAGCAAATTCAATAAAATAGTCTCAAAACATGCATCTAACGAAGAACCTGTATTCAACTTGCATGCTGGTAATGCAACATGTTGAGTTTTCCATCTTAGGCATGATCTCATTACAGTGTCTCCCACTATACGAGGAAAGAATTTAACTTTTTTTTTTTAGACAGGGAATCACTCTGTCACCTAGGCTGGAGTGCAGTTATGTAGTTATGTGATCACGGCTCACTGCAGCCTTGACCTCCCCAGCTCAAGCAGTCCTCCCACCTTAGCCTCCCTAGTAGCTGAAACCACAGGCACATCATGCAACCACACCCATGTAATTTTTTTTTTTTTTTTTTTTTTTGTGTAGAGACAAGAGTCTCACTATGTTCCCTAGGCTCGTCTTGAATTCCTGGGCTCAAATCATCCTGCCGCTTCAGCCTCCCAAATTGTTGGGATTACAGGTATGAGCCACCACGCCTGGCCAACTTTAACTTTTAAACCCTCTGCCCCCAGTACTCGAGCTTGCTGTTCCCATCCTTCTGTCTTCCTAATATAGTGCTGTCATAATTTTGGTGAAATCACCAAATGCTTTTGGTGAAGCGTTCTCTCCTACAGCCTGCATCACACCGTATGTGAATGGCTCGCCACCTCCCAGAGGTGCAAAGCTGTTATTCTGAATTGCCCCCACAGCACCATCGGGATGCTTTCCTCTTCTCTTGGATACCATTTCTTTCTTGGACCTCATGTCTTCCTCCAGCTTGGTTTGTTTGTTGATTGTTATTTAGCTTTTCTTTCTTTTTTTTTTTTCTTTTTTTGAGACAGAGTTTTACTCTTGTTGCCCAGACTGGAGTGCAATGGTGTGATCTCAGCTCACCGCAACCTCCGCCTCCCAGGTTCAAGTGATTCTCCTGCCTCAGCCTCCCAAGTAACTGGGATGACAGGCATGCACCACCACGCCCGGCTAATTTTGTATTTTTAGTAGAGACTGGGTTTCTCCACGTTAGTCAGGCTGGTCTTGAACTCCCCACCTCAGGTGATCCATCCACCTCAGGTGATCCGGGAGGTGGAGGTCGCAGTGAGCCCAGATCATGCCACTCCAGCCTGGGTGAAAGAGCGAAACTCTGTCTCAAAAAAAAAAAAAAAATCCCTGTAGATGGACTTGTCAGCAGTGTCATGATGGTGTGTGAAGTCATAAATCCTGGCACATAAACCCTGGAATGATTCTGTGAAAGCAGGAATTCTTATAGCCAAATCCTTTCTCTCGAGTGCTCAGAGCACGAAAGTTTTCTCCTTATATCATTGGAACTGCTGTCTTTGGAACTTTGTCTGCAAACGGCTCGAAGGAAATGAGGCCCAAGGGCTTGACAGCAATGCCTGGGAATATAGTGGGGTTGGCCAGGTGCAGTGTCTCACGCCTCTAATCCCAGTATTTTGGGAGGCCAAGGTGGGAGGATCACTTGAGCCTAGGAGTTCAAGACCAGCCTGGGCAACATAGTGAGACCCTGTCTTAAAAAAAAAAAAAAAAAAAAAAAGAACACAGTGGGGTTGACCATGACTGCTGACAGGGGGCTCTGGGTGGTGCTGGCATCTGCAAAAGCCTCTTGGTTTAATCTCTTAGTTTGGTGGAGTACATCTTCCAATAGCTTCCTGAAAATGTTTTGAATTTTGGAATGTCTGAAAATGTCTTTATTTTACCTTCACGCTTAATTAATAACTTGTCTGGGTATAGAATTTTGAGTCAAAAACAATTAACTTTACACATCTTTAAGGCCTTGCTTTATTGTTCTGTAGTGTTAAATATAAAGCCATTCTGATTCTTGAACCTGGGAGGCTGGAGGTTGCAGTGAGCCCAGATCATACCACTGCACTCCAGCCTGGGTGAAAAAGTGAGACTCTGTCTCAAAAAAAAAAAAACAAAAAAACAAAAAAAACCCAGCGAGAACACAATATACCCCAAGAATGGTAGATAATATTTGCAAACCATATTTCTGATAAGGTATTTATATCCAGAATATATACAAAAACTTTTACAACTCAATAGCAAAAAACAAATAATCCAATTTTTTAAATGGGCAAAGGATTTGAAGAGACATTTTTTTAGAAGATACAAAAATGGCCAATAAGCACATGAAAATAGGCTCAACATCATTAGTCTTTTAGGGAAATGCAAACCAAAACCACAATGAAATATCATTACACAACCATTAGGGCGTCTATAATAAAAAAGACAGATAAGAACAAGTGTGATGGCCAGGAGCGGTGGCTCATGCCTGTAATCCCAGCACTTTGGAAGGCCGAGGCGGGTGAATCACTTCAGGTCAGGAGTTTGAGACCAGCCTGGCCAACATGGTGAAACCCCGCCTCTACTAAAAATATAAAAATTATGGCCGGGCACTGTGGCTCATGCCTGTAATCCTAGCATTTTGGGAGGCCAAAGCAGGTGGATCACTTGAGGTCAGGAGTTTGAGACCAGCCTGGCCAACATGGTGAAACCCTGTCTCTACTAAAAGTACAAAAATTAGCTGGGCGTCGTGGCGCATGCCTGTAATCCCAGCTACGAGGGGGGCTGAGCCAGGAGAATCACTTGAATTCAGGAGACGGAGGCTGCAGTGAGCTGAGATCCCACCATTGCACTCCAGCCTGGAGGACAGGAGCAAAACTCTATCTCAAAAAAAAAAAAAAAAAAAAAAGAGAACGAGTGTGGTGAGGATGTGGAGAAATTGAAGCCCTCATACACTGCTGGTAGGAATGTAAAATGGTGTAGTTGCTTTGGAAAACAGTCTGGCAGTTCCTCAAAAGCTTAAATATAGAGTTACCATTTGACCCAGCAATTTCACTACTAGGCATATACCGAAGAGAAATGAAAACATATGTCCATACAAAACCTTGGACATGAATTCTCAAGCAATATTACTCATATATAACATATAAATAATATAGCCAAAAAATAATATAATAGCCAATAAGTGAAAACAACTCAAATGTCCATCAACTGATGAATGGACAAATAAAACGTGTCATACCCATACAAGGGAATATTATTTGGCCATGAAAGGAATGAAGTGTGAGCACATGCTGCAACAAGGATGAGCCTTGGAAACATTGTGCTAAGTGAAATAAGCCAGGCCTCTCAGAGGCTGGGCACGGTGGCTCAGGCCCGTAATCCCAGCACTTTGGGAGGCTGAGGCGGGCAGATCATTTGAGGTCAGGAGTTCAAGATCAGCCTGGCCAACTTGGTGAAACCCCACATCTACTAAAAATACAAAAATTAGCTGGGTGTGGTGGGGGGCGCCTGTAATCCCAGCTACTCAGGAGGCTGAGGCACAAGAATCGCTTGAACCCAGGAGGCGGAGGCTGCAGTAAGTCAGGACCAAGCCACTGGACTCCAGCCTGGGCAAGACAGCAAGACTCCATCTCAAAAAAAAAAAAAAAAAAGCCAGGCATAAAAGGCCACATAGAATATGGTTCTATTTATATGAGACAGAAAATTGACTAGTTGGTTGCCTAAGGTGGACAATAGGGGTGGGGATAAGAAATGAACAGTGATTTTTTTTTTTTTTTTTTGAGATGGAGTCTTGCTCTGTTGCCCAGGCTGGAGTGCAGTAGCATGATCTCGGCTCATTGCAAGCTCTGCCTGCCAGATTCAAGTGATTCTCCTGCCTCAGCCTCCTGTGTAGCTGGGATTACAGGTGCCTGCCACCACGCCCGGCTAATTTTTTGTATTTTTAGTAGAGACGAGGTTTCACAGTATTAGCCAGATGGTCTTGATCTCCTGACCTTGTGATCCACTCGCCTCGGCCTCCCAAAGTGCTGAGATTACAGGCATGAGCCACCGTGCCAGGACAATGAGGAGTGATTGTTAAAGAAAAACAGGATTTCGGGCCAGGAGTGGTGGCTCACGCCTGTAATCCCAGCACTTTGGGAGGCCAAGGTGGGCGGATCATGAGGTCGGGAGATCGAGACCATCCTGGCTAACACAATGAAACTCTATCTCTACTAAAAATACAAAAAAAGTAGCCGGGCGTGGTGGCGGGCGCCTGTAGTCCCAGCTACTCGGGAGGCTGAGGCAGGAGAATGGCGTGAGCCCAGGAGATGGAGGTTGCAGTGAGCAGAGATCACGCCACTCCAGGCTGGGCGACAGAGAGAGATTCCATCTCAAAAAATAACAACAATAATAATAATAAATAACTAAAAATAAAAAAGAAAAAAGAAAAACAGAATTTCTTTCAGGGTGATAAAAATGTTCTAAAATTGTTCTAGATTGTGCAACTCTATATTTACTAAAAATTGTTGAATTGTATTACTTTAAATGGATGAATTTTATGATATGTGAATTAATATCAATAAAACTATTATTTAAATAAAAATAAGCCGGGTGCGGTGGCTCACGCCTGTAATCTCAGCACTTTGGGAGGCTGAGGCAGGCGGATCACTTGACATCACGAGTTAGAGACCAGCCTGCCCAACATGGTAAAACCCTATCTCAACTAAAATACAAAAAATTAGCTGGGCGTGGTGATGGGTGCCTGTAATCCCAGCTATTCAGGAGGCTGAGGCAGAAGAATCACTTGAACCTGGGAGGCGGAGGTTGCAGTGAGCCGAGATCACACCATTGCACTCCAGCCTGGGCAACAAGAGTGAAACTCCGTCTCAAAAAAAAGAAAAAAAAAATTAGCCAGGCATGGTGACGGGCGCCTGTAATCCCAACTACTTGGAGGCTGAGGCAGGAGAATCTCTTGAACCCAGGAGGCAGAGGTTACAATGAGCAGAGATTGTGCCACTGCACTCCAGCTGGAGCAACAGAGCGAGACTCCATCTAAAAAAAAAAAAAAAATTATATAAGTAAATAAATAAATATGGTCAGAGTCACTTAAGGAAAGCCTGCAACATGAAAGAGAAAGTCTGAAACAAACAAGCAGAAAAAACAAAGATAACAAAAAGCAATCCAGAGGAAGTACAATTTAGGAAGTAGAAGGAAAAAAAACTCTTGAAATAATAACTTCAGAGAAATAAAGACAAATATTGAAGACATAAAAAAACAGATTGATTAGAGACCAAGAATGAGCTCTTGGGAACTAAGAAGATAATGCCTGCACCTAAAAGTTTAATATAAAACCTGAGTGAAGGCCAGGCGCGGTGGCTCACGCCTGTAATCCCAGCACTTTGGGAGGCAGAGGCGGGCAGATCACGAGGTTAGGAGATCGAGACCATCCTGGCTAACACAGTGAAACGCCGTCTCTACTAAAAATACAAAAAAAATTAGCCGGGCATGGTGGCGGGCGCCTGTAATCCCAGCTACTGGGAGGCTGAGGCGGGAGAATGGTGTGAACCCGGGTGGCGGAGCTTGCAGTGAGCCGACATCATGCCACTGCCCTCCAGCCTGGGTGACAGAGCAAGACTCTGTCTAAAAAAAAAAAAAAAAAAAAAAAAAAAAAAAAAAAACCTGAGTGAAAAAGTCAATGAAACTTTCCAAAAAGTGGAATAAAAAGAGACATGGATGATAGGATATAAACAAATACCAGCGGGTCCATTGAGGAGATCCAATATAACCGACAGGGATTGGAGAACAGTGTGGGGAAATGGTTAAAGAAGTAATAGAAGAACATTTCCCAGAACTGAAGTCCACAAGTCTCTAGGTTGAAAGCTTTGAGAGTGATGAGTACAATAAATGAAAACAAACTGTATCAAGGAACATCATCATGAAATGTACAATACTGGGTATACAGAAACGATCCTAACTGCTTCTAGAAAAAAAAGAGCGGGGGGATCGCTCACACAGGCTTGAGAGTCAGGACAGCATTCGACTCGCACAGAAGCACTGGAAGCAGGTAAGTAAAGCACTGGTAACTTCAAAATGCAGGGCTAGTTTTTATCCTAGAACTTTATGCCCTCTCATATTTTCAGTCAAGTAGAAGAGGAACATTTTCATACAAGCAAGAACTCAAAATGTTTCCAAGAGCAAATCACGAAAAAGGAAGATACAGCATTTGACAAAAATGCACTCCAATACAGGAAAGTGACAAAGAGAACTCCCAAGGTGACAGCTGTCTGTCAGGTTTGGAGAGCTGCCAGTCCAGACTGCAGGAGAGGGCGGACGGCATTTGCTGTCCAGGAAACAAACAGCCTGGTGTTTGACAGATCCACTGCAGAAAATAGAAAGAAAAAAACCTCTGTAGGTTCAAAGAAAACAAAGCGCTTTTCCGCGCTACCTACAGAGGGGTCCATAGGGCGTTGTTCTGGATTCCGGTCGTAACTTAAAGGGAAACTTTCACAATGTCCGGAGCCCTTGATGTCCTGCAAATGAAGGAGGAGGATGTCCTTAAGTTCCTTGCAGCAGGAACCCACTTAGGTGGCACCAATCTTGACTTCCAGATGGAACAGTACATCTATAAAAGGAAAAGTGATGGCATCTATATCATAAATCTGAAGAAGACCTGGGAGAAGCTTCTGCTGGCAGCTCGTGCTATTGTTGCCATTGAAAACCCTGCTGATGTCAGTGTTATATCCTCCAGGAATACTGGCCAGAGGGCTGTGCTGAAGTTTGCTGCGGCCACTGGAGCCACTCCAATTGCTGGCCGCTTCACTCCTGGAACCTTCACTAACCAGATCCAGGCAGCCTTCCGGGAGCCACGGCTTCTTGTGGTTACTGACCCCAGGGCTGACCCACCAGCCTCTCACGGAGGCGTCTTATGTTAACCTACCTACCATTGCTCTGTGTAACAGATTCTCCTCTGCGCTATGTGGACATTGCCATCCCATGCAACAACAAGGGAGCTCGCTCAGTGGGTTTGATGTGGTGGATGCTGGCTCGGGAAGTTCTGCGCATGCGTGGCACCATTTCTCGTGAACACCCATGGGAGGTCATGACTGATCTCTACTTCTACAGAGATCCTGAAGAGATTGAAAAAGAAGAGCAGGCTGCTGCTGAAAAGGCGGTGACCAAGGAGGAATTTCAGGGTGAATGGACTGCTCCAGCTCCTGAGTTCACTGCTACTCAGCCTGAGGTTGCAGACTGGTCTGAAGGTGTGCAGGTGCCCTCTGTGCCTATTCAGCAGTTCCCTACTGAAGACTGGAGCGCTCAGCCTGCCACGGAAGACTGGTCTGCAGCTCCCACTGTTCAGGCCACTGAATGGGTAGGAGCAACCACTGACTGGTCTTAAGCTGTTCTTGCATAGGCTCTTAAGCAGCATGGAAAAATGGTTGATGGAAAATAAACATCAGTTTCTAAAAAAAAAAAAGAAAACAAAGCAAATGAAAGAAATAAGGGAGGCCGTGCGCAGTGGCTCACACCTGTAATCCCAGCACTTTGGGAGGCTGAGGCAGGTGGATTATCTGAGGTCAGGAGCTTGAGACCAGCCTGACAAACATGGAGAAACACTGTCTCTACTAAAAAATACAAAAAAATTAGCTAGGCGTGGTGGTGGGCGCCTGTAATCCAAGCTACTTGGGAGTCTGAGGCAGGAGGATCCCTTGAACCTGGGAATCGGAGGTTGTGGTGAGCTGAGATTGTGCCATTGCACTCCAGCCTGGGCAACAGAGCAAGACACACCATCTCAAAAAAAAAAAAAATATATAAGAAATAAGGTAAAAAGTCCAAGAGGAAACAAATTTTGTACAAATGAGAAACTATAATCACAATCTATGATTTGGCTCAAAGAGTACTTTAGCATAGTCAATAATATTTACACTGACAACTGACTTAACTAAAAATTGTGATAGAACTACATAGGGAAATGAACTTGGGGCAGGGAATATAAGAGAATGAACACAGGCTGGGCGCGGTGGCTCACGCCTGTAATCCCAGCACTTTGGGAGGCCGAGGCAGGCGGATCATGAGGTCAGAAGATCGAGACCATCCTGGCTAACACGGTGAAACCCCATCTCTACTAAAAATACAAAAAATTAGCCGGGCGTGGTGGTGGGTGCCTGTAGTCCCAGCTACTCGGGAGGCTGAGGCAGGAGAATGGCGCGAACCCGGGACGCGGAGCTTGCAGTGAGCCGGAGATCGTACCACTGCACTTCAGCCTGGGTGACAGAGCGAGACTCCGTCTCATTAAAAAAAAAAAAAAAAAAAAGAGAATGACCACAATATGAAGATAATATAAAATATTTAAAATAAGTAAATCAAGAAATATCAATAAATGCCTATAGTGAAGATGCCAGAAGAAATAACTCTGAAGAGATGAGAGTGTTTGTGTTTGCAGAGCAGGAAATGGCAAGGGATGCACAGAGACTACTTTTTTTTAGTAATCTAACTTGAAAAAACTGTATATTTATTATGTTTATAAAATTAAAAAAAAATTTAAACAAAAAAGACATACCAATCATCAAAACCATGGTTTTCAAACTTGTTTTGTTAGCGGAATGCTTTTTCCCCCCAGGAAAATCTATGTATTAATAGAATAAGAGCACAGCTCAACCCCAGCATCCCCCAAGTTCTTAGAAACCACCAACTCTGAAGATTAACCTATTCAGATTCCCTCTGCCCCCATTGTAGCTACTAAATCCAACATGAGTTTGAACTTACCCAAAGTTACATGGGTTGAGTATCCCAAATCCGAAAATCTGAAATTTGAAATGCTCCAAAAATCTGAAACTCTTTGAGCACAGCCATGATGCTCAAAAGAAATGAGTGTTGAAGCATTGTGGATTTTGGATTTTTGGATTAGGGATGCTCAACAAGTATGATGCAAATATTCTAAAATTGGGGGGAAAAAGCCCAAATCCAAAACACTCCTGGTTCCAGCCTTTTCTTTTCTTTTTCTTTTTTTTTTTTTTTTTGAGGCAGGGTCTCACTCTGTCACCCAGGCTGGAGTGCAGTGGCGCCATCTTGGCTCATTGCAACCTCAGCCTCCCGGGTTCAAGCGATTCTTGTGCCTCAGTCTCCTGAGTAGCTCGGGTTACAGGCGCACGCCACCATGCCTGGTTCATTTTTTTTCTATTTTTAGTAGAGACGGGGTTTCACCACATTGACCACGCTGGTGTTGAACTCCTGATCTCAAATGATCTGCCTGCCTTGGCCTCCCCAGCACTTTGGGAGGCATGAGCCACCACGCCTGGCCTGGTCTCAGGCATTTTGGATAAGGGGCACTCAACCTGTGCAAAGTGGGGCTTAGAATCAAGGCCCTGGATTCCTCATCCGGGACTTTTTCTCTTATATGGTTCTGCTTCAGGAATTTAAAAACAAAGGGGACAAAGGCGTCAGTGAAAACTAAGGGACAGGACAAATATGGGTACCTTTGATCGTATTGGTGTAGGAGTCGGGGAAAGTGAAAAGAAGTTGAGGCTTTCACAGGAAATGGGAGATAATAGGGTCACAGGAGGAAGAGAGAAAGTTAACAAGTTGGCATGATTATGCCAGGAGTAGCAAGTAGGTTTTATCTCAAATGCTCAGCTTGATCAATTGAGAAGAACTGCTTGATGTGCTGAGTTAGATTTTGAGGCTGAATCTGGGTTCAGCCAGAATGTGTGCCTTGATTGAGTGCTGCTGTCTTAATAGAGAGGAGGCATTTTGGCAGGCATACCACTATCTGCTATTCTTGTTAAATCTATAAGCAGTCATGACTCTTGTTTGAATGTTCATTCCCTCCAAAACTTACGTTGAAATGTAACTGCCATGGTAACAGTTTTAGGAGGTGGGACCTTTGGGAGGTGATTAGGCCATGAAGGCACCTTTCTCATGGGTGAGATTAATGCTTTTATGAAAGGGCAAGTTCAGTCTCCTTTGGCCCCTTTGCCCTTCTGCCTTCCACCATGGGAGGATGCAGCAACAAAGCCCTCACAAGATGCTGGCACCTTGATCTTGGACTTCTCAACCTCCAGAACTATAAGAAAACAAGTTTCTGTTCATTATAACTGACCCGTCTGTGGTATTTTGTTATAGCAGTGTGAAACAGACTGAGACAATCTTTTTGGAGGCGTTAGTCACCAGCCTAAAGAGACAATCAGAAACAGGTGGTTCTAGTAGGTACCATAGAGTCAGAGCAGTGAGGCAGGAAAGGACTACAGCAGTGAGGCTGCTGAGCCAGCAGTGCTTGACACATCCTAGGTATTGCCGACTCTGATCCCTAAGGAATGCAGTGTTCTCTCCATTGCCCAAGCGTAACATGACACATAAGGGAGAGATGAAGACTACTTACATGAGTCCCAGAATTCAGCAAGATGTTTGTCAGTGCAAGGATTCATGCAAAACTTGACAATTACCCTCCCATACCTGTGCTATCCCATATGGTAGCCATTACCACATGTAGCCACTGAGCATGTAAAATGTGGCTGGTGTGACTGAAGAATTGAATTTTGAATTAAATTAAATTAATTAATTAATTAATTTTTTCAAGACAGAGTCTCACTTGGTCACCCAGGCTGGAGTGCAGTGGCACGATCTCGGCTCACTGCAACCTTTGCCTCCCGCGTTCCAGCAATTCTCCTGCCTCAGCCTCCCAAGTAGCTGGGACTACAGGCTGGAGTGCCACCACGCCTGGCTAATTGTTGTATTTTTTAGTAGAGACGGGGTTTCACCATGTTGGCCAGGCAGGTCTCTAACTCCTGACCTTGTGATCCACCTGCCTTGGCCTCCCAAAATGCTGGGATTACAGGCGTAAGCCACCATGCCTGGCCTTTATTTTATTTATTTATTTATTTTGAGATGGAGTCTGGCTCGTTGCCCAGGCTGGAGGGTGATCTCAGCTCACTGCAACCTCTGCCCCCTGGGTTCAAGCGATTCTGCTACCTCTGCCTCCTGAGTAGCTGGGATCACAGGCATGCGTCACCATACCTGGCTAATTTTTGTATTTTTAGTAGAGATGGGGTTTCACCATGTTGACCAGGCTGGTCTCAAACTCCTGACCACAAGTGATCCACCCACCTTGGTCTCCCACAGTGCTGGAATTACAGGTGTGAGCCACCATGCCTGGCCTGAATTTTGAATTTTAATTATTAATAATTGCCATTGAAATTGAAATTGAGACCCACTTCCACTTCCAGGAAAATGGAGTGCGTGTACTGCTCCTTATTTCTCTTGCTAAGTACAACTAAAACTCCTGGATATTACATATAAGACAAACCTCTCACTGAAAGGTGGAGAGAAGGCAGACCATTTAGGAACCTCAGTAGCTAAGGAAGTACATGGTGGAGAGTTTTCCTTCTAGAACACTCTCCACCGTGTAATTTCTTTTTACCTCAATATCCCAGACTTCGAATAGAGAAACTGGAAAATCAGAGATAGCAACAAGCAGACAAAAATGTCCCCATGAAGGACTTTCTCTAGCCAAAGGACGAGGAAAGAGGTAGAGTAGCCAGGCAGCTCTTGGACAATTACTACTGTACTCCAGGCAATCACCACAGAGAAAACTGTGGCTCCACCCAACCTGTGCCAGCAATGACTGAGTGAGGAGTAGGATTCCATCCTTGTAAGGCTACAATGAAGCACCCCGATGTTCCTGCCTAAGTGATGTCAGAGAACTCCTGGTAGGGAGCTGGGATTTTCCTCCCCATTGGCTGGTGATATCTTTCCTGCCCTGTGGGGAGCCTGGACTTCTAGTCTACCCGGTAGCTATGAGATGCCCCTCCCACTCACTGCTAGGGCAGCAGCAGAGGGGGCCTAGGAGAGTCAGGACTTCACTGACCATTGCCCACTGGCAATGAGGCCACCCCATGGGGTGAACACAGCATGGAAAGCAGGCACTCCTACCCTGGCTCAGCATTAACAAGCAGCCTCCCCTGACCCTGAACATCCAAAGAGGCTGAGTGGGGACTTTACCTTCCTAGGGAATAATGAGGCAGCATGTCCACTTTCCCTGCCAAAGCAATGTCAACAAAAGTCAGCTACAACAAAAGATCAAAAATATACAGGTTTCCATCAAGAATCATCCATCACACCAAGAACTAGGAAGATCTCAAAACTAAGTTAAAAAAAAAAACCCAATAGAAGCCAACACTGAGATGATAGAGATGTTAGAATTATCTAAAATTTAAAGTCAGCCATAACAGAAAGACTTTAATGAGCAATTACAAACACTCCTGATACAAAAGATAAAAAGTGCCAGCAAAGAAACAGAAACTAGAAGAAGGAATAAATGGAAATTTTACTTTTTTTTTTTTTTTTGAGAAAGGGTCTCATTTTTGAGAAAGGGTCTCACTCTGTTGCCCAGTCTGGAGTACAGTGGTGCAATCATAGCTCATTGCAGCCTTGAACTCCTGGGCTCAAGCGATCCCCCGTAACCAAGTACCTCAGTTTTAAAAATATATTTTAATCACTCACTTTCTTTGTCTTCCTTCCTTCCCCTCTCATCCCTTCATTCCTTCCCTCTCTACACTCCCCTCTGGCAATGAATGTTTATCTAATTACATTCTTGCTTAAGAAATCCCAGAGGCTAATCTCAAACAAACCAGGCATGAAGCCCCCACTGCAGAATCCTCCCGTTTAGGGGGAGTCATGACAATTAGTCCACCATCACCAGGCTGAAGTCAAGATAACGCCAATCATACCTTTGGACAGGTGATTACCCAAGATAGCCACCAGAACAAGACACACAGGACCCTGCACCCTGCACCATTCCCGCATGTTTCCCATACCAAGTTTCCCTTTGAAAACCCCGTGGTAAATTTTAAAATTTAAGCCGGTACTTTAGAATGCTATTGCCATCTTCTTTGTTTGCTGGCTCTCCAGTTAAAACTGCTTTTCCTCCCACCTACCCCAACTCCTGTATTCTGGCTTCTTCTTGTTTTTTTTTTTTTTTTTAAGGCTTACTCTATCGCGTAGGCTGTAGTGCAGTGATGCCATCTTGGCTCACTGCAACCTCTGCCTCCTGGGTCAAGCAATTCTTGTGCCTCAGCCTCCCAAGTAACTGGGATTACAGGTGCGCACCACCACGCCTGGCAAATGTTTTGTATTTTTGGTAGAGATGGAGTTTCATCATGTTGGCCAGGCTGATCTCGAATTCTTGACCTCAAGTAATCTGCCCGCCTCAGCCTCCCAAAGTACTGGGATTACTGGCATGAGCCACCACGATCGGCTCCAAAAATGGAAACTTTAGAACTAAAAGATTGCTGGGCATGGTGGCTCATGCCTGTAATCCCAGCACTTTGGAGGCTGAGGTGGGCGGATCACCTGAGGTCAGGAGTTCGAGACCAGCCTGATCCAACACGATGAAACCCCAACTCTACT
The DNA here is from genome assembly GCF_000001405.40 of Homo sapiens. NCBI lineage: Eukaryota > Metazoa > Chordata > Mammalia > Primates > Hominidae > Homo > Homo sapiens. The sequence goes on from NC_000013.11 coordinate 20,968,204, forward strand.
AAAAATAAAAAAAATTAGCCAGTGTGGTGGCATGTGCCTGTAGTCCCAGCTACTTGGGAGGCTGAGACAGGAGAAAAGCTTGAACCCAGGAGGTGGAGGTTGCGGTGAGCTGGGATTGCGCCTTGCATTCCAGCCTGGGCAACAAGAGGGAAACTCCATCTCAAAAAAAAAAAACTAAACTAAACTAAAAAACTAAAAGATACAGTAACTGAAATGAAAAGCTCAGTGAATGGGTTCAAGAGAAGAATAAAAGGGTCCAAGGAAAGAATTAGTGAACTGGAAGCTAGAACAATAGAAATTATCCAATGTAAACAGATGTATCCATTTTTACAGAGAAAAATGGAGGGGAATGTGGAGGTGGGAGAGCCGAAGCGTAAGAATTATAACAAAAGATCTAGTATTTGTATCAGTAGAGTCATAGAAGTAGAGTTCGAAAGGAGAGGTGTGAATGAAAAAGCTCTGGAAATAATGCCTGAAAACTCCCCAAATCCCAAATTTGGCCATAAAAATAAACCTACAGATTCAAGAAGCTGAGTGAACCACAAACAGTAAAAACCCAAATAAATCTAAGCCAAGAATCTCCTAATTCAACTTCTGAAAAGTATGCAAAGAGAAAAGCTTGAAAGCAGCCAGAGAAAACACCTTATCTATCCATAGGGGAAAATCATTAGAATGACTACAGATTCTCTTGAGAAACCACGGAGAGCAGGAGGAAGTGGCACAGCATTTTTCAAGTGCTGAAAGAAAACTATCAATCTAGAATCCTGTAGCCAGTGGAAATACCCTTCAGGAAGGGAGGGGACATGAAGACATTTTCAGGTGAAGGAAACCTAAGAGAATGTCACCAATAGACCTCCCTTAAAAGAACGGCTAAAGGAGGTTCTCTAAAAAGAAAGAAAAAGATAAAAAGAAAAAGCCTTAGCACATCAGGAAGAAAAGAAAGAACATGGTAAGCAAAAATATCAGTTAATATGACAGACCTTCCTTCTCTTGAGTTTTCTTAAATGTTTGATAGTCAAAACAAAAAAATTATGTGTCTGATGTGAACTGAAAAAGAACAACACTGAAAAAGAAAACCATTCGAGTGGTTTTCACTCTGTGACAATAGCCTCCAATCATTTTGTACCTTTTAAGCATGACCATTGGGTTTTCACACTCATATGGGAGGTGCCTCCCTCAAACTTTGTTACATTGGCACATGACTCATCTGATGTGAACTTAGGAAAAAACTCACAATGACCCATATGCACTTCATCCCAGTGTCCAATAAGATTTTTCTTTTCTAAGGTGAATAAGCTCATTTTGTCCATTCAGTGTAGGCTTCTGCTGGAAATGGAAAATTCTCTTACAAAGGAAAAGCTTTTTTTACTGATGGAAAAAGATTTAACAGGATTAATAATATCAGCATAAGGATCACTTGAGCCCAGGAGTTCAAGACCAGCCTGGGCAACATAGGGAGTCCCTGTATCTACAAAAAAAAAAAAAAAAAAAAAAATATATATATATATATATATATATATATATATATATATATATATATATATATATATATGGCGGTGCACACCTGTAGTCCCAGCTACCCAGCTACTTGAGAGGCTGAGGTAGGAGGATCACTTGAGTCCAAGAGGTCAAGGCTGCACTGAGCCATGTTCATGCTACTGCATTGCAGCCTGGGTGACAGAGCAAGAACCTCTCAAAAAAAAAAAAAAAAAAAAAAAAAAAAACCAGCAGAGTACTACTTACGAATATTGACTTAATATCGAAGATTTTTTTATTATGCTAATTTTTTTTTTTTTAGACGAAGTCTCACTCTGTAGCCCAGGCTGGAGTGCAATGGCACGATTTCAGCTCACTGCAACCTCTGCCTCCAGGGTTCAAGCAATTCTCCTGCCTCAGCCTCCCAAGTAGCTGAGACTACAGGTGTGTGCCACCACACCCAGCTAATTTTTGTATTTTAGTAGAGACTGGGTTTCACCATATTGGCCAGTCTGGTCTTGAACTCCTGACCTTAGGCGATCCACCTGCCTTGGCCTCCCAAAATGCTGGGATTACAGGTGTGAGCCAACACGCCTGGCCTAATTTTTGTATTTTTAGTAGAGATGGGGTTTCCCCATATTGCCCAGACTGGTCTCGAACACCTGGGTTCAGGCGATCCGCCTGCCTCAGCCCCACAAAGTGCTGGGATTACAGGCATGACACATGGTGCCTGGCCTTCCCTACTTTTACAAGGCAATAAGTTAGCCTGTTCTTTAGTGGAGTGGTCCCCAACCTTTTTGGCACCAGGGACCAGTTTTGTGGAAGACAATTTTTCCATGGACGGGGAAGGGATGGTTTCAGGATGAAAGTCTTCCACCTCAGATCATCAGGCATTAGATTCTCATGAGTGCAGAGATCAACCTAGATCCCTCATATGTGCAGTTCACAATAGGGTTTGTGCTTCTATGACAACCTAATGCACTGCTGATCTAACAGGAGGTGGAACTCAGGCAGTCATGCTCACTCACCCACCACTCACCTCTTGCTGTGCAGCCCCATTCCTAACAGGCCATGGACTGGTACCAGTCAGTAGCCTGGGTGTTGGGGACCCCTGCTTTAATGGATGCTGGACTAAGACAAAGATTCCTGGATCAGAGACAAAGGACTTTATTTTTCATAGCACAGCAAGCAGCATGTTTGCATCAGTTTCCCCTTGTTCCCTAGTCCCACCGGGGCAATGTGGAAGACCCAGATGGGTTCTGCTGAGGTATACTAAGCTTGGAGAATCTTTTTGATACCAAGCAGCAAGCAAACTTGCTCTTTGTCTTGGAGAGAGACATCATCTTACCCCTTAAAGCTGCTCACTACAAATCCAATCCTGAGAAATGGCTCAGATAAAGAGCAGTCAGGCCTTGCCTTCTTGGCATATTCAGCAAAGTGTGCACGAGGGAGCTGGGGAGAAACTGCTCACATCTGCACAGGGAAATGTGGCAATAAACCTTGCAAATACACCTTACTTTTGACCTAAGAATTGCACCTCTAGGAATCTGTCCCACATAATTACTTTCACTTACACAAATGATGGTTATAAGAGGTTATTTATTCTAACATTGTTTATAATAGGAAAAGGTCAGAAACAACTAAATGTCTAGCCATATGGGACCAGTTTGATTATAATACCCTCACAATGGAATACTATGCAGTAAGAATAAAAAAATTTCTTTATGTGCTGCTATATAGAGTGCCAAGAAATATTGTCAAGTGAAGAAAACAAATGCAGAAAAATATGCATAATATTCCCTCATTTCTGTAAGAGGCAAAAGGTACACATATATATTTTTTCTTGTACATAAACTTTCATTCCTCTAAGAATGCCCAGTATATTGTTAATAATATCATTTGTTGTCTGTGGGGAGGTGAATTGAATGACTGGAAGTGAAGGAGACTTTTTTTGTATATCACTTTTATATGTTTTGATTTTTTTTTTTTTTTTTTTTTTGAGACAGAGTCTTGCTGTCTCCCAGGCTGGAATGCAGTGGCACAATCTCAGCTCACTGCAACCTCTGCCGCCCGGGTTCAAGCGATTTTCCTGCCTCAGCCTCCTAAGTAGCTGGGATTACAGGTGCACACCACCATGTGCAGCTAATTTTTGTATTTTTAGTAGACATGAGGTTTCACCATTTTGGCCAGGCTGATCTCAAACTCCTGACTTCAGGTGATCTGCCCACTTTAGCATCCCAAAGTGCTGGGATTACAGGTGTGAGCCACCGTGCCCGGCCAGTATGTTTTGATTTCTAAACCATGTGACTGTACCTATTTAAAGTATACAAACTCTTATATTTTCCAGATTTCTAATACCATCAATCTTTATCATCTATCTATCTTCTTTGAGACAGAGTTTGTCTCTTCTTCCCAGGCTGGAGTGCAGTGGCATGATCTCAGCTCACTGTAACCTCCACCTCCTCGGTTCAAGTGATTCTCCTGCCTCAGCCTCCCAAGTAGCTGGGACTACAGGAATACACCACCCACAACCGGTAATTTTTTTGTATTTTTAGTAGAGACAGTTTCACCATGTTGGTCAGGCTGGTCTCGAACTCCTGACCTCAGATGATCCACCCGCCTTGGTCTCTGAAAGTGCTGGGATTACAGGCATGAGCCACTGCACCCAGTCTATTTTTTTAAGACGGAGTCTTGCTCTGTGGCCCAGGCTGGGGTGCAGTGGTGCAATCTCAGCTCACTGCAACCTCTGCCTCCCAAGTTCAAGCAATTCTCCCTGCCTCGGCCACCCGAGTAGCTGGGATTACAGGTACCCACCACCCCACCCAGCTAATTTTTGTATATTTAGTTATTTAGTAGAGACAGGGTTTCGCCATGTTGGCTAGGTTGGTCTTGAACTCCTAACCTCAGGTGATCCACCAGCCTCAGCTTCCCAAAGTGCTGGGATTACAGGTGTGAGCCACCGCACCAGGCCTCATCAACAATTTAAAATGCAAGGTCAGGAGCTCTAACTGTCCTCTCAGTTTAACATATTATGCTGGGGAATTAGCTCTTATTCATGATTTACTTGATCACCCACCATATTTATTTGACATCCCACTTAAGCCACTCAGTAATCCTAATGAGGCATATTTTGTTCCCATTTTACGCAAGTTGGTCACAGAACCACAGCCTGATTTGGACTTCATGTGTCTACCTGGAAAGCCTACTTTTCCACACCCCAAGACATTCCTGAGACAGCCCTGTCTGTGCTGTGCAACCCTGGCTCATGTGTCACAGGGGAAGCATGGGGGAGTTACAACATGCTGAGAGAGGCAAGGACTTACAAACTCCAGTAAGACATGACACCAACTACGGGATTTGGATTCAAAATTTTAATAATAAATTGTGCCAGTAGAAGCTTTTCAAAGGTAATGATATATCAATAAATAATAGTTAAACTGAGTTCCTGAGAAAGAACCTACCACATGAAAGTATGTCAGAGCGCTGTGAGTAACAACATGGCACGACTATAAAATAGCGAGAATACTGACAGTCACGACGACAGGCACAGCAGACTTGAGTATGCCACTCACACAAATGTAAACCAGTACACAGGAATCTTTATTTTTTTAGTTTAAACACTGATAAACTTCTAAGTGTTGTTGCCTAGATATATACTAAGTAATGGATACATTATGCTAAGAACTTCAAGGAAAAATATGTGGAATAATATAATGAAAATTATGAAGCATCAGATTTTTTAAAAAGCAAAAAAGAATTGAACTTTTTACTCAAATATAAATCACTTTAAATAGGAATCATACTAATTTGAAATAAGGAATATTGTGTTTATCTCTGTGTGTGTGTGTGTGTGTGTATACACGCACATACATCTATACTTCTAAGAAAATACGTATGGCTTACTTTTTATTTCAATGTCATTTTGAAGAATCTTTGCTTTTTTACAAAGGTTAGGAATATGTATTGTTTAAACCAAGTTAAGATTTGATACTTCAAAGTACACTAAAAGAACAAAAAAAAAGTGAGAGAACCATTAGATCACTCAGTTTCCTGACAGTAACAGAAGAAAACAGGACTAAGAACATTCACTGAAGCTTTCAGTGTGGGCAGTCTGTCAGTAAAAAGGTAAGTAGTAGGGTCAGAGGTATGGCATTCCACATACCAGCTCTACCAAGAATGAAAGAGCATACGGACTACAGAAACGGACATGTGTCCGTGATTAAACTTTTTGGCATCGCTGTATTAATCCCTTTTGATGTATATAAGTTCAGTATATGACAAATGTTTCAGTTCCCCCCCCCCAAAGAATCCAATCACAACCAAGACACACACACAAATCACTTCTCAGTTACACATCTGCATTTCTTTAACAAAACAGTAAGAGATACAATCATAGCGAAGAGGTCACCCGCACAATACATTATCAGCACACTGTCTAGAACACCTCATTTAAAGACACTCAGTAAAAACGTATTCACAGGACCTGCTGTGAATGGCAAGATATGGTAATTTTATAATAGAAGAACTCTGCTCATGCAGTACTCTCCACACACCAGACGTCGGAAATCACAGCCACATCATCACCTTGCTCACACTTCCTATTATACTAGATATGCAAAAAGCCAAAAAAAGCAGCTTTTAACATTATATCATTATATCACAATTTTGAAACATGGGAAAAAATAAAAAACAAAAACCATTGTGTGGATAAAATGGTCTCCGTGACATTGAGCAGAGTGTTATCTTTTTTTTTTTTTACATTATTGCACAGAGATTTCTCATCAATGTTCTTCAGTTTTTATGTCTTTTCCTAAATGTGAATAAGTGCTATGGATAAAATACAAATGTAGAAAATAACAGCAGCATGATTTGTCAAAGTTAATCCCTATAATTTAGTAAGAAAAAATGGATATAAACAAAATAAGTGCTCTTTCTAAACTGTACTAAATTTTCAAAAATATTGTTTTAATGCAGTGAAGGTCCTGAAAAGCCTATTGAAAGCGATGCTGAGTCCTGTTTTCAAAAGTGTCCTGTTTGGGTTTTCTTGGTGAAGAGCAGAATTTCAAGTGAAGTAATCGACGGACTAATTTAAAACAAAACAGCCCTCGGCTTCCCTATTGGCCTGTGAGGGCACCGGCTCCGGGACCCTGACCTGGGAGGCAGCGAGTGGTGGGGGTGCCTGGCCCCCATCTACACGTACACAGGCTGGCAGCCTTCAGTCTGATCCACCAGATCAGAGCTTTCTAAATCTGAGCTCTCAGCCTGTGAAGCTTCTGCTCCTGAAGGCTTTGGGCATCGAAAGGGGTAGCCATTGTCATCAAAGAACCTTCGGAAGGTGAATTCGTAAAATGCGTGCTCAGGATGCTTGTTATTGGGCGAGGTGAGTGTGTCCCAGGCCTTGGTGCTACCTTCGCTGGCATCGTTCCAAGGGCTTTCTTCATCTACGGGGTCGAAATTCGAGGTGTCCATGGGGTGGCTGATGGTGGGAACGTAGGGGGCTGGCTGCTTCCGGATGTCACTGGAGAAGTCAATGGCGCTGAAGAAGGGGTGGGCCTTCAGGTCATCGGCCCCATTCCGCCCCAGGCGGTGGTCTGCGGAGCAGCACAGCTTGGTGATGAGGTCCCTGGCCTCAGGGCTCAGCTTCACCTGGGCTGGAATGTGGAGCGTGTTCTCCCAGTTGATCACCTGAGGAAACAACAGAGCCAACAGGTTAGTTTCTCCTCACATCTTGGGCAGTTCTGGGACAGCGTGTGATGACGTGACTTTCAAATATGTTTAGTTTCACAATAGGAGAGGAGTTAGAATAGACACAAGCAGCAGTTGTTGATCTCAGCAGCCACAAAAAGTCAGTGTCATTTCAGTCGATGGCTCACAGCCTGAGGCCAGGATGACCAGTCAAATACAGACAAAAAGATACTGATTTTCTTCTATCAGAAATACTGTTTAGCCAAAGAATTTTGTGCTTTCCACAAAAATGAAGAGAATGATGGTCTACAAGTTCTTTCTTTCTTTTTATTTTTTTGAGATGGAGTCTCGCTGTGTTGCCCAGGTTGGAGTGCAGTGGTGCGATCTTGGCTCACTGCAACCTCCGCCTCCTGGGTTCAAGCGATTCTCCTGCCTCAGCCTCCCGAGTAGCTGGGATTACAGGCGCCTGCCACCACACCCGGCTGATTTTTGTATTTTTAGTAGAGACAGGGTTTCACCACGTTGGCCAGGCTAGTCCTGAACTCCTGACCTCAGGTGATCAGCTAAAGTTATTTCTTTAGCTATGGCAATGGCTTTCTGCAAACCATCATGACGCTCATTCAAATACTTATTGCGGTCAAAAAACGGCCAACTGGGGTTTTGAAAAACAAACAGGAAAAACTTCATAGGGAAGAATAAAGCTGACTGACCCCATGTGACCTTACATGCTCAACTGCACAAACCAGCCATCTGGACGTTCAGTAAATGCACTTGTTGTAGAGATGTGTCTACTGTGAAGACAAAACCTAGGGGACTTCTTTATTGTTTACACTTAGAATCAGGAGGAAACAAGGCCAACATGACTGGCTACCAGCTGGGGTGATGGGACAGCGGATAAGGCATGGAAGTTAGTGGGTGTGTGGGTGGTAGGCTTGGTTTGAACCTAAGTAGTTGTTTTCATAGAGCTAAAACTGTAGAGCTCCTAGAAGAAAACATAGGGTGAAATCTTCATGAACCTGAGTTTGGCAATGATTTCTTAGACATGCCACCAAAAGCACAGGGAATAAAAGAAAAAATAAATTGGACTGCATAAAAATTTAAAACTTTTGTGCATCGAAGGACATTACTGATAGCAAAAAGGCAACAAAATGGGAGAACAGATTTCAAAACATGTATTTGAAAAGGGGTTAGTACCCAGAGAAAATACAGAACTCCTACAACTCAACAACAATAACAAAACCAAATAAGTTGATTTAAAAAGGGTAATGGACTTGAGGAGATATTTCCAAAGATATACAAATGACCAATAAGGACATGAAAATAAGCTCAATATAATTAAACACTAGGGAAATACAACTCAAAACCACAATGAGATACCACCTTACATCCCCTAGGGTGGCTACTACTTAAAAAAAACAAAAACAGGAAAATACTTATTGAGGATGTAGGGAAACTGAACACTCAGTCACTGTTGGTGGGAATGTAAAATGGTGCAGCCACTATGGCAAACAGTTTGGGAGTTCCTCAAAAAGTTAAACACAGAACGACCATATAATCCAGTGGGATATAAACCCACTTTCTGGTTTATATCCAAAAGAACCGGAAGCAGGGACTCATACAGTGGAATTATTATTCCACCTTAAAAAGGAAGCTACAACAATGGATGAACCCTGAGGACATTACGCTAAGTGAAATAAACTAGACACAAAAAGACAGATACTGCATGACTCCACTTACAAGAAGTCCCGAGGCCAGGCACAGTGGCTCACACCTATAATCCCAACATTTTGGGAGGCTGAGGTGGGTGGATAACTTGAGGTCAGGAGTTTGAAACCAGCCTGACCAACATGATGAAGCCACATCTCTACTAAAAATACAAAAATTAGCTGGTGTTGTGGCAGGCACCTGTAATCCCAGCTGCTTGGGAGGCTGAGGCATGAGAACCCGGAAGGCAGAGGTTGCAATGAGCCAAGATTGTGCCACTGCACTGCAGCCTGGGATACAGAGCAAAACCCTGTCTCAAAAAAAAAAAAAAAAAAGTCCTAAGCATAACCAAACTCACAGAGACAGGAAGCAGAAGAGAGGCGAGCAGGTGCTGAAAAGGAGAGTGGGGAGTTTCTGTTTAATGGGTTTGGGACGATTAACACATTTGAAAATAGAGGGTGGTGATGGTTGCACAATATTGTGAATGTACTTAATGTCACTGAATTATACACTAAAATAATTAAAAATGGTAAATAATTAAAATAATTATTAAATAAATGGTAATTAAAATAATTAAGATGGTAAATTTTAATTTACCATTAAAATAATTAGATGGTAAATTTTAATTTACCATTAAAATAATTAGATGGTAAATTTTAATTTACCATTAAAATAATTAGATGGTAAATTTTATGTTATGTATATTTTACCAGAATAAAAAAATCTGAATTATCATGTGGGCAATTTAGTGAGTAGCTCAGCCATTCAATTAGGGCGCAGATAATGCCAGATTCCAATTTTACTGTTCCTAGAGTGAAACTAAGCCTTACTTTAGGGTTTTTCGATTTCTCTTTTTTCTTTTTTTGAAACAGAGTCTCGCTCTGTCATCCAGGTTGGAGTGCAGTGGCGTGATCTCGGCTCACTGCAACCTCTGCCTCCTGGGTTCAAGCGATTCTCCTGCCTCAGCCTCCCAAGTAGCTGAGACTACAGGCGCCCGCCCCCATGCCAGGCTAATTTTTTGTATTTTCAGTAGAGACGGGGTTTCACTACGTTGGCCAGGCTAGTCTCGATCTCCTGACCTCGTAATCTGCCCGCCTCCGCCTCCCAAAGTGCTGGGATGACAGGCATGATCCACCACGCCCAACCTTACTAGACAGATTTTCTAATTAAAGTTATTAATTTAGGCTCCCTGGCCTAATAACCACATGCCCTGGTGGCTCACATGACCACCAGGGCATGTGAAAATTCCAAGGACTGTGTGTCAGTTGGTATGTCCACAGAAGACTGCAGATTCTTAATTTCAATTCTCAGTTCAACCCTTAGTAACTCATTTCAGAAAGCAAATGGCTGTCATTTTAAAACTAATAATTTAGTATTAAATGACTGACAATTATTTAACTACTTTGAATGAATATTAGGAATATGCACAACTAGCCTGACCACATAGCTGACAGTTTGCGAACAATGATATAATATCCAAATAAAGAAACTGCTTTCTTTAGATACAGTTGACCCTTGAACAACACAGTTTGAGGGTCACTTACACTAGCATTTTCTTCCACCTTTGCCATCCCTGAGACAGCAAGGCCAATGCCTCCCCTTCCTCAGCCCACTCCACATGAAGATGACAAAGATGGAGACCTTTATGATGATCCACTTTCAATTATTAAAATAGTAAACCTATTTTCTCTTCTTTATGATTTTTTTTCTTTAGACAGAGTCTCACTCTGTCACCCAGGCTGGACTGCAGTGGTGTGATCTCGGCTCACTGCATCCTCTGCTTCCTGGGTTCAAGTGGTTCTCCTGCCTCAGCCTCCTGAGTAGCTGGGATTACAGGTGCACACCACCATGATGGACTAATATTTTGTATTTTCAGTAGAGACGGGTTTCGCCATGTTGCCCAGGCTGGTCTTGAACTCCTGACCTCAGGTAATCTGCCCACCTTGGCCTTCCAAAGTGGTGGGATTATAGGCATGAGCCACTGCGCCCAGCCTATGATCCTCCCAAAGTAGTGGGATTACAGGCATGAGCCACTGCGCCTGGCCAGCATTTTCTGTTCTCTAGCTTGCTTTATTGTAAGAATACAGGATCTAATACATATAAAATACAAAATATGTGTTCATTGACGCTATGTTACTGGTAAGGCTTCCAGTCAACAGGCTATTAGTAAAGTTTTTGGGGAGTTGAAAGTTATGCAGATTTTTGACTGTGCAGGGGGTTTGGCACCCCAAACCCCTCATTGCTGAGGGGTGAACTATAGTTCCTGGAGTTCCGTGTGTTCTCTGCAGGGCAGGTGTGGGTGGGGGAGACAGTGGATCAGCAGCACACCTTTGCTGATCCTCACTGTTCTTGCCTGGAAATAGCAAGGTGGCAGATGGCCAAGGGTTTAATAGAATTTCAGATATTAAAATGGGTCCAATTCCATGGCTTTGCTTATCAAAATAGAAAATTTAAAAATAGATAATTTAAAAAATAATGAGATTATTTTTAAAAATCCCATCCTATACAACTGCCATTCCTACCCTACTCAGAATAAGAGGGCAAATGCTGACCAAAGATTCATGGGTACATGAGCAAATCAGATGTCTACAGCAAGCAGATGCGTGGTTCCTCTCACATTACCTTCAGCTGGGTTTCTGTGGGAGTAGGTGCCAAAAAGGGCGGCTGCCCCACCAGCATCTCGAAGAGAATCACTCCAACACTCCACCAGTCACAGAGTTGAGTGTACCCTGCAAGACAAAGTTCACTCAATCCCTACACAGGCATGAATTCTCCTCCGAGGTGAATTTCATTAAGATGCTGAACATACAGATTTCCTGTTAAGTGGGAAAGCGCGTTGAAGCATCGCACTGTGCGCAAGATGGACCTATGTAAGTACCTGGATACTACTGGGTGGGGTGGTGGGGGGCGGTGGCCATGGCCGCTTAGGTTTTTGTATTTTTAATCATTGTAATAAGAAAATACTTTTTAATTTAAAAAGATTATTTTTATTGTTAGCAAATAGTTACTAGCCAGAATTTTATGTTCTTAAAGATCACAAACAGAGGCACCAATTAAAATAACAGAACTGAAAAACATAAAGTGCTATAACCTGTGAATAGTCAGGTGAGGGTCAAGGGAGGCTTCTAAGTCAGTTTTGGATGAAGCTGAAGAATACGGAGATGAGGAGGAGGTGGGCAAAACCCACCGGACAATTCACTGTAAGCCAAACACTCCTTGTGTGAGGCCCCTACGGAGCCGGGCCTTCCTCACGGGGCTCCCAGCTGTGCTGGGTCAGGGCTGGCCTCTGGGAGGCTGTAGGCTAGGCTCGTTTACCTCTTATTTTCTCCCACTTTTCCTTCAGAGCCTCATGACCCATCAAGCCAGGATCGTCTTCATGTCACCTAATCCTTGCTAAGTATAAACTGGGATGTTAAGAGGTCAGTCTGCGGGTGCCTGCAGCTGCATATGCCAGGGTAGCCCCCTCAGGCCCCTCTGCTATCTCTCCGTCCCACCTCTTCCTGTCCAAGTTTGGCAACAGAGGCTGCAGAAAAACCCCAAGCAATGGTTTCTTGAGAATGCTGCACGTGGTAGAGGGAAGTAGACCTTCACTGGGCACCAAGGTTATTCACAACCTCTCAAGGTCGTTATTGCTATGTCTGTGGTCTGAGTAGTTAAGTAACTTGTGCTGGATTACCACAGCTAGCAAAGAAAACCCAGACTTGAACTGAGTCTGGCTGGCTCCAAAGGACTTTAAACAACATGTGATGGCAGGGGCTGCCTGTCTCTGGATTAATTACACCCCATTGTCACTGTGGACCATGCAGGATCACTGAAGGATTCCTCCTATACTGAACCAGATGTTGCATTTGACAGAATGAAGCATCCATCCAGGAGGCAAATGTTATGAGCACTAGTCATTTTACACAACTGGCACCTGCCACTTTTGCTTATGGTCTAGCAGGGAGAATGAGAGAAAAAGGATCTTCCAACGCTGTCACATAAGCACCCAGCTGCACACGGCACAACTCAGCCAGGAGCCTGAGACAGAAGTTAAAGCTAGAGCCCGGAAATGTGTGGTCTGGGCAGACTGAGCAGAGGTCCTGTGGCCCTCAGAGTGGTTTCCATCATCTGACTGTGAAAATCAGGGCTGGAGTCATTCCCTTGGGTCTAGGTAGAGCCCGAGGGCCAGCAGACACTGGTCTAATGGTGCATGTCTTCCAACCCCCTGAAGCAAGAGCACTTCCAGGACAGGAGGGAGGCTTGTATGTTGCAGAAATTAGTAGCTTTCAGGCTTCTATGAGGACAAAAATATGACTGGAAGCATTAGGTCCTTGGAAAGCTAGAGCCAGCGAGACTCAGCTCACGTCTGAAGGGAAGGAGACCTCCTGCGGGGTGGCTGGCCATGGCGCATGTACCTTTGCGGAGGAGCACCTCGGGTGCGATGTAGTTTGGAGTCCCCACCAGTGAATGTGCCAGGCACCTCTGGTGCTGCTTCCGCGCCCTCTGCTCTAGGGTCTTCAGCCTGTCCCCACACCGACAGTTAGACACATCATCCCAGAGGTCGCTGGGCTCCATGCTGTCCTGTCTGACATGGCTCCCTTCACCCAGGAATCAGGGATAGTGAAAGAAAAGAACAAAATATAAAGTGAATTTTCACTCTTCAATAACTCAACAGATCCACAGCTTAAAACAGCAAAGTCATTCCAATCAGCTCCTGACATATCAGGACAGAGAATCCCCGCTGAGCTGCTCCATAGGGGCAGCCTGCTGTTCCTAGTTTGGAGACACACGTGGTGAGGTTGGCGCTAGCACCAAGGTAGAAATGACGGTGAAGAATCACAGGACACCATGCACCGTGCTGAGCTGGCAGGAAGGCACTGCAGGCAGGAGAGGCTGGAAGAACTGCGGGGACAGCACTCCTAGCGCTTAGGCCATAATCAAAAGGTAACAACTGCCTGACACATGTTTTAAGATGAGCATGGAAAACTTAGGAGGATTTAAACAACATGAACAAAGGTTACTTCAATGCCAGAAAATGAGAATGAATTAAATGATTTAGAGTTAGTTTTGAGTTAGAGAAAAAAGACTAAGTGATGATATTAAAATAACTACTTCAAGAATCTCAGCCATAAAGAAGATAATAATCAGCTGTTTTTGGCTTTTCCAAATGGCAGAACTATAGGAAATGGAGTTCAATGATACACTACATAGATGCAGGTTGGCTATAAGAGAGGGCTCCTTGGGAGGCTGTGACTCTTTTATTTATTTTATTTTATTTGAGACAGAGTTTCGCTCTTGTTGCCCAGGCTGGGGCGCAATGGCGCGATCTCAGCTCACCGCAACCTCTGCTTCCCGGGTTCAAGCGATTCTCATGCCTCAGCCTCCCAGTAGCTGGGATTACTGGCATGCATCACCACGCCCGGCTAATTTTGTTATTTTTAGTAGAGACGGGGTTTCTCCACGTTGGTCAGGCTGGTCTCGAACTCCTGACCCCAGGTGATCCGCCCACCTTGGGCTTTCAAAGTGCTAGGATTACAGGCGTGAGCCACCATGCCCAGCCAAATCTTTTATTTTTTAAGGCTTGCTTTAATGAGGCAGGTGATGGTTCCCCACAAAGGCCCCGTGACACCTTGTAGCCTACTGTCTTAAAAATATAGTAGGCCAGGCACGGTGGCTCACACCTGTAATCCCAGCACTTTGGGAGGCGGAGGCAGGCGGATCACCTGAGGTTGGGAGTTTGAGACCAGCCTGACCAACACGGAGAAACCCCGTCTCTACTAAAAATACAAAATTAGCCAGAGGTGGTGGTGCGTGACTGTAATCCCGGCTACTCGGGAGGCTGGAGGCAGGAGAATCACTTGAACCCAGGAGGCAGAGGTTGCAGTGAGCCGAGATCACGCCATTGCACTCCAGCCTGGGCAACAAGAGCGAAACTCTGTCTCAAAAAAAAAAAAAAAAAAAAGTAAACCTGAAATCCACTACCTTAAAAAAAAATGCATATCACACTATTCCTTTTGGAAGGGAAGGATGTCACACCAATTTATAAAATAATGGAGTGACAGATAAAAATTTCAAAATGATTAGGAGCCACTAGGATGGGAAATTTAGTTGCTTGCAATGGGGTTAGTGACATCTACACATAGAAAGTGCATGTGGCACACTTCAGACAATACCTTTCTGGTAATATTTGGAATTGTGAGTCCACCTGAACCCAGTGCAGAGGCCGAAATCTGTGAGTTTAATGTGACCATCCAGATCTATCAAAATGTTATCAGGCTTGATGTCTCGGTGGATGAAGCCCATCTTGTGGACACTCTCAATGGCCAAAGTCAGCTCTGCGATGTAGAACCGGGCCAGGTGCTCAGGGAAGACCTCCATCCGGATCAGCAGGCTCATCATGTCCCCACCAGGGATGTAGTCCATCACAAAGTACAGGCTGTCTTTGTCTTGGAAGGAGTAGTAGAGTTTGACCACCCACTCATTGTCTGCCTCGGCCAGGATGTCCCTCTCGGCCTTGACGTGGGCCACCTGATTCCGGTTCAGGACATCCTTTTTCCTTAGGGTCTTCATGGCGTACAGGGCGTGAGTGTCCACCTTACAAGCAAGGCACACTTCTCCAAAGGCACCGATCCCCAGGGTTTTGATCTTGACAAACATAGACTTGTCCATCTTGGCCCTCTTTAACCTGTTGTAATTAGACTCTTTCTGGTAGAGGATCTTCCGCATCTGCTCCTGCTCAGCTTCACAGAGTCCAGCCTGTGTAGAAGGAAAAGGAAGGAGGAAGAATCACATTAGAGAAGTCCCATGATAACAAATGACTGGGATGGGGATGCCCTGGAACTGAGAGGAACCTAGCTCATTTTACAGAAAGGAGAACAGAGAAGAATGGGTCTCATATACTACAGAGTCTCGCTCTGTCGCCTAGGCTGGAGTGCAGTGGCACAATCTCAGCTCACTGCAGCCTCCGCCTCCTGGGTTCCAGCGATTCTGCTGTCTCAGCCTCCCGAGTAGCTGGGACTACATGTGCCCGCCACCATGACACCTGGCTAATTTTTGTATTTTTAGTAGAAACAGCGTTTCATCATGTTGGCCAGGCTGGTCTTGAACTCCTGACCTCAGGTGATCTGCCCACCTTGGCCTCCCAAAGTGCAGGGATTACAGGCTTGAGCCACTGTGCCCGGCCAGTTTTGTTTTTTTATATCCATATATAGACATGAATATGGAATGAAAAGTTAAGATAAAAAAGAAAGTTCTTTCTCTAGGATACTTTTGGCTCTAAAAACTAAGGGAAACTTCTATTAACACAAATCTGTGGAAAAGGGGACCACAGCATTCCTAGAACTCCAAGAGCCATCTAATCTTTCAGTAACTCAGGGAAAATGGGAAAGCAGGAAGAAAAGTCAACAATCAGCATACAAAAATCAGTAGCATACATTAGATAGACTTGTATATGGTGAGAGATAGGGTCTAGTTTCATTCTTCTGCATATGGATATCTGGATTTCTGTACACCAATAATGAATGCCATTTACAACAGCTATAAAAAAAATCTAGGAGTAAATTTAACCAAAAAGTGAAAGAGCTCTACAAAGAAAACTACAAAACACTGAAGAAAGAAACTAAAGAGGACACAAACAAATGAAAAGAGATCCCATGTTCACCGACAGAAAGATTTAATATTGTTAAAATGACCATACTACCCAAATCAATCTACCAATTAAATGCAATCCCTATCAAAATACCAATGATATTTTTCACATTACTAGAAAAAACAATACTAAAATTCACAGGGAGCCCAAATACTCAAAGCAATCCTAGGCAAAAAGAACAAAATTGTTACCTGACTTCAAAATATGTTACAAGCCTAGAGTAACTGAAACTGCATGGTATTGGTATAAAAACAGACACATAGACCAATGGAACAGAATAGAGAACCCAGAAATAAGTCCACGTATTTACAGCCACCTGATTTTTGACAACGGTGCCAAGAATGTACACTGAAAAAGAGACATGCTGGGAAAACTAGATATCCATATGCAGAAGAATGAAACTAGACCCCAATCTCTCACCATATAGGAATGTCAACTTAAAACAGATTAAAGACCTAGAAATAAGACCAGAGGCTATGAAAATATACTCCAGGACATTGGTTTGAGCAAAGATTTTTATGGCTAAAATCTCAAAAGCACAGGCAAAAAAACCCCAAAGTAGACAAATGGGACTATATTAAGCTAAAAAGCTTCTGCAGAGCAAAGGAAACAACAGAGTAAAGAGGATACCTGTGTTGAACAGGAGAAAATATTCACAAACTATTCATCTGACAAAAGACTATTATTCAGAATATACAAGGAACTCAACTCAACAGCAAAAAAAATATCAAATAATCCCATTAAAAAGTAAGCCAAAAGGCCAGATATGGTGGCTCACGCCTGTAATCCCAGCACTTTGGGAGGCTGAGGCAGGCGGATTACTTGAGGTCAGGAGTTTGAGACCAGCCTGACTAACATGGTGAAACCCCGTCTCTACTAAACATACAAAAATTAGCTGAGCATGGTGTCGCACACCTGTAGTCCCAGCTCTCAGGAGGCTGAGGCAGGAGAATAGCTTGAATCCAGAAGGCAGAGGTTGCAGTGAGCCGAGATTTCACCACTGCACTCCAGCCTGGGCAATAGAGCAAGACTCCGTCTTAATTAAAAAATAAATAAATAAAATAAGGCCAGGCGCGGTGGCTCACACCTGTAATCCCAGCACCCTGGGAGGCTGAGACAGGTGGATCATCTGAGGTCGGAAGTTTGAGACCAGCCTGAACAACATGGTGAAACCCTGTCTCTACAAAAACATAAAACTAGCTGGGCGTGGTGGTGCATGCCTGTAATCCCAGCTGCTCGGTAGGCTGAGGCAGGAGAATCACTTGAACCCGGGAGGCGGAGGTTGTGGTGAGCTGAGATCGTGCCATTGCACTCCAGCCTGGGCAACAAGAGCGAAACTCTGTCTCAAAAAGAAAAAAAAGTGAGCTAATGACCTGAATAGACACTTGTCAAAAGAAGATACACAAATGGCTAAGAGGTGCATGGAAAGATGCTCATTAACCATCAGGGAAATGCAAATGAAAACCACAATGAGATATAATCTCTCCCCAGTTAGAACGACTATTATCAAAAAGGAAAAAAAAGAAACTAAAAATAGAACTACCATACAATCTACCAAACCCATTATTGGGTATTTATCTAAAGGAAAGGAAATCAGTATATCAAAGGGATACCTGCACCCCATGTTTATTGCAGCACTATTCACAACAGTAAAAACATGGAATCAACTGAAGTGTCCATCAACTGATGAACAGATAAAGAAAATGTGGTCTGTGTACACCATGGGATACTATTCAGCCATAAAAAAGAATGAAATCCTGTCATTTGGAGCAACATGAATGGAACTGGAGGTCATTATGTTAAGTGAAATAAGCCAGGAACAGAAGTTCGGTTAGAACACCACACACTGTTACTGATATGTGGGAGCTAAAATAATTGATCTCATAGAGGTAGAGAGTAGAATGATAGTTACCAGAGGTGGGAAAGGGTGTGTGTGTGTTGAGGGGAGATGAGAAGTTAATTGGTGCAAACATACAGCTGGATAGAAGGAACAAACTCTAACTAGTATGACTATGGTTAGTAAAAATGTATTCAATATTTCAAAATAGCTAGAAGAGAGGTCTTGAAATGCTTCCAACACAGAAATGATAAATACACCAGGCAATGGATACTCTAAATACCTTGACTTGATCATTACATATCCTATGCATGTAACAAAATATCACATGTTCCCCACAAATCTACAAATACTATGTATAAATAAAAAATAAACGGCTGGGTGTGGTGGCTCACACGTGTAATTCCAGCACTTGGGGAGGCCGAGGTGGGCAGATCACCTGAGGTCAAGAGTTCGAGACCAGTCTGACCAACATGGCGAAACCCCCGTCTCTACTAAAAACACAA
Organism: Homo sapiens; assembly: GCF_000001405.40. Classification (NCBI taxonomy): domain Eukaryota; kingdom Metazoa; phylum Chordata; class Mammalia; order Primates; family Hominidae; genus Homo; species Homo sapiens. The sequence continues at coordinate 20,987,042 of NC_000013.11, forward strand.
AAAAATGGCCAGGCGTGGTGGTAGGCACCTGTAACCCCAACTACTCGGGAAGCTGAGGCAGGAGAATCGCTTGAACCCAGGAGGCAGAGGTTGCAGCGAGCCAAGATCGCGCCATTGCGCTCCAGCCTGGGTGACAGAGCAAGACTCCGTCTAAAAATAAATTAAAAAATAAAAAATAAAAATAAAAAAAACACAAATGAAAAGTATATCTGTAAAAAAATCAGTGAATACGGGACACTGAAAAGAACACAAATCTGGTTTTCAGGCTTTGGAATTATTGGCTTTGTGTGATTTAAATCTGTTACATTTTAATTTAAATAGTTTCATCAATAATTACCTTCTTCAGCACTTCAGTGTCAACTAAGGTATATTTAAATCATTAGTTACTAACTAAACACTTAAAAGAATAAATGGAATCACTACTAGATACATTTTTCTTCCAAAATCCCACAATCTCAATTTACAAAACCTTAAACTTTGTTTCTACTCATTCAAATGTTCTATTATTAATCCATGATGAATTTTGTTAAGCGAGGACATACCCTAAAACTTAATTTGCTAATTTACCTACAATGTAAATTGTAGATTACCTACATTACGCTGGCTACATTATGCACAGCTATCTCTGATTCTTCAGAAGAGTCAAGGGGAAAGGCGAAAGGGAGGTCACACCATTTGCAACTTCTCCAAGTTGTTGGCCCCAGAACCAGACTGTCGCCCATTAGCCGTTTTGATGATAAGGGGTATACAGTCGAAACAGAAAAGGGATTGTGCGTGCTTCCTATTGCCAGTAGAGGGATGAGCCGGGAACAAATAGTAAAAATGAAGTGTGAAATTACTTTGGCCATTTCTTGCTCCAGCTGCAGCCTCCGGTTAACCTTCTGCTGGTAGGTTTTGATGACATTCTCCACGTGCTGCTCCATGAAGAACTTAAAGGCGTATGGCGAGTAGCTCTTGATGCGTGACTCTCTCTTCTCTTCGTCTCTGCTGTTTTTGCGGACGGGAACGGGAGAGGTCTGAATCTGCTTTTTATCCTTTCCGCCTTTGTCCCCCTTGGCGCTTTTGCGGCTCTTGTCGCCGCCCTCGGGCTCGTTGGGGCCCGCACGGAGGCTCTGCTCCATGCCTGCGCACAGGCTGTCCAGGTCGTACTGCTCCGACTTGCTGCGCAGCAGCAGGTGCTTCGGGTAGGGCGGAGGCGGGCACCTCCGGTCTGGGCCTCCGTACTCCACGTCCAGCGGGAAGGCGCCTGCGCCGCCCAGCGCCAGGGCATGCTCCTCCTTGGCGTCCAAGCCCTCCGCAGCCGGGGCGGGGGCGGGGGCGGGGGCCGGGGCAGGCGCGGGCACCCAGGCGGGGTGCGAGGGCCCCACAGCCGTCTGCGGCTCCGGCCTCAGCACACGCACGCTCTTCACCGGGTGCAAGATGTGCGCGGCCGTGACAGCCGTCACGGTGTTGGGGGCGGGCAGGGAGGGCTCGGCCTTGCCAGGCGGACCGGGCCGCGGCTGGTGGCTGTTGAAGGAGTTGGTCCTGCTGGGCACTGGGCAGTCAGGCCGGAAGGCCACGTGCGCGCGCGGCGGCGCCTCCAGGCCCGGCTTCTGCAGGGAGTCCCGGCGGGCCAGGGTGGCAGCCGGCCACTGCTGGACGGAGGTGCTGCCCAATTCATACAGGTCCACGTTGAGGCTGTTCCGCGAGGGAGTGAGCAGGCTCTGCGGGGGGCTGTCGCTGGCGAACACCTGGCTGCGGGAGCCCAGCACATGCAGCTGGTGGGCCGCGGGACCGGCCTGCTTGTGGTGTGGGTGCGGCACGTAGAGCCCGGCGGCAGGGGGTGGGAAAGCGAGGCCGGCGCCTGGCGGTCCTCCCTGGCCCTTCGTGGGCAGGCTGGCGTAACCCCCGGTCTCCGGCGGCGTCTTGCTCTGGAAGGAGGGGCTGCGCTGCACTCCGTAGCCCAGGGGTTCCCCAGGCACCAGCAGGTGCGGCCGCCCGTAGTGCGCGCCCTGCAGCGGGAAGTGTGCCCCTGCTGCCTCTACGCTGGCACCGTAGCCCTTGGGTGGGTGCTGGTGCTGGTGGCCGGGCCCGTGGGGGCCGACTCCGGGGAAAAGGTAGTCCACGTACGGCCGCGGCATCTCCTCCAGCGCCGTGGGGCCGTCAGCGCCGAAGCTTGGGCCCTCGTAGGGGGTACCGCTCAGCTGGTGGTAGGACGCAAACGAATCGCCGGTTCCTTCGAAGCTGGGCCTCCGCGTCACTGGGGTTGGCATGAGCCCCTTTCCTGCAGTGGAAAAAACAGGAAGACAGCATCAGAGTGGGTGTGATCAGTGGGTTCTGGCACTTCCAGGCTGGTCCCCACTCTAGCGCTGCCCTCGGGGCTGAGGGTCTTGAACCCTGGGCCCTGACGTGCTGCATTCTGCCCAGCACAGGGTCAGTGGACTCCCCTCTGCCCTGCCAGCAGGACCAGTTGCCCTAATGTGTTAGCAGAGTGGAGACAAGCTGAAGGGCACATGGGAGGGCCAAGGGCAGAAGAGAAGACTGCGTCCACATCCCGAGGTGCGTCCCTGCCCCCTGGGGACCACACTGGGGTCACTCTCCTGTCAGGCTAGGGAGCCGTCTGCATAGCCAGCTTTGCTTTTTCAAAACCCTATCATGCCCAAATTGTGGGGGGCTGAGTTTACCGACACACGGTTCCCAAAGCGCTGCTCCCTCACAGAAAGGGCAGAACTGTATCCACTGTGCAGCAGCTGCTCCACTTCTCTTTCACCTCTTTTCCAAATTAAAAGACTTTCTAGTTTTTTTTGTCTATATTAAAACAAAGCAATATATACACAATAATAAAAACCACACAAAACCCCTCTACAAATATCCAGATTGATTTCATCTGCTGCTACCTTAATCCTGACCTCCATTTTGTACATCTCATCTGAAACAGACACCGGAAGGAAGGACAAAGGTTCCTTTCATTTCTTCAGGCCAACTGCTCCACTTGGCTCGGCTTAGCAGAGGGTGCCGAAGGGTGGAAAGGCTGGGCCTTGCCCACAGGAAGACCACCCCGATACCTGGCAGAGTGAAGGCCCTGACAGCCTGGCACTGAACAAAGGTCACAGGCACACCAAGGCTTTGTTTTCCCTGGGCCCAGAAGACGTCAGTGAAGAGACACACCAAAGGCAAGTGCAGAGGGAAATCAGCACGGAACATGGGCCTGGCCTTCCCTTTGAGCTGTGCTCTAAGGCCTCAAAACTGGAAGAATTCTGACATGGATGGCCAGCTGGGGGCTATTTAAGGAAGTTCCTTCTCTTAAGAAGAAAACAAAAATGTGTGTCCTTTTAACAATGGAGATATAACTTACAAAGGTGAGATTTTTCTCACCCACATGAAGTAGGTTTTATCCAAGGTCTTCCACAAAATAGGGAAAACTCTTGCTAATTACTAGGATTTTTTTTTTTTTTTTTTTTTTTTTTAAATACAGACGAGGTCTCCCTCTGTTGCCCAGGCTGGTCTCCAACTCCTGCCTCCATCCTCTGGCCTCAGCCTCCCAAAGAGTTGGGATTACACAAAACAAAACAAAGCAAAACAAAACCAGGCCACACAGTGTTGGGTTACAGGCTTGAGCCACTGCGCCTGGCCATGAATCCTTTATCACACCCCAGGGGCCTCAGGTACCAATCACAGGGCCCATGTGCTCCATCTTGGGAAAGTAACATTCATCCATAGCCAGTAAAAAGCAGGGGTTTGGTGCGGTGCCTCAGGCCCATCACAGGGGATGCTGAGGGGGGCCCAGCGCTCTGCCCACACTGCCTGCCATTGAACCCCCACTCTCAGAAGCTACGATGTGAGAGAGGTGTGTTTTAGAATTGAGGAAAGAAGCCACCCTTGTCAAAGATCCCTCCACAGGCCCAAGAGAAAGTGAAAAGACCATTTTTACGCCCGCTTTGCTGACTTTTTTGATCTTTCATAAAACAAGCACACACCTTCCCCTAGGTAGGAAGTACTAAGGTAATTTCAGACAAGGCTGGATGGGGCAAGCGCCAGGCGTGTCCCACGGTCTACCACTTGGGGCTGCTCCCGCCAGGGCCTGACTCTGTCAGGGCAGGGCAGGCTCAGCTTGCCTGTTAACTGAATGAGGCAATGTGCCAGGAGACTGGCTCTGGCCAGGCCAGGCCAGGTTGGACCCCTCTGCACGTGGTTTTGTTGTCCTTAAGCCACAAACCATCTTTGCCCACTATGCTGCAGGCCTGGGCTCACCTGGGGAGGTCTGCTTAATGACCCGCACAATCTGCTCATTCCTCGGGTCCAGGTAGCCCATCTTGCTGATGTACTCCAGGGCGGCCTCGATGCTCCTGCTGCCAGTCTGCTTGAGAGCTCGGCCAGCCATCTCCTGGGAGGGAAGTAAAGGAGAGGTAAGTGCATGTCATCCTAAAACAAAGCCACCAAAGACTCCCATCCCCACTCCGTGCTGGACTGTGCTGGGACACTTCGCCTCTGTACTGCTGAGAACCTGCGATATGCTGCAGGAGACCCTCAGAATGAGTGCAGGTGGCTGTGTGCCCTGCAGGTACCTGATGGCAAAAGCCTAGCACAAGCCACACCATAGACTATTTAGCCTTATGTCAAGGACATATGGGAATTTTGATGATGGGCCTGAAAGAGACTTAAATTCTGCTTCTCCTCAGAAAACTTTTGTGGTTGGACTGGTGAGTTCAGGATGAACCTAAAACTAGAAACATTTAAGGGGAAGAACTGTGGGAGTCAGGGAACCTGGCTTTAACCTCAGCTCACCTCCAGGCTAACTCTGGGACTAGGAAACCTGTCCCCAGGGAGAGGGTGCAGCTGCCGAAGAGTCATATATTACACGCCTACTGTTTACAATGCCCCATGCTGGCTATAGCAGCGGAGGACTGGCCCTTAGAGATCTGACTCGTAGAAGAAAGAAAGGAGACAAAACAGGGGCCCATGGAGCCACACCGGTCCAGGACAGGTAGCTCAAACTGCTTGTGGGAAGAACACAGGGACTGGTGGCCACCACGGGAGAGGGCAGGTAAAATGGATGAGGGCCACAGGAGAAAGCCTCCTTCCACCCGAAAGATGAGGTGGTGGCATGGCTAGCTGTTCCAGACTTTGGGCAGGTGGAGAGCCCTGGGAGAGAAAAGGCATTCCTGGCAGATGGGACAGCCAGAGCAGAAGCCTGGGGAAAGATGGGCCCATGGCAGCAGCACGCAAGGGTAGGTGGAGATGGGGGGATGGACCCACAGATGGGGGCCAGGCTCTCCAGGGTTTTGCTCCTGTCTGCAGGCATTCGAGGAAGCTTTCAAACTGGGACATACGGCATCAGCAGGTCAGGCTGGGGGCGGCTGTGGGTGCAGAGCTGGAGGCACTCAGATGGGGGAGACAGAATAGGCAGGAGGGTACCGAAGAGATGCAGCCCAGTGGCGCGGGGCGGTGAGGCTCTGATGAAGGCGCCCCCTTCACCTTTCAGGACAGCTCCGCAGAGCTGTAGGCAAACAGGGAGGGTGAGCAGAGAGAAAAGAACACCGTTGAGGCTGGCTGTGGGACAAGGGCAAAAACAGGCAAAGGCCACAAAAAGGGCTTCAGCAGAAGAAGAAAGGCTGAGCACTCTGAAGGTCAACGAGGAGGGCAACCAGGCAGGAGGAAACTGAAAATGTAGAACGGGGAGCTCCGGAAAGGAGTCCACAGTTACCCAGACAGCAGAGAAGAAAGGGGTGGAGATGGCTGGGCGTGGTGGCTCACGCCTGTAATCCCAGCACTTTGGGAGGCCGAGGCAGGTGGATCAAGAGGTCAAGAGATCGAGACCATCCTGGCCAACATGGTGAAATCCCGTCTCTGCTAAAAATACAAAAATTAGCTGGGTATGGTGGTGTGTGCCTGTAGTTCCAGCTACTCAGGAGGCTGAGGCAGGTGAATTGCTTGAAACCTGGGAGGTGGAGGCTGCAGTGAGCCGAGATCACGCCACTGCACTCCAGCCTGGCGACAAAGTGTGACTCCATCTCCAAAAAAAAAAAAAAAAAAAAAAAAAATGGGGGGGTGGAGATACAGAAAGACCCCGGACAGTGGGGGAGGCCGTGCAGGGCTGCTCTGCAGCAGGAAGCCTGGCCATGGTCACAGAGCCACTCCGCAGAGAGAGATGCAGCACTGAGTGTCCCCCACCTCTGGATAGGGCATTGTGGTGCCCATGATCTGAATCGCACTCAGCTGTGTGTCTGTGGTTCCCTTAGGACAAGAAGAACCTGGCAGGGCCTGAATCCATGTTACTCATGGTTGCTTCTGCCCCCTTAACACAGTGCCTAGAACAAATTAAGCACTTATTGTCCATATATGATGGTCTAATACTGAATCAAGCTTTCCAGTCCTGGCCATATGCCAGCAGAATGGCAGCACAAAAAACACAGGCTGTAAACTGTGTTCTTAGCAATGCAGGCGTGGGCATGGCAAGATGGCAGGGACAGGCAAGGGGCTGCAGAGGAGCACGAGGTGGAAGGCCTGGGGAGGTGCCGCCACATGGGCAGGCCATGTTGCCTGCCCATGTGGGACATGGGACATGAAGTGACAGATTGGAAAATGGTAATAAGAACAGACCTGTTTGTTAAAGTGGCGCCTGGACTACCAGAAAGGGCAAGTGTTTACAACCTGGAAGAGTTGCAGAGAGAAGGCAGCGGTGGTTCAGAAGGGAAGTGCTTCCTGACCCCACCTGGGACAGGAGATAAGACTCCCACCACCGCCTACTTCGGGAGCTATGCGATGAGATCACGTCTACGAAGACTCAACAGCTTGGAGGAAGACACGATATAAGACCACATCTTTGTGGGATCACCCTGGAGCTTTTGGCGCCCATTAAAAAAATGTGCCAATTGGGGCTGACTCTAACCACAAGCCTTTCCATCAGCACTAACCGTTCAATTGCTTCATCTGAAACGTGACCAACGCTCTGTCTCCTGCAGGGTGAATCACCAGCCTGTGCTCATTAACCCAGTACCTGTTGACTGCCAAGGAAGGGACAGCTCCAGGACAGACTAGGTCAATGTGGATGTTCTCAAATTCCCTCCCTGTTTATGGAGCACCCACTACTCAAGATGTGTATGTTTATTGTGCATCAAATCTAGGAACTCAGAAAAATCAGCAAGGAGACCACAAGTGAAGACTCATGTTCAGAAGGGAGTTTCAAGTCCTAAAAGTGAACCGTACTCATGAGCCGGCTTGTTTATAAATAAACCCTTCAAATAACCCATGTCCTTTGAGGCTTGCCCTTGTTATCTGTCCATCAACCCTTCTTTAGCAAGTAAGTACTTCCTATCTGTACATTAAATCTCAGAAGATGCTACTGTACATATACATAGAGCTATGTTTTAAACACTGAAGGAAATGGGAATCCACTTCTAAATCCATCAGAAATACATGGCCTCTGGGCACAAAGTACATGCAGAGTCACAGAGTGAAGACAAGTGCACAGTCGGGGGAATGGCAAGAGGTCGGAGCCAGGATGCGGGAGGAGTGTGTCAGAGAGATGCAGCTGAAGCCTGGCCGAGGAGCTTGGCCACTCACCTTCCTTTCTTAAGCATGTATGGAGACCAAGCTGGATGTGGTGGCTCATGCCTATAATCCCAACACTTTGGGAGACTGAGGCAGGAAGACTGCTTGAGCCCGGGAGTTTGAGGCCAGACTGGGCAACACAGTGAGACCCCGTCTCTACACAAAAATAGCTGGGTGTTGATGGCGCATGCCTGTAATCCCAGCTACTGAAGAGGTTGAGGCAGGAGGATTGCTTGAGTCCAGGAAGTAGGGCAGGCTGGGCAACAAAGTAAGAATGTGTCTCAAAAAAAAAAAAATAGAATAAAATATTTTTTAAAAGAAGAATGTATAAAGATCATCATTTAAGGGTCCTTATCTAGAATCGTAGGTGGCTATTCCAAAAGATGGCAGGATGGCGCAGTGGTACAGGGCGCAGATAGGGAGGCCACACACCTAGGTTCACCCCTCCCCTCTGCTGCTTAGCAGCTGTGTAACTTTCAGCAAATCATTTCCTTACTTTGAGTGCCCGTTTCCTCATCTGGGAAATAAGGCTAATAGGTTGCTCTAGGGATGAAAGGAGATGTCATGCTTGGGCATCAGCATCACTTAAGGGTTAGCTGTTACAGTTCACAAAGGTATCTTATGTGTTTCTGGGAAAAAAAAACATAAAAACTGTAATTGTAGATTTTATGCATGTTTGATATTTAATGGCTCTAATGTTTTACTGTGTATTCTTCTTACAATAATTATACAAAGAAATGTAATGAGTTCTTTTCCCCAAGCCTCAATAGACACCTCCAGTCTCTTCCAGCTTACCTCAGGCTGCTGTGTAAACATTATCCACGTCTATGCATGCCAAGATGTGGAAAGGGTGAGCAGCCCTGCCCCAAAGCAAGAGTTCAGCTGCAAGCCAACTGAAGGCGAGGACAGTTCAGGTATGTGTTCTGGTGTCTAGCGTGTAGAAAGAGATCAGCAGATATCTGTTCAATGAATGATTGAGTGAGTGACTGAGTTAGACTGTGACATAGGATAGATGAAAGGAAGAAAGAGCTGCAAGCAGGGAGTAAGAAGATACTGTCTGTTCCACTGGGCAGGCTGCCCTGGTGTGTGGAAGATGGAGATAAGGTACACAGCAGAGATGCACCAAGGCACAGGCTAAAGGGAATTTCAAATCAACATTATCAACAGCAGCAACTTCCAAGTTTTACTCCATTATCTAGTTTGCACACGTGCCATTCTTCAGGACAGCCTCTTCTACAGAAGTTCACAAAATCTTAATGCTCTTTGAATGTGTGTATCATGCACTATTTACCAATTACTAATTATTTACAGAGTAATGTGGTAGGCTAACAAGACTTTGATGACTTTGTGTCAGTCACCTAGCCACGTGCAACAAGAAAATCCCTCACACACTAAATTTTTCTCCTAAAACCCTCAAGAAAGCTTAATTTAGGAAAGCTTAATTTAGGATTGGGCTAATGTCTCATAGAAAAAGGATGCTAATCCATTGAAGTTGGTTACCACGCCCATAAATTAAGCCTTCTCTTCTAGACAGATCTCAATGCTGGAGTTGAAGCCATCATATGAGCACCAGATTTGGCACAAGATACCTGCAGTGTTCAACACTTCCTTCATCAGTGACCACTCCATGCCACCTGCTGCAAGAGTAAGATGACTCAACATGTGCAAAACCCAATCTCCTGCCTCTAACTTACCAGTTCTCTCAGGGCTCCCAACCTTGGAAGCATCTTGACTTTGAGATTTCATTCACATCTCACATCCAGTCCAGAAGCATTTTTTTTCTACCTACATTAGAGTGGTAGAAGATTTTTTTTTTTTTTTTTTTGAGACAGAGGCTCGTTCTGTCCCCCAGGGTGGAGTACAGTGGCGTAATATTGGCTCACTGAAATTTCATCTCCCAGATTCAAACAATTCTCCTGCCTCAGCTTCCCGAATAGCTGGGATTACATGCATGAACCACCACCATACCTGGCTAATTTTTGTATTTTTAGTAGAGGTGGCGTTTTGCCATGTTGGCCAGGCTGGTCTCGAACTCCTGACCTCAGGTGATCCACCTGCCTCAGCTTCCCAAGGTGCTGGGATTATAGGTGTGAGCCACCGTGCCTGGGCTGATAGAAGATTCTGGATACTTTGAAGGCAGAACTGATACTATTATTCACACTCCATATCAAATTCAGCAAAACCTGACATGGCATAAACTCTATGCCTCACAGTTTGGGGAGCCACAATGGTTACAAAATAAGAGTCTGACGGGCTCTTACCTGGAGCCCTTATCTGCTACCCTCTGGGCTATTCTTGCAGATTCATAAATATTAAATGAAAAATTATTTTGTCAGATTGGCTGTAGAATAGAAGCTAGTAGGGCTAAATACTATGGCACAAAGGACAGACACCCCGAGGGGCCTGGCAGCCTCGTCTCTTCTGGAGAGCGGTGACATGCACTGCAGTGGGCTAGTCTCAGCTTGGGGTGGTGGCCCTGGACCAGATAGAAGGAATTCTTCCCACTCCATTAAAGCAGAGCTCCTCAAGAGGTTTTCTGCCTCATGGCTAAAACTAAGAGATTGGGGAGGGACTGAGAAGGGCAAGACAAACTGAGGTTTCACTGGTTTACTGCTGCTACTGACAGCTCTTGTAAAACTCCACTTTAGGTGTGTGAATTACACATGAATAAAGCAGTTTTGAACATCTGTACCTTAGGTATCTTTCCCAAGAGATTTCTCCTCTTACATTTTGTCAACAAATTGATGTTCGCTTAAAACTGGACCTAACCACTACGAAGCCTGGAAAATGTGAGATTTGCCCATATGCTATCTGATATAGAAAGGACTGCAAAAGAGGCACTTTAACAAAACGGCGAGGTGGCTGAGGGGTGGGACACCTGCCAGTATCAGGCCCTGCCAGTATCTTGAGGCTGGTCCTCTCAATTGCAAGGACCACACCCCAGCTCCAAACCTCCCCATGGGATGGTCCAGGCCTCTGTTGCAGGTACATCACCATTTAATGATCTTCTCTGCTGTCCCTCGGGGAAGCTGGCCTCACCCAGCTCTCCAGCTGCTGACCAGCTGCCAGACAGCCTAGCATGGGCTCCTGACACACCCTCTGCTCTCTTGGCTTGGTCCCCTTCTACTAAGCACAGGGCTTACGAGGACGGGTGGGAACTGGAAGACACTCCTTCAATCTACCGCTCAGCTCTTAGCAAGGCAGGAGCTGGGCTTGCAATGTCTAAGCAGCAGAAGTATTTCACGTGCATTGCCATGTGAATGCAAGTAATTTAAATGCAGTGACAATTATTATGTATGAGGGAAGGAATTTCCTATGGAGATCCTCCCCCACTCAGCCCTTCCTGGTAAGGAAGCATTTTTCAAGCCTTAGCAAAACCATATCCTAAAGTTTTAACATTCCAACTATGAGGTTTGGCTGAAAAAGTAGAAACGGAGCACTCTGGCCCTATCGTGTCTGCGTGGGCCTCTGTCTGTGTCTGCCTGTCTCTCAGGCTTTCTCAGGTAACTTCCACTTAAGTTGTAGCTGACGCCTGTAATCCCAGGGCTTTGGGAGGCCAAGGTAGGATCGCTTGAGGCCAGGAGTTCAAGACCAGCCTGGGCAAGACCCGCATGTTTGTAAAAAGTGAGAAAATTAGCTGGGCATGGTGGTGGGTGCCTGTAGTTCCAGCTTCATGGGAGGCTGAGGCAGGAATCACTTTGAACCTGGGAGGTGGAGGCTGCAGTGAGCTGAGATCATGCCACTGCACTCCAGCCTGGGAGACAGAGCAAGAGACCCTGTCTCAAACAAACAAACAAAAATTAATTAATTAATTAAATTAAGAAAAAACAAAGACTGAGGGAGAGAAGAGGATGAGAGGGGCCAGTTGGCTGGCAGAGGAGGCTGCACTGTCTCTGGCGGGATCCTGTGCTTGCTTGGAGGATTGCCAGCAGGGTGGTCTTCAAAAGAATCTCTGACCCAAAGGCCTAGATTTTTTTATGAGAACACAGGAGCCGAGGAGCTGGAATTTCCAAAGGGTGTTCCAACCCCACCCCCACGGAAAGGCCCCTGGAAGAATGAGGCCCTCCGGGCCCAGGCCTCCTCTAACCGCCCCACCATTGCGTGCCCCTCCCCTGAGCGCGGCGCTCCCGGCGATCTTGGGCAGGTGGGGCCCCAAGGCCTTGTCAATGCGGGGCGAGGCGGGGCGGGGCCCGACAACCTTGGGCTGGTGGGGCAGAGCCCCGTGACCTTGTCCACACGGGGCGGGGGCCGCAGCGACATTGTGCACGCCGGGTGGGGGCCCTGCGACATTGTCCACGACCTTGTGCACGCGGGGCGGGGGCCCTGGCGACGTTGTCCACGCAGGGTAGGAGTCCCGGTGACCTTGCGCACACGGCGCAAGGGCCCTGGTGACCTTTTCCACGACCTTGTCCACGCAGGACAGGGATCCCCGCGACCTTGTGCACGCAGGGCGGGGGTTCTGGCGACCTGGTCCACAACCTTGTCCACGCGAGGCAGGGGCCCCGGTGACCTTGGGCAGGCGCAGCACGTGCCGTGTGCGAGCCAATTATGACTGGAAAACAGGTGGAGGACAAATGGAAGTAGTGGCCTTTGGAGTTTAAATGTCTGTGTGCTTGAAGAAAATGAGTCGCCACCTTGCGCGGATGCAGCAGAAGCTCCAGCCCCAGCCGTGGCCGCCTCCGACCGCTGGTGGCGCCGCAGGCCCCCGAACCTTGGTAAACCAGACACACGCCCGGAAGACACCTGCTCGGCACATACAGGTACAAACCATACGTCTTTTTGAAACGAATGAAGAAGAAATTTGGCATAATGTTTTGTTTTTGTTTTGTGTATTTTTAAGGGCCATGCTAATCTCTGTATCGTTCCAATTTTCATATCTGCTGCAGAAGCGAGCACTTTTTCTTTTTCTTTTTTTTTGACAGGGTCTTGCTCTGTCACCCATGCTGGAGTACAGTGGCTCGATCAGGGCTCATTGCAGCCTGGCACTGCCCGGCTTAAGCAATCCTCCCATCTCAGCCTCCTGTAGTCAGGAGCCAGTATGCTTGGCTAATTTTTTAAAAAATTTTTTTGTAGAGATGGGCTCTCACTGTAACCCAGGCTGGTCTCAAACTCCGGAGGCCAAGCCATCCTCCTGCCTCAGCCTCCTAAAATGCTAGGATTACAGACATGAGCTAGGGTGCCTGGCCTTAAATTTGTTATAAAATAAAATGAACATGAAAAATCCTTGGCCTTGCCAATGATCACGAGACCAGCCTGGACAATGTGGTGAAACCTCATCTCTACTAAACATACAAAAAAAAAAAAAAAATAGCCAGGCGTGGTGGCACACACCTATATAGTCCCAGCTACTAGGGAGGCTGAGGCAGAAGAATGACTTGAACCTGGGAGGCGGAGGTTGCAGTGAGTCAAGATCACGCAGCAGAGCAAGTCTCCATCAAAAACAAAACAAAACAAAGAAACACTGATAAAATAAAGAGCATTTTACAACTATTGTTAGCACCAAAATAAAATAAAAAATTATAAAGATAGGCCGGGCGTGGTGGCTCACGCCTGTAATCCCAACACTTTGGGAAGCCGAGGCGGGCAGATCACAAAGTTAGGAGATCGAGACCATCCTGGCTAACATGGTGAAACCCTGTCTCTACTAAAAATATAAAAAATTAGCCGGGAGTGGTAGCATGCGCCTGTAGCCCCAGCTACTCAGGAGGCTGAGGCAGGAGAATCACTTCAACCCAGGAGGTGGAGGTTGCAATGAGCCGAGATTGCACCACTGTACTCCAGCCTGGGTGACAGAGCAAGACTCTGTCATAATAATAATAATAATAATAATAAAGATAAATGTGCTGGTAAAACTATTCTTGGTCATGTATAAACCAAAAATATTCAGGGGTGAATATTTATTATCAAAAGTTATTAAGTTTTTTTTATCCCGATTTAATGATTTTACTTCTTGAAATTTATCCTCAGGCTAAAATAATTCAGTTTTAAAAAACTGATTTCCATAATGATGTCTGTCAGATTTAGGTATAATATATCAGCCCCTCAAATAGGAAAGTGTGGGATGGGAGTTAGAGGCCACATGGCCACTACTAAACTATAATTATAATTAATATAGTCCTTAGAATACACTTACCACAGCCAGAAATAATACTTTCTATAAGTAAAACTCTAACAAATCTACCACTGTTCTAGATGGTATGTAGCAAAAATAAGCAAAAACAAAACAGGCAACTTTCAATAGTGTAAACAACATGAAAAAATGCTGATTGTATAAAATGTTATGTCTCTTAGTAACTATGTACACAAATCAGTTATGCCTATGAACAAGGGCTTGATTAGAACATGAAAAAAATTAAAGTATGACTTAATTTTATGTTGAAAGAACAGTAATTTCGATTTGTTAAAGAGAGCATGACAATAACATGCTTACACATGTATCAGACTCCATTAAAACAAAACTGCCTGTACTATCTAGCTACATAATTGTGGACAGATCACAAAAATTCTCCAGATCACAGTTGTGTCCAATAAAATGGCAAGATAAGAATATACAAGCTAATCCCAAAGTTCCTTTTATCTGTAAAATTCCAGGATTTTGAGGAATGTTTGCTAAAATAAGACTTTTGTCACAATGGAGATAGGTGAACAGAGGTAAGCACATTCCACAGAAACTTAATATACTCAAAGTTCCCTATTAGTACACACACATGGCATGGTTTCAGGGGTCCTGGATCCTATATTTCTATTCATGTGTAACAGTGCTACCAAAAAATGGGCACTAAAAAATTTCTCCCATCCCTGTATGTACGGGCTGCAGCCCCCAGTGTGAAGCGGAATCTACTTCCCCTCCCCTTGAATATTGGCTGGCCTGTGATTTTCTCTATCAATGGAATGAGCAGAAGTGCTGCTGTGCCAGTTCTGAGCCTCACCCTCAAGAAGGCTGGCTACTTCCATTTTCAGTCCTCAGATCGCACCATGGTTGGAGACAGATCCAGTTAACTGTGTTGCAGTTCTAACCCATGAGTGAAGCCCTCTTGGGTATTCAGCCCCAGCTGAGTTCCCAGTGGAATGAGCTACATGGAACCCCAGCAGATACCACTGGAGCAGAAGAACTGCCCAGCTGAGCACAGCCAACCCACAGAGCCATAAGAAATAATAAGCCATTATTTCACTGGCATGTGCCTGTAGTCCCAGTTACTCCAGAGGCTAAGGCAGAAGAATTGCTTGAACCTGGCAGATGGAGGTTGCGGTGAGCCGAGACAGCGCCCCTGCACTCCAGCCTGGGCGACAGAGTGAGACTCCGTCTCAAAAAAATAGTAATAATAAAATAATAACAAATTTTAAAAATCCATTTTTTTTTGAGGCGGAGTCTCGCTCTGTCGCCCAGGCTGGAGTGCAGTGGCACTATCTCGGCTCACTGCAAGCTCCGCCTCCTGGGTTCACGCCATTCTCCTGCCTCAGCCTCCTGAGTAGCTGGGACCACAGGTGCCCACCACCATGCCTGGCTAATTTTTTGTATTTTTAGTAGAGACGGGGTTTCACCATGTTAGCTAAGATGGTCTCGATCTCCTGACCTCAAGATCCGCCCACCTTGGCCTCCTAAAGTGCTGGGATTACACGTGTGAGCCACTGCGCCCGGCCAAAAAGCCATTATTTTTAAGTCACTAAAAATTCTGGGATGGTCTAAGATGGTTGGTTACACAACAGTAGATAATTGATAACTGGTTCTACTTTGCTGTCTGCTATGTATAATCTGGACAAATATGCCCATCTTTTAAAAAATTAACTAACTAATTAATTAACTTTTTTTTTTTTTTTTTGAGACAGGGTCTCACTCTTGTTGCACAGGCTGGAGTGCAGTGGTGTGAAAACAGCTCACTGCAGCCTTGACTTCCCAGGCTCAGGTGATTCTCCCACTTCAGCCTCCAGAGTAGTTGGGACTACAGGTGCGTTACCACCACACCCAGCTAATTTTCTGTATTTTTTAGTAGAGATGGGGTTTCGCCATGTTGCCCAGGATGGTCTGGAACTCCTGAGCTCAAGCAATCTGCCTGCCTCAGCCTCCCAAACTGCTGGGATTACAGGTGTGAGCCATGGTGCCTGGCTATTTTTTTGTTTTAATTTATAATTTATTTTTTAGAGACAGGGTCTTGCTCTGTCACCCAGGCTGAAGTACAGTGGTGCAATCAAAGCTCACTCCAGCCTCTAACTCCTGGGCTCAAACTTCCTGCCTCGGCCTCCCAAGTAGCTAGGATTACAGGTGCAGGCAATCACACCTGGCTAACTTTATTCTTTAATTTCTTTTTCATTTTTAGAGAAAGGGTCCCACTATATTGCCTAGGCTGGTCTCAAACTCCTGGCCTCAAGCAAACCTCCCCACCTCAGCTTCCCAAAGTGTTGGGATTATAGGCATGAGTCACTGCACCTGGCCTATTTTATCTTAAAATTTGAATGGTTTGGTCTCCTCAGTTTTTGTCCAAATAAACTCAATTGCTGTTAAGATCATCAAGTTTTCTGAAAAGGTAAATTTTCAAATAGGTAAGATGACAATAATTAACACAAAGATTTAACAAAATGCTTAGAAATAATAATTCTTCAAAAAATGAGACTGTTCCATTATTGATTGCTGGTGTGATCAGTGAATTTTGAGAACCTAAATAAATATGTATTTTTAAATTTATTATTATTATTTTTGAGAGGGGTCTTGCTCTATCGCTCAGAGTTCGGGCTGGAGTGCAGTGGCCCAATCTCTGGTCACTGCAAACCCTGCCTCCTAGGTCCAACCGATCCTCCTACCTCAGCCTCCTGAGTAGCTGGGACTACAGGTGCGCCACCACACACAACTAATTTTTGTCTGTCTTTCTTTTTTTTCCTTTTTTTTTTTTTAAAGACAGAGTCTTGCTCTGTTGCCCAGGCTGGAGTGCAGTGACACAATCTTGGCTCAATGCAACTTCCACCTCCTGGGCTCAAGCAGTCCTCCCGCCTCAGCCTCTCAAGGAGCTGGGATTACAGGTGCCTCGCCACCACACCCGGCTAATTTTTGTATTTTTAGTAGAGATGGGGTTTCACCATGTTGACCAGGCTGGTCTTGATCTCCTGATCTCAAGTGATCCAGCCACCTCGGCCTCCCAAAGTGCTGGGATTACATGCGAGAGCCACCATACCAGGCCTAATTTTTGTCTTTTTGGTAGAGAGAGGGTTTCACCATGTTGCCTAGGCTGGTCTCTCCTGGGCTCAAGCACTCTGTGCATCTCAGCCTCCCAAAGTGCTGGGAGTACAGGCATGAGCCACTGCGCCTGGCCAGGAGTGTCTTTTTAAATAATCTTATATCTTTTAAGGCCCTAAAGTAAATAATTGGTTGGGTTAATATTTGACTACAAAATTACTTTTATTAATGTTTAAATGCTTTTGTTCTTAAAGTGTGCTAAACTCTTAGCTATGGCTATCATTACTAGGTCAAATCTCCCTGTGAGAAAAACATACGCCAATTTTAAAAAGCAGCACACAAAGAACTTTAAAATGAATATAACATACAAAAGAATATAACATTCAAAAGCACTTTAAAATGCTTCTGTAACGGTGGCTGGGTGCAGTGGCTCACGCCTCACCAACCCAGCACTTTGGGAAGCTAAGGCAGGTGGATCACCTGAGGTCAGGATTTGAGACCAGCCTGACCAACATGGTGAAACCCCGTCTCTGTTAAACATACAAAATTAGCTGGGCATGGTGGTGCATACCTGTAATCCCAGCTACTCGGGAGGCTGAGGCAAGAGAACCGCTTGAACCCAGGAGGTGGAGGTTGCAGTGAGCTGAGATTGCGCCATTGCACTCTAGCCTGGGCAACAAGAGCGAAACACTGTCTCAAAAAAAAAAAAAAAAGCTTCTGTAATGCAAGGGAGAATCAAATTTTAACAGTATACATCCTGTTCAGTCCTAGTGTTTTGTATAGCATTACTGGGCACTGACCAGCACACGTGTGTGTCAGCATGAACTTGCGAGTGCACACAGCATGCTGTTCTGGGCGTAGGAAACCAGCAATGCAGTGGGCTTCCTGGCCCCCTGCCTCCAACCTGGCAGGCACACATCTGCTTTGGCAGGAAGCGCTTTGCTCTAATAGCACCATGGGGCTGTTCAACAGTATCCCGAATCCAAGGGGTCTGAGAGCCAAGCCCAATGTGAGACTGCAAAAGAGCTTCATGAGGAAAGATTTTTCTGTCTCCTTCTAAAACCTACACCAACCAAGACATTGCTGTTTTTAAGGACAACAGGTACACTAAAATTTGGTTTGTACAAGTCACCAGGAAAATAAGTAATTACACAAAATCCACAGGGGGAGTCATCATGTGCCAGGCCATGAGCATGACTCCAAGGGACAGAGACCAGCCCCGGCGTTCTAAATGCCTGGGGAAAGCAGCATAGCCAGGAAGCCTTCAGCAGAGAGCACAGGAATGGGGCACTTCATGGGAAGGACCATGTTGGTCCCACAGAAGATGCAATTCTAGGAAAAATCTGGGAACCATTAGTCAAGAGGGCTTGGTGTCATGACTAGGTAGAGGCCCATGTTTTCCCAACACAAAAAAGGCAGCCCAACACTAAGTTAGAGAGAAACCCACTTTAAAAGAATGAGCTGAAGATGGTCAGGGCTGGGGCTGGGGTAGAACTCAAAAGGAGGCTCGAAAAACTGTCTGGTGAACAGAAAAGATTGCACACAGAGAAATCAGAGAAAGAAAATCACTTGACCTTGACAGGGTGTAGCGTAAGCCAGAGGGATGCTGGGACCCAGAGCCGGCCTCTGGCACTCCTACTGGGCAGGGCTCATGCTGGCCAGGGCTACACTGACCCAGGCAGAAGTGGGGCTTTCTCTGCCTTCCAAGGTAGGTTCAGGTCCAGGGTCAAAAAAGGGCTTGCCAAGTTCCTCTGCAAGCTTCATTCTGAACTTCCAGTGTTTTTCTGACAGGAAGAGTAATAAGATATGGGTAAGACAAAGCCCTGTCTGCTGGAGCTCTAGCAGCAGAATTAAGAAAAGAATTAGTTGGGGTTTTAATTCGCACTCTTGCTGGGAACACTACCTTAGGAGGAAAAAGGTCTTCATAAAGGAAAGGAAAACCTGTAATCCCAGTGCTTTGGGAGGCCAAGGCAGGAGGAACACATGAGGCCAGGAGTTGGAGGCTGCAGTGAACTATGATTGTGCCACTGCACTCCAGCCTGGGTGACAGAGTGAGACCCCTACTCTATAAAAAAAAAAAAAAAAAAAACGGAGGCCAGGCGCAGTGGCTTACGCCTATTAATCCCAGTACTTTGGGAGGCCGAGGTTGGTGGATCACCTGAGGTCAGGAGTTCAAGACCAGCCTGACTGACATGGAGAAACCCCGTCTCTACTAAAAATACAAAATTAGCCGGGAGTGGTGGCGCATGTCTGTAATCGAGTGGTGGCGCATGTCTGTAATCCCAGCTACTCGGGAGGCTGAGGCAGGAGAATCGCTGGAACCCGGAAGGCAGAGGTTGCGGTGGGCCAATATCATGCCATTGCACCCCAGCCTGGGCAACAAGAGCAAAACTGCATCTCAAAAAAAAAGAAAGAAAGAAAAGGAAAAAGGAAAGGATTCACTTTCTGCCTCAGCTTATCATGTGTGAGGAAAAAAAAAAAAAATCACAGCAAGCAAGGTGGTGGGCCAGAGCCTGCAAGAGGCTGGGACAGCTGTCATTAGTGAGCAGAGAAAGAAGACCAGGCCCAAGACACACATGCAGCTCTAACAGGTGGCCACTCTCTGGCCCTGGTCCCCAGCGCCCACTGTGTACATCCCTTAAAAAAGTGAGCAGACAGCCAGCTTAGCCCTGCGGAGACTCGTTGTGGCACCTAAGTTATATGCTATGATGAGACTGAGTTTATAAAGGACTAACTTGTGCCACAATTGAGCATTAATAGCCAAAAAATAAGCCAGATCATCAGAGCTGAAGCATGAACAGATTAAATGTGACTCCGGAAGAGCAGACTTTTTCTGTTTGGGCTCCAAGCCACTCCTGGCTCCTGAAATTAAGTAGGCTGAATATGTGTGAAGACTCTGCTCTTCACTTCCAGACAAAGGCTGCCTGGAAAATTCTGCCGCTGTCTCCATCAAAAAGATCCACTTACTCGACAATGGCACATAGGCGTGCCTCACTGCACACACCTGTCTCCGACTGTGGGGCTTTAGGAGAGTAGCTGTGTGTGTTTGGGACTTTTTAAGAGAGTAGCTGTGCATGTTTGGGGGCTCTGGGGCTCTCCGTGCCTCCCACAGCTCGCTCTGCTGGGGACAGGCAGCCCGTGAGTGCCCAGGGAAAGGGACATTTGGATGCAGACTGAACAGAGCTTGCTTCCCTGTGGTTATTTTTTAAATGCTGTCAAGTAGGTTGGAAGATCTGGCAAATTATAGGTTCACCCAAGAAGGAAGACAGTAATCTGCTACTTTCACAAAGTGCCCTCAAAGAGTCACTGACAAGGTAATTCGGTAAAGTATACAAATATTTTAGTTATGAAGTATGGTAGCAAAAACTGAAATTCCCTGGCTATGCAGTTTTTATGTATTTTTCTGAAAAAGTTACAGTGTAACTTTGAAATATATACATATTATGGGTTTAATTTTTAAGTTATATTTCCAAAGGCTCAGAATCTCTGTAACAAGTTTCCATTTTCCAACAATGCTTTAAAATCCAACCATTTTGTTTAAAACTTGGCTGTTACCCTACCAATTGGAATTTCTTCTTTTAGTCCATGTTTCTGACAGTGGAATGTCAGGACATGCATCCTCCATACTGATTATAAACCAACAGGCATTTTCTTTCTAAATGCCAAAAATTGTGTCTACAGACCACAGCCTGTTTTCCAGGCACTGAGAAGATATAAGGAGGCTCGGCCAATAATCAGGTTTCTTCCAATCAGAGCCAAGGATAAGGGAAGGAGTAGTTAGTCGTAGGGGATGGATATATATATATAGTATATATATATATATATATATATATATATATATATATATATAGTATATATATATATAGTGTGTATATATATATATAGTGTATATATATATATATATATAGTGTGTGTATATATATATAGTGTGTATATATATATATAGTATATATATATATATAGTATGTATATATATATATATATAGTATATATATATAGTATATATATATATATATATATATATTTTTTTTTTTTTTTTGAGATGGAGTCTTGCTCTGTGGCCCCAGGCTGGAGTGCAGTGGCGCAATCTTGGCTCACTGCAGCCTCCACCTTCCCGGTTCAAGCGATCCTCCTGCCTCAGCCTCCTGAGTAGCTGGAATTACAGATGCGAATCATCACAACCGACTAATTTTTGTATTTTTAGTAGAGACAGGGTTTGCCATGTTGTCCAGGCTGGTCTCAAACTCCTGACCTCAAGTGATCCACCGACCTCAGCCTCCCAAAGTGTTGGGATCACAGGCGTGAGCCACCGTACCCAGCCCTGACTTCTGTTTTAAAAGGCCCACTCTGGCTCCACCGTGGGGAGCCAGGTATGAGGGCAGAGGTGGACGAGGAGCTGACAGGCCAGTAGGATGGCACAGAGGCGCAGTGGTGCTCGCTGCTGCATTGCCAGCTACTACTGTAGGACAGACACTCGGGCACCGCATCCAGGGGTGGGCGGCTCTCCTGGGACTCCTGCTGGGGTTCTCAAGAGGCACCCCCTGCTCTCACAGGACCTCTTTGGCTCTTGCTGCTCCAGACTACAGCCTTGGGCGTGGGGTGGGGTGGGGTCTCCTCAGTGGGGAGGGGCAGCCCGCTGGGTGGTGTTGTTAGAATGACTTCAGACTGAGACACAAACAGCCAGGAGCCATGCGTGTGGTCCCTCCTTCTCATAATAACGCTAAATGTAGGTATTTATGTTTCACCAAACCAGGAGACTGGTTTGGTCTCCTGAACATTATGAACATTTATGAACATTTCCCAAGTTCATAAAGGCAGTGGTAAAGTCTGAATTCAAAACTTAAATAGTCACAAGAAGTCCAATGTCACCAGCAATCATAGAACTTCACTGAAAAAATAAGAGAGCACTTCACACCCATTAGATTGACAAATACTTTAAATATCTGACAACAGCAAGTGTTGGCAAAGTTAGAGAGATGCTGCATTTTGATAAACTGAGGAAAGGTGTGTAAATTGGTACAATCACACAGGAGAATATTTTGACCATATCTAGTAAAGTTAAAGATGCTGAAATCCTACAACCAAGATTCCACTTCCACCCCCTAGATAAGTTCCCCACCTTTGCAAGAGGAGACATAAAAAAGAATACTCACTGTACTTATGTCTGTAGGGGAAAACTGGAAACTATCTAAATGTCCATCACCAGGAAATCACAAAACCCATAATGAATGAAAAAAGCACGTTGCAAAATCACGTTGTATAGTGTTTTAACAGTACAACAAGGCCCAGGTTGTTCGTCCCACTGCCCATGCTCTTTCTTCACAGTCTTGCCCCCTTGTCCTGCCAGCGATTTGGGCCAGAACTGAGTGCATATTCACTGTGTCTGGCAAATAGGAACCGCTCAGTCACGTGTGGTGAGTGATGAATGAACAAACGAACAAATGAATGAATGAATAAAGAAGCAGATGTGCAAAGGTACAGCTCTTTTGTGCCTTGGCTCCCCCACCACGTGGTCAGCTCTTGGAAGGCAGGAGCAAGCATGCTGCACATTCAACCCGGAGCCTTGGAGCACTTTGCAAAGTGCTGAACAGCCATCTCTCCCCGACACCTGCTCCTCTCCTCTCCTCTCAGAAGCTTTGCAGAAACTATTCCTGCAAACTGGTTCCAATTTGCTGCTGGATCATTGGTCCCAAACAATTCCCATACTCTTTGGGCCCAGCAAGTCATGTCTGGGAATTTATACTTATCCTAAGGGTAAGCTAAAACAATTAACAGACTGTTAAGTAAAAACACAACAACAAAAATGTAGGTAACAAACACATATATGTGGGATTTCCAGGTATATGTGGTGCATTAGCCACACCAAATCACTCTTACTATTCTTAATTTTTCATCATAGCTGTTACATAACAATCACAGCATAAGAAGAAAATTCAATACCTTTTAAAATACAGAAACCAGATGGAGGAACAGCTGCTACCTCCACATAACAGACGACAATACACCAAGTACATGCTGTGAGCCCACAGGGCAGTGAGGATGAGGTATGGGTGGAAAAAGAGGCCTCCCTGGAGGTCTATATGAGATCACCTGGGTCCTTAGGTGTCCCCAGGCCCCCGCCCCAACACCAAATCAGACTACAACACAGTGAGAGCAGACAGCAAGGAAATAACACAGAAGGGCCAGGCGTGGTGGCTCATGCCTGTAATCCCAGCACTTTGGGAGGGCGAGGTGGACAGACTGCCTGAGGTCAGGTGTTCGAGACCAGCCTGGCCAACATGATGAAACCCTGTCTCTACTAAAAATACAAAAATGAGCCGGGCATGGTGGTGTGTGCCTGAAATCCCAGCTACTCGGGAGGCTGAGGCACGAGAATCGGTTGAATCTGGGAGGCAGAGGTCGCAGTGAGCCAAGATCGCACCACTGCACTCCAGAGTAGGCCATGGAGCTAGACTCTGTCAAAAAAACAAACAAACAAACAAACAAAAAACCCACAAAGGAATAACACAGAGAGTTAAGTGAGCATGGAAGTACTAAATCAACCACACTGGCTTCAACTCTCCTCCCCTGCCAACCCCCACACACCCTGCAGATCTGAAGATCTCTTCTGGTAAAACCGAAAGGCCCCAGGGACAAACCCCCAGTCCTCCACCTGGTCACCCTACAGCAAAGCCCCCACTCTACAGGCCCCACCCTATAGTCCTTCCAATCAGCTTTTAGTACATCACTCCCAAACATGAAGAGCCAAGAGTGCTGAATATTCAAGGAAGTTTTCCAAACAAAGCCGGAACAAACAAACAAAAAATCAAATAGTGCAAATAACATGACTGTGTTTTCATAAAATTACATCAGTAAAAAAAGCACTGTCAAAGACACTGTGAACTCTGGAAGAGCCAATCCCTCAAGATGAATCCTGAGCAGCCAACTGGGCCTTAGTTGAAATTAGAACCAAGTGGCCATTTGCTGACTAGTCGTCACACATGTACTTTGAATTCCTGGAAAACCCATACCTCTGCTTAACTTGGGGACTTTCATAGCTGCCTGTTCCTGTTTACCCTGCCTGAACCAATCATAAGGTCTGACTTATGTTGACCAATCAGAGCTCAGCAAACATCAACCAATCAGAACTAAGCAAGTTTGACTCCTTCATTTGCATAAATGGACCTGAGTGAGAACATGGACAGAAACTTTATAAAACACAAACACTCCTTAGATTCTCTGGAATGTACCTTCAGTTTACATTGAAGGCTGCAGCTCCCTGGTTTGCAAACTGCTCATTGGAGTAAAGTCTTTTTAAATTCCTTTCCAGAAAACTTTTGTTCACACATATATCAACATGGTAATGGTAGCTACCTCATAGTGATGGTGGCATGTTGATTTTTGCAGAAATGCATGCCAATTAACCATCAAATCATCTTATATCAGGACCATGGCCGTTTCTACCTCCTCTCATCTCTTTCTTGGCAGTATTTTGAAATACCTGCTTTTCCTCACTTGTCCTGAATCAAAAACTGAAACTAGCTACTAAAGAAGGTGAGTATGTATCAACTTCTGGATGAAAGTTGGGATCCGCAGGTCCCCTCCACCCAATCCACAGGCCTTAGACCTCCATGAAATCTGGACTCTGATACTTTGCTACAAATGATCTAGACATATATTTCTCATGCTAGGAAACTCCTGTTTTTAAACTGGTCACTGTACCCACAAGTGGCAGAGAGCTAGGAAACTAAAAAGCAGAAAATATACTTTACAGTTCCTCAGGTCCAGCAACACTTTCTCTGAGAAAATGGTAATTTTGCATGGCTGAGTGACACCATGTGATGGATGACTGAACAGTGTTCTCATCACATGCTACTGGTGGAGACTTTGCCTTGGCCTAGGAATTTAAAAAATCTATTCTGCTTCTTTCCTGACTCTGGAAAATATAGGGGCAAAATACCAGCTGGCTGTTGTAGACTTAACAGAGTTTCAAAAATGATAGAATGTATTAATACAGTCATGCATTCCTTAAATATGGGGATATCTTTTGAGAAATTCATCATTAGGTGATTTCGTTGTTGTGTGAACATCATAGAGTGTACTTACACAAACCTAGATGCTACAGCCCCCTACACACCTAGGCTAGATGGTATAGCATATTGTTCCTGGCTACAAACCAGTACAGTCCTCACTTAACATCATCATTATGTTCTTGGAAACCTGCAAGTTTAAGCAAAATGATGTCTAACAAAACCAATTTTACCATACAGAGGGAGAATGTGCAAACTCCACACAGTGGCCCTGGCCAGGAATCATTTTTTTTTCTCATCAACGCTATAACAAAATGATCTTAAATGAAGCATGTTATTCAAACACCTGTTGCACAGCCTGAGATTGTAGTGAATACTGTAGGCAACTGTAACAGAATAGTGTTTATCTAAACATCTCTAAACATAGAAAAGATAATGTAAAAATATCATATAAAAGATTAAAAAAAATGCATATCTATATAGGACACTTAACATGAATGGAGCCTGTAGGGACTGGAAGTTGTGGAGGGTGAGTGAGTGAGTGAGTGGTGAGGGAATGTCAAGGCCTAGGACATTACTGGACACTTTAAAAGACCAGCAGTGCCCAGTGCTGTAGGTTTGTTTACACCAACATAAACCACACATGCGTAAGTAAGAGTTGGACTATGAAGTTACAGCTACAAAGCCATTAGCTAATAGGAATTTTCCAGCTCCATCACAATCTCATGGGACCATCATCATACATGTGGCCCGTGGTTGCCCGAAACATCGTTATGCGGCACTTGACTGTATTTATTACCAGGTGTTTCATTCACTAGGACCTTTTCTAGTCAAATTTTCTACCTAGTAGTGTTCCTATCTTATGATTCTTTTCTCCTAGAAAATGCTATTCATGGCTTTGTTGGATGGTAAACAAGTATGGTATAAGCGCTTTGCAGATTTTTTAAGGGAACGAGCAGAAAGAGAGGAAGATGGAATGAACAGCGCTAGCACAGGGCGGGAGCTGTGCGAGAAGCTGTGGGTGATTGGGTGAATCACACCCCCCCCCCACCTCCTAGGAAATAAGGGTTCCTAACCACATTTCAAAGATGAACAAACTGAGGCTAAAATAGATTAGCTTTTTACCTAAAGTTACAAAGATAACATGGATGAAAGAGGAGAGGTAAGGAGGTGGGAAGAGAAAATGCTCCAAGTACTTGTTTCTATTGCAAAGCAATTAGTTAAGGTATTGAGACCTTTTCCAACTCAGTAACTTCATGGTCTCTGATGTAATATTTCCTTCATTCAGTGCTGAGGAATACCAAGCAGTGTAAGGCTCTGTTCTAAGCACTGGGGATGCAGTGGTGACAGAGCAGATGAACATCCCTGTGCTCATGGGCATGCCACCCTGGTGCTGGGGTAGGTTCTTGTATATGAAGGTTCTCATGTGCTTGCCTGCTTAGGTGAGTTAGGCCCATCCGCTATGGTGACCATGAAGCAGGCTGCCTCCCAGGTTACCAACAGCTGCTCACCAGTTACAGCCTTGCATGTTCTGCCCAATTGGACCTGACAGCTGTCCTGGCTCAGTACTTATCCTGGCTCGATGCCTAATAATAATCTCATTTCTTGGACTATGACTAATGTGCATGAGGGAATATTAATGATTATACCTTATAAAAGTAAAAATTAGTGTTTGCTGATTCCAGAGTCTGTGGAAAAAGTCCAATTTTCTGTAGAGAAGATCCAAACGGCCAGGAAAGGCAATGGTAGGGTTACTTGGAAGGCTGCACACAGCAAGGTAGAAAGTCCTGGCCTTTGTTTAAAGGGCTTGACAGAGTTCCATGTTATCTACATCCCTTTCCCGTTTATGTTGGAACGTTCTCTTTATTTACTCTCTGAAATGTCCTTTTTCTTGTCCTCCCAATAAATTTGTACAGATCACTTAAAAATAAAATAAGGGCCAGGTGCAGCGGCTCGAGCCTGCAATCCCAGCACTTAAGGAGCCTGAGGCAGGAGGATCACTTGAGGCCTGGAGTTTGAGGCCATCCTGGGCAACACAGCAAGACCCCGTCTCTACAAAACAATTTAAAAAGGAATTAGCCAGGTGTGACCACACATGCCTGTGGTCCCAGCTACTCAAGAGGCTAAGATGGGAGGATCGCTTGAGCCCAGGAGATTGAGGCTGCAGTGAGCTATGATTGCACCACTGTACTCCAGCCTGGGCAACAGAGCAAGACCCCCAACTTGAAAACAAAAGAAGAAGAAAGAAGAAGAAGAAGAGGAGGAAGAGAAGAGGAGGAAGAGGAGGAGGAGGAAGAAGGAGAGAGAAACAAAGAGAGGGAAGGAAGGAAGGAGGAAAGGAAGGGAGGGAGATTAAAATGCCAAAGAATGTAGGAAAAACAGATAAAAGTATTTTTAAAAAGAACAAGAACAGGGTAATATGAGTCGGGGGCAGGGGGAAAGGCGCGCAGGTCACTCCCAGGTCACTCCAGATGGATGACAGGGCTCTCCCAAACCCAAGGCCTTTTCTTCTTGTTCTCCCACAGATGCCAGCAAACCAGGGAGGACAATTAGCATTGCAGCCGGCCACTCTCTCAGGCTAAACCACATCTCAATACAGAGACACATGAGCCAAAGACAGCCCTGACAACCAGGGTCAACAAACCAAAGGACCCACTCCTCACTGCCACCGTGGTTTGGCTTAGCTGATCCTGAAGTATGAATAAAGCACGGCCTTGGCTAAGGAACTGCCATAAAGGAAGTATTTCTGAGTGAAATGTATATGCTAGATAATATTTTTTTAGAAAACTACACACCAGGAAGGTTTTATGGCAATGCTGAGGATGGATGCTAGGAGGACATGAGAAGGAACGACGCTGACCATCCATGCAGCAACTGAAACAAGCTCTGCTGATTTCACTGAAGTGGAAAAATCTGTTTATGCAGCCAGCACTGCTGCCATCAGCCTGAAAGTCCAATGTGAGCAACAAAAATAAACATCACAGGGTCAAGGAAAGAAGAAATATGATACCTTTTTAAAAAAGAATGTTTGTTGAGTGGTTTAAGTTTACAGATTCAACCAAATGGAAACTCCTTTCTCAAAACTCACAAATACCATGCAACCTTCTTTTTCCAGCTGGGATGATTTAAACTATTCTAAGATCTTGTCTGCTTTATGACACGTTAGTTTTGAAAGGAGGTACTGACAGCATGTTTGTTGGCAGGTTGATGAGCCTCAACTGTGAGCTCCGGGAGGGCAGGCCAGGCCTAGTGCGCTCACCGCCGTATCCCTGGGGTCCAACACATGGCCTGGCACTGCTGGCACTCACGTGTGGGCTGAGGCAATGACTAACACTGATACAGAATTCTTCTTGAGTGTCACATGCACAGTGTTCCAGGGAAACTGTATAACTCTCTTGGTCCAGTAATATTTAGATTCCTATTGAAATGAGCTATCCTGTACTTTCTCATGAATGGTTAGATACACATTTTCTTACTCTTCTTCCATCATCAAATCTTTTTTTCTGAAGGGTTCTGCCATCAGCCTCTGGTGTGAGTGGGATTTGGGCTGTTTTGTTGTGACTGTCAGGATCCTGCCCTGGAAGAAGGCTCACACTGCAGACACACGAAGGACCAGGACCCTAGTGGGGACTGGACATCATACTCCCTTGTGGCACAATTTCTGCTGTGTATTTAAAGACATGTCCAATACATAGTTAAGAACAGCTAACTGTATAATTATCCATACTACACACACTGATTCACCACAAAACCCAAGGAAAACTTACTCATAAACTTGTCATAAGAAGATAAGCAAAATAATTTGGCTTCACTAATGCCCAACTTTTAAAAGTTTCCTAGGTAGTTGTTTTAAATAGGATTTGGGGAACTGTGAAAAATTAATTTGATTTTTTACAACCAGCAGTTTGCAAAAAGCTCCATTTACCTCTTTATATCAGTTCATCCCTCATTTTATTTATTTATTTATTTTTGAGACGGAGTCTCACTCTGTCACCCAGGCTGGAGTGCAATGGCGCGACCTCTGCTAACTGCAACCTCCGCCTCCCAGGTTCAAGCGATTCTCTCGTCTCAGCCTCCCGAGTAGCTGGGATTATGGGCACCCAGCATCATGCCCAGCTAATTTTTGTATTTTTGTAGACATGGGGTTTCACCATGTTGGTCAGGCTGGTCTTGAACTCCTGACCTCAGGTGATTTGCCCACCTCGGCCTCCCAAAGTGTTGGGATTACAGGCGTGAACCACCACGCTTGGCCTATTTTTTTGAGACAGACTCTCACTCTGTCACTCAGGCTGGAGTGCAGTGGTATGATCTCGGCTCACTGCAACCTCCGCCTCCTGGGTTCAAGCGATTCTCTCACCTCAGTCTCCCGAGTAGCTGAGATTATAGGCACTCGCCATCATGCCCAGCTAATTTTTATTTTTGTAGAGACGGGGTTTCACCATGTTGGCCAGGCTGGTCTTGAACTCCTGACTTCAGGTGATTCACCTACCTTGGCCTCCCAAAGTGCTGGGATTACAGGCATGAGACAGCGTACCCGGCCTATTTTTATTTTTTTTGAGACAGACTCTTGCTCTGTCACCCAGGCTCAGTACAGTGGCGTGATCTCGGCTCACTGCAACCTCAGCCTCCCAGGTTCAAGCAATTCTCCTGCCTCAGCCTCCTGAGTAACTGGGATTATAGGTACATACCACCATGCCTAATTTTTGTATTTTTAGTAGAGACAGGGTTTCACTATGTTGGCCAAGCTGGTCTCAAACTGCTGACCTCAAGTGATCTGCCTGCCTCGGCCTCCCAAAGTGCTGGAATTACAGGTATGAACCACCATGCTCAGCCAGTTCATTCCTTTAAAAACGGCCAGAAAGCTCTCTAAGAGACTTGATATGAAATTTCTTACACTTCACCCCAGCCAACCCCCAGGAAACAGCAGCTCTCTGCTGCAAATACCAAGGCGCCAAGAGCAGCCTCTCAGGCAACCCAGAGCAAAAACCAAGTGCTTTTCCAAACCAAGGGCAGGCAACTGATTTGTTAATTTCCCACTGTGAAATTCATCAGAAAACCTCTCACTAATAAAACTCCACACAACACCTGAACTAACTCTCTTTATCACGGCAGAGTCCTTAACTGCCTACCTTGTTCCTGTTGTTAAGTCCGGTTCCCCAAAGATAAGTAAAACCAACTTGCCCGATCCATGGCCATGCATCTGTTCTCAGACATAAGAGGGATTACAGCATCAAATCACTTATGAGAAAAAAACATTCATAACAACTCCCACAGAGGAAAATATGGCAGAACCGGAAACAAATTCATCTTCATTAGTGCTTCTTACCCAGATTTCTAAGGACTGGGAAGCATCCCAGTGGTGGTTACTGGAGGTGACCAGCCATGAACAAAGCGCCTGGCACTTGAATGGCAGCCAGCACAGTGAAATAAAACGGACGATAGCCATTAATCATCCAACTGTGCAGAAAAAGTTAGCATTCTATCTAGAGCTGTGTTTTACTGATGTTTGGTAGTTTTTTTCTTTTGTACTATGACTCACAATTTCATAAAAACACTTCCCTTACATAGAGGTGATGCAATCCTTTTTCTTTTTTTTGTTTTTAATTTTTGTAGAAATGGGGTCTTGCTATGTTACCCAGGCTGGTCTCAAACTCCTGGCCTCAAGCGATCCACCAGCCTCGGCCTCTCAAGGTACAGGGATTACAGGCATGAGCCACCACACCTGGATGATTCTTTACATTGTTATGTGCAACCCACAAAACTGATTATTTGATCTACTCAAGGATCTTACTGTGTAGTCTGAAAACCACTTCACTAAAAAATGCTTGGGTGTCATCAGCAACCAGTGCCTTCCCTTCAAAAGATGACTCATTTCTTTCTTTTTTTTTTTTTGTTTTTGAGATGGAGTCTCACTCTGTCACCCAGGCTGGGGTTAGTGGCACCATCTCAGCTCACTGCAACCTCCGTCTCCGGGGTTCAAGTGATTCTCCTGCTTCAGCCTCCCAAGTAGCTAGAATTACAGGCGCCCACCACCACACCCAACTAATTTTTATATTTTTACTAGAGATGGGGTTTCACCATGTTGGCCAGACTGGTCTTGAACTCCTGACCTCAGGTGATCCGCCTGCCTTGGCCTCCTAAAGTGCTGGGATTACAGGCGTGAACCAGCATGTCCAGCCTGATTCATTTCTTCATACTAATAATGTGAGACTATCCCTTCAATTAGGTGCCATGGTTTTCTTTATATCCTCCAAATTTAAAGCTACCATATGGAAGTGGGAAATGTGAGGCCAATTTAGTTTCATTCTTCTGAATCAATGTCACTCAGCTTCAGTAACACGTAGGATCACTGGCTAGTTTTGATCTGAGACTTTTAGGTAGAATACATGTAAACTGACAGTTCAAGGAGGTCTCTAAAACCTAAGGCATTCCTTCAGGCAGGTGTAAAATACTTAGAATTCACTTAGAAAGTAAACACTTAATTAAAAAATACTGTATGAAAATAAGTGAAGGCAAGTTTCCTTCAGACTTGGGACAGACCACACTACCCTACACAGGACATTTGTGACGTGGGTGTTGGGCGAGGTATGTGGCAATACTGAGGGGCATGCTACTGTCCATCTGGCAAGATGAGGAGACAAGGGTTGACATGGAAAAACAAAATTCTGCCCTGGGGCAGATGAAAAGTACTGCATGAGGCAGCTAGAGTTCAGAAGGGGAAGGGCTGGCTCCAGCTGGGTCCACCTGGCCTTTGATGAAAGGACAAGCAGGACCACCCTGGCAGACCACACCCTGCTTGCGCAGCAGGTCCAGGAAGACTGTGGTCGCTTCCCTGATGTCCTTCACCCAGGTGCCTGAGAGTGACATGCTGTTTCATACCAAGACTCTCCGAGCCTTCTTTTCTCAGAGTCCCTCTTTTTTTTTTGACACGTTGTCTTGCTTTGTCGCCCTGTCTGGAGTGCAGTGGCTCGATCACGGCTGACTGCAGCCTCCACCTCCTGGGTTCAAGTGATTCTCCTGCTTCAGCCTCCTGAGTATATAGGCATGCAGCACCATGCCCAGCTAATTTTTGTATTTTTAGTAGAGAAAGGGTTTCACCATTTTGGCCAGGCTGGTCTTGAACTCCCGACCTCAAATAATCCGCCTGCCTTGGCCTCCCCAAGTGCTGGGATTACAGGTGTGAGCCACTGTGCCTGGACCCGAGTCCCTCTTTACGACTAATTTTCCTTTCTACTTTTCTGCAGCCACTCTCTCACGCCCCTGTCCTGTAAATGGCCCAGTAGCTCTGTACGTGGGAACCAGACATCCTAAGTTTGAATCCTGGACCAGCTGCTTTCTCCCTATGTGGTCTAAGGGAGTTCCCTAATTACTCTGTATTTCCATTTCCTCCCGTGTACCTAATTTTTAATACATCTTAAGCACGTAAGACAGTGCTTGTTACCTGGTAGGCACCCAGTAAATGTTAGCTATTATATAGTCACAACATACAGCTGAAAGGTTTTAAAAAATGAACTGTACATATTAAATCACTTTGTATTCTCACTTGGATTTGTTATTATTATTATTATTATTATTATTATTATTATTATTATTATTTGAGACAGAGTTTCACTCTTGTAGCCCACGCTGGAGTGCAGTGGCGCAATCTCAGCTCACTGCAACCTCTGCCTCCCGGGTTCAAGCGATTCTCCTGCCTCAGCCTCCCAAGTAGCTGGAACTACAGGTGCACGCCACCACGCCCAGCTAATTTTTTTTTTTTTGTATTTTTGTATTTTTAGTAGAGACAGGGTTTCACCATGTTGGCCAGGCTGGTCTCGAACTCCTGACCTCAGGTGATCTGCCTGCCTCAGCCTCCCAAAGTGCTGGGATTATAGGTGTGAGCCACCGCATCCAGCTGGATTTGTTATTATTTTTAATCTCTCAAAAAAAAAAAAAAAAAAAAGGCGGCTGGGCGTGGTGGCTCATGCCTGTAATCCTAGCACTTTGGGAGGCCGAAGCGGGTGGATCACCTGAGGTCAGGAGTTCGAGACCAGCCTGGCCAACATGGCAAAACCCCATCTCTACTAAAAATACAAAAATTAGCTGGGGGTGGTGGTGCACTCCTGTAATCCCAGCTACTCGGGAGGCTGAGGAAGGAGAATTGCTTGAACCCAGGAGGTGGAGTTCGCAGTGAGCTGAGATCGTGCCACTGCACCCCAGCCTGCGTAACAGGAGTGAGACTCCATCTAAAAAAAAAAAAAAAAAGCCCTAAACTCATTTGTCTTCTCATTGGCATACTTTTCTAGAGAACAGGGAACACATTTTCATGCAAATGGCTCCCCACTTTACGAAAGTGGTTGAAGGAGAGTGGATGTACATCCTTTCCTTTCTAGACAGCTCCTAAAGTCAGTCAGTTCACATAAAATATACCTGAAAACACACCAATTCCCACTGTGACATAGGGAAGCCTGGCAAGATTCTTCATCAAAGCAAGGAGCTTCTGACGTGAGCAAGTCTAGCTCTCCACTACATCAGCCAAGTGAATATCTGAAAGTACACGCCCCCTTTCAGAGCTTGCACGAACAATTCTATTATTATCCTATTATTTGCCATTAAAAGTAATGACAAAAACCTCAATTGCTTTTGCACCAACCTAATACAACCAGAAAGAAAGCCAAAGCCTCACCGCACTGCCTCTAGGCACAGGGCAATTTACCCAGGAAAGTTAGGCCAGGAAGTAAACTTTTGTAACCAAAATAGCATTTTTAATTTACAAGACCTTACATCTACTTACTAAGGAAATGTTAAGGGAAAAAAATCACATTAATTCCTCTCGAGTACAGCTAGATGGCCATAAATGTTGTCCTGCTTAAAACACAGGACTTCAGACTGCCTGCATGTAGTCAGAATTCCTGCCATCCATCAAACAGCCAGGCCAGGTCTGCCTCTCTCCATGTAGGGACACTGTCCAGGGGCTAAAAGGTTGAAAATGGCTTTTTTCCACTAGGAAGGCTGTGGGGACATAAGCTGACAACTACCCTACATGGAACAGGCAACCCCGTCATGCAAGCAGGCCTCTCTCCCAAAGGCACCTCCATCCCTGCTGTCATGTGGCACAGATGAGCACACCTACTACGTCACAATGCAGTGTAGCCACGCCAGACTGGACCAAGGACACACTCTTAGCCTTCTCTTCTCTCCAAATTCACTTTATTATCTTTAAGCCACACATCCGTGGTTGGGAAGGTGTCCTTGATTCTTCAAAAATCAAAAGGCATCTCCTGATATGCTGTCTGGGATTTATTTTAAGAGTCTGAGAGGAAGAGAGGTGGGAGGGTTATAGATGAAACAAGACAGGCCGTGTGTGGGTCACTGTCAAAACTGGTCAGTGAGTATCTAGGAGTTCATTATTTCATTGTTTACTTGTGAATATGTTAAACATTTTCCATAATTAAAAGCTTTCTTGGTCAGGTGCAGTGGCTCACACCTGTAATCCCAGCACTTTGGGAGGCTGATGCAGGTGGATCACTTGAGGTCAGGAGTTCAAGACCAGCCTGGCTAACATGGTGAAACCCTGTCTCTACTAAAAATAGGAAAATTAGACGGGTGTGGTGGTGCGTGCCTGTAATCCCAATTATTCAGGAGTCTCAGGCAGGAGAGCTGCTTGAACCTGGGAAGCAGAGGTTGTAGTGAACTGGGATTGTGCCACTGCACTCCAGAGCCCGGGCAGCAGAGTGAGACTCTGTCTCAAAAAAAAAAAAAAAAAAAAAAAAAAAAAAGCTTTGTAAAAGGCATTTCTGATATGCACGTTTAAGTTTCTGGAGAAAACAAAACCCTTTGCCAAGTTCTTACTC
This sequence comes from Homo sapiens, assembly GCF_000001405.40. NCBI lineage: Eukaryota > Metazoa > Chordata > Mammalia > Primates > Hominidae > Homo > Homo sapiens. The sequence goes on from NC_000013.11 coordinate 21,021,580, forward strand.
CAGTGTGTTTAAATTTCACATTGTTAAGACGTTCAGGTTTCTTGTCAGCATTGCTCAAAGCTGCCCATGGTCAGCAGCTTAATTTTTGAAGAATTGAGGACACCTTCCCAACCACTGATGTGTGGCTTAAAGATAATGAAGTGAATCTGCAGAGAACAGCGAGGCTAAGAGCATGCCCTTGGTCCAGTCTGTTGTGAACAGTGCTGCTCCTGGGGTCCACACTGCAGTTATGCACTGTAGCCCTCACAGAGCCCCAGGGCACCTTTCACAGTGCCACAGAGACCAGTTCTGTCACCAAGCAGCACAGGGTGAAAGCTCCTCAGACTTCTCAAGCTGTTCTGACAGAGAAAAACCAAAAATCTTTACTTAGACTATCTGTTTCCACACTTTCTTCGTTAGAGGAGCTGATTTTTTTTTTGTGACTGAACTGAAAGTATAGTGGGCCCTGGGTGAAATAGAAAGATGAAATAGGAGAAAAGACTATTTTCGTGGGTTCTCAAACTTGTGGAGGAGCTCTGAAAAATACCAATGCCCAGAATCCACCCTGGACCAATTAAATCAGAACTTCTAACAGATGTGTATGTATGCCTGTGTGTGCATACATGTGTACATGTGTGCAACTACGTAAGTGTGTGAATATGTGCATGCATGTGTGCCTATGTGTGTGGACGTATGCATATGTGCGTGTGCATGTATTTGTATGTGCATGTGTGTGTGAGTGTGCATGTGTGTGAATATCTGTATATGCCTAAGTGCATGTACTGAGTCAGGACTGAGAACCATTGCTCAAGGCCATGCATGCACCTAGATGGCCTCAAGTTCCTCAAACACAACCCCCACTAGCCCCGAAAGCCTAAAATCCCTGACATCTCACTTTTGTACTGCACGGTTAGAAGGTTCTTCCTGTATCCTGCAAAGATTGGTCCAGGTGGACCTTGGACCCACTGGCCCTTGTTCTAACCACGCAAAACACACCTTGTCCCTCATTCAAAATGTTTGAAAAGATCAAATGAACTGTACCAAAGTCAGAGGAAAGCTTTTTGTTTATTGTCAGAGTGCTTTTAGGAATCCCGCGTTTACTGCCTGAGCCACAGAAATGTAATACTGAAGGGGGAGAGAGATGAGGACTATGAAGCAAACACACACAAGGCCAATTTAGATATGAGAGTGGGGATTTATGTGTTTTTATAATACTGGAGTGGGTATAAACAGAGCTATCCACCCTGCGAGAGAATAAAAGATCCTCATTATGTTCATAAAGGGATTTTGCAGATTATTTCCTGCTTTAAAGGAAATAATCATGTTTCCTAGAACACATCTATAATCTTCATCATATACAAATAAGCAATAGACTCCCCTTCTTCACTCTCCAGCTGGACGCTTGGGCAAGGGTGTTTTGATTTTCTCTGATTAGCCAGGAAAGGGGGTGTGGGGGAAGCCACCCTCACCCTCTAGTCCAGCCCAGCAATCCCACTGCATGCACCTGCAGAGCCCCAGGGGGGCAGTGTCGCTCGAGCCGGGGACTCCTTTCCAAAGATCGCTCCCGGCATCCATAGCGCTGCATCGAGGGCTCCGGGCTCCGAGGGCTCCGAAGGCCGGGGAGTGGGACCAGCTCCCACACAGGAGACGCAGCTCAGGGCTTCTACATTTCTAGGAATGCTAAAAACCCAATTTTCTTAATTCCTTTTTTTTTTTCTTTTTAGAGATAGGGTCTCACTACGTCCCATCCTCCTGCCTCAGTCTCCTGACACACTGGGACCACAGGCGCTCGCCCCCTCTCCAGGCCCAATTTTCAGTGTGAAAGCTCTTGGTTCTTAAAAGTTGGAAAGACATTTTTAAAAAACTTGTAAGACACCGTGTGGGTAGAATAGAACCCAACTGCAAGTACACGGACCCCTGCACTTCCCGTCCTTGGCCTCTGTTCTCGAGGCGGGGCCAGGACTCTCCACGCTGCCGGAGAGCCCAGACAGTGTCTGAGATTGATGGTCAATAACACAGCAAGGTCTTAGGATTTCAAAAGGATGGGAGGGAGGTCCACCAAATGACACATTTTCTATGACTGGCTTTAAAAAAAAAAAAAAAAAAAAAAAAAAAAAAAAAAAAACAAACCTCGGCCGGGCGCAGTGGCTGACGCCTGTAATTCCAGCACTTTGGGAGGCTGAGCCGCGTGGATCACCTGAGGTCGGGAATTCAAGACCAGCCTGACCAACCTGGAGAAACCCCGTCTCTACTAAAAATACAAAATTAGCTGGGCATGGTGGCGCATGCCTATAATTTCAGCTATTCAGGAGGCTGAGGCAGGAGAATCGCTTGAACCCAGGAGGCAGAGGTAGCAGGGAGACGAGATCGCACCATTGCACTCCAGCCTGGGCAACAAGAGTGAAACTCCCTCTCAAGAAAAAACAAAACAAAACACAACTCAGGGGGCTTTGGAAAACAAGCAGGCATCCTCGGGAAGGGCCCCCCAGGGAGTTTACAGACCTTCCCCAGAAAGGTTAAAGTGTCTCGCTGTGCAAAAAAAAAAAAAAAAAAAAAAGAAAAAGAAAAAACAGCTTGAAAAATAACAGGAATGGGCCGGGCATAGTGGCTCACACTTGTAATCCAGACACTTTGGGAGGCTGAGGGGGAGGGATCACTTGAGGTCAGGAGTTCAAGACCAGCCTGGCCAACATGGTGAAACCCATCTCTACTAAAAATAAAAAAAAATTAGCTGGGTGTGGTAGCACATGCCTGGTAATCCCAACTACTGAGGAGACTGAGGCAGGAGAATTGTTTGAACCTGGGAGGCGGAGGTTGCAGTGAGCCGAGATCGCGCCACTGTACCCCAGCCTGGGCGACAGAGTGAGACTCTGAATGATAATAATAATAAATGATAATAAATAATATAAAAGTTAACCCTTTTTAGGTTGGCTGGACTTTCAGTGGGGTTCAGTGGCGGTTCTCGCCAGGGCATATCTAAAAGTTGAGTATGGCCCTGCGGGAGCTCTTCCTGCATAGCGCCTCACGGATGACATCTCACTTTGACGGTCATCACTGACCAGCACCGTGCTGTCCCACAGAAATGTAACTCGAGCCACATGTGGAATTTTCCATTGTCTTATACCCACATTAAAAAAAAAAAAAAAAGTACTGATGTTAAAAGATGTATATTTCAACCCAATACATCCAAATATTAACATTTCAACAAGTAAGCAATGTTAGAAATACTGACATTTTATATTCTCTTTTTTGCACTATGTCTTCCAAATCGGGTGTGTATCCTATACTCACTGCACACCTCAATTGAGATGAGCCCCATCTCAAGGCCTCCAAAGCCACGCATGGCCTGGGGCTGTCCCCACAGGCTCAGCCAGGCCCAGAGACACGCACATTTATGTACAGCCCTGCAGACCAGGCTTCCCCCATAACTTTTTGCCTGGTTTTGTTTTTTGATTCATTGATTTTTATATATTTAACAGGTTACTATCAATTATAATCAGTATTCCTTTATGGCTGATCTACTACTTGCTACTCCCATGAAGTCTGTAAGACACCTTTAATGAGGTATAATTTATGGTCACGGGGCCAGGTGCGGTGGCTCACCTGAGGTCAGGAGCTCGAGACCAGCTTGGCCAACATGGCGAAACCCCGTCTCTACTAAAAAAAAAAAAAAAAATACAAAAATTAGACGGGTATGGTGGCAAGCACCTATAATCCCAGCTACTAGGGAGGCTGAGGCAGGAGAATCGCTTGAACCCGGGAGGCAGAGGTTGCAATGAGCCAAGATCATGCCACTGCACTCCAGCCTGGGCGACAAGAGTGAGACTCCGTCTCCAAAAAAAAAAAAAAAAAAAAATTATGGTCATGAGTGAGGAAGAGTTTCTGGTTGGCACCTGAGGGGGTCGGACACGGACATGGGATCATTTTCTGGAAGACCTGTGGAGGGTTTCTTGAAAGGAACAGTACCAGCTTATTCAATAACTCTACCTTTTGGTGTCATGCAGGATGGATCACTTAGGTTTTATTCCTCTTCATGACACGTGAGGTAGTATGCTATGAAACTCTGTCTCATCGTCATTAGGTCTGCACTCATTGACCCAGACAGGTTCAGATCTTGCCTGACACTGCTCACAACATTATTTGGACATACTAAATGTATGCTGGTCAGCTGGTTCATACATGGTGAGGTCTCCTGTCCTCTGCACGGAGGAGGAAGTGAAATTATTGCTGTGACCCCTCAGTGTTCCAGGCTAGAAAAAAGCAGAGCTGTGGAGATGCTACTGATGGCCATACGGCCCTGTACGTCTGGGTTGATTTTTTCACCAACCGTGACTCTCTGACTAGGACTAGATTAGGGACCCCTGTTATAAGGTTTGTTTAAAGTACAGCCTGGTTTTGGCCTTGATTTTGCCTGATGTTTTGCAAGAGACTCTCCACCCAAGACCTAGCCTGACCATCTTTAAGCCACCTCTGAAAGCACTGGCCATAAAGAGGGCTGCCCATGAAATCAACACCAATCCCTGGAATACCCATCGGATGCCCCACCCTCCTCTAGGCATAAGAAAGAAGAGAAGGAAACGAATTATTTGCATCCACTGTAACTGGACCGTTCAAGTATGAAAGATGTATACACCAGTAAAATCACCATCACACCAAAGATACAGAATATTTCCATCAATCCCCAAATTTTCTTAGTGCCCCTTTATAGTACTCCCTCCCTCCACCCCACCCTAAGTAACTAATTATCCACTTTTTGTCACTATGAGTTAACCATTCTCTAAACTACTAAATAAATAAAACTGTGCAGTATGTACTTTTTGTGTTCAGCATCTTTCGTGCAGCATGATTTTGAAGCCCATTGATGCTGTTGTATAAGTGGTCCCTCGGGTTTCTTTGTTTTGGTTGGTAGCATTCTATTGTAGGGATGTGCCAAAATTCATCCATTCAACTGTTGATGGACACTGGGGTTGTTTAGTTTTTTGCTATTACAAATAAAACTACTATAAATATTTGTGTACAAGTCTTTTTGTAGACATGTTTTCATTTCTCTTAAGTAGATATATAGGAGAGGAATGACTGAGACATACGGTAGGTATGTTTGACTTAAATTGTTTTGCCCTGGCACCATAGCTCATGCCTATAATCCCAGCACTTTGGAAGACAGAGGCAAGAGGATTGTTTGAGCCCAGGAGATGGAGACCAGCCTAGGTAACATAGCAAAACCTCATGTCAATTTTTAATTTAAAAAACATTAGTAAATAAACTGCTTTACAATTCTATGTGAATTTTAAGAAAATTCCAATTGCTGTACATTCTCACCACTACTTAGTATTATCAGACCTTTATACTTTAGCCTTTCTAATGAGTATATAGTAGTATCTCATTGTGGTTTTAATTTGCATTTCTCTGATGATGAATGATGTTGCTTATCTTTTCATGTGCTTATTTGACATTCCTCTATATTTTTGTGAAGTGTCTACTCAAATCTTTTGCCCATTTTTAAAGGTTTGCCTTTTTATTATTGAATTCTAGTTCTTTATATATTCCAAATGTGAGTCCATTGTCAGATATATGTATCAGTAATATTTTTTCTCATTCTGTGGATTGAGTTTTGTTGTTTTAATGTCCTCTAAAGAGTAAAGACTTTTCATTTTGTAAACATCCAATCTACCAGTTTTCCTTTTACGTCCCATGAATTTTGTGTTGGATCTAAGAGATCTTTGCCTTTCTCAAGGTTGCAAGATTTTATCCTATGCTTTTTTCCCCAAAGTTTTTAGCTGTTTTATATTTAGTTCTACAATCCATTTTGACTTAATTTTTGTGAATGGTGTGAGGTCAGAGTAAATGTTAATTTTGACTCATCAGACTATCCAATTGTCTCAGCACCATTTGCTGAAAAAACAAACAAAAACCCTCAACCTCCGCCCTTTTCCTCATTGAATTTTCATGGTACTTGTGTTGAAAATCAATTGTAGTAAGTCCCATGTAAGTGTGGGTCTATTTTTGTACTCTGTTCCACTACCTGTCTATCTAGTCTTATGCCAATGCCACACTGTCTTGCTTAGCTTTAGAGACTACCCACAATAGTCTGGTCCAAAGTCAGGTCTAGCAGTTTTGAAAGTAAGGTAGTTTAAGGACTCTACCTGTGTTCTTTTTTAAAACATTGCTTTTGCTATTCTAGGTACTTTGCAGTGCCATATGAATTCACAATCAGCTTGTCAATTTCAATTAAAAAAAATAAATAAACCTGCTGAGATTGTATTTGGATTCTGCTGGATCCACAGATAACTGTGAGAACTGCCGTCTTAACAGTATTGAGTCTTCTGATCTGTGAACATACTCTCTCCATTTATTTATTTATTAATTTTTTATTTTTTATTATTATTATACTTTTAAGTTTTAGGGTACATGTGCACAATGTGCCGGTTAGTTACATATGTATACATGTGCCATGCTGGTGTGCTGCACCCATTAACTCGTCATTTAGCATTAGGTATATCTCCTAATGCTATCCCTCCCCCTTCCCCCACCCCACAACAGTCCCCAGAGTGTGATGTTCTCCTTCCTGTGTCCATGTGTTCTCATTGTTCAATTCCCATCTATGAGTGAGAACATGCGGTGTTTGGTTTTTTGTCCTTGCGATAGTTTCCTGAGAATGATGATTTCCAATTTCATCCATGTCCTTACAAAGGACATGAACTCATCATTTTTTATGGCTGCATAGTATTCCATGGTGTATATGTGCCACATTTTCTTAATCCAGTCTATCATTGTTGGACATTTGGGTTGGTTCCAAGTCTTTGCTATTGTGAATAGTGCCGCAATAAACATATGTGTGCATGTGTCTTTATAGCAGCATGATTTATAGTCCTTTGGGTATATACCCAGTAATTTATTTTGATATTTAATGTGATCAGCAATGCTTTGCAGTTTTAAGTGTACAGATCTTGCACATATTTTGTTAAATTTATCCCTAAGTATTTTGTATTTCTAAATACTACTGTAAATGAAACTGCATCTTAAATTTCAATTTTCTGGAGTCTCGTTCTGTCACCAGGCTGGAGTGCAGTAGCGCGATCTTGACTCACCGCAACCTCCGCCTCCCGGGTTCAAGCAATTCTCCTGCCTCAACCTCCCAATTAGCTGGGATTACAGGCATGCACCACCACGCCCTGCTAATTTTTGTATTTTAGTAGAGACGGGATTTCACCATGTTGGCCAGGATGATCTCGATCTCTTGACCTTGTGATCCACCCGCCTTGGCCTCCCAGAGTACTGAGATTACAGGTGTGAGCCACCGTACCCGGCCAAATTTCAACTTTCAAGTGTTCATTGCTAGTTCACAAAAAAACTACTGATTTTTGCATACTGACCTTGTATCCTGTGACCATGCTAAATTATTAGAGGAAATTATTAGTTCTGGTAACTTTTAAAAATAGATTCCTTAAGGTGTTCTATAAAAAGGATCATGTCAAATGCAAATTGTTATACTTCTTTTCCAATCTGTGTACTTTTATTTCTTTTTTCTTTCCTTACTGCACTAGCTAGGACCTCCAACAGAAGATGAAAGAGGACATCACACTGTATTACTAATCTTAGAGGCAAGTTATTTGGTTTTTCACCATTACATGTTGATGTTACCTGTGGATTTTACAGAGGTACCCCTCAGCAAGTTGAGGAAGTTGCCTTTTATTCCTAGTTTGGTGATAGCTTTTGGTACAAATGGCTGGTGGATTTTTCTGAAATGCTTACTCTATCTATTGAGATGATGAAATGGTTTTATTCTTTATTTTGTTGATATGATTAATTATATTGATTTTCTAATGTTTAACCTTGTATATCTGGGATATATCCCAGTTGATCCTGATGTATCATCTTCTTACCAAATGCCATTTACTAATATTTTGGTAAGGATGTTTGGATTTATATTGCATTTATAAAAGATATTGGAATGTCGGGTGCGGTGGCTCATGCCTGTAATCCCAGGACTTTGGGAGGCCAAGGCAGGCGTATCACGAGGTCAGGAGTTCGAGACCAGCCTGGCCAATATGGTGAAACCCCATTGCTACTAAAAATACAAAAATTAGCCGGGTGTGGTGGTGCACACCTGTAGTCCCAGCTACTCGGAAAGCTGAGGCAGGAGAATCACTTGAACCCGGGAGGCAGAGGTTGCAGTGGGCCAAGATTGCACCACTGCACTGTGGCCTGGGCAACAGAGCGACACTCTGTCTCAAAAAAGAAAAAAAAAGATATTGGGGATGGGCGTAGTGGCTCACGCCTGTAATCCCAGCACTTTGGGAAGCCAGGGTGGGTGGATCATGAGGTCAGGAGATGGCAGGCAGGTCATCTGAGGTCAGGGGTTCAAGACCAGCCTGGCCAACATGGTGAAACCCTGTCTCTACTAAAAATACAAAACTTAGCAGGGCATGGTGGCATGCACCTGTAATCCCAGCTACTCAGGAGGCTGACTCAGGAGAATTGCTTGAACCTGGGAGGGGGAGGTTGGACTGAGCTGAGATTGAGTCACTGCACCCCAGCCTGGCAAAAGAGCTAGACTCTACTTCAAAAAAAAAAAGGAAAAAAGAAATCCACCCCCATGGTCTAATCATCTCCCACCATGCCCTACACCCTATCTCCAACACTGGGGATTACATTTCAACATGAAATTTGGGTGGGGACAAATATCCAAACTATATCAACAATCTACTTAAATGTTAATTTTGAGTTACACTAGAAAAGGAACTCTGCTGGCCGGGCGTGGTGGCTCACACCTGTAATCCCAGCACTTTGGGAGGCCGACACGGGTGGATCACGAGGTCAGGAGATCGAGACCATCCTGGCCAACACGGTGAAACCCCGTCTCTACTAAAAATGCACAAAATTAGCCAGCCGTGGTGGCGGGCGCCTGTAGTCCCAGCTACTCGGCAGGCTGAGGCAGGAGAATGGCGTGAACCTGGGAAGCGGAGCTTGCAGCGAGCTGAGATCACACCACTGCACTCCAGCCTGGGCGACAAGAGTGAGAGACTCCGTCTCAAAAAAAAAAAAAAAAAAAAGAAAAAAAAAAAGAAAAAGAACTCTACAATAATATATTTCCATTTAACTCCCCCAACTCATAGTGTTGTATATCAGATCTATAGGTATGATAAACCTATCAATAAAGTATTGTTTTTACTTTAAATATTGATGTCTTTTAAAGAGATTACAAGAAAGAAAATAAAAAATAAATTAGTATTTTATACTTATTGATATCTACTGTTTCTAGTGCTCTTCATTCCTTCCTGTATATCCTTTAGCATTTTTCCCCCCATACACCCACCCCTTTAATATTTCTTTTAATACAGGTCCCCTGGTAACAAATTTTCTCAGATTTTTGTTCCCCCGGAAATGTCTTTACGACACTTTCATTTCAGAAAGACAGTTTGCTAGATATAAAATTCTCGGTGTATTTTTTTCTTCAGCACTTTGTGTCATTTCAATATATGCAGCATTTATACTGTCTAATGAGAAGTCAGCTTTTAATCTTATCTTTCTTCTGTATGTAACATCATTTTTCTCTGGGTGCTTTCAAGATTTTGTCTTTATCTTTGGCTTTCATTAGCTTAAATATGATAGGCCTAGGAGTTGTTTCCTCTGTGTTCATCCTGCTCTTGGTTTATTAAGCTTCTTAGATCTGTACATGAATGCTTTTCACCACATTTGAGAAGTTTTTAGCTATTACTGTGTCAAATGTTTAGGTATTTCCTTTCTATTCTTGGATTTCAATTTCACATATACTGGACAACCTCATATCATCCCACAAGTCACTGAGATTTCTGTTCAATTTTTTTCTATGATTTTTGGATTGGGTAATTTCTACTAATTTATATTTCAGTTTACTGGTTCTTTCTACTGCCGTACCTAATGTTATGTTGAGACCATGTAGCCAATAAAAATTTTTTCACCTATTTTGCTTTTCAGTTTAGAGTTTCCATTTTTGTAGTTTCCATTTCTCTGTAAAGATTTCCTGTCTGGGGCTGGGTGTGGTGGCTCATGCCTGTAATTCCAGCACTTTGGGAAGTTGGGGAGGGGGAGCATGGGATCACTTGAGCCTAGGAGTTCGAGACCAGCCTGGGCAAAATAGTGAGACCCTGTCTCTATAAAAAAGTTAAAAAGTGAGCTGAGCGTGGCGAAGTGTGCCTGTAGTCACAGCCACTTCAGAAGCTGAGATGGGAGGATTGCTTGAGCCCGGGAAGGCTGCAGTGAGCTGTGATGGCACCCACTGCACTCCGGCCTGGGTGACAGAGCAAGACCTCGACTAAAAAAAAATTTTCTGTCTGTGCATCACTAACCCTGTATTTTCTCTTAATTCTGACACATTTCCCTTTCATTGTCTGAATATATTTGTAATAGCTTTTTAAAAATTGTTTAAAAAACTAACAAAATTTGTCATTTTAACCATTTCATGATAGCTGTTTAAATGTGCTGTCTGGTAAAGCCAACATCTGGTTCCTCCTGGTGCTATTGACTGCCTTAGTTCCTAAGGGTTTCACTTTCCGTTTTCTTACCATGTGCAGTAATGATGGATAAAAACAATACTGTTGATAATACGTTGCAGCAACACTGCATTCTAATGGGTTAGGTACTCTGTTTTATAGGTAAGAGCTATGTGCTGCAATTTGACTAAATTCACATACAAACTGATTTCTACTCTGTTCTTATGGCTTACCACTTTTTATTTTATTTTTTGAGACAGAGTCTCGCTCTGTCACCCAGGCTGGAGTGCAATGGCGCGATCTTGGCTCACTGCAACCTCTGCCTCCCCCGGGTTCAAGCAATTCTCCTGCCTGAGCCTCCTGAGTAGCTGGGATTATGGCGCCCACCACCACGTCTGGCTAATTTTTGTATTTTTAGTAGAGACGGGTTTTCGCCATGTTGGCCAGGCTGGTCTGGAACTCCTGGCCTCAAGCAATCGCCCACCTCAGCCTCCCAAAGTGCTGGGATTATAGGGGTGAGCCACTGCACCCAGCCTTTTTTTTTCGTTCTTTTTTAAGCCCATCAGCTATCATTAGTATTAGTGCATTTTATGTGTGGTCCAAGACAATTCTTCTTCTAATGTGGCCCAGGGAAAAGATTGGACACCCCTAAATAATCCCTAAGACCCTGAGAGGCCTACCATGGTTCCCTGGATGGTACCGACACAAATGGGAATTCAGAAAAGAAAGAACTTAGCGGGCACTGGGATGAATGGCCGTAGAAGGCCACAAGGATGGGTCGTGGAAGTGGGACTCGAAGGGTGGACCACGGCTGGCTGGGGAATGCACTTCAGGGGGCGACAGCATGAGCGAACCCAGTGTGGGAGAAAACCTCATAGCCTGGTGGCAGGGGAGGTGCAGAGGGCAGACCCAATGAGAACAGGAAGGCTGGGCCGGTACAAGAAATAAGTGGAGATCAGATTGGAAGAGGATGGTGAAGACAGTGGCTACCAAGACACTTGCCATTCAGGAAAAGTCCACCCGGGGAATTACTGGGTCAGGGAGAATCCAGGTATAGTAGAGCAGGGTGTTAGCAGCAAAGACACTTAAGAGAAAAAAAAAAAATAGCAGGCCACCGGAGAAAGTACTCATTAACAGAAAGACTGGAAGTGGAGCCTAGAGCCAAAGACAATGTAAGCTAGGAACCTTTGTTAGACCAGACCTGGTTGAGAAAGAAAGAGAAACAGGGAGGATGGGAGAGAATAGGGGGTAGAGGGGCGAGAGAACACACGCTCCTGGTGTAGAGGAAAGAATTTGGAAACTACCAAGGAAATCCTGAAAGGAGGAGTCAGCTGAGTCCCTGCTGACTTGGTTTCTCTTTCTACTGTGACCTCAGACAGAGAGGTAGAGATGTGCACGGGAAGACTGGAAACAAACACACCGAGTTCAATACAGAAATACCCAGTCACAGGGTGGGGCTTCTTACTCTAACAGTTCCAGCCTAAAATGCCAGAAAAATAGTGGAAACACCAAAGCAGGAGAGTTGAATTAAGCCACTTGGCATGGAGAAGGTGACAGACACACACGGTATCGCTGAAGGCTCTTGTAAGCGTCTCCAAGGTTGACAGACGGCACAGAGTACAATTTGTTCCACTACACTTGGCCACATTCTTGGGCCTACTAGATGCCAAATGCCACTAGCTTTACAACAGCTCTCTGCTGACTAACAGCTTTTATAAGCCAAATGAAGTTGCTTCCAATTTACATTAAATGTGTACTTCTTGGCTGGAGAAATTTGTCACTGTTAATCATTTACTTTTGTACAAAACAACCTTTATTTCTATTACATGATTAATAATTCTTCTAATGTCATAACCACCCAAATATATATCAAAACCACAAGGACACACACATTCCACAAGTTTGAGCAAATCTTCTCCATGTGATTTCTGTGGGACAGGGGACCAGTCGCACCCAGGCTGGTAGGACAACGATCTTATTATTAAGTAAAGCACGTCACAGCACCAGGAAGCCCAGCTCTCCAGCAACTTTACAAGTTTCTGAGCACTAATGACACATGGCATTGTGGTCAGACTGCCACCTCTGCATACCAACCACGGGCCAGTTACTTTACATTCTTTCTGGTCAGCGGGAAAACTCATAACATAGGAGCAATTATCATCCCAAGTGTGTGGATGAGGACTCCTGAGGCTCAGAAGGTGCATGGTATGCCCTGGTTGACACAGCCAAGGTGACACATGGCTACACTATGGCTTTCTAACCAAGGTCCAGCTTCCCTTTCTTCCTTACTGACAGTGCCCAGTTGCATTGGGGTGGCCACGTGCCCAGGTGAAGTACACATTTCCAAGGCTGCTTAAACCCCCATGACCAAGTAACTGGGTCCTGACCGGGGAGGTGTTGGGGAAGCTCCTTGACAAAAGAGCCAGAGCCAGAGCCGGCACGTCCTTCCCTGGCTCAGACCTGGAACACCACTGCAGAGGTGCCGTCTGGTGCACGCCAAGACGGAGTCACTTGCTAAGGGTGGCAGATAGAGAGAGAAGGTGCCTATTCCTGATGACACTGTGGACTGCCGTGCCACCACAGCCTGCTCATCTTCAGCATCCTTCTTACTCTGCCTCTGGGGGTTAGGCCTCTGCAGTGGGATCAGCTACCAGTAGCTTGATTTAGTGCTTGTCTGCTTCTGACACCTGGGGCCGCTGCCGAGCCTACACAGCTAGGCTCGTTGCTGGGGGAGGATACAGAGGGGAGAAGAATTTCCTGCCGTTTCCCACAGTACAGGAAAGTCATCAAGAACTCTTAGGAAAAAAAAGGCATCCGCTAACAAATAAGTCAATTATAGAAGATTACAAATTGTAAAAATTTAACTATGAAAAAAATCTCCCCTCTAAATACACTACTACAAAATATATCTAAGATGGGGCTGAGCACAGTGGTTCATGCCTGTAATCCCAACACTTTGGTAGGCCAGGGCGGGAGGATCACTTGAGGCCAGGAGTTTCAGACCAGCCCGAGAAACATAGCAAGACTCCATCTCTATTGACAAGAACAAACCAAACAAAACCAAAACAAAACAAAAAAGCAAGAAAAGAAATCTAAAACGAGTAAAACCTAATATATAAAAAATTGCATGATGAATGTGGCTTTAATTCAAGAGCTATGAATTTCTGGCAAGTAAATTTTAAGGCCAAAATAAAGAGAAGCTGGGTAGTGACTATGATAATGGATGTGGCATTTTTTTTTTAATTTTGAAATTCATCATAACCCTAGTAAAAATAGTTCTAAAAGAGAGCATTGTTAAATGCCATAAAACATTCTATTTCCTTGTTGGTTTTTCCCCTATTTACATCCTTGTTGGTTTTCTCTATTTACATCCACAAATGGTTTGGCAATGACAGAAACAGTTTAAATGAAGCCCCCACACAGAATTGCATGCAGACTGGAGACCCAGAACTCGGAGCCCCTCTCCCAGGGCCCCATCCATCAAGCCAGGCAAAATTGGGGTTCCAGGCAACAAAAACCATCAATCTAGACTGTACATGAGTTCCCGCCTAGATCTCTACAACCACATGACAGCAAATAATCTCAGCAGTAAACGTTTGGTGTGACACAACAGGCATTAAGTGAACAATATTTATGATCTCCAATATTTTTCACATTATAGCCCACATAAAAAATGCTAATATCTGTACTGCACACTGGGATAGAAGAGCAGGTTGCTCGCAGTGGAGGGACCCAGCTCCCAAAGGGCTGCAGGGACCAACACCACAGCACGCAAGTAGCCAGTGATTCCTAGAGCCCACCTAGGACCTGCGCCACTCACAAAGGTAAGTCATTCAGGGAGCAGAGAAAAGGCATTTCCTCAAAAGCCCCCTTCCCCTTTTTTCGGGGAACAGAGTCTTGCTCTGTCGCCCAGGCTGGAGTGCAGTGGCACGATCTTGGCTCACTGCAACCTCTGCTTCCCAGGTTCAAGTGATTCTCGTGCCTCAGCCTCCTGAGTAGCTGGGACTACAAGCGTGTGACACCACACCTGGATAATTTTTGTATTTTTAATAGACGGGTTTCACCATGTTGGCCAGAGTGGTCTCGAACACCCGACCTCGGATGATCCACCCCCCTCAGCCTCCCGAAGTGCTGGGATTACAGGCGTGAGCCACCGCACCTGGCTTAATTTTTGTATTTTTAGTAGAGACAGGGTTTCATCATGTTGGCCAGGCTATTATCAAACTCCTGACCTGACAAGATCCAACCACCTCAACCTCCCAAAGGGCTGGGATTACAGGTGTGAGCCACTGTGCCTGGCCAAAAGCCCATTTTAACAGGAAAGTGGGTCCAGTCTCAGGCACTTAATAAGAGCCTCCCTACTCACCGCCAAAATGAGAGCTTTCTAGTACTTAAAAGTGGAGAACTATTACCACTTTCTATTATCACACACATCCATTACTGCAATTAAGAACACAAAGCCCAGCCCTTGCGGTGGCTCACGCCTGTAATCCCAGCACTTTGGGAGGCCGAGGTGGGCAGATCACGAGGTCAGGAGTTCAAGACCAGACTCACCAACATGGTGAAACCCCGTCTCTACTAAAAATACAAAAATTAGCCCGGCATGGTGGCGCGTGCCTGTAATCCCAGCTACTCAAGAGGCTGAAGCAGGAGAATTGCTTGAACCTGGGACACGGAGGTTACAGTGAGCCAAGATGGCACCACTGCACTCCAGCCTGGGCGACAGAGCAAAACTCCGTCTCAAAACAACAACAACAACAACAAAAAACAACAACAAAAAAGCCAACTATTAAACTGACAGTTGCTTCTAGTTTTTAGTAGTAGTAGTGATAATATTCATCGTTAGCAGGGTTGGAAGTATAAATTCAATTGAATGATTTTTAAAAACCCACTTGGCAATACAAATAAGAATGGTAAAAATGCTCTCAACATTTACGCTAGTAATTCCATTCCTAAAATGTATTCTAAGGAAGTCAGTAATATCCATAAGAAGGTGTGTAGAAGAATGTTCATGACCAGCTCTTTACAATAAATTATGGGACATCTATTTGAACAATGGAATACAATGCAAATGTTAAAAATCATATTTTAGGACCGGGTGTGGCGGCTCAGGCCTGTAATCTCAGCACTCCGGGAGGCCAAGGCATGTGGATCACCTGAGGTCAGGAGTTCTAGACCAGCCTGGCCAACATGGTGAAACCCCATCTCTACAAAAATACAAAAATTAGCCAGGCATGACGGTGGGTGCCTGTAATTCCAGCTACTCAGGAGGCTGACGGGGGAGAATCGCTTGAACCCCAGAGGGGGAGGTTGCAGTAAGCCAGATCATGCCATTGCATTCCAGCCTGGGCAACACAGCAAGACTCCATCTCAAAAATCATAATAATTTTAAAAATCATATTTTAAAAGACTATTCAATGGAATGAAAATGTTTATGACGTAATGCTTGTCTCTGTGCTTCTCTGTTAGGTGTTTTTGAGAGCTTGCACAGTTCTGGGTCTTAGAAAGTGGCGACTAGAACAAAGCCACTGTCTCACAGGCCTTAAAATCTACAAAGGGAGACGCACAAACTACTTAACAGCAGATTCTGATAAACACTGGGGGAGAAAATTATGGTGTCACGGGAGAGAACGAGGGACCTAATTTTGACTGGAGGCTCAGAAAAGGCTTTTCTGAATCACAGACCCAAAGATGAGCCCTGAGGGAGAAGTGGGCCTGGTCCCGCAGCAGGGCCAGCACTGGGCAGCCTGAGAGACAGGCAGAGTGGGCAGGGCCAGGGTGGTCAGGACCAGGGCGGGTAGGGCCAGGGTGGGCCTGCCAGCAGCTGGGATCCTGCAGCTACAGGTGGGTCCTGTCCGCCAACTCCCAGGCACCATCCTGAGGCCAGAGAAAAGGTTTCCAGAAGGGAAATGACAGAATCTTCCCTTTTCAGAATGAGGGGGGCTAGACACGGTGGCCCACGTTTGTAGTCCCAGCTACCTGGGTGGACCGCTTGAGCCCAGGAGGTCGAGGCTGCAGTAAGCCATGATCATGCCACCACACTCCAGTCTGGGTGACAAAGCAAGACCCTGTCTCAAAAACCGAAACAAAACAAATCAGACTGAGGAGGGTACTGTGCAGGGAAGGCCGGAGAAAGACGCAGAAGGGGCAACCAGGAGCCACCAAGATCCCAGGAGCAAAGGTGGAGCCTGTACCGGGGGCAGGAGAGGCCAGTGCATGAGGTGCTTCCGAGGAGAACTGACTGGGGTGATCTGATGGGCTACAGGACCTCAATTCTGTTACACAAAAAGTGTGTGTGTGGTATATGTATTATATAGTTTAATATATAATTCCATCTTTTTTTTTTAATTTAAAAAAATAGACAGGGTCTTGCTGTTGCCCAGGCTGGCCTTGAACTTATAAGCTCAAGCAATCCTCCTGCCTCAGCCGACCAGACTGTTGAGATTACAGGTGTGAGTCACTGCACCCCACCTATTTTATCTCTCTCTTTCTTTTCAGTCTCTGTAGAGACTGTCAAAAATCGCCAGTGCTGACTACATTTCAAGTTGTTATGGTGGGGTATTGGAAAGTTTCCAATTAGCAATAATCGCACCTTGGACAAACTTCATTGGCTATGACACTGCCACTGTGCAAAGCTTTATCTATTTTTGTAATTAGAAAAAAGTTGTGCAGTTTTATACCAACATGTTAACAGCAGTCTTACCAGGTGGCCGAGGCGGGCGGATCACCTGAGGTCAGGAGTTCTAGACCAGCCTGACCATCATGGAGAAACCCCGTCTCTATTAAAAATACAAAAAAATTAGCCGGGCGTGGTGGTGCATGCCTGTAATCCCAGCTCCTCGGGAGGCTGAGGCATGGCGCATTGCTTGAACCCGCGAGGCGGAGGTTGTAATGAGCTGAGATCACCCCACTGCACTCCAGCCTAGGCACAGAGTGAGATTCCATCTCAAGAAAACAAAAACAAAAACTAGGAGCAAGGCTTAAGGGGAGAGGGGATTATGACACAGAGGGGTATGCTTTGCTTGTGTCTTGTCAAAGTAATTTAAATTCCTACATTAAAAAGGTATGTGGTGTGCCTTCTGGAAGAGCCAAATTTAATTTGAAAGCCACTAAGAAAAAAAAAGGGGAAAAGGCAAGGAACTGCTACACCCAAAAGCCATTGTAATACAATTTCCTGTTACATGACCGACATTCCTAAACTTAAGTGTTTCTTTCTTCCTTCTCCTCTTATTAATATTTCAGCACGCGTGTTCAGTAACACCAAACGGTGGTTCCCTTTCAAGAGGAAGTGAGAAAGAGGAAATGTACATGTTATCTAAATTCCTTTTATCTTTTTCATTAGCAAAATATCTTTAGTACAATGAAGAATCCTGTGGCAGGATCTTGTCACCAAGACAAAGGGCTAGGAGATTAGTGTTACCATTTCTCTATAGCTTTTTTGGTGATGCATATTGTTAGAATTAAGCCAAATAAATATCCCGAGGAGATCTGCATTTCTGGTTAGCATCTTTTCCAGTGTCTGACAACTGAGGTGAGGGTTTTGGCTGGACTAGTACACAGAACTTTCACTGGTGAGCAAGCACTGATTGAGCACATGCTCTGCAACATGGGAGGCCTTGTGGGCACAGAGGGATAAACTCCCAAGATCCAGGCCTCCAGAGACACTGCCTAAGACAGGGAGAGCAAGACGGGAACATGACAATCTGCCAACACAATGCCCAATGCATGGAGCATCCTTGGGGTTAGAAATAAATTTCTGAGGCCAGGCAAGGCAGCTCACACCTGTAATCCCAGCACTTTAGGAAGCTGAGGGTGAGTGGATCCCCTGAGGTCAGGAGTTCGAGACCAACCTGACCAACATAGTGAAATCCCATCTCTACTAAAAATACAAAATTAGCTGGGCGTGGTGGCGCATGCCTGTAATCCCAGCTACTTGGGAGGCTGAGGCAGGAGAATCACTTGAATCCGGAAGGCAGAGGTTGCAGTAAGCCGAGATAGCTCCATTGTATTCCAGCCTGGGCAATAAGAGCGAAACTCCATCTCAAAAAAAAAAAAAAGAAAGAAAGAAATTTCTGACCAGGCATGGTGGCCCACGCCAGTAATCCCAGTACTTTGGGAGGCTGAGGCAGGCGTATCGCTTCAGACTAGGAGTTCAAGACCACCGTGGGCAACATGGTGAAACCCCGTCTCTACAAAAAATAGAAAAATTAGCCAGACATGGTGATGTGCGCCTGTGGTCTCAGTTACTTTGGAGGTTGAGGCGGAGAATTGCTTGAGCCCAGGTCAAGGCTACAGTGAGCCGAGATTGCGCCACTGCACTACAGCCTCGGCGACAGACCTTGTCTCAAAAAAAAAAAAAAAGAAAGAAAAAGAAAAAGAAAGAAATGTCTTTGCTGTGGAAGTTTGAATAGGAACAGCTCGATCCAGGTGGAAGAACCAGGAAGAGCCTGTGTAAAAAGGAATCTGAGTGGAATCACAGAAGCTACTAGAATCCAGATAGGTGGTGATACTTCCAACCAACGAAATCATATGTCAGAGAGACCCAAAGTAAGCAAGCGGGAAGAGCTGTCTGGGAGGCCATGCTGTGTGGCTGAGACACTGCAGAGAGCTCCTCTGTAGAGGGGAGCATGTGGGGAGGATAAGACCAGGGTCTGGGAGGCCCCAGGAGCTGCAGCAGAGCCAAGGTGGGAGTCAGGCTGGCCAGCTGCCAGGGACGTGGGGGGCAGCCATGTATGGATGCCCAGGGAATGAGAGGAGGGGAGAGGGACCCTGATAAACTCCATGCCCCACAGACATGAGGGAAAGGAGAAGCAACCCCTATGAGGATGGAAATGAGAAAAGAATTCTTATCTGAGGAATCTGAGTCCTTTTAAATTATTAGGCCCAGAGAGACATTAAACTGAGAGAACAATCACATTCTACTTCCCCCTTGAGGCATGTGTTCACCTTTTTTTTTTTCTGAGGCAGAGTCTCGCTCTGTCGCCCAGGCTGGAGTACAGTGGCACGATCTGGGCTCACTGCAAGCTCCGCCTCCTGGGTTCACACCATTCTCCTGCCTCAGCCTCCAGAGTAGCTGGGACTACAGGCGCCCGCCACCATGCCCGGCTAATTTTTTGTATTTTTAGTACAGACAGGGTTTCACCATGTTAGCCAGGATGGTCTCGACCTCCTGACCTCATGATCTGCCCGCCTTGGCCTCCCAAAGTGCTGGGATTACAGGTGTGAGCCACCGCGCCTGGCCCACTCCCTTTTCTTATTAAGCAGATGGCCCCTGATTCACTGAGCAGCTGGTGTGGACACTGTTCTCAGGAAGGCTGCCTCTCAGTGCACATCCTGACCACTGGCTGTCTTCTTTATGCCCTTCCTTATTTGATCTAATATAATCAGTTTATCAGTTTGTTTGTTTACATTTCTTCCCTAACCTCATTCCATTAAAGTTTTAAATCACTTAAACATGATAAAGTGGGGGGAAAGAACTGGATTAATCAGGATTAGGAAATTACAGCTGACACAATATTCAGGACCAGGAAAATGTATCAATGCTGAGCCACAGACTGGGCACCCCTCAGCAGATCAGAGGGAGGGTGGACAGGCAGGATACAGGTCATCCACAGAGAAAAAGCCCATGCCAGTTTCTCAAGGAAAGCAGAACCCTTTCCTAGCACTCGCATCCAAACAAAGTTCTCACATAAGTCTTCCTAGAGGGGACACCATGTGATAAAGTGCTTTGCTATTCTAAGGGGTCCAGGGGGCCATGGGCCTCCCCTGGGAGTTACTGAATTGGAACCTCACCCTCACAGGACTCATAGGCACCATCCTGAGTGCTATAATTAAGAACAGTGAGTGCAGTGAGCTGACGACACCCCCACCTACCCACACCATGCAGATGTTCCCCCTATAACCCACTGCAACCAGAGAGAAAACAAGTCCCAGGCTTCCGCAGAACAGAAATATTTTGCATATTTAAATGCAAACTTAAATGATCACTTATGCCAATAACTATCCAATGCTCAAAATATGATACTCATAACCAAAAAACTTACCTTTCCAATTCCTTAAATCTATATTTAAAGAGCAGCTCCTCCCATAAGAAATATTAATCTAGTGGCCTAGTTTTTTTCTACAGGAATTTTTGTAAGTTTTCAGTAATTTATGTGCAAAAGACTAATAAACATATCATTTGACATACACATTATATCCTTACACAGAAAATACCCTTGAGTCTTTTACTTTTTCCAGAAATTTCCATTTTAAAGTATTTTAATTAAAAATATACCCAAACATGCTAGTTACATGGGTGGGTTTAATATGCAAAAATTCACTATGCTGTGTGCTTAGAAATTGTGCACTTTTAAAGTAAATTTTACTTTAATTAAAAGTTAAGGCTGGGTGTGGTGGCTTGAACTTATAATTCCAGCACTTTTGGAGGTTAAGGCCGCTTGAGTCTGGAAGTTCCAGTCCAGCCTGGGTAACATAGTGAGATGCCATCTCTAGAAAAAATTTTGAAAACTGGCCAGACGTGGTGGCACGCCTGTAGTCCCAGCTACTTCAGAGGCTGAGGTAGGAGGATTGCTTGAGCCTGGAAGGTCGAGGCTGCAGTGAGCATTGACCTCACCACCACACTCCAGACTGTACAACAGAGCAAAACCCTCTTAAACAGACAAAACAGTAGGAGTGGCTGGGCATGGTAACTCACGCCTGTAATCCCAGCACTTTGGGAGGCCTAAGAGGGCGGATCACAAGGTCAGGAGATTGAGTCCATCCTGGCTAACACGAAACCCGTCTCTACTAAAAATACAAAAAATTAGCCGGGCGTGGTGGTGGGTGCCTGTAATCCCAGCTACTCAGGAGGCTGAGGCAGGAGAATTGCTTGAACCTGGGAGGCAGAAGTTGCAGTGAGCCGAGATTGCGCCACTGCACTCCAGCCTGGGCCACAGAGCGAGACTCCGTCTCAAAAAAAAAACCAAAAAACAAAAAACAGTAGGAGTGAAAGGGGTAAAGCTGCAACAATAAGAACTCTCGGCCAGACGTGGTGACGCACGCCTGTAATCCCAGCACCTTGGGAGGCCGAACGAAGCAGGCAGATCACTTGAGGTCAGGAGTTTGAGACCAGCCTAGCCAACATAGTGAAACCCCGTCTCTGCTAAAAATACAAAAATTAGCCAGGCGTGGTGTTGCGTGCCTGTAATCGCAGCTACATGGGAAGCTGAGGCAGGAGAATCACTTGAACCCAGGAGCCCAGGTTGCAGTGAGCCAAGATGACGCCACCACACTCCAGCCTGGGCAACAGAGCAAGACACCGTCTAAAAAAAAAAAAG
This sequence comes from Homo sapiens, assembly GCF_000001405.40. Taxonomy (NCBI): domain Eukaryota; kingdom Metazoa; phylum Chordata; class Mammalia; order Primates; family Hominidae; genus Homo; species Homo sapiens. Next base: position 21,043,349 of record NC_000013.11, read on the forward strand.
AACTCTATTATACTGAATTCAAATCATCTTTTTAACAAACTGATGCATACAACTCTAAAGGTACGGTTATCTTTTTCTCTTATTATTTGGGTTCACATAATGACTTTCCTACCTGAATTTTCTGAACGCAAATACATTTTTTATCTAGGCCAAGAAAAGTGTGAGTTGGAGGGGAAAGGTGGAGGCACAGCTGTTTTAAGTTATAAAGTAACACCACACACCAAACTGAATGAATTATTTCAAGGGCATTAAATATGGTAAATGGAGGCCTTTCTGCTAGCAATTAACATAAATTAAATGTTGATGGAAACTTCATCGGTGTCATGATCCTTACTTTTAGTGTATTTGTGTTTCTGTATTGGAAACAGCACTGGCTTTATTACTTCTTGCACTATAATTATCACTAATGGATTTTACCCTAATAAGATCCCACCTGTATTTGGGATTATTTGCTTGACTTGTTTCTTTTTCTCACAGCTGAAACACAACCGCAAAGAACACAGGGGCTTGGTTTGCCTCCTTTGTCTGCAAGTGATTTACAGGAGAAGATTTTAAGCTCTGCTGTTGGCCTGAAAGTTTCTCTGCAATCTTACTCCAGATTTCCCCAGGACTGCTCCTTCCCTACTTTCAAAACTGCTGGGTTCTGTACGTCAAGGGATAATGCTTGGCAGCATATTTAACTTCATGCTTTCACAATAAGAATGTCTGTGCCTTTGCTGTCAGCTTCACTGCTGAAACACTCTGCACCACATTACTCACAACCCTGTGCTTTATCAAAGCAGCTCGACATAACAATCCTCACTATATACAAGTTAATCCCAGTATGGCCCAAATTATCAAGGAAGCCCTCTATAAAACAGCAGGATTCATTTCACAAACATCTCCTCTGAGAAATGTAAATTCTCTATTTAAGGTCTATGGTAATAAACTACAAGAGGATTGAGAGTGGTTTTGGAAATAACAAATAACACTGTTAGCCTTTTCCTATGACTGCAACACCAGGAGTATGTAATTAGGTTATTTCTAAGAAACCAGAAGTGCTCAGGCCATTCTGATGTGCTTTGAGCATGAAATCTTACTACTTTTCCAAGGTACCAAAAATACTTAGCTTATTTCCGCTTCATGCAACTGTAATTTTTAAGATGACAGATTGTAATAAAACACTGGCTTTCATGAATCATTTCATAATGCAATTATGTTTTACTTGTTACATTTCACTAATTACATTTTTACCTGGTTGGACACTAGTTCCATTTTATATGGTCCTGTCCCTCAATTTGGATTGTATTCAGGTATACGAATTGCTAAGAGATCATAAATGTATGGCTATGAGGTGTAGGGGTGTGTGTGTGTGTGTGTGTGTGTGTGTGTGTGTGTGTGTGTGTGTGTGTTTTAAATAGAGATAGGGTCTCGCTCAGCTAACCAGGATTGGAGTGCAGTGGCTATCATAGCTCACTGCAGCCACAAACTCCTAGGCTCAAGCGATCCCTCCTGCCTCAGCATCCCATGTAGTTGGGACTACAAGGTGCACACCACCACGTCCAGCTTTTTATTTTTTGTAGAGATGGGGAGTCTCGCTATGTTGTCCAGGCTGGTCTCAAACTCCTGGCCTCAAGTGATCTTCTTGACTGGCCTCCCAAAGTGCTGGGATTACAGGCATGAGCCACCACACTCATCTCTGTAAGCTGTGTATTAATGTATAACTGGTGCCACCTCCACTAATGTATCCTTTAATCCTAAACAACTGAAAAGTGAGACTGTGTTGCCACAATTTTGACGATTTCTCAAGCTTTTTCTTTCTAGTTTTTCCCATTTCCTGAACATGTTAATAGTTACACCCCCTGTAACAGCATATACACTAATTGTTAAATAGGAGAAAACCGAGTCAGAGAATAGCCAATGCATGTTGCTCAACCCTCCCATTTCTAGGAAAAAAAAAATGCACAAACCAAAACAAGAAAAGGGAAGCCAGTCTCTTTCCACGATAGCTCAGAATAACCCGAATAAACACCAAAAAAAGGGGCTAAGCACGAAAGCCCTTTTCATCTCCACAAGAACAGATCAGAAAATACACATTACAATTTCAGGAGACCTCAGCAACTTCTGGAACTTGCCTGAAAAGGAAAAGCAGCTCAAAAGACCATTTTAGAGAGAAGGTAGAGAACCTTCAATTGTGAGTTCAATTATGTGTTAAAAGGGCCTTGGGTTTTTAACCTAGAAACACTTGTATAAGTAGTAACCAATTCAAAGCCTTCAAGTAGTTGCCAAACCATTCTGACTGCCCCAGCTGTCCCATAGCTGCCTCTGCACATGGCCCTGCAGAGGTCTGTACCCACCTGGTCGCATCCTGCGTTCACCAGTTCCTGCAGCATTTGCCGGTTCACTTCTGCAGCTGCAGAGGTGCCCGATTCATTAGCAAAAGGCAACAAGGAATATCTGATTTCCCTCAAGGCTTTCTGATAAGGTCCGAACTTTGGGGTGGCTCTCATCTGCTGCTGCTGCCTGGTGGCATCTTTGCTCCCCAGGACTTTGGCATCCAGGGAAGTGTCACTGTTTGGTCCTGCGGGTAGCCCCTGAACCGAAGACTTGGATGGCTGTTTTAACCCCTCACGAATCTCTTGCAGTCGCTGCCGGCTATTTCCAGAATAAGTCGTGGCAGGAAAAGTCTTTGGCCTCATTGTTAGTCCAGTTTCCTTTTACCATAAATACAATCTTCTTAAAGTGTTTTATTATTTAAAAAAAAAAACTGTCAATAGTATCAGTTTGTTGTAAACATACTTTCAAAATAATTTCCTTTTGAAAATGTTCTTTCCTTCCATTTTTGTAGTTCCTATAGAGAACCTAAAATTTTCCAAAGTCTTCATTTTGAAGATTATCACTCTCTGAAAAAGAAAATAAATGGGAGAGAAATGTTCATTTGTCATTTTCACGCAACGTTAATGCTACTTTTCAGAAATAAACAGTGATCGTGGAAATATACCGCTTGGAAAGAAAAGAAAGAACGCATCACCTCTCAGAAATGACAAAAATACTGTTCAACCATGGTTAGAGCACATGACATCTACGGCTGTCCCAAAATGCTTCCTGTAATACGTAATCTGCAATAAAGTAAATTGCTATAAATATTCAACTCAGGGCAAGAACAGTAGTATTAACAACTGACAGCTCATTTAAAATACTTCATTATAATAAAATTTTATTTTGAAACCCACAGCTTGAGGAGTATTTAAATTTTCTACATGGGATCTTGGATTTCTGGCTTGTTCCTAATAACCAATCCACTCCTTGTCCTTCATCCCCATGGCTTTACTAACCTCTCCCCCCTCACATGAGATGTGGTCCTTCCATATCTTTAGAAAACTTTCTGAACTTTTCCTTATAAAACCCTCCCAATTTTCCTAAAAGACACCACAAAGCCTGTCACATTAAAACTGTCCCATGTTGCAAATGTTTCAATTGCAGTTTCCACACACACATTATGAGACTTTGAAGGTAACTACTTCCTTTGTTTTTTACAAGGTGGCCACTTACCAGCATTTTGACCTAAATAGTAAAATTAAAATATCTTTCTTGTAGCAATTGATACTGACATGGAAGGGGACTGGTAACAGCATGTAGGCAACTTCTCAGAGTGCACCATGGCCACATGAACATCAAATGATCATGTGGGTAAGAGTTATTACTACAGAACTACAACTGCAGCATGGAAATGGCCTCGTTACATGGAACGCGATGTCACAAAGGCATTTTCCAATAGTAAATTCTACCTACCCCAGGCCTCGTTCACGGCCTACTCTGCTGTTCTTTGATTCAGAAAGGAAAATCCAGTCCAAGTCAACACCGCCCTCAGCAGCCAGCACAGGTCACTTGTCACAAGGCTGGGTGACCCTGGACCAGTCCCTTCGCCTCCCTCAGCCCCACTCCCTGCTATGTAATAGAGACGGATGCTTAGGACAGTGGTGAGCACCGGGTCAGATGACAAGGGTACCAGGCCCTGCAGTACTTGGAACACACAACATCCTCCCTATTCTTCACCCCGTGATGAATGTTTATATAACCAGCTGCTCTAACCCAGGGAAGGTGCCCGCTGGTGGGAAAGGCAGGGCCAGCACCCCACACCGTGCCAAAGCCCTTAGTGGCTGCCCCTTCCCTCACCCACTCCCCCTTACTCCACAGAACTCAATGAGCAGATTTCGAAGGATAATCATTTTGAGTTTTAATAAACGAAGAACAACTGATCCAAAAAGAGTACCCTCTAAACGGGGATGGGCAGAGGGATCTGGATGTTTAGCTTCCGTAAGGAACTTTATAACTGTAAACCGCGACCCTGCTTCACAGACTTTTTCAAGTGGATTAAAAAAAAAAAAAAGGATAGCTAATATTCACCCAGCCTTACTATGTGTCAGGTGCGGTTCAAAGAATTAATTTACATAGATCTATTGCACAACCATATGCAATAGCAAACACTAAGAGATGACATTTGAATTCCTAGTCCTTGCTTAGATGGGAAGGGGATTGTAAGCGTTTTAACTATCCCCTTTCTCAATGTAATTGTGAGAAGATTCCATTTAGAAGATAAGAGAGAGACTAAATAAATTTCTCAACATGAAATCCCTATTTTAATACACAATATAATATAGTAAAGTCACTGAAATGACTGTAAGACTGTGCAGACATTGAGCTATTAGATCCAGGGACAGCCCAGATCCCCTGGGGCCTGTACTGGCCACATATCAGAAGCCTAGAGCTCTGCTTAATTGGTGTAAAATGGGGCATATTGCAGCCACACTCATTTCAGTGACTTTGTGCTCTAAGCATCTGTTTTGAAATACCTAACTTTGTAAAACCGTAACTTCACATTCCGACAAAAACGGAGAGGTTCTCAAGGTGATGCCAAGCAGTATGGAGGATCCTAGAAGTGACTCGGTATGTCTGGGAAGAGGCAGTAGAGTTCTTTCTTTTCCTATAGGAATTCACACAAATCACTTTGTTTCCAATCTTAAGTTTTCTTCCCTTTCTTTGAAAACTAAAATAGAGAAAACACAGCCATACTATCTTCACAAGAACAATCAATGCAAGGGAGGGCCTGACAATACGCAGAGAGTTTCTTCATGCTCAAAATACATTCACTCGGCCATCTACTCATCTAGCCCATCCACCCTCTACCTACCATACAAACATTTATTAAATACCTACTCAAGGCTGGACGTGGTGGCTCACGTCTGTAATCCCAGCCACTTTGGGAGGTCAAGGCGGGCGGATCATCTGAGGTCAGGAGTTCGAGACCAGCCTGGCTAACATATAGTGAAACCCTGTCTCTACTAACTAAACATAAAAAATTAGCCAGGCATGGTGGCGGGTGCCTATAATCCCAGCTACTTGGGAGGCTGAGGCAGGAGAATCACTTGAACCAGGGAGGCGGGGGTTGCAGTGAGCCGAGATCGCACCATCGCACTCCAGCCTGGGCAACAAGAGCGAAACTCCGTCTCAAAAAATAAAAAATAAAAATAAAAATAAAAATAAAAAAAACCTACTGAATCTCAGGCACTGATAGGATAAATGAAAACAAAATCTTGGCTTCAGCAAGTTTACTGTCAAGTGAAAGCTGGGGTGAGGCAGGCAAATAAACAACTTCAAAAAAAGAGAGATGCCTGGAGAATAAAAAAGAAAGAGCTCTAGAAATAATTAGACCTGAGTGTCAGGAGGAATGGAATTCCAGCTAGAGGGAACAGCATATGCAAAGAAGCCTTTAGGCTCCACCCACCACATTCAGGTCTGTGCAATGCAGGCTCTTCCTGGAGACATAGGAGGTCAAAGGACTCGGGGGTAGTGGGGGTGTCTCGTGGGATGAAACCATGGAGGTATCCAGAGGCTCAATTCCCAGCCATGTTGAGTCTGGACTCAGTGCAGAGGATGGGCAGTCACTGCCTATGGTTCAGCTAAGGAGTGACACGGCCTGAGTGGAAGGTGGGCTTAGAAGGGACAAGTGCAACACTTCTGGGTGAGGAGCAGCAGCCCCGGGGAGCAAGGGGAAGGGGTTTCAGGTCTGGAATGAAAGGCACAGATGGGGGATGGTGGGGAGGGGTGCTGGCATCTGCATATGGGACATTTGCCCGGCCAGAGGCCTGCCTGCTCAGCCATGAAATGGAGCTACCAGGTGAGTGGATGGCTGAGGCCCTCCCGGCTCACTCACATTCCTTACAGGAGCAGCCACCTGTGATATGTCTCTTTTTACCAGCAGTGACATTAGCAGGGCACAGAAGGGGCAAGCTGCTTTTCACTCAGCTATGAAAGGACAAGAGCCACAAGAGACACTGCAGACTGAAGAAAAAGAACCATGAGAAAGTTCCATGTTAAAGCCAGGATGCAGGGATGTCCTCTCCCCCATCACATGAGCAGAGCAAAGGGAGTTGGGGGTGGCTGAAGGAGGTCCTGGTTGACTCTGAGGCTGGAAAGCTCTCTCTGGAATCTGCTCTAAAGAAGGGAAGCTGGCCGGGCACTGTGGCTCATGCCTATAATCCCAGCTCTTTCGGATGCCGAGGCAGGCAGATCACTTGAGGCCAGGAGTTTGAGACCAGCCTGGCCAACACAGTGAAACGCTGTCTCTACTAAAAATACAAAAATTAGCCAGGTGTGACAGCACACCCCTGTAGTCCAGCTACTCGGAAGGCTGAGGCAGGAGAATCCCTTGAATCCAGGAGGTGCAGTTTGCAGTGAGCTGAGATTGTGCCACTGCACTCCAGCCTAGGCGACAGAGGGAGACTCTGTCTCATAGACAGATAGATAGATAGATAGATAGATACATACATACATACATACATACATAGATGGAAAGCTGCTGAAAGCCAGGAGGAACAGTAAGGCTTTTGGGGGTGGAGGGGGTAGGGGCAATCCACTTATTTAACATATATTTTTTAAACTGCACAGATTGTAAGATTGACAAATGTTCACCAAGGAACACACTCTTGTAAATAGCATCCAAATCAAGAAGTGTATCATTATCACAACCCCAGAAGCCTCCAGGCCCCCACAGACCAAGGGGAACCACCTTCATGTCATCTAACACCAAGGATTAGTCTGACCAGTTTTTGAACTGTATATCCAAGGAATTATGCAATCTCTACTCTGTAGTTTAGCACATTTCTTTCAACACTATATTTGCAGATTCATACACGTAGTATATATATAGCAGAAGCCTGTCAGTTGTCATTGCTGCGTAATATCCCCTTGTATGAATACACCATAACTTATGCATCCATTCTACCTAATGGACGTTTAGGTTACTCCTGGTCTGGGCTATTACAAATGGCACCACTGCCATTCAGGTTGCCATGGCTCCAGGCCCAGAGCTGTGAGGAGCTGCAGCGTGGGTGCTCGGCTCAAGGCCTTGCTTACCATCGCCGTGCCAAATACGCTGAAGAGCGACTGGCAGAGCCCCTGGAGAGACTGTAAAAAGGCACCCCTTCCTCAAGAAGTTTTTTGTTTCTATATTATTGTACAGCACCAACAACTCTCCCTGGGGAGCTTTCTGGAGCCCTGTGGGCAAGAGGCCCTGGCCCACGCATAGACATGCCATGATACCACAGCCACGTGAGGGGGGGCAGGAAAAGGCTGAGTCAAATGGAAGGCGTGAACGGGACCTCTGAGGCATAGGAGAGAAAGAAATGGTCTTAGTGCAAGTCACAGAGAAGGGTGATCATGTCTGCCCTCTAGAAGATGTGTGACGCATACGCCGTGTCAGGGGAGGTGAGTCTCTACTGCCACCCAGGTCTTCTGTGAGTGGCTAAAAGTCTCCAAGCAGACTGCACATGCCCTCATATAAATGTGTATACATGTGATGTGAGACAAGCCCTCTTATATGTAGGGCCCTTGAGCAGTGCACAACCTGAACACCCACACAAGGTGACCCTGTTACTTGGTCCTGAGGATGCAGAAAGACTGATTTGCCTCTGACTTTAAGGAGCTCATAGCTCAAGATGGGAAGGCAGAGGAGAAAATCAATTATTTAAATACACTATAGGGTATGTGTCACAATGAAAGTTTGCCCAAAGAATTATGGGGATCTGAAATAGAGAGCAGTTACAGGATAGAGAAAAGTGGGTGCACTCAACAGCACTAAGAGGTAGAACCCATAGGAGTAAGTAATGTTCACTGGAAAGGACTGATATGAAAGATGAGCCCAAGTTTCTGGTTTGAAAAATGGGGCCAGTGGTGGTGCCATTCTCTGAGCCAGGAAACCTCACCTGTCTGGGCAATGCGGCCCACCAGGAGAGCAGTGTCAGTGGTGGAGGAGGAAGGCAGTGACCAAAGGTGAAAAAGCACAGGGCAGGCTGGGTCCAGTGGCTCACACATGTAATCCTGGCACTTTGGGAGGCCAAGGTGGGAGGACTGCTTGAGCCCAGGAGCTGGAGACCAACCTGGGCAACAGAGGCAGACGGCATTTCTAAAAGTAATTAAATAATTAACCAGGTGTGGAGGCACACCTATGGTCCCAGCTACTCCGGAGGCTGAGGTGGGAGAATCACTTAAACCCAGGAAGTAGAGGCTGCAGTGAGTCAAGGTCACACTACTGCACTCCAGCCTGGGAGTCAGAGCAAGACCCTGTTTAAAAAGCACAGGGAGGGGAAGCTCACTGAAAACTGGGTGTGCAGTGCTAAAGTGGCTGGAGGTGGGAGGCCTGGGTCCTTCCCCAGCTCTGGCACTGAGCGTGTGGTCTGAGCCTGTCACTTAACCTTGCTGAGTTTCAAGCTCCTGCACGGTACCAAGGGTCTAACACCCGCTACTGTCTACCTGACAGGCTTGCCTTGAGGATCACAGTGGTGCTGTGTGTGACAGCAGGCTCAATCTGTAATGCATGATATACTGATCAATTATCACCATTACTAATTAAAGATTTATAATAAGTTAGGCAAAAAAGGTTTAATGAGGCCAGGAGATAAGACCACGGAAAAATTACCAAACTGAACACAGAAACAGGTTGCTTGCTCCAAGTGACTCCTCTTTATTTTTTATTTATTTATTTGGGAGAGTCTCACTCTGTCACCTAGACTGGAGTGCAGTGGCTCAATCTCAGCTCACTGCAACCTCCACCTTGTAGATTCAAGTGATTCTCGTGCCTCAGCCACCCGAGTAACTGAGATTACAGGCGTGCACCACCACACTCGGTTAATTTTTGTATTTTTAGCAGAGATGGGGGTTTCACCCTGTTGCCTAGGCTGGTCTCGAACTCCTGATCTCAAGTGATCCACCTGCCTCAGCCTCCCAAAGAGCTGGGATAACAGGCGCGGGCTACCATGCCCAGCCGAGTGACTCCTCTTTAAATCAGTGTTTGAGAATGATGCTTAGAAAGTTAAAGTAGCTTTCTTTTAACTGTAAAGACAGAAAAACACAGAGAAGAAAAGCTTAAGTCTTTCCTCTCTGAAACGTGCCTGCAGCCAGGTGCCAGGTTGGTCAGTTCTGAGCAGCATCTGAGCCTCAAGATGCTGACTGCGGCTCAAACAGCAGGTCTGGGTTGACTCTGTGATCCTGTGTATGTCAAAGGCACCGATGCTTCCTGTCCTCCCCAACCTGCAAAACCTTTCTCTCAGCTAGAAAAACCGAACGCTGGGCCGGGCACGGTGGCTCACGCCTGTAATCCCAGCACTTTGGGAGGCTGAGGCAGGCAGATCACGAGGTCAGGAGATCGAGACCATCCTGGCCAACACGGTGAAACCCTGTGTCCACCAAATATACAAAAATTAGCTGGGTGTGGTGGCACGCACCTATAGTCCCAGCTACTAGGGAGGCTGAGGCAGGAGAATCGCTTGAACCCGGGAGGCGGAGGATGCAGTGAGCCGAGAACATGCCACTGCACTCCAGCTTGGCAACAGAGTGAGACTCTGTCTCAAAAAAAAAAAAAAAAAAAAAAAGCCCAACTCAACCCCACCTGCCTGGCTCACTCCTACTCCTAAAACCTCAGCCCAGAACCCCTCCCACAGAAGGACCTTCCTGACCTCCCCAATCTAAGGGACCATACATGTTCACTCCCAGCCCTTCCCACAGCACCACCACTGGCTGGTGTGCTTCCTCTTGAAGAATCTGATAGCACCACGAGGGCAGGAGCATCCTGTTTGGTTTACCCCCATCTACTCCCAGGCATGTGCACACAGGCCCACGCAACATCTGTTGAAAGACACAGGTAGTCACTCAGCACCGAATCTGCGTCCTCAGTTCCACACTGAGGACAAAGCCTGCCAGTGCCACCCCAAAGGTCTAAGGTGATAAAGGAGAACGAAGCCTCAGTCAACAGCAGCACCTTCTCTGAAGTTTAACATGCAGGTCTAAATGAAACGGGCCCAAGGGAGGTTCACACAGAACAAAAGTCGCAGAACTATGGCATATTATTCAGCTATAAAAAGGAAGGAAATCCTGTCATATGCAACAATAAAGATGTACCTCAAGAACATTATGCTAAGTGAAATAAGCCAAACACAAAAAGGAAATATTGTATGATTCCAGTTATGTGAGTTACCTCCAGCAGGCAAATTCATAGAGACAGAAAGAAGAGAGATTACCAGAAGAAAGGGGAACAGGGAATTTTTACTTAAGGGGTACAGTTTTTGTTTGGGATGATGAAAAAGTCTTATGTATAGACAGTGGTGATGTTTGCAGTAATGGTGCATTTAATGCCACTTAACTGAACTGTATACTTAAGAATGGTTAAAAGGATAAATATGTATATTTTTCCTCAATTTTTAAAAATGGGGAAAAAAGTCTCCTAACTACTCCTATTTAGCAAACTCGTGTTTGAACAATGGCTCCCTTTTTAAACATAGCTACACGGCTGGGTGCAGTGGCTCATGCCTGTAATCCTAGCACTTTGGGAGCTGGAGGCAGGAAGGCAGGAAGATCACTTGAGGTCAGGAGTTCAAGACCAGCCTGGCCAACATGGCAAAACCCTGTCTCTACTAAAAATGCAAAAATTAGCTGGAAATCGCTTGAACCTGGGAGGCGGGGGCTGCTGTGAGCCGAGGTCATTCCACTGCACTCCAGCCTAGGCAACAGAGCAAGTCTCCACCTCAAAAAGAAAAAAAATTTAAATAAATAAATAAACATAGCTACACAATGAGAAGACTGGACCTAGGGACTGGGTAGGATATAGCAGGGCAAAGTCTCCACGTGAAGTCCAAACCCTAGGGCAGCTGCACCTCCCCACCCCACTGGCCCTCCACCACACGGACACTGACTCACAGCAGAGCCACGCTCCTAGAGACACTTGGGGTGTTAAGCATCTGTGGGTGCCACAAACATTCAAATAGTAAAATCAACCAGGGCAGTCGAGACTGGACATTTCTATGTCGATGTCTGTTTATACCTGAGCAAAGAAATACTAAGTGGCCGTGTCCCTAGCCAGATCAGGAGTCCTGGTTTTTCTTTCTTTTTCCATTCCCCCCTCAACATTTGCTTATGAAAAATGTCAAACATACAAAAAGGTTGAGAGGATTATTCAGTGACATCCCTAAACCTACCACCTGGTTTTGTTTGGTACGGAGGGAGGGGGAGGACCCCACAAGCTGTTCTGATTTTTTCTCCATCTCCCACCATAGTGAGGCACTAGTCTAGGGATACCACAAGGGCTGTCCCTGTCTTAAGTGAATATGAAAAAATAGTACCTACGGATAAACTGTGTTCTTGCCTGAGTACTTTAGAAAGGATGAAACGTTCCTTCAGTTTCATAGAGAATGAAAGCATTTTTTCAGCTTCAGACAGTGTATTTTAAGCTTTAGTTTGAAGACAGTTGATTTCATGGCCAAATTATGAACTTTTGAAAGAATTTTCATGAGAATACTCATCAGTCAAGACTGCAGCTGGAAATGAACAACTCTGACATATTACTATACCATTTTAATGAGACTTCACATACGGGAAATTTTTCTTTCATCAAGAGTTTTATAAATATGACCCTCATGGATGTGGACTTTAAAAAAAATGGGGATATCAAGCAAAGTAAATCTAACTTTGGAAATTTCTTTGGCATCACCAATTGATTCACACACATTTTAAGTAACAAACTACAAACACTGGAATTTTAAAACCATAACAACTCACAAAACAAAAACACCTCATTCTCTAAATCCAGAGCTGAGACAACTACTAAATCCCATGCTTAATATAGGTGGCCTGTGTAAACAATGTGAGAGCAAAATTTTAAGCATGCCTTTAATTTGGTCCTACCAAACCCAATTCCAACCCTCAATCCAATCCTGGAAAATGCTATCAGATGTTCAAGAATTTTTATTCTAATTTATCCTAGTGCTTCACAAACCCACACTGGCTGCCAAACACACATCAAGCACCAACCAAGGAACCAACCAAACCAATGTCTCATGGGACCTGCGCTAATGACACATGTTGGCATTTTCTGAAGCAGGATTTCTTGAACCTAAAATTCCAGCTATTATTTAAATCATATCCCTACTATAATTAACTAGCAAAGCTGAAACTAAATCAGGCAGACGGGCCAGGCCTCCAGCCAGATGCTAAATGTCAGAATCATAAACCACTATGTGGATGTACCACACCAGCACTGTCAAGCCAGGAAGCCACAGGCCAAGGGCTACCTCTCATAATGAGGGTCTTTGAGGAAGGCAGTGATTGCATTCCTCTGGGGATCCAGGAAAACACACTTTAGAAGAATTCCCACTCTCCAATAGCAGCATCATCACAAGGCCTCAGAGAATTTGGCATTGCCATATGTGTACTGAGCATTGTGCTGGACACTATAAGGTCTCACCTAGGTAGAATTGGGTCTTTTTTTTTGGTGGGGGGGGCAGGGTCTCACTCTGGTTGCCCAGGCTGGAGTGCAGTGGCAAGATCTGAGGGGGAGTTTCGCCATGAGATGGGGTTTCGCCATGTCACCCAAGCTCGTCTCGAATTCCTGGACTCAAGTGATCCCCCCGCCTCGGCCTCCCAAAGTGCTGGAATTACGGGCATGAGCCACCATGCCCAGCCAGAGTATCACTTCTACATAAGCTTACAGTCTCGGGGAAAAAGACACCATCACATTCTCTATTAGACAGCTTTGTACATTATATTTTTATGATATACATTATGCAAATATAAATGGCATAAAAAAATTGAGCTACAGAAGTCTGTACTCAAGATATCACAACAGAGTGACCAAGTTGCAGATACATTATTAGTTCTTTGCAGCTTTCCTAATAGCAAGCGACCCAACAGGATGGGCCATCTTATATTCAATTTCATAGCCCAGCAGGGGTTCTCAATCGTTAAGAAAGCCTTGCCTCCTCTGCACCCCTCCAAGTTTTGGATACGCTCCAGCTAGGGAGTTAGAACACCCCTCCCATTTGAGAATCACTGCTATGGACTGAAGTAATAAATACTGTGACTGTCCAAAGAATCCCTGCCTACTTCCATGGAGGAGCACAATTCTTCAGGAAGGTGTTGAGATTATTTGGAGAAGGTATCTTAGAGAAAGGGATGTTTCACCAAAATTAGAAAGACTGGAAGGGCTATGATTTGATGGAGGAAGTGTGAAGCTATTCTTGGAGCCTGGAACTTCCAATGAAAAGGCTCAAACGTGGGAGAGAAAGATGAACAAAACAGCCAAAAAATGTTGGGGAGGGTGCAGGTGTCGTCCGGGTACATTTAATGAGAAAAATGAGTGAGACTCCCGAGTAAGAATGGAGTTAACTAGTAATGAACCATGTTGGCCCTTAGCATTCCTGCTCAAGATAACTGCCTAGAGGCAGGGAGGCTCACTATTCCAAACAGAGGCCCACTCCTTTCAAAATCCAGCTTACATTCTTAAGATCCTTACCATCCTAACTGATCAAGGGTCTATAGGATCTAAACTACACTACAAGATTCTAACAATCAGTGTTAACAAGAAATACAAACCATGGCTACAAAATATGGGATTTTTTCATTTTTCTCCCAGAAAAATTCCCATGTATGTCAAATATTGTCACACAAACAAAAAGTATTTGTGAATTAACTTAAAACACTTGTCACAATTAACTTGACATGATCTAGATGATAACCAACAAAGTCTTCCCAGGGTGAACGGCAAACATTAAACAATGCCAAATTTCCATTCTAATTTTAACATCATAACCAATGTCTTTATTTCCAATATTACCTTGCTGTTTTCATACTTTCAAAATAAAACTAATAATCACGTAACAGGCCGGGCGCGGTGGCTCATGCCTGTAGGCGGGTGGATCACGAGGTCAGGAGATCGAGACCATCCTGGCTACTACGGTGAAACCCCGTCTCTACTAAAAGTAAAAAAAAAAAAAAATTAGCTGGGCATGGTGGCGGGCGCCTGTAGTCCCAGCTACTCAGGAGGCTGAGGCAGGAGAATGGTGTGAACCCAGGAGGAGGAGCTTGCAGTGAGCCAAGATTGTGCCACTGCACTCCAGCCTGGGTGACAGAGCGAGACTCCATCTCAAAAATAAAAAAAAAATGAAAAATAAAAATCACGTAACATTATGTAACATTAGCCTTAAAATACTGAGAGAACAGCTAACAGTGAAATGAACATCCCAAGCAGGGCTGCCCTCACACTGGGGCCATCACAGGGCACTCTATGTAATAAAGCCCATTACAGAGAGCAGCAGTGACCTAGCATACAATGGGAACGATGCCCCTGGACTTGTGTAATTTGAAGGCCGATTCCTTCTAGAGGAATTACTAAGCAATAGACTTTTTAAAAGGAAGAAGATTCAGAGAATGTTTAGAGCTAGAAGTCAGTCACTTCAATCAAGCCTTACCCTTCTTTCTGATCATCAGAATATTTCGGTACTTTTTAGAACAGATTTAGTCAAGACAGAGTCAATGCATTTGAATTTACCTTCTGTATTTCTTCACACCAACTGTTTTTAAAAAGTCAGTAAGAAATACTGTTCAGAAGTTTCACAAGATTTTAACTACAAAATAAAATACAAAAGCAGCTTTTCGAAAATGGTGTTGGTATGGTTTTTCCAATACAAAAAAGAACACCTCTCCCCTAACCCCAGCTTCCCGAAATCCTTCCTCTGTTTATGGTCAATTTATCAGCTTCAATCCCCACCCTACCCCACCCCTTGGTGGAGTTTAGGAGCCCAAGGCTGGCTATTTACAACATAGCATTTAAAATAACAAGGAATCTTATTGTAAAATCATTCCCCTCCCACCAAAAGAAAGCCCCTCCCACCAACCCTGTGATTTGCTAAGGAACATGTACAGCTCCAATTTACACTTAAACTATTTCAAACTCGATGGAGAAGCCAGAAGAATCCCTTCCAGTTCTATAATTCAATGATTCTAGTAATTCACCTTGGTAATTTTGCAAGACAGGCTAGCCTCTGCTCAGATACCTTAAACTGCCTGAGATTTGGAAAGTTATTAAATGTTCACCAACTTATATTCAAAGGAATGCTGGTATATTCATTACACTATTATTATATTCAGTGCCTTCTATACCTGCATGAGACAAAATTTTGTGAGACACTGACTTGTTAATTACAGTTAAATAGACGTCATAAACAGTTTATACGTTCTCATTTTGGAATATTTTTTCTGTTACTACCTTATTACAACGGTTGTTACAGAAAAAAAAAAAACATACAAAGCAGCTTACCAAAAATATACAACAAGATTTAGCACAAATTTCCTAATAATCAGCCATGAGTTACTTTTTCCATGATTAAGGGAAGGCCCCTCATCTTCTAAGTTAAAATTTTAAGCAAAACACTTGTGCAAGATCACACACATTTTTGTGATTTCCCATTCAAATTTCAGTATATTTGTTTCTTATTAAAATACGGGCAAACTTTCCTTTAAAAATGTACGTATTTGTTGAATACTTTGTGAAAAGAGCTGTTCAGCTATTAATTTGAATTTTTTACCGGCCAAATGTATACTCTATGGCTTAGTAGTTAAGGTGAAATAATTTTTTTAATGCTATTACATTAAAAACACTCTTGGCTGGGTGCGGTGGCTTACGCCTGTAATCCCAGCAGTTTGGGAGGCTGAGGCGGGCGGATCACAAGGTCAGGAGATTGAGACCATCCTGGCTAATACAGCGAAACCCCGTCTCTACTAAAAATACAAAAAATTAGCCGGGCGTGGTGGCACACGCCTGTAATTCCAGCTACTCGGGAGACTGAGGTAGGAGATCGCTTGAACCCAGGAGGCGAGGTTGCAGTGAGCCGAGATCGCGCCACTGCACTCCAGCCTGGGCGACAGAGCAAGACAACGTCTCAAAAAACAACAACAACAACAACAAAAAACACTCATATCCATCCTAGAGAAGCGTGAAAATGTAAAAGTTCTTGTTCAAAATTCTTGTCAGGTGGGGCGCGGTGGCTCACGCCTGTAATCCCAGCACTCTGGGAGACGGAGGCAGGTGGATCACCTGAGGTCAGGAGTTCGAGAGCCAGCCTGGCCAACACGGCGAAACCCGTCTCTACTAAAAAATACAAAATTAGCTGGGCTGGTGGCGCGGGCCTGTAATCCCAGCTACGTGGGAGGCTAAGGCAGGAGAATCGCTCGAACCTGGGAGACGGAGGTTGCAGTGAGCCGAGATCGCGCCACTCCCCTCCAGCCTGGGAGACAGAGCGAGATCTTGTCTTAAAATAACAACATTTTTGTCAAAAAAATCTGCAAGTTAAGTTCTTTCATGGTGATCCTCGCAAAATAGCATTTCTCATCCAAAGGCCTCAGAACAGCCGCCAGCCGCCGAGCTAACTCGGGACCCTGTTACCGGCTGCTTGGCGCCCTGGTCGGGTGGGTTTTACCTTCTTCAGGGTCCATTCCTCGCCTCGCCCCCCGTTCCCAACCCTCGGGACACTGGAGACTTGCATTTCACAAACGGGTTTGCTCCAGGCCGCACTCCATCCCCGAGGGAAAGCTCCCCAGAAGTTCTGGAGTTGGGCTGAAGGATGTGATGGCAAGATGTGAATGATGTCAGAATCCCCATCTCCAGAGTCCGGCTGGGGAGCTAAGCGCAGGTGAGCTTACATCAGAAGAGAAAGCCAAACCCCCCACACGTCGCTAAACTAGGGCACGGGAATGGCGTGTTATGCAACGGCCGCCGTTCGCGTGGCCACGAAAGCGCTCCTGCGCCTCGGGCCGCGTCCCGCCAAGACCGTGAGCAAACTCGCAGAGTTGGCGCGGCAGCCGGCCGGGAGACGCCGAGCAGGGCCTGGCCGCCCGCAGCCCGGGAGGAACGGCGCCCCCAGGGTCCGGTGGCCTCTGAGGGGCTGACTGGCCCGTGAGCCGGCGGCGCGGCCGCGGGGAACGGGGTGGGAACCGCGCGGCAGTGGGTGAGGCGGCGCAGCCACCGGGGGCTGAGGGGCGGCGCGGCCTCGACTGCGGCACCGCCGTGGGTCCGTCGGCTCGCGGGACGACGGGGCGGCCGGCGGGGGCCAACAGGGCGGGCTCTGAAGGACTGATTGGCCCGTGGGACGATGGCGCGGCCGGGAGGATGGCCCCGGATCCGTGGGACCGCTGCGCCGCCGGACCGGGGGTCCCGAGGCTGTCAGGGGCGCCCGGCCGGGCGTCTAGTGAAAAGCCGATCCCCCGGAGACAGCGGAAGCAGAGGCGCGCCCGGCGCTACGGCCTTTCGGGTCTAGGACACCGCCCCCGGCCCGCGCCGCCCCTGCCCCGCCGGGATCCCGGCCGCCCCGGTCGCCGCACAACAAAGCGGCGCAGCCCCGCTGCCCCCGCCCGACGCCGGCCTCCAACTTCCCCGGCTCCTCTGGAACCGGCTCCGCGGGCTCCGTACGGCCTGGACTACGAGCCGCCGGGCGGGGGCGGCTCCGGGCGGGCGCGGACCGTGGGGGCAGGGCGCAGGGCTCCGTCCGGACAAACTTCCTCGGCCGCCCCGCCGGGCGCCCTTCCCGGAGCCTCGGCACCACAGTAGGTGCGCGGAGCCGCAGGGCTCGACCGCTTCGCGGAAACTCTCGCCACCCTCCGAGCTGCCGCCCCGACCCCAGCTCCCAGCCCCCTCACCTCCAGGGGCGCGGTCTACACCCTCGGGGGCGTCCTGGCCGGCGGCTCCCGGGCCTCTCGCGCCGGGAGACCGGGCACTGGTGGCTGGAGCTGCTGCTGGCCCCGCAGGGACGGGGGAGCCCCGGGCGGCGGCGGTGGCGTGGACGGCGACTGCTCCATCTTCCCGGGGCGCTCACGCCGCGGTTCCAAAGCGCAGACCCAAGTGGGACATTCGCTACATTGTTGGCATTCCACGGGCGTCACGTGACCCCGCCTCCCGCGTCACTCTCGGCCGCATACCAGTCCGGGCGGGGCGCCTGCGGCCCCTGCTCCTCCGCGGCCGCTCCGCCCAGCCCCGCCCGGCCGTGCTTCCTGCCTCCGGCCTCGACCGCCACCTGCCCACGGCCTCCCTGCTGGCCTGCGGTAGCTCGCCAGGGCCTCTCGGACCTATTTGACTGGCTGCTATCTGCCCCCAAACTTGAGTATTTGCCCTCTCGACTGCATTTGTATTAAAAGTTGGTAACTGTCGTTAAAGCCACTATTCTTAAGTATCTCATACCAGTCTTGGTGAAAGAAAAAAAAAAGTTAGCAGGCCTGAAGGAGCCACCAAGTTACCAACTAGTGGCTGGACACTAAAAATAGGGGCAGAAAAGGACAGACGGCTATTGGGACAGTGGAATCAAACAATTAAGAAGGACGTTTGCCAGAAGCGGTGGCTCACGCCTGTAATCCCAGCACTTTGAGAGGTCTAGGCGGGTGGATCACCTGAGGTCGGGAGTTCGAGACCAGCCTGACCAACTTGGAGAAACCCCCGTCTCTATTAAAAATACAAAATTAGCCAGGCGTGGTGGCTCATGCCTGTAATCCCAGCTCTTCGGGAGGCTGAGGCAAGAGAATCACTGGAACCCGGGAGGCGGAGGTTGCGGTGACCTGAGATCGCATCATTGCACTCCAGCCTAGGCAAGAAGAGCAAAACTCCGTCTCAAAAAAAAAAAAAAAAGAACGTCTGATGCACACCCAAATTTAACCTGATTTAATTTAATCAACCTCCCCTCCCCATGTATATTTTCTTTCTGAGAAGTATTTTATGGTGTAGGGAATAGTATAGTACCGTATATACCAGCAAGTGAGGTCGTGGGTTTTGAACAGCTTCACTATCCATTTGAGGACTGTGGATCTGGTACAGGGACAGAAGCAGGGATGGTGCAAAGATTCACAGTAGAAATAATAGACTGGAAGCCAAATCCTCAGTCTACTTCTGGCTCTCCTAACATCATACTTCCTACCACCTATATCTGTGGCAAGTGATGCTGAGGGTCAATATAGTGTTTAAAGTCAACTCGATTTCCTCTTTAATTGACAAACTCTTGTGAAATTTTTAAATTTTACTCTCATGGGAAACAGTAGTAAAGGTCATTATCTGTGCACTATTTTGACAGTCTCACCCAGCCTTCAGTCCCTGGTTCATCCTCCTCCCCTCCCTCTCTTTCAATCTCTTAAGGCCTCAGCTCTTCCAGGGAATCTTCTCAGATCTCTGTTTTCTCTCTTCTTTGGGCTCTGATAATCAAACCGTAATCCCTTCCTGCCAGCAGAAGTGTGCAAAAAAAAAAAAAAGAAACCATCATCGTGCAGCTTAGAATTCAATTTAATTTTTCGATAGTATCCTGTATGCTACCCAGATATCTTGCACAGTACTGGGAGCAAAATAAGTCTCCAGCCAATATTCTGCAATTGAGCCCTACTGGCATTACCTATGTACTTTTCCACATTTTTTCCTTTTTTTCTTAGAGACAGAGTCTCACTCCATTGCCCACGCTGGAGTGCAGTGGCACAATCATAACTTACTGCAGCCCACATCAGCCTTGAACTCCTGAGCTCAAGCCATCCTCCTGCCTCAGCCTCTAGGGTAGCTGGGAACACAGGCGCACACCACCATGCTTGGCCTTCTTTTCACTCTTAAGCTGACTATACTTTCTCCACCCCAACCCCAAGCCACATGGCTGCTAATCTTTTTTTGTTGTGTGTTTAAAGATCCTGCTCCTGCTCTGCCTTCAAAGATGTAAAAATAATTTTTAAAACACTTGTGGAATGAAAAATATTATAAAATAGATTTAATGGACCTTAAAATTTGTGCATAAAATACCTAATAAAAATGTTGCAGTTACAATGATCATTTCAGCATTGTTTGCAGTAGTGAAAAATTGAGAAAAACCCCAAATGTCCAGTCAAGGGGTAGGAAAATGAAAGGTAGATATCCAAATGATGGAATATACACAGTAGCTAAGTTAATGAACTAGCTCTGTAGTTGTAAAGGATAAATGATGGTAGAAAGAATTCAAAAGCACTGTGGAGTGAAAAAAAGCAAGTTGCAGAACTATATATATACACTGTGATACCATATTTATAAATAATCAAAATCCCACAGAACCTAAAATGATCACATACTTTATATAAGTATAGACATAGAATGCAATATCACACACACCAAATTCATGACAGCTGTTGTTTATATTAGAGGGAAGGAGGGAAATTGAGCAGAGAAAAAAAATGAAGACTTCAACTTTACAATGCTTTCTTTTATTTAAAAAACGGAAATAAAACTCAAAATCTTAAAAGTTGTTGGTTCTGGGAGGTTGGGTTCAATAATGTGTGCTATACTATTCTTTGTGCCTTTTTTAAAAAACATTAAAAATTTTAAATTTTATATATATATATGAATACAGACAAATTGGAAACAAGTTTCCAAGATAGGGGCTTGGTTGGGAAAGCTGACACGCTCACATGGAAGAATGTTGTGATTAACGATTTGTGTTTATTAACATGCAGTCATTCATTCCTTCTCATTTTTGTTTGTTGTTGTATGTTTGGGTTTTTGTTTTGTTTTCTGTTTTGTTATCGGTACCTGCTATGAACCATGTGCTAAAATTAAAAAACCCATGTTTGGGTTTTTGTTTTGTTTTGTTTCTGTTTTGTTTTGTTATTGGTACCTGCTATGAGCCATGTGCTAAAATAAATCATACTTGGGATAACATGGTAAGCAAAACCATAAGATTTATCCCCTGATGGGGTTTATAGTGTGGTAGAGGTAGAGGTGTTCAAGAAAAACACATGCTGGGCATGGTGGCTCATGCCTGTAATCCCAGCACTTTGGGAAGCTGAGATGGGTGGATCACTTGAGGCCAGGAGTTCGAGACCAGCCTAGCCAACAGAGTAAGATCCCATCTCTACTAAAAACAAAAAAAAGAAAGGAAAAACAGCAACAATATAAGTTTATTTTATATGTATATACAATAAACTATGTACACATGTATATTTTTTAAACTATTTTTAAAGCCCAGAAAATTACACAGCCAAATGTTAAAAGTGGTAGTCTCTGGATGTAGTGTAGTGATTCTGAATGGTTTTGTCTTATACTTCCTGATACTTCTATAGTAGGATAGTTAACATAATTTTTTTTCTTTTTTTCTTTTTCTTTTTTTTTTTTTGAGATGGAGTCTTGCTCTGTCGCCCAGGCTGGAATGCAATGGTGAGATATCAGCTCACTGCAACCTTGCAACCTCCATCTCCCGGGTTCAAGCAATTCTCCTGCCTCATCCTCTGGAGTAGCTGAGATTATAGGCATGCTCCACCATGCACGGCTAATTTTTGTATTTTTAGTAGAGATGGGGTTTCACCATGTTGGCCAGGCTGGTCTCGAAATCCTGACCTCAGGTGATCTGCCTGCCTTGGCCTCCCAAAGTGCTGGGATTACAGGCTTCAGCCACCATGCCTGGTCCAGAAAATGTTTTAAAGTTAATCAGTTAAATAAGCACATCTACATAATGTATCTAGCTGAGAAGAGGAGAAAAAGAGACAACACAAGACCAGCTGAGCATAGAGCGGACAGTAGTAACAAAATTGGAGTGTATAAATTAACTGACATAGTATATACATATGTGTATGTGTGTGTCCTTATTCTATACCAAGTATTGCTCTAAATTTGTATATTATATCATTTAATTCTCAAAACGACCATGTTATTCAACCCATTTTATAAAAAAGGATCCTGAAATGCAGACGGCTCAAGTAACTTGTCCAAGATCAAAGAGCAGAGATTCAGACCTTCATAGATCTAACTCCAGAGATTGGAAACACTGAATTATAATGCCCTCTCTAGATAATCTCAAGAAGTCATGAGGCTGGGCATGGTGGCTCACGCCTGTAATCCCAGCACTTTGGGAAGCTGAGGCTGGTGGATCATGAGGTCAGGAGTTCGGGACTAGCCTGGCCAAAATGGTGAAACCCTGTCTCTACTAAAAATACAAAAATTAGCTGGGCGTGGTGGCAGGCACCTGTAATCCCAGCTACTCGGGAGGCTGAGGTAGGAGAATTGCTTGAACCCAGAAGGTGGAGGTTGCAGTGAGTGGAGACCAAGCCACTGCACTCTAGCCTGGACAACAGAGCAAGACTTCATCTCAAAAAAAAAGTAAAAAAAAAGGCACATGATTACAACATACTCATAAGTAAGGAAACTGAAAACAAATTACTCCCTTATACTTCCTCTGAAAGGGGAATGGACTTTGTGGAGTGAGGAAGAGGGGAACTCAGAGACTTGTGTCTCCAGCCTCAACCAAAGCAGAGAACGATTCCAGGCCTAGCAGACACAGAGAATCCACTTGCTTGTGAGGCCTCTGCAGTTGTGAAGCCAGGATAGTGTAGGGGTTCTCTCCCTAAGGCTCCTATAGAATATCAACTATGGCTGGGTACGGTGGCTCACACCTGTAATCCCAGCACTTTGGGAGGCCGAGGCGGGCGGATCCCTTGAAGCCAGGAGTTCTAGACCAGCCTGGCCAACGTAGCGGAACCCTTTCTCTACTAAAAATACAAAAATTAACCAGGCATGGGGGTACATGCCTGTAATCCCAGCTACTCAGGAGACTGAGGCACGAGAATCGCTTGAGCCCAGGAAGTGGAGGTTGCAGTGAGCCGAAATGGCGCCACTGCACTCCAGCCTGGGCGACAGAGCCAGACTCTATCTCAAAATAAAATAAAATAAAATCTGCCTAACTACAGAAGAATGTTCTCTATGGGCAGTAGCATAAAAATAGAATAGGATCAGATCATGCAAGACCCAGACAACCGAGAAGAAAACGGAACATCGACTTGTTTCATTTGTTTTAGAGTCGTTTTATATCCATATACAGTAGTTTATGTCCTTAACTAAATTATGCATTCCTTAAGAACAGAGAAGATATTCTCCCCCAAAAACCATATGTAAAGAACATTTTAATGGTAAAATTCAAGGCCAGGTGTGGTGGTTCACACCTGTAATCCCAGCACTATGAGAGGCTGAGGTGGGAGGATCACTTGAGTCCAGGAGTTCAAGACCAGCCTGGGCAACATGGCAAAACATTGTCTCTACATAAAAATACAAATAAATTAGCTGGGCATAGTGGCACATGCCTGTGGTCCCAGCTATTTAGGAGGCTGAGGCTGCAGTGAGCCATGATTGCTCCCACTGCACTCCAGTCTAGGTGACAGAGGCCCTGTCTCAAAAAAAAAAAAAATTGCACTTAATACATTCAATTTAACAGTTTTGGGTTTTGTTTTTTTTTTTTTTTTTGGCCTTTTTTTTGTTTTTCGTTTTTGTTGGGTGGGGGAGAACATAGGCGTATGCCATCCCACCAGGCTAATTTTTTTGTATTTTTTGTAGAGATGTTATTCTGCCATATTGCCCAGGCTGGTCTTGAGTGTTGGGATTATAGGCATGAGCCACCGCACCAGGCTTTGTCTGTGTTTTGAGGAATTGTTGTTGTTGTTGTGGTTAGTTATTATGAAATGTTTATCTATTAGTCTGTGCCTCCAGTTCCTGAAACAGAGCTCTTAATATCCTTGTATGTAGGGGCGCTAGGAGAATCTTCTGTTCTAATATTTGGTCTTTGACCCCAATTCCTGACACATAGCTCCTGAATCCCTCAGAATTTCCTGGGCGATAGGAGCATCTTTGTTCCAATCAGGTGACTGTTGGTGGCTCCTGGATGGAGACTGGTTGCCAGAAAGACCAAGTCATGATTAGACTCTTGGAACTTTCAGCCCTATCTCCCATCCTCCAGGAAGGGGAGAGGGGCTGGTGATTGAGTTAATAATCATGCCAACATCATAAAGCCTCCATAAACTGCAGTGTTCAGGAGCTTCTGGGATGATGAATATATCTGCATGCTGGGAGGGTGGCACACTCCAGCTCCATGGGGACAGAAAGCCCAGCACTCAGGACTCTTCCAGACCTCAACCTATGTATCTCTTCTGTTCATCTGTATCCTTTATAGTATCTGTCATTAACCTGTAAATGCGGGTGTTTCCATGAGTTTTATTATTTTTATTTATTTATTTTTTTGAGACAGAGTCTCGCTCCGTCGCCCAGGCTGGAGAGCAGTGGCATGATCTCAGCTCACTGCAAACTCCGCCTCCCGGGTTCAAGTGATTCTCCTGCCTCAGCCTCCCGAGTAGCTGGAATTACAGGCGTGCGGCACCATGCCTGGGTAATTTTTGTTGTTTTTTAATTTTTTTTCAGTAGAGACGGGGTTTCACCATGTTGGCCAGGCTGTCTCAAATTCCTGACCTCAAGTGATCTGCTGGCCTCGGCCTCCCAAAGGCATGAGCCACTGCACCCGGCCTCCATGAGTTTTATAAGCCATCCTAGCAAACTAATAAAACCTGAGAAGGGGTAGTGAAAAGTGATTTACAGACAGTTGATTACCAGTTTAGGTGACAACCTACTATTGGCATCCCAAATGGGGGCAGTATTCTAGGACTGAGCCCTTAACCTATGGGGTCTGCACTAACTCCAGGTAGATAGTGTCAGAATTGAACTGAATTATTCTAGGACACCCAGTTGGTGTGTGATGGGAAAAACCCACACGTTTTGGTGACCAGAAGTGTGTTGAGTGTTGAATGTGAATGTAGAAGGAAAAACTTTTGCCTCAGTTGGTTTTTTCTTTAGAGTTGTTTTGTCTCTGTTAGGTAATCAGCTATTTTTTTCTCTGCTATTAAGAATCCAGTCTTTAGTAATATATCATACCTTATTAATTTTAAACTTTTAATCTATTAGCAAAGAAACATTGCTTAGCTTATTAAAATTATATGTAAAGTAAAAACTAATAGAACTTCTTATCCTTAAAACCTTTTTTTCTATGCAGAGAACCAGAACTTTCTGACAGCTATTTCAACTATCAAAAGACCTTTTGCTCCCTCATTTCCTAGACATTTTCCACAGAGTTTATAATATTGGACGTCAGATTTAGGGAAAAGTGGAGTATTACTGTTTTGTTTGTTTTTGCTTTTTTGAGACAGGGTCTGGGTCTGTCACCCAGGCTGGAGTGCAGTGGCATGATCACGGCTCACTGCAGCCTCGACCTCCCAGGCTCAAGGGATCCTCCTACCTCAGTCTCCCCAGCAGCTGGGACTACAGACGCATGCTACCACGCCTGGCTAATTTTTGTATTTTTTGTAGACACTGTGTTTCGCTATGTTGTCCAGGCTGGTCCCGTACTCCTGGGCTCAGGTGATTTCCGCCTCTCGAGGTGTTAGGATTACAGGCATGAGCCACCTCGCCCAACGAGTATTATTATTATTATTGTTTGTTTGAGACAGAATCTCACTCTGTCACCTAGGCTGGAGTGTAGTGGTGCAATCTCAGCTCACTGCAACCTCTGCCTCCCATGTTCAAGTGATTCTCCTGCCTCAGCCTACTGAGTAGCTGGGACCACAGGCCTGCGCCATTACGTCCGGCTAATTTTTGTATTTTTAGTAAAGACAGGGTTACGCCATGTTGGCCAGGTTGGTCTCAAACTTCTGAGCTCAAAGTGATCCACCCGCCTCGGCTTCCCAAATTGCTGGGATTACAGGTGTGAGACACCGCACCTGGCCTATTTTGTATTTTTAAAAAGCCTTTATTTAATAGGTTTTGCCACTAGTTTTCTTTCTTAATTTAAATCGTATTTTTAAATTTGTGGTAAAATATACATTACATAAAACTTACCATTTTAACCATTGTAACCATTACAAATTCTCATTTTGTACAATTATGAAAACAATTTGGGTACCAGGGGAGAAAATCTTCAGTATTAAATTTCAATTCTTATTCATGTTTTCCAATATTAAAATCATGAGACTGTACATTTTCCTCTGATTTTAATTTATTTCTAATTGCTTTGCTTTTAGCTATTTTGGAAAACTGAATCTCCAGGAAAATACAGCAACAGCCTCTAATGCATAGTTAGGGAAGGCCCAGGGTTCCAGCAACTTTCCAGGGCAACCACCTGACCAGTCCCCGCAGACCTCCCTTTCCAGCCACCTCCAGAGACTCCAAGTGTAGCTTCATTCTCCAAATAGCCACTCTGCTTCTCAGATGAGTAATAAACTATGTGGTTGCGTAAGTCAGAATTGCTCAATAATTTGAGAAGATTCATTCCCAGAAAAGCTCAAAGATACACTATGAAGATACAAATCACATTCTGCATTTACAGAATTCTTGTGTTGACACTTACGTTAGTAAGAGAAGAATTGCTAAAACAATTTTTTTTCTTACCACGTCCCCCGAAAGCTTACTCTGTCTGCTGAGTGAGCTATGACAGCAACACCAACTATTTACTCATTTCTCATTACGTTTACAGTTGGCTGCAACTTCCATTTCATTTGCAGACCTGAGCAGAATGCTGCTTTGTCTATAATTAAAAGAAACATCCCATTGAAAAGGTGAAGTTTTAATTCTATATGCTCCAAAACCTTCCATTTAAATTTTTTATCAAACGTTTGCAGTAAACATTGGTAAAACTTGCTTTAGGAGCAACAGGGTAAGGCCCAAACTCTCATCTCAACAAGAATCCATTTCCATAACAAAACTAATATTTTCAAAGTCATCTGAGTTAATCTAAATTGACAATACATATTTAATTGTGTAACTGTAAAGGAAACATTTTCATGATATGTTTTTAAACTTTGAATTTAAAATTAACTACTAAATGTTGTTTTGGTTGTTATTTTACAGCTCCTTTTAAGACCAGTATTTTTTTTTTTTTTTTTTTGAGATGGAGTCTCGCTCTGTTGCCCAGGCTAGAACGCAGTGGTGCGATCTCAGCTCACCGCAAGCTCTGCCTCCCGGGTTCACGCCATTCTCCTGCCTCAGCCTCCCGAGTAGCTAGGACTACAGGCACCCGCTACCACGCCCAGCTAATTTTTTTTTATATTTTTAGTAGAGAACAGGGTTTCACTGTGTTAGCCAGGATGTTCTTGATCTCCTGACCTTGTGATCCCGCCTCGGCCTCCCAAAGTGCTGAGATTACAGGCGTGAGCCACCATGCCTGACCTTAAGACCAGTATTTTGCTTTATCAGCCGGGCGAGGTGGCTCACGCCTGTAATCCTAGCACTTTGGGAGGCCGAGGTGGGAGGACTGTCTGAGCTCAGGAGTTCGAGACCAGCCTGGGCAACATGGTGAAACCTGTCTCTACTAAAATACAAAAAAAAAAATTAGCCGGGTGTGGTGGTGTGTGCCTATAGTCCCAGCTACTCCAGAGGCTGAGGCAGGAGAACTGCTGAACCCGGGAGGCCGAGGCTGCAGTGAGCCAAGATCATGCCACTGCACTCCAGCCTGGGTGAAAGAGTGAGACTCGTCTCCTAAAAAAAAAAAAAAAACCCTCAGTATTTTGCTTTATCAACCAGAGCTGATAAATAAAAACCGAATGAGTTATCTTTGCCTGCTTGATAAATGGGTTTGATAATGAAAACCATGATGAGATTATGATAAGGTGATTCACCTGCAGAAGTGGAAGCCGGCCAGTAACCAAGAGGCTGCCAAATTTCAGAGAGCAAAGGGAAATCTACACAAATCAGGATGCAGTCTCTGCAGATCGTATTTGATAGTTGGTAACCCCAGGCCAAAAAGAGTTCTTGGGTTTGAGGTTGGAACTCGAAAAATGTCCTAGAGCTAATAGCCTTCAGAAAGACATTGGTGGGAGGAAGAACTAATGTTTGAGGTAAAGATACTTGGAAGGAGAAAAGGACAGAACAAAGTCACAGAGAAAGCCTGGTATTTGAGGCATGCAGATAATGGACTTCTGAGAGAGCAGGGAAGATGTTAGAGAAATAGGGAAATGAAGTAAACAAAGAAGTAGACAGATGAGATGGCACAGCTCTGCGATTATGTACAGTCAAACAAATACTTGGGGAGTAAGCTGTAAAAATTATTTCGGAGAGCCCAGCATGGTGGCACATGCCTGTAGTCCCAGCTACTTGGGAGGCTGAGGCAGGAGGATCACTTGAGCCCAGGTCCAATGAAATGGCTATTTCCTGCATAGGATCTGTCCCCATACCCTGCTTGTGCCTTTCCAGGCCTGGATGTCCCCTCCCCAGTTTCTCTTTTGGTTGAAATCCTTCTCATTTGCAGTAGGCAGAATAATAGCCACCCCCAAAGATGTCCATGCCTTAATGACTGAAACCAGTGACTGTGTTACCTGACTTGGCAAAGGGGGAGCTGTAGATGTGGTTGTGGTTACAAACCTTAAACGGGGGAGACTATGCTGGATTATTCAGGTGGGGCCCAGCGTAGTCAAATGGGTCCTTAAAAGCAGTAGAAGGCAGAAGGGGAGGCTAGAAAGATGCAACAGCAAAAGAAGGACTTGACCCTGCTGCTAGTTTTGAAGATGGAGGCCACAAGTCAAGGGATGCAGCAGCTTCCAGAAGCTGAGAACAGCCAGCAAGAAACACTCCCCAGTCCTAAAACCACAAAGACCTGAATTAGGCTAAAAGCCCAACTAGCAGGAACAGCCCCTTTGCTAGAGCCTCCAGGAAGGGATGCAGCTCTCCAGCTCCTTGGTTTTAGTCCAACAAGATCAACATTGGGCTTCTGACCTACAGGACTATAAGATAATCAAGTTATGTTGCTTTCAGCCACTAAGTTTGTGGTTCAGTAGTCCCCCCTTACCTGTGACTTTGCTTTTCACAGATTCAGTTACCTACTGTCAACCAAGGTCAGAAAATAGGTGAGTACAATACAGTAAGATATTTTGGGAGAGAGAGAGACCAAATTCACATAACTTTTATTACAGTATATTGTTATAATGGTTAATGGTTCTATTTTATTTTTAGTTTTTTTTTCTTTTCTTTTTTTTTTTTTTCTGAGATGGAGTCTCACTCTGTTGCCCAGACTAGAGTCCAGTGGCACGATCTCAGTTCACTGCAGCCTTCGCCTGCTGGGTTCAAATGATTCTCTTGCCTCAGCCTCCCGAGTAGCTGGGACTACAGGTGCACGCCACCACGCCCAGCTAATTTTTGTATTTTTAGTAGAGACGGGGTTTCACCATGTTGGCCAGGCTGGTCTCAAACTCCTGACCTCAAGTGATCCGCCCATCTTGGCCTCCCAAAGTGCTGGGATTACAGGGCGTGAGCCACCGTGCCCGACCAGTTATTGTTGTTAATCTCTTACTGTGCCTAATTTATAAATTATCATAGGTATGTATGTATAGGAAAAACATAGTTTATATAGGGTTCAGGGCTATCTGCAGTTTCAGGCATCCACAGGGGGATGAACGTATCCCCTGCAAGTAAGGAAGGAAAACTGTATTTGTTACGGCAGCAACAGGAAACAACTACACCATCCTTCATGGCCTGCTTCTCACTCAGTGTCTCTGAGAAGTTGTTCTTGATCTTAGCCAGGAACAGCCCCCTTTGCTTTTTCCTGAATTCCCAGGAGCTCTGTGGGACTTCTGCCCCCTGAGAAATGGTCTGGTGTCATGATTCCTTGTAGACCTGTCTCATATTATTAGAGTTTTAGCTCTTTGAGGTAAGAGGTTAGGATGTAGGCAGGTATGGTAGCTGCCACAGTATCCAACCCCTTGCCTAGTACATAGAAGCCACTCAACAAATTGTGTTTTACATAAAAAAGTGGACAAATGGAAGCCTCCATAAACACGGCAGAAACAAAATAACTATAGTTGGTACAACCTTTCTCTTCTCTTTTCCCACAGGTTAGTTATTATTATTTTATCTCTGAAATTAGAAGCCATTTCTTTACTATCTATTGTCTGTGGCCCCAAAATTATTTGAGTACTTCCTGTTAACAAGAAATGTTATTCTTGTCACATAGTTATATTTCATGTGTTTCCAAAGAAGAGGACCTTAGAACTTTAAGGAATTAATAATAAATAAGAATGCCTGCTTGGCCGGGCGCAGTGGCTCACGCTTGTAATCCCAGCACTTTAGGAGGCCGAGGCGGATGGATCACCTGAGGTCAGGAGTTCGAGACCAGCGTGGCCAACATGATGAAACCCCATCTCTACTAAAAATACAAAAATTAGCCGGGCGTGGTGGCACACACCTGTAATCCCAGCTACTCAGGAAGCTAAGGCAGGAGAATTGCTTGAACCTGGGAGGCAGAAGTTGCAGTGAGCCGAGTTTGAGCCATTGCACTCCAACCTGGGTGACAGAGCGAGACTCTGTCTCAAAAAAAAAAAGAATGCCTGTGGCTGGGCATGGCGGCTCACACCTTTATCCCAGCACTTTGGGAGGCCGAGGTGGGTGGATCACTTGAGGTCAGGAGTTTGAGACCAGCCTGGCCAACATGGTGAAACCCCATCTCTAATACAAATAGAAAAATTAGCCAGCTGTGGTGGCAGGTGCCTGTAATCCCAGCTACTCAGGAGGCTGAAGCACAAGAATCACTTGAACCTGAGAGGCGGAGGTTGTAGTGAGCCAAGATGGCACCACTGCACTCCAGCCTGGGAACAGAATGAGACCCCATCTCAAAAAATAAAATAAATAGAATGGCAGGGTGCGTGTTTCACGCCTGTCATCCCAGCACTTTGGGAGGCAGATGCGGGCAGATCACTTGAGGCAGGAAGTCAAGACCAACCTGCCCAACATGGTGAAACCGCATCTCTACTAAAAAAAACAAAAACAAAACAAAAAAAAAACTGGGCATGGTGGCCTACATCTGTAGTCCCAGCTACTGGAGAGGATGGGGTGCGGGGAGGATAGAGGCTGAGGTGTGAGGATTGCTTGAGCCCAGAAAGTCGAGGCTGCAGTGAGCTTCAACTTGGGCGACAGAGTGAGACCCTGTCTCAAAAAAAAAGAACTTTAAGAAGTCAAGACAAAAAGAAAATATTTGTTAAACATTTTAAACAACTGAAACTACACTAAAAATCACAACTCAAGAGTGAAACTAACAGGCTCGTTTTCTAAGGGGAGATCGGACATGATAGATGTTTTTCCCAGCCTGTCTTCTAAGCATCCACATCACACTCGCAGATGGCCCTTCCATCTGACAAATCGTGTACTAATTATTTTTCAAAATGTGTATGAGTTGAAGATCTCCCTAATGACTGTGCAACTATTCAAATGTTGAACACAACTTAGCTGGAGAAATCTGGAGAAGTCTGGCTGGGAAGGGAAGAAGAAGCAGGAAAACAGGGCTAAGCCAAGACGTGCAGCTGGAGCAGAAGGAGTCAGAACGGGCTGGCAGAGAGCGCTGAGCTCCCAGCAGGGGAAGAAACCAAAGAACATGGAGGCTCCTGCGACGAGAGGCCTGTAGGTTTTGGGCGCCCACCCTGCTACCGTAGAATGGTTCTTGGCAATAGATTTCTCAATTTCCTTCTCCAGTTTAATTTTTTAATAACTGAGTACAGTTAAAAATAGAGTAAGATCACAGTCTCCCAAGCACAGTTCCTTTTTTATTTGTGGTCCCCAAGAGGAGTCAAAAGTAAGAGCAGGGACTGGGGGGTACCCTGTGTGTCCTGGCATCATTTCACGGAAGGTAAGGCCATGTCACCACATCCCCAGTACAGGGCTGGCCCGGCATGGTATCCGCAGGAAACAGTGATCGAGCCCTCCTTCCTCCTACGTCCCCACCGCATCCTGGGCAACATTTTCTCTCTTAACTATAACCGCTGAGTATTTGTATTTTTCAGGGAACCTCAGGAGACATAAAGCCTTTAAGGTTTAAAGGACTGAATCTCTTCCGGTGCAATTTCTGGAATTATAAGTATATTTTTTTCCTTTCTTCATTCATTCATTCAATACGTATGTTTTGAATTCCAGGCATAGCGCTAGCCATGGAGACCATAGTGGTGGGCAACGCAGACACGACCCTGTCGTCACAAAACTTAAAGTTTAAAGAAGACAGACTAATAAAATAATCACAGAAACGAATATCTGCTGCGAAGCAGTAGGAAGTGCCCTGCGGTCTGTTTCCCCTAGCAGAGACTGGCCTTGTGGCGGAAGACCCCCGCGCGTAGGGAGGGCCGGTGCGGCGACTCCGGGCGGGGCGCGCTGTTGGTGTCCAGGGCGCGGAGCCTGCGCCAGCTTCACAAAAGCGGTGTGGACGCCTGAGCCAGTCCGCTCTTGCTGGACGGCTCCCCATAGTTTAGCCCAAAAATCCCCCTCTGGGTGGCTCTGGCAGGAGTGATTTAGGGCCACAATTAGGTTGGACGAGGAGTGGGGACTTGCCCCGAGCTGCCTTTGCAGACCCGGCGGCGGCGTTCTCCCCAAGGCTGCCCGCTTGGCTGCGCGGCTGAGGCGAGTTGAGGACCCAGCCCGTCCCCAACTCTCCTCACCCCTCCGCCCCCCGCTCGCCTCACCCCTCCGGCCCCCGCCCCCCCCCCTCCGTCCCCCACTCTCCTCACCCCTCCGCCCCGCCCGCTCCTCTCACCCCTCCGGCCCCCACCCTCCTCACCCCTCCGCCCCGCCCGCTCCTCTCACCCTTCCTCCCCCCGCCCCCGCTCTCCTCACCCCTCCGGCTCCCGCCTGCTCCACCCCTCTGCGCCCCCCCACGACCCCTCCGGCCCCTGCTCCCCACACCCCTCCTCCACCCTCACCCCTCCGCCTCGCCCCGGGGTGGGGACCTGCCCGGGCGGCTTCCCCATAGGCCAGTGCTGGGCCCGCGGTGCTTCTAGCGGCCCAGGGAAACGTTTTAATTTTCATTTATTTTAAAATCAAAATAAATAATTGAATGTGATAACATTGAATCTATAATAATAAAAACTCCAGTCTGGGTCATGTTCGCCTTTAGACACTAAGTCATGAAACCACTTACATCTTCAGGAGGAAGGGCACGTGGAGGCTGCAGTCGTCGCACAGTGCAGGGGCGGAGGGGCGGTGGCTGAGGCTGCAGGGAGGAGAGGGGAGGCCCGGGGGTGGGGGGGCGGCCCAGCCAGGCCCTGTGAGAAGGGAAGGATGGAAGTCACTGGAAGGCTTAAGGGGGCGAAACTTGATGTTATAAAGAGAACGCTGTGGCCGGGAGCGGTGGCTCACGCCTTTAATCCCAACGCTTTGGGAGGCCAAGGCGGTGTGATCGCGTGAGGTTGGGAGTTCGAGACCAGCCTGACCAACGTGGAGAAACCACGTCTCTACTAAAAATACAAAATTAGCCGGGCAGGGTGGCTCATGCCTGTAATCCCAGCTACTCAGGAGGCTCAGGCAGGAGAATCGCTTGAACCCGGGAGGCGGAGGTTGCGGTGAGCTGAGATCACGCCATTGCACTCCAGCCTGGGCAACAAGAGCGAAGCTCCTCAAAAATAAATTAATAATAAATAAAATAAAGAGCACGCTGAGGCAGGGCTCACATCCATAATCCCAGAAGTTTGGGAGGCAGTGGAGGGCAGATCGCTTGAGGCCACGCATTTCAGACCAGCCTGGGCAACATAGCAAGACCCCATCTCTACAAAAAATACAAAAATTCCCCGGGCATGATGGTGCGGGCCTCCGGTCCCAGCTACTTGGGAGACTGAGGCTGAAGGATTGCTTGAGCCTAGGAGGTTGAGGCTGCAGTGGAGCCGAGATTGCCGCTCTGCACTCCAGCTTGGGCGACAGAACCAGAACCTGTAAAAAGAAAAAAAAAACAGCAAAAAAAAAACACCCCAAAACCGCACTCTGGCTACTGAGTGGGAGCAGCAGTTGTGGGGAAGAGGCAAGCGGAAGTAGACAGAGCCGAGGTCCCATGGCAGCTGAGCACCGAGGGTGAGGGCTTCTCAGGGCAGGCCCTGGTAGTCAGCTAGGGAAAGCTCTGCCAACATCGGGATCCTAAACAACAGGAGTTCACTCCTCTCACACTCATGGAGGCTGGAAATCCGGAACCAAGGTGTGGGTAGGCTGGGCTCCTGTGAGGCCGAGGGAGGATCTGTTTCAGGCCTTTCTCCTAGCTTGACGTCTCCTGGTCATCTCAGGCATTACCTGGCTGGCTGGTTGCTGTCTTCTCCCTGTAACTTTCTCCTTTCTTCCCTTTCCTTCCTTTTTCTTTTCTCTCCCTCTCGCTTTCGACAGGGTCTTGCTCTGTTGCCCAGGCTGGAGTGTAGTGGCCCAATCTCGGCTCACTGCAGCCTCTATCTCCTGGCCTCAAGTGATACTCCCGACTCAGCCTCCTGAGTGCTGGGATCCCAGGTGCGCGCCACCGCACCTGGCCCCGCCTTCCCTTTTGAATGTCTTCCGGATGCAGCCTTGGCACTTTCTCTAGCCATCCCCTCCTTTGGTTCCCAGGCCCAGCTCTCCCTTCTCCCTCAAACCGGATCCAGCCCTCCTGCACCCCGGCCTGTGTGCAGCCGCAGGAGAGGAGTAAGCCAGCCTCTCGCGTGCGGTGCTCTCTGCATAGGTTTAGTGGTGGGGACCAACACGCGAGCTGGCGCTTTCCGTGCGAGCCCAGCATCAGGCGGAGGCCCAGGGCCAACCGGACTCTGAACAAAGGGAGCCGACAAATGAGAAAGCAAAGGTACCTCAGAGACTACGAAGCCCTTCAGATGGAAATGGTCATCTCCCAACAGCCTCTCTGGACCACTGCCTGCAAGCCCGGCCCACACATCTTGGACCCAGGCTGGAGACACAGACAGCCAGGTGTTGATGCCCACGCGCAGCTCCAAGACCCCGGGGAGCCTCCGCCAGGCCGGAACCTGCGCCAGGCTTCTCTGGAACCTTCTCTCCAGGACGCTCTTCTGCGGTTACTGAAAAAGGGAGTCTACATGAATTAATAAGTGAAGGTGAGGAAGGGAGGGAGGGAGGGAAGGAGGGAGGGAGGACGGAAGGAAGGAAGGAAGGAAGGAAAGAGGGAGGGAAGGAAGCGGGGGAGGGACGGAGGGCCTTACCTCCTACTTGACAACAGCTCCATGGCAGGGATTATTTTAGTCTTGGTTCCATCCCAGCACCTAGAAAAGGGCCTGGCAAGTAGGAGGTGATCAATAAATGTGATAGAACAATTGAAATTAATGACTTTCTAAAGAACCAATCAGGCAAGTGACGTGAACTCATGGTTCCTTCAGCTGCCCAGGAATGCTGTGTATGTGTTTCTGTTTATTTTCCAGATGGTTTTGATTCTTAATAGTTTTCCCACTTATTGCTCTGAAAGCTCCCATTGCTCTTGTCTTAAAACTCCTCCCATTCCTGCCACTTCCTTCAGGAAGCCTTTCCTGATCTTATATTGCAAGCATATGGCCTCTGGTCTGGGAGGCAGCTGAGCATCTGGGAAAGACCCGGGCTTTGGAGCCAACACATTTCGCTGGTTGTGAGATCTTAACCAAGTTTCTTAAAACGTCAAAGCCTTGTTTTTCTCATTTGTAAAGCAGGTATTTATATCTGTTTCTTAGTGATACGAGGATCAAATGAGGTAGTACATGTGAAGTGCCTGGCATGTGGTAGGTGTTCATTGAATAAATAAACCTTTTATCCAAAGAAAAATTGGGAAGAGCTGGAGCTTACCAAGTATCAACAGAGTGAAAAGATTATTTTAGAAGGAAAGATAAAGCCAATAACCTTTCTGTGAATTTTAAGTCTAGTGAATCAAATTATTAACATCAAATTTGGGGAGGGAAATGCATTTCTACGGAAGGTAATGGCACCATATGCTGCCAATTAAAGCCCATAGCTGTGCGTTCCTAGGATTGTGAACAGAACATCTAAAAAAAGGCATTTATGATGATCTTAAGTAAGGCATAGTTGTGACAAACATCCCGCTGATATTGAATAGTTTTTAAAATAAAACTACTTAGCTATATTAAATTCTGCATGCTGTACATGCCAGAAATCTAAAAGAATTTGGGGACTTTGAATGGAATTTCCCTAACCTTAGGAAGGAACACCACAACTTGAACATCACCACTGCCAACTGTGGAATTAATTCTAAGCCATTCTAGGGCCTGAAAGTGTTTTGTTTGGCGAGAATAGAGCAATATATTATGGAGGATCTCTGAAATTCAGGGTTCTGGTTCAGGGATAATCCTAGTTTTTCTTTAACGCTATCATACAAAGAGAAGAAACATAGGATTTACAGGTTAGACTGGAAAATACGAGAAGATGACTTTGAACTTGCTGGTATCCCATGTATTATGTTACCACTTCACCCTTTTTGGAGGTTTGTTTTTACATCCATCACGTAATTAACTGAATTGATCAAATTCATGCTATCCTTTGTCAAGAGAAGACCTACACACACACACACACGTGTGTGTGTGCACGACGGCCTCTCTCTCCGCTGGAAATTAGAGGTGAGAGTGGTTCAGGCAGGCAGCTCCCTGCAACATGCTCTGTGAGGCAACATCCCGTTTGGTCAGTTCACATACCCAAAAGAATGTGTCACTGCAAAACTCAGAATGTCAGGAAACTGAGACTATGGGTGAGGAGAAATGGTCAAATGATTTCAATTCCTTCCTTGAGAAGCAATTCCTCACACCACGGAGAATGCTCAGAGGAATTTGCTCTTTCACTTCAGGAAACAGTCCTCCTATCTAATGGGCATTATCACAAATGCCAGTGGGCTGACCCAGGACAAATGACAGTTCGAGGGGCTCAGCCCTGAAAATTCCCTGGCAGTGCTGGACGTTAATCTGCAATGAAGTCATCACATGTGAGTTCTACAAAAAAGCACAAATGACAAAACACTGACGTACGGGCTTTCATTTGTGTAGAAAACAAACACTTGTCTGCTCAGCTGAAAACAAATCTCGTATTTAAAGTTGCGTTCATTGCTCTGTGCTAAATGCTGAGCATAAATCTGGGCAACGCAGGGGTAATAAAACAGCCATTTGGGTGAAAGCTCTCCTAGCCTCTTTGGCATATAGTTGCTGTGTTCTTTAAAATGCCTTCAAGATCCCATAATAATATAATAGTTAGTTTCTGTAGGTGTGCCAGTTAATAAGATTGTCTAGGACTGGATGTCAGCCAATAGCATCTACTGAGCACTTTTGTACTATGAAGTGAACGAGCAGAATAGACTGATGGAGAGAGCCCCCCCATAGGAGAGAGGTAATGACAGGATGCCTTTTATAGAGCAACAGAACAACAAGAAACTCAATGTAATACGCTGACAAAGCAAGGGCTTAAGTGCTCAGAGGATATCATATAGAAATCCAGCGCTCCATTGGAATCTAAAGTTCAAATGGGGCCAGCTGTACAGAAATCACAAACGAGGAACTCAGGGGCAGCTCTGGTGGACAGTTTGCATGGTTCCTGGGCTTGGAAACATAATTTTAAAATAGCAACCCAAAAATTAGCTTCAGAGAGCTAGCTATTTCACCCCCAAAATCTGGAAGGCAGAAATAAATATTTTTTCTTATTGAATTCTAAAAAGAAAAATATGCTTTTGTTAAACTGCTATTGGTAAGAAGAAAAAAAAATCAGTTTGTGTGACTGCACAGTTAACTGATATTTGGTTTGAAGACAAATTACCACTTAAGGTTGTGGTATTTGATAGCGATAAGACAGAAGGTATGAACAAGTGGAATATGAATTTAAAAATCAATTCAACGATTTATGCTTGACCTCACAGCCTTGTTTGTTTGTTTGTAGAAGTGGTCTAATTATTGACTGGTAAATTAATAAAATTTACCATTCCCAGCAAACAAAATATACAATAGGTTAATATGTAAATAACACTGTGCCAAATCACAGTTTTTTGTGAAGGTGAAGGGAAAGGCTTCATCATCACTTCCTGAACACAGGTCTGGGTTCACCCAAAGGGAGCTGACAAATGAGACAGCAAAGGCACCTTTCACCAGGGTGGTGAAAACCTTGATTGTATCCTAGACTGGGATAAGAGAAACTCTGTTCATTTGTAATTCACAGACTGGGGCTGGAATCTTCAAACGGTATTGTCTGTAGGCATAGTCGGAGGAGCTTGTTAAAAAAGCACATTCCTTAATCACTTATCTCAGAGATTCTGAGTACAAAATCTGCGATGGCTCGGGCCAGGCGCGGTGGCTCATGGCTGTAATCCCAGCACTTTGGGAGGCCCAGGTGGGCAGAGCATGAGGTCAGGAGATCGAGACCATCCTGGCTAACACGGTGAAACCCCGTCTCTAGTAAAAATACAAAAAATTAGCTGGGCCTGGTGGCAGGCACCTGTAGTCCCAGCTACTGGGGTGGCTGAGGCAGGAGAATGGCGTGAACCCGGGAGGCGGAGCTTGCAGTAAGCTGAGATTGCGCCACTGCACTCCAGCCTGGGTGACAGAGTGAGACTCCATCTCAAAAAAAAAAAAAAAAAAAAAATGTGATGGCTCCAGACAGGTCCATTTCATTTTTAGTGAAAATTTTATTTTATTTTATTTTATTTTATTTTATTTTATTTTATTTTGAGACAGAGTCTCAGTCTGTTGCCCAGGCTGGAGTGCAGCCATGCAATCTTGGCTCACTGCAACCTCCGCCTCCCAGCTTCAAGCAATTCTCCTAACTCAGCCTCCTGAGTAGCTGGGACTACAGGTGCACACCACCACGCCCGGCTAATTTTTTTGCATTTTTAAGTAGAAACGGGATTTTGCCACATTGGCCAGGCTGCTCACGAACTCCTGACCTCAGGGCATCCGCCCGCCTCAGCCTCCCAAAGTGCTGGAATTACAGGCATGAGCTACCACATCTGGCCTTTAGTGGAAATTTCAAAGCATTCACAAAAGTAAAGAGATTAATATTATGAACCCACATGCCCATCACCCTGCTTCAACAATTAACAACTGATGATTCTTGCCTGCCTCCACTGCCCCATTATTCTGAAGCAAATCTCAGATATCATTTTTGTCTGTATTTCAGTATTTATTTCTAAAAAATAAGGACATTAAAAAATAAAAGGTATCCAGATTAGAAAGGAAGAAGTAAAATTATATTGATTTCATGTGACATGATCTTCTCCATAGAAAACCTAAATAATACACATGTACACACACAAAACTATTAGACCTAATAAATGAGTCCAGTAGCAGGATAGAAAGGCAATAAGTAAAAATCAATGGTATTTCTATACACTAGCAGTGGAGCAATCTCATCTTAGTCCATTTTATGTTGCTATATCAGAATAACTGAGACTGGGTAATTTATAAAGAAAAGAGGTTTATTTAGCTTATGATTCTGCAGGCTGGAAAGTTCAGGGGTATGGCACTGGCTTCTTGTGATGACTTTTCTGCTGCACCGTAACATGGTAGAAAGTCAAAGGGAGAGGAGGTTTGTATGGAAAAGGGACCAAACAGGAGAAGAAACCTCATTTTATAACAACCTGGTCTCATAAGAATGAATCCATTCCTGAGAAAGCAAGAACTCCCTCACTCCCATAAGCTGGCCTTAGACTATTCCTGAGGGATCTTCCCCCATTATTTAAACACTTTCCACTAGGCCTCACCTCCCAACATCGCCACATTGGGAATCAAATTTCAACATGAATTTTGGTAGGGACAAACCACATCCAAACCATAGCAAATCTGAAAATAAAATTAATAAAAAAATCCACCTGATAACATCAAAAAGAGTAAAATACTTAGGGATAAATTAAAGCAAGAGGCATGAGACTTGTACACTGAAAACTGCAAAACGTTTTTGAAAGAAATTAAAGTACATAGACCTAAATAAATGGA
Source organism: Homo sapiens (assembly GCF_000001405.40). Classification (NCBI taxonomy): domain Eukaryota; kingdom Metazoa; phylum Chordata; class Mammalia; order Primates; family Hominidae; genus Homo; species Homo sapiens. Next base: position 21,083,168 of record NC_000013.11, read on the forward strand.
AATACATCTTTGTTCATGGATTGAATAATTTAATATTGTTACAATGAAAGTAATTCCAAAATTGATCTACAGATTCAATGCAACCCAATCAAAATTCCAAATTTTGAATTATGGAAATGGATAAGCTGGCCTTAAAATTCATATGGAATTGCAAGGGACCAGAATAGCTAAAACAATCTTGAAGAAAAAAAGTTGAATTATTAATTTCAAACTCTACTACGAAACTACAGTAATCAAGATAGTATGATACTGGCATAAGAATAGAATCAATGGGCCAGGTGCAGTGGCTCACGCCTGTAATCTCATCACTTTGGGAGGCCGAGGCGGGCAGATCACGAGGTCAGGAGATCAAGACCATCCTGCCTAACAGGGTGAAACCCTGTCTCTGCTAAAAATACAAAAAATTAGCCGGGTGTGGTGGCACCTGCCTGTAATCCCAGCTACTCGGGAGGCTGAGGCAAGGAGAATCGGTTGAACCCGGGAGATGGAGGTTGCAGTGAGCTGAGATCGAGCCACTGCACTCCAGCCTGGGCAATAAAGCAAGACTCCGTCTCAAAAAACAAACAAACAAAAAACAAACAAACAAACAAAGAATAGAATCAATGGAATCAAATTAAGAGTCCACAAGTAAATCCATACATCTATTGCCAATTGATTTTTCTTTTTTTTGAGATGGAGTCTTGCTCTATTGCCCAGGCTGGAGTGCAGTGGCGTGATCTTGGCTCACTGCAACCTCTGCCTCCCGGGGTCAAGCAGTTCTCCTGCCTCAGCCTCCCGAGTAGCTGGGACTACAGCGTGCCACCACGCCTGGCTAATTTTGTGAATTTTTAGTAGAGACGGGGTTTCACTGTGTTGGCCAGGATGATCTCTATCTCCTGACTTTGTGATCCGCCCGCCTCAGCCTCCCAAAGTGCTGGAATTACAGGCATGAGCCACCGTGCCTGGACAACCAATTGATTTTTCATAAGGGCACCTAGACAATTCACTGGAGAAAAAAATAGTCATTTCAACAAATGGTGCCAGGACAACTGCATATCCACATGCAAAAAAATGGAGTTAGATCCTTCCTTGATACTATGTACAAAAATTAACTCAAAATGGATCAAAGACCTAAACATAAGAGCTAAAGCTATGTATTAGAGTTCTCTAGAGGGACAGAACTAATAGGATAAATGTATATATACAGGGGAGTTTATTAAGGAATATTAACTCACACGATCACAAGGCCTCACAATAGGCTGTCTACAAGCTGAGGAGCAAGGAAGCCAGTCTGAGTTCCAAAGCTGAAGAACTGGGAGTCCAGTGTTCGAGGGCAGGAAGCATCCATCATGGGAGAAAGATGTAGGCCGGGAGGCTAAGCCAGTCTAGTCTTTTCATGTTCCTCTGCTTGTTTTTATTCTGGCCTTGCTGGCAGCTGATTAGATTGTGCCCACCCAGATTGAGGGTGGGTCTGCCTTTCCCAGTCCACTGACACAAATGTTAGTCTTCTTTGGCAACACCTTCACAGACACACCCAGGAACAATACTTTGCATCCTTCAATCCAATCAAGTTGGCACTTGGTACTCACCATCACAAGGTATAAAACTCCTTAGAAGAAAACAGAAGGGTGAATCTTTGTGATCTTGGATTTGGTAATGTTTCTTAGATATGACAGTAAGAGCACAAGCAACAAAAGAAAACATAGATAAATTAGACTTCATCAAAATTCAAAGCTTTTGTACATCAAAGGAGTGTCAAGAAAGCACAAAGACAGCACAGAATGGAAGAAAATATTTGCAAATCATATATTTAGTAAGGATTAGTCCTCAGAATATATAAGAAATCTTACAACTCAACAATAAAAAGACAAATAACCCAATTAAAACATAAAGATCTGAATAAACATGTATAGAAAAAGTATATAAAAATAGCAATAAGACTGGACGTGGTGGCTCATGCCTGTAATCCCAGCACTTTGGGGGGCCGAGGTGGGCGGATGACCTGAGTTCAAGACCAGCCTGATCAATATGGTGAAACCCCGTCTCTATGAAAAACACAAAAAAATTAGATGGGCCTGGTGGCACACACCTGTAGTCCTAGCCACTCAGGAGGCAGAGGTGGGAGGATGGCTTGAGTGGGGAAGGCAGAGGTTGCAGTGAGCCAAGATTGTACCACTGCACACCAGCCTGGGAGACAGAGCAAGACCCTGGCAAAAAAAGAAAAGAAAAAAGGAAGGAAGGAAGAAGAAAGAGAAAAAGAAAGAAAGAAAGAAAGAAAGAAAGAAAGAAAGAAAGAAAGAAAGAAAGAAAGAAAACCAAGTATCTTTTCCAGCCACAATGATTTATTGATCAACAGCAAAAGGAAAACTGGAAAATTCACAAATGTATGAAAATTCAAAAACATACTACTGAACAACCAATGGATCAAAGAAGAAATCAAAAGGGAAATTAGAAAATTAATCTTGAGACACACAAAGTTAACAGGTGAATCTTGAGACAAATAAAAATGAGGCCTGGTGTGGTGGCTCACGCCTATAATCCCAGCACTTTGGGAGGCCGAGGAGGGAGGATCATGAGGTCAGGAGTTCAAGACCAGCCTGGCCAACATGGTGAAACCCTGTCTCTACTAAAAATACAAAAAAATTTAGCTGGGCATGGTGGCACGTGCCTGTAATCCCAGCTACTCAGGAGGCTGAGGCAGAAGAATCATTTGAATCTGGGAGGCAGAGGGTGCAGTGAGCTGAGATCCTGCCATTGCACCCCAGCCTGGGCAACAGGGCAAGACTCTGTCTCAAAAAAAAAAAAAAGAAAATGAAAACACAACATACCAAAACTTATGGGATGTAGCAAAAGCAGTACTAAGGGGGATGTTTTTAGTAATAAATGCCTATGTTAAAAGGAAGAACTATCTCAAATAAACAACGTAACTTTATACCTCAAAGAAATAGAAAAAGAGCAAACTATCCAAAGTCAGAAGCAGGGCAAAAATAAAGAATAGCACAGAAATAAATGAAACAGAGAATTTAAAACAATGGAAAAAATAACAGAGTTAAGAACTGGTTTTTGAAGAGGTAAACAAAACTGACAAATGTTTAGCTAAACTAAATTAGAAAAAAAGAGAGAACACTCAAAATCAGAAATGAAAGAGGAGGCATTACAACTGATGCCACAGAAATGAAAAGAATCATAAGAGACTACTATGAAAAATTATATGCCAACAAATTAGATAATCTAGAAGTGGAGAATTTTCTAGAAACATACAATCTACCAAGACTGAACCATGAAGAAACAGAAAATCTGATCAGACCTATAACTAGTAAGGAGAGTGAATCGGAATCAAAGTAAAGCCCTGGATCAGATGGCCTCACTGGTGAATTCTAGCAAATATTTAAAGAATAAACACCTTCTCAAACTCTTCCAAAAAATTGAAGAGAAAGGAATACTTCCAATTTCATTTTATAAGGACAGCATTACCCTGATACCAAAGCCAGACAAAGATATTACAAAAACAGAAAACTACAGAACAATATCACTAATGAGTAGGGATGCAAAAATCCTCCACAAAATGCTAGCAAACTGAATACAGCAATACATTAAAAGGACCATACACCATGACCAAGTGGAATTGGTCTCTAGGATGCAAGGATAGTTCAGCACATGAAAATCAATTAATGTGATATACCACAATAAAAGAGGGAAGAGTAAAAACCGCATGTCATCTTAACAGAGGCAGAAAAAGCATTTGCCACAATTCAGCACCTTTCATGATAAACACTTTCAAGAAATTAAGAACAAAAGAAATTACCTCAATATAATAATGGCCATACATGAAAAGCCCACAGTGAACATCAAATTCACAAGGCAAGGACACCTACTCTCCTCACTCTTATTCAACATAGTACTGGAAGTCCTAGCCAGAGCAATTAGGACTTCACAAAAGAAATAAAAGGCATCCACATTAGAAAAGAAGAGGTAAAATTATCTCTGTTTGCAGATGACGTAATCTTATATGTAGAAAACACTAAAGGCCCCCCCCCCACCCACAACACACACACACACAGAAAACTGTAGAACTAATAAATTCTATAAAGATGAAGGATAAAAGATAGACATACAAGAATCAATTGCATTTATTTTTTTTTGAGATAGTCTTGCTCTGTCGCCCAGGCTGGAGTGCAGTGGCATGATCTTGGCTCCCTGCAACCTCTGCCTGCCGAGTTCAAGAGATTCTTCTGCATCAGCCTCCTGAGCAGCTGGAATTACAGGTGCACACCACCATGCCCAGCCTAATTTTTGTATTTTTGTAGAGATGGGGTTTCACCATATTGGTCAGACTGGTCTCGAACTCCTGACCTGAAGTAATCTGCCTGCCTTGGCCTCCCAAAGTGCTGGGATTATAGGCATGAGCCACCACACCCGGCCATCAATTGCATTTCTATACACTAACAATGATCTATTTTAAGAGGAAATTAAGAAAACAATGCCATTTACAATAGCATCAAAAATAATAAAATAGAAATAAACTAAAGAGGTGAAAGATTTGTGTACTGAAAACTATAAAACATTGATTAAAGAAATTAAAGGATACATAAATAAATGGGAAAAAAAATCTCATGACCATGGATTAGAAGACTTAATATTGTTAAAACGTCCATACTACCCAAAGCAATCTACAGATTCAATGCAATCCTTATCAAAATCCCAATAGTGTTTTTCACAGAATTAGAAAAAAAAAATCCTAAAATTCCTATGAAACCACAAGGGATCTGGAATAGACAAAACAATCTTGAGGAAGAAAAAAGCTGGAGGCATCACATTCCCTGGTTTCAAAATATATTTTAGATAAACAATTATTAAAATAGCATGGTATTAGCATAGTGACATAAATATAGTATAATGGAACAGAATAGAGAGCCTGTAAATAAACCCACCCTTATAGGATCAACTGATTCTCAACAAGGATGCCAAAAATACACAATGGGGAAATAATAGTCTCTTCAATAAATGATACTATAAAAACTGGATATCCTCATGCAAAAGAATGAAACTGAACCCTTAACTTATATCATACACAAATATTAACTCAACGTGGATTAAATAACTAAGCATTAGACCTGAAACTGTAAAACTTCTAGAAGAAAACATAGGGAAAATCTTCATGACATTGGTCTTGGCAATAATTTCTGAGGTATGACACCAAAAGCACAGGCAACAAAGGCAACATTAAATAAGTGAACTACATGTAACTAAAAAGCCTCTATGCAGCAAAGGAATCAACAACAACACAGTGAAAAGTCAACCTATGGAATAGGAGAAAATATTTGCAAACCATGTATTTGATAAGGGGTTAATATAAAAAATATTTAAGAAACATCTTCAACACAATAACAAAAAAACAAATAACCTAATTTTCAAATGGCCAGAAAAACATGAATAGACATTTCTCCGAAGAAGACATACAAATGGCCAACAGGTGCATAAAAAGATGCTCAACATCACTAATCATCAGGGAAATGAAAACCAAAATTACAGTAAGATATCACCTGGCAGCTGTTAGAATGGCTATTTTATTATTTATTTATTTATTTATTTATTTATTTATTTATTTATGTTAATTTTTGAGACAGGGTCTCACTCTGTTGCCCAGGCTAGAGTGCAGTAGTGCAGTCTTGGCTCACTGCAGCCTCAACCACACCCAGCTAATTTCTTTTGTTTTGTATAGACCAGGGTCTTACTATGTTGCCAGGGCTGATCTTGAACTCCTGATCTCAAGCTATCCTCTTCCTTTGGCCTCGCAAAATGATGGGATTACAGGCTTGAGCCTTAGCACTTGGCTAAAAATGTCTATTTTTTAAAAGATAAAAAGATAAGTATTAGCAAGGATGTGGAGAAATTGGAACTGTTCCACACTCTTGGTGGGAATGTAAAATAGTGTAGCCACTATGGAAAATCATGTGGAGTTTCTCAAAAAATTAAAAATAGAACCACCATATAACTCAGCAGTTCCACTTTTGGATATTTATCCTAAAGAGTTAAAATTAGGATCTTGAAGAAATATTTGCTCTCTTACATTATGGCAGCTCTATTCACAAAAGCCAAGATGGAGAAAGAGCCGGGCATGGTGGCCAGTGCCTGTCATCCCAGCTACTCGGGAGGCTGAGACCAGAGAATTGCTTGAACCCAGTAGGACGAGAACAGCCTTGGCAATATAGCAAGACCCCTCTCTCAAAAATAAAACAAACAACAAAACAAACAACAACAACAAAAAGATGTGGAAACAACCTGATGTCCATCAATGAATGGATGGATAAATAAAGTATGATCCACACATACAATGCAATATCACTCAGCCTTTAAAAAGAAGGAAATCCTGCAATGTATGACAATATGGATGAAGCTTGAGGACATGAAGCTAAGAGAAACAAGCTGGTCACAGAAGGATAAATGTGGCATGATTCTACAACATGAGGGATCTAAAATGGTCAAACTTGTAGAAGTGGAGGGTAGAGGGGTGGGCACGGTGGCTCACGCCTGTAATCCCAGCACTTTGGGAGCCGGAGGCAGGCGGATTGCCTGAGGTCAGGAGTTCAAGACCAGCCTGGCCAACATGGTGAAACCCTGTCTCTACTAAAAATATAAAAATTAGCCAGGCCCGGTGGCGGGTGTCTGTAATCCCAGCTACTTGGGAGGCTGAGGCAGGAGAATCGCTTGAACCCAGGAGGCGGAGGTTGCAGTGAGGTGAGATTGTGCCACTGCACTCCAGCCTGGGTGACAGAGCAAGACTTCATCTCAAAAAAAAAAAAAGCAGTGGAGAGTAGAATGGTGGTTGCCAGGAGCTGCAGGAGGAGGAGATGTGGAGTTGCCCTTCAAAGGGTATAAAGTTTCAGTTATGCAGGATGACTGAGTTCTAGAGATCTGCTGTACAACATTGTGCCCGTGGTTAACAATACTGTATTGCATGCTTGAAAATCTGCTAAGAGTACAGCTCATGTTAAATGTTCTTACTATAGTAAATAAAAGTTAATCAGAGGGTGTCAATCAGCAAGCACCTTTAATTTAAAATGCATTTAATAAAGTTAACAGGACTTTCTTTCTTTCTTTCTCTCTCTCTCTTCTTTTCTTTTCTTTTGTTGGAATCTCACTCTGTCACCCAGGCTGAAGTGCAGCGGCGCGATCTCCACTCACTGCAACCTCTGCCTCCTGAGTTCAAACAATTCTGCCTCAGCCCCCCGCGTAGCTGGGATTACAGGCGCCCACCACCACTCCTGGCTACTTTTTGTATTTTTAGTAGAGACAAGGTTTCACCATATTGGCCAGGCTGGTTTCTTGGCCAGGCTGGTCTTGAACTCCTGACCTTGTGATCTGCCCGCCTCGGCTTCCCAAAGTGCTGGGATTACAGGCGGGAGCCCCTGCACCCGGCCCTTTTTTTTTTTTTTTTTTTTTTTTGAGATGGCGTCTCACTCTGTCGGCCAGGCTGGAGTGCAGTGGCAGAATCTCGACTCACTGCAACCTCTGCCTCCCAGGTTCAAGCAATTCTCCTGCCTCAGCCTCCCGTGTAGCTGGGATTGCAGGCGCCACCACCACATCCAACTAATTTTTGTATTTTTAGTAGAGTCGGGGTTTCACCATGTTGGCCAGGCTGGTCTCGAACTCCTGATCTCAAGTGATCCACCCACCTTGGCCTCCCAAAGTGCTGGAATTACAGGCGTGAGCCACCGCGCCCGGCCTCTTTTTCTTTCCTTCTTCTTCTTCTCCTCTTCTTCCTCCCCTCTCCTTCCTTTTATTACACACATTATGTTCCTCTTGAGCGTGGAAAAGCTTCCAGTTAGGTTGTACAGCCAGCAAAGGAGAAGCAGGGTTTATTTATTTATTAAATGAGATGGGGGTCTCACTATGTTGCCCCAGCTGGTCTGGAACTCCTGGGCTTAAGTAGCCCTCCTGCTTCGGCCTCCCGAAGCCCATACCTGGGATTATAGGCATGAGCCACCTTGCCCAGCCCAGGAGCAGTTTATCATGCATTTCTGTGTGATCGGCTAAGGTGAACTTCAGTGAAAACCATGCAATACATTTGTGGAAAATCTACTCTTGTTTTGGTACCACAAAAATACTGAGGCTCATACCAAAAGTGAGGAATTTGAGGATTATTCTCTTTTAATAGAAAAGGATATTACTGTAACAACGAAATACTAGCAAATCACCAGGTCCAGATGGGAGGCACGGTGGAACATTGAAGGAGGTGACAGAAAAGAACTGAGGCAGATGCCTCCTCTTCTGGTCTGGTTTCTTGAGCAACTGTTGTTTTCCATTGTCCTGCACTTTGCCATCATCCCTTCATCCAACTCCTCTGAATTCAAAATAATTGCTGAAGTCTGTCTGGCAGATCCTTAAGAGGAGTTTCCAATCTTTACATGCTTCTGAAATAAATTTCAGCAAAACACCTCTCAGTCTGGCTAGGCAGGGATTCTGAATCTTTTCTGAGCCATGAACCCCTTTGACAGTCCAGGGAAGTCTGTGGATGCTTCTCAGAAGATTTTCTAATGCATAAAATAAAATACATATGATTACAAAGGAAACCAATGTTATTGAAATAACCACGACCATGTGTATTAGTCCATTCTCCCGCTGCCCATAAAGACATACCTGAGGCTGGGTAATTTAAAAAAGAAAGAGGTTTAATTAACTCACAGTTCAGCATGACAGGTGAGGCCTCAGGAAACTTACAACCTCGGTGAAAGGGGAAAAAAACGTCCTTCTTCACAGGGTGGCAGGAAGGAGAATGAGTTCCAGCGAAGGGGGAGGCCCCTTATAAACCATCAGATCTCGTGAGAACTCACTATCACAGGAACAGAATGAGGGAAACCACCCCCATGATTCAATTACCTCCACTTGGTCCCTCCCAGGACACATGGAGATTATGGGAACTACAATTCAAAATGAGATTTGGGTGGGGACACAGCCAAACCATATCTTCATACATTTTAAAAATCTGGTTATGTAGTGATATGTGTGTGTGTGTGTATTTCTTTATTCATGCATTAGGATCTGATGGGAGATCTAGCAACTTCCATAGTTTTGAAGTAAGATTAACCATAAATGGTATTTGAAGAATAACTACAACAATTATAATGTCATATGAAAATATCTACGATTTCTCTGGGAGACAAAGTCACAGGTACTGCTAATATACTTGGATGTGCTGCCTACATTCATAACAAAAGAGAATGCTGAATTTCAGCTAGAAATCCCTAGACTTGTGTCCCTTTCATGAAGGGGCAGCAAGGTAAAAGGCTTAATGTAGAAGTGAATATTAGGCATGATTACAATATATGGCAGGTCATTTGGTTTCCTTCCAAATGCAATGACATTTCTGGAGTAATCAGTAAATATTTTTCAAAAATTTGGAAAAAAGGAGAAGTCTGGCTAACAAAAGACAGCTTTAATAAATCCTAACCAGATTAAAAAAAAAACAAAACAAAACAGAAAACCCCCAAAGCCATATATTTTTGCAGTCAATGCTTAAAAAGGGATTTTAGGACAGGCATGGTGGCTCATGCCTGTAATCCCAGCACTTTGGGAGGCCAAGGCAGGCAGATCACTTGAGGCCAGTTCGAGACCAGCCTGGCCAACATAGCGAGACCCTGTCTCTATTAAAAATACAAAAATTAGCCGGGCATGGTGGTGGGTGCCCGTAATCCCAGTTACTTGGGAGGCTGAGGCAGGAGAATCGCCTAGGAGGTGGAGGTTGCAGTGAGCTGAGATTGTGCCACTGCACTCCAGCCTGGGTGACAGAGCGAGACCCTGTGTCAAAAACAACAACAACAACAACAACACGGATTTTAAAAGTAGTAGCAGTAAACAGCTGAACTTCTGGTGAAGCAACCACAAGAATTTTCCAAAACTAATTGGATATCAAATAATCTGTTTTCTACTGTTGTAATTGACTTATCTAGATCCTAGAGCTCCTAGGTTCATTTTGGTAGGTAATGGTAACTGCCAAAGAATTCTGAAGTGATTAGGATTACCTATTCTCCCGTATCTCACTACCAGCTTATAAGGAAAGCAAGTCTCAGCCCAAATTCAGACACACACACACAGATAGTTACTAGACAGACATTTATTAGCAAAGCAAGCACAAAACAGTTCATAAAACCTATTCTGTAAGCTTAAAGAAGTTCTAGCACTCTCTCTCTTTTGTTGCTCTGTCCAGACCCTTGCTGTGGTAGTTGCAACAACATTCCTAGGATGCAAAGGTTGGCCCCTGGGCTGAGTAACCCTCACAACTCAGGCCAGACCCCAAAAGTACAGTTTGCAGGCCTCTCCACTCTTTGCAAGAGACCAATCCATACTCAAATGTCTTTAATTTCACCAAATGGTGCCCTATTTCTATCATTTATCTTGCCAAATAACAAGACACTATTTTCATCAATAAAAGCCCATTTTTGATACCTAGTATGCTTGTTAGAGAAGTTGAGGTTGCTGATGGAGACAGAGAACAGAGGGACCAGTCAAAACCACCTGAAAAGGATCTTCCCTCTGATGAGATGCTAGCTGACCACTCCTGCACTATGCATTCTTCTCTCTGCCCCAACATTTTATTACAAAAATTCAACAGCAAACTTGACAATGAACACCAATATGCCGCCAGCTACATCAAGAGTTCTCAAATTTTAACTAGTACCAGAATCACCTGGAAAGCTGGTCAAAACACAGATTGCTGGGCCTCCCCCAGAGTCTCTGATTCAGTGGGTCTGACCTGAAAATGTGCATTTTTGTTTGAAGTTTTATTATTCTTATTGCTACTATTATTTTGAGATAGACGGAGTTTCACTCTGCCACCCAGGCCGGAGTGCAGTGGCACCATCTTGGCTCCTGCAACCTCTGCTTCCCCAGGCTCAAGCCATCCTCCCACCTCAGCCTCCTGAGTAGTTGGTACCACAGGCCCGCACCACCATGCCCAGCTAATGTTTTGTATTTTTGGTAGAGACAGGGTCTCGCCATGTTGCCCAGACTGCTTTCAAAGTCCTGAGATCAAGTGATCCGCCTACCTCAGCCTCCCAAAGTGCTGGGATTAGAGGAATGAGCCACTGCACGCGGCAAAATGTGCATTTCTAGTAAGTTAGTTAGCTTCCTTCCTTCTTTCTTTCTTTCTGAGCCAAAGATTTATTTCTTCATTTCTTGCATTTGAAGTACTCTTCGAGGGACATCCTTGGCCTGAGATTCCTTGCCATAGTCCTTAACTACTACACAACTGCAACCAACCACTTTACGGGGTTTCCCCTCTCTGTCAGTTTTACAGAGACCTACCCATTCCCCTACTTTCTTGTTGTCATCAACCTTAATGAAGTTGATTTGGTGTTTAGCACAAATGGCTTCCACCAACTTGACATACACAGTCTCATCACAGTTGGATGCAAGCACATAAAGATGGGCTTGGCCCTTGTCTAAGGGTTTGGCAGCTTCGTGAATTCCACGTGCTAGGCCATCGTGGATGAGGGTGGTCTTCAGCACCTCTTGTAAAGCAGTATTAATGTCCATTACACCTCCAGCAGCAATGCCTTCCTTGGCCATGGCGGTGGGTTACCGGTGAAGCCCAATCTTGATCTCACCCAAGCCTCCGCCTCCGCTTGACTCGGCAGCGGCAGGGAAAGAATGCATTTCTAGTAAGTTTCTAGGTGATACCGATGCTGTTGGTTCCTGCACATCACTTTGAAAACTGCAGACCTTGGTTCTGGTTTTGCTGTATTTATATCATCTCACATCTATCCACTAATCCCTCCATCCACCCATTCATCAGTCTTTTTTTCTTTTTTGATGGAGTCTTGCTTTGTCGCCCAGGCTGGAGTGCAGTGGCGCAATCTCGGCTCACTGCAATCTCTGCCTTCCAGGTTCAAGGGATTCTCCTGCCTCAGCCTCCCGAGTAGCTGGGATTACAGGCATGCGCCATCATGCCCTGCTAATTTTTGTATTTTTAGTAGAGACAGGGTTTCACCATGTGGCCAGGCTGGTCTTGAACTCCTGACCTCGTGATCCACCTGCCTCAGCCTCCCAAAGTGCTGGGATTACAGACGTGAGCCACCGCGCCCGGCCGGGATTTTTTTTGGGGTAAAATTTACCTACAGTGAAATGTGGTATTAAAAATGTTCTAATTGGGAGGCCATTAGATTGTGGGGGGGAGGGGTCTTAGCAGTTTAAGTTCCTACTAAGCAAACAGAAGCCCAATGTAAAGAGTGAAAGAGAACTAGAGACTTAACCAATCAGAAACCACCAACTAACCTCTAACTAGGGCCTTTACACTTTAACCAATCAGATATGCTTTCTTTGTCTTGCTTCCTGGAACACTTTATAGAGGTTTCCTCTGCCACCCCTCCCAGGGGAATGCTAAGCCGCTTATGGTTTCATGCTGTCCAATTCATGAATTGATGAATGCTCAAATAAACTCTAAAATTTAAATGTGCCAAAAGTTATCTGTTAACAGTGGACTGTGCAGTCTTTTTCTAAAGTTTATTGAAATATAATTTACATATGGTAAAATTCACTTTTTTTGCATATAATTCTATGAGTTTTGGCAAATACATACTGTTAGGCACCAAAATCAAGACACACAGCATTTCCCTTGATAAAAAATGTCCCATGCCTGTAATCCTAGTACTTTGTGAGGCCGAGGTGGGCAGATCACTTGGGCCCAGGAGTTTGAGACCAGCCTGGGCAACACAGTGAAACCCTATCTCTACAAAAAATACAGAAATCAGCCTGGTGTGGTAATGCCCACCTGTAGTCCCAGCTACTTGGAAGGCTGAGGTGGGAAACTTGATTGAGCTTGGGAGGCAGAGCTTGCAGTGAGCCAAGATAGTGCCACTGTACTCTAGCCTGGATGACAGAACAAGACCCTGTCTCAAAAAAAAAAAAAAAAAAGAATCATTTAACAAAATATAGTAATTTTTGTAAACAAGGAAGAACATTTAATGCTGGCAAATGAGGCTGCCACTCTCATACGTTAGTCCTGAAGGTTTGGACTACCTTTCTGGAAAGCCATTTGTCATCAGGATATTTAAATGTTACAGCTTTATAAATAAAATGTTCCATCACGCCACTTTGTAGTAAATAACTGCCCCAACTTTCAGCCCTTGACAACCACTGATCTGTTTTCTACCTTTATAGTTTTGCCTTTCCCTGAATGTCATACTAATGAAATCATACAGCATGTAGCTTTTTGGGTCTAGCTTCTTTCACTTAGCGTACTGCATTTTGAGATTCAGGCATGTTACTGTGTGTATCTGTAGTTCATTCCTTTTATGCTGATAGCACACTGTTAGTTAGAACTTCTTATAATTAAATTTGAATCCGATTGGCACACACATGATATCACAAGGTTGACTGAAGTATTTTATTTATTTCGTTTTTTATTTTTAAAATATTTTGATTCTAGAGACCTCTTTATGGCAGGTTTGAACTTCTGCCTCAAGCGATCCTCCTGCCTCAGCCTCCCAAAGTGCTGAGAATGTAGGCATAAGCCACCGTGCCCAGCCTTTTTTTTTTTTTTAAGACAGGGTCTCGCCATGTTGCCCAGGCTGGAGGGCAGTAGCACAATCATACCTCATTGTAACCTCAAACTTATGGGCTCAAGTGATTCTCCCCCCTCAGCTTCCCAAAGTGTTGAGGTTACAGCAGTAAGCCACCATGCCTGGACAACTGAAATATTTTAAAGTAAATTACAAGGCCAGATATGGTGGCTTGCTCCTATAATCCCAGCACTTTGGGAGGCCAAGGCAGGAGAAATGTTCAAGACCATCCTGGGCAACATAGTGAGACCCATCTCCATAAAGCATTTTTTAAACATTAGCTAGGCATGGTGGTACATGCCTGTAGTCCCAGCTACTCAGGAGGCTGAGGTGGGAGAATAACTTGAACCTAGGAGGTCAAGGCTTCAGTGAGCTGTGATCATGCCACTGCACTCCAGCCTGGGCAAAAGAGTGAAACTCTGCCTTGAATGAATGAATGAATGAATGAATGAATGAATGAAGTAAATTACAGCTATCTTCACACCTGTTGGCATGATAATGCCCATGTGCTGGACTCTGGCCTTAGTCACAGCCTGCCTCTCACCTTCCCTGCTCCCTGGTGATGTTTGCTACTCTGCAGCCTGTGATTTCCTTAAAATGACTTAATGCAGCCTGGCACTCTGTATACTCTCTCCACCCTCTCCTAGTAACTCTTGGGGCAAATGCTTTCTATAATTCCATGGGTTGCCAGCCATGCTGCCTGAAATTTAGGTAAACTCCCCATGTAATCATAACATTACCCTTTCTCTTGGACCAATTATTTCTCCTTCTCTTGAACCAATTTCTCCTTCAAGTCAACACATTTCTCCTTCTCCTTTTTTTTTTTTTTTTTTTTGAGACGGAGTCTTGCTCTGTCGCCCAGGCTGGAGTGCAGTGGCGTGACCTCAGCTCACTGCAACCTCTGCCTCCCAGGTTCAAGCCATTCTCCTGCCTCAGCCTCCCGAGTAGCTGGGATTACAGGCGCCCGCCACCATGCCCAGCTAATTTTTGTATTTTTAGTAGAGATGGAGTTTCACCATGTTGGTCAGGCTGGTCTCGATCTCCTGACCTCAAATGATCCACTCGCCTCAGCCTCCCAAAGTGCTGGGATTACAGGCATGAGCCACCGCGCCCAGCCAAATTTTTGTATTTTTAGTAGAGATGGGGTTTCACTCTGTTGGCCAGGCTGGTCACGAACTCCTGACCTCAGGTGATCCACCCACCTCGACCTCCCAAAGTGCTGGGATTACAGGCGTGAGCCACTGCGCCCGGCCCATTAAGCCATTTTTTAAAAAGGAGAAAAAGAGTGAGATTAATTTTAGGGATATACTTTATTTAACCTAAATTATCATTTCAACATGTAATCAATATCCAAAAAAGTATTAATTTACTTCCTGTTTTTTGTATTAAGTCTTCAAAATCTGATATATATTTTAACCTATAGCACATCTATAATAAAATCCAGACTAGCCACATTTTAAGCAAACAAACGCCACGTGTGGCACGTGGCTAGTGGCTATCATATGAGACTTCATCAGTCTAGAAGCAACCATTAACCAGGACCCCCTTAGTGGAGAGGGGAAAGGGTTGGGCTGTGAGTAATAACAATAACAACAAGAATAATATTTTAGAGCAAGTTTTGTTGTGCAGAGAGACTTTCATAGACATTTCTCCTGTGGTCTTTGTAGTATTGCTGTAAGATCATTATTTTCACCATCATGGTTTTGCCATAAGAAAATTAAGGCTCTGTGGCGTGAAAGTGGCTTGCTCAAGGATGCTCAGTAGGTGTTACAGCCTAGCTTCTCTTCCCACACAACCTCCCATTAGACAGAGAGACCCTTCAATCTAGGTGCTGCTGAGGAACATGAAAGCAAGTGGGACACCACCTCAATCATTTCAGATGGTGAGACCCCAAGGAGGAATGCTCACATGAAAATGCCAAAAGGCCAGTGGACTTTAATGCTCATAAGAATTTCCAAGACACATTTGCTTATAATAAAGATTTTTGGGTCCCAAACCCTGGCATGCTTGTTCAATAAGGCTCAGGTGGGAACCCCAAAAATCTACATGCTTGTTTAGAGTTCCAGGTGATCCTGATACAGGTAGTCCTAAGAACCACAAATTTGGATACACTGGTGTGGAAGAAGATACGGGACCTTCAGCCACAGGTCCAGCTGATGAAATGAAATTCATGGCGGCTGTTCAGAAAGTTGTTTGACCTTAGGCAATTGAAGAAGCCTAGAGAGGTGGTATGTGCACAAAGTGGAATACTACAGAATTATAAAACATCATGCTATAGCAGATTTAATGACATGTCAATATGCTTGTTAGGAGGGGTGCGGTGGCTTACGCCTGTAATCCCAGCACTTTGGGAGGCCAAGTTGGGCAGATTGCTTGAGCTCAGGAGTTCGATACCAGACTGGGCAACATGGTGAAACCCGTCTCTACTAAAGATACAAAAAATTAGTCCGGCGTGGTGGTGCATGCCTGTGGTACCAGCTACTCCGGAGGCTGAGGTGGGAGGCGGAGGTTGCAGTGAGCTGAGATCGTGCCACTGTACTCCAGCCTGGGTGAGAGTGAGACCCTGTCTGAAACAAAACAAAAGAAACAAACAAACAAACACACACACAAACAAAACCCCCAAAATGTTTTTTATATATTGTGTAAAAAGGAGGTTATTATGTTTATTTTTTATTTTTATTTTTGTAGTATGTTATACTCTAATGAAAAGTTTTTTTAATCACACCTGTAATCCCAGCACTTTGGGAGGCTGAGGAGGGCAGATCACTTGAGGTCAGGAGTTGAAGACCAGTCTGGCCAACATGGTGAAACCCCATCTCTACTAAAAATACAAAAATTACCTGGGCATGGTGGCAGGCACCTGTAATCCCAGCTACTTGGGAGGTTGAGGCAGGAGAATGGCTTGAACTGGGGAGGCAGAGCTTGCAGTGAGCCGAGATTATGCCATTGCACTCCTGCCTGCACTCTAGCCTGGGCAGCAAAACGAAACTCCGTTTCAAAAAAAAAGAAAAGAAAAGAAAAGTTTTTTAAAAAGGAGATTACCAAAAGTTAGTTTCATTCTATATTTGTAGAAAAGGTTATATATGTATGTTATTTATTATATAAAATTATACATTTAAGGCCGAGCGGTGGCTCATACCTGTAAACCCAACTCTTTGAGAGGCTGAGGTGGGAGAACTGCTTGAGGCCAAGAGTTTGAGACCAGCCTGGCAACAAAGTAAGACCGCGTGTCTAAAAAATAAAAATAAAAAATAAGCCCAGCGTGGTGGTGCGTGCCAGTAGTCCCAGCTACTTGGGAGGCTGAGGTGGGAGGATCTTGAGCCCCGGAGTTGGAAGCCACAGTGTGTCGTGATTGTGGCACTGCACTCCAGCCTGGGTGACAGAGGAAGACTCCATCTCTAAAAAATAAATAAATAGATAATATGCATGTATTGATAACTTCAAGATAGATACCGGCATGTGTGCCTGTGTCTGTATATATGTAATATTAAGGACATTTTCTTGAAAATGAAAGCATCTTCTAAGGGAAAAAAGAAAAGTTTTCCCAGCAGCCCTAGCTGGGAAAGCATTAATAAGGTCAAGTAGCTCTTCCAGAGCAAGCCTCTCCTCGCTGCGGTGCAGGGACAAGTACTGACTGCTGAGGACTCCCAGCTTCCTGGACACCTTGATGCCCCCACGGCACAGGAGGGCCCTTCTGGTGGTGACCTGGCTCAGCTCTTCTCAGAGAAAGCGAGGCCCATCCCGCAGGCACGGGATGCTTCAGTGGTGGAGAATTAAAGCAAATGGAAAAGCGTCTTCTGAAAAGATGTGCTTTCCTGTCATGCTGTCCTGAATTTGTGACCCAAATCTTCTCAGACAGCTTTAGACATTAGTGAAAGCATCAGTCTTAAGAAAACTTGTTCATGTTTCCAGGGAAATGTCTTATTTTCATGCACGGGTTAAAATTCCACACATTTCTGACAATTAAATGTCAGAAATCTATCATTTTTTCTCAATTTAAGGAAATATCTTTGTTAGAGATTCAACTGTGTTCCCAGAAAGGTTGGAGTTCTAACGTCCAGTAAGTTCAGAATGTGACCTCTTTTGGAAATGGGGTCTTTGCAGAGGTAATCAAGAAAAAATGAGGTTAATCCAATATGACTGGTGTCCTTATAAGAAGGGGATATTTGGGCCGGGCACGGTGGCTCACACCTGTAATCCCAGCACTGTGGGAGGCCGAGGCAGGCAGATCACCTGAGGTCAGGAGTTCGAGACCAGCCTGACCAACATGGTGAAACTCCATCTCTATTAAAAATACAAAAAAATTAGCCAGGCATGGTGGCGCACTTGGCAGGCTGAGACACGAGAATTGCTTGAGCCCCGGGGTGGAGGTTGCGGTGAGCCGAGATCACCCCACTGCACTCCAGCCTGGGCAACAGAGTGAGACTCTGACTCAAACAACAACAACAACAAAAAAAAAAAAAAAAAAAAAAAAAGAGGCTATCTGGACAAAGATAGGCAGAGACAGGGTGATGTTTGTACAAGCTGAGCAACACCGAAGGTTACCAGCAACCACCAGAAGCTGGGGGAGAAGCCTAGAACGGATTCCCCTCCCAGCCGCAGGAGTCAACCCTGCCCATACTTTGATCTTGGACTTCCAGCCTCCAGAACTGTGGGGGAAGTAAACGTTGTTTAAGCTACCTCGTGTACAATGGCACTTTGTTCTCGCAGCCCAGGCAAACAGTACCTTTATTCTGTCTTGAAAAAATTATTATAATGGCAATATATAATCATTGTAAAACATTTCGGAAAATGAAGGAAAGTATGTGTTTGTCCATTTGGTTGTTATAACAAAATAAACACAAGAAAATTATTTCTGGCATTACTGGAGGCTGGGAAGTCCAAGAGCAAGGCATTGGTTGGCAGATTCCATGCCTGGTGAGGGTCCACTTCTTGGTTCCTAGACAGCCCTCTCCTCACTGTGTCCTCACATGGCCAAAGAAGTGAGGGTCTCTGGGGGCCTCTTTTTTTTTTTATTTATTCAAACAAGTATAATTCTCAAGTTATCACAAAATATCCCCCCCCCCAAATTTACAGTCAGCAAAATAGCTTCCTTATTTCTCATGTATCATTTTCATATAATTCCATGGTTTCACTAATATTATATGTTACAATAAGCCTCCACTAGTCCCTCAAAACGATGATATAAATAATCAGTCTGTACAACCTAGCCTAGAGTAAAAAACTGAAACCAAGTTTCCCAACGTTTTTCATAGCAGCCGGGCACACTTTGGTGACCCCAACGAGAAACCTCTCGGCAGCAGACAGGAGCTGTTCACCTTCCGGAAGCAGGGCCTGTGGCAGCCTGACAGGGAGAGGCCATGGGGCCCAAAAACGCAACTTGTTTCAAGGCAAACCTGAGGGAGGAACTTGGTCTGGGAGGAAGAGAAAACTAGCTCCTCAACCACCCCAAACACCGGAGTGTCAGGAAAGCAGTGAGCTGTCAGGGCACACTGTCCTGCCCGGACACAGCAGCTCAGCCAGTCACAGCTCCACCTCCAGCTTCTACAGCAGCAATTTCCAGTGGGAAAGAACACCTCATCTCCCCCTCATGTGAAAGATAAAATCGTAAAGCAAAAAAATTGGTCAATGCTCGCATGAGTGGTGTCCATCCTGACCTGAGTCTCGCACTCCCTGCTGCCCCACCTGGAGCTGTGGGCTTCAGCACCTCCACAGGGACCCTGAGTCTACATTGCTCAGAACTGGCATCTGCATGACTGTGAGGTCATGCTCTGCAGCAAGGTACCACCTAAAAACCTGTGTTGATATGTGGCTTGCACTGAAAAAGTGACCATGTAACTCAGCTGGGGAAAGTTCCAGTAGTATCCATGTTTTCTTAAAAGTCCAAACTGTAAAATGTATGTGACAAGTCAAGTTTTCTATGTTAAGAGTCTGGTGGTAGCAGATCAAACCTTAGGTCTTAGAATAAGGCTTTTCGCATTAGATAATCAGAGACGAGCACTGGTTGGGAAGGAAGAACTACCCAGAAGGTCTTCCCAGGGCTTAACGGACACTTCCATTTTAAGAATGAGAGCAGCTTCCTGGGACACAGCACTCATGTCCTACATTTCTTTTCCAGGAAGATGTTTCTAGTGCTCTTCAAATGCATGTCTCCAAGAGGCAATCCCACCTCAACAGGGGTTAAAAGCAAAAACATTCACAACCAAAGGTCACCCAACCCAACAGAAAATAGCTCTATCATTCAACCTTCACATTCTATGTTCAAGTTTCAAAGACACTGCAGGGAAAAAGTTAGATCTTGTGGAGAACTAATGTGCAATCTTCACTTTCCTTGAACCGAGTCGACATCATGGTATTGTCTTTGGCACGTACAGTCTTTGAATAGTAGTTGATGATCTTGCCATCCAGTTTATACTGATAGGGAATGCTCTCGTAGGGCTTGAGGTCAAGGTCCACCACAGACATGGAGAAAGCAACCCTGGGCCTTGATGAAGGGATGACAGGCCTTTGATCAGATCTGGCATCCTGCAGACACGGAGAGAGTGCAATCATGATGGAGCAGTCCTTGGCAGTCATGGTGATGCAGTACTGCTGCACCTTGAGGCCGAGGAGGGCGGATCACTTGAGGTCAGGAGTTCGAGACCAGCCTGGCCAACATGGTGAAACCCCATCTCTACTAAAAATACAAAAATTACCTGGGCGTGGTGGCAGGTGCCTGTAATCCCAGCTACTTGGGAGGCTGAGGCAGAAGAATGGCTTGAACTGGGGAGGCGGAGCTTGCAGTGAGCCGAGATTATGCCATTGCACTCCAGCCTGCACTCCAACCTGGGCAACAAGAACGAAACTCGGTTTCCAAAAAAAAAGGTCTGTCACAGTAACGACAGTCATGCGTGACATCACTCGAGAAAGGAATAAACCCACGTTTTGGCTTAATCTCTACACACAGAATCGGCCGATGGTGCTCTGAAAAGTGGTAGGTCTGAAGTCTGGTTAAATGGAGAAGGCACATACTGTAACCACTGAGAGTGTCCAGGTCCTTGTCACAGTGAGACTCTGGTCTTTCAGATTGTATCTTTATTTTATTTTTATTTTTTAATTTTTTTTGAGATGGAGTCTCATTGTGTCGCCCAGGCTGGAGTGCAGTGGCGCAATCTCGGCTCACTGCAATCTCTGCCTCCCGGGTTCAAGCGATTCTTCTGCCTCAGCCTCCCGAGTAGCTGGGACTACAGGCACACACCACCACGCCCGGCTAACTTTTATATTTTTAGTACAGGCGGGGGTTTCACCATATTGGCCAGGCTGTTCTCGAACTCCTGACCTCGTGATCCGCCCACCTCAGCCTCCCAAAATGCTGGGATTACAGGCGTGAGCCACCGCGCCCGGCCCAGATTGTATCTTTAAACGAAGCTGTTTCACAAACTCTAAAGGTGGCTGAACAACTTCCCCACAATGAACATAGTTCTCCCCCAAAAACTCCATGACATTTTTGCCAAAGTCCACTATGTTCTGCAGGTGCTGAAATATCTCTTCCGAGGTCTTCTTCCTATTTGGAGGAAACTTCAGAAAACTCAGCGAGACACAGCGCTGCACGTGTGGTAGGTACCCTCATTAATTCGCGTCCATTAGCCCCTCTTCCATGCCCTGGCGCAGCCCTGGCGCCTCGCGGGCTGGGACGCGGGAGCGCGAGCTGGGGCGCGGGAACGCGAGCTGGTGGCTGCCCGCCTCGCTGGGCACCAGCCACTGCCATCGGGAGAGGAGTGCCTGTCAGCTGCCGCCACCCACTCGACCCTGCCGCCGCGACTCGCAAGCTGTGGCCCTTTGGGGCTTCTTTTATAAGGGCACAAATCCTATTCATGGAGGCTCCACCCTCATGACCTAATCACCTTCCACAGGCCCCACCTCCTGCTACCATCACACTGAGGGTTAGGATTTCAACACGTGAATGGGGCTGGGGTCACACAAACATTCACACTGGAGCACACACTTCCTTCTAGAAGGAAGAAAAGGAAAATCACCGGTGCTACCACCAAGAGACTTACTCCTCTGTGCACTCATTTGCCCATTCAGCAAATCTCTGATGGAGCAGGTGCCGCGCTGGAGGCCAGGGAGGGGCGGTGCAGCAAACAGAGGCCTCGGCTTTGAGGAGTCAGGCAACAGAGTACAGTCAATCCACAAACACACCAGGTAGCTTAAGTGCGAGGAAGAGAGAGGATGCAGGCATGAACCACAGCGCCCGGCCCAGAATGTACATTTTTAAAGTTTGCTACAGTTGTCTAGTGACCTTCCGGAAGGTCATGCTGATTTGCCCTCCACACGGCACTCTGTGGGTGTGCCTGTTTCCCTACATGCTTTCTAGTGCTATGTCCAGAAATCCATCTTCACCAGTCTTATTTTCACTGGCACTAGCCAATATAGTTTAAAAAGGAGATTTGGGCGGGGCGCAGTGGCTCACGCCTGTAATCCCAGAACTTTGGGAGGCCAAGGCGGACGGATCACGAGGTCAGGAGATCCAGACTATCCTGGCTAACACGGTGAAACCCTGTCTCTACTAAAAATAAAAAGTTAGCCGGGCGTGGTGGCGGGCGCCTGTAGTCCCAGCTGCTCGGGAGGCTGAGGCAGGAGAATGGCATGAACCCGGGAGGCGGGGCTTGCAGTGAGCTGAGATCGCGGCCACTGCACCTAGCCTGGGGGACAGAGCGAGACTCTGTCTCAAAAAAAAAAAAAAAAAAAAAAAGGAGATTTGGGGCCGGGCACAGTGGCTCATGCCTGTAATCCCAGCACTTTGGGAGGCCGAGACAATCGAATCACTTGAGGTCAGGAGTTCAAGACTAGCCTGGCCAACATGGTGAAACCCTGTTTCTACTAAAAATATAAAAATTAGCCGGGCGTGGTGGCACACGCCTGTAATCCCAGCTACTCAGGAGGCTGAGGCAGGAAAATCACTTGAACCCGGGAGGCAGAGGTTGCAGTGAGCTGAGATCACGCCATTGCACTCCAGCCTGGGCGACAGAGCAAGACGCTGTGTCTCAAACAAACAAAACAACAACAACAACAACAAAACCCCACTGTGGCTGGTGTCATCATTATTACTGCTGTGTTGTTTCTGCTGTTGGAACAGTACAAATGGGAAAAAAGTAAAAAGGAAGAGAGTTTACCAATTATCTAAAATGAAATACTTAACAGGTTAGAGAGTCAGAACTTAAACCTAGAAATTCTGACTCCTGCTCCAGTGCTTTTTCCAGTTAAGCTGCTGTGGTTTTTTTTTTTTTAATTTTATTTATTAGTTTCCCTCTGCCTTCTTTTGTCTGTGACACATTGGGGTTCAGAGTGAGTGGGTGTAAATGAGCCTGGAACAACTCCTTGTGCCAAGCGGCAGGGAAGCCATCAGACACTGACAGGCCCATGTCAGTGAGTCCCTGGCTGGAGTTGAAAGTGCCACTGGCTAAGGAAACATTTGAAAATTTCTAAATCTGTGAATTCAAAAAGAGACTAAAAACAATGATGACCACAACTTTGTTGCTCACCCTTGAAGAATGCTAGGAACCAACGTTTAATTTTGAAAACCAGCAAATAAAAGGAAAGCAGTTAAGTATTTATTCTGTGCTTCCAATATGAACTGTACTACTGGGTAATCAGAGAGCTGACAGAGGGGCAGCTCCTATTTACAAAGTAATCCAGCTGATTAATGAAGAACAGAAAAATGAGAGTACCACCACGTGCCGCCCTTGTGTGAGATCTACCCAATGGCACACACACACAAAGCACACAAAACCGAGCAGATGTTCTGTGTGGAAGTGCACACCACCACTGGTGAAGTGTTTTTGTAAAAGTTTTAAATTTAAATCTGACGCAGCATCTCAATCAATTTCTGGGAAATATAGGGAACTTGCCAAGTGAGCATTGAAGTGAGGCTGCCGTTGGTAAAGTCCAGGAGCCGAAAAACTCCACAGGACAGACAACCTGGCTTCTTCATCTGAAAATTTGCGAGGAAAAAAAGAGAGAGAGGGCGAATTTATGGATTAAAAGAAAATTAAGTTGGGTGACTTTTATGGAATAGAAATGATACGTCAATCAAGCTGCTACAAAAAAACTAATTAAGAAGCTTATCAACCAGGACTCATAGGGCTCTTATTTGGATCCTGATTAGAAAAAAAAATGTACTAAAAAAGTTTTATGAGACAATTGGACATTTAAACACTGATTTCCAATTTGGTAATCTCAAGGGATTAATGTTTTAAAAAATTATGTATAATAATGGTATTTTGGTTATGTTTTTAGAAGAATCCTATCTTTTAGTGACACTGAAATATTTATGGATAAAAGTATATTATTTCTGGGATTTCTTCAAAATAATCTGGGATTGGGAAAGTAGGTGGGGTAGAAATGAACCAGGACATACCGCTACTTGATACTTGTTGAAGCCTGATGAGATACCTGTGGGGTCATAGTACTATTCTCTCTATTCTTGCATATATTTGAAAATGTCCATGATAAGAACCAAGGTTTCAGTATGCAGAGATTATGTAAAAGAATACTTCTCAGGCTGGGCATGGTGGCTCACACCTGTAATCCCAGCACTCTGGGAGGCCTAGGTGTGTGTATCATCTGAGGTCAGGAGTTCGAGACCAGCCTGGCCAACATGGTGAAACCCTGTCTCTACTAAAAATACAAAAATTAGCCAGGCACGGTGGTGCATGCCTGTAATCCCAGCTACTTGGGAGGCTGAGGCAGGAGGATCACTTGAACCCAGGGGGACAAAGGTTGCAGTGAGCCAAGATCACACCACTTCATTCCAGCCTGGACGAAAGAGCGAGACTCTGTCTCAAAAAAAAAAAAAAGAATACTTCTCCCACCTTATTTGAAATTTTTAAAATTAGAGACAAATCAAATGGAGTCTAAGTTAATATTTTTGGTACATCCTTGGGATGAAATACCCTGCTCCCATTACAAATGCATATGTCCACAATATGTTGTAAGCAATAAATCAGCTTACAAATGTAATTTTAATTTAATTTTAATTAAAACAGGAAAAAGATATTACATGCCCATTGTAAAAAGCAACTCAAATAATACAGAGGGGAAGAAGGTAAAGCTTCGCCTCCTTTCTCCATCCTTGTTGATGGGACTCAGATTCCTCTTTCTTGTGTATTTTTTACAGACCTTTTCTGTGTGATTCATAGTTTTGGCTTTTCCAGGTTGTCAGAGTTGGAATCATACAGTATGTTGCCTTTGCAGATTGGCTGCTTTCACTTAACAATATACATTTGAGGTTCCTCCATGTTTTTTATGGTTTAATAGCTCAGTTCATTCTAACACTGAATAACATCCCATTGTCTGGATGAACCACAGTTTATCCATTCACCTACAGAAGGACATCTTGGTTGCTTCCAAGTTTTGGCAGTTGTGAATAAAGCTGCTGTATTCCATGTGCAGGTTTTTGTGTGGACATAAGTTTTCAATTTATTTTGGTAAATACAAAGAAGCACAAATGCTGGATTGTATAGTAACAGTATGTTTAGTTTTCTAAGAAACCATCAACTGTCTTCCAAAGTGGCTGTTGGCTGGGCATGTGGCTCACTGCAATTTGGTAGGCCGAGATGGGAGGATTGCTTGAGCTCAGCAAGGAGTGCAAGACCAGCCCCGGCAACATAGTGAGACACTCTATCTCTGCAAAAAAAAAAAGGAGAAAACAAAACAAACAAAAAAACTGATGGTGTTTGATATAGCAAATTTTTATGTATTTATTTATTTTGAGATGGAGTTTCACTCTTGTTGGCCAGGCTGGAGTGCAGTGGCGCGATCTCAGCTCACTGCAACCTCTGCCTCCTGGGTTCAACTGATTCTCCTGCCTTAGCCTCCCCAGTAGCTGGGATTACAGGCATGTGCCACCACGCCCAGCTAATTTTGTATTTTTAGTAGAGATGGGGGTTTCACCATGTTGGTCAGGCTGGTCTTGAACTCCTGACCTCAGGTGATCTGCCCGTCTTGGCCTCCCAAAGTGCTGGGATTACAGGCGTGAGCCACTGCGCCTGGCCCACGTTTTTACAGTTAGTTTATATCTTACAATTTTCATTGGCAGTTTCATTGTAGGTTTAAGTAATAAACCAGGAAACTTTAAAAAATAGATGATAGATAAATCCCTCAAGTGCTTCCCGGTGCCCTCGGGATAACATACAACTTTCTTACTGGGACTTCCTATGTTCTTTATAACTGGCTCCTGCTCACTCGCCAACCCCAACTCTCCTCTGTAGCCAGCCCCCTAAGCATTCCATCCTCTGTCCTTTGCACATATATTCAACTCTGTCTGAAGGCCAGCCCTGCACACCTTCCCCCAGCAATCTCTATTTATCCTTTAAGTCTCGATGTAGAATCATTTATTCCATGAAGCTGCCCTGGTGTTCCCCTCCCCCAACCCCACACTTTGAACTTCCCTAGCATAGCGCTTTTCACCCGATGACAATTGTCTACTTGTTTGATGTCTTCTGAGGAGGTCAGCCAGCCCTGTGACCAGAAGGCATCAGCCCTGAGTTAAGTCTTGCTCACTGTTCTGTTCCTAGCCCCTAGCAGAGGAAGCCCAGCTCCACCATGGGCTCTGGCCAAGTGTCTGTTTTCTGAGTCCTTCTTGTCCCTATCGTAAGGCCCCTCTCTCAGCCACCTCCACATGCCTTTCACGGGGCCCAGGCTCCTTCAGGCGCTCTCCCCATGGCATGCAGGGTGTGCAGGACAGCACGAGGCTGCTCGGGTCACATGCTCGGGAGCCTCAACCTACCACGGCCTCTGTACTACCCTTGTGCCCTGAGGAGCTCTGGGCTCCCTGAGCTGTGGGATCCCTTCAGCCTTTTCTGAGGTTTCTACCAGCCTTTATCTAGTCTGAGTCAGGTTGCTTTTCAGAGACATCGTCAAAGTTTAATTCTATCAACATCACCAATTAGGATGGCCCAAATCCAGAGCACAGACTTATGACCTGGAGAGGATGTGCAGCAACAGGAACTCTCATTCACTGCTGGTGGAATGCAAAATGGTGCAGCCACTCTGGTCTTTTTGTTTGTTTTTTAGAGACAAGGTCTCTCTCCCTTGCCCAGGCTGGAGTGCAGTGGCATGATCATAGCTGACTGCAGCCTGGAATTCCTGGGCTGAAGCGATATCCTCCTATCTGAGCCTCCCAAGTAGCTGGGACTACAGGTGCATACCACCACACCCGGCTAAGTTTTGTTTTGTTTTTTTTTTTTTTTTTTGAGACCGAGTCTGGCTCTGTCGCCCAGGCTGGAGTGCAGTGGCGTGATCTCGGCTCACTGCAAGCTCCGCCTCCCAGGTTCACGCCATTCTCTGGCCTCAGCCTCCTGAGTAGCTGGGATTACAGGCACCCGCCACCACGCCCGGCTAATTTTTTTTCTACTTTTAGTAGAGACGGTGTTTCACCGTGTTAGCCAGGATGGTCTTGATCTCCTGACCTCGTGATCCCCCCGCCTTGGCCTCCCAAAGTGCTGGGATTACAGGCGTGAGCCATGGCGCCTGGCCTTTTTTTTTTTTTTTTTTTTTTTGAGACAGAGTCTTTCTCTGTTGCCCAGGCTGGAGTGCAGGGGTGTGATCTTGGCTCACTGTAACCTCTGCCTCCTAGATTCAAGTGATTCTCCTGCCTCAGCCTCCGGAGTAGCTGGGATTACAGGCATGCACTACTATGCCCGGCTAATTTTTGTATTTTTAGTAGAGATGGAGTTTCACCATGTTGGCCAGGCTGATCTCGAACTCCTGACCTCAGGTGATTCACCTCGGCCTCCCAAAGTGTTGGGATTACAGGCGTGAGCCACTGCACCCAGCCAACATTTAATATTATTAGTATTTGTAGAGATGGGGGTCTCACTATGTTACCCAGGCTAGTCTCGAACTTTTGGGTGATCCTCTTGCCTCAGCTTCCCAAAGTGCTGGGATTACAGGTGTGAGCCACCACACCTAGCCAAAAGCCACAGGTTACTGATACAGCACGAAGAACTTCACATAATTTAAACTAAAACAATGCTACTGTTTGAATGTGTTCCCTTCAAACTTCAGGTGTTGACATTTAATGGCCAATGTGATAATATTAAGAGGTGGCCTTTTAAAAGGTGATTAGACCATGAGGGCTCCTCCCTAATGAGTGGGATTAAGAGCCCTATTAAAAAGGTTTCACATGGCATTCAAGTCTTGTCTCTTCTGCCTTCTGCCATGTGAGGA
The DNA here is from genome assembly GCF_000001405.40 of Homo sapiens. Classification (NCBI taxonomy): domain Eukaryota; kingdom Metazoa; phylum Chordata; class Mammalia; order Primates; family Hominidae; genus Homo; species Homo sapiens. The sequence continues at coordinate 21,110,917 of NC_000013.11, forward strand.
CGCAGAGTCCGCCTGCTCCAGAAGATGCAGCCACAAGGTGGCATCTGGGAGCAGAGTCGCCCTCGGAGACCACACACCTGCCAGCACCCTGATCTAACCTCCCAGCCTCCACAGAACTGTGAGAAATCGAGTTTGAGACATCAAGTGTATTGGTTAAAAAAAAAAAAGTAGAACTGTGAGAAATAAAGTTCTGGTGTTTTTTATGTTTTGTTTTGTTTTTTTGATGGAGTTTTGCACTGTCACCCAGGCTGGGGTGCAGTGGCACGATCTCAGCTCACTGCAGCCTCTGCCTCCCCGGTTCCAGCGATTCACCAGCCTCAACCTCCTGAGTAGCTGGGATTACAGGTGCCCGCCACCATGCCTGGCTAATTTTTGTATTTTTAGTAGAGACGAGGTTTTGCCATGTTGGCCAGGCTGATATTGAACTCCTGACCTCAGGTGATCCACCCGCCTCGGCCTCCCAAAGTGCTGGGATTACAGGTGTGAGCCACCGTGTCCAGCCTGTTGTTTATAAATTACCTAGTCTCAGGTATTTTGTTACAGTGGCAGGAACAGACTAATACAAACAGCAAAAGTAATTAATGATTTAAGACGTGATGACAATGATGTAATTGAAAGTTTAAGATGACCAAGAAGCACCGAGTGGTTTGGAGCCAGGAATGCCATGATTAGCTTGATGGATTAAGCAGATGCCTGGGCTGTAGTGTGGAGACTGGAAGGGAGAAGGCAAACCTGGGACCTGGGAGGCCAGGCAGGAAACTTGTCCACCAGGCAGGAGGGAGGGAGCCCTGAGCCAGGCTATGGCAAGGGTGACCAGAGAGCCTGACCAGGACCTGGTTTGCATAGAACAAGCCCCATTTACACCTGTTGTCCTGGGGCCCCACGCATTCTCAAATGAATCCCAGTTGCAAGGCCAGGCGCGGTGGTTCACGCCTGTAATCCCAGCAGTTTGGGAGGCCGAGGCGGGCGGATCACCTGAGGTCAGGAGTTTGAGACTAGCCTGGCCAACATGGTGAAACCCCATCTCTAATAATAATACAAAAATTAGCTGGGCATGGTGGCGCACACCTGTAATCCCAGCTACTTGGGAGGCTGAGGCAGGAGAATTGCTTGAACCCAGGAGGTGGAGTTTGCAGTGAGCTGAGATCGTGCCATTACACTCCAGCCTGGGTGACAAGAGTGAAACTCCGTCTCAAAAAAAAAAAAATGCATTTAATACACTTAACCTAAACAAGGTGTGGTGGCATGAGCCTATCATCCCAGCTACTCAGGAGGCTAAGTCAGGAGGACCACTTGAGGCCAGGAGTTCGCTGTGTGCTGTGATCACACTTGTGAATAGCCACCACACTCCAGCCTGGGCAACACAGCAAGATCCGTCTCTTAAAAAAAAAAAGGACACCTAGACGGGCACAGTGGCTCACAACTATAATCCCAGCACTTTGGGAGGCCGAGGCGGGCAGATAATTTGAGGTCAGGAGTTTGAGACCAGCCTGGCAACATGGTGAAACCCCATCTCTACTAAAAATACAAAAATTAGCTGGGTGTGGTGGCACACACCTGTGGTCCCAGCTACTCAGGAGGTTGAGGTGGGTGAATCACTTGAACCCGGGAGGCAGAGGTTGCAGTGAGCTGAGAGCACGCCACTGCACTCCAGCCTGGGTGACAGAGCAAGACTCCGTCTCAGAAAAAAAAAAAACAGACACCTAACCTACTGAACATCATAGCTTAGCCTCGCCTACCTTAACATCCACAGAACACTTACATTAGCCTACAGTTGGGGAAATCATCTAACGCAAAGCCTATTTTGTGATGAAGTGTTGAATATCTCATACAATTTATTGAATACTGTGCTGAAAGTGAACACAGAAGGGCTGTATGAGAATTCCAAGTACATATGGTTCCTACTGAATGAGTGTTGCTTTCACGCCACCACAAAGTTGAAAATCTTAAGTTGAACGTCAGGGGCATCTGTACTATATCATGTGTTATACTGGGGACAAGGGTATCTTGGTGTGAAGGGGAGGGCAAAGAATGACCGGGGCTAGGGCCATGGATTTTAGCAGGGCCATGGCCATGCAGCCTGAGTCTCGCCCACAGTGCACGGTGGCTCTGTGACTGAGTTCCTGCACTGAGATGTGATTGGAAGTGACGTGGACAACGTCCTTGCAAATGACGGTGAGGGCTTCCCCCCATTGCCCCTTCTCCTGCTCTTTTGCAGGAAACGTCAACAACCAGAGCCTTCCCCCAGGGAAGGATGGCAGAGCTGTCCCACGAGCCTGGGCCACCACATCTGGACTGTACGCGAAAGAAAAAAGAGCTCCTTTATTATTTAGGCCTTTATTTTTCTATCTTCTTGTTAAAGCAATGTAGCCTGTGTGTTAAAACACAGTAGGTATTTGCTTAATAGACTGTGTAGGAGTTTTAGATGGAAGTCCCCACTCATCACTACTGTTACCCTTAAATAGGTTTAATCTCTTAGATTCCCCAAGTCTTGGACTCAACTGTAGACATTTTGCTATGGACTTTTTTTTTTTGAGATGGAGACTTGCTTTGTCACTGCAACCTCCGCCTCCTGGGTTCAAGCGACTCTTCTGCCTCAGCCTCCCGAGTAGCTGGGACTACAGGCATGTGTCATCACTCCCAGCTAATTTTTGCATTTTTAGTAGAGATGGGGTTTCACCATATTGCCCAGGCTGGTCTCAAACTCCTGATCTCGTGATCCACCTGCCTCAGCCTCCCAAAGTGCTGGGATTACAGGTGTGATCCACCATGCCCGGCCTTGCCCTGGACTTTTTTAAACATAGAGATGAGGTCTTACTATATTGCCCAGGCTGGTCTTGAACTCCTGAGCTCCGGTGATACACCTGCCTTGGCCTCCCAAAGTGCTGGGATTACAGGCGTGAGCCACTGCACTTGTCTTGCCCTGGACTTTTACTGAATGGTCGCTAGGATGAGTTCCCCCCATTAAGGCCACAGAAAAACCGGGAAGCAGAAAGAAGCCTATATACGGAAACTGGCCTGGAGACAGGAGCCTTGGAGGAAAGGGCTCAGCCACAGGGCTGAGCCAGTCCTGGTTTCCCTTCTAGCTGTCTGTGGATGTGCTGAGCCACGTGGGGGAAGCCACGTGGTAAGTTGCTTGAGTTTGGTCCTCTATGTTAGGCTAAAGGGGTAAGTAGAATAAAGTTGACAAATGGTGAGTGGCTGCAGGGGGCTCAGGAGGAAAGCACGGATGCCCCATCCATCCTTTAGACATGCGGGGGAGAGTCCCTGGTGTGATGAAGCCTTCGAGGCCGCCCCGCTGAGTATACCCTGTGTTTACCGCGCAGCAGCTGTGTGCAGGCGATGGAGCTGGCAGGAAGCAGCACCAAGCAGAATGAGACACTGCCCTTGCCACCAAGGGGCTAAGGGGGCACTGAGGAGACAGAAAGACTCTTTTTTTTTCTTTTTTTTTTTTTTCGAGATGCAGTTTTGCTCTTGTTGCCCAGGCTGGAATGCAATGGTGGGATCTCGGCTCACTGCAACCTCCGCCTCCCGGGTTCAAGCAATTCTCCTGCCTCAGCCTCCCGAGTAGCTGGGAATACAGGCATGCACCACCATGCCCGGCTAATTTTATATTTTTAGTAGAGACAGGGTTTCTCCATGTTGGTCAGGCTGGTCTCAAACTCCCGACCTCAGGTGATCCACTTTCCTTGGCCTCCCAAAGTGCTAGGATTACAGGTGCTTGGCCTAGTTTTATCCTTAATAGGCCTCCTTTAAGGTGTTGCAATCTTTCAGTTCATTTTGGCTTAAGGTTCGTATTTTTCTTTTTCTGATGGTGGCCTGCTGGTTCAAAAGGCCTGGTTTCTGAACACGGGGTGCAATTTGTATGGATTGCATTTGGAGCAGGTGACATTACTTAAGCTGTGTTTCCATCCTGGGGTACCTCCAACCAACAAAGTCAAAGATGTAAAATACATTAACGGAGCATTTTCCCCTTGGCCTGCAATAGAAAACTCTAAAGAATTAAAAGAAGAAAAAAAGGAGGAAGACTCCTATACATGTATATACAAAATATATGCATATCTGCTATGGACAGAATGTCTGTGTGCCCCGCAAAATTCGCATGTTGACATTCTAACCTCCATTTTCATAGTATTAGGAGGTGGGGCCTTCAGGAAATAATTAGGTCGTGAGAATTGCGCCTTCATGAATGGGTTTAATGCTCTTATAAGAAGAGAATAAGAGAGCGTCTCCTCTCTCTCTCTGTGTCTCTGTCTCTTTCTCTCTGTGCCATGTGAGGAGGCAACAAGAAATCAACATTCTGTTAGCCAGGAAGAAGGCCCTCACCAAGAACTCCAGCCATGCTGACATCCTGATCTCTGACTTTCAGGTTCCAGACCTGTGAGAATAAATGTTTGTTGTTTAAGCCACACAGTCTATGGTAATTTGCTATAGCAGCCTGAGCTAAGAATAGGGGTGTGTGTGTGTGTGTGTGTGTGTGTGTGAGAGAGAGAGAGAAAATGATGAATACAGTATCATTACACTTAATGAGGTGCCTAATGGTGGTTGCCAGGGGCTGGGGGGAGGGACATGGGGGCCTTGTTTAATGAGCACAGCTTCCATTTACAAGATGGAAAGCTTCTGGAGATCTGTTTCACAATGATATAAATGTCCGTAACGTTACTGAACTGTACGCTTAACAATGGTTAAGTGATAAATCCTATGTTAGGTGTTTTTAACCACAATTTTTAAAAACCCAGATACCTAATTGTCAATTCTTGATTTCTTATTGGCCAAGGAATATCACTGGTATTAGTTTATCTACTGTGTCACACCCTCGATTTAAAAACGCCCAGGGTTGTTTGACGTTTGAAGGAAACATGACCCATACGATCCAGTCAGCGTCGCAATTCACGCTTTGTTCTTTGTTAACTCAGTGAAAGGGGTCACACTCATAATGGCTTTGCCCATTGTTGGTGATGGTTATCTCTTCTCCCTCTGGTGTTCCCTGAAGAAAGGGTCCTCCTGAGAAAAGAAGCTTAGAAGGGGAGGCTGAAAAAGGAGATGAGGTGCAAGGACGTGAGGCCAGCCAGGCATCAGAGCACACTTGGGTAGCCATGGGCTAGCCTGTGCGTGGTCAGAGTGACACATCACATGGGAGACTCAGCCTACTGGCAAACTTCCTGATTTATTCAAAGTATACTGCGGGATGTAGTCTTGTGGCAAGTGGGCTGCAGAGATGCTGAGTACCTTGGTAGAAGCACCCAGGGCCATCCCCTACAGGTGGTCAGGCATGTGGGTGCATTGACATCAGCCTGGGAAGCCCTCACGTTGCTATTGTGTTATCCTTCCTCCCTGTGGTCCTGCTCCCCGCTTCCCATCCCCCTGCAGTCCCTGAAGCTTCTGCCCAAGGGCATTTACTCCACCCCAATGCTCCTCCATGCTCCTTGCTAGCCAAGCAACACTTTTACTCAACCAGAAAAAGGCAAGCCAGCTGGCGCGGTGGCTCACACCTGTAATAGTAGCACTTGCGGAGGCCAAGGCAGGTAGATCACTTGAGGTCAGGAGTTCGAGACCAACCTGTTCACCAACATAGCCAAACCCTGAGTCTACTAAAAATACAAAATTAGCTGGGTGTGGTGGCACACACTTGTAATCCCAGCTACTTGGGAGGCTAAGACAGGAGAATCACTTGAACCCAGGAGGTGGAGGTTGCAGTGAGCTGAGATTGCGCCATTGTACTCTAGCCTAGGTGGCAGAGTGAGACTCCATCTCAAAAAAGAAAGAAAGAAAAAGGCAAGCCTTTCTTCAGACCCCTTACCACATGCTACCGGACACGGTCATAGTCACTGTCCTATTTGATGACAACTACAATGGGACGGGGCTCACACAGAGTGGTGCAAAACACAGTTTGCACAACCATGAGCAGCAGCTTTTTATGCTGTCTATGGAAAGCTTTGACTCTGCAGTTAATCTTTCTGAGATTCCCATTTCCTGCTACTTTGGCCAACAGACATCATACGAGTTAGTGGGCCTTTTTATAGAACAAAACTGATATTAAAGCCAATAACTAATCAAAGCCAGATTCCTAAAAACATATCTCACAAAACTGCTGTCACACAAGCACAAAAAGTAGTTGCCCCACTACCCTCACACCTAACACATGGCACTTAACAGCATTTCCTAAGTGTCAGACATTGTCGTTAGTGTTCTACAAATATTAACTCATTGAACCGCATCCTCTTAGCAATCTTATGAGGCTGCCATGATTATTTCTCTATTATAGATGAGAACTCTGAAGCATGAAAAGGCCAAGTGTCTTGGTCCATATTGTGCTGTTATAGCAGGATACCTGAAATTGGGTAATATACAAAGGAATTTCTCACAGTTCTGGAGGCTGGGAAGTCCAAGGTCAAGGCAATGGCATCTGGTGATCTGGTGAGGGCTGTATCCTCTGGAGGGGAGGGATGCTGTGTCCTCATATGGCAGAGGGTAGAGAGGCAAATGGGCAAATGCTACATGAAGCCTCTTTTATAAGGGCCTTAATCCCATTAACCAGGAAGGAGTCCTCATGGTCTAATCACCTCTTAAAGGCCTACCTCTTAATACTGTCACATTGGCAACACCTGAGTTTTAGAGGGGACACATTCAAACCACAGGACTAAGTAAATTCCCCAAGGTCACCCAGAGTTAGCAAGTGGAGAACCATGAGCAAATCCAGGCAGCTGGCCTCAGAGCACTACACAATGCTTCCTTTGTTTGTTTGTCTTGGGGTTTTTCTTTTCTTTCCTTTGTTTTTTTTTTTTTGAGGGTCTCACTATGTTGCCCAGGCTGGTGCCTCCCAGTTTCTTATTTCCATTTTTACTTATTATTTCACTTATTTTTATTTTCACTCAATGAACACATCCAAAAGCCTAAAGCCATCTTTATATAGGCATTATAAACAGATACATTTTTGAAATTTATGTAAATCCACACAAGTGGTCGTGGAAAAATGGTGAATGTAAGCAAAATTAAAATGACTGAGAATCTGCATTTGCATTACCTGGGTTTGGAAAGCAAAAGTGTGGGAGTTCAGCATGGTATTTATTCATAATTTAAGAATCGGAAAGACACCATGCTCAGTATTTCCTGTCACTCACCTCAGCCCTAACCAGTTGGGACCACCCAGTCGCCCCAAGAATGGAGATTTTTCACTGAACTTTCTGTTTGGGAGGCAGCACCCCTCCCACCCAGCGGCTGCTCCCTAGCAGCTGCCACATTTTCAGCTGGGGAATTCCAGCTTTGTCTTGTCTCTGTGGCAGGCCACCAGGAGCCGTGCTGGACTGCAGTCGAGGCACAGCCTGATGATACTGATCTATAATTACTGTTTGTCCCTTGTAACTACACTTTTAAGCACTGTCAAGAAACTACTGTACCTTTTGTAGTATATTCAAAGCTAAAGTGGAAGATCTTAAAGATTCCCATTCTATTTATAAAGCTATGATGACATCATGTCCTTAGCAATGACAAGTTCTGCGCATATGAAATTTATAACATAGATCAAGTTTTGAGAATTTTTACCTTGTTCCTAGAAGTCTAATTGAAGACGTAACTAACGTAACCACCTTTGCTTCATATTTACTTTTTCCATATGTTCTTAAGTGTAATAGGTAGGACCAATTTGTTGGCCACTCATTCATTCATTCATACACAGTTTCAACCAACATTTGTTGAATGTTAGATCTCGGGCACAAGCTATGCCCTAGGATGCAGGAAAAATAAAACAGACCCTACCATCCTGGAGAAAGAAAGAAAAGAAAGAACACTGGGCAAGTGCCACTTAACTCTGTGCCAGGCATTGGTCTAGAAAGACTGACATGGTAAAAAATAATTAGAATAGTTTGAAAGATTTAGGAAATCATCATTCAAGATTTTGTGGGTGGCTGGGTGCAGTGGCTTATGTTTGTAATACCAGCCCTTTGGGAGGCCAAGGCAGGAGGATCGCTGTAGACCAGCCTGGGCAACATAATGAGGTCCCATCTCTACAAAAATACAAAAATAGCTAGGTATGGTGGCACACACCTGAGCCTGGGAGGTGGAGCCAACAGTGAGCTGAGATCGTGCCACTGCACTCCATCCTGGGAGACAGAATGAGACCATGTCTCAAAAAAAAAAAAAAAAAAAAAGTGGGTACAGGAGGAAGGAATGATGAAGTGTCCTGCGACTTGCAATCACAGGCAATGGTTTATCTTTTCTAATTTCATGTTTCTTCCATGTGATCTGGGACTCTTCTTTCCTCCATACACAGGACCTCTTCAAATGGGGAGATAATTTATGAGCATAAACTATCAACAATTAAGCTAAATCTCAAACACAATCTCAGTTTACTCAGCATTCCTTTGCTTTTTCATTTTTTGTTTTTATTTCTTGCTTGAGTGGTTAATATGCCTACATGGTTCAAAAATAGTATTTTTAGGCCGGGTGTGGTGGCTCACGCCTGTAATCCCAGCACTTTGGGAGGCCAAGACAGGCAGATCACCTGAAGTCAGGAGTTCGAGATCAGCCTGGCCAACATAGCAAAACCCTGTCTCTGCTAAAAATACAAAAATTAGCCAGGCGTGATGGTGTGTGCCTGCAATCCCAGCTACTCTTTAGGCTGGGGCAGGAGAATCAGTTGAACTCAGGAGGCGGAGGTTGCAGTGAGCTGAGATTATAGCACTGCACTCCAGCCTGGGCAACAGAGCAAGACTCCATCTCAAAAAAAAAAAAAAAGTATTTTAAAATATAACTAAATGTATTTTCATATATTATTTATATATTAATATATTACATGATTAATATTATTAAATAATTTATTGTATTAATAATAAATAAAATATTTTTATTAATAATAAATGTTTTATTAGTAAATATAAGGTTTATAAAATAAGTACAATAAGTATAAAATATTAATAATTATATTTACGTGTATATATACATATACATACATAAAATAAGGTATACAGTCTCTATAGGTTTCTACTTGTATTAGTTCCTCATGGACCTTTCCTATGTTCATTCATGAACAAACCAATGCAAATGTGCTTACTTACTCCTCCCCCTCCCCGTTTTATAAATAAAATGTAGCGCTCTGTCTACAATACTCAGCACGTTGCTTTTGTTCATTTAATGGTATATCCTGGACAATGATAATATCCTCATTATTTTTTACTGCTGCATTATATTCCTTTTTGTGAATGGGCCATAGTTTATTTAACCAAACTCTGACGGATGAGCATTTGGGTTTTTTAGTTTAAAGTCTTTTGTTGTGTCAAGCTTGTAACCATAGCCTTTTGTATACGTGTTTGTGTATCTGAATGATTAGTACTCAGAAAAGGGGTTGCAGAGTCAAACATATTTTTAAGTTGGATTAAATACTGCATTGACAAAGTGTTCCCTATTGGGGTGGTAACATTTTACATTTTCATCAGCAACTTAGGAAAGCTCCTGTTTCTTCAACGTTTGGGTTTTTGCTGATGCAATAGGTAGAAAGCAGTATTTCCGTCAAGTTTTAATGTGCCTACTTTTCTCTTACATGAGAGAGGTTGAGCATCCGTTCATTGATTCCAGGGCCATTTGCATTTCTTGTTCTATAAACTGTGTCCGTTGCCCATTTTTCATTTGGATTAATCTTTTCTATTTCTAAGAACTCCTTATAAGTCAGAGAGGGCCGGACAGATTGGCTCACACCTGCAATCCCAGCACTTTGGGAGGCCAAGATGAGAGGATTGCTTGGGCCCAGGAGTTCGAGACCAGCCTGGGCAACATGGTGAAACCTTGTTTCTACAAAAAAATCTAAAAAAATAGAAATTAAAATAATAATAATAAGAAGAAGTTAGAATAGCCCCGTGTCTGTGGCATAGTTTCCAGTATCTTTTTCTGGTTTGTCGTTTGTTTGCTGCTTATAGGCAGGGTCTTGCTCTGTCATCCAGCAGGAGTGATGTGGCACAATCAGGGCTCATTGCACCCTTGAACTCCTGGGGTCAAGTGATCCCCTCTGCCTCAGCCTCCCAAGTAGCTGGGACTACAGGCATGCACCACGCCCAGCCATGTCATTTGTTTTTTAACTTTGCTTATGGTGATTGATTTTTATGAAGTGGGATTATTCGCTCTGTCGCCCAGAATGGAGTGTAGTAGCACGATCATAGCTCTCTGCAACTTCAAACTCCCAGGCTCACGTTATCCTCCCACCTCAGCCTTCTGAGTAGCTAGGACTACAGATGCGCATCACACCCAGTTAATTTTTTATTTTAGTAAAGACAGTTTTGCCATGTTAGCCAGGCTGGTCTCGAACTCCTGACCTTAAGTGATCCACCTGCCTCAGCATCCCAAAGTGCTGGGATAACAGGTGTGAGCCACCATGCCAGGCCAATGTCCCCACTTAAAAATGCAACATCTATGCCTACCCAAACACTCCAAGCCCCTTACCCTGCTTTACCTTTTCCACAATGATCACTTCATAATATAATCTTTTTTTTTCTTTTTTTCTTTTTTTTTTTTTTGAGACAGAATCTCATTCTGTTGCCCAGGGTGAAGTGCAGTGGTATGATCTTGGCTCACTGCAACCTCTGCCTTTCAGATTCAAGTGATTCTCGTGCCTCAGCCTCCCAAGCAGGTGGGATTACAGGCATGCGCCACCACACCAGCTAGTTTTTTAATTTTTAATAGAGATTGGGTTTCACCATTTTGGCCAGGCTGGTCTCAAACTCCTGACTTCAGCTGATCTGCCCACCTCGGCCTCCCAAAGTGCTGGGATTACAGGTATGAGCCACCATGCGTGGCCGCTTTGTAACATGATCTATTATTCACTTATTTATTTTCTTCTTTTTATTGCCTGTCTTCTTCATATGACTATAAACTTCACTGGGACAGAGTTTTTTTCTCGTTTGTTTACTGAACATCTGCAGAGCCTAAACAGAGCCTCAAATGCAGGAAGTATTCAATAAATATTTATCAAGTGGATGAATTCAATTTTTGTTTTCTTTTTCCATTGGAGTTGGAGGTTTTTTTCTTATGAATTCTTTACATATTAAAGATATTGGCCGGGCGCGGTGGCTCATGACTGTAATCCCAACACTTTAGGAGGCCAAGGCGGGCGGATTGCCTGAGGTCAGGAGTTCAAGACCAGTTTGGCTAACATGGTGAAACCCTGTCTCTACTAAATATACAAAAAAATTAGCTGGGCATGGTGGTGTCCATCTTTAATCCCAGCTACTTGGGAGGCTGAGGCAGGAGAATGGCATGAACCAAGGAAGTAGAGCTTGCAGTGAGCTGAAATCGCACCACTGCACTCCAGCCTGGGTGACAGAGCAAGACTGTCTCAAAAAAAAAGATATTAGCCCTTTTGTCAATATGTTATATTTTTCTTAGAATATGTGTCCAAAAAAAGAGAATATGTCTCCCACTTTTCCTATGCATTTTCTTACATTATGGATAATATTTTATGAGCTGTATTATAGATATTTTCCTATACTTAAAAAAAATTTGGCCTGGCACGGTGGCTCATGCCTGTAATCCCAGCACTTTGGGAGGCTGAGGCTCCCTCCTCAATCCCAGTAGGCACCATTCCCACCATTGTGTCTCTCCCAGTGGCCACCTGCATTCACAAAGCATTGCCTTTATTCCTGGCACACACAGATAATAATTGAGGTCACTGTGTGATCACTGCATGCTATGCCCCTCCAGGATCCCATTTCCACCAAGAGGAGCTTGCCACTGCCTTCCAACCCAACCACCTCAGACAGCCAACCCCAGAACCTCACTGCTTTGGCCTTAGGGTTTGTTCCCCGCCCCGCCCCCACAACCTCCGCCCCTCCCCCCTACTCCCCGTCCCCTGCCCCCTGCCAGATTCCTATGTTGAATAGTCCCCACTGTGTTGGTATTGAGAGTTGAGATCATTGGTAAATGATCAGGTCATAAGGATGGACTCCTCATGAATGTGATTAGTGTCCTTGTTTCTGTTACAGGCTGGAGTGTAGTGGTGTGATCTCTGCTCACTGCAACCTCTGCTTCCCAGGTTCAAGCGATTCTCCTGCCTTAGCCTCCCAAGTAGCTGGGATTACAAGCATGTGCCAACCACACCCAGCTAATTTCTGTATTTTTAGTAGAGATGGGGTTTCACCATGTTGGCCAGGATGGTCTTGATCTCCTGACCTCATGATCCACCCACCTCGGCCTCCCAAAGTGCTGGGATTACAGGTGTGTTGCCCAGGCTGGAATGCAATTGTGCAATCTCGGCTCACTGCAACCTCTGCCTCCTGGGTTCAAGTGATTCTCCTGCCTCAGCCTCCTGAGTAGCTGGGATTACAGGCATGTGCCACAACCCCCAGCTAATTTTGTATTTTTAGTAGAGACGGGGTTCCTCCATGTTGGTCAGGCTGGTCTTGAACTCCCGACCTCAGGTGATCCGTCTGCCTCGACCTCCCAAAGTGCTGGGATTACAGGAGTGAGCCACTGCACCTGGCTCTCCCTCTGTCTCCCTCTGTCACCCGGCTGGAATGCAGTGGCGTGATCTCAGCTCACTGCAACCTCACCTCCCGGGTTGAAGCAATTCTCAGACCTCAGCCTCCCGAGTAGCTGGGATTACAGGCACCCACCACCATGCCTGGCTATTGTTTGCCCTTTTTTGCCCTTCTGCCATGTGAGGACACATAGAAGGTGCCATCTAAGAGGAACGGGCCCTCACCAGACACTGAATACCTGGCTCCTTGATCTTGGACTTCCCCACCTCCAGAACTGTGAGCAAGACATTCTGTTGTGTATAAATTACGCAGTCTAAGCTGTTTTGCTACAGCAGCCTGAACAGACTGAGACACCCACATTTGAGAGTTGTTTCCTGGGGCCACTTCTGGCACCAAACACGCAGTGTTCAATTGGAAAAACAAACCATTCTAGATATTTTAAGCAGAAAGGGATTTAAATTACGGAATCAGATACTGTAAAAACTGCTGGCAGGTCTAAAGGAGCAAAAATCCAGGGAAGTTTGTCAAAACAGCATGAAGAAAGATGCTAAGTAGCATGAAAAAATCCAGGAAAGTAAGGTGTTAGTTTCCAGGTTCATCATGACAGCTATGGGACGGGGACCTAGGAAATTGCTGCCCCCTGTTCCCTGGTCAGAAACCTCCATGATGCTCAAACGCCCAACAGGGAGGGGCAGCCTCGCAGCGGGTGCCTGGAGGTGGCTGCAAGGCCTCAGGTGTGCTGAGGTCCCCACATGCCCCCTGCTTGCGGCCTCGGCATCCCTTTGTCTTTCAAATAATGCAGGAGTACCTAAACTTGGTCCTTGGCAGAATGTAAATCCTGGAACCCTGGAGGCAAGAGGGTCTGGGAAATGCAGTTCTAGGATTCCGAGGAAGGCAGTGGAGATAAACCGTGGCTGAAGATAAAAAGAGGGAGAGAAAGCTCCCTAATGTCTAGCACACTCCATTAGAAACCTGGCCGGGCGCGGTGGCTCACGCCTGTAATCCCAGCACTTTGGAAGGCCGAGGCGGGAGGATCACGAGGTCAGGAGATCGAGACCACGGTGAAACCCTGTCTCTACTAAAAATACAAAAAAAAAAAAAAAAAGAAAAGAAAAATTAGCCGGGCATGGTGGCGGGCGCCTGTAGTCCCAGCTACTCGGGAGGCTGAGGCAGGAGAATGGCGTGAACCCAGGAGGCGGAGCTTGCAGTGAGCCGAGATAGCGCCACTGCACTCCAGCCTGGGCGACAGAGCGAGACTCCATCTCAAAAAAAACCAAAAACCAAACAACAACAACAACAAAAAACTTCTTTCTAATCAGGAATTCAGCTCTCTTCATTATACTCACTCTTTCTGTGAATCTCCTGACCCCCCCCCCCGCCCCCCGACAGGCTATTTCTCAGGGCCTGGTCCACAGGCCAGGTGTGCCCCATCCCAATCCTACTAAAATGTGCTCTCTGCAGGCAGCCTTTTTAGGACCACCATTAAGTACGCTGACAACCAAAACTTTCCTTTTCTCCAAGCTGTGAAGCTAAGGTTTCTGGAGTTTCCAATGGTTGCAAAGCCCACATAACTCGCTGAGCAACTGAGCTTGTGTCTGCTCCCCCTGTGCTGGCACACTGCCCAGAGTGGCAGCTTGCGAAGTCAGGAGCAGGATGGGGCATCTGAGACGGCCCTGCCTCCTCAGTACGCTTCAGCACACTCCAGTGTGTGAGTACAAGGCAGGAAGCGCTGGCTGCTGTCATTCCCTTTGTCCTGAAGAATGACAAATAGTCCACTGTAGGGTCCCAGCGGCTTCCCTGCCATGCCCAACTCATACCCTCAGTATAAATTACAAATTTACAGTTACACACCCTACCATCATACCTTAGCAGAGAAAAAAAATTAAGCTGAGTTACAAACTAGATGTTATTAAAAGCCTAAAGATTATGGTTACAAAGAAAAATATAACTATTACAAATTCTCAAGGCTTAATTATTTTTTCTTTGTAAAGACAGGCAGGCTGGACACAGTGGCTCATGCCTGTAATCCCAGCACTTTGAGAGGCCGAGGTGGGCGGATCACCTGAGGTCAGGAGTTCAAGACCAGCCTAGACAACATGGTGAAACCCTGTCTCTACTAAAAATACAAAAATTAGCCAGGTGTGGTGGTGTGTGCCTGTAGTCCCAGCTACTCGGGAGGCTGAGTCAGGATAATCGCTTGAACCTGGGAGGCAGAGGTTGCAGTGAGCCAGGATTGAGCCACTGCACTCCAGCCTGGGCAACAAGAGCAAAACTCCGTCTCAAATAAATAAATAAAGGCAATTAAAATGTAAATTTGTAAAACAACAACAACAACAACAAAATAAAGGCTTGTGATACTACCCACCAGAATAGATCAAGCAAAAATTTGGATCCGGTAATTTTTTTTTTTTTTTTTTTTGAGATGGAGTCTTGCTCTGCCACCCAGGCTGGAGTGCAGTGGCGCCATCTCAGCTCACTGCAAGCTCTGCCTCCCGGGTTCACACCATTCTCCTGCCTCAGCCTCCCAAGTAGCTGGGACTACAGGCGCCCGCCACCACGCCCAGCTAATTTTTTGTATTTTTTTAGTAGAGACGGGGTTTCACCATGTGAGCCAGGATGGTCTTGATCTCCTGACCTCGTGTGGATCTGGTAATTTTTAAGTCTTAAAAATTCTTTGAACTCAGAACTGTAAATAATGAAGAGATGTCCAAAGCATTGGCAGGCCTTGCACAGAAATTTCCTGGCTGCTTGAATTTCAAACCTCTCGCCTTCCCAAGTCAGTGAGCACCAAGCTTTGGGAATGATTCCCAACCCCAGGGAGCCCTCGAAACAGCTGAGGTCCTGGGCTTTCCCTGGAGGTGTTGGTTTCCGTTGTTTGTTGTTATTGTTGTTTTAAGATTCCCAGGTGCTTCTAATATGCAGCCACAATTGAAAACCTCTGGTTTAAGGGTTAAATAAGGCGGACATCTCAACTGTTTTCATATTGCTACTTCACTACTTCTACTACTCCCAGAAATAATCTAGTAACTATTTCCAGTCCCACAATGTAATGGTCTTGAACTGATGCCATTTAAAGTTGTGTTCACCTGGCCTGTAACAGCCACCTTGACTCCTTTCATAGCCTGGGGTTGTGGCTGACTTTTGTGACTTTCCCTGAGTGAAATGGTGTGTGCACTAGAGTTACTGTCTTCTCTCCTGGCTGGCCATTTTGAAATACCTTCCACATACAATACATGCCTACTTATTTGCTTTTTCTCCCTTTTCGTTGATCAGGACTTAAGAGTTTTGAAAGTTGATTAAAATAAATATTCTTCAGAACTTGAATCTGGCTGTCAAGAATGTGAGTGAAGCCCCATACAGTGGCTCACACCTGTAGTCCCAGCAGTTTGGGAGGGCAAGGCAGGAGGATCACTTGAGCCCAGGAGTTCCAGACCAGCCTGGGCAACATAGTCACTCTGGTTGGGGCATGCCCTCTGCACCAGCTCTGGGAGGTGATTCTGCCTGTTTTGCTGACTGCCCAACCTCACAGAGTGGTTGTGTGTTTTTCTAAGCCTAATCGATCAGCCTTCTTGGTGGTTCTATGAGCTGCTTTTTCAGTCCATTCCTTTTCTTAAATTGGCCAGAGTCCTTCCATGTTTGCAAGAAGAATCCCAACTGCTATGACTCTTATTCTAATTAAAATAAAATTCAAACTCCTGTCATGGTCTCAGATAGGTGACCTGGCCCCTGCCCACATCTCTGGCCTTTCTGTCCTTTGTCCTCCCTGCTCCAGCCCCTGGCCTGGCTTCTTTTTTTTTTTTTCCTTTTTGAGACAAAGTCTCACTCTGTCCCCCAGGCTGGAGTGAAATGGCGCAATCTCGGCTCACTGCAACCTCTGCCTCTCGGGTTCAAGTGATTCTTCTGCCTCAGCCTCCTGAGTAGCTAGAATTACAGGTGCCCGCCACCACGCCTGGCTAATTTTTTTTATATTTTTAGTAGAGACAGGGTTTCACCATGTTGGCCAGGCTGGTCTCGAACTCCTGACCTCAGGTGATCTGCCCGCCTCGGCCTCCCAAAGTGTTGGGATTACAGGCGTGAGCCACTGCGCGTGGCTGGCCTGGCTTGCTTTCATTCTCCCTACATGCAGCCTGGGCCATCTCAGCCCCTTCCCAGAGCTCACCTTCTGCCTGCAAGCCCCATCTCCCAGATCTCCAGGCTGTCTCTTCTCATTTGGCATCACTTCAGGGCCCTGTGTGTTTCTCTTTCTCTTTTTTTTTTTTTTTTTCTGAGACAGGGTCTTGTTCTGTCACATAGGCTGGAGCGCAGTGGCACAATCATAGCTCACTGCAGCCTTGACCTCCTGGGCTCAAGTGATCCTCCTACATTAGCTTCCCAAGTAGCTGGGACCACAGGTGCACACTACCATACCCAGTTAATTTTAAAATTTTTTTGTAGAGATAGGGTCTTACTATGTTGTCCAGGCTGATCTTGAAGTCCTGGGCTCAAACAATCCTTCTGACTCAGCCTCCCGAAGTGTTGGGGTTATAGGCACGAGTTTCCAGTTTATTTGGGTAAATACCAAGGAGCATGATTGCTGAATTGTATGATAATAGTATGTTTAGTTCTGTAAGAAACTGCCAAACTGTCTTTCAAAGTGGCTGTACCATTTTGCATTTCCACCAGCAATGAATGAAATTTCCTGTTGCTCTACATCCTCAGCATTTGGTATTGTCAATGTTTTTTATTTAGCTGCATAAACAATCATGTCACCTGCAAACTACAACAGTTCTTTTTTTTTTTTTTTAAACTAGTTTATATAAATAGAGACAGGGTTTTGCTATGTTGCCCAGGCTAGTCTCAAACTACTGGGCTCAAGTGATCTGCCTGCCTCAGCCTCCCAAATTTCTGGGATTACAGGCATAAGCCACCATGCCCAGCCAGTACAACAGTTTTAATTCTTCCTCCCCAATCTGTCTACCTTTACTTTTCTTTTCTCATCTTGCATTAGCTAGGACTTCTAATACAATATTAAAAAGCAGTAGTGAGAAGGGACATCCTTTCCTTGTTCCTCATCTTAGGGGGAGGACTAATTTCTCACCATTAAGAATATGATGTTAGCTGTAGGCTTTTTGTAGATGTTCTTTATCTAGCAGAGGAAGTTCCTCTTTATTCCTAGTTTGCTGACAGTTTTTTTTATCATGAATGGGCGTTTGATTTTGTCAAATGCTTTTTTTTATATTATTGATATGATATTATTTTCCTTCTTTATTATTATTATTTTTTTGAGATGGAGTCTTGCTCTGTTGCCCAGGCTGGAGTGCAGTGGCCCAATCTTGGCTCATTGCAACCTCCGCCTCCTGGGTTCAAGTGATTCTCCTGCCTCAGCCTCCTGAGTAGCTGGGATTACAGGCACCTGCCACCACACCCGGCTAATTTTTGTATTTTTAGTGGAGATGGGGTTTTTGTATTTTGTTTTGTATTTTTAGTAGAGACAGGGTTTCACCATGTTGGTCAGGCTGGTCTCAAACTCCTGACATTGTGATCCGCCCACCTCGGCCTCCCAAAGTGCTGGGATTACAGGTGTGAACCACCACGCCCAGCAACATCAGCTGATTTTTAAATATTGAGCCAGCCTTGCATACCTGGGATAAATCCCACTTGGTTATGGTTTTTTAATACAACATTGTTGGATACAATTTGCTTATATTTGTTGAGGATTTTTGCCTCTGTGTTCATGAGAGATACTGATCTATTTTTTTTTTTTAAGCCAGGATCTCATCTTGTCACCCAAGCTGGAGTGCAGTGGTGCAATCCTGGCTCACAGCAGCTTCAGTCTCCTAGACTTAAGTGATCCTCCCACCTAAGCCTCCCAAGGAGTGGGGACTATAGACATGCACCACCACGCCTGGCTACTTTTTCATATTTTTTATAGAGATGGGGTTTTGCCATGTTGACCAGGCTGGTCTCGAACTCCTGACCTCAAGTGATCTGCCCACCTTGACCTCCCAAAGTGCTGGCATTACATGTGTGAGCCACTGCGTCTGGCCCTAAAATGTCTTTAACCATGTAACACATATTTTAATACCAGTTATACATTTATTTGGGAGCGGTGGCTCACTTGTGTAATCCCAGCACTTTAGGAGGCCTCTACAGCTTGCCTCTGGTAAATATGTTGCTGACACTCTGCAGACTCTTGAGGAAGTAGATGTCTGTTTGAAAACCATTTTCCATCTAATCATTCAAATGCTTAAATTAGGGATTAAAATGAGAGACATTTCAACTCTCTGAAAAGACAATGCCACCCCTTTTTCTGTTCCACTGGCTTAAAAGTAAGTGGGTTTCCAAATCCTACACCTTAGGGTCTAATTGGTGGGAACAGCCTAGTAATTTATCCAACTGTTCATTGATATAATTCAATAGGCATTAACTGAGCACTAGCTATGTGCTAGGTAGGCTCTGTGGACTGGGCTAGGAGCTGGGGATGCAGAGGTAAGACAGAGCCTCTGCCCTCAGGCAGTTTACATTCTATAAAGAGAGGGTGACATAAGTCACATAAATCAGAAACGAGAGATGCTATGAGAAATAAACAAGCGATTGCTGATGGAGGAGGGAGGCAGAGAGAACTCTACATTACTAAAGCTGAGAAAGGCCTCTCTGAGATTACTTTGATAATAGAGTGAGTGAGGACTGAGGATGGGACAAGGGTGTGGGGGAAGATTGTCTCAGGCAGAGGAAGCAGCAAATGTTAACGTCCTGGTCTGGTAGGGAAGGCCCACAGGGCTGCAGAGCAGTGAATTAGGAGGATGGCGGGAGAGGAGGGTGGAGGAGTCATCAGTATCTTAGTATGGAAGTTAGCTTTTGTTCCAAAGTACAATGGATACTTTGAAGGTTTTTAATCAAGGGATTAGGACTTTTAAAACACTACCCCTCTGGCTATAGCGTGAAGAATGCCAGTAGGGGTGACACAGCAAGAACAGTTAGGAGGATCAGGACTGATTCATGGCAGCATTGCCTGTAGTGCTGATGCCAAACAAGCACTTGTGCTCATTTGTAAAAATACAGAGTTCTGGCCAGGCTGGTGGCTCATGCCTGTAATCCCAGTGAGAGGTGAAGCCAGCTGGACTTCCTGGGTGGAGTGGGGACTTGGAGAACTTTTCTGTCTTACAAGAGGATTGTAAAATGCACCAATCAGCACTCTGTAGCTAGGATTGTAAAATGCACCAATTAGCGCTCTGTAGCTAGCTAGAGGTTTGTAAAATGCACCAATCAGCACTCTGTAAAAATGCACCAATGAATGCTCTGTAGCTAGCTAGAGGTTTGTAAAATGGACCAATCAACACTCTGTAAAATGGACCAATCAGCGCTCTGGAAAATGGACCAATTAGCAGGACATGGGCAGGGACAAATAAAAGAATAAAAGCTGGCCATTCCCCCTTTTTCCACCGCCCCCTGCTTCCGCCAGCAGTTGCAACCAGCTCCAGTCTCTTTCTGGGTTGTGGAGGTTTTGCTCTTTCCCTCTTCCCAATAAATTTTGCTGTTGCTCACTTTTCGGGTCCCTGCGGTCATTAAGAGCTGTAACACTCACTATGCCATCTTTAAGAGCTGTAACACTCACCGCGAGGGTCCGTGGCTCCGTTCTTGAAGTCACGGAGACCACGAACCCACCGGACACCAGCACTTTGGGAACCCTTGGAGGCTGAGGCAGGTGGATCACCTGAGGTCAGGAGTTCTGAGACCAGCCTGACCAATTTGGTGACACTCTCTCTCTACTGAAAATACAAAAATTAGCTGGGTGTTGTGGTGTGAGCACATAATCCCAGCTATTTGGAAAGGGAGACAGGACAATTGCTTGAACCCAGGAGGCAGAGGGTGCAGTGAGCGGAGATCGTGCCATCGCACTCCGGTGTGGGAGACAGAGACTCCATCCCCCCTCCAAAAAAAAGAGGTTTTTTTTTGTTTTGTTTTTGTTTTTGAGACGGAGTCTTGCTCTGTCACCCAGGCTGAAGTGCAGTGGCGCGATCTCAGCTCACTGCAACCTCCACCTCCTGGGTTCAAGCGATTCTCCTGCCTCAGCCTCCCGAGTACCTGGGACTACAGGCGCCCGCCACCATGCCTGCCTAATTTTTTTTTTGTATTTTTAGTAGAGACAGGGTTTCACTGTGTTAGCCAGGATGGTCTCGATCTCCTGACCCTGAGATCTGCCCGCCTTGGCCTCCCAAAGTGCTGGGATTACAGGCATGAGCCACCAAAAAAGAGTTCTTAAGATAGCAAAAAGTAACCACCTGGGCTTGGTGGCTTATGCTTGTAATCCTAGCACTGTGAGAGGCAGAGGTAGGAGAATCACTTGAGGCCAAGAGCTCAAGACCATTCTGGGCAACCTAGCAAGACTCAATCTCTACAAAGTATTAAAAAATGAGCTGGATGTGGTGGCTCATGCCTGTAGTACAAGCTGCTCATGAAGCTGAGGAGGGAGGATCCCTTGAGCCCAGGAGCTGGAGGCTGCAATGAGCTGTGATCATGCCACTGCCCTCCAGCCTGGGAGACAAAGTGAGACACTTTCTTTCTTAAAATAAATAAATAAATAAGAAGGCCAGGTGACATGGCTCATGCCTGTAATCCCAGCACATTGGGGGTGAAGGTGGCAGGATCACCTGAGGTCAGGAGTTTGAGACCAGCCTAGCCAACATGGTGAAACTCCGTCTCTACTAAAAATTATAAAAATTAGCCAGGTGTGGTGGCATGCGCCTGTAATGCCAGCTACTTGGGAGGCTGAGGCAGGAGAATCACTTGAAGTGTGGAGGTGAAGGTTGCAGTGAGCCCAGGTGGCCACTGCACTCCAGCCTGGGCAAGAGAGTGAGACTCTGTCTCAAAAACCGAAAGAGAGAAGAAATGTACAGTCTAAGTAGTAATTGTACTATCTGTAAGCTTAATTCTTCTAGGATTGTTATGGAAATTTATATATTTTTTCGACTCCTTTTTTGAGACAGGGTCTCACTCTGTTGTCTAAGCAAAAGAGTTGTACAGTTATACACAATCACGGCTCACTGCAGCCTTGACCTCCTGGGCTCATACAAACCTCCCACCTCCAGCTTCCTGAGTACCTGGGACTACAGGCACGTCCCACCCCAGCTAATTTTTTTTTTTTTTTAAGAGACAGGGGTCTTGATAATGTTGCTCAGGCTGGTCTTGAACTCCTGGACTCAAGTGATATTCCTGCCTCAGCCTCCCAAAGTGCTGGGATTACAGGTGTGAGCCTTTGCGCCCAGCCTTTACTCTTGGTAACAAGTAGATGCTTTACTGAGACTGTTCACATACAACCCTTTGGGAAACAGAGCCCAGTAAATATTGTGCTTATAAATGCTGTACCCCTTGTCGCCTACAGATACACCTGAAGGAAAGAGTGTCATGAGAGGAATTTGAAAAGCATTAATAATCCCCTAGAGATTCAAATTTATAATCCACAACTTTTATAAACAACCAGATAGTTCTATGGATAATACATTTCATTAAATCTTCTCCAGAAACAAATTTTGTATAGTGTTCACTTATTTCCCTGCCATTAAAAGGTCATTCTTCTTCATATTAACAGCAGAGAATGCCATGGAGTTGCAGTGATTGACTGAGGCATATTCTTTAGAACTCCTCATTACATATTTCTGATTTTAATTCGGAGAATCTGCCTTTTCCTAGATTCATAATGCTAGGACACACAAAAGAGAGAGAGTAGAAAAAGAAGAGTGGAGAGAGTCTGATGACTTATTTTTCACATACTTCAGATGTTCACTTTTTTTAATTTTTAAAATTGTGATAAAATGTATGTAACATAAATGTTATCATTTTAACAATTTTTTGGTGTACAATTCAGTGACTTGAAGTATGTTCACTATGTTGTGCAACCATTCCCACCATCCATATCCAGAATTTTTTCATCATCTCAAAAAGAAACTCTGTACCCATTAAGCAATAACTTCCCAGTCCCCACGTACCCACCAGCCGCTGGCAGCCTCTCTTTTACTTTCTGCCTATGAATTTGCCTGTTCATTCTATGTGCCTCTTATAAATGAAATCACACAATGTTTGTTCTTTTGTGTCTGGCGTATTTCACTTAGCATAATGTTTTCTAGGTTCACCCACGTTGTAACGTGTCAGAATTTTATTCCTTTTGAAAGCTGAATATTCCATTCTATGTGTATCTTTCCATCTGTTGATGGACATTCAGATTGTTTCTACCTTTTGGCTACTGTGAATAATACTGCTATGAACACTAGTGCACAAATACCTGAGTCCCTGCTTTCAATTCCCTTGGGTATATTACTTAGAAGTGTAATACTTGTCCACGTAAATTCTAAAAAGAAAGGAAAGATGCATACCCTTAAATATTACAATTTCAGGAGCAACTCAGAGCTGGTTTTACAAGTCCATGTAGGTAGAATGAGGGCTGCTGAAAAAGTATTCCAAGTATTCTAAAATATAGATGCACTTCTACTGCCTCAAGATGTCGGAAAGTTTCATTTTGATGAGAGCTGGTTATTTGGAAAGGTCCCAAAATGAGAGCTTATATCTAAGAAATGAACCCTCCCCAGTATCACCAATAAAAGGTTGTGAAGTTCTTCATTTTCATAGTTTCAATGTTTTCCCTTTAATGGATTGATTAGAGTGCCCTCATGTGTCTGTATTATTATATTATGGAGGTTTTGAAAAAGATATAATACTAGAATCATCCTAGAATTCTTCTTTATTCAGAAAAATAAAATTTTAAAAAAAAAGATATACTAGAATCATAGAACTGGGGAGAAAATTTAAATATCTTTTTGAAAAAACAAACATTGCCTGCATGCAACTCTGCATGCATGCCTATTCTAGGCACAATGAAAAAATAAATTTTTTATGGCTGGGTGTGGTTAGTCACACTTGTAACCTCAGCACTTTGGGAGGCCAAGGCGGTGAATTGCTTGAGGCCAGGAATTTTTTTTTTTTTTTTTTAGACGGAGTCTCACCTAAGCCTCCCGAGTAGCCGGGACTATAAGTGCCCACTACCACGCCCGGCTAATTTTTTGTATTTTTAGTAGAGACAGGGTTTCACTGTGTTAGCCAAGATTGTCTCCATCTCCTGAACTCATGATCTGCCCGCCTCAGCCTCCCAAAATGCTGGGATTATAGGCATGAGCCACCACACCCTGCCGAGCCCAGGAGTTTGAGACAAGTTAGGCAACATGGCAAAACCCCGTTTCTAGAAAACATTAGCCAGGCATGGTGGTGTGGCCTGTGGTCCCAGCCACATGGGAGGCTGAGGTGGGAGGATTGCTTGAGTCCAGGAGGCGGAGGCTGCAGTGAGCTGAGATTGAGATTATGCCAATGCATTCCAGCCTGGGCAGCGGAGCCAGACCCTGTCTCAAAAGTAAGTAAGTAAATAACTATTTTAAAAGAGTAATCTAAATCACACATACAAAAGAGTTTCTAAGATGTACAGCTACAATGTAAAGAATAAAAAACACACTCCTCCTAGTGAGAAAGAGTATATTACCAGTATCTTAGAAGCTGTGGATGCCCTTCATAAATTGCATCACCCAAGCTTACCCTCAGAGGTAACACTAAACTGAATTTAGTGTTTATTTCCCCCTGCTTCTCTTTATAGTTTTACTACTCATGTTTGTTTCCCTAAACAGTATTTTTAGGTGAGGGGTTCCTATTTTCCCCCCAAATTGAATAAACTGCATAAATTGAACCCTATCGTATGTGTTCTGTGACTTGCTTCTTCTACTTTTTTAAAAAAGAAGGCTGGGCACGGTGGCTCACGCCTGTAATCCCAGCACTTTGGGAGGCTGAGGTGAGCGGATCACGAGGTCAGGAGATTGAGACCATCCTGGCCAACATGGTGAAACCCTGTCTCTACTAAAAATACACAAATTAGCTGGGCATGTATCGGGGGAAAATTCAGCGAGATATCGGGCCGAAATTCACCCCCAATATTTCACGTAGGTTCTTTTCTATTTTCCCTAAGTGTCGGCTGGTCTGAGAAATAAAGGGACAGAGTACAAAACAGAGAAATTTTAAAGCTGGGCATCCGGGGGAGACATCACATGTCGGCAGCTTCCGTGATGCCTCCTGAGCCACAAAACCAGCAAGTTTTTATTAGTGATTTTCAAAAGGGGAGGGAGTGTACGAATAGGGTGTGGGTCACAGAGATCACATGCTTCCCAAGGTAATAAGATATCACAAGGCAAATGGAGGCAGGGCGAGATCACAGGACCACAGGACCAGGGCGAAATTAAAATTGCTAATGAAGTTTCAGGCTCGCATTGTCATTGATAACATCGTATCAGGAGACAGGGTTTGAGAGCAGACAACCGGTCTGACCAAAATTTATTAGGTGGGAATTTCCTCCTCCTAATAAGCCTGGGAGCACTACGGGAGACTGGGGCTTATTTCATCCCTACAGCTCGACCATAAAAGACAGCCGCACCCCGAAGCGGCCATTTTAGAGGTCTACCCTCAGGGACACATTCTCTTTCTCAGGATGTTCCTTGCTGAGAAAAAGAATTCAGTGATATTTTTCCATTTGCTTTTGAAAGAAGAGAAATATGGCTGTGTTCCGCCCGGCTCACCGGCGGTCGGAGTTAAAGGTTATCTCTCTTGTTCCCTGAACATTGCTGTTATCCTGTTCTTTTTTCAAGGTGCCCAGATTTCATACTGTTCAAACACACATGCTCTACAAACAATTTGTGCAGTCAACGCAATCATCACAGGGTCCTCAGGTGACATACATCCTCCTCAGTTTACAAAGATGATGGGATTAAGAGATTAAAGACAGGCATAGGAAATCACAAGGGTATTGACTGGGGAAGTGATAAGTATCCATGAAATCTTCACAATTTATGTTCAGAGACTGCAGTAAAGACAGGCGTAAGAAATTATAAAAGTATTAATTTGGGGAACTAATAAATGTCCATGAAATCTTCACATCCACATTCTTCTGCCATGGCTTCAGCCGGTCCCTCCATTCGGGGTTCCTGGCTTCCCACAACAAGCATGGTGGTGTGTGCCTGTAATCCCTGCTACTCAGGAGGCTGAGGCAGGAGAATTTCTTGAACCTGGAAGGCGGAGATTGCAGTGAGCTGAGATTGCACCACTGCACTCCAGCCTGGCAACAGAGCGAGACGCCGTCTCAAAAAAATAAAAAAAATAAAAAATAAAAAAAATTTTAAAAAAGAGTACTGATTCATTTATTTACTTTCAAGTCTTTATAGTATTCCATTTTATGAATATACTCTAGGTAGGCAGTTGAATTGTTTCTAGTTATTATGACTAAACACATTATAATATTATTTAAACTGCTGCCTTGTGCTCATGGCCAACGGTTTTTCTGAGCTACACATAAGGCATAGAATAGCTGAGTCTTTTTTTTGTCTTGAGATGGAGTTTCGCTCTCGTTGCCCAGGCTGGAGTGCAATGGTGCAATATGGGCTCACTGCAACCTCCACCTCCCAGATTCAAGCGATTCTCCTGCCTCAGCCTCCCAAGTAGCTGGGATTACAGGCATGCACCACCATTCCTGGCTAATTTTGTATTTTTAGTAGAGATGGGGTTTCTCCATGTTGGTCAATCTGGTCTTGAACTCCCAACCTCAGGTGATCCGCCCACCTCGGCCTCCCAGAGTGTTGGGATTACAGGCGTGAGCCACCACGCCCAGCCAGAATAGCTGAGTCTTAAGGTGTACACATATTGAATCTTTCTAGGTGATGCCAATCAGTTTTCTAAAGTGGATGAGAGCAATCTGTAAGAATTCCCTTTTCTCCATATCCTTGCGAGCACTTAGTTGTCTGACTTTCACATTTTGTTTAATCTAGTAGAGTGAAATGTTATCTGTGTTTAACTTTGCATTTTTATGACTATTCTTGAGGTCGGGTATCTTCATATGTTTACCTTTATTTAATCTTCTATGAAATGCCCATTTTTTTTTGTTTTGTTTTGTTTTGAGACGGTGTATAGCTCTGTTGCTAAGGCTCTCACTGCAACCTCCGCTTCCCGGGTTCAAGTGATTCTCTTGCCTCCAGAGTAGCTGGGATTACAGGCACCTGCCACCATGCCCAGCTAATTTTTGTATTTTTAGTAGAGAGGGTTTCGCCATGCTGGCCAGGCTGGTCTCGAACTCCTGACCTCAAGCTATCTACCCATCTCAGCCTCCCAAAGTGCTGAGATTACAGGCGTGAGCCACCGTGCCTGGCCCATCCATGTCTTTTGTCATTTTTTCTATTGAATTATGTATTTTTAAAATAGCAAGGTATAGCATTAGTACAGAGGGGTGCATAAAAAATAAATGGGGTTGAGTACAGTGGCTCTTGCCTGTAATCCCAGCAGTTTGGGAGGCTGAGGAGGGTGGATAGCTTGAGGTCAGCAGTTTGAGACCAGCCTGGCCAAAATGGTGAAGTCCTATCTCTACAAAAATTAGCCCATCATGGTGGCTTGTGCCTGTGTTCCCGGCTACACGGTCCCAGCTACCCAGGAGGCTGAGGTGAGAGGATCACTGGAGCCGGGAAGTCAAGGCTGCAGTGAGTCATGATTGCATCACTGGACTCCAGCCTGGGTGACAGAGCAAGACCATCTCAATAATAATAACATAAATGTACTCTTTAAAGAGTAATTTTAATTCAGGCCGGGCATGGTGGCTTATGCCTATAATCCCAGCACTTTGGGAGGCTGAGGCGGGTGGATCACAAGGTCAGGAGTTCAATACCAGCCTGGCCAACATGGTGAAACCCCGTCTCTACTAAAAATTCAAAAAAATTAGCTGGGCATGGTGGCGGGTGCCTGTAATCCCAGCTACTGGGGAGGCTGAGGCAGAGAATTGCGTGAACCCATGAGACGGAGGTTGCAGTGAGCCAAGACTGTGCCACTGCACTGCACTCCAGCCTGGTGACAGAGCGAGACTCTGTCTCAAAAAAAAAAAAAAAAAAGTAATTTTAATTAAAACAGCTATGTAACCACCACCTAAGTTAAAAAAAAAATGGAATGTTGCCAACACTCTAGAAGCATTCCATTTACCCCTCCCTTATTACAATTTCCTTCTATACTCAGAGGTCATTACTACTCAGACTTTTCTGGTAATTATAATTACTTCTCCATTTTCTTTATAATTTTGTCACCTGGGAATTCTCTTGAACAATATCTTTTAGTATTACCTGCTTTTGAATGTTTTGAAAATGAATTCATACAGTAAATACATTTTTGTCTTTGGTTTCTTATATTCACCATCATGTTTGTGAGATTCACATTGTTTCATATGACTGTAGTTTGTAAATTTGTGTTGCTTTATAGTATCCCATTGTTGATTGGTAGTTTTATTGCTGTCTAGTACACCACAATTCACTGAACTGTCCTACTGTTGATAGACACTTGGGCTGTTTCCAGCTTTTTGTTCTCATGAACAATATAGCTAAGAACATTCTTGTAATGTCTCTGGATACACTTGAGCAAGATTTTCTCTAGGGTAAGTACTACTTTCTAAAGCAGGTGTTCCAGTTTACATTCTTACCAGCAGTATATGAGAATTCGCAGTAGCCTACAAACACCTGCTACTGTCAGAGTTCCTAGATTTTTTGTTTGTTTTAAGACGGAGTTTTGGAGTTTTGCCCTTGTTGCCCAGACTGGAGTACAGTGGCGTGATCTTGGCTCACTGCAGGCTCTGCCTTCGGGTTCAAGTGATTCTCCTGCCTCAGCCTCCCAAGTAGCTGGGATTACAGGCTTGTGACACCACGAGTGGCTAATTTTGTATTTTTAGTAGAGACGGGGCTTCACCATGTTGGTTAGGCTGGTCTCGAACTCTTGACTCAAGTGATCCACCCGTCTTGACCTCCCAAAGTGCTGGGATTACTGGGGTGGGCCACCATGACCAGCCGTATTTTTTTTTTTTTTTTTTTTTGAGACGGAGTCTCACTCTGTCATCTAGGTTGCTGGACTGCAGTGGCACGATCTCCACTCACTGTAACCTGTAACCTCCGCCTCCCGGATTCAAGCAATTCTCCTGCCTCTGCCTTCCCAGTAGCTGGGATCACAGGCGCCTGCCACCACTCTTGGCTAATTTTTTTTTTTTTTATTTTTAGTGGAGACGGGGTCTCATTGTGTTGGCCAGGCTTGTCTCAAACTCCTGACCTCAAGTCGGGAGTCAGGAGGTCAAATAATCTGCCTGCCTCGGCTTCCCAAAATGCTGGGATTACAGGCGTGAGCCACCACCACGCCCGGCCAGAGTTCTTAATTTTTGCCAATCTAGTGAGTGTGGTTTAAAAACCAATCAATTGAAACTAATCGTGGTTTTAATGCATTTCCCCGATTCGTAATGCGCTTGCGCACCTTACATGTTTGTTGACTATCTGGATTTTGTCATTGCCAAAGCACCTGTTCAGTAATTTTATCCATTTTTCGATTGGGTTGTCTGTTTAGATCCTATATATTCTGGATAATTGCCTTTGTCAATCATATGTGTAACAAATTTCTACTGTGTGGCTTCTCTCTTATGATGTATTTTATTTCCCACTCTTCAGTCGTAAGATGGTATCACTTGTAAGTTCAGTCATATACTTGGCATTTTGGGTTCATCATGGAGTTATGTATTTTGAAGGTCAGATTATTTTTGTCGTAACCCAGTCAAATCAATTGCTTCAAGTTAGTTGTTTTTGTATCATATATTCCCACCCATAAGTCCTGAAGATATTCTAGAACGTTATTTCCTACAAGTTCTGGATTTGCTGTACGCGTTCAGGTCTCTAAGCCACCCGAACTGTGTGTGGCTGGAAGGATCGCTCCATGACCACGTACGCTGGCGGCCCCTCTTCCGGCTTACCTCAGGGGCTGGTATCGCGGGCCTGTTCTTTCATCAGAAAGATCTATATTTTGCTAATAAAGGAACGCTTTGTGTCCAATAAGGTTTTCGTCATTACGCATGAAAACGCCACCTTAAGCTTATGTCGCCTGTGAATATTTAAGGGAAAAAAACATCCCGGCAACCAACTGCTAGGCGACGGACGCTAAGCACCTCCTCCCCGCGGACGTCAGCACCCGCCTTTTCCCGAAGTCGCAACACGCAGGCGCGCTCCGGCTCGCTCACCACGCACGGAAGTGCGCCTGCGCCAGGAGACGCCCCGCCCAGCCCCTGGCCGACTATAAAGTGTCGAGCTTCTCCTCGCGAGAGACTTAGTGCTCATGCTCGCTGCAGGGGTCGGAGGTCAGGGCGAGCGTCTCGCAGGCCGTAGGAGGAAGATGGCGGTGGAGTCGCGCGTTACCCAGGAGGAAATTAAGAAGGAGCCAGAGAAACCGATCGACCGCGAGAAGGTGAAGGCCCCCTCCGCTTTGGGGTCCGGGAAGAGGTTGGGGATGAGTCCCGCAGGGTGCAGAGGCGCGGCCTGTGTGCTGGAGGAGATGGTGTTTTTGGTCTCGGGGAGGCTCGGAGGCCGCAACGCCTCGGGAAGAGAGATGAGCTCCGGGTTCGCAGCTGGTGTTTTTAACTTCTGCCCTTCCGTTTTCTCTCTCCCTCAGACATGCCCACTGTTGCTACGGGTCTTCACCACCAATAACGGCCGCCACCACCGAATGGACGAGTTCTCCCGGGGAAATGTACCGTCCAGCGAGTTGCAGATCTACACTTGGTGAGGAGGGCGGGGTGGCCTCAGGGACCCGGGCCGGGAACCTGGAACAACAGTTAATTGCCTTTGCCAGTGTAGAGTTATTCTCCCTGATTTCAATTTCATTTCTCCACTTGGGGCCTTCGGACTCAGCTTTCAGGAAGTTAGAAGTTTTTGTTGTTAGGTGAAAGGAGATTTGCCCGTATTGTAACGCTTTTGTGATTAATGTTGCAACTTTTGGGCGGTTAAGAATGGACAGACCCAAGATTGCTGTCACTGTTATGGCTGCTAGGTACAAAAGTGATAGGTAGATAAATATGTTGTAGTATCTGCCCTAAAGGGACTCATAGTCAAATAAATTGCACTAGGACAACATGGTAAGGGAGAGTGATGCTGTCGAGTGGTATTTGTTATTCTCAAAGAGCATTTCCACATAATATTAAGCCTTAGGTACCAAAGCACCAAAAGTGAAAAATAAACTACCAAAACCCGAGTTATTTCTTCTCTAAGGGTTATTGGAAAAGCTTTTGATATGTGTTTAGTGAAGATGGTTCCTGAATGTTTATCTCTTGGGTGTACCTCCCTACAAACTACTGTGGGCTTGTCTTTAGCGCTGCACATAACTCCTTGGATTGACACCATAATGGCTTTTTAGTATAAGTAAAAGGTGTGTAATTGAAAAATATGTGTATATACTCTCTCTATATATTTTTGAGACAGAGTCTTGCTCTGTTGCCCAGGCTGGAGTGCAGTGGTGCCATCTCGGCTCACTGCAACCTCCACCTCCTGGATTCAATTGATTCTTCTGACTCAGCCTCCCAAGTAGCTGGGATTACAGGTGTCCACCACCACGCCTGGCTAATTTTTGTATTTTTAGTAGAGATGGGGTTTCACCGTATTGACCAGGCTGGTCTCGAACTCTTGACCTCAAGTGATCTGCCTGCCTCAGCCTCCCAAAGTGCTGGGATTAAGGTGTGAGCTACTGCGCCCAGCCTAAAATAAATTTTTTATTGTGATGAAAAGATATATAACAAGCCAGGCACGGTGGCTTATGCCTGTAATCCCAGCACTTTGGGAGGCTGAGGCTGGCGGATCACTTGAGGTCAGGAGTTCGAGACCAGTCTGGCCAGCGTGATGAAACCCTGTCTCTACTAAAAATGCAAAAATTAGCCAGGTGTGGTGGCGCAGAATTGTAATCCCAGCTAATTGGGAGACTGAGGCAGGAGGATCGCTTGAACCTGGGAAGTGGAAGTTGCAGTGAGCTGAGATTGTGCCACTGTACTCCAGCCTGGGCGACAGAGCGAGACTCTGTCTCAAAATATATATGTGTGTGCCTATATAACAAAATTTGCCGTGTTAACCATTTATTTTTATTTTTTGAATCTCACTCTGTCACCCAGGCTGGAGTGCAGTGGCGTGATCTCAGCTCACTGCAACCTCTGCCTCCCAGGTTCAAGCGATTCTCACGCCTCAGCCTCCTCAGTAGCTGGGATTACAGGCGCCCGCCACCACGCCTGGCTAATTTTTGTATTTTTAGTAGAGACAGGGTTTCACCATGTTGGCCAGGCTGGTCTCGAACTCCTGACCTCAAGTGATCCACCCACCTTGGCTTCCCAAAGTGGTAGGTTTACAGGCATGAGCCACCGCACCTGGTCATTAACCATTTCTAAGTGTACAATTTGGTGGCATTAATAGCATTCAAATTGTTGTGCAACCACTGTTTCTACAAGTTTTTATCCCTCCCTCCAACAGAAACCCTGTACCCCATCCTGCCTTTTTTTAATTTTTAAAGAGACGGAGTCTTGCTCTGTTCCCCAAGCTGGATTTGAGCTCCTTGGCTCAAGCAGCTGGGACTACAGGCACACACCACCATGCCCAGTGTGCCGGTACCCTGTTAAGGACACTCTGTGCCTATTAATAATTTCCCATTCCTCCCCTGCCCCATCCCCTGGTAGCCTCTAATGTATTATCTGTCCATATATGAATTTGCCTATTCTGCATATTTCATTTCAGTGAACTCATTACAGTATTCGTCATTTTGGCTTATTTCATGGTGTTTTTAGGGTTAATGTTGTAGCATCCATTTAGCCTTGTCAAGGCTGAATCATATTTCATTGTATGTGTGCATCACATATGTACTCATCTATTGATGGACACTTGGGTTGTTTCACCTTTTTTGCCATTGTGAATAATGCTGCTGTGAACATTGGCATACAAATGTGTTTGTGTCGCTGCTTTCAGTTCTTTTGGGTATGTACCTAGGAGGGGATTACTGGGTCATATGTTAACTTTGTTTAATTTTTGAGGAACCACCAAACTTTTTCACAGCAGCTGCACTATTTTATATTCCCCAAAAGATGTATAATTTTAAACTATTTAAGCCCTGTACACTAGAGCTAATCCCTTGAAGATTGGGACCTTACTTGTCTTATTTGGAGGTGCTTGTTAAATTTATGTAGTAGTATGATACCTGTACTTAAGCATCACTCAAGGGTAAGTGTTCTAGGAAGGTTGATTTAGCTTATATGGAAGAACTGTTGAATAATGGCTTGATGAAAATCTCTTCAGAAATTAAAGTGTATGTTTCTTCCAACAAGAGTTCCTATTTGCCAGGTGCTGTGTGTGCTTAGATCCTGAGGGTATAAAGTCAAGACGGTACTGCTCCTCCCTGTAGTAAGTCCTTTTATCAGGGAAAGCGGATGAATAGAGTGATTTTTAGGGTTAAAATGGCAGGGTGAGGTTGTTCCACAGACCTTCCACTCTGAATCAAGAAAAAAAATTACCAAAAAAATCCTGTCCTAAACTATACCGTCCATAAATTGCAACCAAACAAAGAAGGAACAACTTTAAGTTACATCTCAAAATGGTGGCCAAAGAAAAGATTCTGAAAGACTGGATGATTGGTATGGGGGTAACACAAAGGCCTGCCCTCATTCCCAGAAATAGTAATGAGGGAAAATTAGTTAACATATACTGGAAATTCTCAATTTGGAGAAGTAGACTGTGGGGTTAAATAGGCAGTCCCAAGAGAAGTTATGGAAACAGGAGTGGAAGTCCAGAGGAGCCCAGTAGAGGCAGGCTGTGTTCACCAAAGTCAATCAGGGCTCAGCCAGAAAAACAGAATTGGGAGAGATGTGTTAAGAGATTTATTTCTGCTGGGCGTGGTGGCTCACGCCTGTAATCCCAGCACTTTGGGAGGCCGAGGTGGGCGGGTCATGAGGTCAGGAGTTGGAGACCAGCCTGGCCAACATGGTGAAACCCCGTCTCTGCTAAAAATACAAAAATTAGCCAGGCATGGTGGCGGGTGCCTGTAATCCCAACTACTTGGGAGGCTGAGGCAGGAGAATTGCTTGAACCCAGGTGGCAGAGGTTGCAGTGAGCCGAGATCAGCGCCACTGCACTCCAGCCCGGGCGACAGAGCGGGACTCCATCTCAAAAAAAAAAAAAAAAAAAAAAAAAAGCTTTATTGCAAAGAATTTGGTTTACGTGATTGTGGGGGCTGTCTAGGCCCTTAATTGTCAAATCTGTAGGGCAGGTTCTCAGGAAGGAAAGGCTGCTCTTAGGGCCTTTCAACTAATAGAATCAGGCCTCCCCAGATTATATAGGATAGACCTCTGAATTTAAGGTCAATTGGTTGTTGACTTTAGTCACATCTATAAAATATCTCACAGCAATACCTAGGTTAGTGTTTGGTTGAATATCTGGGGACTGTAGCTTCGTCAAGCTGACACAAGTACTGAACCCCACCCTGTCCTCAAGCTTCTGACTAGTGATGAAAAAGCAACACTTGGCACTCCAATTGTTGGTCTGGAAAGACAGTCCTTAGAAGGTGGGAAGCTTGTGTAGGTTTCACACTGTCAGAACTGATAAAAGGTGTGATATAAATCCCCCAAATTAATTAAGAGCAAGACAATATTGAAAATATTTTTAGAAAGGAAAAAATTCTTTCTGGTATATATCATCATAAGTATGTACTGTGTATCAGAATATAGACTGAGCATCGCAAGTCCAAAATCTGAAATGCCACAAAATCTGAAACTTTTGAGAGCTGACGTGACACCGGTGGAAAATTGCACACATAAGTTCTTGACCTCTTTTTTTTTTTTTTTTTTTGAGACAGAGTCTTGCTCTGTCATCCAGGCTGGAGTGCAGTGGCGCGATCTCGGCTCACTGCAACCTCTGCCTCCCAGGTATAAGCGATTCTCCTGCCTCAGCCTCCTGAGTAGCTGGGATTACAGGCGTGCACCAAACTTCCTTTCATGCACACAATTACTTAAAATGATGTATAAAATTGTATTCCAGCTGTGTATAAGGTATGTTTGAAACATAAATGAGTTTCTTATTTAAACTTGGGTCACAACCCCAAGATATCTTACGTATATGCAAAAATTCTAAAATTTGAAAAAACCTAAAACGCTTCTAGTCCCATGTATTTTGGGTAAGGGATACTGAACCTATAATTGATACAGAATAGTTAACATCAAAATATCAGGTTGAAAAAAGGTCACCTCTGAGACAGATAAACCAATGTGACCTCAGGTTTTTTTGTTTTTGAGACAGAGTCTCAGTCTGTCACCCAGGCTGGAGCACAGTGGCACAGTCTTGGCTCACTGCAGCCTCCGCCTCCCAGGTCAAGCGATTCTCTTGTCTCAGCCTCTCGAGTAGCTGGGATTATAGGCTACAGATGTGTGCCACAACGCCTGGCTAATTTTTGGATTTTTAGTAGAAACGGGGTTTCACCATGTTGGCCAGGCTGCTCTCGAACTTGAGCTCCTGGCCTCAGGTGATCCACCCGCCTTGGCCTCCCAAAGTGCTGGGATTACAGGCATGAGCCTCCGCACCTGGCAAAAAAATGTATACTAGGTTATTTCTAAGATGCTTATATGTTAAAATATTTTTTTCAGATTGTTCTCTTATTAGCTCAGGGGACTATATGAAAGTTGGATTCAAGTCAATATTTGCAGGGTAAGAAACTATTGTGACAAGAGCCTGTGCTTCATTGTAAGAAACTTTTGTATATTTCATTGGCTCTAGTACTCTTATCTGTTGTAAAACTTACAATTCTATCTAAGAAAGAAGAAACACATCTGGCTGGGCGCAGTGGCTCACGCTTGTAATCAATCCCAGCACTTTGGGAGGCCAAGATAGGTGGATCACTTGAAGTCAGGAGTTCGAGACCAGCATGGCCAACATGGTGAAACCCTGTCTCTACTAAAAATAGAAAAATTACCTGGGCGTGGTGGTGGGCGTCTGTAATCCCAGCTACTCAGGAGGCTGAGGCAGGAGAATTGCTTGAACCTGGGAGGCGGAGGTTGCAGTGAGCTGAGGTCACGCCACTGCACTCTAGCCTGGGCGACAGAGCGAGACTCTCTCAAAAACAAAACGTCAGTATGAAAATGCTTTCCTAGTACATTGATTCTAAGATACATTCCAATTTCAGAGATGCTAAAATGTGGAAGGGTACATGTCTTAGAACTAATGGGATACATCTATTTTGCATATTTGGATTTATTTGGACTAGTTACCCTTAGGTAAATCACTAGGCCATAAGGTGTTGTGTAGCAACAGAAGATAGCATATAGAATCTCTGAAGTCCCTTTTAGCACTAAGAGTCTAATTAATTGAAATTTCCAGCAGTAAGGCTGGTACATGGAGTTTTTGGAGGCAAATAGTATTTTTAGCTGCTTTAAAATTAATCTCTAGTATAAGACCCTGGCAGTTTCTAATGTAAATCACAACTCAGATATATGTAATTAACTCATTGTTAGTATCCCTTTTAATATTATTGCTGATTAATAAGCAAATGTAAATGTCTTTTTTAAAAAAAATCCAGGATGGATGCAACCTTGAAAGAACTGACAAGCTTAGTAAAAGAAGTCTACCCAGAAGCTAGAAAGAAGGGCACTCACTTCAATTTTGCAATCGTTTTTACAGATGTTAAAAGACCTGGCTATCGGTAGGTAACTTCTCATTTTTAAGTCCTGTAATCTCTTTGTTTTTAGTATGTTTTAACTGATACAGATAACTCCTTCAATGAATCTTGTTAGTGGGAGAATATGGGTTTATATTAATACGTGGTTTGGCTTAATAAAGTAGTTAAATTTTGGAAGTGTGTTATAAAATGATGGAGAAAATCCAGTGCCATATTCACTTTGTAGTACATACTGGGTTTCATTGATTTGGATCCATTAACAGTTGATTTTCTTTCTTACAGAGTTAAGGAGATTGGCAGCACCATGTCTGGCAGAAAGGGGACTGATGATTCCATGACCCTGCAGTCGCAGAAGTTCCAGATAGGAGATTACTTGGACATAGCAATTACCCCTCCAAATCGGGCACCACCTCCTTCAGGGCGCATGAGACCATATTAAATTCTATTTACTATTTGTTGAATTTATTTTTCCGTCAGTTATGTAAAATAAACATACTCTTCTTCCTCCCCTGATTATTGCCATTAAGCCTTTAAATTCTAAACAAATTATAATGCATCATCTATTTAGGAGTTAGATTTGGATGTGCTATTGTATGATTACGAATAGTCTGTATGTTTCAAGCCCTTCTGTAAAATATGAAGAAAAGTGCTCTTAGCATTCTGTGTAAAACTGTACTGTTAAATATATGTGTGTAATCAGCCTGAGTGTGAAAGTTAATGGAGGCCTGGGAACAGGGTTTATACTAAGTAGTGGAGGAGCGTATGGTTAAGCCCAAAGGGGCAGAACAAGAAAGCCACGGGATTGTATGAAATCAAACATGAGTTTGTGGTGTAGACTGCTGTATGCAGTTGGAAAGGACACGTGAGAGTGAGCTCAAGTGGCAGCAGAGGCAGTTTGGAATAAGCTGCGGCAAGTTGAAGAAGCTGTGTTGGACGAGATTGCCCCGCCTTGATCAGGGTACCATGACATAAAAGGTTAAAGAACAGGCAACACAATGAGCACTTAAGTTTTTAACATGTGGGGAATAGGGCATTTTAAAGGCTGGAACCAGTTCAGAGGAAACAAGGGTTTGGGTAGAGGTAGAAAGGTTTAATTAACCCTGGAGATCTGCAAATGGAGGGAGGGGTGAAGGAGGAATCTTAAGACCGAGGGAGAAGAGCCAAGGACAAGGTCAGGTTGAATGAGTAGGAGGTGTTCACACATCCTCTTGTGTGCTAGGTAGTGGCGTGCATCTGATCTGAGAGGCAGTAAAGCAGTGATGAAGACAGTGCAGCAGAACATTGAAGTCCTGATTGCAGCAGTGACTCTGCAACCTTGGATAAATTATTTCAATCTTTATTTTGTAAAACGGAGATAACGGCCTATAGGATTGTTAAGACTGAATATTTTAAAAGAGCTTAGAATGGTGCCTGACAAATGAGAAACAATAAATACTGATTATTGGCCATAAAGTGGTATTAAAACTGGATCTCTTTTCTTCCATGGCACTACTCTCATTTTGAAGTTTATGAACAGTACGACAGTGTATTGTAAATTCCCTTTAGTTTGTTACAGTAGCCAATTGAAAATGTATATCCCAAAATTTAAAAAAAAAAGTACCAGCAGCAATAAAATTGCACTAGTTTTATCTGGTACATACAAAAACAGCCATTTAAAATCTGATGATTCTGTGGAATTGGTGTCCCTGTTAGCAATGGCAGAGACCAGCCTGGAGCCTAGATCTGGTGCTTCTTCTGTGCTGTGGTTTACCCCAAACCTTTAGGTTGTTTATTCATTCAGATTAGATAGACTGGAGCCATAAAGTTAATTTGCACCTAGCTTTTTGGAGAATAGCCATGATTAACTGCTATTCGTGGTGGGGGTGGGGGGGAACCCTATGATTTACTATGCAGATGAAGAGGGTAGGAACTAAATAAAGGACTTTGTAAGCCAAAGTGGTTGGGCTGCTTTGTCAAATTCCACCCTTTGCTTGGTTCCAACATGGAATTTCTCCTTTAAAGATTTCAATATCCCATCAAAAGTACAGTTAGAGAATACCTAGTGAATTTATTGAATATAATGCTAAGAATCAAAAGACTTGTACTAGTTTACCTCTGGCTTTGGTAAGTGTGGCTTTGAGTAATAACTGAGCTGTTTCCCCGCATATAAAATAGAAATAAATAAGTAGTCATCATGACAGCATCTTGCTCAGTGCTTTAGTGTCTGCCCTGGTTGCCTCATTTGCTCCTAGGTATTTTGGAATTGACGTTTTCCCTTTGGAATATGTGTTACAGTACATGATATTGCCTATAATGTCTTTTTAGTTTTTCACGGTGTACAAAAACTGGGACGGTTATGCCCAGCTGATCATTGACTCAGGTAATGTTTTAGGTATCGGTTGTATGCATGTGAGGGGCAGGTGTGAATGTAGAAAGAAACATTATTAGGCTAGGTTTAAAATTCTCTAAAGTTGAACATAATAAGGAGCTGAACTTGATGCACCTCTTTCTTGTTCAATTAAACACATTTCAGACTTGTTTTTGTGAAATAGAAGGCAACACTCTAAATCAAGTTTGTAACTATGATTTAAGTGTTTACTTGTGCCAAACACAGATGGTTCCCAAGTTATGATAGTTCAACTTTAGATTTTTCAGCTTTGCAGTGGCGCATAAGCGATAAGCCATTCACTACGGTCCTCAGCTTATTATGGGGCTACATCCCAATAAACCAGCTGCCAACTGAACATCTTATAAGTAGAAAGGGCACTTCTGACTTAGGATATTTTCAACTCATGATGAGTTTATCCAGACATGACCCCCTAAGTAAGGAACATTGATACTGTGCTGAGGAACAACTTTACCAGCATTACCTCATGTAACCACAACTGAGATACAGTGACTATAGTTGCTATTTATAGGTGACAATGAGGCCCAGATTGAGGGGCTACTTTAACAGCTCAAAAATGGGGCATTGGACCTAGGTAGCCAAAAATAGAGGATTAGTTGAAACATTTCCAGAAATAATGTTCTTTCATACTCAGTTTCTTATAGTCTGGCATCCACCCACACTACACTGACACACTATTCTTGTAGTGATGTTATTCCCTACAAGTAGCAATTTTTGCCTGGTTATCTAAAGTAGACCTCTTCAGTTTTTAAACTCAAAATGCCTCTCAAAAAAAAAATATGACATGGTCATAGTTTCCACTTTGAATGTGTTAAGAGCAGCCAGATGTCTGCCTGTTCTGGTTTGTCTTCTATTACTTAAATATAGGTTGCTTTTGCAAATAACTAATTTCCTGGAGTCTGCAATGGCACAAGCTTGAAGGAAGTTATGTTTATTCTGTTAGAAAGGATTAATCATGACTAGGCAACTATTCTGTGAAGACAAAATCACGGATTCTCCCCCTTAAGAAATCCTTAGGGGAAATAAGCTAAACATAAAAGTAATTTTAATACTAAAGAGTAGTTGCAATAAGCAAAAAAGTCCTTAGCCTGGGAATGTTAATGCAGACTATTATAGGAAGGTGTAATGATATCCCTACCTCATAAAACTTGGGGAGGAGTCAGTGAAATTAGGGGAGAGCCTGGTGGGCAGTGAATATTCTGTAAAGGTAAGCTATTTTAAAGAGAAAGAAGGTATTTCTAGCCTCTTCAATTTGTGCCTTCAGCTGTTTAGAATTTCCTGCTCTACCCATGGTACCATGTCAACCCAGTTACAACTAACTCATGAGAAAATTTAACCAGGATTTGGCCGGGTGCAGTGGCTCACACATGTAATCTCAGCACTTTGGGAGGCTGAGGTTGGCAGCTGACCTGAGGAGTTCAAAACCAGCCTGGGCAACACGGTGAAACCCCATCTCTACTAAAAATACAAAAATTAGCCAGGCATGGTGGCACATGCCTGTAATCCCAGCTACTCGGGAGGCTGAGGTGGAAGAATTGCTTGAACCTGGGAGGCAGAAGTTGCAGTGAGCAGAGATTGCACCACTGCACTCTAGCCTGGGCGACAGCGAGACACTGTCTCAAAAAAAAAAAAAAAAAAAAAAAAGGAAACGGAATTTGATGAAGTTAGAGCAATTTAAGAATGAAGTGGGCTGGGCGCGGTGGCTCACACCTGTAATCCCAGCACTTGAGGAGGCCAAGGTGGGCAGATCACAAGGTCAGGAGTTCGAGACCAGCCTGACCAACATGGTGAAACCCCATCTCTACTAAAAATACAAAAACTAGCCAGATGTGGTGGCACGCACCTGTAATCCCAGCTACTCAGGAGGCTGAGGCAGGAGAATCGCTTGAACCTGGGAGGCAGAGGTTGCAGTGAGCCAAGATCTCACTATTGCACTCCAGCCTGGGCAACACAGGGAGGCTCAAAAAACAAAACAAAACAGAACAAAACAAAGAATGAAGTGAACCTTCTGAGGGATATTCAAAAATCCTTGAAAATTTTAGATGAGTGCCTATTTTATGTACCAGATGCTATGAACCTGGCAATACAAAGATTTGACACAGATGCAGATCCTTCCTCAAAATCTTACAGTCTAGTAAGGAGGAAAAGGTGCAAATATTGATAAAAGGTGGACAGAAAAATGTCACAAGAAAGAAGTGCTACTGAAACTGTGGTAGGATAATGAAAGGTTTTCTACAGATGGCATTTAAGCCTGTTCAACTCCTAAAAGTGGAGTAGGATCTACACTCCAATAAAGTGCACAGCATGAACAAAAGAGGAAACGATGAGCTCACAATCAGTAAAGCACTCACCTACTGACCTTTGGCAGGAGTTCCAGATAAAGAGGAGTATCAGATAATTCTAAAGAATTGTAATAATCTAGGTGAGAATCTGGGTAGTGGTAGAAAGATGTTAAAAGACGGAGCCTCCGTAGGGCTTGGCAACAAACAAGACTTGGGATGGGAAATCGGACATGGAAAGTTAATCATTAAAGCCTCAATTTCCCCATTTGAAAAATTAGGTACCTACCTCAAAGAGTTAATTACACATGTTAATAAATGTATAGCATTTAGAACCATCCCTGGCATCGTAAGATCTCAACTCTTCGATGTAATCACTAATTCACACAATAAACCTTTTAAACTGCTAGGTGCTTGGGTAATGGACAAAGTAAGCAAACAAGGTCCTTGCCCTCACTGAACTTTTGTGGTCCAGTGGGGGAGACAAATATTAAATAAATGTATAACCAAATATTTTATTAAATAGAATTAAATTCTACCAAATACTATGAAGGACGAGAATAAGGTGCTGAGAAAGAACTAAGGGGGAAAGATCTCTTTTAAACCAGGAAAATAGGTAAAGTCTTTGATAAAATGATATTTAATCTGAGACATATTAGCCAGGGCTCAAAGTCTGAAGTAACAGAAAACTCCAGCTGGCTCAAGAGCAAGGAGTTTATGCATCATTTAACAGAAAAGTCCATGGTAGAGCTGGCTGACTTCAGGCCCAGCTGATCCTTGAGCTCCAACACCACCTCAACTCTGTTGCGAGGGCTCCTCCACAGGCCATCCCTCCCTTCACGGCTCCAGCTGTACCTCTATCTCCAGAAGCGTGCTGCTCTTTCCCAGTACTTCCCCAGTCCCGGAATGGGCTTTCATTGACCTGACTTGACCAGTGTGGTCAGAAGTTGTGATGTTGCTTGGTTGAGCCTGGAGCTGGCCTGTAAGTTCTTAAGGGCAGTAGTTAGGGGGCAGACAAAAACATCAAGTGTCCACCAATTAAGGATGAGGGAGTGTTAGCACAGTGGGTGGGAAAAAGTATTCCAGGATGAGAGCAGCCTGTGTGAGGCCCGGGGGCAGGAAGTACGGAGGAGTGGAAGAGGGTGGTGTGGCTGGAGCACAAGGGGCAGGACGGAGAAGCAAGCTGGGGTCAAATCATGTAGGGCCATGTAAGCCAAAATAAGGATCTTGGATTTCATTTTAAGAGGCGTGGGAAGACACACTTGAAAGATCCCAATATTTGAAGCTTGACAAGCTGGAAGCATCAGTTCTAAGAAACAGAAACTAGGATTACAGGAGGGAGGTGGTAAGGGTTAGGGAAATATGACTTGGACAAACTGAGGGGCCACCACTAAACAAATGGTGCTCCCTTGCAGATAATCAGAAATGCTTAACAGTCTTTATTGCCCATCGATGTGGTTTGGCTGTGTCCTCACCCAAATGTCACCTGAATTGTAGCCCCTGTAATTCCCACGTCGTGGGAGGGATGCAGTGGGAGGTAACCGAATCACGGGGGCGGGTCTTTCCTATGCTGTTCTCATAATAGTGAATAAGTCTCACGAGATCTGATGGTTTTATAAAGGGGAGTTTCCCTGCACATACCCTCTTGCCTG
Organism: Homo sapiens; assembly: GCF_000001405.40. NCBI lineage: Eukaryota > Metazoa > Chordata > Mammalia > Primates > Hominidae > Homo > Homo sapiens. The sequence continues at coordinate 21,153,221 of NC_000013.11, forward strand.
CCACCATGTAAGACGTGTCTTTCTTCCCCCTCTGCCTTCTGCCATGATTGTGAGGCCTCCCCAGCCATGTGGAACTGTGAGTCCATTAAACCTCTTTCCTTTATAAATTACCCAGTCTTGGGTATGTCTTTATTAGCAGCGTGAGAACAGACTAATACACTCATCTTTAAAAAACCTCTTCACTACATAACCTCTTCTAGCTACTACACCTTCTCTCGCCTCCCTTCTTTAGCAAAACTCCTCAAGAGCTGTCTAAAGCCACTGTTTTACCTCCTCAGCTGTTTTCTCTTCCATCCACTACAGACTTCTAGTACCAGCACTCCATCAAAATTAATCAATGTTGTCAATAACATCGACTTTGCCAAACCCAACAGTCAGTTCTCAGTCCTCTTTTTATTTGAATTCTCAGCAATATTCACAGAATCATCACTCTCCTTGAAATACTTTCTTCCTACTTCACTGGCCTCAGTCTCCTTTGCTAGATTACTCTGCCCCTTTCCATCCTCTAAAGTTGGGAGAACTCCAGGATTTGGTCCTTGGTACACTTTGAATATATTCCCTCCCTAAGCAGCTCATCCGGTTCTGTGGATTTATATACACACGGTACACAGTGAAAGGCTGGTATACATTTCAGAGTCAATGGCATACATAAGGCTGACTACAGCTTTACTTTGAAAAACAAAACTAAGTATCTTAACATTTTATTTTACATTATATTTAATAAAAATAATACTTACAACTACCCAGTAACTCCTAGAACAAGGACAAACTCAAGTTTTGTTTTGGTGACAGTTTTCTGACAAGATTAATAGAGCACAATGGACAGGTCCCCCATTTGACTTTCAAGGAACAATCATAAAACAGGGTAATCTTTACTGCATCAAATTCCCAAAACTACGCCTTTGAAGTAAGTTGACATAATACTTGTTGTTTCTTCTCAAATTTTTAATGGTTCTCCACAGTATGCTAGGTCCTTATTTTCTCATTGGCTGTAATTTGACAAGTTCTCCAAAAGCACTATCATGAACTTAATTAGATAATACTTTCCAGCTGTACTTAAATCAGAAGGATCGTAGGCCTGATAAGCAGGTCAACCTGAAGCTACCAGGCAGCTCTGGAGGCTCCCGTGGCCATAGCTAACAGTGCACAGGAGGGCCCCTGGCCCAGGATGAGCCCTCAGAACCTTTTAGAGAGAGTGAAATTCAGGGTCTACTGGGTGTCCAAGCTGCAGAGTGGAGCGTGAGAGGTCAGCTGCCATGTGATAGAAAGAGCTGACATAAGAGAAAAGACCCCCACACAGTGAAAAGCTGGAAGAGAAACAAAACTCTCAACCTGACAGCAGAGTTCCTGGTTCCAACTGTTGAGACCTGTCTCTACCTCCAATGGTCACAGTATATAGTTACCCAGGCCTGGAAATCTCCCTCTTTTCCTAATTAGTTTAACTGGTGTTCCTGTTGTTTGCAAACAGCAACTGCATCTTCAGACAGCACTGAGCAAGTAAAAGGTGTGGGACGGTCCTGAAAGGAGATGATGGGAAGGCAGAGCTGGCTGGCAGCAATGTCTCTCTGGCCAGAAGGTCAGGGGCGGCCTCATCTGAGTAGCAAACACCTTTATATTTTTGAAATTACTTGTCCTACTTCCTGGTACTACTTAAACCATTCTGTTGATTAAGCTGGGTAATTTAGTATCAATGAAACACTAATAATCCTTAAAGAGTGAATGACTGGGCTACATGTCAACAAGACTAAGGTTAAACCTTATTGAAACTTCATAAAAAGCATATTATGATGTTAATGTTCATGTTTGTCTTTAAAATGGGTCAACGTTTAAAGGGGGACAGAGGCAGGGCAATGTGAATGTTAAAATCGGTCCAGCTCGGCTTTCATCTCATTTTGTTCAGTTTCTGTGTTGGATAGATCCACTGGAATTTCTGCAACAGATACAAATAACAAATATCAATTTAATAAAATTAAAAGCCATTAAGACAAATGACACAATACTGTGGCTATATATTTTACACTTATAAAATAATTGAGGATAGATTCCCACTGATATCATTAAACTGGATAATTCGGGAATCTGAGATTCAGGGATCACAAGTTCTATATCAAAAGATAGAGACAGGCTATTAACTTAAGCTGGCAAATGTCAATTAAAAACAAAATTTTTACCAATATTCAAATGTTAATTTTTTTTTTTTTTTTTTAGATGGAGTCTCGCTCTGTTGCCAGGCTGGAGTGCAGTGGCATGATCTTGGCTCACTGCAACCTCCGCCTCCCAGATTCAAGCGATTCTCCTGCCTCAGCCTCCTGAGTAGCTGGGACTACAGGTGTGCACCACCACACCTGGCTAATTTTTGTATTTTTAGTAGAGACGAGGTTTCACCATGTTGGTCAGGATGGTCAAATGTTAATTTTTAAATGTCCTCCTCAAATAACACATGAACTTTCTTTACAAAGGTAACATACTCACCAGTTTTCTTTGTTGCTGACATCTCGGATGTTCTGTCCATGTTTAAGGAACCTTTTACTGGGTGGCACTGCTTTAATTGCTATTGGAGTAGCTAGGTTTGAGTTGTATTTTGATAAAAGCTAAAAAAAAAAAAGGAAATTCCTTTTTATCGAGCCATATGAATAATATAACCTAAATTTGGAAGAAGTTACAAAATGTTCAATAAAAGCTATGGGGCGGGCATGGTGGCTCACGCCTGCAGTTCCAGCACTTTGGGAGGCCAAGGCAGGTGGATCACTTGAGGTCAGGAGTTTGAGACCAGGCTGGACAACAGGTAAAACCTCGTCTCTACTAAACATACAAAAACTAGCTAGGAGTGGTGGCACACACCTGTAATCCCAGCTACTCAGGAGGCTGAGGCCCAAGAATTACTTGAACCCCAGAGGCGGAGGTTGCAGTGAGCTGAGATCATGTCACTGCACTCCAGCCTAGGAGACAGAGCGAGACTTGGTCTAAAAAAAAAAAAAAAAAAGACATGCTAACTGCAATGAAAAGATGGAGATATTAGAAATTTAACTTGGATGTGAAGGACTGATTTTTAAAGCTTAAAATGTATTCTGACTGAGGTTAGTGAAAACAAGTAGCAATATATCCCTGAGAGGAAATTAAGCCTTAACAAAGATGTTAGGGAAAATACACAAAGGAAAGATGTAAAACGAATGCTCAAAAGGAAGGTCATCAATTATAAAAATTATGAAAGGAGAACATGAAGTATCAGCTATAATTTTTTCATGCATAAAGGGGTGATATAGTAAATATAAGGCTTCCTTCCTTTTACAAAGAAATAAGGAGAGATGAAGCAACCATAGGGAAGTGGAAACTATATAATTTTCATAAAGACAGAAGATGCTCCTTCTTCATGCAATTTATTATATCTTCCAGAAAAGCAGAAAAGACAGAGAAAAAAGGATAACAAGTACTTTATTGATATCCTAGCATGAGTCAGTTCTAATGGCATCTGAGTATTTTCCGAAGTGATTTATCCTTCTCATGGGTCTCCATAAGTCAGGAAGACTTCTAGAATGGCTATTAAGAATTCCACACGTGGGCCGGGCGCGGTGGCTCACGCCTGTAATCCCAGCACTTTGGGAGGCCGAGGCGGGTGGATCATGAGGTCAGGAGATCGAGACCATCCTGGCTAACAAGGTGAAACCCTGTCTCTACTAAAAATACAAAAAATTAGCCGGGCGCGGTGGCGGGCGCCTGTAGTCCCAGCTACTCGGGAGGCTGAGGCAGGAGAATGGCGTGAACCCGGGAAGCGGAGCTTGCAGTGAGCCGAGATTGCGCCACTGCAGTCCGCAGTCCGACCTGGGCGACAGAGCGAGACTCCGTCTCAAAAAAAAAACAAAAAAAAAGAATTCCACACGTGTAAGTAATAATTGCCAAACACTGTAACTCCTATTAAGGAGGGGGACTGTCAAAGAATCAGACTGGTTATTTAGAATTGGCAGTTGTTATAAGTCATTAGTAGGCCAATGGTAACTGCTGTTAAATACTAAAGAATCAGATACAGTCAGGCATCACTTAACAATAGGGATACATTCTGAGAAATGCATTAGGTGATTTCATCATGTGTGAACATCACAGTACTTACACAAACCTAGATGGTATACCCTACCACACACCTAGGCTATATGGTATAGACTATTGCTCCTAGGCTACAAACCTGTACAGCATGTAACTGTCCTGAATAGTGCAGGCACTTGCTACACAGTGATAAGCACTTGTGTATCTAAACACAGAAAATGTACAGTAAAAATACAGTATCATAATCTTATGACTGCTGTGGCATATGCAGTCCATCATTGACCAAAATGTTATGCAGCACATGACTATATTCTAACATACATCAATCAGTGTTTCTTAAACTGAGGTCCAAGAAGTTTCAAGTTCAAGAAACACTGGTATGTTATTCATGATACCCTGGCTCTGGGAAATTGTAGGGTAAATGACTTTTCTGACTTTGCCAGCAACACTTCTAATGGAACCATGATCGACATGGAAACCACAGTTGAACAAGAATTAGAAAATAAGGTCCTGACAGCTCAGAATTTAGATTCTCTCATCACCAAAATTAGCACACTAGCCCAATGATAAATAAGACAGTTTATATGCAGTTTCAGGTCTTTAAATATTTCATATTGAAAAGAATATCAGCAAAAAAAAAAAAAAATAGCCTGGAAAAATAACCTGGAGAATATCTTCTGGAATTTTAGTTACTTCCGGAGGTGTAGGTGTTCTGAGCAGATTCTCATAAGAAGAAATCGTAGGTGAAGAGGGATCTGTTAAATTCTCAAAGCATGTGTCTGAATTTAAAACCAACGAAGTACGATCTTCAACTTCCAAATCATTTGATGAACTATTTGTTTTTGATAATGGGTAATTTGTGGATACCTATTGAATAAAAATAGACCATTAAATTATGGTAATATAACATAATGTAGTAAATAAAAATAGTTAATCATTTGTTACTTCTATTGGGGTCTCTAATAGGCTCCCATATGCCCCATCTTCTCTGACCAAGTTCTAAACAAAATCAAGAACAAATGGCATACAGAGGACAAAATATCATCTCATTACTAATAAAGGCTGAGTTAAAGCTTAATGTCAGCAAGGTGTGGTGGCTCATGCCTGTAATCCCAGCACTTTGGGAGGCCGAGGTGGGCCGATCATGAGGTCAGGAGTTTGAGACCAGCTTCGCCAACATGGTGAAACCCCATCTCTACTAAAAATACAAAAAATTAGCCAGGTGTGGTGGCGCCTGCCTGTAATCCCAGCTACTCAGGAGACTGAGGCAGGAGAATTGCTTGAACCCAGAGGCGGAGGTTGCAGTGAGCCAAGATCGCGCCACTGCACTCCAGCCTGGGTGACAGAGTGAGACTCCGTCACAAACAAAACAAAACAAAACAAAAACCAAAAAAACGCTTAATGTCATAACTATATAGAATGAACCAAAGATTTAGATGGATACTCCCACCCCATCTCAGGCAACAGTGAGTGTAGTCAGACGAAAATCACAGCATGAACAAATGTTACCACATGCACTCCCAAAAGGAAGAAAGCAGATCAGAGGTAAGTTTAGTATGCAGATTATTCATGCTAAATCAGCCAATTGGGTAAGTCGCTTCATCTCTCTCAGGTCAGAGTTAAGAGAGAGAGACGATAGAGTGTCACCTCAGTAGGGTACCTTCCACGTGAACATAAGGAGTAGATGAATTGTAAATGGCAGGTACTAACAGGCAGATAACCTGATACTTCAACTGATAACACAGCCCTGTGTTCATCCATAGCTGCACTGTCCAATATAGTAGCCACAGCCACATGGGGCTCTTTAAATTTTAAGCTAATTAAAATTAAATAAAATTTAAAGAAGTAAATATTAGTTCTTCAGATATACTAGCCACATTTTCAGTGCTCAATAACGTGATTAGAGGCTACCATATTGGACAGTGCAGACTATAAAACATTTCCATCATTATAGAAAATTCTATTGGATACCCTAATACAGTATTGGTTTTCTATAGCATTGGTTAAGTGACCATACTGACTAAAGAGGGATAAGGTTTTGATTTGATGAAATCTGATTAAATTTATTTGTTGGTAAAATTTAGGGGAAAAAAGCACAAAATCACCCATAATTTATCACCCAGAGATAACTACACTGCTGTTTCTATCCACTTTTTCCTTAAAATATGTGTATATATATGTGTGTGTGTACATACACACACATCATTTTCCATATGATTAATATTTCTTGAAAACATTCTTTTTATATGCTCTCATCTGTTTTTCAAAACATGATAGTATATGTAACACCTGATCTTATGGATATGCCTTGCTGTGTTTTAGTTCTTTGATATCATTCGATATTTATACTGTTTCCCATGTTTTGTGCTTATAAATAATGCTGTTCCTTACTCTATAACTTGTTTAAATCTTTGTCCCAATTTGCCTTAGAAAAAATTCAGAGATATGGTTTAAAGGTATGAAAAATATTTTTTAGAGCAATTGATTTATGCTGCCAAGCTACCCTCCAGAAATGCACTGTAAATACATCCCTAAAAGCTGGATTCATCCATGTCTTCTAAACAGACTCTTTGAGCCTGCAAGCAGTAGTGTATTTGAGTCTTTAGGAGAAAGACTGTGGCTTTCAATTTTATGGAAAGTTACCAAAGCTATGCTGTTCTTTGTAGATGGAATTTTCAAACCAGGAGTACAGAATGTAGGTACCAAAGGAGAGTTGGTATATTCGGCATCTAAAAGACACATAAAATGGTCATTAAAAAACTATAACTATAGTATGCTTAACTGGACAGGAAGAAAATCTCATATTTACATATGTAATTATCATTAGCACTACTAAAATTCAGCAAGGATGCAAGAGTAATACACAATAACAAATAGTTGTGTTGTAATATATATTAAACATAAAAGCAACAAACTATTACACATATAATTTGAAAAAAGATACTTTTCACAGTAGCAAGAAAGACAAGATACCTACAAATATATCTATTAAAAATGGTGTAAAACCTTTATGAAGAAAATTATCAAACTTCTGACAAAGGAGGAGGAAGACGGAGAACAGGTCACTTGTCTTCCAAGATGGCAGGACTTACTCCAAAGGTACAGTAGTTAAAAACAGTGTAACATTAACCAGGGATGGAAAAATTAAAGATAAGAACAAGAGAGACCCATGCATATATAGACAAGAGAGACCCATGCATATATAGACAATTGCTATCTAGAACACATAGTATCATCGAGGCAACCTTAAAAAACAACAAAGAGAAAAGGTAAATATGTTAGAAAAACAATCTGACTGGCAAAATATCTGAAGTCTAAAAATCATCAAGTACTGGAAAAGACGGAGAAACAGGAACTCAATACCACTAGTGAGAAGATAAATCTTAACAGCTACTCTTAGCTGACTATTCAGCATTTTCTAGAATAAGTAAAAATGTGCATGCCCTTTGACCTGGCAATTCTACTCCTAGATATGAGAAACACGCATATGCACAAGGGAAAATTTCCTTAAGGCACTGCCTATAATAATAAAAAATGAAAACACTACCTCCTAATCAGCAAATGAATATGGCTCATATATACAGTAGAATACTATTTATCAATTAAAAAGGATGAAGTGCTTTGGGAGGCCAAGGTGGGCAGATCGCTTGAGTCCAGGAGTTTGAGGCCAGCATTGGCAACATGGTGAAACCCCTCTACCAAAAAAATACAAACATTAGCTGGGCATGGTGGTGTAAGCCTGTAGTCCCTGCTACGTGGGGGCTGAGGTGGGAGGACTGGTTGAGCCCAAGAGGCGGAGGTTGCAATGAGTTGTCTACAGTTGTGACCAGCCTGGGCAACATGGCGAAACCCCATCTATACAAAAAATACAAAAATTAGCTGGACGTCGTGGTGTGTGCCTATAGTCTCGGATACTTGAGAGGATTGCTTGAGCCTGGGAAGTTGAGGCTGCAGTGAGCCAAGATCGTGCCACTACACTCCAGTCTGGGCAACAGAGTGAGACCCTGTCTCAAAGAAAACAAAACAAAAAAATCATAAAACTCTAGGATTTTTTTATCTTGCTTTTTCATGAACACCAATGTTTTCATGTTTGCTGGGACAAATATGAAAACACTGTATGAAAATTTTCTTTAAGTTACTGAGCTATTTAAAAGAAACCAAAATTTAAATTGGCAGCTGATGTATTCCGTGCGTGGTTTATATAAGATAATGTACAACTCTAATCAATAGGTTAAAAGAAAAAGTACTAAGGCTCTACATCAAAATATTGGTGAATATGTAAGTTTCAAATTAAAATGTTAATAACAAGCTGACAGATATTGAACATAATCAAGAGTATTAAAAACATACCAGAAAATTTTCTTTCTCTTGGACAAAATCATGCTGAATGAAATGGTACTTAATGTAATCCAATGTTAGGAATTAAACAGATGAAGAAAACTATTAGAATGTCTAAGATGATGAAATCAATTTTGTTCAAAGATAGTTTGGGAAAAATGTTCCTGAGAAGTAACTTGATTCTTATACTTACCACTTTTTTCCAACTGCTGGATGATGGGGCTGGGAGTGGCAAAAACATTATCATTGAGCCTGGATTCTGTATCTATGGCCTCCTCACTGGTGTGATTCATAGGGAAATTACAAGGTTAAAAAAGTTAACATTCAATCTCTGGGAAAAAAATTTAACCTTACTAAATATCAAGTTTGGACAAACATTCAGTTATGCTTTATGGTACAGAAGTCCCATGAAACAAATTCTTTTCTTTTTTCTAATATATATCCATGGTACAAAAAGGTTAAGGACCACTAAGTTCAACTTATTAGTTCAAAAAGGGAACTATGTAACTCCTGGGACTTCAAAATCCTAAAGTGGAATTTTATAACCAGTGTACACATATAGATTAAAAACTTGCCATTTTTTTAAGACTAAAATGACTGATCCTGTCATATGATTATCATTGTCCTAGCCAGTTACACAGATGTCTGTAAAATAGTTATAAAGAGAATATCACTGAATACAAGATAGTTCAGGATTGATTTTCACTTACAAGTTTCCAGTTTTGAATTTAAACATAATGACCCATGCTGTCTTTAACATCTTGTGTAAACATTTTTTTTTTTTTTCTGAGACATGGTCTTGCTCTGCCACCAGGCTGAAGTGCAGTGGTGCTATCTCGGCTCATTGCAACCTCCACCTCCCAGGTTCAAGTGATTCTCCCACCTAAGCCTCCCGAGTAGCTGGGACTACAGGCATACACCACTGCGCCTGGCTAATGTTTGTATTTTTTTGGTAGAGACAGGGTTTCACCATGTTGGCCAGGCTGGTCTCGAACTCCTGACCTCAGGTGATCCACCCACCTTGACCTCCCAAAGTGCTGGGATTACAGGTGTGGATTACAGGTGTGAGCCACTACACCTGGTCATTGTGTAAAACATTTTTTTAAAAGTGTGTATACAGTATGGCACATATACAAAAGAATATATATGTTGTACAAAAGTTCTAAAAATAAAAGGGCTGGGCATAGTGGCTTATGCCTGTTGCAGGGCCAAAGTGGGAGGATCTCTTCAGGCTATGAGTTGGAGATCAGGCTGCGCAACATAGCAAGACCCCATCTCTACAAAAAATAAAAAAAAATAAAATTAGCTGGGAGTTGCGGCACATACCTGTAGCCTCAGCTACGCAGCAGGCTGAGGTGGAAGAACCACTCGAACCCAGTTCATAGCTGCAGTGAGCTATCATCCTGCCACTGCACTCTAGCCTGGGTGGTGGGAATGTTTCATGGAAAGAGTTGATTTGTAAATGTCTAAAACCTTTTACCCAGTCATTTTACCTCTAAGAAAACTCAACAAACATTTTGGCACAGTAGTATTTATCACAGCTTATTTATAATAGGGGAAAATTGGAAAGAACCAAAATATGACAGTGAGACCCTGTCTCTAAAAATAAAAAGAAAGAAAGAAAGAAAGAAAGAATACTACTAGTACCTGTGTAGTCCTCTATGGAAGCTTCCCAACTTGGTACCCATCTCTGCCCTACAGAGGGAAATTTCTGTCTAGATTTGCTTGGTACTTTAACTACTTGTGTACTCTTAATATAATTTTTGTGCTTTTGAACTTTTGAACTATAAATGAAATAATAGTGTTATATATATAACACTATATGCACACTTTGTTTTCCTTGAATTTGTTCATTTAAGTAAAATTTCATAAAGGCTTTTATATACACTGACAATTTTCCCTAAGAAAGATTCACCAGTGGCCACCAGCATTATAAAAGCATTTTCTTATGTCTTATCAACACTGAATATAACCTGTCTTTTTTGGTATTCTCTCTCTTAACATTAATAAGCCTAGTTAAAACTTGGAAATAAAAACATCTGGATATGTTTTAGCCAAATATGCATCTGGATAGTTGAAAAATGACATCTCATTTTTTTATTTGAATTTCCTTCATTACCTGCAAGGCTAAAAGTGTTCATATGCTTATTGGTCAATTGTATTTCTTCTGGGGTTTTTTTGTTTTGAGATGGAGTCTCATTGTGTCACCTAAGCTGGAGTGCAGTGGCACGATCTCAGCTCACTGCAACCTCCATCTCCTGGGTTCAAACAATTCTTCTCTATGAGCCTAACGAGTAGCTGGGACTACAGGCGCCCGTCACCACGCCCGGCTAATTTGTGTATTTTTAGTAGAGCCAGGGTTTCACCATGTTGGCTAGGCTGGTCTCGAACTCCTGACCTCAAGTGATCCACCCACCTTGGCCTCCCAAAGTGTTTGGATTACAGGCATGAGCCACCACGCCCGGCCTCTTCTTTTGTTAATTCATGTCTTTGCTTGTTTTAAAAATTGGGATGTCTGTCTTTCACTAATTACTGCATATGGGTTTTTAAAACCTGTTATGTATCTATATAACATATATATGCACATATATTTATCATGTTATAACACTTTTCCTGCTTCGTCATTGGTCAAATATTTTATGATACAGTGGTTTAAAGTTTGTATGTGATTAAATCTATCCATATTCTTTAGTATGATTTCTAGCTTTGATGTCATGCCATAATTTATCTACTTTCTCCTGTTAGTTATTTTGGTTCTTTCCAATTCTCCCCATTTAAAATAAGGCTGTAATAAACACCACTGTGCCAAAATGTTTGTTAAGTTTTCGTAGAGGTAAAATAGTCATTTACCTAGGTAAAAGGTTTTAAACAGTTAAGAATCAACTCTTTCCATGATACATTCCTGACAATGATATATGAACACACGTTTCATTGTACTCTTCTAACAGTTAAAACAAATATGCTTTGTACTATTTTGATAGACAAAACTGTTTTTAAAATATTTATTAGTCGTATCTATTCCTGTCCATTGCCTAGGCTGCTTTTGGTGTTAGTGGTTTCTTATTAGTATGTGTGTAACAGCCCTCAGTGCAATTATTTTCTTGGTTTATTTTTTGCCCTTTATATGCTTCATGTTCCAGTCTATTTATTTTATTTTTATTTTTTTAGAGGCGGGATCTAGCTATGTTGCGCAGGCTGGTTTCAAACTCCTGGGTTCATGTGATTCTCCCAGCTCAGCCTCCCAAGCAGGTGGAACTAAGGCATGAATCACCATGCCTGACTCATGTTCCCTTCCATATTTCTGAATAGAATAAACAAATATCGTTAAGATGTCTAATCATGTCAATTAATTTACAAGTTTCTTGCAATTACAAACATAATGGTAATTGCAGTATACGCTTTCACTGTTTAAACAGATAACTTATCTATATTTTCTTTTATTTTTTAAATAATTTATCTAAATATTTATCTTTTTGATCTATCTATATTTTATGTTGACTTGAGGCAGAGATGACTTGATTTTTTTTCCAGTTAACTAATTGTTCCAGTATAACTTACTGAATCATCTTTACTTCAAAAATACCTTCAGGATCACTTGAGGCCAGGACTTAGAGACTAGCCTGGGTAACACAGTGAGACCCTGTCTTTACAGAAAGTTAAAAAAAAAAAAAAATTAGGCAGGCATGGTGGTCCACACCTGTAGTCCCACCTACTCCTTGGGAAGCTGAGGCAGGAGGACTGCTTGAGTCTAGGAAGTCGAAGCTGCAGTGAGCTATGATGATGCCTCTGCACTCCAACCTGGGTGACAGACTAAGAACCTGTCTCTAAAAATAAATAAATAAATAAATAAATACATAAAGAAAGAAATAGTTGCCCTGTGTAACTATATAAAATATATATCTTCTTTCAGCCTCTTACTTGAATTTTATTATTTCTATACGTTTTTCATGTGATTTTCTTGAGTTGCCTAGGTACAAAATGGCCTAGAAGTGCAACACAGAAATATTTCTTATTTCCTATCTCATTACACTGGCCAGAACATCAAGAATGATGTTAGGCTGGGCGTGGTAGCTCACACCTGTAATCCCAGCACTCTGGGAGGCTGAGACAGGTGGATTACTTGAGCCCAGGAGTTCAAGAGCAGTCTGGGCAACGTGGCAAAACCCCATCTCTACTAAAAATAGAAAAATTAGCCAGGCGTGGTGGCTCATGCCTGCAGTCCCAGCTACTCAGGTGGCTGAGGCTCGAGAATCACTTAAACTCAGGAGGCAGAGGTTGCAGTGAGCTGAGATTGCCCCAGTGCACTCCAGCCTGGGAACAGAGCAAGACCTTGTCTCAAAACAATAACATGACATGACATAACATTAGAAAGGATTCCTCCAGAACACCATCTATGCTCAGAGCTTTTTGGAGCTTGTTATCTGATAACTTTTTTTTTTTTGGAGAGTTTTGCTCTTGTTATCTAGGCTGGAGTGCAGTGGCGTGATCTCAGCTTACTGCAACCTCTGCCTCCTGGGTTCAAGCAATTCTCCTGCTTCAGCCTTCCAAGTAGCTGGGATTATAGGCGCCCTCCACCAAACCCAGCTAGTTTTTCATATTTTTAGTAGAGAGGGTTTCATCCTGTTGGCCAGGCTGGTCTTGAACTCCTAATGTCAAGCGATCCACTGTGCCTGGCCTGTTATCTGATAACTTTTCAGTTTTCTTCTCTGATTACTGGTCTACCCAGGTTTTCTACTTCAAGTCAATTTTTATCATTTTGTATTATTTTCTAAAACTTTAATATATCTGAAATTTTCAAATTTCCCAATACTATAACCTACGATATTTTCTGATAGCTTAGAAAAATAAAAACATAGGCCAGGCACAGTGGCTCACGCCTGTAAACCCAGCACTTTGGGAGGCCGAGGCAGGTGGATCACTTGAGGCCAGGAGTTCAAGACCAGCCTGGCCACCATGGTGAAACCCTGTCTCTACTAAAAATACAAAAATTAGCCAAATGTAGTGGTGTGTGCCTGCAATTCCAGCTACTTAGGTGGCTGAGGCACGAGAATCACTTGAACCCAGTGGTGGAGGTTGCAGTGAGCTGAGATCGAGCCATTGCACTCCAGCCTGGGGGATAGAACAAGACCATCTGAAAAACAAAACAAAACAAACAAACAAAACACACAATATAGTCCTTAGTTCTTAATGCTCTTATTTGTATTTATGTTTAGATAAGGACCAGTTCTTAGGTTTATCAATTCTACTCTTTTAAAAATCTTTTGGATTAAAATTTTATCTTTAGTGTTTTTTTCCCCAGAGTTGTGGGGTTTTTTTCTTTGACAGGAATGTTTGTTATCCTTCTTTAATAGTAACAGTTTTTAATGATAAGTATTTATCTATAGACATTGCTTGGCTACTTTGATAAGTGGTATTTTCATTGTAACTCTTACGGTTTTAATCACCATTTCCATGCTAATGACTCCCAAATCTAGTTTAGCACTGAATTCTTCACTGAGCTTTAAACTGATATTAGAATGCCTAAGCATGAAGAGGCACTAACAATGTCAAAACCAACATGTAAACACATCACCTATCCCCCCATACTCCAGGTATTCTTTTCTTGTTCTAACATCATCCCAAGCAACAAAACAGAAACTTGGGGTTTATCCTAGATCATCCCCTTTTCCCATGTCTCCATAGCAAATCAATCACAAGTTCTTACTAATTTTACCCCTTTAATCTTATTTCCTCTTCTATCCCTACAAATATCTTTTTTTCAGGCCCTTATCACTTCTATAGTCTCTCACCTGAAGAAACTGACAGCTCACACTTTATTGATAGTATTGGTGATTTGAGAAGATCTCTAATATAAAGTATCTGAAAACCTTACCACTAAAGAACTTATTGGCCGGGCGCGGTGGCTCACGCCTGTAATCCCAGCACTTTGGGAGGCCCAGGCGGGCGGATCATGAGGTCAGGAGATCAGGACCATCCTGGCTAACATGGTGAAACCCCGTCTGTACTAAAAATACAAAAAAATTAGCCAGGCGTGGTGGCTGGCGCCTGTATTCCCAGCTACTCGGGAGGGTGAGGCAGGAGAATGGCGTGAACCCAGGAGGCGGAGTTTGCAGTGAGCTGAGATCGCACCACTGCACTCCAGCCTGGGTGACAGAGCAAGCCTCCGTCTCGAAAAAAAAAAACAAAAAAAAAAACCAAAAAAAAACTTATTGATGTAACCAAACACCATCTGTTCCCCTAAAACCTATTGAAATAAAATAAATAAATAAATATCTGAAAACTTTTTAAAGCAAAAATGTCTGAAACATTTTATTTCTTCTGGAAAAAAAATCAATAAATACAAAAGGTTTAGAAAGCTAGATAAAATATGCCTTTTAACAGAGCTGCTTACCTTTTATTATTCCTCGCATTTTTAAGTCCCATTGTGTAATCTTCATTTAAACACATAGTATATTCAGAGATACCAAAGTGTTCTAATTTAGGAGTTACACACTCAAAATCATCCATTTTTAGTGCACATTTTGGAGTTTTTAGTACTTTTACTAGTGATTGTTTGGTAGGTGGGGTTACAATTACGGGCTCTTCCTTATAGTTGTTCACTGCCTGTGGAGGGTTTGGTAGAACTTGGGATACGATGTACCGCTCAAGTCCAAAATCTGAAAGTTGTGGACTACGTGGAGACTTCTCAGAAATACAACTGCTTGCAACAGGAGGATCAGACAGATCATCTTTCACATCAGTCTTCTGAAAATTTTCACAATTAGACAACTCTGGGTCAGAGTTAATGGCTTCTTGCTCGTGTACTAGGAGGAAAAATCAGAATATTCTGGTCAAACTCAAAATGGAAAATTTCACGTTTACAAAAACAACAGAAAACAGCTTATCTGAAATTTCCCAAATCAGCAAAAGTTCCAATTGTCTAAACATTTTATTTATTTAGTATTTATTGAGACAGGGTCTCGCTCTGCCACCCAGGCTGGAGTACAGAGGTGTGATCACAGCTCACTGCAGCCTCGACCTCCTGGGCTCAAGTGATCGTCCCATCTCAGCCCCTGGGGTAGCTGGGACTACAGGTGTGCCACCATGCTCAGCTAATTTTAAAAATTTTTTTTTGTAGAGTGGGGTCTCATCATGTTGCCCAGGCTGGTGTCAAACTCCTGGGCTCAAATGATCCTCCTGCCTTGGCCCCCCAAAGTGATGGGATTTCAGGCATGAGCCACCACACTCAGCTGAAATGTTATTTCAATTGTCCCTTTAATAAAGTTCTGACATGTATCTCTTGTGCACCCATATCTCATTGTGATTATACATTAGAGAAGGAAAGCAAGTTAAAAGTGTTATAAGATGAAAAATTAATATTCACAAATAAAAGTCCAATTTTCTTACATCCTTAATGTGATTTACTAGTTTTTCATAATATTTTTTCTTTCTTTTTTTTTTTTCTTTCTCAGACTTCAGTGAGCATCAGAATATATTTTCTGTAGCTTTGACTGTTGCCCAGGCTGGAGTGCAGTGGCACAATCACAGATAAGTAGGCAACAATGGGGGAAGGCCCCAGGTTGGGGCGAACAATGAACAACTGTTCTGAGAAAAGGCTAATCACAAACAACCTGCAGGCACAACAACTTTGTTCCTTTTTTTTTTTATTTTTATTTTTTGAGTCAGGGTCTCACTTTGTCCCCCAGGCTGGAGTGCAGTGGCAATCTCGGCTCACTGCAGCCTCAACCTCCAAAGCTGGGACTATAGGCACGCACCACCATGCCCAGCTAATTTTTTGTATTTTTGGTAGAGACAGGGTTTCACCATGTTGCCTAGACAGGTCTAGAACTCCTGAGCTCAAGTGATCTGCCCACCTCGGCCTCCCAGCGTGCTGGGATTACCCATGTGAGCCACCATGCCTGGTCACAACAACCTTGTTCTGTACCTAGCCCGCCTCCAGCATGACCCTATAAAACTTCCCTTCAGCCTCTGCCTCTTTGCAGACAGCCCCTTCTCTGCTGTACTGCCCATTGCAACCTTGCAATGTATTTTCATACTTTCGCTAATAAATCTGCCTTTCTCTACCTACAACTGTCTTGGTAAATTCCTTTACCACCTGAGACACTAGCCCCAGCTAGTCACACCCACAACACTGGGCTCAGGTGATTCTCCTACCTCAGCCTCCCAGGCAGCTGGTACTACAGACATGTGCCACCATGCCCAGATAATTTTTTGTACTTTTTGTAGAGATAGGGTTTCGCCATGTTGCCCAGGCTGGTCTTGAACTCCTGGGCTCAAGTGATCCACCTGCCTCAGCCTCCCAAAGTGTTGGGATTACAGGCGTGAGCCACTGCACCTGGCCTGAAACTGTATTTTAAAATTTCATGACAGTATGGAATCAACTGTGTTCCAGATTTAACACAGAGTATGATATTATTTTAGATTCGTAACTTCCAGATGCCTCAGCTAAATAGCAAAGACTGCTATATAAAGATAAGTTTGTATCCTTAGTCTGGAACACCTATATAAAACACCTAGTTGAGAAAAATAATAGGAGAGCACTTCAAAGATATACAGTTTCTCAACCATTAATAGGTTATATACTTTTTTTTTTTTTTTTTTGAGATGGAGTCTTGCTCTGTCACCCAGGCTAGAGTGTGGTGGTGCAATCTCAGCTCACGGCAACCTCCGTCTCCTGGGTTCAAACAATTCTCTTGTATGAGCCTAATGAGTAGCTGGGATTACAGGCACACGCCACCACACCCAGCTAATTTTCGTATTTTTAGTAGAGACAGGGTCTCACCATGTTGGCTAGGCTGGTCTCGAACTCCTGACCTCAGGTGATCTGCCCGCCTTGGCCTCCCAAAGTGCTGGGATTACAGGCATGAGCCACCGTGCCTGGCCGGTTATATACTTTCTTGTTTGTTTGTTTTGTTTTAAAAGTCTTGAGTTTAAATCTCTAAAGTTTTATATTTTGATTTCATAGTTTTTGTTCCTTTGAAGAGCTTCTGAGTCACTGAGTTGTTTTTGGCATTATGCTTTCTGTTACTTTTGAGAACAGAAAGTTCTTGCTACAAGAGTTCCAAAAACCTACTGATGTATTTATCACAGTGCTGTCATTTCAGAGATTAATAAATCATCATTATCACTACTCCATAGGGAGATATTATTATCCCCATCTTATAAGTGAGGAAAAAGCAACTTAGAGAAATTACCCAAGGTCACGCATGTAATAACTGGTGGAGCCCGTATTTGAATCTGTGGCTCTTTCACACCAAAGTCAACTGAATTCTATGATTCCACGTGGGGGGTGGTGGTGGTGGTATGGGTTGTTTGTATGTATGTATGTATGTATGTATTTTATTTATTGAGACAGGGTCTTGCTATGTCATGCAGGTTGGAGTGCAGTGGCGTGATAGTAGCTCACTGTGGCCTTGAACTCGTGGGCTTAAGGGATCCCTTCTGCCTCAGCCTCCTGAATAGCTGTGACTCCAAGTGTGCACCACCATGCCCAGCTAATTTTGTAAAAGAATTTTTTGTAGAGACAGAGTCTCATTATGTAGCCCTGGCCTCAAGTGATCCTCCTGCCTCAATCTCCCACACTGCTGGGGTAACAGGCATGAGCCACTGTGCCCGTCTCACATGGACTGTTTAACTTACCTGCCACACACATCCTCAATACATACTTGTTCAATTTAATAACAGAAATGAAGACACTGGGCCAGGCGCTGTGGCTCACGCCTGTAGTCCCAGCACTTTGGGAGGCCGAGACAGGCGGATCACGAGGTCAGGAGATCGAGACCATTCTGGGTAACACAGTGAAACCCCGTCTCTAATAAAAATACAAAAAAATTAGCTGGGCGTGGTGGCGGGCCCCTGTAGTCCCAACTACTCAGGAGGCTGAGGCAGGAGAATGGCTTGAACCCGGGAGGTAGAGCTTGCAGTGAGCCGAGATCGCGCCACTGCACGACTGAGCGAGACTCCATCTCAAAAAAAAAAAAAAGAAATGAAGACACTGAAGTTAGTCATTCAGAGGTATGGGCATAACAGTAACAGTTAATAATTAATCTTGGGTGACTGACATGCTAGGAACTGCTGTAAGCAACTTTATCTTATTTAATCCTTATACAATCTCATGAGATAGATATACTAAACATTCCCACTTTACAAATGAGAAACTGAGGCACAAGGTTAAGTAACTTGACAAAGATAATAATACAGCTATTAAGTGGTGGAATACGGATTTGAACTCAGGCATTTTGACTCCAAATTCTAAACCACTATGATAGAATGCCCTTCATTAAAATTTTAGAATCAAAAAAGGACTTCGTCAAATTTTATAGCCAATATCTCTTTCTATAGAAGAGAACACTGTGAACAAGAAAAATGAAATAACATGCCTCGAGGTCTCTCAGCTTTTATTGGCAGGGCTAACTAGAAACCACCTATCCCAAGTTTTGAAGATTTATCTTGTAGTTTTTCATTTAAATAGGCCATCTAGCCTAAATGTGCTAAATCTAGCATTGTGCTAGCTTTCATTTGGCATTTTGGAAAGGAGAACAAGGACTGTTTTTATATTACACCCCTGATTAGCACTCCAAAAGCACACCACACAGTGAGAGTTGACTAAATATTTATCAAATAAGCGTCAGATAACAACAGAGCTAGAACTAAAAACCATAGCCAAGGCTACAGTTGTCTTAATCATGCTGCCTTGTTTCTTCAATACTAAAACAAATGCTATAAAATGAAGTTATTCAAACCTGAATTTTTCTTGACACGTGGACTATATCCATACTTCTGGAAATACTCTCTTATTTTCATAATATCCATTGAATTTTTTTCCATTAGTACTTTTGTTGCCTTTATGAAATCAATGCCTTCTTGATTTTCCAATCTTGCTTTATCAAGAAGAATATTAACATCATCCTTTTATGAATAAAGAAAGTACATTTTAATTTCTCTAACTTCTGACTAAATCTATTTAGGATAAAAAAATTACTCGCCACAGAAAAATAATAAATCAATATTGTAGGAGTGATACCTTTAGAGTCTGAACTTCTGAATGAAGGTCATATAAAATTCTCATTGGATAATCTTCAAAGTCTTCAATATGAATATTGAAAGAAAAGAAGTCCAATAAATGTAAGGAAAAGGAGGAAGAAAAAGAATAGTATACAATCATATACCTTATAATGACATTGGTCAATCACAGATCACATATGACAGTGGTACCATAAGATAATACCATATTTTTTACCGTACCTTTTTTATGTTTAGATACACAAATACTTACCATAATGTTACAGTTGCTTACAGTATTCAATGCAGTCGCATGCTATACAGGTTTGTGGCCTAGGAGCGACAGGCTACACCATACAGCCTAGGTATGCAGTAGGTCATATCATCTACGTTTGTGTTACATATGCTCTATGATGTTCGCACAATAACAAAATTGCCTAACGTTGCTCAGAATGTATCCCCATTAAGTAACATGACTGTATAACATACATACTGAAAAGCATACAAATCCTAAGTATATAGTTTAATGAACTTTATAAAATGAGCATACCTGCACAACTGGCCCTCAGCTCAAGAAAAAGGAGAAACAGAGCCTTAGTAGAACTCTAGAAGCCCTCTTATAGTCTCTCCCTTCCCCACAAGGGTAAACTTTAGCCTGATTTCTTTTTCTTTTTTTGAGATGGAGTTTCGCTCTTGTTGCCCAGGCTGGAGTGCAATGGTGCGATCTTGGCTCACTGCAACCTTCACCTCCCGGATTCAAGCGATTCTCCTGTCTCAGTCTCCCAAGTAGCTGGGACTACAGGTGTGCGCCACTACATCTGGCTAGTTTTATATTTTTAATAGAGATGGGGGTTTCACCATGTTGGTGAGGCTGGTCTTGAACTCCTGACCTCAAGTGATCCACCCGCCTCGGCCTCTCAAAGTGTTGGGATTATAGGCGTGAGCCACTGCACCCAGCCACCTTACCCTGATTTCTAACGCCATGAAGTAGTTTTGTCACTTATGAACTTGATTTAATGGACTCAAACAATATGTACTCTTTTGCGACTGGCTTCTTTCACTCAACTGTTACATTCTTCCACGTTCGTAATCTAATCCATGTTCATTATTGTGTAGCATTTCCACTGCGTGATACCATATTTATTTATTCTATTGTTGAAACACTTTGGATTGTGCCTAGTTTGGAATTATTATGAATACTCTTGCTTTGAACTTCCTAGAACATGTCTTTGGTACCAACGTATTCATATTTCTGTATGTTAAGAGACTCAGAAAAAGTGCTGGATTATATGTTATGCATATGCTCAACTTCAGTAAATACTGCTAGTTTTCCAACATGATTTTTACAGTTCACACTCCCACCAGCAGTGCATAAGAAGTGCATTTGTTCCTGCTCATCATCACTGGCCATCAGAGAAATGCAAATCAAAACCACAATGAGATACCATCTCACACCAGTTAGAATGGCAATCATTAAAAAGTCAGGAAAAAACAGGTGCTGGAGAGGATGTGGAGAAATAGGAACACTTTTACACTGTTGGTAGGACTGTAAACTAGTTCAACCATTGTGGAAGACAGTGTGGCAATTCCTCAAGGATCTAGAACTAAAAATACCATTTGACCCAGCCATCCCATCACTGGGTATATACCCAAAGGATTATAAATCATGCTGCTATAAAGACACATGCACACTTATGTTTATTGCCGCACTATTCACAATAGCAAAGACTTGGAACCAACCCAAATGTCCATCAATGATAGACTGGATTAAGAAAATGTGACACATATACACCATGTGCAGCCATAAAAAAGGATAAGTTCATGTCCTATGTAGGGACATGGATGAATCTGGAAACCATCATTCTCAGCAAACTATTGCAAGGACAAAAAACCAAACACCGCATGTTCTCACTCATAGGTGGGAATTGAACAATGAGAACACTTGGACACAGGAAGGGGAACATCACACACTTGGGCCTGTCATGGGGTGAGGGAAGGGGGGAGGGATAGCATTAGGAGATATACCTAATGTAAATGACGAGATAATGGGTACAGCACACCAACATGGTGCATGTATACATATGTAAGAAACCTGCACGTTGTGCACATGTACCCTAGAACTTAAAAGTATAATAATTTTAAAAAAAGAAAAAAAAAGTGCGTACTGCTCCAACAACAACAACAACAACAACAAAAAGCGCATTTGTTCCACATCTTTCCAAACACTTGGTAATTTTCTCTTTTTCGTTTTAGCTATCCTGCTGGGTATGCAACTGTACTACATTGAGATTTAATTTGCATTTCCTTGATGACTAATGAAATTTGCATTTCCTTGATGACTAATGAAATTGATGTCTTTTCACATTCCTGATGACCATCTGAAGATAGTTTTTTCTTTCTTAGATGGAGTCTAAGATCGCTCAGGCTGGAGTGCAGTGGCGCGATCTCGGGTCACTGCAACCTCCGCTTCCAGGGTTCAAGCGATTCTCCCACCTCAGCCTCCGAGTAGCTGGGATTACAGGCGCCCACTACTATGCCCAGCTAATTGTTTTGTATTTTTAGTAGAGACGAGGTTTCACCACGTTGGCCAGGCTGGTCTTGAACTCCTGACCTCGGGCGATCCACCCACCTCGGCCTCCCAAAATGCTGGGATTACAGGCGTGTGCCACCGTGCACGGCCAAATCTTTTTTTCTTTTTGAGACGGACTCTTGCTCTGTCGCCGAGGCTGGAGTGCAGTGGCGGATCTCGGCTCACTGCAAGTTCCGCCTCCCGGGTTCACGCCATTCTCCTACCTCAGCCTCCCGAGTAGCTGGGACTACCGGCGCCCGCCACCACGCCCGGCTAATTTTTTGTATTTTTAGTAGAGACGGGGTTTCACCGTGTTAGCCAGAATGGTCTCGATCTCCTGACCTTGTGATCCGCCCGCCTCAGCCTCCCAAAGTGCTAGGATTACAGGCGTGAGCCACCGCGCCGGGCAGAAATAGACATTTTCAAGTGACTGGAGATCATTCATTATATAATTAAAGTAAAAGTAGTCTGCAGGGTGTAATATTTTAAAGCACATTACAATTATGACATTTATGAAATAATTCCAAAATCTGAACTACTTTTTCAACAATTTAAAAAATCTCTAATAAAAAGGGGAATGGTGAATTTTGCTTTATTTATATACACATATTTTTTTAAACCCCAGCACTGTTGAGTACTAGTGTTTGTGTTGGCAACATGGTTTAGCGGGAAAAACACAGAGGTTTACTGCAACTGTGGACCACGTGAGTGAGAAAAAAGTCACTATATGTGTAAAGTATTGTGTAAAGAACGTTAAATAGCTTGATTCTAAGAGAAACTGTTTAGGTTTACATGGTATTTTACTGACAAGCACACATATTGTATGTGACGAAAGCATATCACGTATAAATTAGTATATGTATTATGAGCTCAATCTGTT
Organism: Homo sapiens; assembly: GCF_000001405.40. Lineage (NCBI taxonomy): Eukaryota > Metazoa > Chordata > Mammalia > Primates > Hominidae > Homo > Homo sapiens. The sequence goes on from NC_000013.11 coordinate 21,176,047, forward strand.
AATTTAGGTTCTTATTCTTAAGTGCTGCTGTCTCTGTTTATAACGTAATAGTGCTACTTTCATTATCTCAAGAGAGCCGTGGGGTTGTACATGGGTCTAAAACGGACACGCGACAAGGGTTCCTAGGAATAAACCATAAACAGGCCCGGGAGCTACGCTAACGCCAAACGCCGAGCAGTGAGACGCGCAGCACCCGCCCTGCGCCTCGGTGGCAGCCGTCCACGCCGTCAGTGCCTGGCGGTTCCCGTGGGACATACCGTCCACTCGCCACGCCCCTCCGCCCGCGGCGCACCCCACGCACCGTGCCCTGGCCGCCCGCCTCACGCACCGCTTTCCTCTCCGTCCAGCGCTCGCTGCAGCCGGGCCGTCTCGCAGTCCAGCGTGCTGGCCAGAGACCGCAGCTTCCCGCAGAAGCTCCGGATAGGGTCCATGCTGAGCACAGCGGGGAAGGACTCCAGGCGTACGCAGACCCCACCGCTCAGCTCACAGCCTCCCGCCACTAGTTTGAATCTCGGCGCCGGACGCGTCCTCGGCTCTGCGCAGGCGCAGTCCTCTCTCGCGAGAGCCGAAGTCTCTCGCCGAGGCCCCAGGAGACCCCGCGAGACGGGTGCGCTTACGCCACGGCGTCTGCTGGCGGCCGCGGAGACGCAGAGTCTTGAGCAGCGCGGCAGGTGAGTAGCTGTGCGAATTCGGTTCTCTAGGGAGCTCCTTCTTCGCCTGCTGGCCTTACCTGGGCTCCCCGCTTCTCTGGAGGGGAGGCGGTGCGGGAACTCCCGTAGGCGTGAGCTGGAGCGCGCGCCCGCTGCTCTCTCCAGGTCCGGCCGCGCCAGTTCGCCTCCGCAAAGCCCGTCCCTCTCTTCCGCAGGCACCATGTTCCTGACTGCGCTCCTCTGGCGCGGCCGCATTCCCGGCCGTCAGTGGATCGGGAAGCACCGGCGGCCGCGGTTCGTGTCGTTGCGCGCCAAGCAGAACATGATCCGCCGCCTGGAGATCGAGGCGGAGAACCATTACTGGCTGAGCATGCCCTACATGACCCGGGAGCAGGAGCGCGGCCACGCCGCGGTGCGCAGGAGGGAGGCCTTCGAGGCCATAAAGGCGGCCGCCACTTCCAAGTTCCCCCCGCATAGATTCATTGCGGACCAGCTCGACCATCTCAATGTCACCAAGAAATGGTCCTAATCCTGAGTCGTCACCCTTGGATTTTATGGATCACGGAGCTGACCATCTTTACCTGGTCCTGGAACTGAAAAACTGTAGCTTGTGTGAAAATGAGCCTTTGGACCAGTCTTTATTAAAACAAACAAACATGAGTAGTCTGCATATCGAATATCTAGAGCTCTAAACCCCCAATACTTAAAAGTCTAATTGCTGTCCTGTGGTTTCATTAGTCTGATAGGAAGATAGGGATTTCCTCAGTCACAGATGATATTTTGAAGGAAAGCTGCAATAAAGCCACAATGATTTGAGGTCTTTGCTTAAGTATGAGATACTTGATGGGGGCTTTATCATGCAACATTAGTTTGCTTACCTTAAGAATTGCCCAAAAATGAAAGAAAATATGAGCTTTTCAGTTAAACATACTCCTAAAAACATTTTCCGGGATTTTACTACTAAAATTGGACATTTAAGCGAAGTAAAAGAGGCCGGGTGCGGTGGCTCACGCCTGTAATCCCAACACTTTAGGAGTCCAAGGCGGGCGGATCACTTGAGGTCAGGAGTTCAAGACCAGCTTGGCCAAGGTGATAAAACCCGTCTCTACTAATACAAAAAAAATTAGCTGGGTATGTTGGTGCAGGCTTGCAATCCCAGCTACTTGGGACGCTGAGGTGGGAGGATCGCCTGAACCTCAGAGGCAGAGGTTGCAATGAAGCGGAGGTTGCAGTGAGCCGAGAGCATGCCGCTGCACTCCAGCCTGGGAGACTGCATCTCAAAAAAGAAAAATAAACGAAGTAAAAGATATTTATCAGAGCTGTTACAGGAAGGTGTATTTTTTAGCTATTTTGGCAGGGTGCTGTGGTGCTTGCATGTAGTCCCAGCTATTCAGGAATATTGCTTGAGTCCAGCTTGGGCAACATAGCGAGACCCTATCTAAAATAACAATAATATATGGCCAGGCGGGATGGCTCACGCCTGTAATCCCAGCACTTTGGGAGGCTGAGGCGGGCAGATCACTTGAGGCCAGGAGTTCAAGACCAGCCCAACCAACATGGTGAAACCCTGTCTCCACTGAAAATACATAAAATTAGCCGGGTGCAGTGGTGAGGCCTGTAATCCCAGCTACTCAGGAGGCTGAGGCAGGAGAATCGCTTGCACCCAGGAGGTGGAGGCTGCAGTAAGTCGAGATTGTGTCACTGCACTCTAGCCTGGGCGACAGAAAAAGAAAATTTAGGTGGGGAAAAAAATCAGAATTGCGTCTGTGGGAACAGGAATAAAGGAGAAACCACTATTGACTGGGAAGACACACAAAGAACTTTGTCAAAGTTGTATGGCTGAGGCCCACACGGTGGCTCACTTCTGTAATCCCATCACTTTGGGAGGCTTAGGCAGAAGGATCACCTGAGATCAGGAGTTCCAGACCAGCCTGGCCAACATGGCGAAACCCCATCTCTACTAAAAATACAAAAATTAGCCGGGCGTGGTGGCTTACGCCTGTAATCCCAGCACTTTGGGAGGCCAAGGTGGGCGGATCACAAGGTCAGGAGTTCGAGACCAGCCTGGCCAATATGGTGAAACCCCATCTCTACTAAAAATATAAAAATCAGCAAAAAAAATTTAGCCAGGCTTGGTCATGCATGCCTGTAATCCTAGCTACTGGGAAGGCTGAGGAAGGAGAATTGCTTGAACCCAGGTGGTGGAGGTTGCAGTGAGCTGAGATCGTGCCACTGCTCTCCAGCCTGCATGACGGGAGTGAGACACCATCTCAAAAAATACATATAATAATATAAATAAAAATATCTTTTTTGAAAATAATTTAATATACCATGTAATTTACCAGTTGAAGATGTTCGCTTTCAGAATATAATAAAAATAGTCAAAAACTTTGTGTTTCTAAATACATACTGTATATAGTAGTGTAATACAGTACCCTATACAATATGCATTTGGTGACACAGTATACAGCACTCTATACGGTTGGAACTATTTTATATTTGAGGAAACATTTAAGGAACTGTCCACAGTTACAGCCAGTGATGAGATGGACTTGAGATTGAATTGCTGTATAATACAGAAATCTTGGGTGAGTACGGTCAACAATAATTTATTGAACATTTAAAAATAGCTGAGGCCGGGTGTGGTGGCTCACGCCTGTAATCCCAGCACTTTGGGAGGTCTAGGCAGGCGGATCACGAGGTCGGGAGATCGGGACCATCCTGGCCAATATGGTGAAACCCCATCTCTACTAAAAAATAGAAAAACTAGCTGGGCATGGTGGCACATGCCTTTAATTCCAGCTACTCGGGAGGCTGAGGCAGGAGGAGAATCACTTGAACCAGGGAGTTGGAGATTGCAGTGAGCTGAGATTGTGCCACTGCACTCCAGCCTGGTGACAGAGCAAGACTCCATCTCAAAAAAATAAAAATAAATAGCTGAAAGATGGCCTGGCACACTGGCTAACGTTTGCAATCCCAACACTTTGGGAAGCCTAAGAATTGGAGACCAGCTTGGGCAACATAGTGAGAACTCTACAAAAAATCAAAAAATTGGCCAGGCCCATGGTGTGCACCTGTAGTCCTAGCTGCTTGGGAGACTGAGGCAGAAGGATGGCTTGAGCTGGGGAGGTTGAGGCTGCAGTGAGCTGTGGTTGTGCCACGACACTCCAGCCTGGGCCACAGAGTAAGACCCTGTCTCAAGAAAAAAATAGCTAAAATACTACAATTGGATTGTTTGTAACACAAAGAAAGGATAAATGCTTGCAGCGATGGATTAACCCCCGCCAAAAAAGAAATCTTGTTGACTGTTAAATATATAGAAAAAAAAATTCAATCCCATTATTCACTATTTCCCATTAACGAGATAATCTTCATTTTTTTTTCTTTTAGTCTCCTTATACATACGCTTTTTGAAAATATATTGAGATATTGAGCCCAGGAGCTTGAGGCTGCAGTGAGCTATGATTGTGCCACTACATTCCTGGCTGGGGAACAGAACAATGTCTCAATTTTTTTTTTTGCTGTGTATGGTGGCTCAGCCTGAAACCCCAGCACTTCGGGAGGCTGAGGTAGGAGGATTGCTTGATGCCAAGAGTGTGAGACCAGCCTGGGCAACATAGTGAGACCCTATCTCTAAAATGAAATGAATCAAAAATGTATTGAGATAGATAAATAGAATTTAGAGCCGAAAGCTGTAACTGTAACATTTAAATATTCTGATAACAAATGGCTTTCCAGAAAGGTAGTGCAAAATTTCAAGACTAATGTATGAGAGTGGGAGTCTTATTTGCCAGCATTAAATGTTTTTCCTCATTAACAAAAATTACTGTGTTTTGTTAGATGATTCACTTTTTTTTTTTTTTTTTTTGAGACAGGGTCTTGCTCTGTTGCTCAGGCTGGATTGCAGTGGTGCCATCTTGCCTCACTGCAACCTCAACCTCCATGCTCAATTGATTTTTGTATTTTTTTGTAGAGACAAGTTTTCGCCATGTTGCCCAGGCTGGTCCCCAATTCCTGGGCTCAAGCCATCCGCCTGCCTTGGCCTCCCAAAGTGCTGGGATTACAGGCATGAGCCACCATGCCCAGCTCCCATTCACATTTTAATATCTGCAATTTGTATAGGCTATGGTGAAGACACATTGTTTTTTTTTTTTTTTTTTGAGATCAAGTCTCGCTGTGTCACCCAGGCTGGAGTGCAGTGGCGCCATCATGTGCCCAGCCGACACATTAGGTTTTTAAAAATGATTATTCATGCTGGGCACAATGGCTCACACCTGTTATCCCAGCACTTAGGGAAGCCGAACCAGGTGGATCACCTGAGGTCAGGCGTTCGAGACCAGCCTGGCCAACATGGCGAAACCCTGGCTCTACTAAAAATACAAAAATTAGCTGGGCGTGGTGGCGTGCACCTCTAGTACTAGCTACTCTGGAGGCTGAGGCAGGAGAATTGCTTGAACCTGGGAGACGGAGGTTGCAGTGAGCAGAGATTGAGCCGTTGCGCTGCAGCCTGGGTGACAGAGCAAGACTCAAAAAGAAAAAATTATTTGTTATCTTTTAACAAAGTGCCTGAAGTGTAATAAGTGTTTCACAGTTGCTTAACCAAGTTAACTATCTTATTAATGTGTCATATTCTTGTTAGTATATAAATACTTGTTGAATTCTTTTCATTGCTCACAGAAATGTCTGTGGTGCATATGGGCAATTTAATATCTCTGAACAGGCAAGGTGGCTCGCGCCTGTAAACCCAGCATTTTGAGAGACCGAGGCAGATGGATAACTTGAGGCCAGGAGTTCGAGTCCAACCTGACCAACATGGTGAAACCCCATCTCTACTAAAAGTAGAAAAGTTAGCCAGGTGTAGTGGCGCACACCTGTAGTCCCAGCTACTCAGGAGGCTGAGGCAGGAGAATTGTTTGAACCCAGGAGGTGAAGGTTGCAGTGAGACAAGATTGTGCCATTGCACTCCAGCCTGGGTGACAGAGCGAGACACTGTTTCAAAAAATAAATTAATTAATAAATGATTATAATATTATCTCTGAACTTTTCATACCTGGAAATAGTGGCTGCTGATACTGTTGAGGAGAAAGGTGGAGAAAGATTGCCAGGGGGACCTGCTTAAGCATTGCTATTACTATTGCTCTAATCTATGTATGAGTCAGAAACCTTTGAATTTGGAATTTGTAAAACGGTAATGGTTAACTTGAATCTCAGAGGACATTTGAGAAGCAAAAGGATGCCAAAATAAAACTGTGAGTATGAAGAAATTGAAGGCAACAAATGAAAAGATAGGCATTGTAATGTACAATTATCTTTAAGTTTTAAAACAATCTTGTAACATAGATATCCCCACACTACAGATGTGAAACTGAAGCTCAGAAATGTCAGCAACATTCCCATAAACAGTAAATGTATAATGTAGGACTAGGCTTACTAAAGACCATAGTCATTTTAACACAGCACACTAGGTGCTACAAATAAAATACAGCCATTGGCCAAGGCAATGTTGTAGAAACATGTAACTTTTCTTTTTTTTCTTTTTTTTCTTTTTTTTTTTGAGACAGAGTCTTGCTCTGTCACCCAGGCTGGAGTGCAGTGGTGTGGTCTGGGCTCACTGCAACCTCCGCCTCTCGGATTCACACCATTCTCCTGCCTCAGCTTCCCAAGTAGCTGGAACTACAGGCACCCGCCACCACGCCCGGCTAATTTTTTGTATTTTTAGTAGAGACAGGGTTTCGCCGTGTTAGCCAGGATGGTCTCGATCTCCTGACCTCGTGATCCGCCTGCCTCGGCCTCCCAAAGTGCTGGGATTATAGGCATGAGCCACCATGCCCGGCCTTGAAACATGTAACTTTTCTCTTTGAAAACCTATAACTGTTACCATCATAGTCATCATAGTTCTTGATCTTTTTTGTCAACAGAGGCTAATTGGCCACCCAGAGATGTTCATAATCACACATGTAACAAAATACATCATTGCCAACCTGGGCGTTATGCACAGTCCCTGTCTTATATCTGTAATAGATGTCCTGGGGCTCTGTTTTATCCAATTGTTGAGTGAGGGAAAGTGCCATTTCTCAACCTTGCCTGAGCGGTCAGGAAAAGCTTCATAAGAGGTGATCCTTAAGCAAATTCATAGTTTGCCTTGCCAGCAAGTGGGTGGCAGGAATTACAGGCAGAGGGAACGATCTTGTGATTGTTTAAGAAGTTGATAGTATTTTAGTATTGTTAGAGGATAGGATATTTGAGAATGGGGAAGAAAAGAGAGAAAAGGCTGAAGAAGTAGGCAGGGACTAGAACACAAAAGATCTTGCATGACACTATAAGAAGTTTTATAAACTTTTATAAAACTTTATAAAAACTTTTATAAAACTGTATCAGTAATGGGGAGCCATTGAAAATTTTTAATTAGTGGAATAATGAAAAACACGATGAAGCCAAGCGTAGTGGTGCTCCTGTGATCCTGCCTACTTGGGAGGCCTAGGCAGGAGGATTGCTTGAGCCCAGGAGTTTGAAGCTGCAGTGAACTGTGACTGTACCATCGCACAACAGCCTGGGCAACAGAACAAGACCCCATCTCTTTAAAAAGGAAAGAAAGAAAAAAAAGAAATGCATTGGTAATGGTACCAAAACAGATGTATAGACCAATGGAACAGAACAGAGGCCTCAGAAATAACGTCACACATCTACAACCATCTGATCTTAAACAAACCTGACAAAAGCAAACAATGGGGAAAGGATTCCCTATTTAATAAATGGCGTTGGGAAAACTGGCTAGCCATGTGCAGAAAACTGGACCCCTTCCTTACACCTTATACAAAAATTAACTCAAGATGGAGTAAAGGCCGGGCACGGTGGCTCACGCCTGTAATCCCAGCACTTTGGGAGGCCGAGGTGGGCGGATCACGAGGTCAGGAGATTGAGATCATCCTGGCTAACACAGTGAAACCCCGTCTCTACTAAAAATACAAAAACAAAATTAGCCGGGCGTGGTGGCAGGCGCCTGTAGTGCCAGCTACTCAGGAGGCTGAGGCGGGAAAATGGCATGAACTGGGAAGGCGGAGCTTGCAGCGAGCCAAGATCGAGCCACTACACTACACTCCAACTCCAGCCTGGGCGACAGAGTGAGACTCCGTCTCCAAAAAAAAAAAAAAGATGGATTAACGACTTAAATGTAAGACTTAAAACCATAAAAACCCTAGAAGAAAACCTAGGCAATACTATTCAGGACACAGGCATGGGCAAAGACTTTATGACTAAAACACCAAAAGCAATGGCAACAAAAGCCAAAATTGACAAATGGGATCCAATTAAACTAAAGAGCTTCTGCACAGCGAAAGAAACTATCATCAGAGTGGACAGGCAGCCTACAGAATGGGAGACAATTTTTGCAATCTATCCATCTGACAAAGGGCTAATATCCAGAATCTAGGAGGAACTTAAACAAATTTACAAGAAAAAATAAACAACCCCATCAAAAAGTGGGTGAAGGATATGAACAGACACTTCTCAAAAGAAGACATTTATGCGGCCAACAAATATAAGAAAAAAAGCTCATCATCACTGGTCATTAGAGAAATGCAAATCAAAACCACAATGAGATTCCATCTCAAGCCAGTTAGAATGGTGATCATTAAAAAGTCAGGAAACAACAGATGCTGGAGAGGATGTGGAGAAATAGGAACTCTTTCACACTGTTGGTGGGAGTGTAAATTAGTTCAACCATTGTTGAAGACAGTGTGGCGATTCCTCAAGGATCTAGAACCAGAACTACCATTTGACCCAGCAATCCCATTACTGGGTGTATACTGAAAGAATTATAAATGATTTTACTATAAAGACACATACACACGTATGTTTATTGCAGCACTATTCACAATAGCAAAGACTTGGAACCCACCCAGATGCCCATCAATGATAGACTGGATAAAGGAGATGTGGCATATATACACCATGGAATACTATGCAACCATGTAAATGATGAGTTCATGTCCTTTGCAGGGACATGGATGAAGCTGGAAACTATCATTCTCAGCAAACTAACACAGGAGCAGAAAACCAAACACTGCATGTTCTCATCTATAAGTGGGAGTTGAACAGTGAGAACACATGGACACAGGGAGGAGAACACACTGGGGCCTGTTGGGGGGTAGGGGCCTAGGGGAGGGATAGCATTGGGAGAAATACCTAATGTAGATAACAGGTTGATGGGTGCAGCAAACCATCATGGCACGTGTATACCTATGTAACAAACCTGCAGGTTCTGCACATGTATCCCAGAACTTTAAGTATAATAATAATAATAAAAAAGAGGGCCAGGTGCAGTGGCTCATGTCTGCAATCCTAGCACTTTGGGAGGCCGAGGCAGGCAGATCACCTGAGGTCGAGAATTTGAGACCAGCCTGACCAACATGGAGAAACCCCATCTCTACTAAAAATACAAAAAAATTAGCCAGGCTTGGTGGCGCGCATGCCTGTAATCCCAGCTACTCAGGTAGCTGAGGCAGGAGAATTGCTTGAACCCGGGAGGCAGAGGTTGCAGTGAGCCGAGATCACACCATTGTACTCCAGCCTGGGCAACAAGAGCGAAACTCCGTTTCAAAAAAAAAAAAAATGCATGATGGAAGTGGTTTGGTGGAGGTAGAGATTGGGAATAGAACATACGGCTAGTGCGGTAATCCAGCTAAGTATTGAATTTGGATGGTAGAAGCATAAGGGGGTGAAAAGGTAGAATTAACATAAGTTGCAACCAATCAGATGACTTCTAATTTTCTGCCTTGGAGGGTGTTTTATGATTTATATGGGATAATGCAAATAGCTTCAGTGACTGTTTCTCCAATATATTCATTGGAAAGTTCCCTGGGATGAACTCTACCATTTGCTTTTCTTCGTTTGAAACCAAGCTTGCTGCTGGAAAAAAATCACATAAGTAGGGTTATTACTTTCTGTTAAAATTCATGATCACAATCACTCAGAACTCAACACTCCCTGGCAATCTTTATTTTTTTATTTTTATTTTTATTTTTTATTTATTTATTTTTTATTGATAATTCTTGGGTGTTTCTCACAGAGGGGGATTTGGCAGGGTCATAGGACAATAGTGGAGGGAAGGTCAGCAGATAAACAAGTGAACAAAAGTCTCTGGTTTTCCTAGGCAGAGGACCCTGCGGCCTTCCGCAGTGTTTGTGTCCCTGGGTACTTGAGATTAGGGAGTGGTGATGACTCTTAACGAGCATGCTGCCTTCAAGCATCTGTTTAACAAAGCACATCTTGCACCGCCCTTAATCCATTTAACCCTGAGTGGACACAGCACATGTTTCAGAGAGCACAGGGTTGGGGGTAAGGTCACAGATCAACAGGATCCCACGGCAGAAGAAGTTTTCTTAGTACAGAACAAAATGAAAAGTCTCCCATGTCTACTTCTTTCTACACAGACACGGCAACCATCCGATTTCTCAATCTTTTCCCCACCTTTCCCGCCTTTCTATTCCACAAAACCGCCATTGTCATCCTGGCCCGCTCTCAATGAGCTGTTGGGCACACCTCCCAGACGGGGTGGTGGCCGGGCAGAGGGGCTCCTCACCTCCCAGTAGGGGCGGCCGGGCAGAGGCGCCCCTCACCTCCCGGGCGGGGCGGCTGGCCAGGCGGGGGGCTGACCCCCCCACCTCCCTCCCGGACGGGGCGGCTGGCCGGGCGGGGGGCTGACCCCCCCACCTCCCTCCCGGACGGGGCGGCTGGCCGGGCGGGGGGCTGACCCCCCCACCTCCCTCCCGGACGGGGCGGCTGGCCGGGCGGGGGGCTGACACCGCCACCTCCTTCCCGGACGGGGCGGCTGGCCGGGCGGGGGGCTGACCCCCTCACCTCCCTCCCGGATGGGGCGGCTGGCCTGGCGGGGGGCTGACCCCCCCAACCTCCCTCCCGGACGGGGTGGCTGCCGGGCGGAGACGCTCCTCACTTCCCAGACTGGGTGGCTGCTGGGCGGAGAGGCTCCTCACTTCTCAGACGGGGCGGCCGGGCAGAGATGCTCCTCACCTCCCAGACGGGGTCGCAGCCGGGCAGAGGTGCTCCTCACATCCCAGACGGGGCGGCGAGGCAGAGGCGCTCCCCACATCTCAGACGATGGGCGGCCGGGCAGAGACGCTCCTCACCTCCTAGATGTGATGGCGGCCGGGAAGAGGTGCTCCTCACTTCCTAGGTGGGATGGCGGCCGGGCGGAGACGCTCCTCACTTTCCAGACTGGGCAGCCAGGCAGAGGGGCTCCTCACATCCCAGACGATGGGCGGCCAGGCAGAGACGCTCCTCACTTCCCAGATGGGGTGGCAGCTGGGCAGAGGCTGCAATCTCGGCACTTTGGGAGGCCAAGGCAGGTGGCTGGGAGGTGGAGGTTGTAGCGAGCCGAGATCACGCCACTGCACTCCAGCCTGGGCACCATTGAGCACTGAGTAAACGAGACTCCGTCTGCAATCCCGGCACCTCGGGAGGCCGAGGCTGGCGGATCACTTGCGGTTAGGGGCTGGAGACCGGCCTGGCCAACACAGCGAAACCCCGTCTCCACCAAAACCAGTCAGGCGTGGCGGCGCGAGCCCGCAATCGCAGGCACTCCGCAGGCTGAGTCAGGAGAATCAGGCAGGGAGGTTGCAGTGAGCCGAGATGGCAGCAGTACAGTCCGGCCTCGGCTCAGCATGAGAGGGAGACCGTGGAAAGAGAGGGAGAGGGAGACCGTGGGGAGAGGGAGAGGGAGAGGGGAGAGGGGAGAGGGAGAGGGGGCAATCTTTATTTTTAAATTTTTTATTGAAGAAAAAAATTTTTTGAGACCAAGTCTCACTGTATTGCCCAGGCTGAAGTGCAGTGGCAATTTACAAACACAATAATAGCTTGCTATAATCTTGAACTCCTTGGCTCAAGCAATCCTCCTGCCTCAGCCTCCCAAGTAGCTGACACTACAGGCCCACCACCACGCCTGGCTAATTTTTTTAATTTTAATTTTTTTGTGGAGACAGGATCTAGTTATGTTGCCCAGGCTGGTCTCAAACTCCTGATCCTCCTGTCTTGGCCTCCCAAAGTGCTGAAAGTACCTGTGTGAACCACAGTGCCTAGCACCCCAGCAATTTTATCATGTGTATTATGTTGCTAGGGCTGTCATTAACAATACCACAGTCTGGGTGGCTTAAACAACAGAAATTTATTTTTCCACAGTTCTGAAGGGTGGATTGGTTTTCTTGATCCTTTGGTAAGGATCTGTTACACACCTCTCTGCTTTCAGATGATCATCTCACTCTCTTCCCATGGTTGTCTCTGTTCATGCACCAGCCTGGTGTCAAATCTGTATTTCCAAATTTCCTCTTAAAAGGCTAGCAGCCATATTCGATTAAGGGCCACCACAACTGTCTAATTTTAACTTAATTACCACCTTTAAAGACCTATTTCCAAAGACAGTTACATTCTGAGGTGATGGAGGTTAGGACTTCAACATACTGTAGAATTTTGAGGGACACAGTTCAGCTCATAACACCATGCCATATTGATTGAATTGTTGTAATTTATCCTATTCATTGAGATAACTCATACCTTTTCCTCCCTGCAGTAGCCTTCTGCTTTCAGGCCCTCCTCCATCATCATCCCCATCTGTGACCTAACCTCATATACCCTGATAACATGGAATCTCATCACTGTGGATCCCCTTCACCTTCACAACACCTAAGCCTCTGTCTGTCCTCATCTTCAATCCTTTGTTGATATCAAGGATATACCCTCCTTTCAAATGCCCTGCCTGGGTTCCTGTTGAAAACAATGAATTGGGCCAGTGTGGTCACTCATGCCTGTAACCTAGCACTTTGGAAGGCTGAGGTGGGCAGATCACCAAAGGTCAGGAGCTCAAGACTAGTCTGACCAACATGGCGAAACCCCGTCTCTACTAAAAATAAAAAAATTAGCCGGGTGCAGTGATGCACGCCTGTAATCCCAGCTACTTGGGAGGCTGAGGCAGGAGAATCGCTTGAACCCGGGAGGCGGAGGTTACAGTGAACCGAGATCAAGCCACTGCACTCCAGCCTGGGTGACAGAGCAAGACTCAAAAAAAAAAAAAAAAAGAGAATATTGTAAAGGAGGTGGAAAAAAAGATAAGTGTTCAGGAAATCCAAAGAAAGAGTGACAACAAACTTCTTGACATAAACCATGCAAGCCAACAGGGGAACATGACTTTTATTTATTTATTTATTTATTTATTTATTTTGAGACAGAGTTTCACTCTTGTTAGCCAGGCTGGAGTGCAATGGCACGATCTCGGCTCACTGCAACCTCCACCTCCTGGGTTCAAGTGATTCTCCTGCCTCAGCCTCCAGAGTAGCTGGGATTATAGGCACGTGCCACCACGACTGGCTAATTTTGTATTTTTAGTAGAGATGGGGTTTCTTCATGTTGGTCAGGCTGGTCTCGAACTCTCGACCTCAGGTGATCCACCCACCTCGGCCTCCCAAAGTGCTGGGATTACAGGTGTGAGCCACTGTGCCTGGCCAGGAACATGACTTTTAAAGTACTGAAAGTTTTTTATTTTTTAATTTTTATTTATTTATTTATTTATTTATTTATTTATTTATTTATTTTTTTGAGACGGAATTTCACTCTTGTTGCCCAAGCTGGAGTGCAATGGTGTGATCTTGGCTCACTGCAACCTTTGCTCTCGGGTTCAAGTGATTCTCCTTCCTCAGCCTCCCAAGTAGCTGGGATTACAGGCATGCACTACCATGCCCGGCTAATTTTGTATTTTTTTGTGTGTTTTTAGTAGAGACGGGGTTTCTCCATGTTGGTCAGGCTGGTCTCGAGCTCCTGACCTCAGGTGATCCACCTGCCTCAGCCTCCCAAAGTGCTGGGATTACAGACGTGAGCCACCGTGCCTGGCCTGAAAGTTTTTAAAAAAGCTGTCTGCCTTAAAGTAAGGTGGGGTTGGGAGAAGCAATAAAGATCAGCGCAGAAACCAATGATACTAGAAAAGTAAAACAATAGGGAAAAAAAAGGATATATTCGAACATCAATAAAATTGATAAATCTCTGGCCAGAATAATCAGGAAGAGAAAAGACATGAATTACCATGATCAGAAATTAGTAAAATGGCATCATTAAAATGTTTACAGATTTTTAAAAATATAACAAAATATTAGCGACTTTACTCCAATAAATTGGACAACTTAGATAAAATAGACAAATTCCTTGAAAAACACAAACTACCAAAGCCCACTGAAGAAACAGATAAACTGAATGGACTTATATGTTCAATAATTGGATTTGTAGTTAAAAACCTTCCCACAAGGAAGACTCCAGGCCCAGACAGTTTCATTAGTGAATTTTACCAAACATTTCTGGAATAACACCAATTCTATATAAACTCTTAACAGAAAATTGAAGAGGAGAGAATACTGCCCAACTCAGTGTAAGAAGCCAGTATTATCCTGATATGAAAGCTTTAAAAAGACTTTACAAGAAAAATCTACAGAACAATATCCTTTATGAACATAGATGCAAAACTTTAAAATTTTATTTGAATCCCTACAATATATAGAAACATGACAACATCATGATCAAATGGAGTTTATCCCTTGAATGCAAGGTTGGTTTAGCATTTGCAAATCACTCTAATTTACCTTATTACCACACACACACACACACACACACACACACACACTCATGATTATCTCATTAGATGTAGATAAAAGCATCTGACAAAATCCGACATCCAATCCTAATAAAAACTCTCAGCAAAGTAGGGCTAAAAGGAAACTTCCTTGACCTGACAAAGTACACCTATGAAAAACCAACTGCTAACATCATATTTAATAGTAAAAAACCTAATTCTTTCCTCCCTAAAATCAAGAACAAGGCTAAAATGACTGTTTTGGGTTGGTTTGGTTGTTGGTTTGAGACAGTCTCACTCTGTCGCCCAGGCTGGAGTGCAGTGGCGCTCTCATGGCAGCATCTCCAGGGCTTAAGTGACCCTCCCACCTCAGCTTCCTGAGTAGCTGGAAATACAGGTGCGTTCTACTATGAGCGGCTGATTTTTGTATTTTTGGTAGAGATGGGGTTTCTCCATGTTGCCCAGGCTGGTTTCAAACTCCTGACCTCAAGTGATCCTCTTGCCTCTGCCTCCCGAAGTGCTGGAATTACAGGTGTGAGCCACTGCTCCCGGCCTGATCTACACTTTCAATGCAATCCCAGCTAAAATCCAGTAGGTATTTTTGTGGGGGTTAGCGGGTGTAGAAATTGACTAGTTGGTTCTAAAGTTCATGTGGAAATTCAAAGGACCTTGAATTACAAAAACAACTTTGAAAAAAAAAGTTGGAAAACTTGCACTACTCAATTTCAAGACAAAATGTAAAGCTACAGTAATCAAGAGAGTGTGATGTTGGCATAAAGACGGACAAATAGCTGGGCGCGGTGGCTCACACCTGTAATCCCAGCACTTTTGGAGGCTGAGGTGGGCAAATCACTTGAGCTCAGGAGTTCAAGACCATCCTGGGCAACACTGTGAAACCCCACCTCTACAATCTCTACTGAAAAAAAAAAAAAAAAAAAAGAGCCGGCCATGGCGGCAGCATCTGTGGTCCCAGCTACTTGGGAGGCTGAGGTGGGAGGATTGCTTCAGCCCAGGAGGCGGAGGTTGCAATGAGTTCTGACTGCACCGCTGCACTCCAGCCTGGGCGACAGAGAGAGACTTTGTCAAAAAAAAAAAAAAAAAAAAAAAAAAAGCAACTGAATAAAACAGAGTTCAGAAGTAGGTCAATTCATATATAGGCTATTAATTTTCAACAGAGATACACAGGTAATTCAGTGGGGAAAGAATGGTCTTTTGCAAAAAAAAAAAAAAAATTGTGCTGAAACAAATGGGTAGTCTTTTTTTTTTTTTGAGACGGAGTCTCCCTCTGTTGCCCAGGCTGCAGTGCAGGCGCATGATCTCGGCTCACTGCAACCTCCGCTTCCCGAGTTCAAGCGATCCTCCCACCTCAACCTTCCAAGTAGCTGGGACCGCAGGCATGTGCCACCATGCCTAGCTAATTAAAAAAAATTTTTTTTTTTTTTTGTAGAGATGGGGTCTTGCTATGTTGCCCAGGCTGGTCTTGAACTCCTGAGTGATCCTCCCATCCTGGTCTCCCAAAGTGCTGGGATTACAGATGTGAGCCACTGCTTCCAACCTTCTTCTGAACTTTTTTTTTGTGTGTGATGGGATCTCACTCTGTCACCCAGGCTGGAGTGTAGTGGCGTGATCTCGGCTCACTGCAACCTCCACCTCCCGGGTTCAAGCGATTCTCCTGCCTCTGCCTCCCTAATAGCTGGGACTACAGGCACCCCCCCACCACACCCGGCTAAATTTTGTAATTTTAGTAAAGACAGGGTTTCACCATATTGGTCAGGGTGCTTGAACTCCTGACCTCAGGTGATCCACCCACCTTGGTCTCCCAAAGTGCTGAGATTAAAGGCGTGAGCCACCGCGCCCAGCCACAAATGGGTATTCTTTTTTTTTTTTTTTTTTTTTTTTTTTTTTGAGATGGAGTCTCGCTCTGTCACCCAGGCTGGAGTGCAGTGGCGCGATCCCGGCTCACTACAAGCTCTGCCTCCCGGGTTCACGCCATTCTCCTGCCTCAGCCTCCCGAGTAGCTGGGAATACAGGCACCCGCCACCATGCCCGGCTAATTTTTTTTTTGTATTTTTAGTAGAGACGGGGTTTCA
The DNA here is from genome assembly GCF_000001405.40 of Homo sapiens. Classification (NCBI taxonomy): domain Eukaryota; kingdom Metazoa; phylum Chordata; class Mammalia; order Primates; family Hominidae; genus Homo; species Homo sapiens. Next base: position 21,192,411 of record NC_000013.11, read on the forward strand.
CCGTGTTAGCCAGGATGGCCTCCATCTCCTGACCTTGTGATCTGCCCGCCTGGGCCTCCCAAAGTGCTGGGATTACAGGCGTGAGCCACCACGCCCGGCACAAATGGGTATTCTTTTTTTTTTTTTGAGACGGAGTCTCCCTCTGTTGCCTGGGCTGGAGTGCAGTGGCGTGATCTCGGCTCACTGCAAGCTCCGCCTCCCAGGTTCACGCCATTCTCCTGCCTTAGCCTCCCGAGTAGCTGGGACTACAGGCGTCCGCCACCTCACCCGGCTAATTTTTTGTATTTTTAGTAGAGACGGGGTTTCACCACGTTAGTCAGGATGGTCTCGATTTCCTGACCTCGTGATCCACCCGCCTCGGCCTCCCAAAGTGCTGGGATTACAGGCGTGAGCCACTGCGCCCGGCCACAAATGGGTATTCTTAAACAAAATATGAACTTTGTTTTTTGTTTATTTGTTTGTTTGTTTTGAGACAGAGTTTTGCTCTTGTTGCTCAGGCTGCAGTGCAGTGGCACCATCTTAGCTCACTGCACCTTCCGCCTCCCGGGTTCAAGTGATTCTCCTGCCTCAGCCTCCCGAGTAGCAGGGATTACAGGCACATGCCACCACACTTAGCTAATTTTTTTTTTGTATTTTTAGTAGAGATGGGGTTTCACCATGTTGGTCAGGTTGATCTCGAACTCCTGACCTCAGGTGATCCACCCACCTCGGCCTCCCAAAGTGCTGGGGTTATAGGCATGAGCCACTGCGCCTGGCCAAAAAGTGAACTTTGATCTGTACTTCATGCTTTATATAAAAATTAACTCAAGGTGGATTGTGAACTAAATAGAAAACCTAAAACTATAAAACTTCTAGTAGAAAACATAAGGGAAAAATCTTTGTGACCTTTGGTTAAGGAAAGATTTATTAAATATGACCCAAAGTGATTAATTAAACCAACATTTGAGAAATTAGACGTCAATCAAAATTAACATCTGCTTTTTAAAAGACACTGTTAAAAGAATGGAAAAACAAGCTACACTCTGGGAGAAAAATATCTGATAAAGGACTCATATCTGGAATATATAAGTCATTCTCAAAATTCAATAATAAAAGAAAAACCAAAAACATTTAAATGGGCAAAATATTTTAACAGTCTTCAAAAAAATATGGATTGCAAAGAAAACACATGAAAACAAATTCAACACCATTAGTCAAAAGGAAAATGCCAATTAAAACCACCATGATATACACATCCATTAGAAGGTCTCAAATGTAAAAGATTGACATTATCAGCCTGGCGCAGTGGCTCACGCCTGTAATGCCAGCCCTTTGGGAGGCCAAGGCAGGTGGATCACAAGGTCAAGAGATTGAGACCATCCTGGCCAACATGGTGAAACCTCGTATCTACTAAAAATACAAAAATTGGCCAGGCGAGGTGGCACACACTTGTAATCCCAGCACTTTGGTAGGCTGAGGCGGGCAGATCATGAGGTCAGGAGTTCGAGAACAGCCTGGCCAACACAGGGAAACCCCATCTCTACTAAAAATACAAAAATTAGCTGGGCGTGGTGGCGAGCACATGTAATCCCAGCTACTTGGGAGGCTGAGGTAGGAGAACCGCTTGAACCCGGGAGGCAGAGGTTGCAGTCAGCTGAGATCGCGCCACCGCACTCCAGCCTGAGCAACAGAGCGAGACTCCATCTCAAAAAAAAAAAAAAAAAAAAAGCAAAGGAAAAAGATCTGTACTTAAATGTTCTATCAGCTCCATTATAATAGTAAAAAACTAAAAGCAAGAAGTATCATCTATCAACTGAGGAATGGATACGCAAATTGTGGTATATACACAAAATTTATCCATCATCTATTTTGGTGTTAGGTTTATGCCGTACTCATAAAATGAGTTGGAAGCTTTCCTCTTCTTTTTTTTGAGATGGAGTCTTGCTCTGCTGCACAGGCTGGAGTGCAGTGGTGCGATCTTGGCTCACAGTAGCCTCCGTCTCCCGGGTTCAAGCGATTCTCCTGCCTCAGAGTAGTTGGGACCCAGGTCCACACTACCATACCTGGCTAATTTTTGTATTTTTAGTAGAGACGGGGTTTCACCATGTTGGCCAGGCTAGTCTTGAACTCCTGACGTCAGGTGATCCGCCCGCCTCTGCCTCCCAAAGTGCTGAGATTACAGGTTTGAGCCACTGTGGCTGGCCTCGCTTTCCTCTTTTCTCTACTGTCTGAGAAATTTATGTAAGATTGGTATTATTTCTTTTTTAAATGTTTAATAGACCTCACCGGTGAAACAATCTGGGCCTGGTGTTGTCTTTGTGGGGAAGTTTTTTGTTTTTGCTTTTGTTTTAGCATTCATCATTTATTTATTCATCATAGTGAAACATCTGTCATTTGTTTTCCAGCATACATTCTCTGCTAACATCTCTGATTTTCCTCCAGGAATCCACCCATCCTCCTTTTTCAGCCCTTTGCTTCAGGTGGGGCTTTTCCTCCGCCTCAAGAATGGAGCTCAGCCAAATAGCACATCACATTTCTGTGGCTACCGTGATTGCTTCAGGGATGGCTATGTGATCCATTCAAAGTCCTTGGTATGCAATGATGCTTTTTTGTGGCATGCTGAGATAAGGACACTTTGTGTTTCTATTGGATATGAACCTTCAAATATTAGTAACTATGGCTGTGCAGTCAGTTTTCCAATCACATGGAAAATGGAACCAACTCTAAGAAAACACCTTTTTATTTATTTATTTATTTATTTATTTATTATTTATTTTAGACAAGGTCTCATTCTGTTGCCCAGGCTGGAGTGCCGAGGTGCGATCGCAACCTACTGCAGCTTTGAGCTCCTGGGCTCAATGAAACCTCCCACCTCACCCTTCTGAGTTGCTGGGACTATAGACGCATGCTGCCACGCCCGGCTGATTTTTGTATTTTTGGTAGAGACGGGGTTTCACCATCTTTCCCAGGCTGGTCTCGAACTCCTGGGCTCACGCGATCCTCCCACGTTGGCCTCCTAGAGTGCTAGGATTACAGGCATGAGCCACTGCACCAGGCCAATTCTCCGTTTTCTTTTGTCCAAAAATGTCTTTATTTCCCCTTCATTGCTGAACAGTATTTTCATCAGATACAGGTTACACATTGGTAGTTCTATTTTTTTTTTTTTTTTTTGAGATGGAGTCTTGCTCTGTCGCTCAGGCTGGAGTGCAGTGGCGCGATCTCGGCTCACTGCAAACTGTCTCCCGGGTTCAAGTGATTTTCCTGCCTCAGCCTCCTGAGTAGCTGGGATTACAGGCACGCAGCACCACGCCCAGCTAATTTTTGTATTTTTAGTAGAGACAAGGTTTCACCATGTTGGTCAGGCTGGTCTCGAACTCCTGACCTCATGATCTGCCCGCCTCAGCCTCCCAAAGTGTTGGGATCACAGGTGTGAGCCACCACGCCTGACCCTGGTAGTTCTATTCTTTCATCACTTGAGAAATGTGCCACTTCCTTCTGGCCTCATGTTTTCTGATGAGAAATCCACTGTCTTTCAAATTGTTTTTGCCCTATAAGTAGGGTGTCATTTCTCTCAAACCACTTTTGATATTTTTCCCTTTGTCTTTAGTTTTCAGAAGTTTATGTTGGGTCTTGGCTTGGATTTATTTGTATTTATTTTGTCTGTGGTTCACCCAGGTTTTTAGATCTGAAGGTCTATGTCTTTTGTTAAATTTGGGGAATTTTCAGCCATATTTCTTTTTTTTTCTTTTCTTTTTTGAGACGGAGTCTCACTCTGTCGCCCAGGCTGGAGTGCAGGGGTGCTAGCTCAGCTCACTGCAACCTCTGCCTCCCTGGTTCAAGGGATTCTCCTGCCTCAGCCTACCGAGTAGCTGGGACTACAGGCACCCACCACCACGCCCTGCTGATTTTTGTATTTTTAGTACAGAAGGGGTTTCACCATATTGGCCAGGCTGGTCTCGAACTCCTGACCTTGTGATCTGCCCAACTCAGTCTCCCAAAGTATGAGCCACCACTTTCAACCATATTTCTTTAAATACTTCTTCAGCTCCCACTCTCTCTGCTTCTTCTCAAATTCCAGTGATGAGAATGTTAGATTTTTTGTTACAGTCCCACAGGTCCCTGGAGGCTATGTTCTCCAACCTCCAACCATCCCTAGCCACAGGTCTATTTTCTGCCATTTTTTTTTTTCTTTTTTTTGTGAGACAGAGTCTCATTCTATCTCCAGGCTGGAGTGCAGTGGCGTGAGCTCAGATCAGTGCAACCTCTGCCTCCCGGGTTCAAGTGATTCTCCTGCCTCAGCCTCCCAAGTAGCTGAGGCTACCAGTGGGTGCCACCACGCCCAGCTAATTTTTGTATTTTTAGTAGAGACGGTGTTTCACCATGTTGGCCAGGATGGTCTCCATCTCTTGACCTCGTGATCCACCCACCTGTGCCTCTCAAAGTGCTGGGATTACAGGCGTGAGCCACCGCGCCTGGTCTATTTTCTGCCATTTTTAAAATTTATTTTATTTTATTTTTTCTGAGACAGAGTCTCCCTGTGTCGCCCAGGCTGGAGTGCAATGGCATGATCTCAGCTCACTGCAACCTCTGCCTCCCAAGTTCAAGTGTTTCTCCTGCCTCAGCCTCCCGAGTAGCTGGGATTACAGGCACCCACCACTATGCCCAGCTAATTTTTATAGTTTTAGTAGAGACAGGCAGGGTTTCACCATGCTAGCCATGCTGGTCTCAAACTCCTGACCTCAGTTGATCCACCTACCTCGGCCTCCCAAAATGCTGGGATTACAGGGGTGAGCCACCCCACTCAGCCCTTTCTGTTGTTTAGACTAATTACTATTGTTCTGTCTTCAAGTTCATTGATTCTTTCTTCTGTTCCCTTCATTCTGTTGAGCCCATCCATTAAGTGTTTTTATTTTGGTTATTGTATTTTTAAGTTCTAAAATTTCCATTTGGTTCTTATGTGTCTGATTTCTTTGCTGAGATTTTCTCTTTTTCACCTGTTTCAAGAGTGTTTGTAATTGCTTATTGTAACATTTTTATGAAGGCTGCTTTAAAACCCTTGTGAGATAATTCCAACATCTGGGTTGGTGCCTCTTGTATTTTGTCATTCAAATGGACACTGTCCTGGTTCTTGTTATGATGATTTTTTATATTTTGGAGATTTTAGGTATAATGAGATCCTGGATCTTCTTTAAACCTTCAGTTTGAGCAGCCTCCTCTGAAACTACCCCTACAAAGGAAGCAGGGTGCTTCTTCACCTACAAAGGAGCACAGGTGTTTCTTCTCCTTCCCCGTCACCCCTTTTCAAATGTTACCACCCTTCATAGCATCAGATAGATTCCATCGCATGCACCTGCACACATCCAGAGGCGCATTCACAGAGCACTGCATGGAGCTACGTGCACCGATGGCTCGGGAGGCCCCCCTGCTGGTTTTGACTTATGATGTAGTTTTTGCCCTCGGGTGGAGGACACTTTGCAAAAGACACAGCCTCCATCCCTGCACACCCAGCCACCACCACAAGGCTGGGAGGGTGGGGAACAGGGGGTCCTCATTCTTTATTCATAGCCTCATGAACTTCAGGGAGCACAGGCAGCATTAACCCCAGGGGGGTTGCCCCTTCCTTCCTTCCTTCCTTCCTTCCTTCCTTCCTTCCTTCCTTCCTTCCTTCCTTCCTTCCTTCCACAAACATATTCAGAAAGTGTATTTCATGACTAGCACTGTGCCAGACACTGGAGATAATAAAGAAAAACAGCACTGGGCCTATAATTGGGAGTCTAGATATACGATATGGAAATGCAGCTGACAATGCAAGGAGCAAGAGGACTCGCACAGTGGTGCATGGCAGCTTGCTGTCATTTTCTGGGCACAGAAAGTGCGATGGAAGGGAATGAGAAGGGGAAAAAGGAAGGATGACAGGACGGAAGGAGGGAAAGAAGGAAGAGGAAAAAAGAAAGGACAGGAGAAAGGGAGGAAGTCTTCTGCCAAAAAATTAAAATCAAATTTTTGACATTCTTTTTGTTTGCCTTTTTTGAAACAAAATGACACTTGCCAGACACCAGCTTCCTGGCCCATGTCCTGGTCCTTGGTATCCAGATGACAGCAGTGTGATCCTGCTGTGAGTTCCTTCCGTGCCTTCTGATCTGAGTTCCTGAAAGCAGAGAGCCACTCAGGAACTGCTGTCTCTCAGGCCAGCTGGCTGGTGATGGGCTTTTGAAGACTCTGCTCTCTCTCCTGCTGGAAGAGCTCCCCAGGGGCCACCAGGAGCCAGGTGACCGCTCTCAGCCTCTGTGAGCTACTGGAGATCACCAGACCTTCCCACATCCCGGGCAGGTGCCAGGGCCTTTAAGGAGGCTTTCTGCTCTGCAGGGATGTTCTGTGGGCTCCAGTATTCTGGCGAGCATCAGCTTATTCTCGGCTTAGTCTTCTTGCTCTATAGCTCCTGCCTCTGTTTTGCTTCTTTTTGGTGATGCCCTGTTTCCACCTTATGAAGAGGGCCTGTAAAATCCAAGCTCTGCACAAACCCCCAGGGGTGGTTAGGGGCACTGGAGAAGGGCTGTGTGTCGACCACTTGGTTGGATTTTACATCCCTTGGACTTGAATACTTATAATTTAAATTTGAGTCTCTGTCAATGTAACTCTTACATATTTTCTTTTTTAAAATTCCTTTCCCCAAAGTCTAGGGTATATGTAAATATGTTCAGCATCATGAATCTGTTCTGAAATTTTCCTTTCTGCCAAGATTCTTACACAATTCATCTTCATAGATCAACAATAAATCCAAATTGGAGTTCCCTTTATTGCTTCCTCTTTTTGCTTTTCATTTTATAACTAATTCAATATTTATTTGGAAATATTGTGAAATATTTAAAATGTACACAAGGCATATAGAATAATTCAATGAACTACTGTGCATCCACCATCCAATGGAAAAAATAAAACATTATCAGTACATTGGAAGCCCTCTGGGTACCCAGTCCCAGGCTGCATATTGACCTCCCCACAGACAGATAAACACCACCATGAAATTAGGGTTTATAATCATCATACTTCATACCTTTAGTACATATGCTTGTATCTCTAGTATGCAGTGTATTAAGTGGTTCTTGCATTGATATAAAGAGATACGTGAGACTGGATAATTTATAAGAAAAGCAGGTTAATTGGCTCATGGTTCTGCAGGCTATACAGGAAGCACAGTGTCAACATCTGCTTCTGGGGAGGCCTCGGGAAGCTTACAATCATGGCAGCAGACAAAGGGGGAGCAAGAGTGGCAGGGGAGATGCCACACTTTTTAAACAACCAGATCTCATGAGAACTCACTCACTAGCCTGAGAACAGCATCAAACCATGAGGGATCTATCCCCATGACCAAAACACCTCCCAACAGGCCCCACCTCCAGCACTGGGGAGTACATTTCAACAAGAGATTTCAGTGGGGACAAATATCCAAACAATATCATTCAGCCCCTGCCCCCTCCCCCCACAAATCTCATGTCCTTCTTACATTGCAAAATATAATCAGGGCTTCTCAATTGTCCCCCAAAATCTTAACTCATTCCAGTATTAACTCAAAAGTCCCAAGTCCAAAGTCTCATCTAGAATGAGTTCCTTTCACCTACAAACCTATAAAATCAAAACAAGTTATTTACGTCCAAGATACAATGAGGGTACAGACATTGGGTAAATACTCCCAACCCAAAAGGGAGAAATCAGACAAAAGAAAGGAGCTACAGGCCCCATGCAGGTTCAGAACCTACCAGGGCAGTCACTAAGTCTTAAATCTTCAAAATAATCTCTTTTGACTACATGTCCCACATTCTGGGCACATGGTGTGCTGGGTGGTCTCCCAAGGCCTTGAGGAGCTTTGACCCTGTGGCTTTGCTGGGTTCAGGCCCTGAAGCTGCTCTCACAGCTTATTGAGTGCCTGCCACTTTTCCATGTGCAGGATGCAAGCTGCTGGTGTATCTACCATTCTGGGATCTGAAGGATGGTGACCCCCCTTCTCACAGCTCCACTAGGCAGTGTCCCAGTGGGGACTCTGTGTGGCGGCTCCAATCCCACAATTCCCCTCTGCACTGCCCTAGTAGAGTATCTCCATGAGGGCTCTGCCCCTGCAGTGGGCTTCTGCCTGAGCATTCAGGCTTTCCCATACACCCTCTGAAATCTAGGCAGAGGCTGCCAAGCCTCCTTTACTCTTGCAGTCTATGTCTGCAGGCTTAACATCACATGGAAGCTGCCAAGGCTTATGGCTTGCATTCTCCAAAGTGGCAGCCCAAGCTGTACCTGGGGTCCTCTGAGCTGAGACTGAAGCTGGGGTGGCCTGAATGTGAGAAGCAGTGTACTGAGGCTGCACAGAGCAGAGGGACCCTGGACCTGGCCCACAAAGCCATTCAGTCCTCCTGGGCCTCTGGGCCTGTGATGGGGGGAGCTGCCTCAGAGACTTCTGAAAAGCCCTAGAGGCCTTTTTCCTATTGTCTTGGATATTAGCACTTGGATCTCTTTTAGTTATGCAAATGTCTCTAGCAAGTGGTTTCTCCACAGCCTGCTTGAGTTCCTCCCCTGAAAAGAGACTTTTCTTTTGTACCATACATTCAGGTGGCAAATTTTCCAAATTTTTATTCTTTGTTTCCCTAAGTTCCAACTTTAGGGCATTTCTTTGCTCCCACATCTGAGCATAGTTCTTTAGAAGCAACGAGGTCACATCTTGAATGCTTTGCTGCTTAGAAATTTCTTCTGCCACATACTCAAAATTATCACTCTTAAGTTCAAACTTCCACAGATCCCTGGGGCATGGACATAATGCAGCCAAGTTCTTTGTTAAGGCATAACACTCATGACCTTTGCTCCAGTTCCCAATAAGTTCCTCACTTCCATCTCAGACCTCAGCAGCCTGGACTTCACTGCCTATATCACTATCAGCATTTTGGTCACAGTCATTTACCCAGTTTCTAAGAAGCTGCAAATTTTCCCTCATCTTCCTGTCTTCTTCTGAGTCCTCCAAACTCTTCCAACCTCTGCACATTACCCAGTTCCAAAGCTACTTCCACATCATCAGGTATCTTAATAGTAATGCCCCACTCCTCAGTACCAATTTTCTGTATTAAGCCATTCTTGCATTGCTATAAATAAATACCTGAGACTGGGTAATTTATAAGAAAAGAGGTTTAATTGGCTCATGGTTCTTCAAGCTATACAGGAAGTCTAGTGCCAACATCTGCTTCTGGGGAGGGCTCAGGAAGCTTATGATCATGACAAAAGGCAAAGGGGGAACAAGAGTGGTGGGGGAGGTGCCACACTTTTAAAAAGCCATATCTCATGAGAATTCACTGACTAGCATAAGAATAGCATCAAGCCATGAGGGATCCACCCCATTGACCCAAACATCTCCCAGCAGGCCTCACCTCCAGGTTTGGGGATTACATTTGGTATTAGTCTGTTTTCATACTGCTATAAAGAACTGCCAGAGACTGGGCAAATTATAAAGGAAAGAAGTTTAACTGACTCACAATTGAGCATGGCTGGGGAGGCCTCAGGAAACTTACAATCATGGCAGAAGGCAAAGAGGAAGCAGGGCACCTTCTTCACAAAGCAGCAGGAAGGAGAAGTGCAGAGCAAAGGGGGAGAGCCCCTTATAAAACCATTAGATCATGTGAGAACTCCCTCACTACCACAAGAAGAGCATGGGGGAAACTGTCCCCATGATTCAATTGCCTCCACCTGGTCTCTCCCTTGACACATGGGGATTATGGAGATTGAAATTCAAGATGAGATTTTGGTGGGGACACAAAGCCTGACTAGATCACATTTCAACAAGATATTTAAGTGAGTACAAATATTTAAACTATATTATGTAGTATTTTTTTATGTTTTATACTCATTAGAAATAAATCTTGATATACGTATTCTTCTGCAACTTTTCTTACTCAACACATTTTTGAAATTCATGCATGTTAATATATATAACACTAGCTCATGCATTTTCACTGCTGCATACTACTCTCTTATATGACTGTAACATACTTCATGTATCTATTATTCTACAGATGAACATTTAAGATGTTTCCAGTTTGCTGTTGGGATTTTGTTTTGTAATTCAAAGAATGTTGCTATAAACATTCTTTGATCGTCTTTGCATTCCTGGGAAAAGCCCAATGTGGTCATGATGTACTTTTATTTTTATAAGTTACTCTATTTGACTTGAAACTTTACACAGGGACTTGCAGTCATGGGTGGCAGGTGGCCTTTTCCAAGAGTCAGGAACCTCCTTGAAGGGCCATGTATAATTCAAGGGTGGGTAGCATGACCAGCCTGTCATGCTACCTGGCCCCCAACCCAAACCTCTCTGTGTTCCCATCCCCCTCAAAGACACCATTAACCCCTAGCCACAGAGCCCTGCTCACGTCTGGAACAGCCCTTCCCTCCCCAGGTAGGTCACTGCCTTGTGGCTGTGCCTGCCTCTCTTCCTATGTCTGTGTCTCAGTCATCTGCTGTAAAGCCCATATTTACCCAGTGTCTATGTTCACATCTCCACCCTGAGGGTGGCTGGAGAACATGTCTCCTACACAGCCAAGTGCTGCTGTGCATATGCATGTGAAGTCCAGCTGCCTGGGATGCCCCCTCTTTGAAGGCTCTGCAGCGATGACTGGGCTGGGGAAGCAAATGCTTGCTGGCCACAGAGCCTCATTGCAAGTTGTTCTTGAACACCTGAACCCTTCCTGGTGCCCACCAGGCACTATGACTTCCTCACCAGAATGTGGCTTTGCCTGGGTGCAGACAGAACCTGCTTGGGATGCTCTTGGCCAAGGGTATTGGGGGCTCTCTGGCCTTTTGCAACTGATCCAAAGACACCCAGAGCCAACTTACCTCAACCTCACCCTTATAGAAGACTCTTCTGTGTGCAGGCTGTCCTCACACCCTGTCCTCACAGGAAAAGGCAGATTGAGGCTGCTGAGTCAGCCTAGTTCTACTGTTTACGCTTCTAAAATAAACAGGACTTGATCACACAAAAAAAAAAAAAAGAGAGAGAGAGAGCTCAATTTGGGAGAGACAGAGGTCCAACCTTATTGAGAGATGATGGGAAACCTGGATGAGAAGTACACTTCTTTAAGTGAACATAAGGATTTGCAAGAAGAATAATTTGGCAAGGTGCTATTTTAAGATATTAATATGAGAGAGAGAGAGAGAAGCTATGTGCTTAATACTGTAAATAGGGCCTGCAACCAAAGAAACTCACTTCTTGATTCCTTGTTTTGTAGGAAACCCTAAACACTTAGGGAAAGGGAATTCACAGAGCACCTTGAGGAAACCTAAAGGAAGAAAGAAGCATGCAGGCTTAAAAGAAATGCTCCTGCCACTTCTGCCACTGCCCCCCACCAAGCCCACGCATGCCCCTCAGAGAGGTCAATAAACTCCAGGAAGGAAATGGCCGCATGAGGGGTCCAGACAGATGGGGCCACAGGCTGATGCACAGGAATTCCTTGCCTCAGGTGTGATATGGGAGCGACAGTCACCAGGCATCCCAGCTACATCCTGTGTGTACTGCTTCTCCCTCGGGATTTTAAAATTTGCTCCTATCTGTCCAAAGACCAAATGGATGCCCCCGTGGCCAATAGTACTTTGTTAAACCCCATGATTGTAGCCCAATGCTAAGGAAGGGGGGAACCCCCCAGGAACAAACATCATTATGTTTCTTATCTGACTGAACAGAAGTTCAGAGTTAGAAAATATGAAAAGGGGCTGGGCGCGGTGGCTCATGCCTGTAATCCCGGCACTTTGGGAGGCCGAGGCAGGCGGATCACGAGGTCAGGAGATCGAGACCATCCTGGCTAACACGGTGAAACCCCGTCTCTACTAAAAATATAAAAAAAAAATTAGCCAGGCGTGGTGGCGGGCGCCTGTAGTCCCAGCTACTGGGGAGGTTGAGGCAGGAGAATGGCGTGAACCCGGGAGGCGGAGCTTGCAGTGAGCCCAGATCGCTCCACTGCACTCCAGCCTGGGAGACAGAGCGAGACTCCGTCTCAAAAAAATAAAAAAAAAAAAAGAAAATGTGAAAAAGTATATATTTTTGCACACCCAGTTTGTGGGCTACGTGTCACACATCATTAAGTGGTAAATTCTACTGTTCTGTCTTGTTAGCCCGAAGCTAAAGAATGCTGTTATTGCAAACTACAGACAACCCACTTGGTAGAAGGCAGCAACATCCTGAATCCTGGTCTTGCAAAGACATACCCAAGCAACAGCAGCGATCCACCCACCTCAGGACCCAGTTCTCAGCCTCTGTGTGGCTGGCTTTTAAAGCTAAGAAAAGCCAGTAGGAATGTAGAAATCCAGTGAGAAGAAAGCCATGGAGGCTTCTGAGCACTCTGTGAGTAGCTAGGAGCAACATGTTCCCAGGTCCTGAAACTTCCATAGTAATAAGTCTGGCAGCGGTGGAGTCATGCTGGGGATGGAGCATGTGAGCTTGAGATACCTTACAAGGCAATAATAATCATCGTATTAGGCCTCAGAGCATTTCCCATAGGGGCCCCTGTGGGCTTGTGTGGCAGCGACATTTGACATAACCATTATTAATTTTTGGATGCATATGGAAGATGCTGGTGGTTCTATTTTGTTAAAGAAACATGGAAATAAATTCATCTCAGAGAAAAGATCAAATCATGAAGTTACACAGAAAAAGGAATGGATCAGAATGTTCCCGTGTTGTGCTTGGTGCTGGTTCCTGAGGTTAATAGTTAAATTGTCTTTTAAAGCCATTTCCTTTCTTCTCCCTATTTTTAACTAATTCCATCCAACCATCTAGCTCAGACTCAGGACTGTTAACCTGGAAAAGAGGGGAAATGCAGAGGTCTCCTTGGTAACTATGTCTGTTCCCGGGCTGGAGCTGCTACCTCCGGTGGATCTGAGCAGAGTGCTTCTGAATCACTCTTATTGCTCAGCTCCCAGCAGCTTTGCCTGGGGGCATCAAGAAAGGTTTAGAAAGATGAGCACCAAACACCCCTATGTTGAGAGGACTATCTATGCCTTGGTGACACAGCCCTGCTTCTCCCTCAGGATTTTAAAATTTGCTCCTATCTGTTGCAAATCTGCCTTTCTTTCTACTGTATCCTCAAATCTATACTTAGATCATCAGAAACATTTTTTTGAAATAAAATAGCACCCTTTAACCCAGAAATTCCCACCTGGGAATCTGGCCCAAACAAATTAATTCACAAGATAATAAAAGCTGTATGCATGAAGATGTTCATTGCAGAATTTTTTATACCTGTGACAGAGACAGGTTAAATGACAGGAAGATGATTATGTGAATTGTGGTATATCCAGGCAATATATTATTACATTCAACAAAAGTATAACTAACACTGTGGCAACAGAGAACAACATGTCTTACAATCTTAAGTTTTAAAAGAATACACGATTGTAGCAAGTAAACGATATAGGCCGGGCGTGGTGGCTCATGCCTGTAATCCCAGCACTTTGGGAGGCCAAGGTGGGCAGATCACCTGAGGTCAGGAGTTCGAGACCAGCCTGGCCAACATGGTGAATCCCCGTCTCTATTAAAAATACAAAAATCAGCTGGGCGTGGTGGCGGGAGCCTGTAATCCCAGCTACTTGGGAGGCTGAGGTAGGAGAATCGCTTGAAACCAGGAGGCAGAGGTTGCAGTGAGCCAAGATTGTGCCATTGCACTCCAGCCGGGCCAACAAAGAGCAAAACTTCATCTCAATTAAAAAAAAAGAAATATATATATGTGTGTATCTGTATACATATATATGTATCTATATGTGTATACATATAGATACATATATGTACATGTGTATACGTAAATATGTGTAAATGTACATACATGTATACGCACACATATGTATATGTGCGTATACATACGTGTATACGCACACATATGTATATGTGCGTATACATACGTGTATACGCACACATATGTATATGTGCGTATACATACGTGTATACGCACACATATGTATATGTGCATACATACGTGTATACGCACACATATGTATATGTGCATACATACGTGTATACGCACACATATGTATATGTGCATACATACGTGTATACGCACACATGTATATGTGCATACATACGTGTATACGCACACATGTATATGTGCATACATACGTGTATACGCACATATATGTATATGTGCATACATACGTGTATACGCACATATATGTATATGTGCATACATACGTGTATACGCACATATATGTATATGTGTATACGTATATGTATATGTATATGTGTATACGTATATGTGTATATGTATATGTGTATACGTATACGTATATGTATATGTGTATACGTATACGTATATGTATATGTATATGTGTATATGTGTATATGTATATGTGTATGTGTATATGTGTATACATATATGTATATGTGTATGTGTATATGTGTATACATATATGTATATGTGTGTGTATATGTGTATACATATATGTATATGTGTATGTGTATATGTGTATACGTATGTGTATACGTGTATACGTATGTGTATACGTGTATACGTATGTGTATACGTATATGTGTATGTGTATACGTATATGTGTATGTGTATACATATATGCGTATATATGCGTGCATATACATATGCGTATATATGCGTGCATATACATATGCGTATATATGCGTGCATATACATATGCGTATATATGCCTGCATATACATATGCGTATATATGCGTGTATATACATTTGCGTATATATGCGTGTATATACATATGCGTATATATGCGTGTATATACACATATGTGTATATATGCGTGTATATACACATATATACGTATATATGCGTGTATGTATACATATATACGTATATATGAGTGTGTGTATACATATATACGTATATACACATATATACATATATACACATATATAGATAGATATACACATATATACATATATACACATATATATACATATATACACACACATATATATGTATATATACACACAAAGTGCCAGAAAGGAATGCACAAAATAACACTAGTAATGCTAGGTGAGTAGCTGTAAACATGAATTCCCTTCTGATGTATGATTAATAAAATAAATAGCACCCCTGAGCTTCTTCAAGTATAAACCAAATGTCATAATTATTTAGAAATTATTTAAGAAAATCTAACTATTCTTATGATTTCTTTTTAACTAAGCCTGTTAGGTATGGCGCCAAGTGAGTCAGAAAAGATTGAAAGTTCAGCCTTTTCAAATTCGAAGAAGGAATTCTTTTCACCAAAGCAGTAAAATTGCTTTTTTTCCTACCCTCATTTTGTTTTAGTTTCTCTGAGTTAAATGCTAATTTTTATTATCTATTTTTTTAAAATGCTGCTTTCCATGCAGACTTTAGATCTTTAGGTAACTATTTTCCAGTTAACCCTCTTATCCTCGCTGCATCAAGCTGGTCCCTCTCTCTCACCACTGTAGGCTCAGAAAATCATTGCATGTTAGCTGGGCATGATGGCCCAAACCTGTAGTCTCAGCTACTGGGTAGGCTGAGATGGGGGCATCAGTTGAGCACAGGATTTCCAGGCTGTAGTGCATGATGATTGTGCCTTTGAATAACCACTGAACTACAGCCTGGGCAACATAGCAAGACCCTGTCTCTTAAACGTTAACTAATTAATTAAAATTAAAAGAAAATCATTGCATGTTTGAACTGTGAAGGATGGGGCCAGGCATGGTGGCTCACACTGTAATCCCAGCACTTTGGGAGGCTGAGGAGGATGGATCATCTGAGGTTAGGTGTTCGAGACCAGCCTGGTAAACATGGTGAAACCCCGTCTCTACTGAAAATACAAAAATTAGCTAGCCATGGTGGTGGGCACCAGTAATCTCAGCTACTCGGGAGGCTGAGGCAGGAGAATCGCTTGAACCCAGGAGGTGGAGGTTGCAGTGAGCCAAGATCATGCCACTGCACTCCAGCCTGGGCGACAGAGTGAGACTCCATCTCCAAAAAATAACTGTAAAAAAGAACTGTAAAGGATGCTAGAATTCTTCTGTTCAAGGTTTCTCAAACCAAGGTCACTTGGAGGTAGGAAGGTATATGGCTTTGTTGTTACATAGTCCTTCAATTTACTTTGGATTGATAATTTTATAATAGCTATAAGCACAAGGCATTTGCAATGGACTGAATGTTTGTGTACCTCCAACATTCGTGTGTTAAAATCCTAACCCCCAAGGTGATGTTATTAGGAGGTCGGGCCTTTGGGAGGTGATTAGGTCGTGATGGCAGAGCCCTCATAATGGGATTAATGCTCTTGATGGTTGACTTTGGGTGTCAACTTGGCTGAATTGAGGAATCTCAGAAAGCTGATAAAGCATCATTTACTCTGAATGTTTCAGCAGGCACTGAGCTATTCCTCTTCTGCTGAAAGGGACACCCAGCTGGTTTTACTCTGGACTAGAGTGTTTCCCAAGGAGACCAGCTTGTGGGTCAATGGACTAAGTGTGGGGAAATCTGCCTTCGATGTGGGCGACCAGCCAACTGACTGGGAGCCTGAATGGAACAAAAAGGCAGAAGAACAGCAGAGTTCTCTCCCTGTCTTTACCAGAGCTGATATGCCCTTCTTCTCCTGCCCTTGGACATCCGTACTCCAGGTTCTCCAGTCTTTGGACTCTGGAACTCACACCAGCAAGCAATGCCAACTGGGGAGAGCCACAGGCACCCAACTCCAACACTTGAGAGTGGCTGTGTGGGCTGAGGCCAGCAAAGCCATGGGGATGGGGCTGCCCAGGGCTGTGGGGGATCAACCCCCACCCAGTAAATTCAGATACCAACATGTAGAGTCAAAGAAGATTTAATGCCTGAAGATTTAATGTCATTTGCCCTGTTAGGTTTTGGACTTACTCGGGATCTGTTATTCCTTTCCTCTTTCCTATTTCTCCCTTTTGGAGTGGAAATGTCTGTCCTGTCCCTGTACCACCAAAGTATTTTGGAAACATATAACTTGTTTGATTTCACATGCTCACAGTGGGAGGGAGGGAAATTTGTCTTAGAATGACTCCTGCCTGGAGTCTCACCCGTATCAGATTTAGATGAGTCGGTGGACTCTAGAATTTTAAGTTGATGCTGGAATGAGTTAAGAGATTTGGAGCTATTGGGATGGCATGAACATATTTTGCATGTGAGAAGGACATGAATTTGGGGTGCCAGGGTCGGAGTGGTGGAATCCTATGCTTTGAATGTGTCCCTTCCAAAACTCAGGTGTTGCCAATGTGATAATATTAAGAAGTGGGGCCTTTAAGAAGTGATTAGGCTATGAGGGTTCCTTCTTCCTGCATGGAATTAGGCACCCTTACATTAGGCTTGGTAGAGGAAGTTCATCCCTTTTGCCCTTCAGCCTTCTGCTATGTGAGGACACAGCATCCTCACCTCTGGAGCATACAGCAATAAGGCACTATCTTGGAAGCAGTGACTGGATGGTCATCAGACAGCTGAATCCACTGGCACCTTGATCTTGAACTTCCCAGCCTCCAGAATGGGGAAAATTAATTTCTGTTCTTTATAAATTACCCAGTCTCAGGTATTTTGTTTATTTAAAAAAATTTTAAACTTTAAATTTTTGTGGGTACATAGTAGGTATATATATTTCTGGGGTACATGAGATGTTTCGATATAGGCACACAATGCGTAATAATCACATCATGAAGAATGGGGTCTCCATTCCCTCAAGCATTTATCCTTTGTGTTACAAACATTCCAGTTATACTCTTTTAGTTATTTTTAAATGCACAATTAAATTATTAGTCTCGGGTATTTTGTTGTAGCAGCACAAATGGACTAAGACAATGCATTTGTAAGAAGAGACATGTGAGAGATAATCTCTGTTGGCCACGTGAGGACATAGTGAGACGTTGGCTGGCTGCAACCTGAAAGCAGGCCCTCACCAGAACCCAATCATGCTGTCACCCTGATTGCAGACTTCCACCCTCTAGAATAGTAAGAAATAAATTTCTGTTGCTCATCAGCCACCTGGTGTATGGTAGTTAGTTTCAGTAGCTTGAACTGACTAAGACAGTATTTATACTTAATTGTATAATTACATAAATTTAAGCATTACTACAAAAGAAATATTTTTATTCAGTTAACACCTGGGAGGGGCATGAGCATCTTCTTTCTTTGTAAAAGGCCAGTCCTTAGTAAGTCTCTACCTGCCTTCACGGGATAAGGACTCTGAGTCTGAGGCAGGAGAATGACTGGGCCCTGCTCCCTCTGGGGTGGGAGACTAAAACCTGTTCGGTATGTGTCTTAGTCTGTTTTGTGCTGCCATAACAGAATACCAGAGACTGGGTAATTTATAAAGAGAAAAAATTTATTTCTCAGAGTTCTGTAGGCTGGGAAATCTAATATCAAGGTGCTGGCATCTAGGGAGAGCCTTCTTGCTGTGTCATCCCATGGTTGAAGGCATCATTGGGTGGGAGAAAGGGAGAGAGAGGGAGAGAAGGGAAAAGAGCCAGACTTATCCTCTCATCAGGAACCCACTTTCTGAGATAATTAACCCACCCCCCCTGAAAATGGCATTAATCCATCCACGAAGGCAGAACTCTCATGACCTAATCAACTCTAAAAGGTCCCACCTTTCAACATCATTGCACTGGGGATTAAGTTTCCAACACATGACCTTTGGGGAACACATTCAAGCCATAGCTATGTACTTAATTGTTCCATACAGGATTTAGAAACTCTGGCTGGCATTGGCCTGTCAGACTCTACATCACAGGTCTGAGAGCTCAGTGGTGGTTGTAGCTTCCCCAAACTATCTTTACAGTCATCATCAAATTCATATTTCCCACCCAGAACTGTCCCCTGAGCTCCAGATTTACACTTTGAGGCATGTATTCAACATCTACTCTTGGACATCTCAAACTTAACACACCCAACAAGAACCTAAGTCCTCCCCTTTCCATTTATAAGGACACTCTCTGATATGGTTTGGTTGTGTCCCCACCCAAATCCCAACTTGAACTGTATCTCTCAGAATTCCCGTGTGTTGTGGGAGGGACCCAGGGGGAAGTAACTGAATCATGGGGGTCAGTCTTTCCCATGCAATTCTCATGATAGTGAATAAGTCTCATGAGATCTGATGGGTTTATCAGGGGTTTCCGCTTTTGCTTCTTCCTCATTTTCTCTTGCCACTGCCATGTAAGAAGTACCTTTCGCCTTCCACCATGTTTCTAAGTCCTCCCCAACCACGTAAAACTGTAAATCAAATTAAACCTCTTTTTCTTCCCAGTCTCGGGTATATCTTTATCAGCATGAAAATGGACTAATACAGTAAACTGGTACCAGTAGAGTGTGGCACTGCTGAAAAGATAATCCTAAAATGTGGAAGTGACTTTGGATCTAGATAATAGGCAGATGGTTGGAACAGTCTGGAGGGCTCAGAAGAAGATAGGAAAATGTGGGAAAGTTTGGAACTCTGAGAGACTTGTTGAATGGCTTTGGCAAAAGAGCTGATAATAATAAGAACAATAAGGTCCAGGCTGAGGTGGTCTCAGATGGAGATGAGGAACTTGTTGGGAACTGGAGCAAAGGTGACCCTTGTTATCTTTTAGCAAAGAGACTGTCAGCATTTTGCCCCTGCCCTAGAGTTTTGTGGAACTTTGAACTTGAGAGAGATGATTTTGGGTATCTGGCAGAAGAAATTTCTAAGCAGCAAAACATTCAAAAGGTGACATGGGTGCTGTTAAAGGCATCCTGTTTTAAAAGGGAAACAGAGCATAAAAGTTCAGAAAACTTGCAGCCTAACGATGCAATAGAAAAGAAAAACCCATTTTCTGAGGAGAAATTCAAGCTGGCTGCAGAAATTTGCATAAGTAGCAAGGAGCCTAATGTTAATCCCCAAGACCATGGGGAAAATGTCTCCAGGGCATGTCAGAGACCTTCAGGGCAGGCTCTCCCATCACAGGCCTGGAGGCCCAGGAGGAAAAAGTGGTTTCATGGCGTCAAAGCACAGCCTCACCCTCTTTAGGCTGAGCAGTTTCAAAGTGTGGGCGTATCAGACTTATTGAAGGGGACAAGGGCTGAGTGAAATCCTGGAATAGGTCGGGGGGACACAAGCTCTGGTAGACACCAAGTGACTTGTCTAGGTAACAGGAGGTGAGGTACGGGAGCATAAAGGCACTCTCTTCTGACGGCTTTCATGTCCCAGGTAAGTTGTGAATGGGAGCCAGCTCCCCTCGAGTGAGAACAGGAGGAAGGAGCATTGGAGGCTCCAGGACAGAGGAGTATGAGCTGGAATCCAGGAAAAGGAGGAGCCAGCTGATTAACAAACTGCAGTGGGATTGGCTGGCAATAATTAGGGGCCAGTGAGGTTCAGTCAGCAATGCAGAGTGACACCCATTGGCATTGGTTGGGTTTTTTTCTCCAGGCTGTTTGGATTCACACGTGTGGGTGGTGCAGAGATGCAGACACCAGGGGAGGGATTTTTCCAGGCAAGCATGAGAGTGACAGGCAGGGCAACTGAGTTGTAAATATTTGCCAGGGACTGATTAAAATGATGGAATGTGGCTTTACAGTTTCAGGTTTTATGTTTAAGTCTTTAATCCATTTTGAGAAAATATAGGGAAAAGCATCTTGGTATTGGCCTTGGCAATGATTTTTTAGACATGATCCCAAAAACACAGGCAACAAAAACAAACATAAGTGTGATTCCATCAAACTAAAAAGCTTCTGCACAGCAAAGGAAACAACAGAGTGGAGAGACACCTTGCCAAATGGAGTAAGATATGTGCAAACCATATATCCTATATGGGGTTAATGTCCAAAATATATAGGGAACTCAACTCAACAGCAAGAAAGCAAATAACTTGATCAAAAATGGACAAATAGCCTAAATGGACATTTCTCAAATGAAATATACAAATGACCAACACGTTTATGAAAAAATGCTCAACATCACTAATCATTGGGGAGCTACAAATTAAAATGAGATATCACCTAACACCTTGAGAAAGGCTATTATCAAAAAGACCAAAGGCAGGTGTCGGTGAGGATGTGGAGAAAGAGGTACCCTTGTACTGTTGGTGGGAATGTAAGTTAGACCAGCCACTATGGAAAACAGTTTAGAGGTCCCTCAAAACACTAAAAATAGAACTACCACGTGATCCAGCAATCCCACTACTGGGGATATATCCAAAGGAATGAAATCAGTATCTAGAAAAAATATCTGCAAGTCCACGTTTGTTGCATCATTATTCACAGTAGCCAAGACATGCAACCAACCTCTAAGTGTCCATTGATGGATGAATGGATAAAGAAAATGTGGTATATGCACACATGATAGGTATACTCCACATCCTCACTGACACAACAGAATACTACTCAGCCTTAAAAAAAAATTTCCAACAACATGAATGAACCTGGAGGACATTATGCTAAGTGAAATAAGCTAGACACAGAAAGACAAATACTGTATGATCTCACTTATATGTGGAGTGTAAAAAAGTTGAACTTTAAAGAGGCAGAGAGTAGGAGTGGGTACCAGTATACGGGGGTGATAAGAATGGGGAAATGCTGTCAAAGGGTATAAAGTTTCAGTTAGACAGGAGGAGTGCACTCTGGAGACCTATTGTACATCATGGTGGGTATAGTTAATAACAATGTATTGTGTTCTTAAAACTTGCTAAGAGAGTAGATCTTAAATGTTCCTCTCACAAAACATGACAGATATATGAGGTGGAAGATGTGTTAATTGGCTTGATTGTGGTAATTACTTCACAATGTATATGTATATCAAAACATCATGTTGTTCACCATAAATGTAAACATTTTTTGTCAATTACACTTCAATAAAGCTGGGAAAAAAGAGAGTTCATTCAAATGAATGCCACATTAAATACACCCAACTATGTAATTTTTTAATGATGGAATATGGGGTCTTTTCATTATAAGTTCTTTTGTGGCATTTGATTGGTTACCATGTCCATGATTACAATTTTTTTTTTTTTTTTTTGGACACAGAGTTTCCCTCTCTCGCCCAGGCTGGAGCGCAATGGCATGATCTTGGCTCACTGCAAATTAAGTAACTGGTATTTCAGGCACCCGCCACCACGTCCAGCTAATTTTTGTAGTTTTAGTAGAGACGGGGTTTCTCCATGTTGGCCAGGCTGGTCTCAAACACCTGACCTCAAGTGATCTTCCTACATCAGCCTCCAAAAGTGCTGGGATTACAGGCGTGAGACACTGCACCTGACCATGATTGTTAATATTTTTAAGTAGAAAAAAAAGAATGTAAAGCGGATGCTGGTCAGATTAAGAATGAGCTGGTCCTAAGAGATAGTGCATGGAAGCACCCCAGAGTTCATCCTGCATCTTTGCCTCCTGGGGCAAGGGAATCACGCGGACACAGGGTGTGAGGAGCACCCCTAGAATCTCCAGCAACTCTGAATGGGTTTTCTGGTCAGGGTTTGCTTTCCAGGGCACAGCTTCCACCCTTCCTAAGATAGAGTCCACTCCACTCTTACATAAAATAGGAGTTAATATACCTAAGGCAGGCAGGGGGAGAGACTGTCCATCTCTTATGGGTTGGGTTGTGTCCCCCCAAATTCACTGTTGAAGTCCTGATCTTCTGAAGTCTTTACAGGGGTGGTTAAGTTAAAATGAGGCCATGAGGGTCTGTCCTAATCTAAAATCATTTGTGTGTATGCATATATTCATTGCAGCACTATTCACAATAGCAAAGACATGGAATCAACCTAAATCTCTTTAATGGTAAAGAAAATGTGGTACACATACACCATGGAATACTATGCAGCCATAAAAAGAACAAGATCATGTCCTTTGCAGGAACTTGGATGGAGCTGGAGGCCATTATCCTAAGCGAACTAACACAGGAACAGAAAACCAAATACCACATGTTCTCACTTGTAAGTGGGAGCCAAATGATGAGAACACATGGATACATAGAGGGGAATAACGCCTATCAGAGAGTGGAGGGTAGGAGGAGGGAGAGGATCAGGAAAAATAATGAATGGGCACTAGGCTTAATATACCCAGGTGATGAAATAATCTGTAAAACAAACCCCCATGATACAAGTTTACCTATGTGACAAACCTGCATTTGTACCCAGGAACTTAAAATAAACATTAAAAAAAGAGGCAATTAGGATACAGACACATAGAGAGGGAAGTCTGCAAGCCAAGGGGAGAGGAGGCTGCAGGAGAATCCAAACCTGACACTTTGATCCTGGACTTCCGGGCTCCAGGACTACGCAGCAATAACCTTCTGCTGTTTATGCCCTCAGTGTGTGTAACTTCCTTATAGTAACCCCAGCAAACGCATACATCATCCAGACTAGGTAGGCCATTTTTCTAAAATATTACTAAACAATGTCAAATATTTAAACGCTGTTTTGTAAAATACAAGCTGAAGTGTTTGAACAACGTTTCCTCATTTGCACATTTATGCGCCAGTGAATTGCTGGTTGACATATTCATAGGTTTAAGCATATGGCATCTGGTTCATTTCATATATGTTTGGTTTCATCACACTGAATTCTGTTGTCACTTACATTAAGTCCCCAAAAGCCCTTTTCATGAAATGTTAAGGAGAGATCATGAAATAATGAAATCAGATAAATAAACAATTGAATCTGGTGAATCCAACCAGAATTAAAAGTTGTCATATTAGGGTCGACTTTGTACTATTTCGAGTGATAGTAACATATTACGGAATTAGACATAAACAAGATGCATTCCTAATTATATGTGTCTGTGAATGTGTGTGTGTGTGTGTGTGTGTGTGTGTGTGTGTGTGTTGATGTATAAACTCTGGACAAAAAAATGTTTTCTTAAAGAACTATTTGAAGGCAAATAGTTCTTCAGTTAAATAGTTCTTCAAATAGTTAAGAAACTAATAAACAGTTCTTCTTTAAATAGTTCTTCCAATAGTTAAGAAACTATTTGAAGTTTCTTAAAGAACTATTGGAAAGTGGATAAGAACAGGCAGAAACTGGAAGAGTGTCCGTCTGTAAGGATGAGCGTTTGCCTGGCTTTCCTCTGGGGCTGATGTGGAAAGTACAGCTTCTCTCACTGCCT
Source organism: Homo sapiens (assembly GCF_000001405.40). NCBI lineage: Eukaryota > Metazoa > Chordata > Mammalia > Primates > Hominidae > Homo > Homo sapiens. The sequence goes on from NC_000013.11 coordinate 21,216,439, forward strand.
TGAGGGCTCAGCGGTTGGAGGAGGGATTCCTAAATGGCTGGAAAATGAGGGGGGAAACGCCAGGTTGAAAGGAGCAGGGAGCGCTTCCGGAGACGTTGTCTGCAGGCACTCAGAATGGTCCAGCGTTTGACATACTATCGTAGGCTTTCCTACAATACAGCCTCTAACAAAACTGGGCTGCCGCGAACCCCTGGTAATGGAATTGTTTACCTTTCACACCGAAGCACAAGGTTGTCTCAAGGAAATGTGCATCTGCGATTCAACTGTGAGCTGAACTAGCAACTCTTTTTCATGGAACGTTATTTTTACATGAAAGAAGTACTGACAGACCAATGATGGCAGAGATAATAAATGCAGTGAGCCTGCCACTTCAAGAACTGACAGTATTTTTGGCCAATGATAAAATTCAAGCAAATTTGGAAAATTCTCAACGTTGGAAAGTGTGTCTCCATATTTCCCAATACTTAAGGCATTCCTGACAGGATTGGTGATGACACTAATGAATGTGATTTTTTTTAATCTTAGATAATGAAATGTGTCAACGCTCAAAAGAGTTACATAACTCAGTGAACTAATAGTTCTAATTGAGTGATGCCTGATTTCACACAATCATGCAAGAGTAAATGATCCATTCAAAATTGCAAGATAGACGAATGGATTTCAATGTAACAAGTGAAAAATTATATCAGTCATTGATATAATTTCAGATTTCACAATGCAACTAACTTTTAAAAAACTACTACTGGTCCAGTTTTGGTAGAATGTCCAAGAATGAATAGCCATGATTTTCTCCAAAGGCTATTAACACACTTTCTCCTTTTCTAACAAAATACCTGGGGTAACCAAAACAACTTAGAGCATCAGACTGAATACAGAAGCTGATATAAGAAGCTAGCTGTCTTCTTAGACCAGACCTGAAAAAGATCTGCAAAAACATAAATCAATGCCATTCCTTTCATAAAAATTTTTATAGTTATTTTTCATAAAATTATATTAGGTTAACATACAATGGTTTTATTATTGATATGTTTAAATAAATTAATAAAATCTTTTAAAATGTTTTACTTAAAACATTTAACCTTTTTTTTTTTTTTTTTAAAGAGACAGGTTTCACTATGTCACCCAGGCTGGAGTGTAGTGGTATAATTACAGCTCACTGCAGCCTTGACCTCCTAGGCTCAACCAATCTTTTCACCTCAGCCTCATGAGTGGCTGGGACTACAGGCGTGTGCTACCGTGCTCAGCTAATTAAAAAAATTTTTTTGGCCAGGCACGGTGGCTCACACCTGTAATCCCAGCACTTTAGGAGGCCGAGGCAGGTGGATCACAAGGTCAGGAGATCGAGCCCATCCTGGCTAACATGGTGAAACCCCATCTCTACTAAAAAAATACAAAAGAAAATTAGCCGGGCATGGTGGCGGGAGCCTGTAGTCCCAGCTATGCAGGAGGCTGAGGCAGGAGAATGATATGAACCCAGCAGGTGGAGCTTGCAGTGAGTGGAGACGTGCCACTGCACTTCAGCCTGGGCGACAGAGCAAGACTCCGTCTCAAAAAAAAAAAAAATTTTTTTTTGTAGAGATGGGGGTCTTGCTATGTTGCCTGGGCTGGTCTTGAACTCCTAGCCTCAAGCAATCCTTCTGCCTCCACCTCCCAAACTTCTGGGATTGTAGGCATGAGCTACTATCCCCAGCCAAAACATTTAAACATTTGTATACAGTTTTAATTTTTAATATGGTCAATATCAGTAGATATAACCCCACATAAACAAAAACTCTCTGGGGTCCTCAATAATTTTTAAGAATGTAAAGGGGATCTTGAGGCTATTTAAATTTAATAATCTTGAGACTATTATGAATGGAAAGGGGATCTAGAAAACTAGTGGTCTGAGAATGCTTCTCTAGTGCCTAGTGCATGCTAGGTACTCACTAAATGCTGAATGAATGTTGTAAAGGCACATTCTCTTTAATATTTGTCTGCCTTCTGAAGCTTCTGTCTTTCAAAACGTCTCCAATTAACATCTGGAAAACTGATCTGTTTGTTTTATTTTCTTGGGAGCCATAATGCTTTAACTGTAGCTCATACATGTTCGAGTAGCGCAGCTTAGATGAAGACCTAATGACTAGAGCGTAAGCCCCAGAACTCAGAAGTTACCCTCAGAATCACTATAAATGTCTCCAACTATTTTTTATCCTTTCCTTTTTCTTAAGTGCCTACATCAAGATAAAAATTTAAAACTAGTTTGCAATGTGTTTAATGTAATTGCTTTTATTTTAACTATTGGTATTGCAGCAGTGTTTTGTTTTGTTTTTACTGTTGAGCATTGTGACCTAGCTACACTGCATACCAAACAGGGGCCTAACTACCATTTAAACAACAGTTTTTAACAGGAAAGCACACGCCAAGTTTTAAAAGTGACTCTCAAGTGTCCTTCTGGAAGACAACAGATGTTGTGGTTATAACAGTTTCTGTGGTATAACAGAGAGTCCACAACGGGTTTGTGTCACACTAAACGGAAGCCACATTGGAAGCTGTCTCATGTTTAAGCAAACACTATGCTTTACAAGATTATTTTTGAATGGGCTACAATATATAAAATCAACTACAAGCTTTCAGATGAGCTGAATGATGCTACAGAACCTGAACTTGGAACTACCTTGTCTTGGTAAGATGCACCTTCTCTCTGTTAGTGTCACATCAATGACAAATTGGTGACAGCCACAGCTCTTGGCTGGCCACATCCCCAGAACTTCTGGTAAAGTCCACATAAAGCTCATTTTTGTGTGAGGCCCCAGAGAGTTGAGGCCTCACGAGGGCATTGAGTTGTGCCCTCGCAACTGCCTCGCCTGAGTTTTCTGAAAAAAGGTCTCCTGCTTTCAAAATTCCACATTAGCATCTAAGTGCTATCTTTCAGCTACAGCAGGCAGCTCTTTTCTTTTCTTTTCTTTCTTCTCCCTTTTTTCTCTTTCTTTCTTTCTCTCCTTTCTTTCTCTCTCTTTCCCTCCCTCTCTTTCTTTTCTTTCTTTCTTTCTTTCTTTCTTTCTTTCTTTCTTTCTTTCTTTTTCTTTCTTTCTCTTTCTTTCTTTCTTCTCTTCTTTTTCTTTCTTTTTTTTTTTTTTGAGACAGGGTCTTGCCTCACTCTGTCGCCCAGGCTGTGGTGCAGTGGTGTGATTACAGCTCACTGCAGCCTTGACCATTCAGCTCAAGAGATCCTCTCACCTCAGCCTTCCAAGTAGCTGGGACCATAGGTGTGTGCCTCCGGGCCCAGCTAATTTTTAAATTTTTTGTAGAGAGGGGATCTCACCTTGTTGTCTGGGCTGGTCTTGAACTCCTGGGCTCAAGCCATCCTCTTGCCTCAGCCTCCCAAAATGCTGGGATTATAGGCATGAGCCACTGCACCCAGTCAGGCAGCCTTTACTTCAGATGAGCATAACTAAATCAGTAGGAGAGGAAGTGAGGTGAGAGACGAATCTCAGATCCTGACTATGATACGAATTGTGATTTGTTCTGCATAAGCTGCAAGCACTCAGGCTCAAAGTGGGATTAGAAACATTCCTGCCATCTTCCGTAGGAAGACTGGTGAGACACAGTGGCTCAGAAGAACCAAAGATTCAGTATTAGCAGGAAGATTCTAGATAACATTTCCCTGTTTTGCAACACACCTAACCTGAAGTTAATAAACCAGGATTAAATAAAAGCATTTTATTTTCAGATCCAAAATACAAAGCCACACAGCCTTAGGCTGAGAGTCAGATTTCACAAGCTGAGCAGGAACAGGCCCCATCTTCCATTAGCTACTCAGTTAGTCAAGGAGAACTGGAGCTGCACATTGGGAGGGAAAAGGGCCACATATTTTCTGGTTCAATTAGGTAAAAGAGGCTTTGGTTTTTTTAAAAAAAATGAGCTTGCATTCTGAATTGCCAGGCTTGAATTTGATATTTCAAATGTCTCTTGTGTGTATATGTAAGTTACAGCCTGTTTCACCTGGTTTACTGTTGAACAGTGGCTCGTCTGAAAATAAAGAAGTTGTTGAAAAGCTCTCAGCAAAAATGCCACCAACACTTGTATCACAGGAAATCTTCAAAGAGGGTATACTGTAACAAGTACCTGATAGTCATTTACTTACTCAACAACTACTTAGCAAGATCCTACCATGGGCCCAGTTGGGGGTGGGTGGGCACTGAGAACTAGCAAGATGGACCTAGTGCCTGACTTTGGGAAGTTTTCAGTCTAGCATGGAAGGGTTAAGTAAATTGTTACATAATTAATACAAAAATAAAATGGCCCTTTAATAGCTGATACTGGCCAGGTGGGGTGGTTCACACCTGTAATCCCAGCACTTTGGGAGGCTGAGGCAGGCAGATCTCTTGAGGTCAGGAGTTCAAGACCAGTCTGGCCAACATGGTGAAACCTCGTCTCTACTAAAAATCCAAAAATTAGCTGGGTGTAGTGGCACATGCCTGTAATCCCATCACTCAGGAGGCTGAGGTGCGAGAATCACTTGAACCTGGAAGATGGAGGTTGCAGTGAGCAGAGATCGTGCCACTGCACTCCAGCCTGGGTGACAGAGTGAGACTCTGTCTCAAAAAAAAAAAAGAAAAAATAGCCGACACCTTCTCATTTTCATGCCTTTGCAATATGAGGGAACTAGGGCATGGTAGAAGAAGCACTGTTGCATTCTTAGGAGGCATTTACTAGAGTTATGAGGAAAGCCAGCTCCCTGATGGATAATGGACTTAGGCAGTGCTCATCAATGGCTGTGGAATGTATTAGGTAAAACGCTGATGGGGGAATTTTATAATTATATATATTCAGTTAACAACATCTGAATCTATTGATCAATCTCAATAGCATGAAAGGAGAGACATGTGGAAGTAAGTAGAGGCACCACTCATGAAGTAGTCTTGCTGAAACCCAAACCAAATGAGCTTAAATCTGATCAAGACTCTAGATTCAGCTACTAGTTTTCAGGAAATACAGAGGATAGAAGAACATGTTAAATGACACCATGGGGATACAACTGGCAAAATTCCAAACATGGGAAACTGCACAGGGCTAACAATCCAGTTTCTTCAAAAACAACAGAATGACCAGAGAGGGGGTTGTGAGAGAGATATACATAGACACACACACACACATACACATATATATGTATGTATGTTTCTATCCACTGTTCCTGGCTCATAACTCCCATGACCTTTGTTACACTCTTTTGTTACAACTTTGGAACTTTGGGGCACTTTAGTTCTCAGAAGCAGGCCTCAGAAAACAGAATCTCTCTCTGACCTTCTCCTACCTTCTTTTCCCTGCTCCTTTTTCTCCCCAATGCAGGACTCTAATCTTCCCCCACCTTTCTCTGATCTACCTTGTCTGACTGTCGGTTGTAAGTTCCCCATTTCTGAAGGGGCCCTGCATCATCCCAGGAGGAAGGAATGCTGTACAGAGAGACCAAGAAGAATCTGAAGGGACAGGACTTGCTGGGTTCCCCACTCAGTCTACTGGTATTAGATCATACCCTTTTTGTCCAATCACATATCTACATGGTTGTCCATGCTTCAACATGCCTATCCAATGAAGTCTCCATACAAGCTCTAGGAGAACAGTGTATAGAGAGCCTCCAGATAGCTGAGCATGTGGAGGCTCCTACAGGGTTGTGCATCCAGGGATGGCATGGAAGCCCCATTCCCCCTCCCCCATATTTTTCCCTTTGCACTTCTTCATCTGTATCCTTTGTTATATCCTTCATAATAAATCGGTAGATGTTGGTACATGTTTCTGAGTTCTGTGAGCTGCTCTAGCAAATTAATCAAACCCAAGGAGGGAGTTGTGGGTTCCCTGAATTATAGCCGGCTGAGGCTTGTGAAGGCATCTTAAGTGGAAGCAGTCTGGTGAGATGGAGCCCTCAACCTGTGGGCTCTCCAGGTAGACAGTGTCAGAACTGAATTGGAGGACACCTGCTGGTGTCTGCTGCAGAACTGATTCCTTGCTTGTTGGTGAGGAGAAATCCCTGCACATCTGGCCACAGAAGTCCGCTGTGTTGATTATTGTGGAATGAGAGCAGAGGAAAGACATTTCGGGATTTGTTTTGTTTTTTTTTCCAGCTCAGGGGACTAGGACCCACCCTCCATTCCCCTGAGCTGGAAAAAAACAAACAAGACCCCCAAGAGAAATATTAACCAAATGTAAGTGTGGGCCTTGTTTGGTTCTAGATTAAACCAATTAATTTTTTAAAGCATGAAAGAAACATGGAAAACAAGAAAATCTGAGGACTCTAGATGTAATAATTAAAGACATTTTTAAGGCAGTGATAGCAATATTGTGGTTATGTTCTTTAAAAGTGTCTTTATCCTGTTATAGGTATACTATATGAGTATTTAGAGATGAAATCACATCCCAAATTAGTTTCAAAAGAATAGCTGGAAAAATAAGCAGATGAAAAATGCTCAATATTACTGGCCATCAGGGAAATGCAAATCAAAATTAGAATGAGGTAACACTTTGTACCCACAAGGATGGCTATAATAAAAAAGAGATAATAACAAGTGTTGGTGAGGATGTGGAGAAATTTGAACCCTCATACACTCTAGTACAAATGTACAATGCTGTGGCCACTTTGGAAAACAGTTTGGTAATTCCTTAAATCATTAAACATAGTTATCATGTGTAACTCAGCAATTGCACTCCTAGGTGTACACCCAAGGGAAATTAAAATGAGTCTACAGAAAAGCACATAGAAATGTTCATAGCAGCATTATAAATAGCCAAAATGTGAAAGCAGTCCAAATGTCCATCAAATGATGAATGGATAAGTATGGCATATTCATACAATAAACTACTATGCTGGAATAAAAATAAACAACATATTGATACATGCTATAACATAAATGAACCTTGACATCATTATGCTGAGTAGAAGAAACCAATCATAAGACACCACATAAAATATGATTCCTTATATATGAATGTCCAGAATAGGTAAGTTGTAGAAACAGAAAATAGATCGGGGTTTCCTAGGGCTGTGGTGTCAGGAACAAGGAGACTGGGAGCACTGGCAGGGAAAGGGCGGTGATTGCTAAGGGGTCTTGGGTTTCTTTTGGGGGTAATGAAAATGTTTTAAAATCAGCTGTGGTGATGAATGCACAACTCTGTGACTATACTAACAGCCAGTGAATTGTATGCCTTGAAAAAAGCATGCTGGGGCAGGTGTGGGCAGGGGTACAGGTGAAATATAACATGCCATGTGTTGAAAGTTTTTACATGTGTAGGCTCTATCATCAGACCCTCCAGATCAAATCCTCGCTCTCAAAATTATGAGCCATGTGACCTTGGGCAAGATGTTTAACCAGTTTGAATCCTAGATCCCTCAAATGTAACATGAGGATAGTAATACAGGCATGCACACGTTAAATGAAGTTGATATATTTAATGCACATAGAACAGTGTCCTGCACATGTACGATGCCCACTGGACATCAAGTTGTTTTTATTTTTTATTTTTGAGATGAAATCTCACTCTGTCGCCCAGGCTAGAGTGCAGTGGCGCGATCTTGGCTCACTGCAACCTCTACCTCCTGGATTCAAGCGACTCTCCCATCTCCGCCTCCCCAGCAGCTGGGATTACAGGTGCCTGCCACCACACCCAGCTGATTTTTGTATTTTTAGTAGACACGGAGTTTTATCGTGTTAGCCAGACTGATCTCGAACTCCTGACCTCAGGTGATCCACCCACCTTGGCCTCCCAAAGTGCTGGGATTACAGGCGTGAGCCACCATGCCCGGCCGGATGTGAAGTTTTGTTACTTTCATCTGCTTGCTTTGGGTCGGCTACTTCAGGAGTGCCCATTTCTTCAGCATCTCCCTCAGAACCACAGTCGTTAGGGACACCTAGTAGGGTTCACAAAAGTCTTCCTTTGTTGGCTCTGACCTTTTTAATGTTTATGATGCTCCTTACCAAGGCATTATCTTCAAAAGGTTCTGTTTTTTGTGACTTAGTAAGTTTGTTTTCTCTTTGATTTTAGGCTATAGATGAAAATGTAGGAGCAGCAGCAAGAGATGGAAGAAGGAGACCAACTGAGCCACATTCATGGACTCTGTGCTAGAGGGCCTGATTCTTCCACCCCAGGGCCACACATGCGGGGACAGCAAAGGATAATAAATCCCACGGATCGTCCTTCAGACTCTTCCCATTGGCGATGCCATTAGAAGACTGGCTCAACCTGGAGGCAGCTGCGTGCTGTTCCTGACATTACCAGACCTGCCCACTCTCCCCTGGATCCCAACATCACCGTCTACCTGGGTCCTCATTCTTGTAACCCAACGATGGCCTCCTAAATTAGCAAAGTGCTTTGGCTCCTTTTCTATAACAAAGGCTCTTTTTGAACCTCATCAGTGAAACTATGACAAATATTTTATAAACGGCTCTCTGAAAGCACAGCTCGACACGTGCGCACTTACACGCACACACAATGGCGTGTTTAGATGCTCACGTGCGCTCTCTGCACAGGGCTGCAGCATTTTCTCCCCTTCAAGTTTGCTCCCAAACGGATTTATTTTTTAATTTTTATTTTGTTGTACTGTATGTATCAACTGCACAAGGCAATCAGCCAAAGAGAGATTTAAACATATGGACTAAATTTCATGTCTTTGGAAAACATGGTAGAGCAAGACAGCAATAAGCTCTTCCACTCTGCTCTCTGGGGCTGCCACTTGGCTGAGGAGGGGACATGTTACACCTGGGCCAAATCATCCTGGGTCTCCCACTCAAAGCGCCACTCTCATGTCTGCAGCGGCCTGTGCAAATATGCAAAGCCCCCTTTGAAAGCTCTGTGGTGCTGCTTAGCGGTGTTCTTTGCACCTTGAACAATGCTCACTCACATGCAAGACCTGCCCATGGACATACCAGGATTAGCAAAGCAATCCACGGTCCTGAATTTCTGTGGGTGCCTGCATTTGCTATGCTACAAGGGGAAGAGATTGTCATTTACAGTGAAAAATAAAGGTGGTGTTAATTAAATTTATTTTCCTGAGTGCCGACGTCTCCAGACCTCTATTCCTTTTGTAAGGTGAGCAAGTATGTCCTACAAAAGAGTGAGCCGGAAATGAACTTCATTTTACTGTTATAATATCCAGAATTCACACATTTTTAAGCATTTGCCAAAATAAGTAATGATTTTACAATTGACTTACATAGGCTCTGTGTATCCCTCTGGTTTGGAAATTGAAAATAGAACTGTGTACTGTATTACTTTGCCCAGATGCAACATTGACACTGATGTTTTACAACCAAAATGCTACCACCTCTAGGTACATAGTGTAACCTGACATACACTGTGTATAACTTGCCTTCTTTCCTGTCAAATGTATCCATTTCCAGGTCAAGTTAAAGAGAGTAAAAGTTTAAAGACAAAATCACAAATCAGTGGCTCCACCATAATGCCAAATTGCCAGGGCCATTAAAGGTTTGTGATTGGACACTGGAGGCAAAGGTCAGGATAAGCTAGGGCACAGACTGTACATTGTAACATAGCTCTTTCTCTTACTTTCAGAAAGCTTATCAGATGGAATGATCACAATGGCGACGGTGAAAGTTCTACAGGTACGCTTTTTGTACACTCCATTTTAGATACAGGTAGGTGCGTCTACTGTGTGAGCTTCAGGACTAAGCATTAGTTACAGGTTCCTCTGTGCATGCCTGACTGTGTGTCGGTGTGACCACAGCAGCTGCAGAGCAGTGATTTGGCAGTGTGAGTGCAGGAGCTCCCTAGGCCAAGCCGTTCAGGATTACAAAGCAAGGACGGCAAGGACTGGGACAGGTGGGCAGGGAGCTGGAAGAGAGGCAGGTGCTGCAGTAGAAAGACTGCGGGCTTTATGGTCAGGCATGCCTTAGGTGGAAGCTTGGCTCTGCCGCTTTCCAGCTTTGTGAGGGGGGAAGTGAATTCACTTCTCCTAGTCCTACGTGTGTCACATGAGAAACAGGAACCGCCTACATTTCCGAGTTGCCGAGGAGATGGAAAGTGAACAGCAGGTGCACAGTAGGGGTAACGGTGGCTGTAAAAGGTGGGTGCAGAAGCCGTGGAGGTCCATGCCACGTATCCAGCCCTACCCACTCCATCATGGACACTTGCCACTCGCAAGAGACTGGGAGGCCTGGAAACCAGAAGGGTCCTGGACGGGCTGATGGCTTATCTCAAGGGATAGCTCAAGCTGAAGGCATTGAGTGGCCTGATTTATTTTTGTAATGAAGTAACTCAGGTTTTCAAATCTAAATTCATTATATTACTCTATGGAGCCACTAACATCACTTGTGATGTCAGGAATGGCTGTCATAGTGAGGATGGGAAGGCGAAGGAGGGAAAGAAGAAGGGGGAAGTAGCTACTTTGGCTGGGCTGGATATTTTATTTTGGTCCCTTTTTAATATTTAAAATAATCTGGTAAAGTGAACTCTTTAAAAATATTTATTGCCTTTGTTTTAAATATTATGTAATTAAGTTTATATAATTACTTTTTAATGAACTTTTTATTTTAGAAGCTTTAGATTTACAGAAAAATTGTCCAAAATTTGCAATACTACAGAGTCCTCATATTCCCCCCACCCAGGTTCCCCTGATATTAACATCACACATTAGCCTCGTACACAAGTATGTTAGTCACAAGGAGTGAACAGACGTCACTACATTGTTTTCACCAGTATCTACACTTTATTCAGATTTCCTTACTTTTCCCCTGCTGTCCTCTTCCTGTCCAGGATCCCACACTGCAATTAGTTGTCATGCCTCCTCAGAATCTCTTGGCTGTGACACTTTCTCAGACTTGTCTTGTTTTGGGTGGCATTGACAAAGAGAAGTTCTCAGACTTCTCTTGTTTTGGGTGGCATTGACTACTTTGAGGCGCATTAGTCAGGAATGTTGCATGCCCTCCATTGACATGCGTCTGACTTTTTCCCCTCATGATTAGAATGGGGTTATGGGATTCTTTTCTGTGGAAGATCACAGAGGTTGAGTACCATTCTCATCACACCATATCAAGGGGACATGCTATCAGCATGGCTTCACTCTTGATGTTGGCCTTGGTCACGTGGCAGAAGTAGTGGTCGTTAGCTTCCTCCACTGTGAAGTTACTCTTTTTGCTCCCTTTCCAACCCATCCTCCGGAAGGAAGCTGCTATGTACAGCCCACACTAAAGGGTGGAGACTTATGTTCCACCTCGTTGAGGGAAGAGCATGAATTACTTGGAATTCCTCTGCATGGGAGATTTCTCTATTCATTCATGCATTCATTCATCTGGGATTCATTTATATCGGTATAAACAAATGGATTTTTATTTTGTACTTTGTGTTATAATCCAACACCCCATTGTTTATTTTGCTTCTTATGTGTTCCAGCTCTGGCTGTTGAAACTCTTTCAGTTGGGTCCTGTTCCCCTTTGACATCCCCCCATCGCCCAATATGGTGGCCTTTTTTGAGCACTTTCTTATTTTCTGGCATTATATTATTATTGCATTAAGTATTGGCTCATATATTTCCTGGCCCAGTCCTAGAATCAATCACTTCTCCAAGAAGACTTGTAAACTTGCTTTTTAAGCAGTTAACAGCTTTCAGACCAGGGCTGTTTGTTCACCACCATTGAAGTAATACCCTTCTGAGTATCGTACCCAAAGTTCATCCTCCCGTGGCTGCTGGGAGCACAAACTATTGCCTAATGCACATGAGCTCAGAGATTTTTCTGCCTGTCCTTTCTGGAGTTCTTTCCGCAGCTGCCATGGGGGCCCTTACGCTCACACACATGTGTCCATCAGTGCCCAGCCGAGGACTGAGGGATCCTCTCCGGAATTCCAGAGCTCGCTCTCTGGGCACCTCTTGCCTGTCTGGCACTCTGCCTTGAGAATTACAGCTGCTTCAGAGTCCCAGATTCCTATCTCTGTCTCATGAATTTAGAGACTCCTGGGTTTTGTGTGGGGTCCCCTCCCCATGCTGTGGCCTAGGAAGCCCCCCAGGCAGTGAGCGGGGGAAGCCGCAGGGCTCACCTCCACTGCTCTCCCTCTCAGGGACCACCGTCCTGCACGACTCGATGTCCAACATCTGAAAACCCTTGTTGCATTTATTTTGCCTAGTTTTTTGTTGTTTAAGATGAGAAGGTAAATCTAGTCCTTATGACTCTATCTTGGCCTGAGTAGAACTTCTAATTGACTCCAACATTTACCAAACAAAGGGTCCCATTTAGCAATGAGATTGACTTTCCTGGGATGCTAAGTAGTCTCATCGTAGTCAGTGACCCATAGTGAATCACCTGACCAAGGGAGGGACACAGCTTGGACCATGCAGCGTTGTACAGTGGCACTCATCTGTCTCTGTCACATATGAGGTTGCTGGTGGTGCAAAATGGGAAAGGATTATACCGAGAGGCTCTGAAAGCCAAAGGCCTTCCTACTTACTCTACAGGACCATCAGAAGGTGGCTGTGGGGAGGGCTGCTGGGCAGGTCCAACCACTCTTCTCAGGAGACAAGGGCCTGCACTGGCCAACAGCCACCACCACTATTTTAATGAAAATGGCCCATAGAAGTGCTATGCGTGGTGGCACAAGTAGCCTCAAGATCCCAGGAGATCAACTGGTTTCACAGGAGTTCCCCTTATCCTGGGCAAGCTAAGAAGTGCTGTTTAATATGAGCACTCACCAAGAGCTTGAAAACCCACTTGGCTAACAAGGATGGAAGGTGGAGAACAGGGCTGCGAATGCCCCCTGGGCCTCTGCTCAGCATCTTTCCTTCAGCTCCACTACATCAGACTCACACACACACACACACACACCCACAACCCCCCCACCCCACATGCACATTCACACACATACCCCCCCCATGCCCCCCCACAACCCTCCCACCCCCCCCACACTCACCCACACACACCCCCACAACCCCCTACATGCACACTCACACACATACCCACCCACACGCACACCCCAGAAACCCCCAAATGCACGCTCACACACATACACACCCTCCACAATACACACACACCCACATGCACACTCACACACACATACACACACACACCCCACGTGCACACTCACACACACACACACATATCCTCTTGGAATATCAACAGGGGACCATCATTTTCTTCCTGGTCTCAATTTCATTGTCTTCAGATCTTAGAAACTTTCCTTCTAAAACAGTAAGGCAGGCTTTAAAGATTTGCAAACAACATTTTTTTTTTAAATCCAGGAATGTTATACTAAAGGAAAGAATGCTTTCCAAGGGTGAGTGCAAAGGAAATTTTCTTCAGGCAGCTCACTGTGTACATCAGAGTTCCTCCAATTGGGAGATTTACCTGTAGTTTGCAACAAGAACCACAAAGCCATCGCCAAGTGAGTTAACGAGACCACATTCTCTGTCCTTCAACTAGCTGTGAGGGCAGGTGCAGCTGGGATGGAGAAGCTGCCAATGAGTGGCACTGCCCTCTCTGCTCGGGCCCGCCTGCCAGGCCTCAACTGTCCTGAGGGTGAGGTCCACTCTCAGCATTTATGGCCTCACCCCCATCTTTGGTCTCATTCCACACCTCCCACCAACCACACCTTCTGGCCCACCCAAAGCAAGAAAGCCCTTGGAGAAATGAAAATGTTCTCCTCATTAAAAAAGACTTCTAATTAGTGAAGCAACCATAAATGACCATGGAACTCCTTGTTTCAGACATGGAGCTTCTTCAAGACCTGTTTCCTGTCATTCACAACAATGGAGGAAGTGTCCCATTAAGACAGATGAGGGCCAGCAACCCTGGCTTTAGAGTTAATTAATATATTCACCTTTAAGAAGGGAAAGGGTCTCAGTGATTTGTGAAGCTGAGGCAGGATGATCACGTGAGGTTAGGATTTCAAGACCAGCCTGGGCAACATAGTCAGTCCCTGTCTCTACAAAAAATAGTTTAAAAATTAGCTGGGTGCGGTGGTACATCCCTGTAGTCCCAGCTACTCAGGAGGCTGAGTGGGAGGATGGCTTGAGTCCAGGAGGTCACAGCTACAGTGAGCTATGATACTGCCACTGCACTCCAGTCTGAGCAACAGAGCAAAACCCTGTCTCTAAAAACCATAAAGTAGGGGAAGGGTATGTGGGGGTGTAGAAGGATTTGGGGGGATTGTCATGAGCTCAGCTTCACTATGAAGCCTGCCTTTAGTGGTGTGACCAGAGGCTTTACATTCAGTTGGCACTCACAGATCTGTCCTGGATGAAACTGAAGTAGTTTCCATGAACGAACCCCCTTTTCACCTGATTTCCTTCAGGACATCCACCTGGGGCCATAGCTGTGGACTCCCACCGCCTAGGGGAGCACAGGACAAACTGGAGCTCACTGACCACATAGGACTTCCTGAGTAATGGTGTGAGCTGGCCAGTGGCAGGTCCCCTTGGATCTCACATCCTGATAAGAGAGTGGAACGAGGCCAAAACAAAGAAAAGAGAAAAATCCTTCCAATGCAATATTTAGGCTCAACCCATAAGGAAATCCCATCTCCCCGGCAAATCTAAGCAATGAAAATTTCTCATAAAATTAAGCTGCTATTTTCTTCAAAAACTGGTCATTACCTCCAGGACAATGTTGGTTCAAAGGTCTGCTACCCGGCCCTTCTACCACCCAGAGAGTTCACTGTTCTACAATCACACCATGACTTTGAGGCCCACATGTTTTCATTCTACCCACAACAGCCCCTGACCTGCTCCACCTGGGGGAATTCTTGCTTATTCTCCAAGGTTCAGTTCCAATGGCACATTCCCTGTGAGGCAGTCCCTAAGATCCCATGATATTTGCCACAGCCGTAAGGAATTAGTAGCCAAGGCTTTCTTCCCTGGGCTCCTGCGGCTGCACCCCACTGCTTGTCCAACTCCTGCCTTCTGTTTTGGACTGTGAGTCCCCTGATGGCAGGGCCTGAGATTCATCCTGTCTGGGGCCCCGAGGCTACCCAGGGGCCCTGCGAGATGTGCACCAGGGGATGGACACACGGACGGAAGGACGTGGCTGCTCTACATTGGCAGTGTAGGGCTTCAGGGTTTTCAAAGTAGACTGGCATGTGCACTCTGATTTGCCCTTCCCCTCCTGGGGAGGCAGAAAAAGTATTATTCATGCTCCACTCACAAGGACATGAGTGTTGGAAAATGTGAAACGAGAGGGAGCCCGATGCTGCCTGGAGACCTAAACTAGACCACAGACTTGGGCTCTAGTTTTGGCTTTCCTCCAGGGTATTCTGAGTGACTGTGAGCAAGTCTGTGGGCCTGGGCTGTAAGGAATTATCTACATTATCTCTGATCCAGTTGCAATCGTCTATGCCTCCCCTTAGGCCATGTGTTCCTAAGTGGTGACGCCTGAACTAGCATCAAGGTTTTCAGATGCTTAGCAGCTTGTGAAAGGTCCTGGTGCCACTTCATTCTCAGGTGCTGAATTTGTTTTTCAAATCCATGTAATATTGGAATAATGGCTGGTCCTCAACTGGTAATGAGAAGTTGTTTTTATGAGTGAAACCTGCATCGCCAGCACAGCTTGGGGTAGGTCCATGCTGCTAACTCCAGACAGGGATCAACGGGAAACTGCACGGACACATTCATTCCTTTCAGCAAATATGGCAACAAGATGATGATATCCAACAGGTCTCTAATAAAGGAATGCAGGAAAAGCACATACGGAATAGAAGTGAGTGAGAACAAGCAAGTGCTTACAGGTTCTGTGCTGATCATGCCTCTGCTAAAACAAAAACAAAACATTTTGGTTCATCAAGGTGCGCTGGAGAAAGCTGAGCTGCTGCTGCTCAGACTCTATCACAGCTCCGCTGACTGTGACATGGAAACAACAGGAGCCCCATCTACAGATGGAAAGATCGTAATTTCTCAGACCGCATCAAAGTCTCACAAAGCCTTGTCTAAATGCTGTTCTGAGTGTTTCATTGAGCAACATTTGGCAAATCTCAAGGCTGGAGATGTAACAATAGGATTAATAGAAGGAGGAGTTGCTGAATGCATTTCTCAGTCCAAACACAAGGAGCAACAACACGGAAAGTTAAAACGTGGCCAGTGATTCGCAGCTGGCTTGCTTGGGGTAGCAGCCAAAGGCCTCCTTCAAAAGCTACATATATTCTTCCTTGCAGATAACCCAATAGTCGATACAGTCACGAGTTTAAAAGAACCTTCCTGGGCTACTGTCAGGACTCCCAGGCAGGGTAAGTAGCACCTGCCAGCCAGGCTCGGTGAGCCTCCAATTGATCTTATACTTCATATTTCCTCTAAAATTACCAAGCTGCCAGCAGATCCACTAGTTAGTCCACAGAGACCACTAGGAACCCACAAACCTTATTTTCTACAGTAATGTACTGGACCTTAAGCAACACACGGCTGGGGCTTTTCAGCACTCAGCGGAGAGTAAGCAGACAGTCAGAAGGCACTGAACAGCACTGATTTTGTTTGGTTCTAGTTGTTAAGTTGGTGACTTCAGAATCACAACAGTGTGAAAATCTCCCATTCCTGGGGCTACCAGAGGTTCCTCATTCTTTGGAACCAAAAATGTATAATCCACAAGGCTTGAGAGCTATATTTGCTTTTGACAAATGTCTGAATTTTACTTAATGAGGATAAAAAAATATTTTATTTCCATGAAAAGTTTTGCCTATGGAAGTTTTTGAACTTGAAAATTTCAGAACTAGTTTCACTTTGAAGCAGAAGGATCCCATAACACCGAAAAGCCGATATTCATAAAACCAAAGCAGTGCCTGTGGGAGGTGCACCAAAGTCCCTTCATATGAAATTTCCTGGTGTCCCTAAGGGGGAACACAGTGACATCCCAGGGGGTACAGGAAAGACAAGTCCCCCCCAAGACCCTGTCCAGGAGCTCTCCAGCCTGGGCCTCCCCTCTCATTCTCTTAGTCCTAAACGTTTGGGGACATGTCAGAACATGAAAGGGAAAGGAAAGCCAAAATAAAGTCTTAGTTAGCTATAAAACCCAAGTAACCAGAGTCCTTGGATGAGTTTTATTTTGCTGCCTTATTTCATTTTTAGGAAATGTGAGATGAATGTTTTTACAAAATAAAACAGAAACTCCCTAAATATGACTTAGGGACAAGTTCCAACCTAGCCTGGAGCTCTTATACCTTTTAAAGTTTACAGTAAGAACTGACCTACACTAATCCATTAAATTAGTGAATTGACTTTCTACCAAATTCTAGAAACATTACAGATTACAGACCATTAGAAAAACATTTTAATGTTTTTAGAAAAATTAAAGCTATATTTTATCTATTCTAAACAGGGCAAAAAGTACACATATCACAGAAGGATAAGAAGAATAGAAAGTAAAAGTTTAAAAAGTTCACTTTTTTAAACATTGAAGAAAAATGCTACTAGAAATCTGGTTGAGTATATGTAGTTTGCTAAAAGGAATACTGAAATACTTTGCTTTCTGGTATCCTAGTTAAAAAGCACAAAACGATCTTTAACAGGGAGAAAAATACTAAAATGTGATTTTCCCTTGCTGTTGCTCATTTGCTTACCCTGAATGAAACATTTAAAAAAGATACATATCACTGGCTGTCAAAGTCCTAGCTTTGGGGATACCTTTTATAAGCTGCACCAAAATTTCAATCTGGTGGGCTGCGGGATGGGAATGTCAAGAACAGCAGTACAGTAAAACAGAAGTCAGAGAAAGGCTTGACATAGTTTAAAAATAGCCAATATAAATTTGAAAATGGCATGAGAACACATCTGTAAGTATGCTGCTGTATTTTGTATCTGACAAGCCACCCATCATTTTCTACCTATGTTATCACTCCCAAGATCTATTTTAATATTTACTGTATGTGTTAATAAAAATGAGTAATGGAAAGCATCACAACTCAACCACATGCCACAAGCAGCCCATTAAAGCACAAATAACTTACTAATAAAAAGTTCTTATCAGAATACAGAGAATTCCAATTAGCCTTTTTATTTACTAACATTATCTTAGAGTCGACATAAAGTTAACCGCTTCCTGCTTTTAATTTAGTTCATTCTAATGACTATTTCTCTGCATCTCTACAGTTCGTTTAAGGATGAAGATGGGGATAATGAAAAACAAAAGTCCTGCCAGCACTAACATTGTCAAGCCGTGATATCGGCACTTAAAACAACCGTTTGTGAGAGAAAACCTGGTATCTGGCTTCTGACGTTTCAGTACAATCTTCTATTGTGCATCTGGATGACATCACTGTTGTGTGTGAGTCCTTGGTCCCAATAATAGCCCAGCACAGAGGCGCCAGGGCATGCTTTCATATTCACATTCATGTGGACATAACAGGACTCCTGAACTGCATGCTTCCCCCAGTGACACACGCCCCATGCCTCCAGGCTGTGCACAGGCAATGCAGTGGCAGCCCAGAGGGAGAGGTGATTTACGGTGGCTCAGGCAGACACCACTAATACCGGCTTTTCATGTGTTTGACCAACAGCCTTTGCAGAGATGTGCATACAGGGCCCTAACTGTCCAGGAGCTGCTACGGACAGAGCCCGGTAATCCCGACGACTTAGTGGATCCTGTGCCTCCCAAGGGTGGCGCCCACGGTGACTGCACACTTGTCACAGACTGGCAGGCCATTTGTCTGCTGCAGCCCACCAAATCCCACAGATCCTTTTGGATCCTTTGCAGCAGGCTTTTCATACCTTGAGTCTTACTTAATGTTCACATGAAAAAGCAACTGCTGTTTGCTGTGCTCATAAAAGTCTTGTTAGAAATTAACACCTTGTGTGAATAAAAACATCAAGTAAGTATTTATCTGAGGTCTTTTGGAAAAAATAATCCCGTGGTTAAGGTTTTACAATAGGCACTGTAGTGACAGAGGAGTGCTCCCCAAAACTACGGGGCTCTGTGAACTGCCGGTGCGCAGCAAAGCGCGGCCCATGTGTGCAGCAGAGCGCGGCCCATGTGTGCAACCTCATTCCATTAGGAAAGGTAATAAAGAGGTCAAGGATCCTGATTTCTGTCTCCAAAGCCAGGTGTCTCTCAAACATGCGTCACTGATCACAAGTGGAGGTGAAGCAGTGAGAGTAATGAAAAGTAGTTGCAGCCAGGCACGGTGGCTCACGCCTATAATCCCAGCACTTTGGGAGGCAGAGGGGGGTGGATCACGAGGTCAGGAGTTCAAGATCAGTCTGGCCAACATGGTGAAACACCGTCTCTACTAAAAATACAAAAATTAGCTGGGCATGGTGGCGCGTGCCTGTAATTCCAGCTACTCGAGAGGCTGAGGCAGGAGAACCCGGGAGGTGGAGGTTGCAGTGAGCTGAGATTGCGCCATTGCACTCCAGCCTGGGCAACAGAGCAAGACTTCATCTCAAAAAACAAAAACAAAACAAAACAAAATGAAAAAAAAAACAAAAAAAGGAAAAGCAGTTGCTACTGCTACTGCACTGTGTATGTTTTTAAAAGCTCCTCAGTTTATAACCCCCAATGTTAAATCAATGAAACAAGCATATTCTTCCAATTACCCTCATATTTTTGATGTTCAATAAGACTAAAACAAAAAAAGATATGTAGTACCATAGTAAGCTGTCATCTGGAGGAATCAGGTCTTACATTTTATTAATCAGGAAAACTAAATGTACAATTGAGTAAATTCATGTATTTATGTCTCTGTGCCTTGTAGCCATGGCATTTTCAATGATAAATTTATATGCAGTCATCCTAGACCCTCTCCAGTCATGAGAAGAAGGCATGTACAATGTCTGGTGACTTCTGGTAATAGGCTAAAACACATTATATAAAAGCATAGGGTGTTCGGAAACTGGAGGTCAGCCTGATATAGTTAGAGTGAAAGATGGCACAGGGAAGGTTTGGGAGCCACAATATGGGTGGTTGGGAGTGTCACCTGAGTTCCCTAACTCCAGAGTTCTCAAATTCTCACCCACGACAGTCACCTGAGAGCTTTAAAAGATCTCGGTGCAAGGTCCCGTTCCAGACCTGGAAAGTGGGAATTAGCAGTTTTTAAAGCTTTCCAGATAATTCAACTGTGCTGCCAAATTTGAGACCCAATACTAGGCATACATGCTTTTCAAACTTTAATATTTGAAATCTTGACCAGCCTGGCCAGCACGTGAAACCTTGTCTCTATTAAAAATACAAAAAATTAGCCGGGCATGGTAACGTGCACCTGTACTCTCAGCTACTCAGGAGGCTGAGGCAGGAGAATTGCTTGAACCTGGCAGGCAGGGGTTATAGTGAGCCAAGATTGCACCACTGCACTCCAGCCTGGGTGAGAGAGTGAGACTCCATCAAAAAAGAAAAGAAAACAGAAGAAAAGAAATCTCCTGTGATCCTGTTAAGATGCAGACTCTGATTCTGCAGTTCTGGGGTGGGGCCTGAGAGGTTGCATTTTAGCAAGACCCCAGCTGATGTTGATACTGCTGGTCTATGGACAAGTTTGAGTTGCAAAACTGTAGAGAATGGGAAACCTCCAAACATTTCTGTGTGAGGGAGTGATGTAACCAAAGCTGAACTCTGCAAAGAGGAATCAAGCATCCCTTAGCAGAAGTAGACTTAAAGGGGAAGGAATGAGGTGGGAGACCATTAAAAAAGTTAATGAGAAGATGGGCTTGGAGAAGTCTGAATGATCCTGGTAGCAGGCTCCCTGTGGAGAAGTAACCCTATCACATTCAACGCCACTCTACAGGGGGCCGTTGCTATGGGGTGGGCTTGTAAAAGGCCCTACCAGGATCCCAAAGACCCTGTGAACTGTAGTCTACTTTGATATACAGTCCTTCCCGGCAGTCTGAGTTACCTGCACAGTACAGTGCCTTCCCTCTGCTTCCAGGCACATGGGCGAATTGCCTGTGCCCGCCCCTTAGCAGTTGGCAGGGCACGCAGGTGGTGTGGCTTCGTTCCCCGCAGCACAGCAGCCCCAGGAACAACCGAGAGAATAGATCCCCCACAGACCAGCTGTGTGTGAGAATGATGCAGAGGGCACCCCACCCACACATGGCCAGAGTGAGAAACACACTTCTGTTGGGTAAATTCACAGAGATTCTCAGGTGATTTGTTACTGCAACACAAGCCTGGCTGACCCTGACTGTTACACTAATCAGCTGGACCCACACCCTGTTGGCCAGTTCCAGGAACCTGGCAGAGGTGATCTGAGGCCTGGTGAGCCTGCTGGAGGACTGCCCAGATTCCATTTATATGGGGGATATTGCATGAGGATCTTGATCCTAGTAACTCACCTAACCTCCAGGACCACTGGCGAAACTTGGCAAGACCCCACATGTTAGAAGTGTTGCCTCAGCTCCTGAAGTTTTCCTTGTGATACAGTTTGGATACTTGTCCCTGCCCAAATCTCATGCGGAATTATAATCCCCACTGCTGGAGGTGGGGCCCGGTGGGAGGTGTTTGCCTCATGGGGGTGGATCCGTCATGGCGCAGTGCTGTTTTTGGGACAGTGAGTTCTCATGAGTTCTGGTGTGTGTGGCACCTCCCTCCCCCTACTCTCTCTCACTTGCTCCTGCTTTCACCATGTGACGTGCCTGCAGCCCCTCTGCCTTCCACCATGATTGTAAGCTTCCTGAGGCCTCCCTAGAAGCCGAGCATATGCCAGCATCATGCTTCCTGTACAGCCTGCAGAACTAAGAGCTAATTAAACCTCTTTCTTTATAAATTATTTAGTCTCAGGTATTTCTTTATAGCAATGCAAGAATGGCCTAATAAACCTTGCGAGTAAGATATTTCCTCAATCAGTGCTGTTGGCTGCGGTGCTTTACCTTTTCTTCCCTTGTCCTCCCATATCACAGCGAGTGAGAATTGGACATCTTTATTTGGCTTTCACTTCTGCTGTCTACTTCAACCCATGCTCCATTTTCTACATTGAGTTCTAACTAAAGAGCATGACACAATCTGTCGTTAAGAAAATTGAAATAATATTGGATTTTTTAAATTAAAAAAACAAGTGTTGCTTTTAAGTTGAGCATTTAGCTTGATATTCTCTTCAGACCTCTCACTTCATGCCAAACCAAAGAGAGTTCAGAGGGCTCTAACGTCACTCATCTAAACTTCACCCTGAAATGAGTTATTTGAAGTCTGCAAATGAATGTAAAACAGGTTCTGTGTGAACAAGGTATTAAAATAATGACCTGAAACTACTTCAAAGGTGAATCATCAATTTTAGTTATATCTCATGATTTTGCCTTTGTTTGTTGAAAGCCATACTTATTCCTCAAGTGAATAATGGGCAATGTCCTAGAAAAATATTCTTCTTGCATCAGACAGGATCAGGAAGTGGAAAGAGTATTGCATTGGATACTTGTTATTTTAAAATTGAATTAATGAAAAAAATAGACCCCGATTTTTCTTTGTAAAATGAAGGAGTAAGAAGACTTTCATCTCCAAAGTTTAATGCAATGATGGTTTAAGATTCCCTTCAATGGTGGATGTGACTCTATCTTGGCTGGAAATTTGAGTATTTTTCAAAAGAATTCTCAGATTCTCTTATACGTTGTCAAATTCTCCAGCCATCAGTCTGTTTCCTTTACCTCTTATATAACTCAGTTTTAAAAAGACAAAAGTCATTCTAATCAATCATCAGTTCAGCCATCAATTTCCTCTCTATGCTTAGACATAATCTTGCAATTGTTATCTGTATTTAAATTTGTAGCCTGTTAAAAATAAAGCCCATGTGAGTTTACTGGTATTTTCCAGATTTTGACAATGAATGTGTCACTTCAGTAAATAGAAAAAAAAGGTATTAACATATACAGGGAATTGGATAAGATTTCAGAAAGTATTTTTCCAAAAAAACTATTTTCTCCTATTTCTGCTAGGCTGAAGAACTCATCTAGCTAGAGAAACTCACTCCCAAGAGGTTCTAGTTGGTTTTGCTAAATTTTTTATTATCTTTACTGCTTATTAAGTCATTGATATCTGTTCACTACGGTTGGATAAGTTCTATCTGTCAACATGGGATGATTTACTTATGCTGCTTCCTGCAAATAGCGCCCTAATAAATGAATGTCCTCTACACTGTATTTTTAGAAATTAGCATTTTATTATAAAAGATGATACATGTTCATAGTAAAAAATTTAAATTGTATGCATATGAACTGCAAAGTAGACAATACCCCCAATTCCAGTCCTCAGTAGATAATAATTGTTAATGATTTCCCTTGTATCTTTGTAGATATTTCCTATGCACAAAAGTCTACATGTTTATACAAACAAAAAATGGAATAATTTATAGAATATTGTATACCTTAGTTCTTTCAATATATCTTTGTCTTCTTTACTTAATGGTGTATAGAACACTTTATAATGGCTACTTAGGGGGCATACCTATTATGGAATATTTAATTTCATATCTCTACTTGCTACACATGAGATCCAGAGCAAAAATGAAACAAAACAAAATATATGTGCCTTGCCCTATAAAAAAAATCTTAGCTAGGTGACACTTAATGAGACAAGCTGTATAAAGTGCTAAAATAAAAAACAAGATTCAAGTAAAAAAAAATAATAATGGCTACTAGTGTTTGGTAGTATAAACATTCTACAATTTATTTAATCAGTCATCTATTGATGAAGTTTCTGGCATGGCAATGAATAGAACAGTACCCATATCTTTGAATACCTATACTAAAATATTTGTGGAATAAACAAATGCTGAGTCAAAGAGTATGTGTATTTTCAGTTTTTATATAGAATTGTACCGATTTGCATGTCCACAGATAATGGAGATGGAGGGTACCTGTTGTCCTGCACGCTTGACGGCACTTAACATTATCCACTTCTAAAATCCTTGTCAAACCTACAGCTGAAAATGTAATTTGCAGCAAATAATTTGTATTTCTCTAATCACGAGTGAAGCTGAGCATCCCGTCCCATGTTCACAGCAGTCTGTATGTCTCGTGCTTACTGACTGTTAAAAAGTTCTTTGTTATGTTTTAAAAATTGGCCTTTTATCACAGCTTGGCAGTCTCCTTCCCCACCCCACTAGTTTGTTATACATCCCTGATCCAAGTTTTTGGTGCAGTTTTTTGAGCAGAAGCCTTCGATTTTTATGTGGCTAAATTAATCACTCTTTTCCTTTATGGCTTCTGAGGTTCCCATTAGGTTTACTTTTCCAAGAAAGGAAGAGCTGCTTCTAATTTAATCTCTATAATTGGCTGAGAGTAGGTGGAGAGGCTGGGTCCATTACTCACATACGGTGTGACCTTCTACAAGTTACCCATCCTCCCAGAACTTCAATTTCCTCATCTGGAAAATTGGGATAATAAAAGCTCTTTTAAAGGATTATCGTCAAGATGAAATAAAATCATGTGTTTACAACTGAGTGCACGGCACACAGGAAGTGCTCAGTAAGTGGTGGCTTTACTTCCCTGAGATTTTAAACCATCATCACTTAACAGCTCCAGCAAATGAGTCACAGACGTGAGGCAAATTCCTGTTACTCTGGAAGGCAGAGAGAGCACTGGGAATGACAGCGTACCGCCCGTGGGCCAGTCCCCGGCTTGCTGTGGCACTGCCACAAATGCTGCTGTTGTGTAACTTTCTAGGAAGCAGGATTAATTCCTAGCATGGTTCTTAAGTCACTTTGGGATCTAAGATGTTTCAATCATTCTAGGATTTGAGCTTCTTGAAAAGGCTCAGGACAAATGGCAGCGAAGGCTACGTGGATACACAGTTTGTGGGTGATTGTATGCATATGAACTGCAAAGTAGACAATACCCCCAATTCCAGTCCTCAGTAGATAATAATTGTTAATCATTTCCCTTGTATCTTTATAGATATTCCTATATCTATAAAATATCATCACCTTAACTTTCATGAGAATGAAAAGAAGAAATTGCTCAAGAAAAAAAACCAGAATTGAGACAAGAAATAAAAGTGTAAATGATTACATGGCACTTATATATATATCTGTTTTTTTCTTTTAGAGATGGGGTCTTGCTCTATCACCCAGGCTGTAGTGCAATGGTGTGATCATAGCTCACTGAGGACTCGAACTTTTCCAGGGCTCAGATGATCCTCACACCTCAGCCTCCCCAGTGACCAGGACTACAGACATGTGCCACCAAGTCTGGCTAATTTTTTTTTTTTTTGTAGTGGTATGTGTGTGTGGGGGCGTCTCACTATGTTGCCAGGCTTGTCTCATACTCCTGGCCTGAAGCGATCCTCCTGCCTAGGCCTCCAAAGGGCTGGGATTATAGGGATAAGCCACCGCACCTGGCCATTACATGGCATTCCACACAGGAGTCCTCCTCTGTCAAATGAGAACTCATAAGCACTACACATTGCTGAGTCCTGTAGAACATAGAGAGAAATACATACGTACACCTGGTTGAAGGTTGTGGG
The DNA here is from genome assembly GCF_000001405.40 of Homo sapiens. Taxonomy (NCBI): domain Eukaryota; kingdom Metazoa; phylum Chordata; class Mammalia; order Primates; family Hominidae; genus Homo; species Homo sapiens. Next base: position 21,241,767 of record NC_000013.11, read on the forward strand.
GAATATTCACACTTGGTCTCTTATCTGATTCTATTTATCATGGCTAAATAGGTAAAAAAATATAAAATATAAAAATTCTTTCAAAGAACTCAATTATTTAAAAAGCTTCTTACTTTAACAGAGAATAGAATCAAACTTTAATCAATTTTTATATGAAGGAATCTACTTTTCCCATAATTTCTAATCAATGTAACCTTCTATTATTCAGGAAAAAAGGTAGCTTAGATCTAAGGTATCATGATGTAACTGATTCAGAGCGGCAGTAGCTTTTTTGGTTGAATTTCAATTTCCAAATAGCTAGAAAACACTCCTTTTGGCTACCTGTTGTTAGCTTAGCATCAAGACTACTGCTCAGGTACACTGACCTTAGCTACTACAAGAAATGCTAAGGATTAGCTATATTCCTATTAACACGTTTTCAGATGTGTTTTCACCAGAGAACTCAACTCGTTTATTTCCTACAGAAACCTCTACATAGAGCACAGCACAATCTCTCAAATACAGCAGCCATGCTATCTTCCAACCTACGTGATCTTCCAGTGCGGCTTTGACAATCCTCCCTTTGAGAGGCGCAGGCTATGTCCTCTTGCCTTGAAAATGGGTGGGCTTTTATGACTGTTCCCACCAGGAGAGGGCAGCGGAAGTGATGCTATGTGACTTCTGAGGCTAGGTGACAAAGACAGCAGAGCTTCCACCTGCCGACTCGCACACTTGCTGTAATGTAAGGAAGCTAACAATTCAGAGGCCACTGCAGTGAGGAAGGCCAGGCCGCTTGGAGAGGTCAAATGTTCTCCAGCCATCACCCCAGCACGTCCCAGCCGACAGCCAGTGACAAGGCCCCAGCATCACAGAATGGAGACAAGGACACATGAGCATAATAAAATCAGTGCTTTATGTCACAAAGTTTTGAAACAGTTTGTTACATGGCAATAGCCAGAAAACACAGCCCTGCACTCTGATTGACACAGGACTCACCCACTGTTCTCCTGTCCCCGTGACTTCTCCACTGCCCTGAAATGCCATAAGAAATTTATCCCGAGCCTGAATAAAATGGAATCAAACATTTTCCTACAGGCTATTTTTTTTTCAATAACTTCCTCCCCAGATAACCCAAGGATTCAAAATGGTTTTCAGAGCCTCACCATTGTCTTCACTTGACAGGAAATATGTAGACAGCCTTTGTTCCCATGGAAAGTGTGAAGAACATGAATCTGACAAACCACACAGGAGGTAATTTCCTCTTGGCAGAGTTTTCCACAGGTGCTGAATTTCTTTAATTTATTTATTTTTGTGGAGAGGGAGGTGGAAGAGGATGGGCATAAAAAGACGACTACTGGCTCATCATTTCAGTTGGAAGGGTTTCTCTGCAACATTTTCTCTAGCTTTCTCTGCTTCACCTTCTCTTACAGGTATCACTTTGTCCCTGCACTGTGAAGATAACTGTCTGCTGGGTACGGCAGAGCACCTCTGTGTTTGGAAAGGTGCCAGCAGAGGCTGAGAGGCGGGAGGTGCAGTTCCTTCCTGGAGGAGCCATAGGGGTAACCTTCCAAGAGACACGGCTTCACGTGAGCTGGAAAACCTTGCATGGATACGCTTGTTACTCACTCACAGTTGGCAGGATCCTGTCTGTTCTGCCCACCCCTCCTCACTTGTTCTGTGTGCTGCTAATGGACCAGAACCACGGCAGTTCTCAGGACGGCTTTGGTCGGCTCGCCCTTTCTAGTACTGTGACAAGGAGATAAGGCAGAAAGCAGAGATGGGAGGAGGGTGAGGGCCAGAGGGAAGATTTGTGAGATGAGGCAGAGAGAGGAGAAGAGCCGATCGCCTTAAGAGGCTGGGCCATGAGCAGGCTGAGACCAGACGCTGTGTGGTCTGGTGTGATGGATGGTTGGTCCCTCACGCCACCAGCTGTGACTTCGAGAGGCCTGGGTACCTGCTAGGTCCTCCTTTCTGGGCTTTTCTCGCTCCGGGCCTGGTGGCAGGCAAGGAGTACTGACTGTGCTGTGAATATGAAATATTTCTTTGCTAAGGGAAAGCGAGGGGAGACAAAGCAGGATATGTCAACATCAGAGACAGTGTCTGCTGTCTTCCCCATTCTTATTGGCTATCGGTTGTTTTGAAATACGGGATCTCTCCAGGTGACTAGCATATGTGCTCTCAGCTCTAAATCAAAGGCACTAGATAAATCCAATAAACAAAGAAAGAGTCTGGCGTAGAGGCTCAGTCTATTTCAGGGTTGGCAGGTTGGTGAATTTTCCACTGTAAGATCACACCACTGTTTTCAAGGGATTTAAAATATTACAAGTGATAGTAGAGGCTGTGTCTCTAAAGATTTGAACCAATCAAAGTAAATCTGGCAGGATTGTTTTTTCTTGTTTTTTTTTTTTTTTTTTTTTTTTTTTTTTTCTGTTTTTTTTGGAGATAACGTCTCACTCTGTCACACAAGCTGGAGTACAGTGGTGTGATCATGGCTCACTGCAGCTTCAACCTCCTGGGCTCAAGTGATTCCCTGACCTCAGTCTTCCAAGTAGCTGGGACTACAAGCATACACCAGTATGCCTGGCTAATTTTTTTTTTTTTTTTAGAGATGGAGTTTTTCCATGTTGCCCAGGCTGGTCTCAAACTCCTGAGCTCAAGCAGTCTTCCCAGCTTGGCCTCCCAAAGTGCTGGGATTACAGGCGTGAGCCACCACGCCCGGCCAAATATGGCATATTTTAAAAGGCTAGAGCAGCGATATAAAAATATGAGCATCTACAAAATGTATTGTCTGCAAATACTTTGGCATCAATTGACCCATCTTAGACAGTCTTCCTTTTCTCTTCACTCATTCATTCAACAAATATTTATAGTACACTATGTGCAAAGAAACATGAAAGGCACACAAGATTAGTAAGATACTCTTTTTCCACAAGACATTCGCAAAGTGATGGGGAAGTAAGTATGGGTTAAATACATTTAAATATTTAATTTAAACATTGGTTACACTAAGTTAAGGAATGAAGTACAAACATAGTACTATAGGAATCCAAAGTGCAATCATGATCTGTTGGGAGGATCACAGTGAGGGGCTGTGTGAATTGATGATTGTATAATGGCAGGAGTGGAACGGGAAAGGATCCTCAGGGCAAGAAGAAATGAGTCCGGCAACAATATTCCATCAGCAAACCCTAGGAGGTAAAGCTAAGTTTCCTCCAAGCTCCACATGCCATGGTTTAGATGAATGAGGTTTAGTATGTCGAATGTGAAACACAACAGGTCATCCGAGTGGACATGCCAGCACACACCTGGATTGCCTATATCTGGAGGAGGCATTCAGGCCAGAGGCAAACCTCGTGAGAGCAGAAAAGTCACGTCTTGTTTTTCTGTGATCCTCCCCAAAGAATCCAACAGAGTGGTCACAACTGTGCTGAGAGAAGCTGATGTAAGTTGTGGAGGGGACATAAAATTTCTTCTCATATTCAATCAACTCTCAAATACAGAAAACTGACCACCTCATCTAGGACCACTTGGTTCTAGTGTTTTCCCTTGTTCCTGCTGTTTCTTGGCCTTAGTGTGACTTTCAGATACCTAAACTTCATTTAAGTATGGTATTATTTTCTCTAAGTTCCAGGAAATTAATTTATAACTTTGTCATAAAAGATGAAAAGGTAGGGTTTTCTTATCCAAGACTCAATGGCATTAACACCAAAAGAGTCCCTCATCCATTCCCAAAGGTCCAATAAACAGAAGTCTGGGTTTATTGTGAAAGTGTAATGTTGCACTTATTTTATTTATTTATTTATTTTTGAGACAGAGTCTCGCTCTATCGCCCAGGCTGGAGTACAGTGGCGTGATCTCGGCTCACTCCAAGCTACACCTCCCAGGTTCACGCCATTCTCCTGCCTCAGCCTCCTGAGTAGCTGGGACTACAGGCGCCTGCTACCACGCCCAGTTAATTTTTTGTATTTTTAGTAGAGATGTGGTTTCACCATGTTAGACAGGATGATCTCGATCTCCTGATCTCGTGATCTGCCTGCCTCGGCCTCCCAAAGTGCTGGGATTACAGGCGTGAGCCACCTGCCCGGCCTTATTTTCTTAAATCTACATGTTTTTTATGTGTGATTGATATGGATAATTTACACCGTATCACCAGAATACGTTTTCACAGCTCATCTCCATGACTGCTTAGTAATTTCTCATGGTTAATCCATTTCCCAGGAATTTCACTCTAAGCTTGCAATGTGCAAAGCAATGAGCTGTTAGGAAATTTAAAATAAGTAAGACATAGGTATTCTTCAAGAGGAGTTTGAAATTTAGAGAAAGAGAAAAGCCTAGAAATGTTTATAAGACATGATAGGCCAAATGCAAAAATGGAGCAAAATACCTCTTCCCTCAAAAAATTAAAGTGCTGGCCAGCTTCATTACAATGTACAAAGCTGTCCTTCCACTGACTAATATAAAGTCTACTGGGATGAGGACTGCACATATGGGATTGAGGGGTAAAAGATGAATGTGAATAGTGCATGAGGCCCATTTCCTACTCAAATCCATATCAACAGATGCTATGTTGGAATCTTTTTCTCAGAGATGGGGATGGATCTGAATGAATGTTCAGATCCCCAGCCTGTCTCTTCTCAAACAGTGAACACCTCTGTGCTAGATGACACCAAGGAACAGCTGGTAGCTGTGACCTCAGTAACTGTGGAGCACTGTGCTGGAGCCAAAGGGCTCTCAACCGGGCTGGGTGGGTACCTGAGACTCTTTTCAAGTGAATCTACATCTCCAGGAATAGCACCGGGCATCAGTCTCCTCTGAAAGCTCCACAGAGAACCTGGACACATACGGAGCATGGGGAAGCACTGCTCGAGCCTCATACAATGTGTTTTTTTCACTCTATAAAATGCTGCTGGTCATCTATGAATCATTCTTCACTCTCACATTTGCCTGCACTGAGATCCAGTCCAGTAGCACCATCAACTTTAAATATATTATCTAACATTACTGAGCACTTACAGTATGCCAGGTACTGAACTGAGGACCTTACATACATTTTGATATATAATCTTCAAAAACCACCTTAGGAGTTAAGTACTATACTGGTTTCCCAATTCATAGATGGAGAAACTGTAACTTGAAGTTAAGTGACTGTGCAGTCACATAGCTATGCAGAATGGAGCTGGGGATGGAAACGCTCTCTGCTCGGCATCCAAGTTTATGCCTCTAATCACTAGGATATAGCAGCTCATTTACATGTATGGAATATTCAGGTTTTTAATGTGCTCTGCATCTATGAACAAAAAGCTAGTTGACACATAATTATCCATAAAATAGAGAAAAATATAGTATCTACTTGGAAATGATTTACCAAAAGTTTATATATTCAGCATTTATTTTCATAAAATATTTTGCCACTTATCTCTGTCCAGTCTCAGCATCCAGCCTCTTAGCAGGATACCATTGGCGTTCCCAGATTCAGCAGATTGCAACGTGCTTCATCTAACACTTAAGGAATCACTGCAGTGAGCCTGCTGCATTATGGCACATCTGCAGAAGTAGCCGCACTCAGTGTACAAATCGAGCAGGCTCTGAAAAACATGACACTGCCAAGTGAAGCTACGCGGTTCTTGCTGTCTCCAAAATAAAAGATGATTCTTGTATCGTTCAAGAGAAGATTACTGCCAAAGACAAACTAGTATTCGGAGCTCTGTCCTCTGATAAGCATGTACTGCAATCCTGCCACATGAATACTAATTTTACCACTAAGGGTAGCTCTAGCTACCTGCCAAGTGCTGTCTTGGGGCTTTCTGTTAATCCTCACACCAACCCCTCATCAGAGCTGAGGAGACTGAGGCACAGCGAGGCTAAGAAACTTGCCCAGGGTTAAGTTAGGAAGCAGCCAAACTGGAGCTGGGGGACCTGGGTGGGGGGAGCTGGCTCCAGCTACTTGGCTTTTTACCACCCCCTCCCTGCAGACCAGGCTGTGTGACAGGCCTTGGGATTATAACGATATCAGAGATGCAGTTCCTTGAGAAGCGGAGAAACACACCCATCACCGTGGAGCTGGGACTTGGAGGGCCAGTTGTTTGTTTAAGTCTAAAGGAGCAACATAGTAAAGACTAACCTAAAACTGTCAAGAAAGACTATCAGGAAAAGTTCCCTTTCATAGAGTATTAATTCCTGGAAAATGGTCCCAAAGAGCTGATTGCCTATGGCGATGATGTGAATATAGAGAAAGGCATAGAGAAACAGGCAGGTGTGGCCTTGGGATGAAAACAGAACTGAAGGCTGTAATGTCAGGTTGCCTGGGGATCACAGATGAGGCAGCTGGATCCCCACAGAGAATTGCACCCGAAAGAACCTAGCAAGTCTGGAGCTTGGTGGACAATCAAATAAATGGTGATTACTGGGTAGGAAACACTTGGAGAAAGAGTCCTGTGATGGAAACAGAGGCCCAGTAGTCAGAACTAATGGAACCCATTGGTTGAACAGAAGACATGGGTTTTCTTTCTTCTTAGCAAGGGGAAAGGGCAGAGGTCAGAGCAAAGCTAAAAGGTGAGCAAGCTGGCAGGGGAGGGAGAGGGGAGTGCCCAGGAGCCCATTAGCAGAGGTCCCTAGGACTTTGCTTTTATATGCAGACACTGCAAAACTGACAGCTCATGAGCCAGTGTGCTGCTTTGTGTTTTAATCTGAACAATTTGTCTACAGGAAAATCAGGAAAGTTAACATCTTCCAGATTTCTAACTTATCTTTTAAAAAATAAAAGTCAAGGCAGATTGGCCTTGGGCTTCCAGGGGGCCACAGCGTGGTCCTGTGCAGGACAGGCTGGCAATGCCCTGCTGCCCATGCCCACACCACTTCCCCCTGCCCTTTACCCTGGGCGCCTTAACATGTTTGCATCCCCTGCCTGGCCCATGTACACAATTGAATAGGTGACCCTAAGTTCAGAGACTAAGAACAGGAGGGAATACGGCTGCCTTGGGGAAGAATAAGGACCCATGCTTCACAGTAAGGGGAATCTTCACTATGAAGAGGTCCAGCTGTCACCTTCATTGGGGAGTTAAAGGCCAGCGAGGACCACTAGCCCACGAGTGCTTCCAGCCTGCTCCTACCTCCCATTCCCACCACAGTCAGGGTTTTACCTATCTTAAAATTTGTTATTTCATAATTTACATATACTATCCCATTAAACAACATGTGTTAAAAGATATATTAGCTTAGTTAACAACCTTATGAGATAAATATCTTTGTTGCCCTTTTACAGATGAGAATATTGAAGTTTAGAGAGTTAAGTAATAAGCTCAAGGTCACACAATGGAGATTTGAACAAGGGCAGTCCACCTCCAGAGCTCATGAACTTGAGGTGGTATAGGATATTAGACCCAAAGAATGTTAATAGATGCTCTCTTTAAAAGGATTTTTCATGGTCAAGTAAGTTAGGGAAATATTCATTTCAGGTTTCTTTCTTAAGATTCTCAGAATCTTTAAAATACTAATGGGCTTTGTGAATCTTCAAGTAAGAAAATCTATGTCTCCAAATTGAGTCATGAAATCTTTGCCAGAAACACAGCATGGAATACACTGTGGTGGAAAGGATGACTTCTAAAGCAAGATGAATGAAAACTTGTAATTATGGGTTGAGCAATGTGGATTTTCTAAGCCAAATCAATTATTTGCAAACCTTATATTTTTGGAAACGGTACTTCAGGTATAGAAATCTATTAGCTTACGATCCCACCTTTTCCTCACTAACCTAAAATCTCAATTAAAATAAATCCTGTTGTTATGATTCCATTAATCTGAAATTCTATCAACTGTGACTCTAAAACTTCAACCATAGCAAGATAACAAAAAATAATCTCACATATGTATAGGATATTTTGACATTTACTGTTTTACATATTCCTTAATATAACCTTTATGAACTAGAAATGATTTTGTTTCCATTTTATAGATGAAGAAAATTAGCCCCAAAAAGGTTAAATGAATTGACAAAGGTCAAAGAGCAACCCAGTAAGTGACAGTACATCTTTAAATGTTGCCAGATATTAATGTACTGACTAAATACTAATACAGTTTTTATAATAAAAGCATTTAGTTCTCTTATCAGGAGATGATTCATATTATTAAGTCATATAGCTTCCATTAGCCACACATTTTGATAATTCCATTCCTCAACCTTGGTAGTTTATAGAGAATATATTATAATAAGTCTTCTAAGTAATGTGGCTTGGCATATCAGGATTACAAGGACTTTAAAACTCCAAAAAGCCAATCCTAAGGGCCAATACTCTTTAAAACAGAAACATGGCTACCAAGAATTTAAGGAAGAATTAACAACAACCCTTCTCAAACTATCCCAAACATTTTAAAAGGAAGGAGCACTTCCAAACTCGTTTTATGAGACAAGCATTATCTCATTCCTAAGTTAGATAAGGGTACTACAAAAAAAGAAAGAAAATTACAGACCAGTATTTTTTTTTTCCCATCTTACAATATATTCTGATCATCTTTCCAGGTAATCAAATATCCGGCAACATCATTTTAATGGTTGTTTGGCATCATTAGGGCATGAATTAATTGTCAGGCATATACATAGTGCCATTCATTTCATTAGAAAGAGAAGTGTCTCTATTTTTTTTTAAATTTTATTATTATTATACTTTAAGTTTTAGGGTACATGTGCACAATGTGCAGGTCTGTTACATATGTATACATGTGCCATGTTGGTGTGCTGCACCCATTAACTTGTCATTTAGCATTAGGTATATCTCCTAATGCTATCCCTCCCCCCTCCCCCCACCCCACAACGGTCCCCAGAGTGTGATGTTCCCCTTCCTGTGTCCATGTGTTCTCATTGTTCAATTCCCACCTATGAATGAGAACATGCGGTGTTTGGTTTTTTTGTCCTTGTGATAGTTTGCTGAGAATGATGGTTTCCAGTTTCATCCATGTCCCTACAAAGGACATGAACTTATCATTTTTTATGGCTGCATAGTATTCCATGGTGTATATGTGCCACATTTTCTTAATCCAGTCTATCGTTGTTGGACATTTGGGTTGGTTCCAAGTTTTTGCTATTGTGAATAGTGCCACAATAAACATACTTGTTCATGTGTCTTTATAGCAGCGTGATTTATAGTCCTTTGGGTATATACGCAGTAATGGGATGGCTGGGTCAAATGGTATTTCTAGTTCTAGATCCCTGAGGAATTGCCACACTGACTTCCACAATGGTTGAACTAGTTCACAGTCCCACCAACAGTGTAAAAGTGTTCCTATTTCTCCACATTCTTTCCAGCACCTGTTGTTTCCTGACTTTTTAATGATCGCCATTCTAACTGGTGTGAGATGGTATCTCATTGTGGTTTTGATTTGCATTTCTCTGATGGCCAGTGATGATGAGCATTTTTTCATGTGTTTTTTGGCTGAATAAATGTCTTCTTTTGAGAAGTGTCTGTTCATGTCCTTCGCCCACTTTTTGATGGGGTTGTTTGTTTTTTTCTTGTAAATTTGTTGGAGTTCATTGTAGATTCTGGATATTAGCCCTTTGTCAGATGAGTAGATTGCGAAAATTTTCTCCCATTCTGTAGGTTGCCTGTTCGCTCTGATGGTAGTTTCTTTTGCTGTGCAGAAGCTCTTTAGTTTCATTAGATCCCATTTGTCAATTTTGGCTTTTGTTGCCATTGCTTTTGGTGTTTTAGACATGAAGTCCTTGCCCATGCCTATGTCCTGAATGGTATTGCCTAGGTTTTCTTCTAAGGTTTTTATGGCTTTAGGTCTAACATGTAAGTCTTTAATCCATCTTGAATTAATTTTTGTATAAGGTGTAAGGAAGGGATCCAGTTTCAGCTTTCTACATATGGCTAGCCAGTTTTCCCAGCACCATTTATTAAATAGGGAATCTTTTCCCCATTGCTTGTTTTTGTCAGGTTTGTCAAAGATCAGGTGGTTGTAGATATGTGGCATTATTTCTGAGGGCTCTGTTCTGTTCCATTGATCTATATCTCTGTTTTGGTACCAGTACCATGCTGTTTTGGTTACTGTAGCCTTGTAGTAGAGTTTGAAGTCAGGTAGCGTGATGCCTCCAGCTTTGTTCTTTTAACTTAGGATTGACTTGGCGATGCAGGCTCTTTTTTGGTTCCATATGAACTTTAAAGTAGTTTTTTCCAATACAGACCAGTATTTCTAATGAACATGGATGCCAAAATTCTCAACAAAATACTAGTCAACTGAATTCAGTTGCACATTAAAAGGATCATACACCATGATCACGTGGAATTTCTCCCTGGGATGCAAGGATGGTTTAACATGCACAAATAAATAAATGTGATTCACCACATTAACAGAATGAAGAATAAAAATCATGCGATCATCTCAAACGATGTAGAAAAAGGATTTGACAAAATGCAACCCTTTCATCATAAAAACACTCAATAAATTAGACACAATAAAAGCCATATATGACAAGCCCATGGTAAACATCACACTCAAAGTTGAAAGGCTGAAAGCTTTTCCTCTAAGATTATGGAAAAGATAAAGATGCCTACTCTTGCCACTTCTATTTGACATAGTACTAGAGGGGCTAGCCAGAACAATTAAGCAGGAAAAAGAAGTAAAAGGCATCCAAATATGGCAGGAAGATAAATTGTCTGTTTGAAGATAATATGATCTTACTTATAGAAAACTCTAAAGATCCCACCAAATATCTGTTAGAACTAATAGACAAATTCAGTATAGTTGCAGGAAACAAAAATCAACAAACATCAGTTGTGTTTCTATACACTAATAATAAACTACCTGAAAAAAAATCATTATGGAAAATAGTATGGCGGTTCCTCTGTAAATTGAAAACAGAACTACCATATGATCTAGCTATCTCACTTCTAGGTATATATTCAAAGGAAATGAAATCAGTATTTAGAAGAGAGCTCTGTACCCCATGTTCATTGCAGCATTAGTTATACTAGCTAATACCTTGAAACAGCCTAAGTGTCATTGATGAATGAATAAAGAAATTGACATATATATGTATGTGTATATAAGTGTGTGTATGTAAATATAAGTAAATATGTGTGTATATATTCTATATATAATGGATTATGATATTGAAATATTATATGTATAATGGAATATTATACATATAATATGTTGGAATATTATTCAGCCACAAAAAGGAAGGAAATCCTGCCATTTGTGACAACATAGATGAACTTGGAAGACATTATGCTAAGTGAAATAAGCCAGACATATAAAGACAAATACTACATGATCTCACTTATATGTGAAATCTTTAAAAAGTCGAACTAATTGAAGCAAAGAGTAGAAAGGTGGTTGCCAGGGGCTGGGGGTGGGGGAATGGGGAGGTGTTGGTCAAAGGGCACGAACTTCTAGTTATAAGATTAATAAGTTCTGGGGATCTAATATACAGTATGGTGACTATAGTTAATAATACTGTATTGTTTACTTGAAATTTGATGAGAGCACACTTTAATTGTCCTTACACACTCACACACACACAAAAATGATAACTGAGTGGTGATGGATATGTTAATTAATTTGATTGTAGTAATCATTACACAAGGTATGCAGACATCGCATCATCCCATTGTATACCTTGAATACATAAATGTTTGTCAATTAAATATTTTAAAATAAAAAACAGTAAAACAGAAATATGAAGATTTTTACTTTTAGTCTACAGAAAAGTAAATATTTATTTTCCCCACAGAATTCTGCTTTCTTTTCCTATATAGCTTACATATCTGAATCTTAAAGACCTTTAGCACCATGTTTTGGTATGAAAAAGAATATGGGAAGAAGGACATTACAATAAGAAAAATAATGCATTTTTCTTCTCTATGCTGCCTCTTGTCACTCAGTTTCTGTGTAACCTAATTCTTATTCTGATCGGAGAAGAAGGAACTGAAAATCAGGATTTTATGAACACCATCGATATCTCCCCACTCTCCGGCAAATGCACAAACACAGTCCTCTGGTTCCTAACGATGCATTTCACAGATGAGTTTCCCTGGCTGCTCTCCATGCAGATAATAAATAAAGTAACTTTTGTTTTGAGAGATTTATTTCGAAGACCTCTTCATTAAACACTATTTGGGGGCAGATGCGTACCTATGGAAGGTGAAGAAAAACATGCTGATAAAATAGCCATCAAGGAAATGTGCCACTGACAAAATCTAACATGGTCTGTCTTCAAAGAATACATTTAAAATACAGAAACATACACACATGCACAGGCACACACGGGAAGGAGAGAGGGAAGAGGGGAGAGAAAAAGAGAGAGGAAAGCTGGAAGGAGGAATTAATTTTAAAAAGACCTTTGAAACCACATTTAAAATATATGAAATTCCGAAATTTGGAAGTAATCATTACTTCCAAATACGGCTGAGTGTTGAAAAGTCAAACCAAAAGTCTGCTTGTTTGTTCTGATGGTGGGTTGCTGAGGTGGAGAAGAGATGATGCTGCTGCAAAAATTACCCAATTCTTTAAGGGGGTAGTAATTTTGCTTTTTTTAATCTTACAGCTTGGATGAATGGGTTTATAAAACTAAAAGGAAGAAAGTAGAATTCTGACAGGCAGTGGGAAGGGGCTGACTCTACGCCAACTTCTTATGTTGTCAGGCAGGAACTCACGGGCCGCAGGGTCCTCATCCGAACACTCAAGGGGTGTGTGTGTGTGTGTGTGTGTGTGTGTGTGTGTGAGAGAGAGAGAGAGCGAGAGAGAGAGAATATCGGGGGGAGCTAGCTAAGTGGAGAAACTAGAACTAATGGCTATTCCATTACAGAAACAGAGATACCTCCTGGAAAAATCCTTCCTTCCATTTTTTAATCCATCAAAAATTGGATAAAAAAGGCCATTGAACCTTTAAGAAACAGCAATAGTCTCCTCAGGAAATAAGTGAAAAATGCATCATATTTAGGGACACAAAGAAGGACTCTTCCAAAACAGACGTCCACAGTGAGAATAGCCACTTGCCTGTGCCCGGGATGGAACAGACTGCAGGGTTATCACATTCAGGAAGGGTATGAACCAGACTGCCTGGGTTTAACCTGGCTTCCTCGCTTACTTTCAGAGTCCTGTGGCCTTGGGACTGTTATCTAACCTTTCTAGGTCTCAGTTTCCTCATCTGTAAAATGTGAACAGTAACAATATCTATGTAACAGGATTTTTTAAAATACGTGAAATGCTTAAAACAGTACCTGGAAGTAAGGCTTAAGGATCTGTTAAACAAACAAACCACTCTAATTGTAAATATAGACAGGTTGACTGAGCTGGTTTCTGTTACAGAACAATTTGATTTATTAATAATGTAAATGGCAGCCATGTTTCTCTGGAAAATTTTAAGCTGCCATACAAATGAAATCTCTTGGAAGTAGAGCTGTCTTTATTCATTTTATAAATAGGGAGACTGGGACACAGTAGGGAACACTTATGTACGAATCTTCCACAAATTCTGCAGAATGCCTCTCACCTGGCTGCAGGTGCTCAGTAAACACTGGTGGACTGAGCTGAATTTCCAGAGGTCCAAGACCTAGCTGCCCATGCAACCAAGATAGAAATGTTCTTCTTTATTCTAATTTCACTCATTTTAGAGATTCTAATTGCTAAGGAAGAACAGTGATGTATTAGGCATACTGACCATTTTGTTTTTACAATTACTTTTTAAGCATGAGAATTATGTATTGGACACAGGGAGCACTCATCCATCGACTGGTAAGATGTTTGTTTAGAGAATGTCACTGGTCTAACAATGAATGAATGAGGGCTGGAAATCACCAGACACACAGCCACAGCACATTTATTTCTTACAGCCCATTAGGCCTTGGCTCCATTTTAATACAACTCAAATGTCTCTATGTGAGCGTCACAGCTCACCCTGCAGGCAGGGCAACACATTCAAGTAGTCAAACATCAACCATCATGGAATCTGCAAGTTCAACACTGTTGCAACCACAATAATATCATAAACTTTAGTATTCCATGTCTCAGAGTTTAACATAAAGAGCTATGTTGCTGAAAGTGCAAACAAAATTTTTTTAACTTTGTAGAAGGTCAGTTTTTTAATTTGGTGAAATCTGACTAAAAGTTAGCCCAGCCATGGAGAGTTTTACATTGATATATACACACAAACTTAGGTAGAAATGGCTCTGCCAGAAATTGTCAGCATAAAGTACATGAAATTTTTAATAAGTGACTGTTTTTTGATACCTAAAAAAGCAATTTCATATGGGCCACCTGATAGTTGTGTAACGTAAGACAGATTTTGAAATTCTCTAAACATCAGTTTCCTCACCTGCAAAATGGGACACTCTTAGTACTTTCTTTACGGTGTTATTGTAAAGATTCTAAGAAATACATGAAAAGTTTTTAGTGTAGTCACCGTGGGTCCATAAGTACTAAGTCATTATTTGTAGTCATAATATTAGCATCTGGTTCTGACGCTAAACTGAAAGTATTTTACTGTGACCATTTTTAAAAGTGCATCAGGAATTAAGGGCCTGGCTCCTCAGAAAGAACCCCTTCATGCCCCAACCTGCAGAGGCAGGACACCTCACGATGCCCTTCTTTCTTTTCACTCCCTCTTCAGCATTAACAGTGGTTTCAACAAAGCAGTTGTCAGCTGGAGGGGGGTGCCAGGGTTCAGAGCAAACAAGTATACCCAGCAACTGGCACACACCTGCTGGAAACTGCCTGTGTGAGATGCTGAGGGTTCTGCTGCCCTCTGGGACGATGTTCAACTTCTTCAGGAGCAGCACTAGCCAACATATGACAGATTTTGGTTTTTTAAGAAAAAGCAAAATATAACTCATCTAAAGGCTTTCTGAAATCCCCTTGCTGCCCACGATGGCCGACGCTCATTTCTCTATGTGTGTGCGTGGGTTTTGTTTTTAACTTCTTTTTGTATTCCTAGTCAAGAGAGCACTAAATGTTCTGAAACTGTTTCTTGGGCGTTGCTTTTCTCTCCTCAGCTGCACTTGGTGCTAAGTCAGGAGCCATCCCTGGTGCTGGGCACATACCAGGCTCTCAGTAAACAGATGCTGAATAATTGATGCTGCAAATCCAGTTGTGAAAATGGCTTCTTGGCCTCTGTAATTTTGCACACTTTTAAGGCTGCAAGCCTTCAAAACAACAATCATGGGCCTTTTCAGCTTCCTGTAAACTCTGTCATGCTGCCGTGAATTCCAAATTCTTAATTTTATGCACACAGAGGGAAAACTTTCCAGAACCAATGAATAGACAACTTTCCCAAAGGTCCTGTTTATCTTTCATACTAAACAAATATGGTTTTTGGCAACCTAAGTCTTCCACTAATTGTGCATACTGACAGATAGATATTTATATCCACAGATAGTAACAGAGGACAGGAACCAGTATCCAATATGGATGTGAAGAGGGCTGCCTGGACTGGGAAGGGTGAGGCCTCTCCCTGAGAATGGTTTCCCAACTTTCATCTCATGAATGGCAGTGCCCAGAGCATGACGATCAATCACATCCTCCTAGCACTGTCTAGCACTACCCCTTCACACAAAGCCATCTCTCAGGCAAGGTCTCAGTTACCCTGGTGATATGAGTGAGGGAGGCATTATACCCACTTTACAGAGAGAAACTGAGGCAAACGTGGCTGCAGAGACATATGGGGGCTGCTGCTGCTGGCCATGTGGGTATCTGGGTTTTAGGTGGGTGCAGCTGTTAGGACAGGGGTACCTTGTCTCTGTGTGGTTGTTTTTCTGGTTGACCAGACTACAGTATAATAAATATGCCTCAGAGTGCCTCCATTTCTTCAAATGAAAAATGAGAATAACACAATCTAGAGAATCAAACCATCTTAAACTCTACCCTTTCTTTCTTTCCTTTTTTTTTTTTTTTTTGAGACAGAGTCTCGCTCTGTCACCCAGGCTGGAGTGCAGTGACATGCTCTCGGCTCACTGCAACCTCCACCTCCTGGGTTCAAACGATTCTCCTGCCTCAGCCTCCTGAGTAGCTGGGATTACAGGCACGTGCCACCACGCCCAGCTAATTTTTGTATTTTTAGTAGAGACGGGTTTTCACCATGTTGATCAGGCTGCTCTCGAACTCCTGACCTCGTGATCCACCTGCCTAGGCCTCCCAAAGTGCTGGGATTACAGGCGTAAGCCACCGCACCTGGCCTATGCTTTCTTTCTATAGGCCCTATGTTCTGACAAAGCAAAAGCAGGCAAAACTAAAGGCAGAAAACAACAACAACAACAAACAAACAAAGCACAAGATAGGATGAGTAATTGATACAAATGTGAGGGCAATTTTTTTAAAAACTATTTTATTTTTAAGTAGATTTGCAGAGATGCGTAAAGTCTTAATTGCATCATTAATAAGTGACAGCATTGCCATGGTGATTACTTATTTTCAGAAAAGAAATAACCATAGAGAAATCATTAATAACTCAACAAGATACAAGGTGCTGGTCAGGGACTGTCAGGCACACATATCTCTCCACATGCAGTATAAAGCATGTTCTAATGGACAAAGAAAAATATTGGTTTGGGGGAAAAATAACTTGGTCCTTCTGCTAAACCCAGATAATAGGCATTACAACCTCGTAATAGTCTGGGCACGGTGGCTCATGCCTATAATCCCAGAGCTTTGGGAGGCTGAGGCAGGCAGATCCCTGAGGTCAAGAAGTCAAGACCAGCCTGGCCAACACGGTGAAATCCCATCTCTACTAAAAATACAAAAATTAGCTGGGCGTGGTGGTATGCACCTGTAATCCCAGCTAGCTGGCGTGGTGGTGGGCACCTGTAATCCCAGCTACTGGGGAGGCTGGGGCAGGAGAATTGCTTGAACCCAGGAGGCAGAGGTTGCAGTGAGCCGAGATCGCACCACTGCACTCCAGGCTGGGTGACAGAGCAAAACTCTATCTAAAAAAAAAAAAAAGAAAAAGAAAAAGATGGGCAAAATCATTGGTAAAATGTAAGAGCAGTGAAAAACGTGTTTTGAAATATTTATTTACACCTTTAAGTACATACAGCAACTCCTAGCAAGGCAAGAAGAAGTTTATACACAAGCCCTAATATACTCATTTAAATACATGTAAAGCATTTATTTAATACACTAACATGGACATTTATAGCTATAATAGTTAAGGCAATGTTTTCTATATATCAGGTACTGTGCTAAGAATTTTGTGTGTACTGAAACTCACTAATCTTCACAAAACCTTATCCTCCACGTAAGCATTAACATTATTCCCATTTTACAAATGAGAAAACAGGCCAGAGAAATGTCATAAGGCAGTAGAGTTGGGACGTGAATTCAGGCAGTCTGGCTTTAGAGCTCATGTCTTAACACTATTTTCTTTTTGCTTAGTTATCTTTTTATTGGAAAATAACTTTCTAAAACAAACTGAAAAGGTACTAATTCCACCTTCCAGCCCCCACCCCGTGAATCCAGGCTTTTTCATGGCCAGTCACACATGGAGCGAGACACAAGCTGGGTACCGTGAAGAGGAGTTTGGTTGAACATATAACCTCAGCTCAGCGCAGCCCAGAGTTCACTCCCTGCCCAGTGAGAAGGAGCCACTGTGTGAGCTGCTACCGGGGACGGGGTGCGGGGGGGGGGGGGTTAGGGAGCAGCGGCTGGGGGCCCTGGCTGATAACTCCCTCTTGGACACCAGCACCAAACAGGTGCTGAGGAAGAAGGTATTGGGGCAGACACAAGAGGACTTAACTATTATTCATTATTATCCAAATGAAATGGAAGTGTTATCACATTTCAGGAAACATTAAGATTAATATTTGCAAGAGAACACAATAAAAGATACAACGGCAATCTAATTACTTTTTGATCCAAAGCTACTGTTAGATATTGGTATATCCTACTTTCCGCCACCGCGCCCGACCACTTAGTTCTTGAAATTGTCGAATGCGGCGGCAGGGAGGCGGGCGGGGCGGGCTGCAGGCGGGGTCTGGCTCTGGGGCCAGTCTGGGCCACGGTCGGGACCCAGTGGAGGGCCGGACTGGTCAGGGTTCAGGCGGGATCCGGCGTCCGAGTTCTGGTGGGCAGGCCTGGGGCAGGATCTGGCTCTGGCTGCGGGTCCTGGCCCGGGTCAGGGTTGGGCCTCCTATCCAGCCCGCCCCAGGGCAGGGTTCAATCCCGCACTTGCCGAAGTCCCTGGGGCTGGCAAGGGTGCAAGACGCGGAGGGCTCTATGTCGGGAAAGGGGCTCTGAAGACCACGTGGGGGCGCTCTAAGGGGTCTGGGGCCACCCTGCTCTCTGGGTCAAAGGTCATCGCAATGGCCGGGAAGAACTTCCTCTTCCTTGGCTCTCCCCACTTACTTCCTGATAACCTGGTAGCGGTCTCCCGCGGGCGTCGGGGCTTGGGGGGAGGCGTAGCAACTTCAGGGAACTTCCCAAAGGTGTGCGCAGGTTGGGGGGCGGGGCGCGGCGCCCCGGGAGGTGGCGGCCTCTGCGACAGCGGAAGTATAAGAGTGGACCTGCAGGCCGGTCGCGAGGAGGTGGAGTGGGTGGCGCCCGCTTTGTGCCTGGGATCGGCATGCTGGGGCAGGAGGGCAGCCGCGTGTCAGGTGACCAGAACCATGTCCAGCCAGGTGGTGGGCAGTGAGCCTCTCTACATCATGGCAGAGCCGGCCAGGCCTGACAGTCCAAAGGGCTCCTCGGAGACGGAGACCCGAGCCTCCTGTGGCCCTGGCCCCTGGTCCAGCTCCCACCCACTGCCTCCCAGGCCACAAGGAAGAGGAGGATGGGAAGGGGCTGGGCCTGGCGAGCTGGGCGGTGGGAAGCTGGTGCTCAGCTTCCTGTCCAAGAGCCTCTGCCTGGTCTGTGGGGACGTGGCCTCCGGCTACCACTACGGTGTGTCATCCTGTGAGGACTGCAAAGCCTTCTTCAAGAGGACCATCCAGGGGAGCATCAAGTACAGCTGTCCGGCCTCCAACAAGTGTGAGATCATCAAGCGGAGACGCAAGGCCTGTCAGGCCTGCCGCTTCACCAAGTGCCTGCGGGAGTGCGCCTGGATCGCGTCCGGGGTGGGCGGAAGAAGTACAAGCGGTGCCAGAGGTGGACCCGCTGCCCTTCCCGGGCGCCTTCCCTGCTGGGCCCCTGGCAGTCGCTGGAGGCCCCCAGAAGACACCCCAGTGAATGCGCTGGTGTCTCATCTGCTGGTGGTTGAGCCTGAGAAGCTCTATGCCATGCCCGACCCCGTGGGCCCTGATGGGCACCTTTAAGCCGTGGCTACCCTCTGTGACCTCTTTGACCGAGAGATCGTATTTACCGTCAGCTGGGCCAAGAGCATCCCAGGCTTCTCATTGCTGTCGCTGTCTGACCAGATGTCAGTACTGCAGAGCGTGTGGATGGAGGTGCTGGTGCCCGGTGTGGCCCAGCGCTCACTGCCACTGCAGGATGAGCTGGCCTTCACTGAGGACAGAGTCCTGGATGAAGAGGGGGCACGGGCAGCTGGCCT
The DNA here is from genome assembly GCF_000001405.40 of Homo sapiens. Taxonomy (NCBI): domain Eukaryota; kingdom Metazoa; phylum Chordata; class Mammalia; order Primates; family Hominidae; genus Homo; species Homo sapiens. The sequence continues at coordinate 21,261,217 of NC_000013.11, forward strand.
GGGGGAACTGGGGACTGCCCTGCTGCAACTGGTGCGGCGGCTGCAGTCCCTGCGGCTGGAGCGAGGGGAGTACGTTCTACTGAAGGCCCTGGCCCTTGCCAATTCAGACTCTGTGCCCATCGAAGATGCCGAGGCTGTGGAGCAGCTGCCAGAAGCTCCGCACGAGGCCCTGCTGGAGTATGAAGCCGGCCGGGCTGGCACCGGAGGGGGTGCTGAGCGGCGGCGGCCAGGCAGGCTGCTGTTCACGCTACCGCTCCTCCACCAGACAGCGGGCAAAGTGCTGGCCCATTTCTATGGGGTGAAGCTGGAGGGCAAGGTGCCCATGCACAAGCTGTTCTTGGAGATGCTCGAGGCCATGATGGACTGAGGCGAGGGGTGGGACTGGTGGGGGTTCTGGCAGGACCTGCCTAGCATGGGGTCAGCCCCAAGGGCTGGGGCGGAGCTGGGGTCTGGGCAGTGCCACAGCCTGCTGGCAGGGCCAGGGCAATGCCATCAGCCCCTGGGAGCAGGCCCCACTCCCTCCCCTCCCCCCTCCTAGGGGATGTCAGAAGCTGGAAACGTGTGTCCGGGCTCTGGGCACAGTGCTGCCCCTTGCAAGCCATAGCGTGCCCCAAGAGTGTAGGGGGCCTTGCCGAAGCCACAGGGGGCTGCAGGGGATGTGTGGGAGGCAGAAGCCTATCTCAGGGAGGGAAGGGGATGCAGGCCACAGTCTCCCAGTGGGTGATGCTTTTGCTGCTGCTTAATCCTGCCGCCTCTTCAGAGCAGAGTGGGACTCGGAGAGCAAAGGCCCATGCTCCCTTTGCTCCTCCTCTCATCATTTGCACTGGGCATTAGTGCCCCCCCTTGAAGCAATAACTCCAAGCAGGCTCCAGCCCCTGGACCCCTGGGGTGGCCAGGGCTTCCCCATCAGCTCCCACCCAGCCTCCTCAGGGGGTAGGAGAGCACTGCCTCTATGCCCTGCAGAGCAGTAACACTATATTTATTTTTGGGTTTGGCCAGGGAGGCGCACGGACATGGGGCAAGCCAGGGCCCAGAGCCTTTGGCTGTACAGAGACTCTATTTTAATGTATATTTGCTGCAAAGAGAAACCGCTTTTGGTTTTGAATCTTTAATGAGAAAAAATATATATACTATCGAGCTCAAAAAGAAAATTGTGGAATGCATGATTGACAATGTATTTTTTATTTCTATTTTTTCAAGTAACATCAGTATTGTTTAACTATAGCCAGCACTGACTAAAATTTTTATATTTTCAGAGTTGAAGTCGGTGAAGACATTCATGATTTAAACACCAGATCCTGAAAGGCATTAAATCTACTTTGAAATGAATCTGCAATCAGTATTTCAAAGCTTTTCTGGTAATTTTAGTGATCTTATTTGACTAGACTTTTTCAGAAGTACTAAATAAGGAATTTTAACAGGTTTTTATTAATGCACAGATAAATAGAAGTATAGTGAGGTCTATAGCCATTTTATTAAAATAGCTTAAAAGTTTGTAAAAAAATGAATCTTTGTAATTACTTAATATCTTAGTTAAGAACCCATCAAGCTTATATTTGCTGGACTTACAACTTATTTTAAATGCGTTTATCTTTTTTGACACTATTCAGTGGAATGTGTAAGCTAGCTAATTCTTGTTTTCTGATTTAAAGCACTTTTAAATCTTATCCTGCTCCCTAAAAACAAAAGGTTTTGATCACAAGGGGAAATGTAAGAATGTTAACCCTGTTTTTCAGAAGGGCTACTGTTAATTGCACATAAACATGAAATGTGTTTTCCCACTGTCTCACAGAATGCAACATTTCTTGGGAGAAACCTGACCAAAACTAGCAATATCGACAACTCTAACAGATTCCAGACAAAATTCAAACTTAATAGTGGTAAAGAAACAGGTTGTTCACTTGTCGAGGTGCAACAATTCTTAAGACTTCTGTTTGAAATTGCTCAATGACTAGGAAAAGGTGTAGTAGTTTACCAAATTTGTTCTTCCACCATATCAAAGTAAACAATTCATGCCTTTATAGGGTCAGGCCTACAATTAATAGGTATGGTGGTTCACAGAATTTTAAAAATAGAGTTAAAGGGAAGTGATGTACATTCTGGGGGCATTAGGGTAGGGAGATGAATCAAAATATTCCCTTAGTAATACTTTATATTTAATACTGCAAAAGCTTTACAAATAGAAACCATGTAATTACCTACTTTAGTTCTTTTGTCATAAAAACAGTCCCTTGGTTTGTTGGATTGTAGCTATTACTTATACAGCAACACTTCTTCAATTAGCAGTCTAGGCATTTTATAAACAGAAATCTTGGACCAATTGATAATATTTCTGACTATTAATATTTTAGTGCTATAAAATACTATGTGAATCTCTTAAAAATCTGACATTTTACAGTCTGTATTAGACATACTGTTTTTATAGTGTTTTACTTCTGCCTTAAGATTTAGGTTTTTTAAGTGTATTTTTGCCCTGAATTAAGTGTTAATTTGGTATAAACTCTGCTTTTAAAAATCATCATTTACTGGGTTCTAATAAATTAAAAATTAAACTTGAAAAAAGAAAGAATAACACTATTTCTCAGGTGGAGAAACATTCCATCTTTCCAAGATGTCCTTCCTTAGTGTTCTGACGGTATAATAGTTGAATATTTTAATATTCCATCCTGTCATTGGCCTGGATCCTGCTTACAATGTGGTGGTTGTTATAAGGAAAACTTGGCACTGTAACATCCCCCCAAACTGGGAAAGCGTCGAGAGACCAAAGAATAATATGGGCAAGTCCAGCTTGATGAATAGATGAGTTTACTAGGACTTACATACTGGACATTCCTAAGCAGCTCTAGAGTCACCCTGCCTCCCGTCTCTAAGCTGCCTTTCAGCTAATGTTCTGACTGTTTGCCTACTCTGTGTGCACGATGACAGTGTTTTCTTTGACATGTTCTCAGGTATGCCCTGGGATGTTTGGGTTCTCAGGGATCCCTGCTCCTCAGCTGGGCACCAGGGCCTTGACTCCCTGCCCAGCATTCAGGATCCAAGCAACACATGTACACTCTTAAGTAACCTGGTGGGGGACACATCACACTACAGTTGTCAATATTGCTAGTTTTGGTCAGGTTTCCCCCATGAAATGTTGCATTCTGTGAGACAGTGGGAGGTAAGTACTACCAATTACCGAATCCAGAGGTTCAGATTAGCTACTAATTTGGATTAGAACATTAATAATCAACTACCATTTACAGTGTACCTCTATGCTATTACATAAAGATATACTGGTTCCTGCCCTTAGGCAGCTTACTGCCTAGAAGAGGAGATAGCATTTATAAAAAAAACTTACTGAAGTGACTTAGTGATTGTTCAGGAGATGGGAAGAACATTCAAGGAATATATTTAACAGACTTGTAGTGTTTTCTTTGGGTAAGTAATTTGCCATTTTAAGTCTAAAAGAGAAATAAGAGTGTCCTCTTGCTTGACATTAAATTTGGTTTACCAGTAAAATCAATGAAGAAACTCAATACAAATGGTCTCCAGTGTATAAATGATGAGCATTTCTAAAGAATAGAAGTAAGTTTTTTGGATCTTGGTAGAAATAATGTTGTATATGGACTTGGGAGGCTGAGACAACAGGATGGCTTGCGACTAGGAGTTCAAGACCAGCCTGGGCAACATAGTGAGCCCCTTTCTCTAAAAAATAGAAAAAAATTATCCGGGCATGGTGGTACATGCCTGTAATCCTAGCGACTTGGGAGGTTGAGGTGGCAGGATCACTGGAGCCCAGAATTTGAGGCTGCAGTGAGCCACGATTATGCCATAACACTCCATCCTAAGCAACAGAGTGAGATTCCAACTCAAAGGTGGGGGGGAGAATGTTGTACATAATAGATAAGTTCCTAGGCTGGCCTCCAAGGGCTCATTTAATCTTTCTACCAGTTACTTATACAAACTTTGGATTTTCCCCCTATTTAATATACTATTAGGGGCTATATCTCATTCATGTAGCACCTACTCATGTGGCTTACAGATCATAGCAACTAGTTATCTTAAATCTTAAATTCTTTTTTGAACAAATTGTACTATAAAATATACACCTATAGAGGAAAGAAGTTAATTCAGTGTTTGTTCATTTGAACTGAAAGTGAAGCTAAAAGAACAACCCCCTTCTTGTATTCTGAAAACTGCATTCTCTTGTGTATGATAAAAAGGAAGTGCAAAATGCATAGGGACAATGACTCTCGTCTCTCCCCAGCTCAAATGGTTAAGCGTGCATCGGAAAGGAATTTGTTGGCCGGGCGCAGTGGCTCATGCCTATAATCTCAGCACTTTGGGAGGCTGAGGTGGGTGGATCACCTTAGGTCAGGAGTTCAAGACCAGCCTGGCCAACATGGTGAAACCCCGTCTCTACTAAAAATACAAAAATTGGCTGGGCATGGTGGCAGCCACCTGTAATCCCAGCTACTCTGGAGGCTGAGGCAGGAGAATCACTTGAACCCAGGAGGCGGAGGTTGCAGTGAGCCAAAGTTGCACCATTACACTCCAGCCTGGACAATGAGCAAAACTCCGTCTCAAAAAAAAAAAGAAAGAAAGAAAGAAAGAAAGAAAGAAAGAAAGAAAGAAAGAAAGAAAGAAATTTGTTGTTGTCAGGGCAGGGCAGCGGCTGTTGTCCAGCCAAAACAGACACTTGAAGATTCTTGAGATTCTTGAAGGAGCCAGCTTACTTTTTAAAATAAAAAAATCTTATTTCTAAAACTGAAGTTAGTTGGCAAGGAAGCATTCAAGTTTTATGTATTCTATCAAACAGTATCAAATGTTTCTACTCTAGTGAGGAAAATAGCACACAAGTTTATGTAATAATTTACTCTAATGAAGGTACTGTTTGAATATGCTACACTTGCATATGTCTAAAGAGTGATTTTTGTTCCCAGTTAAGTACAAGAATAGCAAAATGTGGAAACGTAAATTTAGCAATTGTTCACTCTTGTTTTCCAACCACCTCACATAATGCTGGAAATATACTTGGCATTCAGTAATTTTTTTTTATTGACCGATTGAATGAGTTATTCTGTTCCATGATTCCCACGTCTTTTTCCACACTAAGTTCTTACCACTGCTACAGAGGATACAGTCATAGGCCCCAGTGGTTATCCTAGAGTCGACAGGTAATATAGCTTAACAGAAAGAGTGTTGGTGTTGTGTAGAACTGGATTCAAATTCAGATTCTGACACACCAACCTTTCCCCACCTATAAAATGAGGGCTAGTACATACATGTCAAGGATTAAATGAGGTAATCTGAGAAAGTGTCAGGCATAGTGCTTGGAACATAGTATATATTTAATAAATGCTTGAGGTGCCTAGAACATAGTACATATTTAATAAATGCTTGCAACTATTAGCAAGTGTAAAAATATAGTGATGATCCCAGTGATGATGGAAAAGACATAGGTCAGTCAGTGACCACCAAGTAAAAGATAACTGAGACAATTAAGTTATTTTAGTGGTGTAATTGCTCTGTAAATGTGGCTAGTTAAGGCTAACAACTGATTGTTTCCCAGTATCAGATGATCTAGGCCAAAATACTTAATATCTAGCAGTGTGGTTAGACACATTTCTGCACGTAAAGGCTCAGAAACAGATTCAGGAAAAGCAAAATAGATAAAATAAGGCTTACACAGTTAGAAGAGTAAATGAGCTAGTTGTTGATATGCTTTAGTGGGCTTGGCAAGAGTGAGTAAAGAGGTAAGCTGGAGGATAGATCATATGCAATCTATGCCTCTAACCCAGAAATTGTGTTCCTAGGAATTTGTTCTAAGGAAATATTACAGATATGCACAAAAGTGTAAATACAAGGGTATTTGTCATTATAGTATTTAAAAGAGAAAATATATAAATGATCAAAATATTCAACAGTAGGGGATTGTGATACATATATATATAAAATGGGATACTGATGCAAGCATTCAGTGAAAAAAAGTAGATTACCAAACCATACGATCCTCATTTATTTTATTTTATTTTTTATTTTTATTTTTTTATTTTTTTTACTTTTTGAGACGGAGTCTCACTCTGTCACCCAGACTGGAGTGCAGTGGCACGATCTCGGCTCACTGCGAGCCCTGCCTCCCAGGTTCACGCCATTCTCCTGCCTCAGCCTCCTGAGTAGCTGGGACTACAGGCACCCGCCACCATGCCTGGCTAATTTTTCGTGTTTTTAGTAGAGACCAGGTTTCACTGCGTTAGCCAGGATGGTCTTGATCTTCTGACCTCGTGATCCACCAGCCTCGGCCTCCCAAAGTGCTGGGATTACAGGCGTGAGCCACCACGCCCGGCCAATCCTCATTTGTTTTAAAAAGCAAGATCACACATAAAAAAATAAGAAAGATAAAAAATGTTGGTAAAAGTAACTAAAGAATAAAAATATAGGGAAAAAGGTAGCCAAGGGATAGATATTGTTATTCACTTTCTTTTTACAACTTTATTAAGGTATAATTTGTGTGCAATAAACTGCACATATTTAAAGTATATAACTTGACTAGTTTTGACAAATATATACACCCATGAAACTGCCAGTTATAATTTTGAACATTTTTCATGACCCTCCAAAGTTTCCTTGTGTCCATTTGCAATACACACACACACACACACACACACACACACAGTATGCAGGCAACCATTGATCTACTGTTACAATAGACTACTTTGCATCTTTTAGAATTGTACGTAACTGAAATCACACAGTATGTACTCCTTTGCATCTGGCTTCTTTCACTCAGCATAATGATTTGAGATTCATCCATGCTGTTACATGTACCAGTAACACATTTTATTACTGAGTAGTATACCATTGTATGAATGTATCACATTTTTGTACTTATTCACCTGTTAGTGGACATTTGGGTTGTTTCCCAGATTACAACCCACATTTGGCTATTACAAAGAAAGCTGCCATTAACTTTTGTGTACAAATCTTTGTGTGGACATGTATTATCTCTTGGGTGAATATCCAGGAATCAAATGGCTATGTTGAATAATAGATATATTTTTAACTTTTTAAGAAGCCATCAAACTGTTTTCCAAGGTGATTGTACCATTTTACGTTCCCAGCAGCAGTAACTGGTGGGAATATGGCTCATTCTCAAAAGATGATCTGAAGTTTCAAAAGTAAATAAGTTATTGAAACATGTAATATGATGGTGGTAATTAGCCAACATGATAATACGTTACTCATAGGGTTGGTTGTGAGGATGACGTGCACTAATGCATAAAAAGCATTTAAGCACAGAGGAAGTACTCAGTATTCATTGGCAGTTTTATCATCATTCTGTTAATTTAACTTCTTTGGTTGTTAACAGTAGTACATTAGTGACTAATTTTGATAGACTAAAAATAAAGATAAACAGGCTAGACTTTAAAAACCAGACTCACATATTGTACAAAAAACATTCACGTTCATAAAAATACCCTTAAACAAAATTTATTTTTTTCTTTCCAGTAGAGGGGGCAGTGATTACCTGGCATTGTTGTAAAACAAAAGTTAAGCTTGCCATTATTGTAGTTATAATTTTTAATATAATTTTTGCAGTTATCTCTCAGTAACTTTTTATTATATACTATTTAATTATGAGTGTCAAGGTCTGAAAAATACATGATCAATTCAGGATTGGTTATAACTTTTTAAAGAAAGATATTTACATTGACTTGTTCTTACTTAAAATGTTTTTATTATACGACACATCACCTTCACTTTGGGATGTGGAATTTGCTAAGCAGTTAGCCACAGTCAATGAACAACCCCTTCAGAATGGCTTTGAAGAGCTGATCCTGTGGACAAAAGAGGGGAAACTGTGGGAGTTCCCAGTTAACAATGAAGCAGCTAAGTGTTAATTTCAGGGGGTTATAAAATTTATTGACTGAAATTATTTCTGCCAGATATTCACTTTCAGAGTGTAGATACTTACATGAATTTCAAAACACTTTGTAGATATCTTCATGGTGTCCTAAAAGAAATCTGACAAGGTTTTTTTAAAACGACGTTAGAATTTCACTTATTTTTAGATGCTTGATAAGGAAAATGAAGAAGTAAAACTAGATGGCAAAAATGCATCATGAATTTCTATGACATAAAAGGACTGAGAACTGCAAATGATTGCAGTTTTCTAATCGCTCAACAGGATATTACTTGATGAATCTTCTATATATTAAATAAGGGGTATGAGATTATACTTCAATTTTGGAGAACATTACAACTCTTAAAGTCTCATGCTGGTGTCCTTTAGTCATAAAACCATTGCATTAATGAGGTGCAGGGAATTTGTATGAGCAACTCAAAGCAAAAACATCGTAGGCTTTGGAAATCTTTGCCTGCATAATATAGATGCTTTGAACTGGCAACAGAATATCATCTACTTCACTGGGTAGTTTTTGGAGATGTTACCTCTTCCTAAATCAAAAGGAAAACAGTATTACTATGCTATTTATTTTTTATGATACCCATGTTGTCATCAGTTAAACATTTTAATTGAATTTATAGAAGTATTTTGAATTAGAAAAGATTGATTTACTTTTAGGGTAAGATTAGCTAGAAGTTGGAAGAGCCTGAATAAGTCTTAGGAAAATGTAGTCCATATTTTAACCTTCATAATGTTGTGGTATCATTGTAATATCTTAATTTTTGATAATCTTTAATTTGTTGGATTAATAGGTGGAACGGAAGCTTAAATATCAGAAATATTTAGTCTTATATGTAAATAATATAATTAATATAAAGTGTTGCTTTTTATACGAAAACTTTAGAGACTTACAGATTCTTTTAGCAAATTATTAATATTTTGTATATTCATATTTTTGTTTTTGTTTTTTGAGATAGATTCTCTCTCTGTCGCCCAGGCTGGAGTGCAGTGGTGCGATCTCGGCTCACTGCAACCTCCGCCTCCCGGGTTCAAGCAATTCTCATCCCCCAGCCGAGTAGCTGGGATCACAGGCGTGTGTCACCACACCCAGCTAATTTTTGTATTTTTGGTAGAGATAGGGTTTCGCAGTGTTGGCCAGGCTGGTCTCAAATTCCTGACCTCAGGTAATCTGCCCGCCTTGGCCTCCCAAAGTGCTGGGATTACAGGCGTGAACCACCATAGCCAGCCTGTATATTCATATTGTACTTGCAATAATACAGCATACTGTGTTTCATGTATTACATAATGTATGTATTGCTTAAAGTATGGTTCTGTGTTCCGGAAGATATCAGGGTAAGGTAAAAAGACCAACGCCTTTTTAAGTTGTACCAACCTGAGTACCAGCTCTGTCCATTATTGGCCATTTGCCTTTGAGGAAATTATTTAAGCACCTGGGCCTTAGTTTCCTCTTCTGTAAAATAATATCTGATATTAAGGAAAGATTTGGTCTACTCTTACAACATGTTTGGATTTCATTATTTGAAGAAACTTGGGTGTTCCAAGTCCTTATGTTTAAAAACCTAATTTGAAAACCCAGTATTAGGCCAGGCACGGTGGCTCATGCCTGTAATCCTAGTTACTTGGGAGGCTGAGGCAGGAGAATTGCTTGAACCCGGGAGGCAGAGGTTGCAGCCAAGATTGTGCCACTGCACTCCAGCCAGGGTGACAGAGTGAAACTCTGTCTCAAGAAATAAATAAATAAATACATACATACATAAGGAAGAAAGAAAAAATAACAGTATTGAGGTATAATAATGTGACTTTATTCAGGAGAGTCAGTGAAGCATAGTGGTTAGAAGTTCAAGATCCTGAGTGAGTTACAGAATTGATCTCTCCAAGCCTCACTTCCTTCATCTCTAAAGTGATGGGAATAATAATAATAGTGGTCATTATATGAGATTGGCATGAGGAGTAAGTGAGGTTAACCAGTAAAGCATCATCACCATCATCGTCCCTGTTTCTACAGCAACAACATTGTGAGGGGGTTTGCTTCTGTAACTGTTTTCCGTTGTATACAGTAACATTTTATTTTTCAAAATTTTACTTTATACTGGAACATTTTAAATCTTAGAATATTAACAAGGATAGTATGTATTATCTGGGAACCACCAAACAGGGTGCTAGGAAAGCACGAACTGGTAGTATATTGTCATCAGCAGTGAAACACTGCATCAAAATCATGAGTGATCAAACTCCAATGGAATTTATCTTAAATTTGACCTGGTTTCTGAGAAAATTTAATTTCTAAAAAAGGAGAGAAACATGGTTTTTTTGGTCAGGTTGAGGAGATAAATGTGACAATTGTCCACATGTCACTGTGCATATTATCGATATTTCAGGGTTGGAAAAGGAGGTGGTGGGTAACTCATTTCCAGCTCCCTAAGGCAATTGTTATCTGAAGTAAAAACAGGAAAGGACTGTGGAAACTCTCACTTTGATCACTGCCCTGGGTACACACTTAGAAACTTGTACTTTGAGAAACTGGCATTGTAACCTGGAGCCTCAACAATTCAATAACTTTCTTTGATATTTCTTATATTTAAATGTTGAGATTACTGAAATACATTTCTTTCCCTACTAATATTTAGCTTTATGAAGATTTACTTGGATGTTTTTGGGGAAAGATGTTTTGTTTTGTTTTTAGTAGCTCACTGGGTCAGTGTTGGAACATAATATTGAAAATGACAAAATGACATGTCATGTATTTACAATTTAATGCGCACTATGTTGTTTTTCCATTATATAAAAATTAAGGTTGTTTTGCCACTTAATGCGTATAAATTATTTTTCCAATTTAGAATAGCTTTCTGTTTCTGTTTTAAGAACTTGTTAGTCCCTTCTCTTGTGCTTTGCCTGCATAAAGATTTACAAGAACTATTAGGTGGAATTGTTCTCACTTAGATTTGGTACTAGTTTTATATGTTAGATTGTTAATGACATCGTTTTTATTTTAGCTTCTACTTTGATTTTAACTAAATTTAATCACATTTATGCCTACCCAGTAACAGAGTGTTTCTAAGGCTGGTTTTTATGGGGGAGGGGAGATTTGTGGGGGGGCTTCTTTAATACAACATAAAAGCATGATCCATGAAAGAAGAAAGTGGTAAGTTGAACTATATTTAAAATAAGACGTCCGCACTGTAAAAGATACTGTTAAAAAATAAAAAGACGCCAGGCGCGGTGGCTCATGCCTATAATCCCAGCACTTTGGGAGGCTGAGGTGGATGGATCACCTGAGGTCAGGAGTTCGAGACCAGCCTCAACATGGAGAAACCCCATCTCTACTAAAAATACAAAATTAGCCGGGCGTGGTGGTGCATGCCTGTAATCCTAGCTACTTGGGAGGCTGAGGCAGGAGAATTGCTTGAACCTCGGAGGTGGAGGTTGTGGTGAGCCGAGATAATGCCATTGCACTCCAGCCTGAGCAACAAGAGTGAAACTCCATCTCAAAAATAAATAAATAAATAAATAAATAAATAAATAAATAAATAAATATAAATAAAAAGACAAGCCACAGAGTAGAAGAAAATATTTGCAAAACACATATCTGTGATAAAGGACAGGTATACAAAATATATATTAAAAATTATTGGCCAGGTGTGGTGGCTCACGCCTGTAATACCAGCACTTTGGGAGGCCGAGGCAGGTGGATCACCTGAGGTCAGGAGTTCAAGACTAGCCTGGTCAACATGGTAAAACCTCGTCTCTACTAAAAGTACAAAAATTAGCCAGGCATGGTGGTGGACGCCTGTAATCCCAGCTACTTGGGAGGTTGAGGCGAGAGAATCACTTGAACCCAGGAGGTGGAGGTTGCAGTGAGCCAAGATTGTGCCATTGCACTCCAGCCTGGGCAACAAGAGTGAAACTCTGTCTCTAAATAAATAAATAAATAAATAAATAAAATAAAAATCTTAAAACTCAACAATGAGAAATGAAAAATCCCATTATAAAATGGCAAAATATGGCTGGGTGCAGTGGCTTACGCCTATAATCCCAGCCCTTTGGGAGGCTGAGGCAGGCAGATCACTTGAGGTTAGGAGTTTAAGACCAGCCTGGCCAACACAGTGAAACCCTGTCTCCACTAAAAATACAAAAATTAGCCAGGCGTGGTTGTACACTCCTGTAATTCCAGCTACTGAGGAGGCTGAGGCATGAGAATATCTTGAACTGAGGACAGGGAGGTTGCAGTGAGCTGAGATCTTGTCACTGCACTCCAGCCTGGGTGATGGAGCAAGACCGTCTCAATAAAATAAAATAAAATGGGCTAGTATGGTGGCTCACGCCTGTAATCCCAGCACTTTGGAAGCCTGAGGTGGGTGGATCACCTGAGGTCAGGAGTTTGAGACCAGCCTGGCCAACATGGTGAAACCCCATCTCTACTAAAAACACAAAAATTAGCTGGGCATAGTGTCACATGTATGTAATCCTAGCTACATGGGAGGCTAAGGCAGGAGAATCGCTTGAACCCGGGAGGCAGAGGTTGCATTGACTGAGATTGTGCCGCTGCACTCCAGCCTGGGTGACAGAGCGAGACTTCGTCTCAAAAAAAAAAAATGCATAAATAAAAATAAAAATAAATAAAAATAAAATGGTAAAATATCTGTTCAGATACCTTACCAAAGAACATATAAGGATGGCATATGAAAACATCATGTGTTGTTAGGGAATTGGAAATTATTTTTTTCAAATAGCTAAATTTTCACTTTTTAATTTATGTCTTCTTTTTAAAACTCTCATTTATTTGTGTCTCTAATTTTTGTTTTCCTCCTATTTTTTTTTATTTCCAACTTTTAGGTTCAGGGGTACATGTGCAAGCTTGTTACATGGGTAACTTGAGTGTCATGGGGGTTTGGTGTACAGATAATTTTGTCACCCAGGTAATCAGCATAATACCTGTAGGTAGTTTCCCAATATTCATTCTCCTCCCACCCTCCCCCCTCGAATAGGCCCCAGTGCCTGTTGCTCCCTTCTTTGTGCCTATATGTGCTTGGTGTTTAGCTCCCACTTGTAAATGAGGAATGCAGTATTTGGTTTTCTGTTTCTGCATTAATTCACTTAGGATAATGGCCTCCAGCTCCATCCATGTTGCAGCAAAGGCCATGATCTCATTATCTTTGTAGCTGCATAGTATTCCATGGTGTATATGTCCCCCATTTTCTTTATCCAGTCCACCACTCATGGGCACCTAGATTGATTCCATTCCATGTCTTTGTTATTGTGAATGGTGCTGCAATGAACATACATATGCATGTGTCTTTATGATAGAATAATTTACATTCATGTGGGCATATACCCAGTAATGGGATTGCTGGGTCGAATGGTAGTCCTGTTTTAAGTTCTTTGAGAAATCTCCAGACTGCTTTCCACAGTGGCTGAACTAATTTACATTTCCACCAACAGTGTATAAGCATTCCCCTTCCTCTGCAACCTCACCAGCATCTGTTGTTTTTGATTTTTTAATAATAGTCATTCAGACTGGTGTGCAGTGGTATCTCGTGGTTTTGATTTGCATTTCCCGGATGATTCATGACATTGAGCATTTTTTCAAATGTTTGCTGGCCATGTGTATGTCTTCTTTTGAGAAGCGTCTGGTCATGTCCTTTGCCCATTTTTTAATAGTGTTGATTGTTTTTTGCTTCTTCAATTGTTTGAGTTATAGATTCTGGATATTAGACCTTTGTTGGATGCATAGTTTGCAGATATTTTCTCTCATTCTGCAGGTTGTCTGTTTATTGAAATTTCTTTTGTTGTGCAGAAGCTCATTAGTTTTATTAGATCATTATTAGATCACACTTGTCAATTTTTATTTCTGTTACAGCTGCTTTTGTTTTTTTTTGAGACAGAGTTTTTGCTCTTGTTGTGGAGGGGAGTGCAGTGGGGCGATCTCAGCTCACTGCAACCTCTGCCTCCCAGCCTGAAGTGATTCTCCTGCCTCAGCCTCCCAAGTAGCTGGGATACAGGGGCCCGCCACCATGCCCAGCTAATTTTTTTTGTATTTTTCATAGAGACGGGGTTTTGCCATGTTGGCCAGGCTGCTCTTGAACTCCTGATCGCAGGTGATTTGCCCGCCTCAGCCTCCCAAAGTGCTGGGATTACAGGAGTAAGTAACCGCACCTGGCCTACAGTTGCTTTTTGACTTTGTCATGAAGTCCTTGCCTGGGCTGTTGTCTAGAATGGTATTTCCTAGATCTTCTTCAGGGTTTTTATAGTTTTAGGTTTCACATTTAAGCCTTTAATCCATCTTGAGTTGATTTTTGTATATGGTCAAAGGTGGGGGTCCAATTTCAGTCTTCTGCATATGGCTAGTCTAAGGCTATTTTTGATATGCTTTCCTAGAGTAACTCTCAATTTAGAGGCTTCAGTGGCGAAAGAAGGTCAGGATGGATGTTAATCACACTTTTGTTTGTATTCTTTAGTTGGTTTAAACCTTTTCAATTCTTACATATCCTCTATGGTATCTGAAATATATGCTGTAATATGAGCCAAGAAGAACATTGAGATAAGTTCAAATTACCATAAAACCCTAAAGAAGGGCTCTGTTATTTGGGCAAGTATAGTGTGGAGAAAATTAGGGAAAGTGTAAAGATTATTAGGTAGGTGCTAACTGAAAGGTAGCAGGATCTGTTTGTTGTTTTAGATGAGATTATGGCCTGGGAACAAGAGCCTTAAAGTACTGACAGAAAAAGAAATAATAGTTTTGATAGTACATAGAAGTGGAAAACAACAATTCAAAGTGAAAATGACTGAATTTGGTTCAGTGCTCTACTATGCCCTTCTCAAAAAGAATTGGTCATTGCTACTAACTGCAATTCACCCTTTATTTGTTGTACCATATTTTTAAAGTCTATTCAATACTTAAAGCAGAATTAGACACAATTAACCTATCACCTTATTTGATTGTGCATCATATAGAATTTCCTTCTTATGTTTAATGTTTCACTATCTCTTATGTTTTCTTTACTGTATTGTGCTTCTTTGGTTTATTAAAAATATTTTAAATTACATAAATAATGATGAAAGTTTACCTGCAAAAAAGTCAAATGGTGTAAAAAAATTATACTTTACCTGTCATTTCTCTTTTTTTCTGAAATAAGCATTTTCGATAGTTTGATATGTGTTCTCTCAATCCACATTAAATGGCAGTTACACATTTATCTGCTGTTTTATTTGACTTGTATGGGAACATACTATACATATATTGTCCTGCAGTGTGCATATATATATATATATTTATTTATTTATTTATTACATAGCAGTATGTCTTGAAAGCATTTCCTTGTCAGTACATACAGATAGACCTTATTCATTTCATAGTTCTATATGTCCCATTGTTCTGAACGCAGACCATAATTTCTTTTACCATTTTCCTTTTGAATAATGGAGCTATAGTAGATCCTTTTACACATGTTCTTGTGTACATGTTTGAATACTTTCAATTCCTAGAAGGGTCAAAGAATAGGTGTATTTTAAATTGCAATAAATACTTACAAATTCTCTTCTGAAATGATAGCCAGTTGACCCACTCCAACCAACTATGTAAAAATCCTATTTTTCCACAGTCTAACTAATACTGGATATTGTTAATCTTGCAAATGTTCTGGGTAAAAACTGATATCAATGGTGTTTTCATTTGCATTTCGCTGATTGATAACCAGATTACACGTCTTTTCATATGTTTATTGGCTATTTGTACTTCCTCTGTGACTTACCTTTTTACATCCTTTGACTGTTTCTGTTGGGCTCTTTGTTAATTGTGTTTGTAGGAACTCAATATATTATGGGCTTTAATTCTTAAACTCTTACATGTGTTGGAAATATGTTTCCCAGTCTGTCTCTTTGCCTTCTTTTAAAATAATTTGATTTTAAAAATCATAGTAAGCATTTGGTTTAATATAAAAGGTGACAATATAAAGCACAAGGCTTATGAAGCAGTTCTTTTTATCACCTATTAGGCCTGTTCTCAGAGTCAACGTCTTTTAATCTTTTAGATGTATTTTACTTTTTATATTTCTAAATTATATGCTTCTATCTATTTTAGATGTCATCTAGTGTATATATCTTCTCCTCATCCTTCCAATATAGATACATCACAATTTTTTGTTAGATCTGTATTCATTGTTTACACTAATATGACTATGGAGAAATGTGTGGGTGTTTTTTTGTTTTGTTTTTTGGTGTTCTTTGAGACAGAGTCTCACTTTGTCACCCAGGCTTGAGTGCAGTGGCAGGATCTTGACTCACTGTAGCCTTGAATTCCTGGGCTCAAGTGAGCTTCCCATCTCATCCTTTTTAGTAAGGAGGACCACAGGCACTTTTTTTTTTTTTTTTCAGAGATGAGGTGTCACTATGTTGCCCAGGCTGGCCTCAAACTCCTGGGCTCAAGTGATCTTCCCACCTTGGCCTCCCAAAGTGCTGGGATTACAGGCGTGAGCCACTATGCCCAGCCTGGAAAATTGTTTACTGGTAAGACAAAAAATGTTCTATGAGTATATTTTATTTTATCTTTTCTTTTCTGTGACTCTCTGTGGAAATTGCATGTGTGTCTGTTTGTTTTTCAGGTTGTAGCATGCAATTGTTGAGGGGTGGACTGTATCATCTTCATCTTGTAATTCCAGTGCTAGTCCTTGTCCCTGAGCATATGGTTGTTGAATAAATGAATGAAAAATGAGAAAACCAGAAGCTCTGATACTTAACCACAATGACAATTAATTCAATCTGTGACTATCATCCAATTATATATCACAGTAATTTTGTGTTGTAATTTTACATATGTATTTTTTATTTTTATTAACACTGATAAAGTTCTCAACTCTTATTACTAACTTAAACTTACTTTAAATATGGAATATTTTAGATAAAAATATAATTATTTCTTTTTTCTTTCCAGACGTTGCTGAATTTGAATTGGGATCACATGTGTTTCCTCATCTAGGACCTGGTGGTAAGTCAAACATAAATTAAGATATAATTTGGAAATACTATAGAAATACGTACTGATTTTAACCAGATACATATGAGTGGAAAGACAGTAAAATGTGATTACTGGGCTGTTTACGTGACATTTTATTTCTCATTATGTATATGACACGGATAACTCTTTTTATTTTTATACTTTAATTTTTAGGGTACATGTGCACAACGTGCAGGTTAAATATGTATACATGTGCCATGTTGGTGTGCTGAACACAGTAACTCGTCATTTACATTAGATATATCTCCAAATGCTATCCCTCCCCCCTCCCCCTACCCCACAACAAGCCCTGGTGTGTGATGTTCCCCTTCCTGTGTCCATGTGTTCTCATTGTTCAATTCCCACCTGTGAGTGAGAACATGCAGTGTTTGGTTTTTTTGTCCTTGCGATAGTTTGCTGAGAATGATGGTTTCCAGCTTCATCCATGTTCCTACAAAGGACATGAACTCATCATTTTTTATGGCTGCATAGTATTCCATGGTGTGTATGTGCCACGTTTTCTTAATCCAGTCTATCATTGTTGGACATTTGGGTTGGTTCTAAGTCTTTGCTATTGTGAATAGTGCCACAATAAACATACGTGTGCATGTGTCTTTATAGCAGCATGATTTATAATCCTTTGGGTATATACCCAGTAATGGGATGGCTGGGTCAAATGGTATATCTAGTTCTAGATCCCTGAGGAATCGCCACACCGACTTCCACAATGGTTGAACTAGTTTACAGTCCCACCAACAGTGTAAAAGTGTTCCCGTTTCTCCACATCCTCTCCAGCACCTGTTGTTTCCTGACTTTTTAATGATCGCCATTCTAACTGGTGTGAGATGGTATCTCATTGTGGTTTTGATTTGCATTTCTCTGATGGTCAGTGATGATGAGCATTTTTTCATGTGTCTTTTGGCTGTATAACTGTCTTCTTTTCAGAAGTGTCTGTTCATATCCTTCACCCACTTTTTGATGGGGTTGGTTTTTTCTTGTAAATTTGCTGGAGTTCATTGTAGATTCTGGATATTAGCCCTTCGTCAGATGAGTAGATTGCAAAAATTTTCTCCCATTCTTTAGGTTGCCTGTTCACTCTGATGGTAGTTTCTTTTGCTGTGCAGAAGTTCTTTAGTTTCATTAGATCCCATTT
Source organism: Homo sapiens (assembly GCF_000001405.40). Lineage (NCBI taxonomy): Eukaryota > Metazoa > Chordata > Mammalia > Primates > Hominidae > Homo > Homo sapiens. Next base: position 21,279,265 of record NC_000013.11, read on the forward strand.
GTCAATTTTGGCTTTTGTTGCCATTGCTTTTGGTGTTTTAGACATGAAGTCCTTGCCCATGCCTATGTCCTGAATGGTATTGCCTAGGTTTTCTTCTAGGGTTTTTATGGTTTTAGGTCTAACATGTAAGTCTTTAATCCATCTTGAATTAATTTTTGTATAAAGTGTAAGGAAGGGATCCAGTTTCAGCTTTCTACATATGGCTAGCCAGTTTTCCCAGCACCATTTATTAAATAGGGAATCCTTTCCCCATTTCTTGTTTTTGTCAGGTTTGTCAAAGATCAGATGGTTACAGACATGCGGCATTATTTCTGAGGGCTCTGTTCTGTTCCATTGGTCTATATCTCTGTTTTGGCACCAGTACTATGCTGTTTTGGTTACTGTAGCCTTGTAGTAGAATTTGAAGTCTGGTAGTGGATGCCTCCAGCTTTGTTCTTTTGGCTTAGGATTGACTTGGCAATGCGGGCTCTTTTTTGGTTCCATATGAACTTTAAAGTAGGTTTTTCCATTTCAGTGAAGAAAGTCATTGGTAGCTTGATGGGGATGGCATTGAATCTATAAATTACCTTGGGCAGTATGGCCATTTTCACTATATTGATTCTTCCTACCCATGAGCATGGAATGTTCTTCCATTTGATTGTATCCTCTTTTATTTCATGGAGCAGTGGTTTGTAGTTCTCCTTGAAGAGGTCCTTCACGTCCCTTGTAAGTTGGATTCCTAGGTATTTTATTCTCTTTGAAGCAATTGTGAATGGGAGTTCACTCATGATTTGGTTCTCTGTTTGTCTGTTATTGGTGTATAAGAATGCTTGTGATTTTTGCACATTGATTTTGTATCCTGAGACTTTGCTGAAGTTGCCTATCAGCTTAAGGAGATTTGGGGCTGAGATGATGGGGTTTTCTAGATGTACATTCATGTCATCTGCAAACAGGGACAATTTGACTTCCTCTTTTCCTAATTGAATACCCTTTATTTCCTTCTCCTGCCTAATTGCCCTGGCCAGAACTTCCAACACTATGTTGAATAGGAGTGGTGAGAGAGGGCATCCCTGACATGGGTAAGTCTTTATTGAAGGAAAATGTTTTTGTATCATGCATGTCTTGTGAAAACTTACATTGTGTTTAAAATGATGTTTCTTGGCCTCCTTAACTAATTTTCAAGCAGATCTTGCAAATGAAAACTAGTATTTTTGAGTTTTGCATACTCAAACTGCCAAAATGTCAGCTGTTTAAACAGTCAAATAACTAAGTTGTCACTAATACTTTAGTGAAGTGATGATTTATTCTTATTTTATAATTTTTATCACTATATATATAGTGATAGATTCTGATTTAGACAGACATCATTTTGGTATACTGATACTGTGGCCATTGCAATGTTTCAATGTATTTCAATAGTTACAGTGCCATCAAACTTAGATAATTTCAGCTTTAAGCACTGATTTATACACATCTTTTCTTCAGGAAAAATAAAGTTTCCCTAAGGCTTTTCACTCTATCTATCTATCTATCTATCTTTATATTTATGAACTTTTTGGAAGTACTGTTGAAATTATAGAAAAGTTCCAAGTTTTAATACAAGTAACTCTTTCCCCTGAAGCATGTGAGAGTAAATTGCTGACATTAGGCCAGCACTCCTGATTACTTTAGTAGGTATTCCCACAAGTCAGGACACTCTATATAACTACAATGCAACCTTGATAATCAGAAAGTTAACATCAAAGCATCATATCATCCAATCCTCAGCTTCTGTTGAGCTTTTATTAATTGTCTGCCATGTCTTTTATAGCACAAGGATCCCATTTAGATCCATGGGTTACATTTAGTTGTTGTGTCACTTACACTCCTTCTGTCTGAACAGTTCCTCAGGTTTCCTTGACTTTCATGACTCTGAATCTTTTGAAGAGTAAAGTTCAAAATAAAGAATGTCTCTCAGCTGGTTTTTTCTGATGTTTCATTATGAATAGGCTTAGATTGTATTATTTTTGGCAAGAGTATCTCAGAGGCGATCCTCTGATCTTCTCATTGCATCCTGTCATTTGACCTTGATTTTGATTTGTCTTATTACTAGTGATATTAGCATTGATCATTAATGGTGGTATCTGCTGGGTTTCTTTTCTGCAGTGTTGCTTTTTAATCTTGTAATCAGTTAGTATATTGTGGGGAGGTAGTTTAAGACTAGGTAAATATCTCTGTTCCTCTTGAAATCTTCAATTTATTCATTTACTTAGATCAACATGGATGCATGGTTTATTTCATACAATGGGATATAATTTGTTAATATTTCTAAAAATTTGTTTTTCTTTTTAGACATGTTCTGTTTTGGCAATTTCAGACTTAAAGAAAAATTAAAAGAATAGGACCAAAAAGTCTTGAGTTCCATATCCCAAATTTTAATATTTTACTGCATTTGCTTTACTCTTTCTCCTTCTTTTCCTCTTCTCTTTCTAGACAAATATAAATATAGGTACATAATATAGATTTTTCTTCCTGAATTATTTGTGAGTCACAGACATGATGCCTCTTTATTTCTAAATACTTTACTATATATTTCCTAAAAAGAAGGAATTTTCTTACATAACTATGGTGATCATTATCAAAAGCAAGAAATTGAAATTGATTCAATGTTAATATATAATCGACAGATCTTATTAAGATTTTGCCAATTTTCCCCATAATATCCTTTATAGCCAAAGAAAATCCAAGATGGGAGATTTTTACAATTCATGATGTGTTGAGTCCAATTGTCCTCTTTCTTTATTCTCCTTTAATCTGGGACAGTTTTGTACTCTTTCTTTGATTTTCATAACATCCATGTTTTTGAAGAGTATGGGTCACTTATTTTACTGATTTTTCTCTCAGTTTGGGTTCATATGATGTTTCCTCATGATTAGATTCAGATTATGTCACTGAGGCAGGAATGTCACACAGGTAATGCTGACTTCTTCCGAATGCAGCATGTCTGTAGGCTGTCACTTGGTTTCATTGCTGGCCAGTGTTGACTTTGATTCTTTGGTTAAGGAGTTTCGTCAGTCAGATTTGTCCATAGTAAAGTTACTGTTTACCTTTTGTATTTCACCAATATCCTGTGTGGCAATACTTTGTGGCTGTATAAATCTCCAGTTACTCCTCAAAATTTCACCCACTAGATTTAGCATTGCATTGATTTTTTCCTTTTATTTTATTTATTTATTTATGTATGTATTTTTGGAGATCATGGTCTTGCTCTATTGCCTTGGCTGGAGTGCACTTGCACAATCTTGTCTCACTGCAGCCTCAATCTTCCAGGCTCAAGCAATCCTCCCACCTCAGCCTCCCAAGTAGCTAGGACTATAGGCATGCACCATCATGCCTGGCTAATTTTTGTATTTTTTGTAGAGATGGGGTTTTGCCATGTAGCCCAGGCTTGTATCTCTAACTCCTGGGCTCAAGGGATCAGCTCCCTTCAGTCTCCCAAAGTGCCAGAATTATAGGCATGAGCCACTGGGCCTGGCTGCTTTATGATTCTTACTTGAATTAATTATGATGATGGTGGCCACATGATGATTTTCTTATTCTGTCATGCCTTCTACATGGATTAAAAAATGAAACAAAACAAAAGCAATAAACAGGGGAGAAGGGAAAATATTCTTTTGGTGCTCAAATACTCCCAGACTCAGCCAGTGGTCACCATTTCAAGCTGATTTCATGTCTTTTGGACATCAATTCATTGCCATCGTTTAAATATTTCTTTATTTTATGGCACACAATGTTCCAAGCTTATCATCTATTTCTCGGCCCCAGATCTGAAATCAGCTATTTTCCTAGAAGACTAGATTTCTTCTGGGGGAGAATGGTATTTAGAAACCAAATTCTGGCCACTAGTTGAGGTAGGTGTGGATATTTGCATTGGGATTGTCATTGCTCAGAGACCTACTCCATGAACAAAGCAGAGAAATATATGGATATACATAAATACGCAGGCATACATGCTTACATTAATCCACATTTCAGTGTCAAAATATATTCAAAACCATGAGTTTTTGCTGATACTTTCTATTTCAATTCAATCCCACATGGTTCATTCTAATTTTTTTTAAGTACAGTTGACCCTTGGACAATCTGGGGAGTAGGGACATCATAGAAATTCACATATAACTTTTGACTGCCCAAAACTTAACTACTAATAGCTTACTATGGATGAGAAGCCTTACCCATAACATAAACAGTCAATGAACACATATTTTGTATGTTTTATGTATTATATACCATATTTGTACAAAAGTAAGCTAGAGAAAAGGAAATGTTAAGAAAATTATAAGGAAGATAAAGTATATTTACAGTACTGTACTGAATTTATCAATACCATAAGTTTACTTCATGTGTTTCTGAGATGAATCATCTTTCTAAAAATGCAGACAAAGCTACAGACCTCAAACCGTGGTACATATCAAGCAAATCAGCTTTTTCTTATATTGTTATGTTATTTCTCTGCTTCTTGGAAGCACTTTATGCATCACTAGTGGTACTTTCTTTGGGTTCTATGATTTACACTATTAAATTAAACATGATGAAAAAAACAAGAAGTCCTAGCTAGAGCATTGAGACAAGAGAAAGAAACAAAGGGGATCTATTTGGAAAGGAAAAAGTAAAATTACCCTTGTTTGAAGATGATATAATCTTATATTTGGGAAACCTAAAGACTCTCCCTAAGAACTGATAAACAAATTCAGTAAAGTTGCAGGATAAAAAATAAACATACAAAATCAGTAGCCCTTGTATATACCAACATTGAACAATCTGAAAAAGAAATCAGAAACTAATGCCATTTACAATAGCTCAAACAAAATAAGATATGTAGGAATACACTTCACCTAAGAAGTGAAAGACCTCTACAGTAAGAACTATAAAACATTGATTCAAGAAATGGAAGAGGAGACAAAATTGAAAAAAATATTCCATTTTCATGGATTGGAAGAATCCATATCGTTAAAATGTCCATCCTATGCAAAGCAATCTACAGAATCAATGAAGTCCCTATCAACATACCAGTGATATTCTTCACAGAAATAGAAACAATAATCCTAAAACTTTCTGATGGAATCAGAAAACACCCAGAATAGCCAAAGCCATTCTGAGCAGAATAAAACTGAAGGAATTACATAACCTGACTTAAAATTATACTACAGAGCTATGGTAACCAAAGCAGCATGGTAACTGGCATAAAAAAAAGACACATGGACCAGTGCAACAGAATAGAGAGGACAGAAATAAATGCATACCTCTACAGGGAACTCACTTCAACAAAAATACCAAGAACATGCATTGGTGAAAAGACAGTGTCTTCAATTAATGGTGCTGTGAAAATTGGATATCCATATTTAGAAGAATGAAACTAGACCCCTGTCTCTCATCACACACAAAAAATCAAATGCATTAAAGACCTAAATCTAAGATGTCAAACTATGAATCTACTGAAAGAGAACATTTGGGAAACTTCAGAACATTGGTCTGGGCAAAGATTTATTGAGTAATACCCCTGAAGCACAAACCAGAGCAAAAATAGACAAATAGAATCATGTCAAACTCCAAAGCTTCTACACAGCAAAGGAGACAATCAACAAAGTGAGGAGATAACCCACAGAATGGGAGAAAATATTTGCAAACTATCCATCTGACAAGAGATTAATAACCAGAATATATAAGGAGATCAAACCACTCAATAGGAAAAAAAATCTAATAATCTGATTTTAAAATGGGCAAAATATCTCAATAGACATTTCTCAAAAGAAGAAATGGCAAACAGGCACACAGTGGCACACAAATGGCAAATAGGTATATAGAAAGGTGCTCAACATCATTGATCATGAAGGAAATGCAAATCAAAACTACAATGAGATAACATCTCACCCCACTAGAAAGCGCTTTGATACAAAAGACAAGCAACAACAAATGCTGGCAAGGATATAGAGAAAAGGGAACCCTCATACACTGTTGTTGGGAATGTAAATAAGTACAACCACTATGGAGAACAGCATGGAGCTTCCTCAGAAAACTAAAAAAGAACTGCCGTATGATCCAGCAATCCCCCTTTAACAGTCTTTGCTCCTGTACCCCATCAGGAGAGGCAGATGCTATAGCCAAGTATCATGAAGAGGTGGCTGAGCAGTTTGAGAAAAGCAGCATATTTCTCTATATCCTGTCAGTTCCAGCTGCTATTATGCACAATTATATGATGGATCTAGTGTGGAAAGATGTTAAAGAGAGCATTTGGGTATTTATCCAAAGGAATGGAAATCAGTATGTCCAAGAGAGATTGGTACTTCCAAGTTTACTGCGGCACTATTCACAATAACCAATATTTGGAAGCAAGCTATGTGACCATCAACAGGCAAACAGATAAAGAAGATGTGAGATATACACACACACATATATATACACACACACACCCCCACAATGGAGCACTATTCAACCATAGAAAAGAATGAGATACTGTCATTTGCAACAACATTGAAGGAACTAGAGGTCATTATGTCAAGGGAAATAAGCCAGGCACAGAAAGACTTCTCATTCATTTGTGGGAGCTAAAAATTAAAACAATGAAACTCATGAACATAGAGAATTGAATGAAGGTTACCAGAGGTTGGGAAGGGTAATGGGGGTTGGGGATAAGTGAGGATGGTTAATGGGTAAAAAATATATCGTTAGATAAAATGAATAAGATCTACTACTTGATAGCAGAACAGTGTGACTACAGTCAACAATATTTTATTGTACATTTAAAAATAAAACAGTGTAATCGGAATGTTTGTAACTCAAAGAAATGATAAATGTTTGAGGTGATGAATACCCATTTACCCTGATATAATTATTATGCATTGATTGTATGCCTCTGTCAAAATATCTCATGTATTTTATAAATATATACCTACTATGCCTCATACAAATAATTTTAAAAAGAAAACTACATGAGTACCACAAGAGGTCACTTTCACTATGAAACATGATTTGCTGGCAAGACGAACTGCATCTGTGGAGATGATGAGCATCATTTGGCGTTTTAAGTGGATACCTGCAACACTTGAGTTCACTGCAATAGCAACAGGAGGTGGCTATGAGATCATTACAATAGTGCAGTATGTACTAGATCTAATTGTATGCAGTTATGATTTATTTATTTTTTATTTTTAAAAGATATATACTTCATTTTTTAGAGCCTTTATAGATTCCGAGAACAGAAATCTCGAAGGCTGTAGTGTCCTTCTCCAGAAGAATGTGCATGGCAGCCTTTAACAGTCCTTGCTCCTATATCCTGTCAGGAGAGGCAGAAGCTACAGCCAAGTGTCATGAAAGGTGGCTCAGCAGTTTGAGAAAAGCAGGATATTTTCATATATTCTGTCAGTTCCAGCTGCTAATCACAATTATATGATGGATCCAGTGTGCAAAGACATTAAAGAGAGCATTGGGAATTTGGGGAGGATGGAGCCAGAAATGGAGCTGATTTCAATAACAACAGGAAAAACAGCTTGTGAAGATTTGACTACTGGCAAATATTGATACAGGAACATTCCAGAGCCAGTTGGTTTCATCCAGGCTCTCACAACCGCAGCCAAAGGAAGGGAAAATGTCATATTTGTTGAAATAGTCTCTAAGAGAGCCCTCCAGAGAAACATGAGAGAAGTCATAGGTAAAGAAACTTAATTTTCTCTTCTCTACAACCAAATAAAGAGTACGAGACTCTTTTTGACCTGGTACAAACTCTATTTGAATCTGGACACAACCTTAACTGGCCATGCTTTTATGAAGGTTTGAAAATAACTCCAACAGTTTACCTAAGGTATCAGTTTGATCACAAGAGTCTTCTGCTGCAGAACAAAATAGCTTACTCCAGTCATCCTCTCACTAGTATTGCAAGTGACAACATAGATTTCAGTTGCTTCAGAACTCGGGATACAGCACCCCATGTTTTTGAGCACAAAACAATGGAACTACTTAGGTTCCTTGTTCCTGTTTTGTGGAGCCTGGTTTGGCTTGTGTGATGGACAGTTTAAAACCCAGAGCACCTCTGAGTACATATCAGGTAAGAGTTGCTTTTTTAGCTCCCCGTGTGGTAAGCCAAAAATTTTTAGATATAAAGATGCAGTTGGAATCAGGAGAAAGAGGGAAATCAGGAGAAATAGGGAAATCACGGCTGCGTGTGGTTTTCGTTTTGGGGGCTCATGAAGCGGCCTGGGCCCTGTGACTCCTCCAGGGATTCCACATCCCAGGTGCTGCGGGACCTGCGGGGGCGAGAAAGCTGGGCCGGTGACAGGAGGGCGCAACCCACCCCATCCCCCAGGGAAAGGGCTTCTCCCAGTTCCCCACCCTCCCAGCCCCCGCCCGGCCCATTACCTCTTCTTCTTGTCTCTCTTGTCCAAGCCAGGGTCCCTGAGCATGAGAATGAGCTCCACTCTGGGGACTATGCCCCTCCAGGCAGCTCTGTGGAGATCGCCAAGATCTTCCAGGCAGACGTCGTACCCAGGCTCCAGGAAGGCGCTGTCATTGTGCTCGGCTCCACAGCCCACGCCGTCCTCGCTGCTCCTCCTTATTCAATTATTAAAACTAGTGAATAAATTCAGCAAAGTTACAGCACAAAATGTCAACACATGGTAATCTGTTGTATTTCTAGACACTAGCAACAAACATCAGAATGTAATGATGAAAACGATTCCAGGCTGGAGGTGGTGGCTCATGCCTGTAATCCCAGCACTTTGAGAGGCTGAGGTTGGAGGCTTGCTTGAACCCAGGAGTTTGAGGCCAGTCTGGGCAACTCAAGGAAACCTGTCTCTACAAATAATTTAAAAATTAGCTGAGTGTGGTGGGTCATGTCTGTAGTCCTAGTTACTCGGGAGACAGAAGAGGGAGGATTGCTGGAACCTGGGAGGTTGAGGCTGCAGTAAGCCGTGTTCACACCACTGCACTCCAACCTGGGCAACAGAGTGAATCCCTGCCTCAAAAAAAAAAAAAAAAAAGACAGAAAAGAAAAAAAATCCATTTTTAAAAATCAACAGGCCAGACGTGGTGGCACACACCCATCATCTCAATGCTCTGGGAGGCCAAGAGGGGAGTATCACTTGAGGCCAGGAGTTCAAGCCAGCCTGGGCAAGATAGCAAGACTCCACCTCTACAAAAAAATAAAAAAATTAGGCAGGTGTGGTGGTGCATACCTGTAGTCCCAGCTACTTGGTAGGCTGAGGCAGGAGGATCACTTGAGCCCAGGAGATAGAGGCTGCAGTGAGCCATAATCGTGCCACTGTACTCCAGCCTGGGAGACAGAGTGAGTCTCCCTGCCAAAAAAAAAAGATCATAGAAGTATGGGTTTATTTCTGGACTCAACATTCAGTTCCATTGATCTATACATGTGTCCTTATGCCAGCATCATGCTGTTTTTATTGCTGTTGCTTTGTAGTAAGATTTGAAATTTGGAAATGTGAGCCTCTGAGTTGGTCATTTTTTTGACATTATTTTGGCTATTCTGGATCCCTTGAAATTTCATGTAAATGTTAGGATCAGCTTGTGGATTTCTGCCAAAAGGACTTTGGGATTTTAACAGGAATTGCAATAAATTTGTAGATTGCTTTGTGTAGTACTGCCATCTTAAAAATTAGTGTCTTCTAGTTTATGAACATGAAGTGTCTTTCCATTTATTTATGCTTTCTTGAATTTATTTCAGCAATGTTTTGACATTTTCCATGTTCAAGTCTGGTACCTTGGTTAAATTTATTCCTAAGAATATTAGTACTGCTGATTGGTTTTTGAGAGAGCCTCACACTGTTGCCCAGGCTGGAATGCAGTGCCACGATCCTAGCTCTGCAGCCTCAATCTCCTGGGCTCAAAAGATGCACCCACCTCAGCCTCCAGAGTAACTGGAACTACACATGCGTGCCACCACAACCAGCTAATTGTTAAAAATATTTTTGTAGGGACAGTGTCTGGCTATGTTGCCCAGCTTTCATTATACAATGTTTAAAAATTCTAAAATTTTTGCCATGAATTACTGTGATAGTTAAGTCTAGGTGTCAACATGACTGGATTAAGGGATACACAGAGAGCTGCTAAAGCACTATGTCTAGGTATGTCTGTGAGGGTGTTTTCGGAAGAGGTGTCATACTGGTGTGACATATCATGACATATTGTAATACTGATATGACACCCGTAAGACCGATATGATGCCCACAATACTGACATGACAGCCATAGACTCATATAACACCTGCAATACACATGTGACACCCCAATACAAATGTGATACCGCAATACAGATGTGACACCAACAAGACTACTGTGACACCAATAAGACTGCTGTGACACCCATAAGACTGATGTGACACCCACAATACTGATGTGACGATGTGATGCCCACAATACAGATGACACCTGCAAGAGGGCTATGATGCCCATAAGACTCATGTGACGCCCGCAATACAGATATGACACCCATAAGACTCATGTGACACCCACAAGATTCATATGACACTCCTAAGACTCATATGACACCCATAATACTGATATGATGCCCGTAAGACTGATGTGATGCCTGCAATACTGATGACACCTGTAAGACTGATATGACACCCCCAATACTGATATGACACCCGCAATACTGATATGACACCCGCAATACAGATATGACACCCCCAATACAGATATGACACCGACAATACAGATATGACACCCACAATACTGATATGACACCCGCAATACAGATGTGACACCCGCAATACAGATGTGACACCCGCAATACAGATGTGACACCCGCAATACTGATATGACACCGCAATACACATATGACACCCGCAATACAGATATGACACCCGCAATACAGATATGACACCCGCAATACTGATATGACACCCGCAATACAGATATGACACCCACAATACAGATATGACACCCGCAATACAGATATGACACCCTCAATACTGCTATGACCCCCGCAATACAGATATGACCCCCGCAATACTGCTATGACACCCGCAATACTGATATGACACCCGCAATACAGATATGACACCCACAATACTGATATGACACCCGCAATACAGATATGACATGCACAATACTGATATGACATCTACAATACAGATATGACACCCACAATACTCATATGACACCCGCAATACTGATATGACATCTACAATATAGATATGACACCCACAATACTGATATGACACCCGCAATACAGATATGACATCTACAATACTGATATGACACCTGCAATACTGACATGACACCCGCAATACAGATATGACATCTACAATACTGATATGACACCTGCAATACTGACATGACACCCGCAATACAGATATGACATCTACAGTACTGATATGACATCTGCAATACTGATATGACACCCACAATACAGATATGACATGCACAATACTGATATGACACCTGCAATACAGATATGACACCCGCAATACTGATATGACACCCGCAATACAGATATGACACCCGCAATACAGATATGACACCCGCAATACTGATATGACACCCGCAATACTTCTATGACACTTGCAAGACTGCTGTGACGTCCCTAAGACTCATATGACACCCGTAATACTGACACCCCCAAGACTGACATGACACTTGCAATACTAGTATGTCAGCCGATACAGCATCCAGACTCTCACCAGGGTGCTTGGTACACAGCTTCCAATGACCTTGATTTGGGTCGGGCTTGGCTTCTGTAATGAAGTTTGATGTTGTCTCTGCTTTACGGACATGGTATTGATGTGGTTGTTTATAATTTACTTTCCAGTCATTTCAGTTTAGGGAGGGTCAGAATCCTGTAGCCTCCAGCTACATGACTCCTAAAGCACAATTTCTAATCTTGTGGCTAATGTTAGTCCTAGAAAGGCAATCTAGTTCCCAGGCAAGAAAGAGGTCTGCTTTGGGAAAGGGCTGTTACCGTCTTTGTTTAAACTATAAGTTAAGTTTCTCCCAACATTAGTTCAGCCTACACCCAGGAATGAACAAGGAGGTTACAAGCAAGGCGGAGTCAGGTTAGATCTCTTTCACTGTCTCAGTCATAATTTTGCAAAGGCAGTTTCAATCCCTCCCTTTGAGTTTTATAACACCTTAATCTTAAGGTGCAGGCTATGAAGATGGGAAAAGGCCGTTGATCACTCTGGCTTCTTCCTGCTGACAGCGGACATAGTGGGAATGGGAGTGAACCCCAAGGTGAGAGAGTGGAACCACTTTGCAACTGTCTGAGCGTACTCATGCAGCCCTGGCTTTTCAGTAGGCCTACACAGAAAATGTGAGTATCTAGCCCTGAAAGGTAAACACGAGCTTTGTGCCAAAATCCTACATGCCGTGGTCTTTTCTTTCGCTGAATTCAACATATTTTGATATTGATCGCTTTTTAAAAACACATTTTGCACAAGCTCAGAATAAAGTATTTCAAACCTCAGTTAGTGCTTTCAGGAATATATGCACATAAAGCCCTAAATGCTAAAAGAAAGATATGGCACAAAAATAATTTATTATTTGCCGTGATCTTTCACTGAATTCAACATGTATTAACTAAGGGCAGTTTTCAAAGACACATCCTGTCAAACCTCAGAAAACACAATTCTGAGCATAGTAGGCCTATACAGAAAATGTATCTAGTCTTAAAAAGTAAATGCAAGCTTTGTGCCAAAAACCCAGATGGTGTCCTGTTTTCTTTCACTGAATTCAAGATGTTGACATTGATCACTTTTCAAAAACGCATTTTGTACAGGCTCGGGGAAAATTTTTTTGAAGCCACGTTAGCGCTTCCAAGAAGATATGCATATGCAGCCCTAAAGGCTATAAGCAACACATGGCACACAAAGAATGTACGACATGCGGCTTTCTTTCACTGAATCACACATGTATTAACTAAGAGCAGTTTTTAAAGACACACCTTGTCAAATCTCCAAAGACACAATTCGGAGCACAGTAGGCCCACACAGAAAACACTGTGCTGGGAATTAAACGTAAGGCAGGGTTCTTGGTGCAATGATTTGTCTACTAAGTCAAAAGTTAATAATACTAGAAACTAGTACTGAGGTCAAATTAACAATGACCAACCAGTGCAAGGCTACTAATCTTGCTTTCTGAATGTAATGCTAGAAATTCATAAACAAAATTGGCATTTGCTTTTTTCCCCTTATTTTCTAAGATGAGCAGCAGAGCTTAAAGATAGATATTAAATAAATTCCCCATACAAATAAGGGCTGGTCATTGCACATATTCAAACATTTGTTCACTTATTCAGCAAATACCTATTGAAGGTTTATTACATGCCAAACTCTATTTCTTCCAGTGATACGGAAGGAAAAATCAACATCCTTGCCCTAACGGTGCTCACATTCTAGTTGTAGGTATATCCCCATGGGATGTGACTGACCTGCTGACGTTATTCTTCCAGGTGAGACTGAAAACCCCTGCATCCTTGAGCTCATGGACGATGTGCTCTATGAGGCAGTAGAGGAGCTCCGCCTGGTACTCGACACTCCACAAAGCAACTCTCCCTTTGGGGCTGCAGTTGGTGAACAAAAAGAAACTCTCAAGGATCCAAGATGATGCTGATAGTAAGAAGTCATTTTTTGTGCTTCAGCTGTAAGTTGGGAAGTGAAATCCATCCAAATCCAGGTTTTAAGGGGTTCAGAAACCCGCCACCCCTCCCCTGCTTTCTGACTAGGGTTTTTAAGCAATTGAGAAATACGAAAAAGACAAAGCAAATGGGAAACAGAATAAACCATTAAAACTGATAAAGCTGATGTTGGAGAATATGGCTTATATCTGAACACTGAATCCCAAACATCCATACCTGCCCTCTCCTCTATACACACCCTTGGGTATAGGGGTACCAACAGTTTCCTCCCTCCCCACCCACCTTCATGGCCTGTTCACATGTACTTTATGGCACATAGGGACAGCTGGGAGCACATGCTCTCTGGGGGCTGGTTAAGTCCCAGGAAGGAGCTGGGCAACACATGCCAGCTTTTCCTTCCACACATACCCTAATTTTGAGGGAGGAGACAGAAGCCAGGAGTGTAATAGTTATTAAGCCCCTCCCACATGGAAACAAACATAGAAAAGGAGGAAAAGCATTCCCCTTACTAGCAATTTCATTTGTCTGTGTTTTCCACAATTTTAGAGACTTATTAAATTTGGAGAAACCAAATTTAACGTCACTGAACCCAAAGAACCCGGAGAGTCAGTGGTTATAAGAATTCCAGTGATTCACCAAGGAGACACTTCCAAGGTTTCCATCGTGAGTCCACACCAAGGATAGCTCGGCCACCTGTGGAGAAGACTACCACCTGTGTCAGAAGCTGTGGGGCTCCCAGGACGTGTCTCCCGATGGATCATGCCAACTCTGTGTGCTAGTGCCAGTGCCCTTGAGGAAAAGAAGAGAAACATCCAATTGAAAAAAAATAGGCACACTCTTTGTTGGGGGGTATAAGTTTAAGGGGTACAAGTGCAATTTTGTTACATGGTTATATTGTGTAGTGGTGAAGTCTAGTCTTTTAGTACATCCATCAATCGAATAATGTACATTGTACCCATTAAGAAATTTCTCAGTACCCACCCCCTGCCACTCTCCCAGCCTCCCAAGTCTTCAGTGTTTATCATTCCACACTCGAAGTTCATGTGTACACATTATTTAGCTATCACTTGTAAGTGAGAACAAGCAGGATTTGACTTTCTGTTCCTGAGAAGTTTCAATTAAAATACAGACATATTCTTTTAAATTTATTTTCTTTAGTAAAACAAAAACAATGCAATTTATTTCCAAGAATTTTTTTCTTTTTGACTTACAGGGTATATGTGTTAGGACTTAGAGAAATTGTGAGTAAATGTGCTAGATGACCTTCTGTTTCGAGTTGACTTTCTATTGGTTTTATCTTCATTGTAGTTGTCAGATTAAATAATTTCCTATATTTTTCTATGTCATTGCAATATGCATGATAACTGAGATAACAATCTATTTTAGTTTAGAGAACACCAGCAATCTAAATCTACACCTAGGAAATGTGGTAACAAAGGACAGTAAAAGTATGGCAAAATATTAATCGCAGAGACCATGAATTCTCTGGGATTTGGGAGCCACTTATAGATGTCCTTCATCCCTCTCTTTTTGCAAATGTTGGGCCATTTCACCATTTCCTTTTTTCTTTTTTTTCTTTCTTTTCTTTTTTTTTTTTTTTTTTTTTTGAGATATTCTTGCTCTGTTGGCCAGGCTAGAGTGCAGTGGTACAACCTCAGCTCACTGTAATCTCCGCGTCCTGGGTTCAAGCAATCTTTCCACCTCAGCCTCCCAAGAAGCTGGGACTACAGGCATGTGCCATCATGCCCAGCTAATTTTTTGTATTTTTGTTAGAGACAGGATTTCACCATGTTGGCCAGGCTGGTCTGAAACTCCTGGCCTCAAGTGATCTGCCTACCTTGGCCACCCAAAGTGCTGGGATTACAGGCATGAACCACCAAACTTGGCCTACCATTTACTGTTATCAGAAATTAAAACAAGTCAATTCTTCTCTCTCACTTGCTGTCACTCTGAATTATTTGCTTACAGAATAAACATAACTTTGTGTCCAAAATTACATTTATGAATTATTTGGAGTCTAATTATTCACTCTGTTTCTACTTTCCTACCTCTCACTATCAAGAGTCATTAGTTCTTGATGATCTTAGCACTTCAGGCATTCACTTTTATCTAATTTACAAACAAAGCTGAGAAAACAAGTGATAGGTATCACTGAATCAGTAACAAAGTTAGTGAGGCAATATAAAAAATAGCATCTTCTACAAAGGAGCTTGTATTTTCTTCCATATAATGGTTATAATTTAATGAACTACTCTAGAGCTTCAAAGTTGTCCCCAGATTATTCTCTATGTAAAGCACAATATATATTTGAAATAAATCACATATAATCCAAGAGAAGAGAAAACAAAACTGATTAGCTACTTAATTGTAAAATATTAAATGTCTTTCTATAATGAGCAGATTTTACATGAAACAAGAATCTTCTAAATATTTTAACATGACTTTTAGCAAAAAAATGTTTTTCTTGGAAGTAAAATGATTCCTTTTGCTAAAACAGAAACAAAATTATAACTATGTAGTAAACTGAAAAATAAAGTCAGAAAAAACTTAAAATGTTAAATAAACCTGTTGGTCTCTTTTATCCCATAAATGTCAACATGCTTTTTATAATGTTTACACTAAAAAAATTAAAATTTTTTCTAAAACATTTCCTAATTTCTCCTTTTAAGGTTCAAACTGAATTTAGTTCTTTGAAAAAAAAAACAAAAAAATTAAATATATTAAAAAGTTGAATTTTTTTGCATGCTAAGAAAGTCTAAAGTGACAGGAAAAGATAAATGTGAATGAGAAAACTTGACCACCGTCCAGCGAGTATACTATGAGAAAACAGTAACTAAAATATTTAAGATAAATGTTGAATTTTTTAAATTCTAAGAAATTTGGTTTGTATAACTCAAGGCATTACAAAACCTTGAATATTTACAGGTCTAAGACAAGCAATGAAAACGAGTGAAGCAAGGACAATATGAAAGAAAATGGAGTGATTGTAATGTCATTAAGCCAGCAAGCCCATTCCTCGCTGAGAAAAGCCTGTATTATCATAGCCTAGTGCCACAGACTACTGCCATGCAGGAAGGTGCAAAAGAACTAAAAAATCTGTATTTTTCTATGAAATTCCAAGACTTTTAAGTGTTAGTAACCAATTTTTCAATATCACATCATACAGGTCAAATCAAACAAATGATTAGCTATTTTCTTCTACTGGAACAAGAACCGTAAGTTCTCTCAGGGTCCGAGAAGTCTGGGACTGATGGGCTCAACTAACATGCGAAGGCTAACAGGAAAAACTGCTGCACCTGGAAACACAGAGAACAAATTTTGAAAAGAAAAAGAAAACATCTTTAAAGATAAAGAGAAAAAAAAATCCTCTTTGTACTTCATAATTTAAAAATTGAAGCAGAAAAAGGAAAATGCGCTGGCAATTCATTTTCTTCTGCCAGACTTGAAAGGGTTTGTAATTTAGAATTATAATGATTGAACTGCCCTGCATCAGAAAGCAGCACCTGTTGACTCTTCTAATTGGGATTATGCTTATATTCTTTATATTTTCTCTTTTGAAACAGTATCTCAAAAGGTATAGTAAAACTAGCAAAATAGTTTATCCAAAGTTTACCAAATGATCAGCTGCTTAATTATGAGTTCAATAAAATCTGATAATTTTAATGTTTTTAGTAATTTTGAAATGAGTGGTTAAAAAAGAATTCTGATTTTTTTTTTAGGATTCTAGATTTAATTTTCATGACAATGAAGCAATCCTTTTTTAGTGAGAAGGGAGTGGGTGAAGAGAAAAAAATCATTAGGATTTTTCTAAAATAACTTGTCTAAGTTTCCAAGAAACACAAAAATAAGTATCTCTGAAATATAATTTGGTATTATATAAAAAACTAAACAACTATATATCCAGCTCTTCTACGTATATACATAATGTAAATTCCATTCACACTCTAACCTAGGATCACATTCATTTGTCTTGAGTCCTATTGGTTTAGAAATTCTGGGGAATAAGAGGTTAATTTTTCTGATTATATCCCAACATTAGAACTACTGATTGTCCCTCCCGTAATTCAGCATCTTTTCAAACTGTGGGCCAACAAATCAATATCTTATTATTAAAATAATAAGACTTGAATCTCTACTTGTTTTCTAGGATCGCCCTAATAAAGTACACAAACTGGGAGGCTTTAAACAACAGAAATGGACTTTCTCACAGTTCTGTAGGCTGGAAGTTTGAGATCACCGCAGCAGCTGGGCCGTGCTCCCTCCAAAGGGGCTAAGGGAGGATCCGGCCTTGCTGCTTCCAGCTTCTGGCAGCTGGTGGCAGCATCACTCCAGTCCCCGCCTCCATCTTCAGGTGGCTGTCCTCCTCCTGTATCAGCCAAATTTTCCTCTTACAAGGACAGCTTCCCTAATCTAGTATGACCCATCTTAATCATATCTGCAAACTCCCTATTTTCAAATAAGGTCACATTTACAGGTACCAAGGGTTAGGATTTCATCACCTTTTTGGGGAGACACAGCTCAACCCGTAACAATCCGCCCTCTGGTTCCCAAAGTTGATTTCCTTCACCTGTGCAAAATACATTTTCGCCCCATGTCAACATTTCCAAAAGTCTTAACACTTTCCACATCAACTCTTCTCACCATCTACATCATTTAAGTTACAGAGGAGACCTACTGTGATTCATCCTGTGGCAAAATTTCTCTCCATCTGTGATCCTGTGAAACCAGACAAGTTAATTGGCTTTTAAAAGACAGTGGGGGCCAGGGGCAGGCATAGGACAGACAGTCCATTCCAAAAGAGAGAAAGGGGAAGGAAAAAAGGGATCATGGGTCCCAAGTAAGTCTGAAAGCCTGCAGGGAAAATCCCATTAGACTGCTTTCACTATTTTCCATCTAAAATTTTTAAATGAGCTATGCAAGAGTAAAAACAAGTTATCCGACAGAGAAACTAGAGTTAGAAGTGCAGGATGAATTTACCAAGAGAGTAGGTTAAAAGGGAAACTTCTCCTTCAGGCCTATGGTGGGCATTTCTTGTTTACTCAAGAACCTACCATCTCTCACAAAATAATGTCCACTGGAATTCGATTATGTCATGATTTTGCCTGCCCCCGCGCCCCCAGTCACAGCAGGAGGGAAGCGCAACCCTAGCCTTTCCTTACTCTAGAGACAGGAGGCGCTATGCAGCGACGGCGGCAGAGAAAGCGTGGGAGCGACGCTCTTGCTCTGGACGCCGACGTGCCCACGTCGAGGCCGCGCCCAGACCCGGAGGCGGGGCCGTCACGTGGGGCAGCGTGGGCCGCTGCCTTGGAAACGCAGAGCGCGCGCTCCAGGTAAAGGCTGCTACGCCCAGGACAGGGTTCTCACGGTGGAGGAAAGGACTTCTGCGGGATACCACGCTGTGCGCCAAAAAGCCGGGCGGCTTCGGAGCCAGAGCAGCGGCTCTGCGGCGCAGGCGGCGGGTCGGGGCAGCCTTGAAGCCGGGATCCGGCCCGAAGGGTGAGCACCAGCTCGTCTCCGGTGGGCGCCGCCTTCAATGTCAAGTTCCAGGGCAGTCGCTTGGACCCGTTTGGCGAGCGCGGAGTGAGCGGCGCAGGAGGAGCTCCCCTAGGTCCCGGAAGAAAGCCGGCCCCTGCTCCGCGCGGCCAGCGACACTCAGAGCGAGATTGTTTGGGCCTGGGAGGAGGCAGGCAGCGAACCCAACTTGTACAGTGGGGTCTTGTGTGCGCTCTCAGTGACAGGCAAGGTTACCTCTGCTTTGAGGGGCCGGGTTTAGTGGTCTTCTCCCCAGAGTGTTGGATCTAGGAACTGCCTGCGTTAGCCCCTTGCTCCACGTGAATCTGAATAGTTCGTCCTGGCAGTGGCGGTGAATTTGGCTTGCCAGGACCCGCCCTCTGCCTACACTCAGCGGCACCCCGGCTAAAGCCCTTTAGCTCCATCGCTACAGGCCTGTCTTAAGAGGCCTCTTTATACCTGTGCCTTCACAGGCGGCATCACATGGTCTTTTTCCAAGGACAAGGCTGCCTGCAGTCAAGTAATAGTAATTTAATTGATACCTGAAATTCCATCACCTATTAATTTATTTCAAAGCTTTGGGCTTTCTTGTTTTAAGACACAAAACTCTGTTGAGACGAGTCTGACTTCATATAGTGCCATGGAATTGGCCACTTTGATTTCTTACCCCAGGAAGTCACTAGACTGCATTGTTTGCTTCTTATTTATATGTACCATGCCTAGTGTCGTACCTGGCATTCAGTAGGCACTCAGTAATTGTTCAGTGAGCGAATGAAAGGTGAGAGGAAGGCAAAGTTGGAAAGGACTTACCTGATGCCTGTTCTACTTGGAGTTTGTACATTTTGTCCATTTTAGTTAAGGATTACTTTTATTTTTGCCTTTTAAAATTTCATTATACTGTATTGCCTTATAAAGAGGAGTCTGGGGTATTGTTGCACTGAGCTAAAGGGTGTATAATTCTTGTTTTATCTCCGTTATCAGCTTTGTCGATTTTAAAATTATTTTGTGTGAAATTTGCTACACCACCTTCCTTAAGGGTATGTAGTGTTGGTATTAACATAGTTGGTGTGAGAACTACTTGTAGGCGCTGAGCAGAAAGACGTGAGGGGAAGCCTGATTTTGGGTAGATGAGATATAACTAATTTTAGCTTTATTTTTCTCTTTTGTATCATGATATTCGGCACTAATAGCAGATTTTCAAATTTTAGAGTTGGTTTTTGCCTTGAAAAAAAAAGGTTTATTCAGTTTTTTAGCATTACGGTCACTGGTAATCCGAGAGTTAGAATTCCTGAGAACAATATGGGCAGGTTGTACTGGGAAGTGGAAGTAGTCTGTGCTTGAATCAAATTAAATCACTATAAAGATGACATTTGTGTTTGGTTCTGATTCTGCTTTGTCCCCCACTGACTTTCTTTTTTTTTTTTTTAATTTGTAATATATTTTGAAGAGAGATTGCTAGCTTAACTTCATCCATCCCTTCTTGTAGAAACAGTAGGGCTTGTCAGGCCTGAAGGTTTACCTGTTGGTATTTCTGAAAATCTATGTGTTAAGCACCTACAAAGTGAATTAACAAAGCCTAGCATCTGCTCCGGTCACTTGTTTCTTTCATTGAGTTCCCCCATGTGTTAGACATTCTATTGGATAGCTGGTTAAAGAAATGAAGGGCAGGGCTCTTGGGTCTGGAAGCTCACCTTTTCAGGAGAGAAGACTTTCAAACAGATAAATTGTAATAGAGAAGTATGGAAAAGTGTGGGCTTTACAGATGTACAGAGCGGGTTCGAGTTCTGTCTTTCCCAATATTAATTTGTGACCTCAAACAAGTTTTTTCTAACCTCTTAAAGCATGTGTCCTGATCTGTGAAAGAATGATACTCTGTTCTGTAGGATTGTGTGATTTAAATGAGAACCTATGTAAAGTAGCAGGTACACTTCATGGTATGCGGTAGGTGCATATTAAATGCTTTCTTTCCCTGCCTTCCTGAGTGTGCTAACAAGTGGGATTGAATAGGTAACAAAAGAATGGTCATTCCCATTAGATCAGTGATTTTTGTTTTTATCAAGATATTGAAATGTCTTTGGAACGTATAAAATTTGCTCCCAGTTTCAGCCTATGATTTTAATATGTTCATTAAATTTTTCTAAAATATTTATTGCTTCATAGTGAACTCATCCTCTCTGATAGTTGTAGAATAATTGGTACTATGTACTGAGATCTCACTTTGTCAGATGCTGCTGTTAGTACTTTACATATACTTAGTACCTGTATCCATGCTGTAAGGTATGTATCGTCATTCCCATTGTACATGATGAAAAAAATATGAGGCCTAGGAGGAGAAATAACATGACCAGGGTTATAAGCTAATAATAATTATGGCTAACATCTGTAAATGCTCTGTGCCAAACACTGCTTTATATATATATATATTATTTCATTTAATCCTTGTGGCCACTCTTAGGTTCTGTAGAAGTGACAGAGCTGGATTTTGAACCCATACCATTCAGTTTTTGTTTTTCGGAAAAATAATTAAAAATTGAAAAAAAATTGGCCGGGCGTAGTGGCTCAAGCCTGTAATCCCAGCACTTTGGGAGGCTGAGGCGGGCGGATCACCTGAGGTCAGGAGTTGGAGACCAGCCTGACCAACATGGTGAAACCCCATCTCTACTAAAAATACAAAAATTAGCCAGGCGTGGTAGTGCGCTCCTATAATCCCAGCTACTCAGGAGGCTGAGGCAGGAGAATCGCTTGAACTCGGGAGGCGGAGGTTGCAGTGAGCTGAGATCACGCCACTGCACTCCAGCCTGGGTGACAGCGTGAGACTCCGTCTCAAAAAAAAAATTAAAAATGATGTTATGAAATCATTTTTGGTGTAATTTATGTGGGGTGATATGAGGAGTATGATAGTGGTGTTCGTGATCACAGGTATAACATGATATACCAATGAAAGTCAAGATTTGCTTTGTGACAAAAGTAATTTTAGTAAATATTTAAAAAGCACAATTTTGAATTTTGGTTGTAAATTGGACGTATTCCTTGGTTCTAAGGGTCTTTTTGGAGTTCCTGAGCTCAGTGCCCCAGAAGGCACATACTTCATATGAAATATGAAGGATTTCATACTGCACAAGAAAAAGCCTTGAGAAAGACAGAATTGCTTGTGGACCGTGCGTGTTCCACCCCACCTGGGCCCCAGACCGTGCTGATCCTTGATGAGCTCTCGGATTCCTTGTGCAGAGTGACCGACTTGGTAAGATGCTTTGCCTCAGACTTGAAGCTACCTCTCTTTCAACCTGTTAAAATTTAAGTGAAATTTATCCTTTGTTGTTTACTGTTAATATTAGATTATAAAGTTAAAAATGTCTGAAACTATTTGAGATCCATTGGGTATAATTTTTTGTGATGAAATACATCATTAGGAATGGGGAAAATGTTATAGGAAAAGGTGACATTTAGAACTTGTACTTTAATATGTGTATTTAATAAAATATACCTGTAATATATAATGAATGAATGATTACTGATATGGCAAATATTTGCTATATTTGGGTAATATATATTTACATATATATTCATTTGACAGAGATTCTTTATTTATGAAAGCTTCTCCCAAAATTCTAAGAACACTTTATGTGTGCATTTACAACAAAATTCCTCTTTTTCTATCTTTTTTTTTTTTTTAATAGAGACAGGGTCTCCCTGTGTTGCCCGGGCTGATCTTGAACTCCTAGCCCCAAGTGACCTCCTGCCTTGGCCTCCCAAAGTGCTGGGATTATAAGTGTGAGCCACTTCTTTTTCATAAGAGGTGTGAAAACCAGTTTTCATAAACCTTTTCAGGAATGCTTTTTTTTTTAATTAAAAACCAAGTTTTCACATCAAAATGATTGTAAAGACTTTTTTTTTTAACATTTTAAATTTGAAATAGAAGTGTATACCTAGATCTCTTCACCAACTAGGAAATCCATTGCTGAGATAGCAAAATTTTCTTTTTCTTTTTTTATTTTTAATTTTTGTGTGTACATGTATATATTCATGAGGTACATGAGATGTTTTGATAGAGGCATACAATGTATAATAATTACATCAGGGAAAATGGGGTGTCCATCCCCTCAAGCATCCTTTGTGTTACAAACAATCCAATTATACTCTTCTGGTTATTTTAAAATCTACAATTAAATTATTATTGACTGTAGTCACCCTGTTGTGCTATCGAATAGTAGGTCTTAGTCATTCTTCCTGTTTTTTTGTACCCATTAACCATCCCCACCTCCCCCATACCACCCTGCTACCCTACCCATCTTCTGGTAACCATCCTTCTACTCTTTATTTCCATGATTCAATTGTGTGTATTTTTAGGTCCCACAAATGAGTGAGAACATGCGATGTTTGTCTTTCTGTGCCTGACTTATTTCACTTAATGACCATCCATGTTGTTGCAAATGACACAATCTCTTTTTTTTTTTTTTTTTTTTTTTTTGAGATGGAGTTTTATTCTTGTTGCCCAGGCTAGAGTACAATGGTGCAGTCCCAGCTCAACCTCCATCTCCTGAGTTCCAAGCAGTTCCCCTGTCTCAGCCTCCCGAGTAGCTGGGATTACAGACATGCGCCACCATGCCCAACTAATTTTTTTGCATTTTTAGTAGAGACAGGGTTTCACCATGTTTTCCAGGATGGTCTCGATCTCTTGACCTCGTGATCCACCCGCCTCTGCCTCCCAAAGTGCTGGGATTACAGGTGTGAGCCACCATGCCTGGCCATAATCTCATTCTTTTTTTATAGCTGAATGGCACTCTATTGTAAGTACCACATTTTCTTTGTCCATTCATCTGTTCATGGACACTTGGGTTGCTTCCTAATCTTGGATGTTGTGAACAGAGCTGCAACAACCATGGAAATGCAGATATCTCTTCTATTTGCTCATTTCCAGGAAGCAGGATTTTCTATCAGCCTGAAGGAGCCGACTCTTGGTTACTCATGTCAAGGAAAACACACACAATTTAAATAGTGATCATTTATGATCTTGTCTACATAGTATTGAACTACATAGGTTTTTCCCTCACATTCAGTCAATGTTGAGCACCTACTGTGTGCCAGACACTGTCTAGGCACCAGGGATACATGCAGGAATGAAACCGACACAATCTGTTACTTCACGGAGTTTATATTCTGGCATTAACTTGTTTTTGAAAATTTAGGCTGTAGGCCCTTTCTACAGCCTAGTTAGCTGAAGAAGCTTTCTCTGGATGAGCTGAAGTAACCTTCTCAGCATATCTCCATTTTCACAAGAGGGAAGAAAGGCACTGGGTGATGAAGGGATGTGCCCGCTGTCAGCTGGCCAGCTTGTGGTGCAGCTAGCTGCCAGCCCAGGCAGGGTATCTGTCGAGCTCTTCTTCTTTCTCCTGTTCCAACCATTTCAGGGCTGGCTGGCTGCTCAGGTCTCATGAATCCTTACCTGGAAAGGTTGCAAAGTTTGTTAGCCTCTCCATCTTTAAAAAAAATGTATACTTGTTTTTAAAATTATTATACAGTAAAATTGACTTCTTTTGGAGGATGGTACAGTTCTATGAATTTTAACTCGTATAAATTTGTGCAGCCCTCACCACAATCAGGATACAAAGCTGTTCCATCCACCCCCAAAAATCTCCCTGTATAGCCACACCCCCCCCCGACTAACCTCTGGCAACCACTAATCTGTTCTCTCTCCCTATAGCTTTGCCTTTTCTAGAATGTCACATAGGTGGAATCCTGTATACCTTTGACTGACTTCTTTCACCCAGCATAACTCATCCCCATCTTTATTTTTTTTCCTTTTTTGGAAAATTTCCTTCCACCCATACACCTGATTTGAGCATTAACACCTTTCAGATGATTATATGTTCACCACAAGCCTCCCGCTCTTAAGGAAACTGATAAAGTATCTTATTGTAAAGGGTTTTTCTCTGGAGTGAAGTTGCAGGCTCTGGGTAGTTCTGTTGTGCTGGGTTTTTGTTCTGTGCCTCCCGTATGTGCATAGGAAATGTGTCTTTGAATGATGGGGGAGCTGTGGAACGCACTGCCAAAAGGAGGTTTCATACCCTGTTCACCTGATTGTGTCACAGAAATCAGAAAAGGAAAATCTGTGTCAGTGAATTTCACTATTCAAGTACAGTCAACCCCTCCAGATTCGGGCATCTGTAGAGTCAACCAACCTTGGATCAA
The DNA here is from genome assembly GCF_000001405.40 of Homo sapiens. Taxonomy (NCBI): domain Eukaryota; kingdom Metazoa; phylum Chordata; class Mammalia; order Primates; family Hominidae; genus Homo; species Homo sapiens. The sequence continues at coordinate 21,304,567 of NC_000013.11, forward strand.
AAATATCTGGAAAAAAAAATTGCATCGGTACTGAACACATACAGACTTTTTTCCTTGTCGCTGTTGCATGAAATAATACAGTGTAACAGCTATTTACATATTATTTACATTCATTAGGTATTACAAGTAATCTAGAGATGATTCAGTGTAAGGGTTGTGCTGTGTGTCAGTTATATGATTTGATGTATGGAGTGTGCTGTGCGTCAGTTATATGCAAGTACTACACCATTTTATATCAGAGACTTGAGCATCTGTGGATTTGGGTATCTGTAGGAAGATCTAACCATTGCCCACTGATACTGAGGGGTGACTGTTGGCATGGCTGTCACAAATCCCAGAATTCACTGTGTATTTGTTGTCTTAGTCTTCATCTTAATCAGTATTCTAGGATTTTTTTCTACATTTTTGCTTGTGGTCTTCACTAAAATATTTTAACTTTTCTGCCCTGTATCTTATCTTATTTTGACATTTTTAATATTATGTATAATATCTCATTTTGAAAACTTAAAAAAAAAAAAAAACTATGTGATTTATATATGTAGTTCTCCGGGTAAAAAAGAACCTTTCTCCTTTTTGAATTTTTGAGATGTTACCTACCAGTAATGTTGGTACTATTATAAGGCAATCGTCTTATAAACTTTTTCACTAAATAGTCATTTTGTTTTCTTTGTTTTCAACACAGTTTTTACGTAACAGAACTGTTTTCCTCATCACTATTAGAAATCAGTTGTTAATGTGCATGCTAGTGTTTTGAATTTTAATATTGATTATAAATTCACATGTAGATTAGTAATTTGTAAAAAAAAAAATGTAAATTTATGTAACTCATTTTTCAGATACTTTGGTACTAATGTTATTTTATCGTTACCAATTCTTACAACAAATATACCAAACTATGGATTTAAATGTTTTGGCATTAAAAACTATTTGATAATAAAATCAGGAAATTTTACCTTGTGGTGATTTTATTTCATGTTATAGTCACACATCTTCTTGGCAAATAAAATATGTAGTGTTTTGTAGTTTCTCTGCTTTTTGTTACAATTGACATGAAAACGAAAATTTAGTTTTACATCATTTTATCTTTTTAAAAAAATTGTTGCTCATTTTAATTTCTAATGACTTAAGTAGCAGCAGCAGTAGTAGTTGTACACAGTATTACATGGAGACTGAACTCATATTTTATTAAAAGGACTAAAGAGACTGTGCCTTTGTTTTCTGCACAAAGACTAGAATGTAGTTAAAGACTAAAGTGTAGTTAAATGAGTTTTGAAACTATACTATGTGTCAGTTAAAGAAAACAAGCCTCTAAGAGTTGTTTTTTGGAGCTAGGTTAACCTGTGAGAACCATACTGCAAAGAATTTTAGCCAGAAAGTTGTAGAATATTTGAAACCAGTGTCTGCTCTTTTGATTTAATAAAGGGTTAGGAAGAATTTGCTTGGTGTTTATATTTGAAGGAGAAAAACTTTTCTGAAACAAAGTTAATAAAATTATTTTTTTTGGAAAGAAACAAACTTGGTTTCAAGGAATAACAGAATTAAATAAATGTTCAGAAAGCAGCTGCTTTGCTTTACTCGCTTAGGAAAAAGTCAGTAATGGAAATGCATAGGCCAAGCCAATGGCACATCTTAAAACCCAGTTTTCATTTTCACCCCCAGATCCTGGAAGAAAGCTTCCCATCAAATTCCCTTTTGGTTTCGTCTTTCCCCTTTATTAGGCTGATTTTGTGAAAATCGCTCACCCTGAGCCAGCATTCAGGGAAGTCGCAGAAGAAGCTTGTAGAAGTATTGGCACCATGGTAGAGAAGTATGTGCTGTTCCCCTCCCCACCTCCGTGCCAAGTCCTGGGTGATCCGGTTTCATGGACTTGTGCCGTAGGCAGTTTTGTCCATAGTGCTTGTCCCCCGCCCAGCAGGGTGGGAGGTGTGTGTGACCAGGGGTGGCCGGAGGGAGGTCTCAGGACAGGCCATTGGCTCACCTTGCAGGCAGGCACTGGGCCTCAGGGCTGGTTGTCTGTTCTCTCAGTCATTTCCTTCTCTGTAAATGGGGTCATAAAGTTAACCCTGCCTCAGGGTCCTTGTGAGTGTTAAATGAGATCAATGTAAAGGTGTCACTTGATAATCTGAGATGACAGACACCCAGGATTCTTGTCATCACCATTATCACTTACCTTAAATAAGGGCTTTTTAGTGTCCTAGTGGCAAGTTGGACTTACTAGATTATCGCTTGATTAAATTGCTGTTGCATCAATGGCTGTGGGCCACGGGGCGAGAAGCCAAAACGCTCTATAAACAGTGTCCTTGTGGTCCCTGTTGAGTTGGAATTAGGGGAGTCTAGGGAGGCTGTGAAAGTCTGTGGGAGAGCTGGAGCAGGCTCTGGCTGAGGCTGTGATGGAGTGAATTATTTTAAAGTGATTTTGGGGTAAATGTGAGTGTTTTTAAGCCACTTATAAGAGCTCCATAGTGCTTGTTAAAATAACTGAATGGTGGACAGCGCTGTATTCCAACACACTTAGCTGCATGGCACCATGCCAGGCAGTGTATAGAGCTAGGGAGAGCCCTGGGCTCGCCAGCGTGGATTTACAACAGGGAAAAGGGGGTAACACGATAAGACAATTTCATATGCCAGAAATTGTTGGAGGAGGAGAGTGATGGCTTCTCTGGTTAGACGAGGCTTCCTTGGAAGACCCAACGCTTCAGGATGTGCAGCTGCTGCTTTTCCCCAGGTCGCCAACATTTGTTCACTTTGGCACAATCGTGTGTGACTTTCCCCATAGCCGCTGAAAACCAACTTGCGTAATGGGACAGAACGGGGCCCTGCAGAGTGCAGACACTGGGCATGCTGACAGGGCTGAAAGTGGGGACTCCCTGGGAGAAAGCTTTGCCTCTCGGGGAAAGGCCCCTGGGAAGGAGTCAGCAGTGGGCTGCCTGCTCGAGGCTCTCTGCATGCTGTGTCCTGCCGAATTAGACGTGGGCTGGTCTCATGGACAAGCACTCTTCATTTTGTGGGAGGACAAATACAGACTGAAGTATGGGCTTTATCTCAGGGTCTTCCAACATAAAACATACTACTGGGAGATTTCCTTAAACCTCTGCAGTGGGGGCAGTGCGGGCAGCCTCTGAGCTACTGTTCCTTTGCCATGGAGTGGCTCCGTGGGTGAGCAGGTTGGGAGGAGGTAGGCCTCCACACTCACTCTCTCCCTGACTTCTGGGATCCATGTGTGGGAGTCTGGCCCTTCTTGGTGAGTGTTTTTTGATGGGTAATGACTATCTACGTTTCACTAGCATTCGGGAAGGCCCATGTGAATGGTAACAGAAACCCTTCGATTGATGTAAATCTTCAGTGTTTTTATCTTGAACCAACTGAGGAACAGGAGTATCCTTGAGTCTCTGAGTAGGAACTGGTGGGTGGTTCTTACAAGAAAGAGATGAATCTGAACTATAAGGAAGCTTATAATAGAGTTATTTTCTATTACTTTTTCCTCATCTAGTTTTCTTTTGACATTTTAGACCATTAGGACATCTTGACCAAGCTCTAGGGGAAAGGGGTAGAGAGGAAAAAGAAAAGAGTAAAGCCTCTTGGTACAGACTATGTTTGAAGTTTCGTTCCTCAAACGTGTGAACTTGTGCACGCAATACAGCAAGGGAGACACGGGAATGATAAAGAAGGATAAGACGTGAAAGATACAGTCTAACTGCTAATATTGTTTCGTGTATGTACCTTTTAATAAGAGTAAAGCTTCCCAGCTAAATTGGGTTGGGGCTCTCGGTGGAATTTCCGATATCAGCTAGTACAAGAGAAAGTGGAGCCAGGGGTGGGTGGGCTGGGAATGGCATTCAGCCAGGCTGGGGACTTGCTGGAAAGGCAAATTCTCAGGCTGTATTCCAGGAGTACTCGGGACTGGTCCCAGTGCTGTTTTAACCAACGCTCCAGGTGATTCTGAGCACTCGCTAGTTGGAGAACCACTGGGTTAGGGAGCTAAGGTCTCTCAACGCTGCTTGAGAAGGGCTGCCACAACCGCCAGTGAAGGAGATGGGTTGAGTGATTGCCCAGGGGCACTGGGCTGGTACCAGGAAGGGTGTGGATTTGAGGCCAAGCCTTCCAATTCTAAGTCCAGGGACTTTTATACTCTGCCAAATAATACTAGAAACAAACAAAATCTCCTGTCTCACCCAACCTTTTAAATTTAACATGTGAATTAACTTAGCTCCATAAAAACAATAAACTACACTTGGGTCTTTAATATAGAAAACAGAACAAACTGTTTAACACCCTGAGAAGATTCAGCTTCCTCACTTGGGCTAATATTGTTAATTTAGTTTTGTTGGGGGAATTAGCCACCTCTTGCTTTGATGGGTTCTATTCTTTCTACCCTGCCCTGCCCAGCATGAGGAATAATCTCTAGTCCCGCAGTGGTGTAGAGCTCTGTCTATTCTGGGATGAGACTGGACTTTCTTGTCTTTTGTTCAGGCAGGAGCAATGGCATTGAAAAGTTGAAAGACAAATAAAGTCAGCAGGAGATAGACTTTTGAGATTCTAGCTTTTGAAGCTAAACAGATTGATCTAAGGAATTCAGTCTTTTTCTGATTCTTTGTATTGTTAACATCATCTTTGCCTGCATGTGAGTGACTTCTGGCCACCGAGGGGCTGCACTTCAGCCTGTGGCCATGTGGGAGGCATTTTCTTCCTTTTGGCTGAAGCTTTGGGTAGGATGGGAGTTAGGGAAGGTGGGGAATGGGTGGCACAACCCTCTGCCTGTAGCATTTAACCCACACAGTGGGCTTGGTGACATCCTAGCGATTTGATGTATTCCACCCCTAGAATCCAACCTTTCCTGTCATTACGGCCAGACATTATACACTCAGGGCATAAATATGCTGCACATAGAAGCTATAGGGAAGCAATTGATACTGGGGAGATCCATTCTGTAATAATTGTGACTTGACCAGTTAGAAATATTACCCAGGGGCAAGCATTCTTAGAAATGTTTGACCATTAAGTTTCTTAAACCATTAAGAACCACCACTTTTTCTTAAATTTCTTTCCCCCCAGTATATATTTTAACACCTTTTAAATTCCCATAGAAAGTGCTAATTCCCTTACTATAAATTGTAAGAGAGGTATACGTAGTGGGTGGGAATAGCTGAAATTTGCCAAATTTATCAAATTTGCTGACCCATTTGAAAGGTGTGGCTTAAAGATGTACTTTTCACTCATGACCAGCTCAGTTGAGTTGGGGAGGTTCTGCCTTTCACCATGGACTCCAAGTTCTTCATTTGGGCTGGGCATGGTGGCTCATGCCTGTAATCCAGCACTTTGGGAGGCCAAGACAGGCAGATCACTCAAGCCCAGGAGTTCAAGGCCAGCTTAGGCAACATGGTGAAACCTCCTCTTTATAAAAAATACAAACATTAGCCGGGAGTGGTGGCATGCGACTGTAGTGTGAGCTACTTTGGCTGAGGTGGGAGGATAGCTTGAGCCTGGGAGGTCAAGGTTGCAGTGAGCTGTGATCACGCTACAGCATTCCAGCCTGGGTGACAAAGTGATACTTCGTCTCAAAAAATAAATAAATAAGTTAAAGTCCTTTTTTGATACTCTGCATCCTGACAGCTAATGATAACAGACATAGAGTGTGGATGATAATTCTGTAGGACACTTTAAGGGCATGATCTGGAAGTGGCTGACATCAATTTTGCCCACATTTTATTATGCAGAACTCCTTACATAGCCTCACTTAGATTAGAAAAAGTTAAAAAAAAAAAAAAGTTTTCCTGGTGCCCAGAGGGAAAATGAAATGTTTTGGTGAACACGTAGAATGGTTTCTGCCATAGGTTTTATGACTCATGAATGGTTAGGAAACATTGCCGTGGGCATTCATGTGTGAAAGGATATGTTTTGCAGAGTATCATGATTTAGTTTGTCAGGCCAGCTGGGTCACAGAGGAGTTGTTAGAATGGAGTCAGAGTGGTAGCGTATTTCTCTAAAACAATCTTGAAAGATTCTGATTTCTCTAGGAGATCTCTCCAGCAAGATTTGTGGGGCTTAGCATTCTGTGTTCTCCCAACATCTTTCATCACTAAAACTCTGGAGGAGAAAAAAATATCAGGAAGATTCCAAGTACTTGCCGCTCTCTGGGTGAGAATAACTACCTTGAGGAACATGAAGAAGACATCTTTCGCAGTATTTTTTCTACAGTTTTGGAGGGCAGGGCGTGGGTCTAGAGTTACCTCAAACTTGAAAGTGAGAATTGAACCATGCTTCTGACAGCACCGCCTAAAGGAAGTGAGGTGTTGTAACTTGGTTACTTGGCATTTGGTATTTGTCGCTGTTTGTTCCATAAAAAGTTTTGGAAGTGTTGGTAGATGTAGCTAACATTTGGTCTACTGCTATAAAGGATGTCGAGACCTCCAGTCAGATTTGTGGTTTTCCATTACCTGGGTACCACAGGAAGTCCTCACCTGAGGGGACTACTTACAGGATGACTTTTGTCCTTCACAAGATGCATCCTCACATCCCCTCATTGCCTTCAGCCCACTAGTTAAGGTCCATTATCTGCAAAACCCCAGAGAAGGAAATGAAGTCCCATTGCAAAGGCAGTTGATGAAAGCTCTTCACCAAGTATTTGATGACTGGTTTACTCATCAGGAGTTGAAGGGCCTAATTCTTACCAGGAGAAGTCAGAGAAACACATAGGGGGCAGATCTTGAGAGTTTTGGGTCAGGAGGTTTGGGTATTATACATAAGATTGACTAGGGAAGGTCTACTGACTCTATCCTATAATTCACTGTCCTCAAAAGGACAATTGTGCCTATCCTAATAATGCTGGTCAGAGGTTTCTTGAAGCTTGGATAAGATGACAGCCTTATCATCTTTCCCTGGGGGAAAGATGCCATATTTGCCATGGCATGGTATTGAGGAAGGAGTCAGACAGTCCAGGGAGGTTTTATTATGCAAGACCAGAGACCCTGATCTTGTTCCCTGTGAGGCCAAGAGGACATGCCCTTTATACAAAAACAAGAAACTCACTGGTGAGGGGCCACCAGCATTGTTGGGAATCTCACTAGTGATTGTCTTCCGTGGTCTATGGTTCACAGTAGAAAATGCTGCCACAGAACTGACCTCTCTAATATTACTGAAGATGAAGATATTTTGGAGTAGCAGAGGCCAAGTCGCAGCATTTGCCATCAAAGTGAATATGACTACCACAAAGTGAATATGACTACCATATGGCAGCAAGGCCAACGTGCCAGCCAGGGTCCTGTACACATAGGGCATTTCTAGAAGAAAGATGGGTGAGTACCCACTGTGAATATTTCTTGACTTGTGTAACCAGAAAAAATATTAAGAGAAGGTAAGCTGAAATCTGATGTCTGCTGCCAAAAAGAAAAATGATAATCCCTCACCTAGCTCCCAGATTTGAGTCAGTTCTCGGGCCCCTGGCCTAGTGATTGAAGGGGAGGCCGGGCCCCCTTGAAAAAAAAACCCTGCAGTGCCACAAACCTTCCCCCAAAGGGACCTGTGTAACTTTACACTAAGAAAATGGAAATATACAGATTTTTCAGGGTATACAGGGTCTAACCTTACAATGACATCAGCAGAACCTGAAATGCCACGATGACAGCTAGTTAGAATGGGCTATTATGGAGGCGGGTGATAAATGGAGTTCTTGTCAAGGCAGGCTCAGCAGTGATGATGAGGGTGTTAGGGCTCACCCTGTCTTTGCTTCCTCAGTTCCAGTGTGCTCAATTGGAAAGGATAGACTGAGCAGCTGGTAGAGCCCTCACGTTTTGTTTCCTGACCTGTGAAATAAGAACCAGGAAGGAAGAAACAAATGGAAACCCAGAAAGTGCCCATTCCCACCAAAGATAGAAAATCAAAGCGATACCCTATTCCAGTGGAATGGCTGAGATCGATGCCACTCCCAAGAACTTAGCAAATGCAGGGGTGGTCATCCTCATCATATCCCCATTCAATCCATCTACATGGTCTCTGCAAAAAACAGATGGATTTTCGTGAATAACAGCAGACTACCGGAACGTTATCTAAGTTGCGTCCCAATTGTATGTAGCTACCTAATTGGATGTGGTATCTTTACTGGAACAGAGCAGCACAGCCTTTGGTTCCTGGGTTGTGGCTATCCATCTGGCAAACAAGTCATCTTCCAACCTCCTCAGGAAGGATGGTCAAGATCAGTTCTGTCTCATTAAGAAAGGATTTGAGTACACATTCACTGTCTTTCCCCAAGGCTATATGTATTCTCTTTCTCTCTGTCACCTTGACATATCATGCTGGTATACTATGTTGTTGACATTATGCTAATTGGACTTGGTGAACAGAAAGTGGCCGGTACTCTGGATGTCATAGTAAAACACATGAAGGTGAAACATAAATCATTTACAGTATCAAAGTCCTGCCATATTGATGAAGATTTTAGGAGTCCCATGGTTTGCAGCATCCTAAGGTAAACAATTACCCCTATGAAAAGTTATATGGTTTGGTGGGCGACTTTGGATTTTAGGAGGCAGCCAATATTGCACTTGAGATTATTTCTTTGACTCATTTCTTGGGTCATTAGAAGTCTACCAGTTTTGAGTGGAACCCAAAGCATAAGAAAACTGAAGAAATTCTAGGCTTCAGGACAACATACTCTGCTGTTGAGGCCATATAATTCAACAGATCCAACAGTGCTCGGGGTATCCATGGTAGGAAAGGATGCTATAGGAAATCTTGGACAAACCCTAATAGATTTGCAGTACAGAATGGGTAGGGTTCTGGAGAAAGGCATGTCTACTCCATTCAAGAGACTATTTATTGTTTAATTACTCACTACTCAGAAAAACAGCTTCTGATGTGATAAGGGGTCAAGAGAGATCAAGCACCTGAAAGTGGGACATCAAGTGATTATATGATAGGAGTTTCCTATTACGAGCTGGACATTGTCAGATCCAACAAGGTGGTAAGGTATGATGGAAATGGTATATTCAGGACCAGATCTGAGCAAGTCCAGAGGGTATAGGGTGGCCCAGGGCTCCATGTCACCTACCTCTGCTGTCCTGACATGTCTCTCAGCTCACATCTATAAATATGGGGGCAGGAGTGAGGGAACTCTATGATTCACTGATGAAGGAGGAACAACACAGCTCATTCCTGGTTCATGGATAGATTGGTTCAGATACTCAATGCTGCCTGAGAATGGGCAGCTGTCAACACTACCACCCAACTCAGTGGTGGCCCTAAAGGACAGTGATGAGGGGAAACCCTCCTAGAGGGTAGAGCTGTGAGCAGTATTCTTGTTTGTCCACTTTGTATGCCAGAAGTGGTATGAGATAAGGATATATATGGACTTCCATGTAGTGGCAAATAACTTGGCTGGTCTTGGTCTGGGGTTTAGAAGGGGCAAGTTTAGATGATCAGAGACAAAGTGGTCTGGGAAGAAGCATGTAGATGAACTGTTGAAAGTGGCCACAAAATGTGCAGATCTTTGTGTCTCACATCATTGCCACTAGAGAAGATTTGGCACAGACAGGACACTCACTAAGCAGGTAGACAGAGGAACCGGCTAACTGGCTGGTAGATGTCAGTCATCTCTGTCCCCAGCCACCCCAATTCTTGTACAATAGATCCTTGAGTGGAGAGTGGCCATAGTGACAGGGAAGGCCATTATTCAAGGCCTCATCCGTCATCCAGCATGCACTCCTTTTCACCAAGACAGTTGGTAAATTTATTATTTATTTATTACCAAATAAATAAATGTATTAGATCTAAAAAATCTATTAGATAGATAAATGTATTAGATACAGGATTTTAGAGCTGACAATGTGAGGTATAATATATAAAAGCTTAGAAAAGCGTAGGGAGACATCTGTCTTTTTCCTTTGCATTGACAGCATGTGCTTGCATCAGCTCTGTGTGTGTGTGTGTGTGTGTGTGTGTGTGTGTGTGGACTGTAGAAAGAAATCACTACATCCAGACTGTGCTATAGTATTTTTTCTCTTATTGGTAGGGGCTAAATCAGTCTCCCCTCCCCGTGCAAGAAAGAGATGTTGAAATCTTAACTCTCAGTACCTCAGAACTGACTTCATTAGGAAACAGGATTGTTGCAAATGTATACTTAAATTAAGATGAGGTCATACTGGAGTAGGGTGGGCCCTGGTCTGACATGACTGATGTCCTTACAGAAAGACAGCCACGGGCTGGGCACGGTGGCTCACGCCTGTAATCCCAACACTTTGGGAGGCCAAGGTGAGTGAATCATGAGGTCAGGAGTTTGAGACCAGCCTGGCTAAGATGGTGAAACCCAGTCTCTACTAAAAATACAAAAAAATTAGTTGGGCACGGTGGCAGGCACTTGTAATCCCAGCTACTCGGGAGGCTGAGGCAAGAGAATCACCTGAACCTGGGAGGCAGAGGTTGCAGCAAGCCGAGATTGCACCACTGCACTCTAGCCAGGGCAACAGAGCAAGACTCTGTCTTAAAAAAAACAAAAAACAAACAAAAACAAGAAAAGAAAAGAATGAAAGACAGCCCTGTGAAAACAGAGACACACACAGGGAGAATGCCATGTGACAACAGAGGCAGAGACTGAGGTTATGCAGCTGCAAGCCAAGAAATGCCAAAGATTACCCACAAACCACCAGAAGCTAGCAGAGGCATGGAATCCCCTACAGGTTTCAGAGGGAACATGGTCATGCCAACACCTTGATTTTGGACTTCCAGCCTCCAGAACTGTGAGAAATTAAATTTCTGTTGTTTTAAGCCACCCAATTTGAAGTACTTTCATTATGGCAACCCTAAGAAGCTAATACATTTATATAAAATATTTCACACTATTCTTTCTTTCCAACATTATTGAGGTATAGTTGACAATTAAAAATTGTATATATTTAAGGTGTACAATTCAGTGATTCAATATATGTGTATGTTGTAAACTGTCCACAACAATCAAGCAAATTAATGCGTTCATCACCTCACATCATTATCATTTTTTGATTTGGTGAGAACACTTAACAGCTAACTTCTTGGCAAATTTCAAGTCTGCAATATTATTAACTGTAGTCACATTGTTGTACGTAGTTCTCCAGACCTTATTTACCTTACATAACAGACCTCGCTCATACCCTTTGACCAACATCTTCCCATATCCCTCCCCACTCAGCCTCTGGTAACGACTATTCTACTCTCTGTTTCTATGAGTTTGACATTTTTGGATTTCAGGTTTATGTTGTCACAAGTAACAGAATTTCCTTCTTTTTAAAGGCTGAATAATATTTCATTGCATATGTATATGCAACATTTTCTTTATCCATTCATCTGTCAATGGACATTTAGGTGATTTCTGTATCTTGGCTATGGTGAATAATGCTGCAAGGAACAGATATCTCTTTAAGATACTGATTTCATTTCCTTTGGATATAGACCTCACAATGGGATTGCTGATCACATGGTGGTTCTATTTTTCCTTTTTTTTTGAGAAACTTCCATATTGTTTTCCATGATGCCTCTACCAATTTACATTCCCATCGACCATGGACAAGGGTTTTCTTTGCTCCACATCTTCACCAATATTTGTTATCTCTTGTCTTTCTGATAATAGCCATCCTAACAGGTGTGAAGTGACATCTCATAGTGGTTTTGATTATCACTTCCCTGATGATTAGTGATGTTGAACATCTTTTCATGTACCTGTTAGTTATTTGTATGTCTTGTTGGGAAAAATGTCTGCTCAACTCCTCTGTCTACTTTTTAATCAAGTTTTATTTTTTTCTTTTGAGTTGTACTAGTTACTCATATATTGTGGATATTAATGTGTATGGCTTGCAAATATTTTCTCCCATTCTGTAGGTTGCTTTTTGTTGCTGTTGATTGTTTTGCTGTGCAGAAACTTTTTAGTTTGATGTCTCACTTGTTCCTTTGTGCTTTTGGTTTCATATCCAAACTGTCATTGCCAAGACCAGTGTTATGAAGCTTTTCCCCTATATTTTCTTCTGGGAGTTTTTACAGTTTCAGGGCTATGTTTCAGTCTCTTTGAGTTCATCTTTGTGTATGGTGTAAGATAAAGATACAGTTTCATTTTCTTGCCTGGGGATATCCAGTTTTCTCAACACCACTTATTGAAGAGACTTTTCCCCATTATATATTCTTGGCACTTTTGTTGAAGATTTGTTGACCACATGTGTGAGTTATTTCTGGGCTTTCTGTTCTTTTCCATTGTTCTATGTGTCTGTTTTTATGCCAGTACATGTTATTTTGGTTACTATAACTTTGTAATATATTTTGAAATCAGAGCGGGTAATGCCTCCAGCTTTGTTCTTCTTGCTCAAGATTGCTTTGGCTACTTGGGTGTTTTGTAGTTCCATATGATTTTTTTTTTTTTTTTTTTTTTTTTGACAGAGTCTTGCTCTGTGGCCCAGGCTGGAGTGCAGTCCAGCAATCTCGGCTCACAGCAACCTCTGCCTCCCAGGTTCAAGTGATTCTCCTGCCTCAGCCCCCCAAGTAGTTGGGATTACAGGCATCTGCCACCATGCCCAGCTAACTTTTCTATTTTTAGCAGAGGTGGGGTTTTACCATGTTTGCCAGGCTGGTCTCAAACTCCTGACCTCAAGTGAGCCACCCACTTTGGCCTCCCAAAATGCTGGAATTAGAGGTGAGAGCCACTGTACCTGGCTGCATATGAATTTTAGAGTAGTTTTTTCTATTTCTGTAAAGGACATCATTGGGATTTTGATAGGGATTGCTTTGCATCTGTAAATCAGTTTGGGTAGTTTAGACATTTCAACAATATTAATTATTTCAGTCAACATGGGTATCTTTCCACTTATCTGTATCTTCTTTAACTTCCTTCATTGTTGTTACAATTTCCGTGTACAAGTGTTTCATCTCTTTGGTTAAATTTATTTTTAAGTATTCTCATCTTTTTTGTGAATGGGATTATTTTCTTGATTTCCTTGTCAGCTAACTGTTTATGTATAGAAATGCACCTGATTTGCATATATTGATTTTATATCCTGCAACTTTACTGAATGTATTTATTAGCTGTAACAGTTTTTGGTTGAGTCTTTAGGGGGTTCTATGTATATAACCATATCATCCATTTCAAATAGGGATAATTTTACTTCTTCCTTTCCAACTTGGATGTCTTTCTTTTTCTTGTCTCATTGTTCTGGCTATGATTTCTAGCACTATGTTGAATAGAAGTGGTGAGCGTGGACATCCTTGCCTTGTGCCAGATCTTAGAGGGAAAGCTTTCAGTTTTTCCCCATTGATTTTGACGTTAGCTGCTATCACACTATTTTTTAATGTTCACCTCTGGTTCCCCTTTGTCACAGAACCTTCCCAAATGACCCATACAGCAGGCCCCTTTTTCTGAATGTCCATAAAATTCATCTTCTGTAACCTTCATTTGACACATCTTTTACGTCATCCTGTATTGTTCCTAAGTCAAATGTGAAGTCTGAAAGGTGTGAACCACATCTCGCCATCTGGGAGTAGACAGCATGAGCAGAGGAGAAAGACAGGGTCAGAAGCCAAAAGGCTGATGAGTTAATGGGTGCAGCACACCAACATGGCACATGTATACATATGCCATACAAACCTGCACGTTGTGCACATGTACCCTAAAACTTAAAGTATAATAATAATAAAATAAAAGAAAAATACGGAAAAAAAAAAAAGAAGCCAAAAGGCTGCACTTCAGTCCCACCCAACTGGGAGACATCAGGCAAGTTCCTGAACTTCCATGACCTTCATTTTCTCCACAAAATGGGGTAAATCCACAACTCTAAACCTAGCCATTATAAAAATAAAAAGCAACATAACAGTAAAAACAACTCAATTAAAAATGGACAAAGAACTTAAATAGACATCTCTCCAAAGATGATATACAAATGGCCGATAAGCACATGAAAAGATGCTCAACATCGCCAATCATTAGGGAAATGCAAATGAAAACTACAATGAGATACCTTTTCACACCCATTAGAATGACTATTATGGAAAAAAAAAGAACCAGAAAGAAAACCCAGAAAATAACAAGTGTGGACAAGGACGTGGAGAAATTGGAACACTTTCACATTGCTGGTGGGTATGTAAAATAGTAAAATGATGAAGCTACTGTAGAAAAAAAGTTACAGCAATTCCTCAAAAAAATTAAACATGGAATTACTGTATGATCCAGCAGTCCCACTTCTGGAAATTATCTCCCGAAATTGAAAGCAGGATCTCAGGCAGATCCTTTTACACTCATGTTCATAGTAGCAGTATTCACAATAGGCAAAAGATGGAAGCAACCCAAGTGTTCATCAACCGATGATGAATAAACAAAATGTGGCCTAGCCATAGAATGGAATATTACTGAGCCTTTAAAGGGAAGGAAATTCCAACACATACTATACCACACGGATGGCCCTTGAGAACATTATGCTCGGTGAAATAAGCCCGTCACAAAAGGACAAACGCAGGCGATGGCTGGGGAGGCGGGGCGGGAGAGGTGGGGGAGTGGGTGGCAGCCGCCGCGCTGGGAGCCGAGCAGAGCCGCGCCGATCGCCATCCGGCCTGGGCACTCGCGCGCGATCCCGGCCGGCAGCGCGGCCCATGGAGCTCGAGAACATCGTAGCGGACACGGTGCTCCTCAAGGCCCGGGAAGGTAGCGGTGGAAATCGCAAAGGCAAAAGCAAGAAATGGCGGCAGATGCTCCAGTTCCCCCACATCAGCCAGTGCGAAGAGCTGCGGCTCAGTCTCGAACGTGACTATCACAGCCTGTGCGAGCGGCAGCCCATCGGGCGCCTGCTGTTCTGAGAGTTCTGTGCCACCAGGCCGGAGCTGAGCCGTTGCATCGCCTTCCAGGATGGGATGGCCGAGTATGAAGCGACCCCGGATGAGAAGCGGAAGGCATGTGGGCGGCGGCTAATGCAGAATTTTCTTGAGCCACAGGTTCCTGACCTCATCCCTGAGGTCCCCCCGGCAGCTGGTGACGAACTGCACCCAGCGGCTGGAGCAGGGGCCCTGCAAAGAACTCTCCCAGGAACTCACCCGGGTGACCCACGGGTACCTGAGCATGGCCCCTTTTGCCGACTACCTCAACAGCATCTACTTCAACCGTTTCCTGCAGTGGAAGTGGCTGGAAAGGCAGCCAGTGACCAAAAATACCTTCAGGCAGTACCGAGTCCTGGGCAAAGGTGGCTTTGGGGAGGTGTGCGCCTGCCAGGTGCGGGCCACAGGCAAGATGTACGCCTTCAAGAAGCTAGAAAAAAAGCGGATCAAGAAGCAGAAAGGGGAGGCCATGGCGCTGAACGAGAAGCAGATCCTGGAGAGAGTGAACAGTAGGTTTATAGTGAGCTTGGCCTACACCTGTGAGACCAAGGAGGCGCTGTGCCTGGTGCTGACGCTGATGAACGGGGGCGACCTCAATTTCCACATCTGCCACATGGGCCGGGCTGGCTTCCCCGAAGCGCAGGCCGTCTTCTACGTCCCGAGATCTGCTTGCGGTCTGGAGGACCTGCACCGGGAGCGCATAGTGTACAGGGACCTGAAGCCAGGAACATCTTGCTGGATGACCACGGCCACATCCTCGTCTCCGACCTGGGACTGGCTGTGCACGTGCCCGAGGGCCAGACCATCAAAGGCCGTGTGGGCACCGTGAGCTACATGGCTCCAGAGGTGGTGAAGAATGAACCGTACACTTTCAGCTCTGACTGTTGGGCGCTAGGCTGCCTCCCGCAGGAGATGATTGCAGGCCAGTCGCTCTTCCAGCAGAGGAAGAAGATGATCAAGCGGGAGGAGGTGGAGCGGCTGGTGAAGGAGGACCCCGAGGAGTATTCCGAGCGCTTTTCCCCGCAGGCCTGCTCACAGCTCCTCTGCAAGGACCCCGCTGAACGCCTGGGGTGTCGTGGGGGCAGTGCCCGCGAAGTGAAGGAGCACCCCCTGTTGAAGAAGCTGAACTTCAAGCGGGTGGGAGCCGGCATGCTGGAGCCGCCCTTCAAGCCTGACCCTCGGGCCATTTACTGCAAGGATATTCTGGACATTAAACAGTTCTCTAGGGTCAAGGGTGTGGAGCTGGAGGCTACCGACCAAGACTTCTACCAGAAGTTTGCCACAGGCAGTGTGCCCATCCCCTGGCAGAAGGGGATGGTGGAGACTGAGTGCTTCCAGGAGCTGAATGTCTTTGGGCTGGATGGCTCAGTTCCCCCAGACCTGGACTGGAAGGGCCAGCCACCTGCAAGGGACTGCTGCAGAGACTCTTCAGTCGCCAAAGGATTGCTGTGGAAACTGCGGGGACAGCGAGGAAGAGCTCCCTACCCGCCTCTAGCCCCCAGCCAGAGGCCCCCACGGGCAGTGGGCGGTAGTAGCTACTCCGAGTGCCTTTTACAGTTTTGCACAGTGGACTTCCCCATTGTCCACTCAAGTTGTGGCCTGGGGAACACAGACGGAACTGTCCCCAGTGTCCTCTGCCCCCTCAGCCCCTGGCCTGCCTGAGTTTGGCAGGGCCTGGGCCATCCCTGGGACAAAGGTGCGTCCCTTCAGCTCTTCTCCGTGGAGCTCGGGGCTTTCTGTATTTATGTATTTGTACCAATGTATATAGTGACCAGGGCATTCTTAGTTCCTGCCACAGACCTGGCGCCCCCTCCTTGGCTCCTGGGGGCAGCCAGCCCTGGCTGGGAGAGCGGGAGCTGGCAGAGGAGCCACTGCCAAACTTAAGGCTCCTCCGACCCAGCTTGGATGGCTGAGGATCACACCCCTGAGCCTTCAGCACGGTGCTGACCACCCCTAGCCTCTGAGTAAGACTTGTGCCTGCCCCTGCTGCCCTGGACTCAGGCTTCTGCCCTCTGGGGACTAAAGCTGTCCCTTCTCAGTACTTGTCAGAGCTGGATCTGGGGCCTGTATATCCCCTAGGCCTGTGCCAAAGTGGCCAGAGATTGGGCCGGCTGTGAGACCCATCAGCCCACTGCCCCGGCCGGCCCAGATAGGTCTGCCTCTACCTTCCAGCTCCCAGGGCCTGGTCCCTGATGCTTTCAGGGACGTTTCAGAAACGCCCGAGCCCAGCCCCTAGGAGGGGGTGGGGCATCCCTGGCCAACCCTCAAACATTCCCAACTCCTCTCATAACACTAGACACATGTGCCCAGCAAAAAAAAAAAGGACAAATGCTTCGTGATTTCACTTATATGAGGCACCTAAAGTAGTGAAATTCATAGAGACAGAAAGTAGAATGTTGGTTGTCGGGAGCTGGGGGCAGTGGGGAATAGGGAGATATTGTTTAATGAGGGCAGAGTTTCAGTTGGGGAAGATAAAAATGTTCTGAAGATGGATGGTGTGGATGGTGGTGATGGCTGTGCCATACATAATGTGAAAGTACTTAATGTTCTTGAACTGTGCACTTAAAATGGTTAAATGGTAAATTTTATGTTATGTATATTTTGCTGCAAAAACCCACTTATACAATATAAGGTGACATTATTCCTGATATTTTCTTACCTCTCCCCCTCATACACCCACCCCTACTGCTGTGCATATTCCAGATTTTGATAAACACTTGCTAAACCAATGCTGTCCTCACAGAACATACCCTCCTCTCCTCTTCCTCCCCTGCCCATCTGCATAGACGTGTAGTTGGCCAGCTTACCTGAATAGATCTTTTAAATCAAACCAGTCTAAATATTTGTAATGTGACAAAACATAAAAAGGGATGGAGAAAGCGAGGGAGAGACGGGTGTGCCTCATGCATTCATGGATTTGTATTTATACTCCAATGATCTTGTTATTTTTAAAGTCTGCTAAAGCTGGTTCCACCTGCAGGTTTCTTTTGGTGTCCTAAATCTGTGTGTGCATTCTCCACATGCTTGGAGTCAGCGTACATGAGCTGTTTGTCCCCCAGCTGGCTTTTTGCAGTGGAAGAGGCGCAAACAGAATCCGCAGCACGTAGGACAGGGAGCCTGAAATCCCACGCCGCACAGCACTCAGTGTGTGCAGGAGCTGAGGGAAGCAATAAGACCTAATAACCTCATCCATTCTCCTAATTGCTTTCTTCTCCTCACAGAGGAGCCACATCAGCAGCTCTGGTGACCCTCAGGGAAATCTCTGCTTGTTATGAGGTTGGTGGGCCATCCTTTCATCACTGTGAAATGCTGGCAGTTTGTGTCAACAAATCGAATTTCAGTCAATCAATAGGCACCCCGCCTCTCAGCTTGGCAGAGCTGCACAGCTGGCCTTCCTTCCCTCCCATCTGCTGCCCATGCCCTGGAGCCCTGGCAGCAAGAACCACTGCTGCCCGTGGCGTGGGAGAATGCCCAGGCAGCCAGGTCAGACTGGATGTGGCAGACAGCAATTGACAAGGCTGGTTCCACCACCAGAGAGTCACAGCCCACTGGAAACACACCATGTTGTACAGGGTGGAAGCGCCAGCTTTGTGCAGATGGACTTGGGTACAGGTCTGATTCTGCCACTTTGGGCTGTATGGCCTTGAACTTCAAGGCAAGTTCTTCACCTCTTTGAACTCTACCTTCCTTAGTTATAAAGCGGGGATGCTACTGCTGCCTGCTGCAGGATTGTTAGGAAAAGTGTTATAATGCATGCAAAGTGCTTTGTCCAGTCCCTGGCACACAGTAGAGAGAGAGAGAGAGAGAGAGTGTGTGTGTGTGTATGTCACTGTGATCTGCCAAGTCTTACAAGCCAAATAGGGCAATAAATGGCAACTACTGCGGATTTTACAATCATCATTAGCATCATCATCATTATTATTGTCATGTTGAGTGTTGCACAGAAAACAGCCTAGAACCAGCCTACGTGGTTCTATCAATGCAGGATGAGAATATTCAGCCTCCAGTTCATGAAGGTTCACTAAGCAGAGATGTACACTGGATGATCACCAGCGTGTACAAAAAATAAATACTATAGTATCTTCATCAGAGGGCTGCCATTGGCCTCAGGAGGGCATTCCCAGGTAGAAGTGCCTCAGGAGGTTTGTTCTGTTGCCTGGCCCAACATCCTATAGGGAAGGAGCCCAATAGTGGCTCCTTGAAATTTCTGCATTCTCTGGAAGCCAGAAAAAGCAAAGACCTCCTGGCAATTGAGTTCTCTTGCTTGTAGGGGAGATCACAGCTTCGTAGATAGACGGCTGTTTCCCTTTGGGTGATAGAGGTCCCTGCTGGGCAACAAAGAATTAAACACAAATCTATTTCTTGCCAGTAGTTGTCACACCTAATAGATTGGGATGAGATACCACTGCATTAGTGTGTGAATTTCCCCAGATGAAGGCAGCAGCAAAGCCCTTTAGAACAAGCCACAGAAGGACAGAAACAAACTAATCAGGGAATGCACAGCTTCACACAAGATCCAGGGGCTTCTGACATGGGAGGAACACAAAAGTTTTAACTAACCAAGGATGCAAACATTCCCCCAGCAAGAAATGGTTAGAAGTATCTTGGAGTGCATTTTGTGGTCGCTGTTACTGCTGCTGCTGTTTTGTATAATAGGGAAGGAAAAGAGAATAATTAGAGGTGAGATTTTCAGACACAGAATGCCCTAGTATTTATTGAGTTTCCACTCTGAGGCAGGCACTGTGAGAAGCCCTTCCACATTTATTATTTCATTGCATTTGTCATAATAACCCTGCATGGCAGGAATATTTACCCTTTTTGTCCAATGTGGATGCTGAGGCCCAGATAGAACCCAAAAAGCTCTGGGACCTGGCATAGACCAGGTGCTAGGTAACAAGAGATTGGCAGAGCCTTGCCCAGGGTCACAAATCAAGAGGAGAGATTCAAATGCAGATCCTAAAACTCCAGACCACCCCTCTTTTCTCTCTCCCTACCTGCTTGCTCAGTGCAGGAGACTGGGAGGGCCCTGAGCCAGGATGGGTTTAGACTCATGGAAGAAAATTCCATGGGGGAAAAATGTTTTTTCCATGAGAATCTGCTCTCATATAGCAGCCACACTTCTCCATACAGCCCAGAGACAGATCCTTCTAACATTCAAGCTAGTCTTAGGTCTTTGGGGGAGAGATTCAAAGATTCTGAATTAAAAAAAAAAATTAGACCCCCAGAACAGTAGAATACGATTCATGTCTGTTATGAATTACAGTTGGGTCTTTATCGTGCAGCAAGGGGTCCTCAATGGTGCCTACATCCTTTCTGAAATTGATCTTATTGGGATAACATGGCCAAAAAGGAAAACAAAAGCAAATAGTCATGCGTGTTTGGAAGATCTAGGACCGAGACATGCAAGTGTGATGGGAAGGTTCACTGCTCTTGGAAATTTAATTGCTGGATGGAAACAGACATAGAAATCTGGATTCCAACCAGACTTGAGCTCCATGCTAGCATATCAGACTGCCTGCTGGAATCCCTGTGTGGATGTCTCAAAGGCAGATAAAACTCAACATGCCTAAAAGCAAATGAATTGTTTCATGCTGCACCAGGCTCACCACCACAAAAGGGGAAATCAGCTGCATTCTCGACTTTAGTTGGTGACATCATCATCCCCCTAAGCCTCTCAAATGAGACACTTGGGATTTTCCCTCGGTTTTCCCTCTTCCTTATTCCTCCTGCCAATGTGCTGTTCAGTTCTCCTCTTCCCACCATCCACTGTCCCTTTGTATCTATCTTCTACCTATCTTTATACATCAACCCTTAACCGGACTCTCTGATTGCAATCTCACTCTCCTCTACCCATCACTGGTTTCAGAGAGATTTTTCTGAAATCCAAATTTGACCTTGGCACTCCTTGCTTACCACCTTCAATCACCCACCAGCATTGATGTGAAGGTTTTTTTTATGTGATTAACATTTAAATCAGTAAACTTTGAGTAAAGCAAATGACCCTTCATAATGTGGGTGGGCCTCATTCAATCAGTAAAAGGCTTTAAGAGA
The DNA here is from genome assembly GCF_000001405.40 of Homo sapiens. NCBI lineage: Eukaryota > Metazoa > Chordata > Mammalia > Primates > Hominidae > Homo > Homo sapiens. Next base: position 21,325,426 of record NC_000013.11, read on the forward strand.
AAAGACTGAGGTCCCCTGAAGAAGTGGGAATTCTGCCTCCAAATTGCCTTCAGACTTGAGCTGCAACATCAGCTCTTCTGTGGGTCTGCAGATTTTGAACTTGCCAGCCCCACAATCACATGATCCACTTTCTTAACTCTCTCTCTCTCTGTGTATCTGTGTGTGTGTGTATGTGTATACATAGCATATACATAACATATACATACATAAACATATGTATTTCCTGTTGGTCCTGCTTCTTTGACTAGCCTTGACTAACAGAACCATCAGACCCAGGCTACTCCATCCTGTGGCTCCACAATCCATAATATGTTAACTCTGGGTCAGAGCTGGCTGCTTGGGCACCAGACATGGTAGCTCCATTCCAGACAGCTGGAGAGAGGAAGGGACCTAAAAAGACATATTCCCTTATTTTAGGGACACTTCCTGGAAGTAGAACATGACCATCCCATTGGCCAGAACTTAGTCACATCTAGTTGCAAGGGAATTGGGAACATAGTCATGATTCCAGAACCATGCGCCCAGCTAAAAATCAGGAGGTTTTATATCATGGTAGAAAGGGGGAACAGACATGGCGCTACAGCAGGAGACAGTATCTGCTACAAATACCAAACGAAGGGCGCTGGCAATGAGCATTTTAGAGGTTAAGGGGAGATTTAATGCGGGCAGGGTCCGGCAGAGAGGGGCTGCACAGTGCAAGGGGACCGGGGCTGACTTTGAAGGAAGGGCTACTCCGCCCAATTACGAGAACACGTGAGCACCCTTGCCCCAGAGTGAGCATCAACACCGTGATCACGGTTATCACGTGGGAGGTCTGCCCAGGATCCCGGCAGTGAGGCTGCCCTGGAGGCAGGCTTGCTCCGCCACAGGCGCGCAGGCAACAGCAGCGGAGCCGAGAATGGCGAGGCCAGCGGGCGACCAGGCCTCCGGCCAAGGGCACGCGACCCCCCGCGCTTCCCGAGTGCTCCCCTGAAGCCTGGTACGCGTGGGCACCGGCGCACGGCGGTGCCCCGGAAACGCAGCCATCGCCTCAGGGCAGCCACTCACCGATGCGGTAATGCCCCAACGGGGCGTTTCATTGGCCAGCTCTCTTTCAGGCTCCAACTATTTCTTAGATTTTTTTTAAGGAATTGCAAATAGGCCTAAACAAAATCCAGATGCGAGGGAAGGGATGCCTGAACACAGATGGGTGGGAGAACACGCCCCGAGGTGCTGCTTTGGCAGAGAAGCCCTGTCTGCGAGCCCCGAGGCGGAGATGGCTCCCCAAGCCTGATGCAGACAAGAGAGCCCGCCCCTCCCCTGTCCCGCACCTGCTGAACTTTGGGGTCAGCAGAGGAATGTCCCCCGCTGTTAATGTTTTGTTTTTACTGTTTTACAATTCACATTTCGTGCTGCAGGGTGTACCGTGAAGCTACAACAGGGACAGACAGGTTTGTAGGAAGCGGCATTTCCCAAAAGCAACCTCTGAACCTTTTATTCCCGGAGCACATCACAGGTCCAGCGTTCCATAGAACACACCCTAGAAAAACGCTCCTGTGGAGGATCCGTCCCGCCAGGATCCCCAGCTGGTCAGGAATGCTGGGAGGGCCTCCTCACTCGGGCTATTCTCCCTCCCACACATTCATCTGAGGGGACAGGCTCTGGTTAGTTAGAAAATTGTAACATAGCAAGGTAGGAGCAGCAGCCCCTTGTCACCTTAGGCTCCAACTGAGGGTGGGAGGTGGGAGGTGGGGTTGGGCGGTTTGGGGATGGGAAACCTGGCTCTGCCTCCCTTCCTCCCATTTGCACCACAGAGCTGGATCCCAGGTGGCCAGATCCCCTGCAACCGACAATGATTGAGGACCTTCTCAGCGCCAGCTCTTTAGGTGCTGGAGACATATTCTGCACTGAAGGTGCTCCCTGAAAGGACTAAGAAACAGAGAAAGAAGCAGGTCATTGCAATACAGTGTGCTGGGTACAAGAGTCGAGGCGTAATGTCAGATATGAGAGTGACTCAAGGGAATGATCTTGTTTGGGGGAGGTGGGCAAGCAGGAGGAGCTGTGGCAGAAGGCGATCAGAGAGGATAAAGACAAAGGTATGTGTTCGAGATTGTCAAATGAAAGCCATGCACAGTCCAGGGGCTTCAGGAATATTCTCATCTCAGGGAATCGGATCTGGAATCTGGGAATCAGGCTCTTGTTCTCCTGGGATAAGAGCGAGCCTGGGAGTAAAATGAATCACCAGTGCTCCTGGAGAGGCGTGGGAATCCTGGGCTGGTGCAGGCCCTCCCTGCTATTAATACTGCAGCTCCCAGATTCTGCTTGAAACCATAGAGAGAGCTTTGGTCAGAGGCCAGCAAGCCCCTCAGCCCCAAGCAGGAGTAGGCAAAATGCATGGTAGTGGCCCAGGAGCCTGGGGTGTCAGTGGTGCGGTAGTGTCTTTGTAGTGGTGGCACAGGGCTGAAGTGGTAAGAGGCTGGGAACAAGATGAAGCAGACAAGGTGAAAGGGGATGAAACAGGAGGAAAAGAGAGAGAAGGAGAGGGCAGTCTGCTGCAGTCCCAGTGCCCTGGGGATCAGTAACTTTGCATCCTGGCCCTAGCCCCACTTATTACTGCCTGTGTGACGTTGGGCCAGTCATCTGTGCTCTGGGCCAGCTCCCTTAGCTATAGAATGAGGTGCGGAGAGAAGCTGTGATCTCTACAGCCCCCTCTTCCTCAAGTGGCATGAACACTCTCTTTTTCTGGAAGGTCCCTTACCAACTGCTGGCAACCACTGCGAAGAGCAGTGGGCAGGTGGGTGCAGATGGCAGTGGTGCTGATGAGGGGTTGGGGGTGCTGGCACCTCAGGATAACTCAAAAGCGGTGCAGGCTGAAGCCCTTCCTCCCTCCTTCCTTCTACCTCCTGCCTGCTGAGCCCCCCAGGACCCAGCAGCTAATGTAATCGTCTCCTGGAATGCCCCATAATGGCCCTGCAGCAGTTTCTGCAGGCTCCGCCTCTCTGCAGGCAGCAGTCTGCGAGTTCAGAGGAAAATGAGCTCCCTGCTCTCGGGAAGGTGAAGTCAGCCTAGGACAGCGGCAGGACTGCAGCTCCCTCTGGACAAGGGGCCTGTGCAGCAGACCTCACCAGGTACCTTTCCCCACAGAACCTACACAGAAGCACAAGGTCCTTTGCTCCTTCTTTGATAAGGTGTCCTCTCTCGTGGTTGATTTCAAACTGTGTTGAGCTAAGAACCCTTTCTTTAAATGAAAGGTGTTATGGAAGCCTAAACAACACATTATTCAATAACGATTTCTTGAAATAAGTGTGTGTCAAATGCAGTGTCGAGAACTGGGTACCTGGTGGTAACCCAAACAGACTTTATCTCTGCCTTCATAGAGCTTGCTTTAGTGGGCAAATACAGCCATAAATGAGTAAATATTTACTAACTCTTCATTATGGTCAGTGTCGTGAAGGAAAAAAATGTGGGATGGCCTTTCGGTTGCATTATTAGGAACGATTTCCAGGTCAGGAAGTGATGCTTCTGCACCCAGCAGTACCTGTCAGTGTGAAATCTGGGGTGGAGACCAGGTCAGAGCTTTGGATGGCTGATGACACCCAGGAGGAAGAGGCAGCCTCTACACGCAGGTGGGACAGTGAGCCCCTGCCTTGTGGTCTGTGCTGAGCTTCCCCACAATGCAAGCCAAGGCATCAGCTCCCACCCACACCCCAAGGGACCTGCAGGAAACCAGGCTGCATTTCAACAACAAGCAGAAAGCACAGAGCTTTACACACAATCTAAATACATCAACCATTTGAAGATGCTAAACTCCATACAAGAGCATCACCAGACTCCACAAAAGAAAAAACTTATAACTGAGGAAACCGAGCTAATAGTCAAATCAGAACAGAAACTTATAATCTGTATACTTCGTATTTTGGAGAGATGTGGGTGGGTATCTATATGTCAAATGAGAGGAGATCATTACAATCAAGAGCTGGCAATTATGAAAAGAAACAGTGAAATTCCTGGGAGTGAAAAATATCAGTATTCAAAAATCTTTCTGGCTATAGTGAGGAGAATGAATTGCAAGGAGGTAAGACACACTTTAGCCAGGTAAGAGATGGTCGTGGCTTTGGCTAGGGTGGAGGCAGAGGAAAGGGAGAAGAGTAGATGGATTCAGAATACAGTTTGAAGAGTCAGCAGGACTTGCTAACCTCTTCAGCATTTGAGTGTGAGGATGAGGGAGAAGGAGCCCTCAGGGACGATGTCTGGAATGAACACAGAGCTGCCCCGGTTAAAGATGCTCAGGGATTATAATGCAGGGCCCCTGCAGAGACTGCGAAGGCCTCTTTACCCCTTTCCCTGCATCAAAATGAGGTAGCCCTGCCATCATACAATCCTCAAACTGCACCCTTCTTTCTCCTTATCCTATCCTTACCAGACACCCAGAGGGTTTGAAAGCAAGAGCCAAGCTGCATCCAGCACTGAAGGACCACTCTACTTATTCCTCCCTGATGTCTTCAGGGAGAGTCTGGCTGGTGAGGGAGGGAAATGTGACTGTTACAAGTTGGGTTCCCTTGAAAGCAGACTCTAAGATGGAGTTTTTTGTGTAGAATGCCTATTAAGGGGTCAACACCTGTGTAAAGAGGAGGAAGCAGTATGCAGAAACAGAAATTGAGCCAAGGTCAAAGAGAGCCTTGGTCAGTCCCACAGGTGCAGGGCTTGGAAGCTCAAATGGCCCTTCAGAGTTGTTTTAAGTTGGTCTGAGATGGCCAGATCTTTATGTGTCCACATCAATCAGTTGTTAGATTTGGGTGCCATGGGCAGGGGTGTGACATCAGTAAGGCTGCTCTCTGCAGCCCAGGCAACCTCTGTGTGCCAGCAGCACTCTGCACCACTGGGACTGCAAGTCCTTATTGAGGGGATCTACGTGGCACTTTACAGTGTTCACCATAGTGCCCAAGGCCAAGGTAGCCTCTCACGTGGCTTGAGGTACAGCCTTGTACATACCACGTTGTACCTTGTATGTACCTGGTCTGAGGTCATTCCTAAACATTACTGGGGAAAACCAGAAGTTCAGAAGCAAGGAGAGACCTAATTAAAACCAAGGAGACTATATATTAAGGTAGAAGAGTAAGGAATGGCTTTATATTAATACATAGTCAGCATAAAGCTGAAAACACTCACCCGTGGCAGACGGCATCATCTAGGAAGAATGTCTGGAAATTGATATTCTGCAGTTCAGATTTTACCAGTTCACAACGTAAATATCCTGTTGAGAAAAGCAAGTCTCACTCAGTTGATAAATATAACTCTCTCTGCTGCTTTCATTTCAGTTTCGAAATGACCAGGCTGGCAGTTGGCTGAGCCAGTCTCTTAGAACCCTTTGAAGCACTGGATGCAGGCTGATGAGCTGCCATAAACGTCTTTGAGTCCCAACACTGCTCAGGAACTGCATATCATACCAAAGTCTGCCTGTGTGATCCTTTAATTTGTGAATGTAAAAACTGAGGTGGGAGGCAAATACTGATGTTCTCAAAGACCCGTCTCAGCTATTCCATTCAAACAGAGCCCAGAATCTTCAAAATTCTGCTTCTTCAGCTTACCTCCTGTCTCAGGCTGGTTCCCCAGAAGCATCCCAGAGATGCAGATTTGTGAGAAAGTGATGTGTTGGGCAGTGTCCCCTGCAGGGAAGTGAGGATGCAAGACAGTGAGAAGGAAGCCAAGCAAGAGTGCAATGTCAAGCAAGGTCCCGTGCTTGCAGGGCACTGGCTCCTCCCACAGAGGAGATTTGGAGACTGAGAGCCCCTCCCTCCATTGGTCAAGGGCCATCTCAGAGGGATGCATGTTTCTAGGTATCCCCCACTCTCTCTGCACACAGGTAAAGGAGACTCCAGAAGCATGAGGGCAGCCCTCTCACAAAGAAGCATGGGTTCTGGATACCGAGAGTAAAAGCAAACGTGGAGCCAAGGGGTGTGAAAATGGGAAAGGGACCCAAGGAAATAGAGTAGTGCATCCACCATGAGTAAGTGCCACAGTCACTGGGTCAGCACCTGCTGTGTCCAACACCATGCTAAGTATCGTGGAGAGGAGAGAAGTTACTAGACTTCCCTGCTGTCATCCTTAATGGACTATTGTCTCTTCCCTAGACACCTCAAACTGGGATTTAAGGTACATAAGCTCTCAGAAATGGCTTCCTGGAATTATGGCCATGAACATCAGTGAACTGTTAGGGTCCGTAGTTACATCTGGAAAATGACTGCCGTTTCAATACACAGGATTAGTTACAATAACAGCAACAGCCATAATAATAATGTGGCAGAGACTAGCTTGATGCTCATCACATCTCTACCTGGGCACATAGCAAAGTTTTCTATTCCAGCTCCCACCCTGGATCTCGGGTCCTAGTTCTCAACAACGAAATGCTTCCAAGCCAAGTTAAAGCAGCCACAACTTTCAAACGAAAACCTAAAGATCCTGTGTTGAAGACAGTGGCACCTTAAAATGCAAGGGCAGTATCCTTGAGTCCTCAGGTCACCAGAAAGCCACCCGATCAGGACCATCGACACTAGACTCTGTGTTAGTGAGAAACAAACTTGTGTTAAGCCATCATGATTTTAAAGTTGTTAGCAGTCAGCTTGCTCCAATAGGATGAACACTAATAAACATAGCGGTAACAACCTGCTGGGTAGTATCATTATTCTCACTTTGTTGGTGAGGAACTTGAGGCCCAAAATGGTCAGAAAGTTAGCAGATGGCAGAGCTGGTATTTCAAGTCTATTTTTTAATCCCTATCTTGCACTCCTTGGTCACGTAAACCTTGTGTGAATATGTTTGATGCTTTAATGGAGCAAAGAGGAGAATATTAAAATACCAGGTTTCTTGGGTGGGATGTGGAGTGAGGAGGAAGAACACAAAACGGAAAGGCTCCACGCATCAGAAGCCAAGCTTTGGGCACTCCACAGTTTTGCTAAAGACTTCCCTGTCTGCTCACATCTGGTCTGTTCCCCAGTATCCTCACTGTATTAAAGTTGTTTCTTTGTCATATTTTGCTCTTTTTTCTGGTGTGATTCTATCAATTACTTGCTACCAAGGAGAAGAAATGAGATGATCAAAGGGGCATCCCCCAAATCCCCAAGGCTGTGCCCCTCAAGTTCAAGAAGAGAAAGCAGAGAACTCTTGTTTAACATGGACGTGTTAGTCGCTGTCCCCTCTGCCATCCCCCAACTTCGTTGTTCATAGAACTCTGATTTTGTTCATCTTATTCCAAGTTACCAAGTCCTTTAGGGAAGGCTAGGCTGCCCTCTTACCCAGGACTGAGAGTTCATGGTTGAAGCTAGAGAGGACGGAGTGATTTCCCCTGCTAAACAATTGGTTCAGGCATGTGACGCAATTGGGCCAATGGAGCTAAAAAAGGAAATCTGCTGATGGGGCTTCTGGGAAGGTTTCTCTTGGAAAAAAAAAGAAAAAGCCACAAGATAAAAATGTTTGCTTTTCTGCCTCTGGACTTGGGCTCTGTGTGTTGTTCCTGGAACCAAAGCACCTTGGGTCCATTAAGACAGCAGCCTATGAGGATAAACCAGAACACTGGGGATGGCAGGGTAGAAACATCGAAATAACCTGGATCTTTAAGACACTGGTGAGCTGGTGAATTAATCAACCCTGGAACTGCCATCCCCCCGGACTTCTTCTTATGTGAGATAACAAACCATCTAATTGTTCCAATTATGATGAATTAGGGTTTCTATTACTTGCAGCCAAATGCATTCCAAATGACTCAACTGATATTTTGTTCCATGTTCTTTGAGAAGAGCAGAGAAAGAGTTTCTGACTACCACAACCCCTTTCTTAGTGGCTCAGTCAGCTTTCTAAGTAGATTCTTAGTTTATACTCTTTCCCACTTCTCTTACTCATGATTCCACTAATCTTAAACCCCACATGTTAGAGAGAGGCTCTGCTGAATTCCAGCGTAACAAATTCTCGCTTTTACCCTCCTCCCCTCATTGGCCACCTGCCTGTTCTTATGGTTGTAAGCAGGAGAAAGATGTTGAAAACCATGAGTCCTGACAGTGCTTAGTCAAGTGATGGCAAATGTTTTCTTGGGTTTCCATATGTGAGTAATTGAAAAAAAAAAAGGGGGAAAAAGGCTCATTTTTACTAACATTAATTAATTCACACAAGGTCACATTTTACATCATTTTAATTAACTTTCATTGAATTCATGTTCAAAATGAGAGGCAAAAAAATGTTCACTAATATAAGTCATGAGGACCCTAGGAATAATAGCATCGCATAGAAAATTGGAAGGAAAATTTTTTCCTTCTCATCGGATGCATGGTGGGGTTTGTGAATTCCTAACTTTTCTCCCACATATCCCCCTCACGGATGATAGGAAGAAATAGACTTGAAGGCATTAACTCTTTCTGGAAGCCTTTCCCAATACTTCTCACCCCTGCCTGTCTTCCTCCTCAGCCACTGGTTAGGTCCCCCATCCCTGTTAACACCCTGAAAACTTCCATCTCACAGCCACTACATTATCTTAAAATTAACTATTTACTTCTTCATTTCTCCCACAATACTGTGAGCTCCCTGAGGGGAAGAACTTGTGCTATTTATCTGTCTTCTAGCATGATACCTGGCATATATTAGGTGCTTAAGTTTATTGAATGAATGAAAGCCAAGAATACTTTTCCTTGGTTTCATTTTAATTTCACTAAGGATAATTATGTTTATATTGCTATATTACATCGTGTAAAATGGAAATTAAAGGGAAATTCCTTTAATAGTAGCACCAAAGGGCTGCATATGGCAGGGTAGGTGACAGACCACAGCTGGTGGCTGGGCCACTCTCTGAAACGTGGACTTAGGATTTGAGGGCTAGTCCTTGTGCCTCACACCTAGGATAACAGAGAAGTCCTAAAGTATGCCTGGTAGCACATCTGCACTCTTCTGGGTGGCTTCCAGAGATACTTTTGTTCCATGTTTTGGCTTTTACGACGGTCCCCAAATTAAGCAAAGGCATTTTTCTTAGCTGAGCTAACAATGATTCTCTAGATACTTGCTTATCTAACTTGTAAATCCCCTGCCACTCATTTGTTATTTGTCAGCAATCCCCTATCAGATGAAATTTCATCCCACTCGTGCTGTTGAGCACATTGATGTGCCCAGTTGGGAATCAAGCCCAGTCGCGGAACTGTAGGTGCTTTTTTGGTTGGCCCATTTATCTCTTTCCTCGTTGTCCACCAGCCACTTAATTCACTGTCCTTGTTCCAGCACACCATATGGAATGACCTTGCCCATCCCCATTTGCCACACCACCATGAAATAAACTGGAGGAAAAAGCAGTAATCTTCTCATCTTTCGAGAGGAAGCTTTCTATCTGGGAACATTTGAGGCTGATTTTCCCCATGCTTAGATTTACCTCGCTGTTGAAATTCTTAAGTATGTATACAGTGACCTGCTTCTAAGAAAATCCAGTATTCAGATTTCTAAACGTAGACCCAAACATTATTCATATCACAAAAAGTTCTCCAATTTCAAAGGAATTGTCTTCCTAGAACTCTTACAAATCAACAAGAATAAGATTGATATTCAAATAGAAAAATGCACAAAATATTTGGATAGGCATTTTCTTTACAAGGTTAGGGGATCTAACCTTTAAATGGCCAATAAACATAGAATATGCTTATTGCAAGTTAAAGACATAATCTAATACCAATAGACCCCCACCATAATAGTTAAAATGGAAAACAGGGCTGGGCGTGGTGGCTCACGCCTGTAATCCCAGCACTTTGGGAGGCCAAGGCAGGTGGATCACGAGGTCAGGAGATGGAGACCATCCTGGCTAACACGGTGAAAACCTGTCTCTACTAAAAACACAAAAAATTAGCCTGGTGTAGTGGCAGGCACCTGTAGTCCCAGCTACTTGGTAGGCTAAGGCAGGAGAATGGCATGAACCCAGGAGGCGGAGCTTGTGGTGAGCTGAGATCGAGCCACTGCACTCCAGCCTGGGTGACAGAGTGAGACTCCGTCTCAAAAAAAAAAAAAAATGGAAAACAGGAAATAGTACGTGTTGTCAAGGATGTGGAGCAACTGGAACTCCTACACACTGCTGTCGAGAGGCTGAATTGGTACAACTTCTGTACAACTGAGTATGCACATAACCTTGACTCAAAGACTCCACTCTTAGGCATATGCCCAACAGAAATGCACATATACGTTCACCAAAACACATGTACTAGGATATGCATAGCAGCACTATTTGTTATAGAATAAAACTGGTGGTTCTATGAATGCTAATTAATAGTAGGATGGATATCAAGAAATGGTGATATATTGACACAATGGAATATTTTACAGCAATGAGCACAAACTTACAACTACATAGAACACCATGGATGAAATTTACAAACACCAAGTTAAGCCAAAGAAGATAGACACAAAAGAGTATAAACTATATGAATCCTTTTAAACAAAGTAAAACCTGGCAAAATTATTCTATATTCTTAGAAGCCACGTTGGTGGTTACCCTGAGGGGGTAAATGACTGGAGGAAATGTAGGGGTTTAGATAATGTTCTGTTTCTTGATCTAGACTGGTTACATAGGTGTGTTCAGTTGGTGCGCTTTTGGGCACGTGCATTATAGATCAACAAAAAGCATTTTTTTTTTAAATACGTAATTCAATTTACAAAATGCCCATGCCATGTGGAACTTTCTAGAAACATATTTGCTGTCCAGAGTGAAATGCAGCACCTATGTTCAAATGGATTGAGTATTGTCCCTCCCACTATTTTCACTAGTTTATTAATTCTGGAAGGACAGGGAGTTGAGTTAAGCATTAGGGAACAATTCGTATACGCATGACATCGGATCCTGCATTTTGGAGTGTTATTTCTAATTGCTCCATGTCCACACACTCAAATTGAGAACCAGAGGACAGGGAACATTTTACATTTTCCTGCATCTCCAAGCCACCCCTTTCTCAATGCCCAACTGACCAAAGGATTCTTCAAAGGAACACAGCGCTTGGCTGGAGAGAAGGATTCCTTAGTCCTCTAACACAGTCATGGAAAAATCTCTAAGGCAGGTTCCCTGTCCCTTATAAAGAGAGCATTTATTACATCCTGGGAGCTCATGGGAAGCATCTCAGTTCACCCCCACACACTCTGTAACCTAGGCCCATTTTACTGAGGAGAAAACTGTGAGGCATTCCCCAAAGGGCCACATCCCTGGGAAGTGATGAGTCGGCACCAGGAGCCGGCCAGCCTCCACTGGCACACATACTGCCCAGCATTTCCTGGAGAAGGCCTCCCCTGCGATTTTAATGTTCATAAGTGGCTGCCTTTCTTCTGCAAGTAACCACCTGGGCTGCTGCTGTCCTTGGCCAGCAGTGTGTAGCTCTGATGCCCCCTCCTCCATCCTAGAGCCTGAGACAATCTATCAGGACTCACTTGGTGGTGCTGCTGGCTCTCCCTAGATCCCGGTGGAGCTCAAGACAGCCTCACGGGGCTCTGAATCTGCCTGCTCTTTCTCTGCCAGGAAAGAAGGGAAGCCCCTGGAGCTTTGCTGGCTTTTCTGTGCCAGGTGGAGCCCAGAAGACACCCTGATCAGCATCTGCGAGGATCTACTCAGGGCATGCAGCCCTTGCAGACACTCTCGGGGCTGCCCTGGTTAAAGACGATGGCTGGCCTCCTGAATTTCCCCCAGGCAGCTTGGTTGCAGGCTCCGCATCACAGCCCAGCTGGTCACAGCTCTCCATCTATTGATCACACCTGCTTAGCACTGCAGACATAATGCTGCTCAGTCATATTCTGAAGGCACAGTGCTACCTGGGGATGTGATTACAGCTCAGCTTGGTGAAATGAGCGGCTGGCCCCAAGCTCAGCCCAGCAGCCTTGTTTCTTCCAGGCCTGCTCAGCCCCACACCCAGGGGTAGCAAGCTTGTCCTGTGCCCAGTGCTCTGCTGTTGTCATGGAAATCAGTAAGGACAGCCTCACAGGTGGTGTCTAAATTGGCATGTCATAGGTGAGGGTGGGAAGAACATAAGTCACTGTGCCCAGGGTCACCTGTCCCCAGACCCCAATGCCTCACCTGCCCTCACCTGCCTCACCTGCCCTCACCCAGTCTCATTTGCCCTCACCTGCCCTCAGCTAGTCTCACCTAGCCTCATCTGCCCTCACCCAGTCTCATCTGCTCTCACCTGCCCCACCTGCCCTCACCCAGTCTCACCTAGCCTCATATGCCCTCAGCTGCCCTCACCTAGACTCATCTGCCCTCACCCAGTCTCATTGCCCTCACCTGCCCCCACCTAGTCTCACCTAGCCTCATCTGTCTTCACCTGCCCTCACCTAGTCTTACCTGCCTCACTTGTCCAGGAAGCTCCCAATCCATATCCAGTCCCCCAGGTAGGACCCTGCATTATGTTTAAGCCAACCTCCAGTGACAAATTTCTGCACTATCTGCTTCCCTAGGCCTGGGGAAGAGAAACTGCTGCATGATCTCAGCAAGAGTCGCAGAGTTTCAGTTTGGCTAGAACCTTCCAGGTCATCTGGTTGGTGTACATTTATCAATGAGGAAACAAGCCCAGAGAAGTTAAGTGACTTGTCCAAGGTCACACAGCTGTGTAAGTAGAAGTATGAAGGGAATCCAGGCTTCCTAATGCAACAGCCCCACACACATGACATTTCAGGTTTCTTTGAAATCAAGGAATTCCTCTAAGCCCTGGATGGATGACTACAGGTTGTGGTTTCAAGAGTGTCTGCTGATCTGTTTCCACAGGGAAGGCTGGAGAGATCTGTGAAAGGATGAGAATTCTAAAGGATAGAACACCCTAGTTGCTGGCAGAAGGTCACTTGCAGAAAAGTAGAGCAGAAACTCAGCTTCTGTTTGGGCAGCAGTAGCGGGGAGGCGAGGGGACACTTTTCTAGTAGTGTCCTGAAGAGCTGCGCTGGTCGGTGGCTGACTACCACCAGGTGTCAGGACTCCCAAAGTCCTTCCAGGGGAGGGGCAGAAATTGCTGGCTTCTCCTGGCATCTCTGACAGCAGCAGTGGTGTTCAGCTCATCTCTCTGCTTTGCTACAGTGTATCATTGGAACCTGAGAAAATCTGTCGTCTCTCCTGGATGCTTGGCATGTGGAACAACTGAGGCAGTGACAGCAGGCGTCACATCTGTAAGGAGCCACAGTGCAGCCTCTGTGGACACTTGCAGTATTCAGAGTGGTCAGAGCAGGGTCACATACTGGCTCATGTCCTTCTGGAGCTGGCAGCCCATGTAGTTCCCTCCTGTCTTCCCATCAGCCCCAAGCAGGGCCCATGTACCTGCTCCCCTCGGTGGTCATCTTCACTCTATTTTCTAGTCCCTTCACTGTGAAGATTCTCTTCAGGACAGAGCACAGGTTTCTCTTCAGCCAGTGTCACATGACACCTTTGTGTCTGTGGAGGCAGGTCGGGTGGGGGGAGGGTCGTCATATGAGGCTGGAGCAGGAAACAGAGGGACTCCGGGAAGGCATGTGGTTGGATGTCCTCAGGCTCAGCAAGTCTGCATTTGCTCTTCAGGGTTGTCCTTGCCTTTCTGCATCTCCCAGTAAAGCCCAGGCCCTTACCTGGCTTCACCTGCCCTCACCTGCCCTCATCTGCCCTCATTCAGTCTCACCTGACCTCACCTGCCCTCACCCAGTCTCATTTGTCCTCACCTGCCTTCAGCTAGTCTCACCTAGCCTCATCTGCCCTCACCCAGTCTCATTTGCCCTCACCTGACCTCAGCTAGTCTCACCTAGCCTCATCTGCCCTCACCTGCCCTCACCCAGTCTCATCTGCTCTCACCTGCCCCACCTGCCCTCACCCAGACTCACCTAGCTTCATATGCCCTCAGCTGCCCTCACCTAGACTCATCTGCCCTCACCCAGTCTCACTGCTCTCACCTGCCCCCACCTAGTCTCACCTAGCCTCATCTGTCTTCACCAGCCCTCACCTAGTCTTACCTGCCTCACTTGTCCGGGAAGCTCCCAATCAATATCCAGTCCCCCAGGTAGGACCCTGCATTATGCTCCCATTTTCCCTCCTCACCCTCCCCGCCCCATCCTCATTCTTCAGGTATGTGCCCACTCTCGCAGACTTGTGAAGGAACTGGCTGAGTACGTGGACCAGTACTCAATACCATGTACAGGTGAGAGCAGTGGCCAGTGACTTTGACAGCGTGCCCATTCCCAGCACCTTCCAAAAGTATCCATCCATCAGTGTTCCAACTCCTGGCCAGGCTCCTTGCCCCTGTGGACCCATTTCCATATGAGAGCTCTAGATCTTTTTCGACAAGAAAATCCGTGGCCCCACCCCACCCCAAAGACAGTGCTATGACTTTTAGAAGAAAATATTCTATTTGTGAGACAGAGTCGAGGCTCTGAAGCCAGAACAGATCTGACCCCTGGCTTTGCCTGCCCCTCACTGCCTGTCCTCTAACCCTTGGTTTTCTCATCTGTGTTGTGGGGATGAACATGAGGTCAACCTCACGGTTTGTGTGAAGGACTGAGTGAAATCACACCTACGAAGCAGTGGACCTGAGCTACCCCAATAAACGGAACCAAATGTTTGCCTTGTCAAACCTGCGGGCAGGTAGGGCATGTTCTATCATCAAAGGGATAAGATGTGCAAATGGAAGCCCAAGGAGTGGCCTGTCTGGAGGCAGAGGGAGCTCCGGCCATACCAAGAAAGGAAGGAGGACGCCTCCAGTCCCACCTCCTCAGCGTCCCCGTTTCTATTCTGTCAGCCTCGGTTCTTTGGTAGGTTTGGAAGATGCAGAGAGGGAAGAGTTATCTTTATGGCTCACATAGACCTGGCTGCATGCACAAATCCCAAAATAAAATCATTCCTCAGAGTTTGCCCTAACTGTCATTTTCTAGGTGAAGAAGTTAGGCCCAGAGAGGTTAAGTGACATGCCTGGGGTCACACAGGTGCGTAACAGCCTGTTCCCTCTATGCCCACCTCTGTGCCCCGAGGTGCTGTCCCTTTTTTGATTCAGAGACGTTTGCTCTAGGTTGTTCTTGGTTCACTCTTTTGCAGAATCCTGGAATCAGGGGAGCTCTGGGACCTTGTAGTCCAAGGCCCCTCTGGGGGCAAGAAGCCCCTCTGGAGCCCCACCTGACCCAAGCTTCTCCTGCCTTCTCCTGAATCGATGGCTTTGCCTGGCCAAGCCTTGTCCCTATTTTCCACAGCTCTGGCTATCCAGTGACTGTCCTTTTCCTCAAGCCTAAAAGGGTCTCTCCTTCAATTCCACCCAGTAGCACTGAGGCTTGGAAGAGGCTCCAGAGAGGGCTATGGTCAGAGCAGGTGGGACCAGGGTTTAGCTCATCCTGGATGCATGTAGCCCAGCAAGGGAATATCCAAACCTTGGGGACTGCGTGTCCAAGAAGTTCCTACTGCAGCATAGCAAAGCCAACCTTCCCAAGTGTCCCCAGTGGCCCAGAATCACAGCCAACCAACCCCCCTCCCCTGACAACTGTGTCAACTGTGCTGACTTCACCCCCAAACTCTAGTTCTGGAGTTTCCAAGGCAGGACAGAGTGTGCTAGCCTCCGGCTGGAGTCCATGTTTCAGATATCCAACTGCATCTCTATTAAATCCAGCCTGGAGTACTCATCCTATGTCCCAGCCCTAGAGGGGAGGACGGCAGCAAATTCCGAGAGGATTTTCCTCACCAGAGCTTACAGGAGAACAGACATTCAAGGCTGCTCAAGAAGCAGGTGGCTGCTGTTGTTGTTTTTTGTTTTTTTGTTTTGTTTTGAGACAGAGCCTTGTTCTGTTGTCCAGGCTGGAGTGCAGTGGCGCCATCTCAGCTCACTGCAACCTCTGCCTCCTGGGTTCAAGCGATTCTCCTTCCTCAGCCTCCTGAGTAGCTGGGATCACAGGCGCCCGCCAACACCCCTGGCTAATTTTGGTATTTTAGTAGAGACGGGGTTTCACCGTGTTGGCCAGGCTGGTCTCGAACTCCTGACCTCAAGTGGTCTGTCTGTCTCGGCCTCCCAAAGTGCTGGGATTACAGGCATGAGCCACCGCACCTGGCCCGCCTGCTGTTGTTTGACAATGTTGGGTATTCTTAGGGATCCAACTCTAGTTTTTAGGAAATGAACACAAATATTCATTTTTCACAACAGCCAACAATTATTTCCTTTATAAGTTCACATTCACAACCATTTTCCCACTCTAAAATTGGCACAAATTTGAAAAGCATGATATATAAAACCGGTGAGGATATTGTGAGGTAAACACTCTCATTCACTGATGACGTGAATTTAAACGAGAACAAGCTTTTTAAACAGCAATGGCAAAATGCATTCAGAGTTTAAAGCATCTATTCCATTTGGCTCAATTCTATACATGCACGGAAACAAAGCAAAAAACAAGGAAAATGCAACCCCCGCCCCCTCCCAAATCAAAGAACAAACAGGAGCTTTTTCAGGCCTCAAGTGAAGCAAGGCACGAGTCTCTCTGAGGAATCCCCGCCCATAAGACCTGGGAAGGTCACAGCCTTCACGCTGGCTCAAGGGGTTCTCCCCAGCAGGAACCCAGGCTGCTCCTCCCGGGACTGTGGCTGACAGGTAGGGAGCGCTCATAAGTCATAGCGGATATTATCACTACAGGGGTCCCTAACATCTCAGTGAACCCCCACTGTCAGGGAAACTGAGAAACTGTGAATGCAGCCCCAAAGCCTGTGAGAGACCACGTGTGGGCTCAGAGCCTCCCCGTCACCTCAGAAGGCCAGGGAGCCCAGAGGCCAAGCAGGGACTTCGGCAGGACCCGTCCAGTGGACCCCAAGTCGCCCTGTCACTCAGCAACCATACCCCAGCCCCAGGTGGCAGAGGAGGGCAGCCCCTGGGCGGGACAGTCTCGCCAGGCCACCAAGGCTCCTCAGCGCTTAGGCCCCTCGCATGATCCCACAGTCAGTTCACCCTCAAGCTCTCCATGGTCCCAAGTCCTCTGTCCTCAGCCTTCTCTACTGGGCTCATTTCAGGTAATTTGTTTTTGTTTTGTTTTCCCTTCTCATTTTCTTGCTCCCTCTGAGAGACTAATGTTCTAACAAAGATGTGCTGCTGGAACGAGGCATTAATTTCAATAGTCACCTAAAAGCAATTGCCTAGGAAATATCTCATTTTCCCATTAAACGCCGCAGAGGAGAAGCCTCGGGTGACTCCTCTCTCCCGCTCCCTGGCCCCCTCCTTCTCTGTTCTCCACCCCCTCCCCTCTTCCAAAAACTCGTTACAACCTGGACACTATTTCCACTCCCTGTTCTAAAATGCTGCCCTGGGCAGATAGATGAGCCCACTTGGCCTCTGGCCAGCACATGCCCCACAGGTAATTTTGTGGAAATCAAGCTGGGACAGAAGGGGTGTCTTTTTGGGAGCACAGGCAGGTGGCTCAGCTTGGTTCTCTGGGCTGGGGGCAGGGGCAGGCAGGAGGAGCAGGTGGGTCCCCCGAGGTCTCCTTTTGACGATGGGATGTAGCCTATGGGAGGGATGTGTTTCCAGGTCCTCCCTGGCCTTGTGAGACATCCCCACAGAGGCCCCTGTCAGGGGAAGCTGTGATCAGGGGTCAGAGCCTGGCACACATGTCACTGTTGACTTGAAAAAGTTGATTGAGCAAGAGAAGGGGTCTCAGTCCTCCCCTAGGCTCCCCTGTGTCTCCGTGGGGTGCCCAGGCCCTGACCACCCCCAACCGAGGCAGGCTCTTCTCTTGCACTCTGTTACCTTGACAAGCTGTCATCTGACCTCCCTCCAAAAAAAATTCATGATAACCTTCTCCCAGGGCTAATAATAATTATTATTCTATTTTTAATAATTAATATGATAATGTAATTAATATATAATTATTACATATAATAATATAAGTAAATATTAATAACTATAATATAATTAATAATTATTATTATTAAAAACAGCTGTTTGAAAGCCTTTTGATGTGAGACAGACATCCCTAGCTGTGTTTCAGCAGTACTTGTCAATCTCTGTATGCGTAGGTACCATTATCACCACCACAGTCCCCAGTTCACAGAGGAGGAGCTGAGGCCCTCAGAGGCTCCATAATGTCCCCTAAAGCCACACAATCTTGGCCCAAGATTTGCTTGGCCCAGGGGCCTGGACGCTTGATCTCATAGATGGTCTGTCCATGTAGCTTGCAACACTCAAGAAGTCCCTCTCCAGTGAGGGAGCTCTGAACCCTGGCAGTGAGGCCTCTCAGTGAGGGGGCTTCTGAGCCCTGGCAGTGAGAAGCTCTCTGTGACCAGGGGACCCACCCTGCAACCTCCCCACCATTCCATAGCTGCCAGCACCTGTGCCCACTTCGAAGCTTAACCCTGAATGATAAGAGAGACCAGGAGCCAACAGCTTTACGTACGTTACTAATGAGCCTCAGAACAAACTCACAAAAAAATCTTATTCCTACTTCACAAACAAGAAGTTGAGGATCAGAGAGGTTAACTCAAATGACAAAGTCACACAGCTTTTAAGTCCCCTGCTCTTGGCACCAGACTCAGCAGCTTTGATGTGTTTGTTCTCTTCCTCCCTGTTTTTATTGAGGGCTTCTGAGGTGCCCTCCTTCTCCATCTCCTCCCTTCTCCTTCTTCTCCTCCTCCCCCTCCCCCCCGCCTCCTCCTCCTCTTCCTTCTTCTTCTCCTCTCCCTCTCCTCCTCCTTCTCCTTCTCCTCCTTCTCCTTCTCCTTTCTCTTTTTTAAATTTAAGAGATGGGGTCCCACTCTGTCACCCAAGCTGGAGTGCAATGGAATGATCACAGCTCACTGCAGCCTCAACCTCCCAGGCTCAAGCAGTCCTCCCACCTCAGCCTCCAGAGTAGCTGGGAATATAGGCACACCTCACTACACCTAGCTAATTTTTAAATTTTTTTGTAGAGACAGGGTCTTTCTGTGTTGCCCAAGCTGGTCTTGAACTCCTGGGTTCAAGTGATCTGCTCCCCCTCAGCCTCCCAAAGTGCTAGGATTACAGGACTGAGCCACCATGCCCGGCCAAGTCACCCTTCTTGAACTTTGATTCACCAAGCTCTTCAGTCCAATTTTACACAAGTGTGAACTCAGGTGTGTGCTTGTGATTCTTTGTTCACACACAGCCAAGTTGGCACAAGAAGGTGAAACAGAGAAAGGCCTCAGTGTTTTTGGCCAAGCCCACAGAAGGCCACCTAAGCAGGCTGGATGCTGCCCAGGGCTGGGCCACAGCGTGTCCTTTGTAAGTCAGCCATCCCAGCCCCCGAACCCCACACACACACAAAGACACACACTTACCCCAGGAGCAGCCCCACAGTGCAAAGGAGCCCACACAGCGGCTAATGGCTGCTCAGGTTTGTGTGATCTGTCTGGGTTCAGGCACAACCTCCAGGGGCCTCTGGCCCAGGTTGCATCTTTCCTGCAGAGCAGAAAAAGCACAGTTAAGAAAACCCCAAGAAGGCAGTCAGTTTCCTCCCTTGAGTTTCTGGGGTGGACTTCCGGCAGAGTTTTTGGAGGACTGACTGTTGCAGTTAAACAATGTGTCTGGCAAGAAGCGAGACTTCCTCCCTTCCTGCTGCCTGGCTCATGGGGCTGCAGCCTCCTTCTGGAGGTGGCAAGAAAGAACTGTGGAGTCCGCGATCTAAGGGATCCCTGGCAGCCCACGGCAGCCAGAGAACCACATCCGCTGGAGAACTCTAGGTTCTCTACGGCCTCTTGTTACTGCCAGTGCTTGTGTGGCTTGAGGTGGGTAATGCGGCAGCCTCCTGCAGCTAGCCCAGGACTGGGCAGCATGGGGCCAGGTAGTTAGTGTAGGAGAGTGAGCCCAAGCTTGGAAAGCAAGACTTGGCTCTGTCACTGGGCAACCGGGCAACCTTTTTTTGGTTTGGTTTTGTTTTGTTGTTTTTGAGACAGAGTCTTGCTCTATTGCCCAGGCTGGAGTGCAGTGGCATGCTCAAGTCCTGCCTCCCTGGTTCAAGCGATTCTCCTGCCTCAGCCTCCTGAGTAGCTGGGACTACGGGCATGTGCCACCACGCCTGGCTGATTTTTATATTTTTTATTGACGGGGTTTTGTCATGTTGGCCAGGCTGTCCTCAAACTCCTCCCCTCAAGTAATCTGCCCTCCTCGGCCTCCCAAGTGCTGGGATTACAGGCATGAGCCACTGCGCCCAGCCTGGGCAACCTTGAAGAAGTTACTTAGCTTCTCTGAGCCTCAGTTTCCTCATCTGTATAATGGAAGCAATAGTGTCCGTTTTGCAGGGCTAGTATGCCTGGTAAATGAGAATCCTCATAAGAGCCTAGAAATAATAGTGTCATAATGCAGGTGGTTCTACTATTACCAGTGACTAGTATTTGTTGAACACTGACCATAGACTAAGTTTTGTACTGAGCGTTTTATATTTATTGTCCCATTTAGTCCTCCAAAAAATCTAATGAGATATGACCATCCCCAGCTTACAAATAAGAAAACTGAAACTCAAAAAGACCAGCAAGTGACCCCAGAGAACTGCACAAGGATCTGCAGAGAGTGAGCAACAGGAGCCGAAGCCGTGGGCTCATACCAGGCTCTCTTCCTGCCTCTTAAGCCCATGGCACATTTGGAGGGTGCTACCTGAATTGAATGGGTGTGCCTGTTGTTTTGAAGTTGGGGTCTACGGCCATACCACCCTGAACGTGCCGGATCTCGTCTGAAGTTGAGGATAGGCATCATCTTTCACTTCAAAATGAAGAAACGGAGGCATTGGGAGGTTAAGTCACACATAGCCAGCAAGTGGCAGAGAGTGAAAGGAACCAGCATTGATGAGCGCCTACTGTATGCCAAACACTGTGCTTACTTCAAGATCCTGTGATCTGCTGGGTGGTTTTGGAGATGTTGGAGTTTCATTGACTTCCTACACTGCCCTGAAGAGGTCTTATTAGTATTAGCCCCATTTTACAGAGAAGGGAACTGAAGCTCCGTGCATGTAATTAGACTCCGAAGGCTGTTGATGGATGGGGAAGGAGAGGGTCCCTCTCTGCTTTTAAGGAATGCATGGACAGTTATGATTCTGGCCTGAGAAGGAAATGGAAGGGGCTCTGTGCCCGTCCCACATATCCTGCCCCACACCCAGGGCCTCATGGATCCCACCAGGGGAGGCTCCTGGCTTCCCAACAGAGGAAGGCATCACTTCAGAAAGGGCTGTCCCCTCAGGCCTTCTGTAGGTGGCCGGTGGGGTCTAAGTGTGTGTGCCCTTCACTCCCCGCTTCATTCCCCTCATCCTCCCTGTGCTCCTGTAATGCCCACTGGACCACTGGAGAGCCCCCGCAGACGGCAAACAGCAGCAGAGCACACAACCAGCCCTCTCAGGTCTAGTAAAAGTGAGCTTCCTACAGAAATGCACAGGGGACTGAGATGAGAGTCGAGCAGGCCTGGAAGGATCCCGGGGAACAAACAATGCTGCAGGGAAGATGGAGGCCCCCTCGGCAAGCCGTCCTTTCTGGCCCCCGAGGAGCCCTGGGGTGGACCCTGGTCACTGTCTTGAACATGTGACTCTAGTCTTTTTCCTCATTTTCAATATCAGTAAAATGAACTTAAGCATGTGTTCCACAATGCGAAGGTTTATTGATTTATAAATTCTATAAATGTGCTACTGAGCTAATAAATGCATCACAAATGACATAAAAGTTGATATTTTACTAGGATAATAGGAAATCACAACTAGAATTTCTGATATCTTCTTCCTACGCCCCCAGCATTTTGTGGTGTGCCCCCTCTGGGCCTTGGGAAAGTGATACAGAGCCTGCAGAGCCTGGTACTATGCTAGGGTCTGGCTGTAATGGGACACTGCCCTTTCCTGCAAGAGGCCATTGAGCAAGGCATTTGGCACAGGCTTTGGGGTCAGACAGAAGTGGGTTCTGATCTCATCTCTGCCTCTGAGGAGCAGTGTGGCCTGGGCAATGACTTACCACCTGGAGCCTCCATTTCCTCATCACAAAATGGGGGAGATAATCTTCCTGTGCAGAGGTGATGAGATGATGACTGCAAAGACACAGCACGGTGCGTGCCACAGAGGAGGTGGGGTTCAGTCGATAGTCCTGAATCCTCCTGCTTACCAACGAGCTCCCGGTTCCCACCCATGCCAGGGAGGTCAGTAGGCAGCCTGGGTGCCTGAAGGTCCGTCCTAAGGATGAAGTCTAAATGGGGAGAACGGATGACTTGGGAGAGACGTCCCCACAGCTCCTCCTTGGCTCTGGGCACAGCCTTTCCCATGAGTGGTAAGTCGCGTTCCTATGGCTCCAGGTAGAATTCCACAAAAGGAAACATACACATACACAATCTTTATTTCATCCCTCTTCTGGCGTCCTCCCAGTTCTACTCACCCGTTTGTGAGTCCCTTTGATGACTTAGAAAGCACAGTAGAGCCAGCATAATCATTCTGCAGTGGTAGAATCTATTTTTGGCCTGGAATAGCCCCATGGACAGGAGACCTGTACTGTCCCCCATTAAGGGGACTCCCCATCCTATGCCATTTATCAGGACTGACACAGCCCTCATGAGGCCGCCAAAGAGACAGGACACCTCCCAAGCCACAGCTGCAGCCCGGAGAGGGAAACATACAAGCTCCCCACCTGGAGGCAGCCTCTTCCTGAGTGAGTGGCAGGCTGCCCCGCCATCAAGTTGTCAGAGTCATTCATCCAGGGCAGCATGGAGGAAGCCGCTGTTGACCGCTTCGCCCACGCCCCGGAGTGGCTCTGAGGCGCTCCTGTGGCCTGGGACAGAATGTTTCTGTGAACAGCAGCCCATGGCCAGGCAAGCACAGAACATCTCCCCTGGAAGACCTGCATTCAAAGGGCCACCAAATTAAACTCCCACTTCACACTGAGGGGGGGAAAGTGATAAGTAATGGGGCACGGGGTGCAGAGAGATTGGGCCTACAGGTGGAGGAGGCCTGCAGTGCTTCTCTGGGAGGGGCAGCCTGCTCCCCTGGGAACCAAGCCACTGTTCTCTCCAACACCCTTACCCCAGAGGACTCTGTGTCTGAGCTTTCTGAGCAATTATCAGCTTCCACTGCAGCTGCAGCAGGCACGTTGTTGGAGAGCCCAGCTGGGTTCAAGGACTCTTCCCTGGTGCAAGCCTGGATTGCAAAGACCATGCATGTGGGGGCTAGGATAGATGCCCTATAATTAGCCATGCACCCTAGTTATTCCCTCCCACACCTCTTTCCTGCCCTCCCCTCCTTTTCCCCTCAGAAGTGAAGGTGCTCATAGCGGTCATCAATGCCCTTACAGAGCATTTAGCTCTAAGTTGCATCATCTTTAACTTTCCCCAGGCCCCACCTGTGGGTCTCCACACCAGCCATTGTGAGGACAGGATGAATTCATTTGCAGAGGACAAGCACAAAATCTCTGGTAAAAAACAAACACAATGTACCATAGTAAATGGGAGCAGCTTTAAAAAAAGTACAAAATCCATTGGGGACCCCGTTGCCATAGGAACTGGCATTACAGCTTGCTTCCGATAATTAATGGAGGGTTTTGCTATTACAGTATTCTTGAAACTTCGCTTTCCCCTGTGCTACACTGCAGAATACAGTGTCCTCTCCCCATTCATAACTATTTCATGACCACCAGCTGCTGCGTTTCATCACTGCAGATAGCACTCGGCCTAATCCACCCCTTGCCAAATTCATGTCCTGTCAGAGAGCAACTTCCATTTCTTCCTCTTTCTTCTGCAGTCTTCATTTATCTGATTTGAAGTTCTTTACATTCCCAAACCCAGAATGGTGGCTTTAGACATCTCTTTCCTGTGCCTGTCTCATTTTCCTAAAGGTCTCATGGGCCTCCCCCAGGGGTGTTGGTTCTGGCTCAGGCCCTACTGCCCTCTGCACATCTGCTTTGATGGAGTCCTGGGAGGATACTGGGCTTTTGAATTCTGGTGCCTCAATGTGCTGGCTGAGCCTCTGTTCCCTCATGGTTAAGTAGAGATGCCACCTGCCCTGCAGGGTTGGAGAGAGAGAGCCAGATAAGATATAACACATGTAAAGTACCCGTCCCCCCATGGGTGGGCTCAAGTGGTCACAGTGGCTTCTGGTGTTGGTTTGTTCTCTTGTATCTCTTGTTTTTTTCTAGATAAAGTAAAATCCATAACTTTTTTTAATTGACAAAAATGTATATATTTGTGTGTACAGCGTGTTTTGATATTTTGACATGTAGAATGGCTGACCCAAGCTAATTAACCTGTGCATTATCTCACATACTTTTTTTGCAATGAGAACACTTAAAATCTACTCTTAGCAATTTTCAAGTATACAATATATTGTTACTAACTATAGTCACCATGTTGTACAATAGATGTCTTGAACTTCCTCCTGTCTAAATGAAAATTTTAATCTTTTAATCAACATCTCCTCAAGCCTGACCCCGGTAACCACCATCCTATTCTTTGTTTCTATGAGTTTGTTTCTGTGAGTGTAGATTCCCCATGTAACTGGGATCATGCTGTATTTGGCTTTCAGTGCCTGGCTTATTTCACTTACCTAATGTCCTCTAGGTTAATCCATGTTGCAAAGGACAGGATTTCCTTCTTTTTAGAGGCTGAATAGTATTACATTGTGTATATACATCATAATTTCTTTATCCATTCATCCATTGATGGATACTCCCTGTCTTGGCTACTGCGAAGAATGTTCAGTGAACATGGGAGTGCAGATATCTCTTCCACATGCTGATTTCATTTCCTTTGGACATATCCCCAGTAGTGGGATTGCTGGATCATACAGGAGTTCTATTTTTAATTTTTTGCAGAACCTACATATTGTTTTACATAATGGCTGTACTAACATCCCCAACAAATGTGCAAGGGTTTGCTTTTCTCCACATCCTTAGCCATCCTAGCAGGTGTGAGGTGCTATCTTATTGTGGTTTTAATTTTCATTTCCATGATGATTGATGATGAGCGTTTTCTCATACACCTATTGGTATGTCTTCTCTTGAGAAATGTCTATTCAGGTCCGGTGTCCATTTTTTTAATTGATTTACAGATGTTCCTTGACTTACAATGGGGTTATGTCCCAATAAACTCATTGTTCATTGATAACACCGTAAGCCAAAAGTATATTTAAGCCAGGCATGGTGGCTCATGCCTGTAATCCCAGCACTTTGGGAGGCTGAGGCAGGCAGATCACTTGAGCTCAGGAGTTCAAGACCAGCCTGGGCAACATAGCGAAATCCCATCTCTACTAAAAATACAAAAATTAGCTGGGCATAGTGGAGCATGCCTGTGGTCCCAGCTACTCAGGAGGCTGAGGTGGGAGGACTGCTCGAGCCTGGGAGGTGGAGGTTGCAGTGAGCCAAGATGGACCCACTGCACTCCAGCTGGGGTGACAGAGTGAGACCCTGTCTCTAAATAAATAAATATTAAAATTAAAAAGTGCATTTAATGCACCTAATTTACCCAACATCATAGCTTAGCCTGGCCTACCTTAAGTGTGCTCAAAACTTTCATTAGCCTATGGTTGGGCAAAATCATCTAACACAAAGCCTATTTTATAGTAATGTGTTGAATATCTCACGTAATTTATTGAATACTGTACTGAAAGTGAAAAACAGAATGGTTGTATGGGTATGGAAGTATGGTTTCTACTGAATGCATGTCACTTTCATATCATCATAAAGTTGAAAAATTGTAAATGGAAACATCATAAGTGGGAGACTGTCTGGATTTGTTTCCTTGCCATTTAGTTGAGTTCCTGTTGCTTTAACTTAAGATAAATTAAAAAGCTTCTTTCTCCTTGCTGCCCTAGTGGAGGGGCTAGCCAGACAGCACATTCAAGCTGTATGTCCCGGGATGATTCCAATGAAGGCTCTTCACAGGAACACGGAGAGAGGCCATGCCCTGACCCTGCAGACGGAGCTGTGGACAATGCTGTTTAAAGGTGACAGGGATGGTCGGGCATGGTGGCTCACCTCTGTAATCCCAGCACTTTGGGAGGCTGAGGTGGGTGGATCACCGGAGGTCAGGAGTTCGAGGTCAGCCTGGCCAACATGGTGAAACCCCATCTGTACTAAAAATACAAAAATTAACCCAGGCATGGTGGCGGGAGCCTGTAATCCCAGCTACTCGGGAAGCTGAAGCAGGAGAATCACTTGAACCCAGGAGGCGGAGGTTGCAGTGAGCCAAGGTCACGCCATTGCACTCCAGCCTGGGCAAAAAGAGTTAAACTCCGTCTTAAAAAAGGGACAGGGACAGGGACAAGTCCTGAGCTAGAGGAAGTGACAGGCTGATTCACGTGCATGTAGTGCAGAAACAGTGCTCAGCGTCACCTTCTCCCCAGGACTCAGAGCCTGGCGCTCCTCCTTCGTGCCTCCCCTAAGTGTGCTTCAAGGCTCAGTTAGTGAACATTAGTGAGCCTCACTCTGAGAAGTTAGTGAGCTTCAGTCTGAGAAGAGGCACTAATGGTGGGGGTGGAATGGAGCCTTCTGCTCTCCTGTTGAGGGAGCAGCATCTGGAGAGGATGGCTGGTGGCTTGAAGCCCAGTGCTGCGGCTGGGTCTTGAGTGCTGGCCTGTGGGTGACCCGGGGCAATTCCCCCCTGCCTCTGGGATCGTTTCCTGCTACCTCCCACAAGAGCACGAACACACCACGCTGCTGCTCACCACCAGGCCCGTCCAGCAAGCCTTGGGGCCTGTGATAACAGGGGGAGAGTCCTCCCCGACACCTCCTCAGCAGCCTGCTCTGGGGCAGGGTGGGTTGTCCCCCTTCTCCCCATTCCTTACCTTCCTCATCACCGCAGGGACTCAGGGGCGGTTGCCTTTTGAAGCCACGTCCTGAAGGCAGCCCTGAACACCCATCATCCCATGGTCAGTTTCTCTCACAGGGGACAGGGTCTAGGCAGATGCATATAGAAGACCCAGGGGCCAGAGCCAGGCGAGGTGGGTTCAAGGATGGGAAGAACCAGAGGGGTCAAAACTAGAGAGATTGAATCCTGACATGAAGTCTCAGGAAGAGTTAAGAGCAGAAGACAGAAGTCCTGCCAAGAGGGTTAGAAACTGTGAGATTTCCACTTGAAACGAGGAACTGGGAGCAGAAAGTGAGGTGGGATTGAGCACAGAAGGTCCAGCCAATGGGCAGGGAAGCAGGGATGCTTCATTGTCTCTGCTAAGGGGCTGGAGAGGGTCAAGCTGGTTAAAGGCATGAATGTGGAGGGACCTCAACCACTGAGGCTGCATTTCTCTTACTGCCTTGAGCCCCTCCTTCAAACCCAGCCCTGGTCACACATGCTGGCTTGGTGGTTGTCACTGAGCTCCAGAAACCTCCCACCCAGGTCCTCCCGTCATGGCAGTGGTGGCCAATAGAGACTCTGTTCCCTGTCCCTAGACTCCCCAACCTGCCCCCGAGAGTTCAGGACCCTGTATGACGCGTTTCCAGCCTTCTATGTGACTGTGGAGGAAGCCGATCCTGTGGAGGAAGCTGAT
The DNA here is from genome assembly GCF_000001405.40 of Homo sapiens. Classification (NCBI taxonomy): domain Eukaryota; kingdom Metazoa; phylum Chordata; class Mammalia; order Primates; family Hominidae; genus Homo; species Homo sapiens. The sequence goes on from NC_000013.11 coordinate 21,352,819, forward strand.
CCAAGATTCGGTGCTCGCTCCAGAAGCCCCAGGGGCACTAGTGCTATCTGACATTCTTCTCTAAACCCCTTGACCGATGAGGCCAGGGACCTCAGCGCAGCCTCATCCTCCTGCCCCTGGGGACATTTACTGGAATCCTCTGCTGCTCTGATTCTGCCAGGCCCTGCCTGCAGGGGGTTCATACCACCCTCAAGGCACCTGGGCCCCTGGGTACCTACGCACAGGCCTGGGGGAAGGACCCTCTGCAGGGCCCGTGTGTGGGAGCCTCTCCTGTAAGTTCTCTCTCCTGGTCTCCTGCCCTGTTCTGGTTTCTGGGACACAAATTCAAACCCCTGCCCACACTCATCACTACTTCCTTCCCTGCCCATCTTTTAAATATTATCATGCAATAAAATATACATAATATAAAATGTGCCATCTTAGCCAGTTTTAAGGACACAGTTCTGTGGTATTAAGCACGTGCATGTTGTTGTGCAGCCATCACCACCACTCGGCTCCAGGACTTTTTCACTGTCCCAAACTGAAACCCCGAATGCATTAACACTAACGCCCCATTCCTCCCTCCCTCTAGTCCCTGGCAACCACCATGTCACTCCCTGTCTGTGAATTTCACAATTGTAGGTGCACATGTGAGTGGAATCACAGAGAATTTGTCTTCTTGTGCCTGGCTCGTTTCACCGAGCATAATGTTCTCAAGGGTCATCCATGTGGTAGCATGTGGCAGAATTCCCTTCCTCTTTCTTTCTTTATTTTATTTTATTTTATTTTTTTGAGACAGAGTCTCACACTGTCGCCCAGGCTGGAGTGCAGTGGCGCGATTTTGGCTCACTGCAAGCTCCACCTCCCAGGGTTCATCCATTCTCCTGCCTCAGCCTCCCAAGTAGCTGGAACTACAGGCGCCCGCCACCATGCCCGGCTAATTTTTTATATTTTTAGTAGAGACGCGGTTTCACCATGTTAGCCAGGATGGTCTCGATCTCCTGACCTCATGATCCACCCGCCTCGGCCTCCCAAAGTGCTGGGATTACAGGCGTGAGCCACCACGCCCAGCCTCCCTTCCTCTTTAAGGCTGAATCATACTCCATTGTCTGGATAGACCACATTTTGTTTATTCATTCATCCTTCAGTGGACATATGGGTTGCTTCCATCTTTAGGCTATTGTGAGTAATGCTGCCGGGCACATAGGTGTACAAATATCTGTTTGAGCCCCTGCTTTCAATTCTTTGGTTGTATACGCAGAGGTGGGATTGCTGGATCATATGATAATTCTATGTTTATTTTTTTGAGAAACCTCAATACTGTTTTCCACAGTGGTTGCACCATTTTACATTCCCACTGACTGTGCATGAGGGTTCCAGTTTCTCCATGTCTTCAGTACTTGCTATTTTCTGTTTATTTTTAGCTATGGCCATTCTAACGGGTGTGAGGTGGGATCTCATTGTAGTTTTGATTTGCATTTTCTTAATGATTATCGAGGTTAAGCCCCTTTTCATGTGTTTGATGGCTGTCTCCATTGAAGAATGTCTGCTCAAGTCCTCTCTCTGCTTTTTAATTGGGACGTTTGTGCTTTCATTGTTGACTTTTTGGAGTTGCTGCCTATTTTAAAGCTCTTTGTGGTAGGCATCCTCATGAATAAGCCCTAACAACCCCCAGCCACTCACCTTTGAGAGTCCTTTTGGAGTCTGACCTCTGCAGCCACATCTCCTTAATCGTGGTCATCTCAGCTGCTCTTGTTGCAACCTTCTCCGGGTCTCTCCTCTTCCCTTGCAGCAGGAGTAAGAAGCGCATGGTGTTTTCTGGTGCGGGCTCCCAGTGGTTCCCTTTATGCAGGACAGGTGATGTGCTATTCCTGGGACCTCCCCTCCTGCTTGGGGTTCCAGCAGCATCCTGGGTCAATGACCTCTGCAAACCTTTCACAGAATTCCTCTAACACCTCTTCCTGGGTCAGAGCAGAGAGCCCAGTGCCAAACATTTCATAATTACCGCTTCAAAGATTCTGCATCACACGCACGTCAGCGATGTTCCAGGGGCAGAGAAAGGAAGCGTGCACTGGAGGTGTCACCGGGCTTCATTACCGCCATCATAAAGATTGAGTACTTACCTGCCAGGTCGCAGTGTTCAGTGCTGGAGCGCGTGTGAATGTCTACCATGCGCTGCCCACCGGGCCAAACCCTAGTTCCCAAGGCCTTCCTTGAGTGACTTCAGCTCGTTTCTGGAATGTTTCAGTAATGCCACTTTCCAGCTCCAGGGAGACTTTCTGGAGAGTCAAAGCAACAAAGGCAGAGAAAGCAACAGAGAAAGTAGAAGGAGAGGAGGAAGAAATGGAAGAGCAACAGACTCCTTTTTCACTCTCAGACTTCCTCCTCTCTCCCACTCCGAGCCCCACACTCGTTTGCTTACAAGTTGCCTGCTCGGCTGCCCTGGGACTTGCTTTTCACTTGGATCTGAATTCAGTGGCTCCAGGCTCCACTCGGGCAGAGGGAAGCCTGGGAGAGCCCAAATGCTTAGGCTCTGACTTTCAAGGAAGATGATTTCCCCTAACATTGGGACATCTGATGCATTCGTAGGTTAGCTCCTCATCTGAGAGCAGCTGCCTCTCGGGGGAAGACATCTGTCCTTCAGAGCTAGCCTGGGGAGGGGGAGGAGGGAAGGTGGAAGGAGGGGAGGGGAGGGGAAGGAGAGAGCAGGGAGGGCAAGGACAGAGCACAGGTGAGAGGAACAAGGTGGAGGAGAGTAGGGAGACACTTGACACCATTTGGAGAGCAGCTACAGTGCCTCGCACACAGACACATCTAAAGACTGAAAGGCTGGCCCCAACAGATCTTGTGAAATGAGGGGATTTCTTCTTGGATTGCTGCCCACTCCTACCCCCATGTCACTGTGGAAAATAAGGCTCAACATGTCTCCTTTGGGACTCTACAAGTTTCTTAAAAGTGTCTGAGCCACCAGGTCGTCAAGCAGGGGATGTTGCATGGGGGGCCTGACCCTCCAGCCCACTATCCAAGGAGAGCTACTCAGTTTATATCTGTTCAATGTGTTTAAAAAGGACGTTCTGGGGCTGGGCTCGGTGGCTCATGCCTGTAATCCCAGCACTTTGGAAGGCCAAGATGGGCAGATCACGAGGTCAGGAGTTCGAGACCAGCCTGGCCAACATGGTGAAACCCCGTCTCTACTAAAGATTTAAAAAATTAGCCGGGCGTGGTGGCAGGTGCCTGTAATCCCAGCTACTCAGGAGGCTGAGGCAGGAGAATTACTTGAACCCAGGAGGCGGAGGTTGCAGTGAGCCGAGATTGCACCACTGCACTCCAGCCTGGGCAACAGGGCGAGACTCAGTCTCAAAAAATATATAAATAAATAAATAAATAAATAAATATGTAAATGCTTTAACATAAACACATAGATGACTGGCCTAGACCCCACCCCCACCCCCCACCAAGGACCCCTCTACCTCAGACATCTCCTGGTCTTCACCCTGCCCCAGGCAGACAGTGACAGATGTCCACTCTGTTAGCCACAAGGAACTGGCCAGGTCAAGCTGGTGCAGAGGGAAGGGCAAGTCCATGTTCCTCACACCAAGAACTGTTGCCCCTGGGAGCTGGGAGAAGTTGGAATTGATTGGAATGCCCATGGTGGCCTGGCTGGGCCCAGGGATGCTGAAATTCATGAAAAGGGGACCTTCTGGGGCCTGTTGTCAGTCAAAGGGGGTGAAAAGGGGCAGATGTGAATTTCATATAGAAACTTTCTAGAAAAATGACATTGATTTTTCTAGAAATGAAAATAGAAATGTTTCATAGGCCAGGCACAGTGGCTCACACCTGAAATCTCAGCGCTCTGGGAGCCCGAGGCAGGAGGGTCACTTGAGCCCAAGAGTTTGAGACCAGCCTAGGCAACATAGGGAGACCCCGTTTCTACAAAAAAGTTTTAAAAATTAGCAGGGCGTCTGTAATCCCAGCACTTTGGGAGGCTGAGGCAGGAGGATCACGAGGTCAGGAGCTTGAGACCAGCCTGGCCAGCATGGTGAAACCCCATATCTACTAAAAATACAAAAAAAAAAAAAAAATTAACTGGTCAGGGTGGCGCAAGCCTGTAATCCTAGCTACTCAGGAGGCTGAGCCAGGAGAATTGCTTGAACCTGGGAGGTGGAGGTTGCAGTGAGTTGAGATTGCACCACTGCACTCCAGCCTGGGCAACAGAGCAAGACTCAGTCTCAAAAAAAAAAAGCTGTGCGTGATGGCATGTGCCTGTAGTTCCAGCTACTTGAGAGGCTGAGTCAGGAGAATCACTTGATCACTTGGGCCCTTGGGTTCAGGGCTGCAGTGAGCCATGATCACACCACTGTACTCTAGCCTGGTCAACAGAGTGAGTCTCTCTCTCTCTCTCTCTCTCTACATATATATACACACACACACACATATACACACATATATATAAATTTTTTAAAAAATGTTTTATAAAACATAAATACTTGGTCATTTAACCATTTTCTTATTGCTCTCAATGTCTAAATATCTCTTGGTAGAGAAGCTGACTAGAAATCTGCAGAAACTCGGGAATCTAGTGTCAGCCTCTGAATTGGTGATCCTCAACACCGGCTGCACTTCAGGACCTCCCAATGGGTTGGTTAACACTTTGTTCAAGCCCCACCCATCTCCGAGTCTGGTTTAAAGTGGCCTGGGTGGGGGTGGGTACAGGGATTTGTTAAATGCTCACCAGGTGGTTATAATGGGCAGCCCCGCTTGAGAGCCATCAAGGCAAAGTAAAAGTTGCGTTAACTTCCAGCAGCCACGCCCCTTATTTATGAAAGGAGTTGAAAACCTTTTCCACACAAAAACCTGCACACGGATGTTTAGAGCCACTTTATCCGTATTTGCTAAAAGTTGGAAACAACCAAGATATCCTTCAGTAGGTGAGGGGATAAACTGGGGTACATGCAGACAATGGCGTATTACTTAGCGCCAAAGAGAATTGAGCTGCGAAGCCATGAAAAGGCATGGGGGAAACTTAAATGCATATTACTGAGTGAAAGAAGCCAATCTGAGAAGGCTGCATACTGTATGATTCCAACTGTATGACATTCTGGAAAAGGTGAAACTATGAAGAGTATAACAAGATCAGTGGTTGCCAAGGGGGGAGCGGGAGGAAGGGATGAACTGGTAGGGTACAGAGGATTTGTAGGGCAGTGAGACTACTCTGATATTATAATGATGGATGCATGTCATAATGCATTTGTCAAAACCCATAAAATGTCCAACACAGAGAGTGAACCCTAAGGTAAACCATGGACTCTGGGTGATAGAGATGTGTCAATGTTGGTTCATTAATTGAAACAAACATGCCAGTCTGGTGGGGGATGTTGATAATGAGGGGAGCTGTGCATGTGTAGGGGGGAAGGTACCTGGGATATCTCTGTACTCTGCTCAATTTTTCTGTGAATCTAGAACTGCTCAGAAAATGAAGTCTGTTTTTAAAAGAAAAAAGCTGTGGCTCTCTTCTCTTCCTCGTTCGACAAACAGCTCCATCTGCTCATGCAGTGTCAGCCTCATCCAGGATACAATGGTGAGAGTCTGAGTCAATGGATTTGGCCATATTGGATACCTGGTCACCAGGGCAGCTTTCAACTCGGCAAAATGGACACTGTCATCATCAATGATCTCTTCACTGGCCTCAACTCCATGGTCTACATGTTCCAGTATATTTCATGACAAGTCCAATGGCACAGTCAAGGAAAGAGAACAGGAAGCTTGTAATCAAAGGGAAGCCCATCTCCATCCTCCAAGAGCAAGATCTCGCCAACATCAAATGAGGCAACACTGGTGCTGAATATGGTGCAGAGCCCACTGGCGTCTTCAGCACTACGGAGAAGACTGGGGCTCACTTGAAGTAGCCAAAACTGTCGTCATCTTTGCCCCTTGTGCTCTTGTGCAGATCCATGTTTGTGGTGGGTGTGAACCATGAGAAGTATGAATTATCTTCTCGAGATTGTCAGCAGTGCCTCCTGCACTATCAACGTTTGGCACCCTTGGCCAAGGTCATCTATGACTACAGTCCATGCCACTACTGCCACCCAGAAGACTGTTGGAGAAACTTTGGCGTGACTGCTGCAGAACATCATCCCTGTATCTACTAGTGTGGCCGAGGCTATGGGCAAGGTCATCCCTGAGCCAGATAAGAGGCTCACAGGTATGGCCTTCTGTGTTCCCACCCATAATATGTTGGTTGTGGCTCTCATCTGCCATCTGCAGAAAGCTGCCAAATATGATGGCATGAGAAGATGCTGAAGCAGGTATCGGAGGGCCCCCTCAAGGGCATTCTGATCTACACTGAGGACCAAGTTGTCTCCTCTGACTTTAAGAGTGGCACCTGCACTCTTCTACCTTCAATGCCACGACTGGCATTACCTTCAATGGCCACTTTGTCAGGCTCCTTTCCTGGGATGAATTTGGCAGCAGCAACAGGGTGGTGGACCTTATGGTCCACACGGCCTCCAAGGAGTAAGACCCCCAGACCACCAGCTCCATCAAGAGCATGAGAGGAAGAGTGAACCCCCAGCTGCTGGGGAGTCATTGCCCCACTCAGGCTCCCCAAAGTCAGTTTCCATTCCAGACTCCTGGAGGAAGGACAGGGGCTTAGGCAGCTCCAGCTTGTCATGCACCATCAATGAAGTATGCCATCCCCAGCCAAAAGAAAAAGGTCACATAACCTAACATGGGCAACAGTCCTCTCACATGATTCATGGTATTGAGTGTTTGGTTAGTAGAACAGAATAGTGGTCCAGTTTCCAAAATTTCTAATCATGTGTATACTGATAAAAGTGAAATCATTACAGTTGGTCGTTGGTTGATGTGATGCTCTGGTGTCTTTTGATGCAAGTGCTGCCATAAACTTTTCCCTCTGGCCAATCCCCAAGACGAGGCTTCTGCAGAGGGACTTTTGATAAGAATAAGACGCCAAAGACATTGAGAATCTCCCAGTTCAAAGGAGCCCTCCCTAGCTCAAGGTTGCCTAGAATTCTAGCCCTCTCCTCCGAGGCTTTATGGGGCTGGTGTTCCTGGGAGTGTCCGTGTCACAGTGTGAGTAGCTATGCACCTAGTGGGACTGTGTTGCACCTGTTCCTGAGAGCAGGTGTGATTAGGAAACAGCAGAACGAAGGGCAACATGCAGGCACGTGGGGGTGAGAAGGCACTGGCACATCCCTCCCACCTGGGGGTGGGGCTTACTGTAGGAGAGGCATGGTCTCCAGAGGACCCCTCCCTTCACCACTGTGCAGGATGCTCAGTCAGTCCTGAATATTACAGCCAAACCCTAGCCAGGGCCCCTGCCACCTGAGGTAGTGGCTGAGTGTGTGGGGATGGAGTTCCCATAGCCTGCCGGCAAACTCTTCGGGATCACACACATCCTAAGAGCAAAGGAAAAGAATCCATGCTAGCCTATGTCCCTCTCTTCTCAAAACTGCTTCGGGAGCTTTAGTTCTTGGAGAAACCACACTTTTCGGATCCAATTTCAAGACTTTCCACATGTCCCTTGTAAATGAGGATGTGCACTTCTCGAGCCTGAAGAGTTTGTAAAAAGGCCACAATTGGTCATTCCAGGGACAGTGTCAGAAAAGCGGGTGGTCTTCCTGGGAAGCCAAGGGGTGACACACTCCTGCAGGGGTTCATTCTATGCATGACACATTTAAGTCAAAGCTCTCCCCACACAGGGTTCAAAGGAACAACCTCTGGGATATTTTGCAGACCAGCAAAGGGTTCCCATGATGTGGGCAACTCTCACTCACATCCTTGGAGGCATCAGCAGGGCTGGCTGGGATGCAGGCTGCCGCTTGTGCTGGAAGTGATATTCACTCTCAGAAGGGCAACCTGGATCACTTCTCCCTTCGGAGTGTGGTGCAAAGAGCTGGATGTCCAGTCATGAGAACTTCTGGGTACAACCCTATGGTCGTATCTTCATCTCAGAGCAAACGCAAATGCCCTGTGTTGCCTGCCACCCTGGAGGGTATGAGGATCAGAGGAGGTGCTTTGGAAACACCTTGAAACTACATAGAGCTTTTTGGATATAAGCTCGATGCTGCTTATCTCCCAGTGGCCCTTTGGGAGGAAATGGAATCACTGTTGAACCCAATGCAACTCTCAGAGAAGTCAAGACACAGGGTAGATTGGTTGTAGAGGCCCCTCGTGCCCGTCCCACACATCACAGATGTAATCCTTCTTTTGAGTTGCATGAGGCAGGTCTCTGTGGCTTCCAAAACAACGAATCCTCCAAGGTCAAATATATTTTTTAATTTCTCATCAGAGTTCTTTGAGAAAGGGAACTTTGTTTTCAGTGTCTCTTTTTGCAGAGGATAATTAATACTACTGATAAAATTGCTGGTTCTATGGGTAGACCTGTGATGCTGGGATCACACGACCCTGCAGGCCTTTGAGTCGCTGGAAGCTGTTGCCTTCCAGAGGGAGCCCTGCACCCCAGGGCTGTGCAGGAGGAAAGAGGGAGCCCATGGAAGTGGGGTCACATTGTGAAGGGCCAGCCAACCCCACGGACGGTCCTGGCTCCCCTGGAGACACATGACAACGTTCCTTATAAGTGGGCTTCTCCAGCTCAGGCAGTTGACAGTTTCAAGAAATCCGTTAGAAGAAACAGGCAGAGTTGTGATGCTGGCAAAGTTCTAGGGCTTTTTTTTTTCTTTCCCCGTTTTAACTGTTAAAATTTATCTCCGACATTGCACAAACGAATGAAATCAACAGCCTCTTATCACATCCCAAATCTGTCAACCAATGTCTACCAGCCACTTGGAGCCAAAAGCCTCTTAGCACGTGTGTGACTTGAGCTGAGAAGGGCAGGACAGGAGCGCAGGCAGCTTTGTTCTGGCACCGTCGTTCCCAAACATTTGCTCATTTAGAGCCCAGGAGGCAGCAGTGCCTCCACAGCCTCTGATCTCGGTTCTGCGGGCTACCAGACAGGGTTCAAGCACCTCCCTGACAAGCCTTCATCTCTTTCTTCAGTCACCAACCACCACCCATGGCCGTAGGGGCCAGTGGCCAAATTCTATGCTGTCCTCCTAGCCTTTCATGCATGCCCAGGTCTCCATGGGGTGGGAAGAGTTAGAGGTACTGCTGTGAATCCACAGTTGCCTAAAGTGGCTTGGGCTGAACCAGATAGAGAAAGAAGCCCAGCCATCCCTGGGGCACAGTCACCCTGGCACCCACCTTGGGCTGAGCACTTTCATGACTGGAAGCTTTGGAGAACAAGTCCTTGGGCAGTACCTCTGGCTGGGCTGGCTCCAAGAGTTTCTGATCCTGGACAGATCCCAGGGTGCACCTCTCCAAGACATGTCTGTTCCCATGACATCTGGAGGAAAGAGACATAAGACTTAACGTAAGTTTCCTTAGAGTTCATTTGAGTTAATCTATCTATGTATTCCTGGGGGCAGCACATGAAAACTACCAATATTAATAAGTACCACACATGGGGTATCTCCCATATGCCGGGCACTTTTTATACAGGCATAGCTGATTTTAATTGCACTTGGCTTTATTGTGCTTTGCAGAGATTGCATTTTTTACAAACTGAAGGTTTATGGCAACATGGCATCGAGCAAGTCTACAGGTGCTCACTTCCTGTCTCTGTCACATTTTGGTAGTTTTTTGCAATATTTCAACCTTTTTCATTGTTATTATATATGCTATACTCATCTGTAATCAGTGATCTTTGGTGTTACTACTGTAATTGTTTTTGGGCATGATAAGCCACACCCACATAAGACAATGAATTAATCAATTAATGTTGTGTGTGTTCTGACTGCTCGACTGAGGCTGTTCTCTCTCTCTCTCTCTCTCTTTCTTTAAGCTTCCTTATTCCCTAAGACACAACAATATTGAAATTAGGCCAATTAATAACCCTACCATGGCCTCTAAATATTCAAGTGAAAGAAAAGTGGTATGTCTCTCAACTTTAATCAAAAGCTAGAAATGATTAAGCTTAGTGAGGAAGGCATGTTGAAAGCCAAGACAGCCTGAAACCTAGCCCTCTTGTGCCAAACAGCCAGGCTGTGAAAGCAAAGAAAAATTTCTTGAAAAAAATTAAAAGTGCTACTGCAGTGAACACACGTATGATAAGAAAGCGAAACAGCCTTATTGCTGATATGGAGAAAGTGTGCGTGGTGTGGATAGAAGAGCAAACCAACCGCAATGTTCCCTTAAGCCAAAGCCTAATCCAGAGCAAGACCCTATCTCTTTGGTTCTATTAAGGCTGAGAGAGGTGAGGAAGCTGCAGAAGTGAAGTTGGAACCTAGTAGAGGTTGGTTCATAAGGTTTAAGGAAAGAAGCCATCTCCGTAACATCAAGTGCAAGATGAGGTGGCAAGTGCTCCAGATCTTGCTAAGATCATCGATGAAGGTCACTACACTAAACAACAGATTTTTCATGTAGATGAAAGAGCCTTCTACTGGAAGAAAATGCCACCTAAGACTTTCATAGCTAGAAAGGAGAAGTCAATGCCTGGCTTCAGAGCTTCAAAGGACAAGCTGACTCTCTTGTCAGGGGCTAATGCAGCTGGTGACTTGAAGTTGAAGCCAGTCCTCATGTACCATTCAAAAATCCTAAAGCACTTAAACTTATGCTAAATCTACTCTGTCTGTGCTTTATAAATGGAACAACAAACCTTGGGTGTCAGTACATCTGCTTACATCATGACTTACTGAATATTTTCAACCCACTGTTGAGACCTTCTGCTCAGAAAAAAAAAGATTTTTTGAAAATGTGACTGCTCATTGAGTACCAGGTCACCCAAGAGCTCTGATAGAGATGTACAAGAAGATGAATGTTTCCATGTCTGTTAGCACAACATCCATTCTGCAGCCCAGGAATCAAGGAGTCATTTTGACTTTCAATTCTTATTATTTAAAAAATACATTTTGTAAGGCTATAGCTTCCACAGATAGTGAATCCTCTGATGGATCTGGACAAAAGAAATTAAAACCTTCTGAAAATAATTCACTATTCCAGGTGCCATTAAGAACATTCATGATTCATGGGAGGAGGTCAAATGCCAACATTAACAGGAGTTCGGAAGAAGTCGATTCCAACCCTGGATGCCTTCGAAAAGCTCAATTGAGACTTTGGTCAATTTACCATAGGAAGTCACTGCAGATGTGGTGGAAATAGCAAGAGAACTATAATTAAAAGTGGAGCCCAAAGATGTGACTGAATTGCTGCAATCTCATGATGAAGTTTAAATAGGTGAGAAGTTGCTTTATATGGATGGGCAAAGAAAGTGGTTTCTTGAGACGGAATCTACTCCTGGTGAAGATGCCATGAACATGTTGAAATGACAACAAAGGATTTAGAATGTTACGTCGACTCAGTTGATAAAGCAGTGGCAGGGCTTGAGAGGATGGACTCTAATTTGGAAAGAAATTCTACTGTGGGTGAAATGCTATCAAACAGCATCACGTGCTACAGAGACATCTTTCGCGAAAGGAAGAGTCAATTGCCAAGGCAAACTTCATTGTTGTCTTATTTTAAGAAATTGCCACAGCCGCCCCCACCTTTGGCAACCACTACCCTGATCAGTTAGCAGCCATCCACAGTGAAGCAAGACCCTCCACTAGCAAAAAGATTGATTCACTGAAGGCTCAGATGAAGTCTAAGACGTCACCACCCAGCACCTCCTTGTCCTCACCCTTAGCAGGCTGAGCCCCGAGGCTGCCTCTGAGGGAAACACAACACACTGGTGTGTCTGTGCTGCTGGCACCCCACATCAGACACACACACAGACAGCCCCATGGGAGGCACAGACCCGATGGGGAGGCCTGGTGGACAGCACAGGAGAACTCAGCCAGCCACGTTCGTTGAGCTCTTATTGCAACCCCAGCCCCAGGCTACGCCCTGAAAGGGTTTGAGAAGAGACAGAGGCGGATGATCCAGACTTAGCCTCCTGAAGAATGGATGAGCAAGTGCTTACCTGTGTTTTAAGGGTCCCCAGGATCTGTTTTAATTAAGGATGATAAGGCACACAGACACAAAAATGACTCTCATGAAGAAGAAGCTTATTCTGCTCATACATTCCTAGAAACAGGAGGCCCAGCACAGCACACGGGGCCTCATAGGAGACACTGGGCCAGTCAGGAACAGAGGGAGACGGAGGAACTGTGGGCTGGAGCCTTTTTATGGTTTCCACGGGAGGAGTGGGTGAGCGGAGCACACAGGCTTAGGATTGTCTAGTTTAATTTCAGGGCTCTGGGGCAGATGACTATCCCTAATGTCTGGCAATGGCCCTGGGGTGACTAAAGCAGGTGGATGGATAGTAGCCCTCGTGTGAGAGCCTGATAGGGAAGGTGGGGCAGTCCCCCCAGAGTCAGCAATGCCCCAGATGTCAAAGTATCATGAATGAATAGAGAAAAGTAAAGACATGGGTAGTTCAGTGCCTGAACACCCATCAGGGCAGAGGTCTGCCCTAGGCAGTGGATGTCCAAGAAAGCACAATAATGCTCACATATTTAAAACATAAGTCATATCCACGATAATACATTTTTGGGATGATAAACCAATGTTAACCTCATCCAAAACTTCCCTCACAGACATGTCCGGAATAATGTTTGACCCAATACGTGGGCACCCAGTGGCCCAGCCAAGATGACATGTTAAATTGTCCATCACACTATCTTAATGTTTCACAGTTTCCTGGAGCTTAAAACGTCAGATATTGACCTCAGTACCTCCCCCGTCTCTCAGCACAAAACCCTGCACACTCTGCCTTCTACAACACATCTCAGACCCATGCCCACCTCTCAGCCCCACCAGGCCTGGCTTGCTTTGGGTCTCATGACATCCTGAGTTCCAACCACTGCCTGTGTGGCCTCAGGCCAGCAGCATTTCCTCCCTGCACTTTTCCCCACATGACACCTTTCTGTCTCTCTGATGTCAGGCTCTTGCCTAAAATCTGTCTGCGGTCTCCTCTCAGGGTGAAATTTCCACTCATGAGCCTGTCACGGAGGCCTACCTAACAGAGCCCTGACCTGCCCCTCCAGGCCCATTTTATCTTCCGCCCCAGGAGCCACCTGCAGATCTGAACACCTCTGGCCTCTTTCTACCTCTGTGCTGCACCTTCCTTCCCCTCTGTCTGCCTCCTCCCTCGACTAACCCCAGACCCACTAAACACTCACAGCCATGTGAACTGAACTCACCACACACATATCTCATTTCTACGGTGTGTGTTTGAAAGTTCCCCCTTTGCCTTCCTTTGATACTCCAGTAGGTAGGAGGAGTATCTCATTACTGTTGGTAGCAGTGGTATTTTGGGACCCCCCAGTTGGCTTCCACTGACAACACTTCTGCTGGGCGGGGGAGGGGTGCCTCATTACTGCTCCCCATGTGGTCTCTAATGTCACCATGGGAGGTGTGAGGCCTCATTATCGCTGGATGGTGATAAAAATTCCCATTTTCCACGTAGTCTTCTCTGATACCACCTATGTGGTTTGAATGATGGTGGCCCCTCCAAAATTCGTGTTGAACCTTAATCCCCACTGTGGTAGTATTAAGCGGCGGGGCCTTTTGGAAAGTTATTAAGTCATGAGGACTCTTCCCTCATGAATGTATTAGGGCCCTTATAAAAAAGGTTTGCTGAAGTGGCTTTGTGCCTGTAATACTGCATCAATTTATGCCACCATAATCATACTCTGAGAAGGAATTAGTGAATAAACTTTCCCTACCTTGTTTACAAAGATAATATGTAGTTGTTGTAGCAAATTTAAACAAAAAAAGAAAGTAAAATTACCCTAATGTCTACCAACCAGAAAACACTACTGTTGATATTTTGGTATACATCCTCCCAGGTTTCCATATATACATAGTGATTGTTCATATATAGGGAATTACACTATTCATTCAGAAAGTATTGACCGCCTAGTATGTGTCTGGCACTGTTTTAGTCACTAGGAATGTAATGGTAAATGAGACAGTGTTAGCTGGGCGCAGTGGCTCACACCTGTAATCCCAGCACTTTGGTAGGCCAAGGCAGGCAGATCGCTTAAGCCCGGGAGTTCAAGGCCAGTGAGGGCAACATGGTGGAACCCCTTCTCTACAAAAAATACAAAAAATTATCTGGGCCTGATGGTGTGCACCTGTGGCCCCAGCTACTCAGGAGGCTGAGGTGGGAGGATTGCTTGAGCCTAGGAGGTGGAGGCTGCAGTGAGCTGTGATTGTGCTGCTGCACTCCAGCATGGGTGACAGAGTGAGACTCTGTCTCAAAAAAGAGTGTGTACACAGCCAGAGCCATATAAAATACAGGCACAGATCACTCTGCACCTGTCATCTAAAAAGACACATCTGGCTGGGCGCAGGGGCTCACCAGCACTTTGGGAGGCCCAGGTGGGCTGATCACCTGAGGTCAGGAGTTTGAGACCAGGCTGGCTAACATGGTGAGACCCTGTCTCTATTAAAAATACAAAAAATTAGCCGGGCATGGTGGTGCATGCCTGTAATCCCAGCTACACGGGAGGCTGATGCAGAAGAATTGCTTGAATCCGGTAGGTGAAGGTCTCAGTGAGCCAAGATTGCGCCACTGCACTCCAGCCTGGGCAACAGAGTGAGACTCCATCTCAAACGAAAAAAAGAAAGAGAAAAAAAAAAAGACACATCTGTAGAAACCTACCCTAGTGCTGCCTCTCCCTCCCACTCACAAACCCAGGAATAAGTACTGAATGAACAATCCCACCTACAAAATAGTATTTCATTTGTTAAAATAATTAGAGATATTTATAACATGTATTATTCTACTAGCTGTACTTTATCATGTGTCATCACCTCCGAACACCCAGAAGCCTAAGGTGTTTCAAAACAAGGGACTTAATTTCATCCACTAGCAACACAGCTGTGTTAAGTGGAACTACAGTATAATCTGGAGTGTTTTCTAAAAACAAATAGAACCATTCCTTTTATGCTTTTCTGATTTCTCCAGTAAAGCGTTCATTAATGAGTTACAGCTCAAAGAGATGGCTTAAGAACATCAGTTGGCCTGGTGCAGTGGCTCACGCCTGTAATCCCAGCACTTTGGGAGGCCGAGGCAGGCGGATCATGAGGTCAGGAGATCAAGACCATCCTGGTTAACATGGTGAAACCCCGTCTCTACTAAAAATACAAAAAAAAAAATTAGCCAGGTGCTGTGGTGACGGGTACCTGTAGTCCCAGCTACTCAGGAGGCTGAGGCAGGAGAATGGCATGAACCTGGGAGGCGGAGCTTGCAGTGAGCCGAGATCACGCCACTGCACTCCAGCCTGGGTGAAAGAGCGAGACTCCGTCTCAAAAAAAAAAAAAAAAAAAAAACCATCAGTTGGAGAGAGTCCTTCCTCCTTTACAAATGCTGCCAAAGGACATTGGGTTTTGAATTTAACAACCCAAAAATGTGTCAAAAATGTCACTTTTTGTGGGGGAGGAGCAGGGCTTCCTGTTTGCTACTATAGAGACTGGTGTGGAATGCATGGAGCTGCTAACATAGGGGTTGCTTAACTATGGCCTGTGGGCCAACTCCAGTTCACCATCTCATTTTTAAAAATTTGTCACAAACATCTTCACTTCAAAATACCTAGTACTAGATATTAAAATATGGACTTAATATATCCACTCTACACACAGCTGTTTGTAGAATGAAGTGCACATTGGGGATAATGGCTATAATCCGAATATGGACATTTTGGTTCAGAACACTTCCCAATGGGCAAAGTACAGATATGTTATACTACAGAGGTAGATTACAAATTTCATTTCTAGAAGCAATGTTTGGGGCTGGGCATGGTGGCTCACACCTGTAATCCCCACACTTTGGAAGGCCAAGGTATGAAGATTGAGCTCAGGAGTTCAAGACCAGCCTGGGCAACAAAGTGAGACCCCTGTTTCTACAGAAAAAAAATGAGCTGGGCATGGTGATGCCCATCTGTGGTCCTAGCTACACAGGAAGGTGTAGTGGGAGGATTGCTTGAGCCCAGGAGGTTGAGGCTGCAGTGAGCTATGTTTGTGCCACTGCACTCCAGCCTGGGCACCAGACTGAGACCCCTCTCAAAAAAATAAAAAATAAAAGCAATGTTTATTGGGTAAACATGGACATAAAGATGGCAACAGTAGACAGTAGGTCTATCAAGTACTATGCTCACTACCTGGGCAATGGGATCAACTGTACCCCAAACCTCAGGACCAACACAATGTACCTATGTAACAAATCTGCACGTTCCCCTTCAATCTAAATGTTGAAGGTTGGGCGTGGTGGCTCACGCCTGTAATCCTAACACTTTGGGGAGGCTAAGGTGGGCAGATCACTTGAGCCCAGGAGTTCGAGACCAGCCTGGGCAATATGGTGAAATTCCGTCTCCACCAGAAAAATACAAAAATTAGCCAGTCTCATCACCTGTTCTCAAATAAATATGTTGACATTATTTAAAAATTTTTAAAAAAGCAATGTTTAAAAGATTTTCTTCTGGCTGTGTGCAGTGGCTCATGCCTATAATCCCAACACTTTGAGGGGCCAAGGCAGGTGGATCACCTGAGGTCAGGAGTTTGAGACCAGCCTGGCCAACATGGCAAAACCCTGGCTCTAGTAAAATACAAAAATTAGCCAGGTGTGGTGGCAGATGCCTGTAGTTTCAGCTACTCGGGAGACAGGAGAATCACTTGAACCTGGGATGCAGAGGTTGCTATGAGCTGAGATCACACCATTGCACTCCAGCCTAGGTGACAAGACCAAAACTCTGTCTCAAAAAACAAACAAACAAAAAAGACTTTCCTCTGAATTTAACCAACAGTATCCTAAAATATATTTGCTAACTCGATATTTGTCATGAAATTAGAACATATACTTTTATATACCCTATGTATACAGCAACATTAAATGTGTCATATGAAATTAGAATATATACTTCTAATAAATAAACGTGCATAATTCCCTTCTCCCTATCCTCCAACCACTCAGAGAAGAGCATAGATTAATGTAATTTTCAGTGGTTTAACATCCTCCCATCCAAGTACTAACCAGGCACGACCCTACTTAGTTTCCAAGATCAGATGACATCAGGCATGTTTAGGGCGGTACAGCTGTAGGTGGTTTAGCACTTTCTATTAGGGAGACAATCTTTCTAAAGCAATGCTCTATATCCACGGGTTCTGCATCTGCAGATTCAGCCAACCATGGCTCAAAAATATTCAGGGAACCCTTCACCCAAATAACAATGCAATAAAAAATACAAATAAAAAGTCGGGTGCGGTGGCTCATGCCTGTAATCCCAGCACTTTGGGAGGCTGAGGCGGGCGGATCACCTGAGGTTTGGAGTTCGAGACCAGCCTGACCAACATGGAGAAACGCTGTCTCTACTGAAAAAAAAAAAAAAAAAAAAAAAAAAAAAAAAAAAAAAACCAAAATTAGCCGGGCATAGTGGGACGTTTGTAATCCCAGCTACTTGGAAAGCTGAGGCAGAATTGCTTGAACCTGGGAGGCAGAGGTTGCGGTGAGCCAAGATTATGCCATTGCACTCCAGCCTGGGCAACAAGAGCAAAACTCTGTCTCAAAAATAATAATTATAATTATAATAATAAAAAATATAACTCCTATATGTATTAATAGCATTTACACTATATTAGGTATTATAAGTAATCTAGAGGTGATTTAAAGTATATGGGAGGATACGCATAGATTACATGCAAATACTAGACCATTTTATTTACTTACAGGATCTTGCTCTCTTACCCAGGGTGGAGTGCAGTGACTCCATCACTGCTCACTGCAGCCTCAGCCTCCCGGGCTCAATTCATCCTCCCATCTCAGCCTTCCGAATGGTTGGGACTACAGGCGTCCACCACCACGCCTGGCTAATTTTTTTGTTTTGTAGAGGCAGGGTTTCACCATGTTGCCCAGGCTGATCTTGAACTCCTGAGCTCAAGTGATTCACCTGTCTCGGCCTCCCAAAGTGTTGGGGTTACAGGCGTGAGCCACTGTGCCTGATACTAGGCCATTTTATATCAGGGACTTGAGCATCTGTGGATTTTGGTATCTGTGGGAGGTCCTAGACCAATCCCCACGGATATCAAAATCCGAGGATGCTCAAGCAGACCTCAGTATCCCCATGGATACCAAGAGATGACTGTATTGAAAATATTTTTCAATATTTTCAATATTTTTCAAACACTACTCCACATCTATTTTTAATATGTGGTGAGCACATCTAAACACGTAGAAAAGCTAGATACAGGCATTTGAATGAAGGACCTAAGTTTAACATTGTATCCACAGGAGTGCTGAGTGAAGTTTATCATTGTATCCACAGGAGTGCTGAGTAATAGCACGCCTGTGGATCAATGCTTCTAAATGCACATTCTGGCGGGAACCTTTCCCCTCCTTCACTGCCTTTTGCCCTTCCTTCAACCCATGAAACGAACGAGGGCATGAGTCCAAGAAATGCTGTAAAAATTGCATTCCCGTAAGTGATTTCCAGAAGGCAATGTTCCTTTCCAGTGAATCTTAACAAAAGGGTTGGAAAACAAGTTTTTCTCATTTTACTTTTAGCATCGTTGACAACCTCTCCACATCTAGAGAGGCTCTACATGTTGCAAATAATTCACATTTATTTTAGAAGGTTGCGGTAAAAACTTAACAGCAGCTGGTCCACATTATATGCACAGGATCATAGTTGGTAAATCTTCTAAATAGAGGGTTGTCACTTCCGGTGGCTGAATGAGACAAACCATAAGCCATCATTTCTCACTCCCTCTATCAATTAACACCCAGAGGGGTGTTGTACCTGTATGCCTGTACCCCACACAGGACCACTGCCTGGAAAGGCAGGATGCCTGTGGCTCTATTTCCACTACTCACCCATTCCCTGGAGTAGGCGCTCAATTAATAGGCTGAGTTTAACACACAGGTACACAGCATGGATACTGTAAAACTCTTAAGTGGGATCACATTATATGCAGATTGCAGATTTCAGCAATTTGACTTTTTTTTTTTTTTTGGAGACAAGAGTCTTGCTCTGTCACCCAGGCCGGAGTACAGTGGCACGATCTCGGGTCACTGCAACCTGTGCCTCCTGGGTTCAAGTGATTCTCCTGCCTCAGCCTCCCAAGTAGCTGGGATTACAGGCACCCACCACCACACCCGGCTAATTTTTATATTTTTAGTAGAGACAGGGTTTCACCATGTTGGCCAGGCTGGTCTCGAACTCCTGACGTCAAGTGATCCACCCACCTCGGCCTCCCAAAGTGCTGAAATTACAGGCATGAGCCACCGTGCCCGGCCTGCAATTTGATATTTTTACCCGTCTTCAAGATCTTTCCTTTCTGGTGGAGATACTTCAATTTTTATAAATATAGCTACAGGAAATCTTTAAATGGCTTTAATAACAAACTTGGCCTCTTTGGAAGGGCACTGGAACACAGATGCCATAAAATAATTCTACATAATAAAATCTATTAATTATTCAGCATTTTAACAATCACAATTCAACAACTTACAGTGATCTGAAGGTTCTCAAGATCCTAAATGACTTCTGAAATTAAATTATGTTCAGTAAAAAGCTAAGTTAAACTCTTTAGGTTTTGAATAAACCTAAGTAAACAACAATTTTGTTGCACTAAAATAATACCTATCTTAAAAGTGGTTTCCCCAAACTATTAGCCAATCTCTTTCTCTAACCAAGCACTATTTTACCAGATTTTCAAGTTGATAAACATAAGTTACTCTCTCATTTGGTAAATACCACTTTATAACAAAGAAAACACTTCAAATACAAGACTTTGTTTATTAATAAAGTAATTCATTATGACTTTTGAAAAAAAAAGTTTTAAAATGTTCTGTGTACATGTCAATGTAGGTTAGGCCAGCCAAAAGACAAAGCAAAGCATCAACATTAAGTCACAGGCTAGGATTATACAAATAAGAACAAACACAAGGCTTATGGTACTTGTTAGGTAAACACAACCAAACTAAACTGTACTTCAAATTTGTTTATATAAAAGCATATTAAAGCTCACTTTAAAATAGTGTCCATCTTTTCTTTTAAACGGGCATAGACTCATTTGCAGTCATGTACAAATATACCTAATAGCTTTCTTCATCTTTTAATACAAGTACAATTCCTTGCTTCTTTATGCAACCTAACAAAATAATATAGAATGAAGTCATTAGAAAAATATGAACCTTTCTGAATCTATATTACATTTTTAATTTAAATTGGAAAATACAGTTTAGATCATATGAAACATATGGATTTCAGACATGTATTATCTGTTTCTAACAGATTATTACAGGCGGTCTTTATTTTGGCTGAAATGCAAAAATATGACTTTCTTAATAACAGATTAGTTAAAAATACTTTCCATTGATAGCAGTGCTAGTCCCTAGAACAAAAGGTAAGCAAAACTTATTTGTAAGTTACTGCCTATTCAATGCCCAGAATATGTAGATCCTAAATCTAAGCCCTTAATATACATCTACTTTAAAGATAACTGAAAGATCTCACATGCCTGATAATCCTTAATTTAAACCGTCCTGTAAACATAGTCAAAATCTGCTAATAGAAATACAATTCAAGTAAACATTGCATATTTGATTTAAACCACCTTACAGTTAAATTCACTCATGACACATTGGATCATAACCACTAATATGTAAAAAGTTTTAAAAAAATCATCCTTACGTATAGATGAAAATAAACTTTGTAAACTTGTTCATTTAAAATAACGAATGTACTGCAGCTGCTCTTTGGTTTGGCATAGTTTCAGGTACTGAATATTCAAGTAAATTTGTTCCCAGGTAAACCAAGTCTCCTAATTTGTCTGTAATGGCAATGGCAAGACCTGAACTTCAACTTTATTTTTCTTAAGGTGTCATCACAAAGTGTTTGAAGGACCAAAGATAGTACTTCTAAAATTTGACAGGGCTTCATTTTGATTTTTTCTCCCCAAATAGTTGATAGCAATAATCAATACCAGTTGAGATACCAAAGAGGCAGCCTTTCCCTGATTCCCACACCACTTGTAGGCCTTTGCTAGAATGGTCATTAATACGTATGAATCAGTTGAGCTAAATATTATTTAGAACGTGGCAAAATGCTGGCTGTAAATTAAATCAAAGATAAGTAATTCAAAGGCTTTAACTGAAAATTTCTGAAAAGATGTTTGCTGTGCTATTAAAGATGTTAAATAACAAAAATTAAAAGAACTGAGAAAGACTATACCATGAAAGTGCATAATAGTGAAGAAAAAAATGAAGTTCCCTTGGCGTTAGCCAGGTGCATGCAAATCTTTTTATCTGAATGTAGAAATGCAAAAAGTACCAGGAGAACATTTCTGAAAGTAGTCAAGTATGTTTTAACATTTATCTCCTTATAATATGCAAACTGCCAAACTGGAGTTATGTTTTTAGTTGGTAATTGATATATATATATATTTTTGAGATGGAGTTTCACTCGTCGCCCAGGCTGGAGTGCAGTGGCACGATCTCGGCTCACTGCGACCTCCACCTCCTGGGTTCAAGTGATTCTCCTGCCTCCACCTCCCGAGTAGTTGGGACTACAGGCGTGTGCCACCATGCCTGGACAGTTTTGGGGTTTTTTTGTATTTTTAGTGGAGACAGGGTTTTGCCATTTTGACCAGGCTAATCTCGAACCCCTGACCTCAGGTGATCCGCCAGCCTTGGCCTCCCAAAGTGCTGGGATTACAGGCATGAGCCACCACACCCAGCAATAATTGGTATCTCTTAAATCTCATTCTAGTTTGCTAGAATCAAGATTACTAAGGAGTTGAAACAAAGGTAGAAGAATCCATACTATAATATCCCAAATTATGTTTTCAAAGCTAACTCATTCCTTTGGTTCAAAAAGAAAAAAAGTTGCCTCCTTTTAAAATCCAATATTAGTATGGCTGATGGAAATTAGGCCAAATTATAAACAAATTATAAACCTACAGTAGCAACCATAAAATTTATGCTGTACTAGGAAATGACAGAGCTATTCCTAGTTTATTATTTAGCATACAGAAGGTACTCCAAAAAATTTACCGGGGCGGGGCGTGGTGGCTCACGCCTGTAATCCCAGCACTTTGGGAAGCTGAGGTGGGTGGATTATTTGAGGTCAGGAGTTAGTGATCAGCCTGGTCAACATGGTGAAACCTCGTCTCTTCTAAAAATGTGAAAATTAGCCGGGCATGGTGGCATGAGCCTGTAATCCCAGCTACTTGGGAGGCTGAGGCAGGAGACTCTATTGAACCTGGAAGGCAGAGGTTGCAGCGAGCCAAGATCCCGCCACTGCACTCCTGCCTGGGAGACAGAGCAAAACTCTGTGGAAAAAAGAAGAAAAAAATTTATTGGGTGAATGAAAAGTGATTTTGCAAAATTAGGCATCACAGAATGTTAGAAGTCATCCAGTCCAACTTATTCACAACACCCCCTCCCCTGCAGTCCCATTTTACAGACAGGAAGCTCCAACCTGTAGTACTCACAGATGCTGCTGAGATTCATCTCCACCCACTCACTGGAAGCAATCAATTATTTTGGGGGGGGTGTGTGTGTGTGTGTGTCTGTCTGTCTAAAAGGTGTAAATGAGGAGTGACATTTCTACATTGTTTATTCTGTACTTTTCCTTGGAGTTAATGCAACACCTCCTGTCGCTTAGATTTTAAAAGGAAAAAGGAGAAATGTGTCTAGTCATAAAGGGGTTGCCGTTAGGAAGTCAGACTTCAGACTGTGCGTCTAAGAGTAGAATCCACTTCTCAAGAGACTGGGAATGTAAAATGACCACTCAGGTTAGAATTTCCAACTGACAGCCAGGAGGAAAACTTACTCTAAAGTTTTTTTTGCCTAGTTTAAATTGCATTTTAAATCACTGTTTAAGCTATTACAGTATTACTGTAAAAAGTTTCAAAGTAATTTTTAGTCATTACCTACACTGAAATTTGAAAGTGAAGTCAACAGCATGCTTTATTCTAACTGCTGTTAAAACTCAAAACTATTTTTTTTAACAAATTACAATATTCCTCTTAGATTTTCTTCTGGACACCTATACTTCTTCCTACTGTGTCCAGTATTCTCCAGCACATGTACCTTTGTGTTTCTCTGCCCATGTACATACCCCTGAAAGTTCAACAAAAAAAGCTATAAAATAGCAGAGAGAACCCAAAATATTTCTTATACTGCCAAGTTCCCTTTAAACCTTGGGCACTTGCTCTACTACATGGTTGTATTAATGCTCATAACTAAGCTTTCGATGAATTAGACCAATGTGTTCTATGTTCTAAATGATATTTAGATATCTGAATCCTTCTGTTATAGCCAACAATAAAAAAAGTTATTAAAAATGTTGAAAAGTATAAAATAGTAATTATAAATTAGCAAATACCCAATTTAAAAAAGCAGTTTTCCTTATACAGTACAAGCAACAGTAATTTGAATATTATTCACTTTCAGCCACCATTTGCCCTAGATGTACTTTAAAGTTTTTAAGCTTGTGTTTTTGGAGTGAAAATGTATATGGATACTTATTCTAATAATGTAATTCAGGTATCAAAAAATACATATGCATGTTAAAATGTGATGACAGCTCATATTATAGCAACTCATAACAGGTAAGTATTATTTCCAGAATAACATTAAGTCACTTTTGTAGCTCTAAGTCAATGCTGCACAAATGGACACTTAAGATTAAGGCATCATTCTGCTCTGGAGTAGTGCTTCTGTGAATCCCAGGAACTGTACAAAGGCTTTCCGTTTTAAAAAATATATCTTCTGTTATACTTCAGTTATTTCATTCCACTGATCATTTTCTTGCAAATGAAAATTGAAAATACCAGTCTATAATGTTTTCATACACCTACAAAAAAAGAAACAAATTATTGGTTAAAACTTGATTTTTTATTTCTGAAAATATTTACTAAATGGTTCTGTGGGCTAAGGTACAAAGCTACTAATATAACAAGATGGAAAATGAATTCCTTAACACTACTAATATTATAACAATAAAGATTTTTGTAGCAGTAAATGAGTGGGTATTACTGTCTTCCCCAGAAGCAATCAAAAGAGTATTTTAAAAGGAAGAATCTTACAGTACTCCCAGACTGCTAACTTGGACATCATCTGAGAAGACATCTGGTCCACCTACACCTGTCCTAAGATTGGCGCAAGATGTAGAAAACTTCCCACAGCAACTGTTAAAGGAACTGCAGCTGAGGATTCTCAACCACCACAAGCATCAGCAATTATTTCTGCCCACATTAAGAAGAAATGTGGACCTCAGACTGAGGGCTTTTCTGGGGACCAAGTACTACTCCACAGCTCCAGCTCTTGGTGGCATGGACCTGGCTTACAATCACCGTATGCGGGACACAGCTCCTCTTCTGACTGCAGCGCACTCGGCCCGACGTGACCTCCACCCCTAGTGCCTGCGATCTGACTGCCCGACATGACCTCCACCCCTAGTGCCTGCGATCTGACTCTGCCCGACGTGACCTCCACCCCTAGTGCCTGCGATCTGACTCTGCCCGACGTGACCTCCACCCCTAGTGCCTGCGATCTGACTCTGCCCGACGTGACCTCCACCCCTAGTGCCTGTGATCTGACTCTGCCCGACGTGACCTCCACCCCTAGTGCCTGTGATCTGACTCTGCCCGACGTGACCTCCACCCCTAGTGCCTGCGATCTGACTCTGCCCGACGTGACCTCCACCCCTAGTGCCTGCGATCTGACTCTGCCCGACATGACCTCCACCCCTAGTGCCTGCGATCTGACTGCCCGACGTGACCTCCACCCCTAGTGCCTGTGATCTGACTCTGCCCGACGTGACCTCCACCCCTAGTGCCTGTGATCTGACTCTGCCCGACGTGACCTCCACCCCTAGTGCCTGTGATCTGACTCCGTCCTGGGTCTTAGGCTCTGGCTGCAGCCCTGCCCGCAGGCTCCAGGTCCTCTGCAAGGACCTAACTGCTGAGGACAAGCCCACAAGTGAGGAAACAGATGCTCCTCTAGCTGACACTAAAGATAAGATGCCTCTAGAAAAACAAACTCCTGTTATACAGGAACAGGATGATAAATGCGATAAGCTCCATGTTTGTGGTAATTTCCTACTTAGCAATTTTCTCTTGCTGTGTCTTTTACAAACCATATAACATAGATAAACCTCTTATTTCTTTCTTAGAGCCTTTAATTTTGGTCATTTTTCTCTGGGTCGAATTTCCTCAATAGTGGACAAAAGTCACCTTTTTTTCTTTTTTCTTTTTTTGAGACAGGGCCTTGCTCTGTTACCCAGGCTGGAGTGCAGCTTGTGCCATCTTGGCTCATTGCAGCCTCGACCTCCTGGGCTCAAGTGATCCTCCCACTTCAGCCTCCCACGTAACTGGGACTATACAGGTGTGCATCAACACAAACCTGGCTAATTTTTTATTTTTTGTCGAGATGAGGTCTCACTATACTAATTTAAGTATCTGACCCAGGCTGGTCTCTCACTCCTGGACTTAAGTGATCCTCCCACCTTGAACTCCCAAAGTGCTGGAATTAGAGGTGTGAGCCACCTTGCCTGCCCACCTTTTTTTCTTTAATTAATAAGGTACTGCCTTCTGAAAAGGCCAGTGGTCCACATACTAGTCCTAAACTATTTTTATTAGTTTCTTCATTAATTTACCAACAAATAATTACTAAGATTATTCTATAAGGAATAAGGAAAATGAGATTTGGGCAGATGTTACATTCTAGTCTTTCCTGTACTGCCTAATTTTGCTGATATAATTAAAAAGACTAAAAAAATACAACTGCAAATTGTTTAAAGATTATGAAATATGCAAATAAGCTGCATTTATTCAAGGATTACCTTTATACTGTCTTACCTTGCTCTTATTCAAATGGTTAGTTATGAACAAGTGGTACTCAATTTTCTATTGCCACTGTTACATGGTTATTTGTCCCTGTAAGCATATAATTATATATGACATGACAAAAAAAAAAAAAAAAAGAAGTATTAAGTTTCTGGCTAAATGGTAAAATGACAGCAAAAATGACTATCATGTAAATACAAAATAGGCTTATGGTGTCAACCATTTGTCTTCTTATAGAACCTAGAAGTAAGTAAAGAGCTAACATTAGCAGTCAAAAGTTTGATTTTATGTTTATCTTGTGGAAATACCTATTGGCTTTAAAGATGTTAAACAGCAATAATTAAGAAGTTCACAAAATGAACTTTTCCCTAGATTGTTATTTTTTAGAGACGGGCCTTAATAGTATTGCCTAGGCTGGCCTTAAACTTTGGAATTTTTCCTTGACCTTATACAAAAGATGTAATGATCCCAATGAAGATCCTAAAGATACTAATTTAAGAGAATGTTTTAAATGCTGCTAAAAGTCAAGACAACAACAAAAAAACCTCAGAAATTCGAACAGTAGGTCTTTAAGGGTATTTAGGGTATTTGCTAGTTAGTACAAATGGAGCTAAATGTCCAGAATCATTTTTCTTTTTCCTTTTTTTTTTTGAGACAGGGTCTTGCTCTGTCATCCAGGGTGAAGTGCAGTGGCATGATCATAGCTCACTGTAGCTTCAATATCCCAGGCTCAAGCAATCCTCTCACCTCAGCCTCCTGAATAGCTGGGACTACAGACACATGCTATCAGGCCTAGAAAATTTTTTTCCCAAAGTTTTTCGTAGAGATAGGCTATATGGCCCAGGCTGGTCTCAAACTCCTGAGCTCAAGTGATCCTCCTGCCTCAGCCTCCGGAAGTGCTGGGATTACAGGTGTGAGCCACTGTGCCTGACCCAAAACCACTTTTCTATAGTGCAAGGAAATAATCAGTGTTATTACTATTATCATTAAAAAACAGATGTGTTTTAGACTGTAATGCTAGTTAAGTAGCCAGACAATATTTTAAACCCAGGTCTGATGAAAATTCCCACTTCAATTTTACTGACTATTCTATACCTTAATCCTCAATTCATAAATGATTAAGAGTCACCTAGAAAAGGTTAAAATATATTCAGTGTGCTCTTTTTTTTCTTTTTTCTTTTTTTTTGAGATGGAATCTCGCTGTCGCCCAGGCTGGGGTGCAGTGGTGCAATCTTGGCTCACTGCGGGCTCCAACCCCCGGGGTTCACGCCATTCCCCTGCCTCAGCCTCCCGAGTAGCTGGGACTACAGGCGCCCACCACCTCGCCCGTCTAATTTTTTGTATTTTCAGTAGAGACGGGGTTTCACCATGTTAGCCAGGATGGTCTCGATCTCGTGACCTCGTGATCCGCCTGCCTCGGCCTCCCAAAGTGCTGGGATTACAGGCATGAGCCACCGTGCCCAGCCTTTTTTTCCTTTCTTCCCCGAGATGGAGTCTCACTCTGTCACCCAGGCTGGAGTGCAGTGGTGTGATCTCGGCTCACTGCAACCTCCGCCTCCCGGGTTCAAGCGATTCTCCTGCCTCAGCCTCCCGAGTAGCTGGGATTACAGGCACGTGCCACCACACCTGGCTAATTTTTGTATTCTTAGTAGAGATGGGGTTTCACCACGTTCGCCAAGCTGGTCTCTAACACTTGACCTTGTGATCCACCCACCTCGGCCTCCCAAAGTGCTGGGATTATAGGCGTGAGCCACCGTTCCTGGCCAGTGTGCTCTTTTTTAACTAAGGCAGCAAAGGATGTAATGCTTTTCAAGAATTATTTTCAACTAAGCAAAAGCTGGGACCCTAAAGAATAACACTGCTGGCCGGGCATGGTGGCTCATGCCTATAATCCCAGCACTTTGGGGGGCTGAGGCGGGTGGATCACAAGGTCAGGAGATCGAGACCATCCTGGCCAACATGGTGAAACCCCGTCTCTACTATAATACAAAAAATTAGCTGGGCATGGTGGCAACCACCTGTAGTCCCAGCTACTCGGGAGGCTGAGGCAGGGGAATCACTTGAACCCGGGAGGCGGAGGTTGCAGTAAGCAGAGATCGTGCCACTGCACTCTAGCCTGGTGACAGAGCGAAATTCCATCTCAAAAAAAAAAAAAGAATAACGTTGCTTATTCAGAACAGCCAATGCCAAAAGAACTTTCCATATCTCAGTGGAGAAATATGTGGCTGGGTTAACAAAAACCTGCAGTTGCATAGAAGAAAACATGAGCCGCTATACTCTCCTCGCTCTATCCCTTCCTCATAGAAGCTACTAAGAAACACAAACACCCTATATATATTTTATTTATTTATTTATTTTTTATTATTATTATTTTTTGAGATGGAGTCTCGCTCTGTCACCCAGGCTGGAGTGCAGTGGCGCGATCTCAGCTCACTGCAAGCTCCGCCTCCCGGGTTCAAGCCATTCTCTTGCCTCAGTCTCCTGAGTAGCTGGGAATACAGGCGCCCGCCACCACGCCCGGCTAATTTTTTATATTTGTAGTAGAGACGGGGTTTCACCGTGTTAGCCAGGATGGTCTCATTCTCCTGACTTTGTGATCCACCCGCCTCGGCATCCCAAAGTGTTGGGATTACAGGCGTGAGCCACCGCGCCCAGCATATATTTAAAAGTTTCACATATTTTAGTATTTTTAAAATGTTACATTATTTTGATTTTTCCACATGTATTATATCTGGTGCTTTTCATTTGAACCAGACAAAGCAGTGTTTCAAATGAGAACTATTACCTGATTTGACGATGCCTTCTTCAGCTCCATTCTCCAGCCACTGAGATTCACTGTCCAACAAGCGGTTTTTTGATTCACTAAGTGGTTTGATAGGAAAAGGTTGATTTGAGCCACTACTGAAAAGAAGAGCAAACAACTTAGTAAACAGCTTAATGCTCAACTATGGATACTTAATAAATTAATAAGCAGCAAATTAGTATTCCTTCTCCTAAATATGTGAGGGCAACTCATGAGATCTTAGCACTCTGAAAAAACTATCTTCAAAATAAAAATAGGCCCACAACCCCCCATTAAATGGCTCTCTAGACCCAAGAATCTGTATTCCAACACTGCCAATGAAAACAATTAGTCAAAATTTAAAAAGCTTCAGAGGCCAGTCTGAAATGTTCTTAATATGTTAATCAGGAGCCATAGGTAGTACAAGGACAGGTGAGGATCTATATCTGTGGCCAGTACAAAACAATTACCTGTCATTTGCCAAGTTTTCTGCTTTCTACCTCTGCAGTTTAGATCTAAGGGGAAAAAATGATTCAGTGATTTAGCGTAGACTTATTTTTCTAGCTAAAAGATCCAGGGAGGGAGGGAATGGAGGAAGGAAAGGAAGAGGAAAAGGAAACTAACATTTGTTGGTTCCCTATTATGGGCCAGACACGATGCTAGGCATCTTATACACATTATCTCAACCCTCAAAATAAACTTTGGTGGTAAGTATCATTATCCTAATTTTATAGAGGTGGAAACTGAGGCTCATAGTTTAAGTGACTTGGCCAGAACCCTAACAAATGTTAGAGCTCAAAGGTCTAAGGTTTTAAGCTACATTCTAAGATTTATGGTTCTTCCAATATTAATATGCTAGCTTAGAACTTATCATTTTCTCTTCTCCTACAACTTATTTCTGTAGTGAATAAATTACCAATGTTTTACGTGGACAGAAGTATCTCTAGCTTCTTTAAAATTTCATTTAAAAGGAACTATTACACTGAATGTATGAAAGTTTACTTGCCATGCAAATATTATGGGAAAATTTCCTCTAAGATGAATTAATGAAAAAAATTTGTATTTTTGAATCCTCATTATTTTGATAGTATATTAAAATTTATCAAAATAAAATGGTGATTAGTATAATGACTAATTTATTTGCAAAAACATAACTGACATAAACCAATCTAATCAAATCTTGAAAGGTCTTAGTTGCTCCCCAGCTTGCCCAGACATTTCCAGCTTTATTTGATTATCCTGGTTTAACTATTAATAAACAAGCATTCTCTTTCCTACTCGTAAGTGTTCTGGTTTAGATAATAAAAAATTATGGTTATTAGCACATATACTTTTATTAAACCTCAGTTAAAAAAATTTAAATTTCTCTTTCCCTAACTATGCTGGCTTACTAAATCACTACTGTATTTACTCATAAGATGTACACACAACACATGTATACGGTTTGCTTTATGATGAATATAGAAAAGCATAAGGACAATAAGCATACCTTCTGGCATACTCATTCTGGTTTGTAACAGAAGCTTGTTCTGGATCCATCCCCACAAGGCGAGTTGGAAAACTGCAACCATCACCCAAGCTGCATAATGAAAAAGAGTAATAATTTAAATAATGTTAAGTTAAATCAAAATGGTCAAATTTAACACTCATTTTTCAGAGACATGGCATACATTATCATAACTTGTCATATAAGGAAGTAACTCCTAAAATTTCTAATTTAGGGGTTATTACCTTGATACGGTTTGGCTGTGTCCTCACCCATATCTCATCTTGAATTGTAGTTCCCATAATTCCCACTGTCAAGGGAGGGACCCAGTGGGAGGTAAATGAATCATGAGGGAGGGTTTTTCCTGTGCTGTTCTCATGATAATGCACAAATCTCACAAGATCTGACGGTTTTATAAACGGGAGTTCCCCTGGCACATACTCTTGTTGTCTGCCACCATATAAAACGTGAGTTGCTTCTCCTTGCCTTCCACTATGATAGTGAGGCCTCCTCAGCCGTGTGTGAGTCAATTAAACATCTTTCCTTTATAAATTACCCAGTTTCGGGTATGTCTTCATTAGCAGTGTGAGAACAGACTAATACCTCTATTGCAGACATAAGCCCTTTTCTTTTATAATTTACATACATTTAGAAACAATGTCTTCTGTGCCTATTAAGATTATGATGCCTAGTATAGCACCCCAAGCATAGGTATTCAAGTATTTGGGTAACTGACCTGCTTATCATAATCATTCAGGCTCAAACTGAAATTCATGATGTAAGTTCCACATATTTATTTATTCAACAATATTCATTAAACAAATATTTACTGAATGCCTATGATGTTCTAGGTATTATTTTAAGCACTACAGATATAGGAAATAGTGAACAAAAGAGAAGAAAATTTCTGCCTTCAAGAAGCTTGCGGTCTAAAAAGAGCATACTTATGCCTTATTTTCATATTATCTAAACACATCAAAATTGTATACTATAGGGACTTTTACTTCTAGCCAAGATGGAATAACTGGTAAACTGTACATAGTCAGAAACTGAACAGTACGAAATAATTGTTTTCAAAATAGGCAGTAGAGAACTGTGGTCTCAGAACAAAGAAAAACAAAACCAAGTTAAGTTACAGCTTTCTGCCAGGACCCTGGCACTATGGGGGGTGGGAAACCAAGCAGAACAAGGTAGTTTCACTGAATTGAGATGACAGAGGTGGGAGTTTTCAGGCTGAGGTGGGCCGGGTGCAGTGGCTCACATCTGTAATCCCAGCACTTTGGGAGGCTGAGGCAGGCGGATCACTTGAGGTCAGGAGTTCAAGACCATCCTGGCCAACATGGTGAAATGCCATCTCTACTAAAACTACAAAAATTAGCTGGGTGTGGTGGCATGCGCCTGTAATCCTAGCTACTAGGGAGGCTGAGGCATACGAATCGCTTGAACCCGGGAGGCGGAGGTTGCAGTGAGCCAAGATCGCACCACTGCACTTCAGCCTGAGCACTCAGCCTGCCTCACTTTGAGACAGAGACTCTATCTCCAAAAAAAAAAAAAAAAAAAAAAAGAGGGGCTGAGGTGACTTAAATCTATGGGACAGAGTTGAGAGAGAGCAAGATATGCAGAGAAATGGCTACAGAAATCTGCACTGTGGTGTACCTGAAGTCTTTTGATAAATACTAAGCTGCACTTGTGAATCCAGGAAAAGAACAACTGGGAATAATGAATGATGAATAATTCACAGAGCTTTCACAGCACTGGGAAGCATTCAAATTTGACCAGCTTGACTGGGGCGATCTCACTGAACACATGGATTTGGTAGAAATTCCATTTATTGGAGCGCTAAACTAGCACTACAGAACGTAATACTCTGGACTCAACGTAATAAAGCTTAAAACAAGCCTCAGGCCAAGTGCAGTAGTAATGCCTGTAATCCTAGCCCTTCGGGAGGCCAATCTACATAGGCAGCAAAGTAGCATTCAAAATGTCCACCACCCAATCAAAAGTTACTGGACATGAAAAGTAGCACATATGTGATCTATAGCTAAGAAAAAAAAAGTCAATAGAAAAAAATCAGAAAATTAGCAATTTCAGTGAAAATTAGCAAACAAGACTTTAAAATGATTATAAATGTACCTGTGAATTAAAAGGAAAAATAGATACAATTAAAAGAGAAACGTAAGATATAAAAAAAACCAAACCAAACTTCCAGAGCTGAAAAATACAACATCTGGGCCAGGCACGGTGGTTCATGCCTGTAATAGCAGCACTTTGGGAGGATGAGGTGGGCGGATTGCTTGAGGCCAGGAGTTTGAGACCAGCCTGGCCAACATGGTGAAACCCTGTCTTTACTAAAAATATAAAACTTAGCCAGGTGTGGTGTTACGCACCGGTAATCCCAGCTTCTTTGGAGGCTGAGGCACAAGAATTGCTTGAACCCAGGAGGCACAGGTTGCAGTGAGCCTAGATCGTGCCACTGCACTCCAGCCTGGGCGACAGAGCAAGACTCTGTCTCTAAATAAATAAATAAATATTTTAAAAATCTTAAGTGAAAGATTCATTGGAGGAGCTTACCAGCAGGCTAGACATTATAGAAGAGATCAGTGAACTTGTGGATATTAGCAGTAGAAATTAACCAAAATGAAGCAGAGAAAAGAAGATGGCAGAGATGGACAAAATAGCAATGACCTGTGGGTCACTATCAAGCTATTTAACATATGTATACCCAAGAGTACCAGAAAAGCTGGTCAGGGAGGAGGTGGAAAGAGGGGAATAGGCAGAAAAAAATAAAGACGTAACTGATGAAAATTATTCAAATCTGATGAAAACTAAGAACTTACAGATCCGAGAAGCCTAATGAACCCCAGGGAGGATAAACACCAAGGAACCTCATCAAACCACTTAAAATCAATGATAAGGATAAACTCTTAAAAGTAGCTACAGGAGGGGAAAGGATAGTAATTTACAAACAATGAAATAAAGATGGGAGTCAGGCTGACTTTTCATTAGAAACAATGCAGACCAGAAGATAATGGAACATCTTTAAAGGAAGGAAAACAAAAAACAACAACAAAATCCTATCGACTTAGAATTCACTGTTTACAGAAAATAACTTCAAAATTTCTGTTTAGAGGAAATAACTTCAAAACAAGTAATCTGTGTTCCAACCAATGGGAGGGGGACAATCTTGAATACATGAGACAATGGATAAAGTATACAAAAGAGATCGATGAACTTGAAGATACAGCAATAGGATCTATACAAAATGAAACACAGAAAAAAGACAAAAAATGAACAGTGCATCAGTGAGCTGTGGGAGGACTGTGAGTGACTGATAACATGTGTAATTGGAGTCCTCACAGTAATAGGGGGAAGGAGATGACAAAATAATGGTTAACAATATTTTCCAAATTTGATTAAAGCTCTAAAACCAGAGATCCAAAAAGCTCAACTAATACCAAGCACAAGAAACTAGAAAACTAGATCAAGATATACCATAATCAAATTGCATGAAGTAGTGATAGTCTTAAAAGTAGCCATAGAAAAAACATATATAGACTAACAAAAATAAGAGTTATCACAATTTCTTATTAGAAAAATGCAACCCAGAAGCATAACATTTAGCAACATCTAAAATTTTTTGTTTTGTTTTTGAGAGACAGTCTTGCTCTGTTGCCCAGGCTGCAATGTGTTGGCACCATCTCAGCTCACTGCAACCTCTGTCTCCCAGGTTCAAGCGATTCTTGTGCCTCAGCCTCCCGAGTAGCTGGGACTACAGGTGTGCGCCACCACACCCAGTTAATTTTTGTATTTTTAGTAGAGACCGGGTTTCACCATGTTGGCCAGGCTGGTCTTGAACTCCTGGCCCCAAGTGATTCACCTGCCTCGGCCTCCCAAAGTGCTGGGATTACAGGCATGACCCACTGTGTCTGGCTAATATCTAGAATTTTATACCAAGCAAAAATGTCTTTAAAAAATGAAAGCAAATAAGTCATTTTCAGACCAAAAAAAGGCAATTCAGTTAATCTAGGGAAAAAACCCATAACTCTTACAAATATGTCACTCAATCTTCAAATATTTTTCCCTTCTTTTTGATGACTTTGGTATATAGCTGGCCTAAAAAGGATGGAAACTGGAAAGAAATGGAAACTATCAATCATCTCAAGAATATACTCTCATTTACATTTGGGGTAAAATTGCAGTATGTGGTTGGTCTTCTTTGATTTAGGACACAACAGAATACACAATTCATTTCTGTGATAGGATCTTTGAAGTTGTGGCTAATAACTATAAATTTTTATAATTCTTTACTTCAAACAAGTTATTTGCATTTTGAAGAAAAAATCTTATTTTTTTAGTGAATCATCTTTTTCTTCTACTTCCCATTCAAATATATAAACTCTCCTTAACCTTATCTAATTAAAAAATGAAAAATAAAATATTTTATGTATAAAAAAAGATATTTTGAGTTTTCATTCTCAAAGTCTGTGAGAATATCATTATATATTATATTCTCTAAATCTGAAGACATTTAACCAGAAAAAGAGACTACCACAGATGCCATAATCTCTGAGACCCACATTTTATAAATTACCTTGAAAATATTGGAAGTAGCCAATATTTCTTTTCATCACCAAAGACTTGTCTCCAATTTTTACTGCATCCAAGAGAGAAACCATTTCCATCAGGTCCGTATGAAAACGTGGGTGCGCGGAATGATTCTGTTAAATATACATACATATATAAACTAATTAATCTATTTAAAAATTATAGGAGGGATGGAAATTACCAATTTTCTTGCTTATATCTTTGACACAAAAACTGTAAATATAATTTAAAATAAATAATACATTAGTAGCAATTAAAAGATAAATTTATGAAACTTATTTTGGGAAAAAATAGCACATTTAATATTTCATCAACCTTATAAAGTAACATGTCAAAATAATTATCAAATATTACTGAAAATCTAGTATTGTGTGCTCAGTATCTCTTGGCTTTTTTTTTCTACAAGATATTCTAACTCCTGCAACTTCACTCATTATTTATGAATTTCCTACTATGTTCCTGATAGCACTGTACCAGGTATTTGGGATTCAAAGATAAATTAGATAAAATTCCTACCAAAGAACCTAGAGTCTAGCAAAAATTACAGTGTTATAAGTGCTAACATGGC
Organism: Homo sapiens; assembly: GCF_000001405.40. Taxonomy (NCBI): domain Eukaryota; kingdom Metazoa; phylum Chordata; class Mammalia; order Primates; family Hominidae; genus Homo; species Homo sapiens. The sequence continues at coordinate 21,388,090 of NC_000013.11, forward strand.
CATGACGTACTGGGAGCACAGAGGTGAAGGAAGCTAATTTTGTCTCGATAGAGACATATGTGTGCCTCGGGGGTGCTTGTAGGGAAAGGTGAGCAAGCTGAGGATGACTAGACCATTATTTCAAGCTTGGTTGTTAAGTGATGTAGAGTGAGGTCTGGAGAAAGATACAGGCTTCACAAAAAATGTTTTTTAATTTAAAAACAAGGCACTTCAGTGTGTTTTATAAGCTAAGGATAAGAACCCAGGGCATTGGGAGGGATTGCTGATATAAAAAAGTAAAATAAAAACTGAAGAAAGGGATCCTAGAAGAGATGGGAAGGAGTCTAGAAAAGTTGTAAAGGTTAACCTTGAATACCAGAAAAGACATCTTTCTTCCTCAGAAGTTAGAGGAAGGTGAGAGTGATGGGTGTGAAACAAGAAATGTTTGTATGAGGCTATAAAGATGTGAAGATGAGAGTTTACTTGTGACTCCTTCTAATTTTTCTACTAGGAACTCATAAAATGGGTAAGGAGAGTGGGAGAATTATGAAAATCTGGAATAACCATCTTGGGTAACAGGTGAGGGACCTGACCAGAAACATGTGACATTACTGCCAAACAGAGCTAAGGCCCTCCATGAGGCCTAACATCTTAAATCTGTAGCTATAGCAAACCTTATGGAGTAAGACATCCTTCTACAGCTTTCAACAGCCCCACTGTGCACGCGGATAGAGGATGGCTGGATAACCAGAGCCATGAATTAGCAAAGGAATAATGGGAGAAAGTCTAGGCACCAAAGATGTAAGGAGCTGTTTTTGTCAAGAGCTGTTAAAGTCATTTATCATAGGATCTAGAATGGACATGGGTGAGAAATAAAACCAGAAGGGAAAGAAAAACTTAGGAGAAAATTGTTGGAGAATAGAAGACTCAGGAAGTACATCAGAATACAGCAAATAGAGAATAACATATTCAAGTTTAAAATTTCATTTTCAGGGGCTCTTCAGTTCTAAGCGATTAAAAAACTCAGAATCAAAGGGACTAGCTTGCTTGTTCAGGATAATGGCATTAGCTTAAATGTAGGAACTCACTAAATGAGGGTAAACGATCTCAAGGTGGGTAGGTGACAGTTATGAAGAAGACAGAGGTGATACAGCAGAATAAGACACCCTCAAAAGACCCAAGAACAAACATCTGAATCAGTGGAGAACTAGCTAAAGACCAGGGCTGTGGGAGATGAAGCTGTTAGAAAGTGGTGTGCTAAGCAATGTTTTTTCAAAGTGTGGGTTAAAACACCTTAACAGACCACATAATCAACTGAGTGACTTGCAACCCGCATTTCCTTTTAAGAAACTAGAAAAGAAAATATCAGAATATACTGCATATAGTAGAGATTAAAAAGGTTTTGTGAAACTTTTGCTTGTTTTATTTATATAATTTTATAAATATTTGTGCATGTTCTAAGTCATGATATGAAATGCTGCATTTCTTACTGTGGCCACCGGCAAAAAAAAGTTTGAAAAAGATTGTTCAAGAGAATAGCAGGTTCCCTAGAAATGCCAATCTCTCACATACCTACGGGGGCTGGGCAGGAAACAAAGAAGGCACGACTGGCAAGACCTGCAGCAAATGACAGTGTCCACACCCTATCTAAATCCATGCCCTATCTTGGGCAGTCCACCACTGCTTAGCTCCATTTCACTGACGCCAAGTGGGAAAACGGGCCTACTACCACTAGATTGATCAGTTTTGAAAAGAAGAAATCTGGTTTTCTTTGTGAAATCACTCACATAGATTTTATTGGTTGGGGAGAACTTAAGGGCTGGACTTTGCCTGTAGGCTGCCTTTTTATCATTTTCAATTAAAGGTAAAGAGATGGCATAATATTCTATAAAGATGACAAAAAAAAGTAGTTAATAGGGATAAGAAATTTTATTTACATGGAAAAGGGATGAAAGCATGATGGAACTGGAAGAGAAGGAACAAATCCTCACACTGGAAGCCCACCATAACTTACAACACAGCTCAGTAACACAACGTTAAAATGATCCAATAACTAAAGCATCTACATGTCTCACCCCAAATCCCTTAATTTTTCTGTAATTAAAAACTGTTTCCCTCCAACTTACCTGGCAGATATATGGCTGCAGATTGCAGGTGGATTTTAACTTTTTTACAAAACACTACCGTAAAAATCCTTATTTTGTGTCTTGGTTATGTTAGCAGATACATGAATATTTCAATGATAACATAGCAGTACTTCTTACATGTCAATAGCTCAGTGAGCAATGCCACCATTGCTGTTTAGGGAATGTTTGTCCAATTACGTGAATACCTTACTTTTCCCCCTATATTTTCATTTTTTAAAATGAGCAAACAAAAAGAGAAATAAATGTTAATACTAGTGACACAATACGTAAGTCTCACTGACAACTGACACAAATATGGAAATAATGAGGCATGTCAAAAGCACTATTCCTTAGCCTCAGTCATGGAACATATGCCAGTTAAATGTGTTTAACTGTGGGGGAAAAAAGTAAAGAATATATATGGGCTGGGCAAGGTGACTTGCATCTGTAATCCTAGCATTTTGGGAGGCCGAAGTGGGAGGATCACTCAAGCCCAGGAGTTTGAGACAGGCCTGGGCAACGTAGCAAGACCCCATCTCCATAAGAAATAAATAAATTAGCTGGGTGTGGTAGTGCACACCTGTAGACCCAGCTACTTGGGAGGCTGAGGTGGGAACACTGCTTAAGTCCAGGAGGTCAAGGCTGCAGTGAGCTGTGATGGTACTACTGCACTCTAGCCAGAGCAAGAGTGAGACTCTGTCTCAAAAAAAAGAAAAAAAAAAAAGAATATACATGAAATACATTGTTATGTTTTAGCTAAAAGATAAGCTGTAATTGAGGATATAAAGGTTTTCTTATTTGAGAACAAACTTCCTTAAAGCATGTAAATCTACTGTCTATCCCTTATAGATTAATTTTTTTTTTTTTGAGATAGGGTCTTACTCTCATTGCCCAGGCTGGAGTGCAATGGTGCAATTTTGGCTCACTGCAGCTAGTTTTGTTTTGTATTTTTAGTAAAGACAGGGTTTCTCCATGTTGCCCAGGCTGGTCTCGAACTCCTGCACTCAAGTAATCCATCCATCTTGGCCTCCCAAAGTGCTGGGATTACAGGTGTGAGCCACTGTGCCCTGCCTCTTATAGATTAATTTTTGAAACGACACTGTATGAATGCAGGAAAGTTTTCATTTATTAAAATTTATAAAATAGTTCTCCACTTTTATATATAACACATTACTGAAAATGTGTTAAAAAGTCAATCTCATTTCCTCAACCTTCTCCAAAATAATGAACCTTTATTATAAAACCATTGTTCCCATCCAGTCACAATTAATTTTACTACAGAATTATTTTATTATTTTTATTTTTTAGAGACTGGGTCTCCCTATGTTGTCTAGGGTGTCCTCCAGGGCTCAGGGGATTCTCCCGCCTCTGTCTCTGCAGTAGCTGGGATTATTAGGCACGTGCCACCAATTCCAGAGTCAGAATTGTCTTACACTTCTGTATCATCTGACCCTTGTTCTTCTCTAGATTTCATATTTATTTATGGTCATTGTCCTAAGTAATTATAATTTATTTTAACCTACTTACCTATTGTTGTTCTATTTTTTCCAACTAGCCAGCAGTGGTAGCTGAAAAGTGAGAGGACGCTGATGAAGAACATTGCAGACACAAAGAAAAGAAAAAGTACGTGGAATTTTGCACGTGTATCTGTCAGTTCATTCTGAGGAAAAAAAGAAGTTAATTTTGAGGTCAACCTCTAAAATATAACTTACAAGTTAGTTCTGTCTAAAGATTGTTGAATATATCAAAATACTTGCCATATTTGAAAACTAATAAATTACTTAATATATCCCAATGCAACAAGGGCAAAAGCAAAGAATTGGTATTACCAAAGCAACCTGCTTATCTAGGAGTTCAGGAAGAGTTATTTAAAATACTGCTCTTAAATTTTTTTTAATTTTAGCTTGGCATGGTGGTGCATACCTGTAATCCCAGCTATTGGGGAGACTGAGACAAGAGGGTCACTGAGCCTAGGAGTTCTAGGCCATCCTGGGCAACACAGTGAGACCCTGTCTCATAAAAAAAAAAAAAAAACAATAGCAATACTTCCAGTAATAAAGTGAAAAGATCGACTCTTCTACCCAACAAATTTTCTTTTGTACTTTATGTATATATTCAAGCTTTCTCCAACATCCGACATATATAAGCTCCCCATATCTATACAAAAATATTTGCTTATTTTATTTAGATTTGCTGCTAACTAAAAACTAATTGTGAAATATTTTTGGACTTCTTTAATCTCTATTTTCAGACCACCTTACCCATGCCTTCAGCTGCTTCAATTCCTACTTTTTTCATCTGTATGTCTACAGAGCCTTTGTGCATAGTTAGCAATTTTGATAAATAAATTTACCACAGGTATTAATGAATGAAAACAGCTTCTCTGGTATCCCTTCTTATGGCTATATACATTTTAACAGAAGCAAACTAGAGCCTAGAAGAAATTAGTACCTTTAATAGAAGGAGGCAGCCTTTAAATGTTAGCTCTTAAAATAAACCATATAGGCAAAGCATCTACTCCACCAGAACACGAGGCTGTTCTGCTTGATTTAAAAAGTATTACAGACTAAAAGAAGACTATTAGCATTAGGTTATTGTGACATTGATCTTTTTCTCTTTTCTTCCAGAGTAACCAACATGTTTCAAATGTTTCAAACATATCAAGTGAGTCTTCTGACCATTTTGTGAAGCAAATTTTTATTAAACATATTCACTATAAATGTCACAAAGATCATGAGAATGTCATGGTAATGATGTATTTTACCTTTGGACAACTCTCTGTAGACTTCCTGCGGCAAAGCTTGTGCAAATAGAGACATATATTAAGAAACCAATTTTTATGCAAAATTATCCTAAACACTAGTTTTATAAATCCTGTTGAAAGAACACTAAGATGTTGCTTTCTAATGGCCATCTATAACATTTTCTCAAGAAATACAAAAGAAAAAATAGACAAGAACATGTAGCTGTTCAAGCACATTTCTTTTCTTTTTTCTTTTTTTTTTTTTTTAAAGATACAAGGTCTTGGCTGGGCACGGTGGCTCACACCTGTAATCCCAGTACTTTGGGAGGCGGAGACAGGCGGATCACTTGAGGTTGAGTTTGAGACCAGCCTGGCCAACATGGTGAAACCCTGTCTCTACTAAAAATGCAAAAATTAGCCGGGCATGGTGGTACACGCCTGTAATCCCAGCTACTTGGGAGGCTGAGGCAGGAGAATCACTTAACCCAGAAGGTGGAGGTTGCAGTGAGCCAAGATCGCACTGCTGCACTCCAGAGGCAGGCAGATCACCTGAGGTCAAGAGTTCGAGACCAGCCTGGCCAACATGGTGAAACCCCGTCTCTACTAAAAATGCAAAAATTAGCCAGGCATGGTGGTACACGCCTGTAATCCCAGCTACTTGGGAGGCTGAGGCAGGAGAATCACTTAACCCAGAAGGTGGAGGTTGCAGTGAGCCGAGATCGCACTGCTGCACTCCAGCCTGGGCGACACAGCAAGTCTCACAAAAAAAAAAAAAAAAAAAAAAAAAAAAAAGGTACAAGGTCTCACTAAGGCACCAGAGCTAGGGCTAGTCTTTAACTCCTGGTCTTAAGTGATCCTCCCGCCTTGGCCTCCCAAAGTGCTGGACTACAGGCGTGAGCCACCTGCGCTGGGCCTGCAGACACATTTCAGTCTGGGGAAGAATAAAATAAAATGTTTTTAGCCAATATTGAAAACAAACAAACAAACCTCTGACTAGTTTCCAAAAACTAGATCTGATGACTTCTAACCACCTTCACTGCTTCTACCTTATTCCAGCCGGGATGCTGCAACAGCCTACCATGTCAGCCTGTGTATTGGCACTTGCCCTCTCCCATCTATTCTCAGCTCAGCAATCAGAGTGAGCCTTGCACAAATCAGATCATGTCCCAACCTGGCTGCTAGTAAAAGCCACAGTCATTTCAATACTCTCCAAGGCCCTCTGTCATTTTGGCCCCCTCTTGGTCCATTCCTTTCAGTCTCCTTTCTGCTCATTCTACCCCAGCCACAGTAGCCTTCTTGTGTTACTGAAACATGGCAGGGACACGTATCATGTTCTCTGGGCCTGAATGCTCTTCTCTCAGATATCCATTAATTCCCTTCAAGTTTTTGCTTAAATCCTACCTTCTAAATAAGGTCTACCCTGACTGTGCTATTCAATATTGCCACCTGCCCTATCATGCCACCGCCCAATACTTAAATCTCTTACCCTGCTCATTATTTATTACTTGTCCCCCTCCTTCTCAAAAGCAAGCTCTACAAAGAGAGAACTCTGCCCGTTTTTTCAGAGATATACTACAAGTCTCTAGAGTACTACCTGCCATACAGTAAGTACTAAATACATATTTATTGAATGAAGAAAAAGGTATATTTACGTTTACAAGTCTTTTTTTACTCAGAATTAATCCAAAAAAGTTATTCATTCTTTAATAAATCATTGCACACAAACATTGCTGAATTTTCTGATAGAGAAATGTGAAATTAGGTAATTTAGATTTCATCTATCTGGCACTAAATCTGTTTAAATAAGGGGTATGGTTAGTATGTTGTGAACTGAACAAAGGTGCCCAGCTAAGGGGGAAATCAAAAGCCAAAATTCATGAGGCTGACACCACACAGGTAGGGGTGTTCTCTTCTAATATGTGCAAAGGCATTGTAAGTGTTAGGATCCCCTGGTTTTACATACCCAAACTTTAAACATCTAATGATGTTTAAATCCTTCTAAAATGTAGTAGGTATCTCCTACTTTAATTATATTCTTTAATTATAATTATATTCTTCCTAACTATGAGTAGCAAGTTATAGTGGAAAGTAGCTGGATGCTGGAATAGCCAGATTTTAGTTTAAATTCTTTCTTTTTTTTTTTTTTTGAGATAGAGTCTCGATCTGTAGCCCAGGCTGGAGTGCAGTGGTGCAATCTCAGCTCACTGCAAGCTCCGTCTCCCAGGTTCATGCTATTCTCCTGCCTCAGCCTCCAGAGTAGCTGGGACTACAGGCGCCAGCTACCAGGCCCAGCTAATTCTTTGTATTTTTAGTAGATACGGGGTTTCACCATGTTAGTCAGGATGGTCTTGATCTCCTGACCTCGTGATCCACCTGCCTCGGCCTCCCAAAGTGCTGGGATTACAGGTGTAAGCCACCGCGCCCGGCCTAAATTCTTCCTATGTTATTAAGTATGTGACCTTCGGTAGTTGCATAATTTCTCCAATTTGTTTCCAACTCTGAAAACTGAAATAATAATGGCCCCCTTCTATATAAACCATATTTTCTTCTTTTCTTTTCTTTTTTTTTTTTTTTTTGAGACAGAGTCTTGCTCTGTCGCCAGGCTGGAGTGCAGTGGCGTGATCCGTGATCTTGGCTCACTGGAACCTCCGCCTCCCGGGTTCAAGCGATTCTCCTGCCTCAGCCTCCCAAGTAGCTGGGACTACAGGTGCGTGCCACCACACCCAGCTAATTTTGTATTTTTAGTAGAGATGGGGTTTCACCATTGTTGGCCAGAATGGTCTCGATCTCCTGACCTCGTGATCCGCTCGCCTCAGCCTCCCAAAGTGCTGGGATTACAGGCATAAGCCACCGCGCCCCAACCCTATTTTCTTATTTTCTATATTTCTGAGGCTCTGGCATCTGGGGCCTCACTAACTGGGGAGAAACTGCCCCTCCCCAGGCTAGCCAGTTCTTAAGAGACAGCAAACCACTCACCCAGGAGCACATCTTTCATACATAAACTAAACAATCCAGATCCCACACTGAGAACCACCTCTTCTATCTGCCTTTTACACTCCAGAAGGCAGCAGTCCTCTGCCTTCATCATCCCAGGACCAGGTACAAGACAACTAGAGATAGCCCCGATACCTGAGTCCTCTGCAATTCCTGCAGCCAGCCAATCCAAAATCTGCTTACCCTGCCTTCCCCACAGGAACCACAATAAAGGCTCTGGTTCCCACGTGGTGCTTCCTATCCTGGGGCCCCTTCCTCTTGGCGCTGTGAGTAACAAACTATCTTTTCAGTGGCAATTGTCTCCTGATCTATTGGCCTCACCATACCTGAATAATAACAAAACCTACATTGTAAAACACCTTCAAAAGGTTTTTAGAAAGAGTAGATGTAAAAGTACTTTTTAACTACAATAATCCCTCCTCCAAAATCAGAGATTTAAAGGTAAAACCAAAAATAACAAAAGTGCCAGAGGAAAAAAATAGGACAATATCTGTATAAATTTATATGGAATAGACAACAGACAGGTATCATATATAAAAAGAACTGCTTTAAAAATATAAAACTTTGATGTGACAAAAACAAAAGAAAGCAGAAATGTAAGACATAAACAGAAAATGTGGGTCAGGCATGGTGGCTCACACCTATTATCCCAGTATTTCAGGAGGCCGAGGTGGGTGGATCACCTAAGGTCAGGAGTTCAAGATCAGTCTGGCCAACATGGCGAAACCCTGTCTCTACTAAAAATACAAAAATTAACCAGGCGTGGTGGTGCATGCCTGTAGTCCCAGCTACTCAGGAGGCGAAGGCAGGAAAATCACTTGAATCCAGGAGGTGAAGGTTACAGTGAGCTGAGATTGTGCCACTGCACTCCAGCCTGCATGACAGAGTGAGACTCTGTCTCAAAAAAAAAAAAAGAAAGAAAGAAAACTCAGAAAATGTGGAAAAAGCATTTGCAACCCATGACAGAAAAAGGATTAATATCTTTAGAAGTGTCTCACATATTCTGGTTAGGAGTCCTTTGTGAGATATATGCGTTGTAAATATCTTCTCCCAGTCAGTAGCTTGCTTTTTCACTCCAAAAGTCACCTTTTTATAAAAAGTTCTTTATTTTAATGAAGTCCAATTTATTGATCTTTTCTTTTATGGTGATTGCTATGTTCAATGTAAGAAATCCTCATTTGGGCTGGCCGCAGTGGCTCATGCCTGTAATGCCAGCATTTTGGGAGACCGAGGCGGGCGGATCACCTGAGGTCAGGAGTTCAAGACTGGCCTGGCCAACATGGTAAAACCCCGTCTCTGCTAGAGAATCACTTGAACCCAGGAAGTGGAGGTTGCAGTGAGCCGAGATTGTGCCATCACACTCTAGCCTGGGTGACAAGAGCTAAACTGCATCTCAAAAAAAAAAAAAGAAATCCTCATCTAACTCAAGGTCAAGAATAACGATTAGTGGCTGGGCTCGGTGGCTCGCACCTGTAATCCCAGCACTTTGGGAGGCCGAGGTGGGAGGACTGTTTGAGATCAGGACTTATAGACCAGCCTGGGCAACATGGTGAAACCCTGTCTCTACAAACAATACAAAAATTAGCCGGGCATGGTGGTGCCTGCCCATGGTCCCAGCTACTTGGGGGCTTGAGGCAGGGGATTGCTTGAGCCTGGGAGATTGAAACTGCAGTGAGCCGTGATCGCACCACTGCACTCCAGCCTGGGAGACAGAGTGGGACCCTATCTCAAAAAACAAAACAACAACAAAAAAGATTAGTATCTTTAATATAAGACAAACTCTTTTCATGTGTAAATATGAAAACCTACTAGAAATGGGCAAAGAACACAATAGAAATTTCACAAAAAAGACATGCCAGTAGCTAGCAAGCATATCCTCATAAGCATATGCAAAAAAAATTTTCCTCTGCTCATAAATTGGCAGGGATTGTACTTAAGAAAGGAGAGAATAAAGACAGGAAATTAGGAGATGGAGGGTCTAAACCATGTCTGTGATATTAGGAATAGGAATGATTTGAGGCACAGAGTTGGAAAAAACAAAATAAAAAACATCTACTGACTGCTTTCCATGTATTTACACTATTTATTTTAATCATTACATCAATCCTATAAGTTATTACCTCAGTTTTAAAAATGAAAGAACAAAGAGTCTAAAGTTTAAGTATCTTGATTCTGGCTATTCACTCAGCAAATATTTACTGAACACCTACTGTGTGTTCAGTACTGGGCGACTAAGAAACATAAACAAACAGGTTGGGCGCGGTGGCTCACACCTGTAATCCCAGCACTTTGGGAGGTCGAGGCGGGCAGATCACGAGGTCAGGAGATCGAGACCATCCTGGCTAACACGGTGAAACCCCGTCTCTACTAAAAATACAAAAAATTAGCCGGGCGAGGTGCCGGGTGCCTGTAGTCCCAGCTACTCGGGAGGCTGAGGCAGCAGAATGGCATGAACCCGGGAGGCGGAGCTGGCAGTGAGCCAAGATCGCGCCACTGCACTCCAGCCTGGGCAACAGAGCGAGACTCCGTCTCAAAAAAAAAAAAAAGGAAAGAAACATAAACAAACAAAATAAACAAATATTCATGCTCTCATGGAGCTTAGATTCTGGCAAATAAATACATACATGGCATTTACATGTAAAGAAAGCTCATTTTTTTCCCCTAGTATACCACCCTGATTCTATACCTCAGTTTCATACAGGAATAACAATAGTTCCAAGATGCTATTAATTTTTCTAGCTTGGAAACTGATAAGATTTGTAAAGATGTTGTTCCCAATCAATCAGATAAACATAGAAAGAACAGTGAAATGAAAATGAGGTTGGTTTGAGACGTGCTGATTTTTATGGTGTCTTCCTCATGTCTACTGGTTCAATAAATAGCAACTGGAAACAGGGGAATGGGCTCAGCCCATGTGAGCGCTAGGGCTAGGAACAGCAATTGTGAATGCCACAGGGGGACACGCAACAACCCAGAAACACAGTAGAAAGAACCAACAGTGAGACAGCCCAGGACTGAACCTATATTTAAAGGGCTGAAGGGGAAAGAGAAAGGAATTAATATTATCTTGAAATTTAAAGAGAGTTTAAATGAAGGAGAAAATGTTCATTTATTTTGAAATTATTTCTTGGCCAGGTGCAGTGGCTCACACTTGTAATCCCAGCACTTTGGGAGGCCAAGGCGGGCAAATCACTTGAAGTCAGGAGCTCGAGACCAGCCTCGCCAGCATGGTGAAACCCTGTCTCTACTAAAAATACAAAAATTACCCAGGCATTGTGGTGGAGCACCCATAATCCCAGCTATTCAGGGAGGCTGAGGCAGGAGAATCGCTTGAACCCAGAAGGCAGAGGTTATAGTAAGATGAGATCGCGCCACTGCACTCCAGCCTGGGTGACCAAGCAAGATTCCGTCTCAAATAAAAATAAAATCAAATAAAAATAAAAATAAAATAAAATATAAAATAATTTCTAAATTTTTAAAAAATGGCACATGCACAGAGAAAATTAAAATAATGCTAAAAAGCTATTAATGAAAAACAGCAGTTCTCCCACTTCCAAGAGGCAGTTACTTTCAATGTTTTTGGTAGTTTTTCCTCAAAAAATATATACTTCCATACTAAAAAAAATTTTAAAGCTATATTTATCTGTTTTGAATATATTACTATTTGTCCATGTTATACAAAATCCAAAGGATAACTGTAGAAAGCATGTCTCCCTTCTAAGTGCCCTCCCCAGAGGCAACCAGTTAAGAATTTTTTACTGCATTCTTCCAGATAAAACATATACAAATATATATACATGTTATTTTGCTGTAGAAACGGCAGCATACTATATGCATTCTTCCGTACCTTGTTTTTTTCACGTTAATAAAAGATCTCAAAGATCACTTCACATCATTTGTTATAAAGAGCTTCCTTATTCTTTCTTAAGCTGCATTGCATTCCTTTGTATAGATGTGTCATAGTTTCAGGGGACCTCAGTTGATAAGACATTTGATTGTTTTCATTCATTTGCCATTTTAAGAAATGCTGTAAAATCTATAAAGACAGGAAGCAGTTTAGTGGCTGCCTGGGGCTGAGGCAACCACTAAACTGCTTCCTGTCTTTATAGATTTTATTACTATAAAATTGCAGTAAGTCTCACCAACTCAAAGAAAAGCAATTTACCTCCCTAAAATGAATATGTCTTTGTTAGAATGTGGGTGAAAATAATTTGGATCACTAAAAGAGGCTCACTATATCCTGTTTAATACACATTTATTTACAAATAAACATGTGTATATGAAAGTAAATTGTAGCCCTATCTGTCCTCTGATGGATTTATAAAACTCTAACTTGTAAAATTAAAGTATATCTACTTGTCATAAAAAATAAAGTAATTTATTAGGAAGATAGCATCTTAAAGTCTTAAATACATGTTTCAAGATAGAAAAAAAGACTTACCGTCCAAAATTTTATAAAGTACTCTAAAACTGTTGCAGCCACGAAAAGGCAATATAATAGGGAATACAATAAAAACAGCAGGAAGAATTTGTAATTAGAAAATCCCACACAGTTATTCACCCTGGAAAAATAAAGAAAGCCACATTATAAAAGTAAGACAAATCACAAATTCACAGAAATAGAAAGTAGGATGGAGGCTGCCAGGGGCTGGTGTGGTGTGGGGAAGGGGAGCTTTTTAATGCGAATAAAATTTCAGTTTTGCAGGATGAAAAAGTTCTGGAGATTAATTGCACAACAATTTGAACATACTTAACACTACTGAACTGTACCCTAAGAAATGGTTAACATGGTACATCTTATGGGAGTCTCATTCTGTTGCCCAGGCTGGAGTGCAGTGGCACAATCTCGGCTCACTGCAACCTCTGCCTCCCAGGTTCACGTGATTCTCCTGCCTCAGACTCCCAAGTAGCTGGGATTACAGGCGCCCAACACAACAGCCGGCTAATTTTTGTATTTTTAGTAGAGATGGGGTTTCACCATGTTGCCCAGGCTGGTCTTGAACTCCTGACCTCTTCGATGTTTTTTAAAACAATTAAAACATAATAATTAAAAAAAATAAATTGGGCCGAGTGCAGTGGCTCATGCCTGTAATCCTAGTACTTTGGGAGGCCAAGGCGGGTGGACTGCTTAAGCCCAGGAGTGCAAGACCAGCATGGGCAACATGGAGAGACCCCATCTCTATTAAAAATACAAAAAATCAGCCAGGCGTGGTGGTGCATGCCTGCAGTCCCAGCTACTTGAGAGACTGAGGTGGAAGAATCACCTGAGCCCAGAAGGTCAAGGCTGCAGTGAGACAAGATCATGCCACTGTACTACAGCCTGGGCAACCAGAGACCCTGTTTCAAAAATAAAATAAAACAAAACAAACACAAAGAAAGACAAATCAGAAAACTAGAAAACTTAATCATTATTACCTAGAAATGGGTCATCTGGGAAGTTGAGTGGTGTCTTAATTGTGAATGTTTGTATTTAATAAATTCCATAAGGAATGTGGAATTTTAATGTTAATTCTTAATACATTGTTATTTGGGTTAATTTCAGCAGATATTTTAATAGAAACCATTTAATATAACTGTTTACATACAAATCTATGCATATATGTAAAGAGATCAATCTTAATATCTATGAGTAAACTGGCCTTCAAAATTTAGGAATACTGAAGTTACTCTAAATTCTCTCTCTCACCACCAATGCAATTTCTTCTGTTTTTTTATACATACCAAGGACAGTGATGATCCATCTTAAGAATACATCTAGGAAACAAACAAGCATAAGAAAATCCATGCAGAAAAATTCTTCTAATTCTAACTTCTCATAATTTTCTTTTATTTGACTTAAAATTCCCTTTACAACTACATCTTAAGAGAATCAACCCAGAAACTAGGTTAGAGATAATTTCTGATGCTTCCACAAGAATGTTCATAGGTAAAAAGTCATGATTTTTATACTGGGAATTCAGCTGAACATATTCAGCTGCCTTAGACCACATCAAATAATACTGTAATATTTAGATCTGGGCTGGGCACAGTGGCTCATGCGTGTAATTAATTCCAGCACTTTGGGAGGTGGAGGCGATAGGATCATTTGAGGTCATGAGTTCGAGACCAGCCTGGCTGACATAGTGAGACCCTGTCCTGAAAAAAACAAAATTCAGATCTGGTACACAGTACTTGGTACATTAGATCCAGCTAACAAATTAGCTGAAGGAGATAAAATGCAATACAGATGGCCCCTATGTTATTTTAAACATATGCAGGTCATAAAAACAAAAGTTTAGGAGGAAATAAGTCAAAATATTAACACTGATGGGCTTGGAGATGGTTATTTTTCCACATATTCTATAAAATTTTACCCTATGCATAAGCACTACTGTATTTTTGTAATAAAAAAAACCCACCAAACTCCAAATTTGCCTCCCTACTAGAATATGTATTCTATACTTATATGAAGGTAGACCACAGATCATCTAAAAAAAATAACAAAATGAGTAATCTAATACTTAGAAAGTTAAGTAACTGTGTTACTAAAAGTCAAGGATTATCTGGGATTCCAAACTAACGATCTTTCCTTCAACATATTATCTCCTTACATGTACACAAAGACTTACATTAAGCACAAGCATAGACAGCATAAAGTCCAAGAAAATTCTATTAACTGGTATAGGAACTGTTATCAAAGATACAACTTGTGAGTATATTCCAGCTTTTATCAATATTTTTGTCTGCCCTGTATGCACAGCAAATAATGGGAGAGGATGAAGTGTTCTTGTCAAGTGTAAAGCATATAAAATGTTCCTTCCCCTTGCACTTTCCCATCACTGATTTCCAGTGCTAGATATTAAGCATATGTGTGAGTAACACTTACGAGTCACAGGCTGAGCAGTGATGCGCCCGATCAGGTTTAATCAGCTGACATTTTTCACAATATCTGATAGCTACATGAAAGAAGTAAAAGGAAGATGCTGAAGGATGTACAAACTTAACTAATTTGACATTAAAACTTGATTTTCTAAAAAAAATAACTCTGGGTAATTGATAACTAATAATTTTAAAACAATACCAACAATACCAAAATGTATTATACTAGAGAGCTTCTCAAATCAAAATGTCAAGAGATAAAAGAGAACATCAGAATGTAGTTTGCTCAGCAATTTTTAGATGAAAAGTAGATGCAAAGCAAATAAATGACTCATACAAGGTCAAACACCAGGGTGAGTAGCAGAACTAGACCAGAACTCAAGATTTAGTAAGTCCCAGGTCCAGTGTTTTTTTCTATTATACCACAATGCCTACAGTAATATCAAAATTTAGACTTTTAAGGCATCCTGTGGGATTGTTTTTGAAATTCTGAAATAGTTTTATTAAAAAAAAAAAACACTTTTTATCTGCCATCCCTACCCCAGATAAACAATAAAACTGGGAATGCATTTTTGAATAAAAACTCTGAATTGTTTTCCACTAAATCCTAATATATACTATTGTTGCCTAATACATATGTTCATTTAAAATGTATGGAACACCTGCTAGGTGCCAGATATTGTTCATGCCTTCACAGACCTTTCATTTTACAGGAAGCAATGGGGAGTAATAATAAACAAGTTAACAAAATAAATAATGTATTAGACAGTGATAATATAGATAGCAGGGAAGGAAACATTGGGGAATTGTAATTTTAGAAAGATGTGAGAAAAATGAAATTGAAAGAAGCAAGTTAGTGAGTCATGTCCCTCAGGGAGAAAGAAGTTGCTTTTTTGTTTGTTTTTTTGTTTTTTCTGGGACGGAGTGTCGCTCCGTCGCCCAGGCTGGAGTGCAGTTGCACGATCTCGGCTCACTGCAACCTCCGCCTCCTGGGTTCAAGCAATTCTCCTGCCTCAGCCTCCCGAGTAGCTGGGACAACAGGTGTGCGCCATCATGCCCAGGTAATTTTTGTATTTTTAGTAGAGACAGGGTTTCACCATATTGGTCAGGCTGGTCTCGAACTCCTGACCTCAGGTGAGTCACCCACCTCGGCCTCCCAAAGTGCTGGGATTACAGGCGTGAGCCACCGTGGCTGGCGGGGAGAATGAGGATTCTAATCAGAGAATGGACCCTGAGGTGTGAGTATGCTTGGCTTGTTCAAGGATTAGCAAAGAAGAGTGATGTTCATTACAGCATTGTTTTTACTAAAACACTAGGAATAACTTGAATTATAAAAATAGTTAACCATCTACTGGTATATCCAGTGAAACACTATGCGGAGTTTAACAAAAATTTTCCATACAGAATACATTTATGACTGGGTGCGGTGGCTCACTTGGAAATAACCAATCTTCTTTCTGTTCTTTGTTTCCACTTTCTTCAGCCTTTTCTAAAGCCGACTTCCCCTGTCCAGCTCATTGGAGCTCCTTTCTATTTTGTAGACTGCATGAGGCCTAGTTCATAAATCATTAATGAAAGGCAATTAGATCTTTCAAACTCAATTTGTTGAAATTTTGGTTTTTGACAACCCTAATATGGAAAAATACAAGGACATTACATGGAAAAAAAGGAATTCAGGGCTGGGCACAGTGGCTCACACCTGTAATCCCAGCACTCTGTCTGGGAGGCTGAGGCGGGTGGATCACGAGGTCAGGAGATTAAGACCATCCTGGCTAACATGGTGAAACCCCGTCTCTACTAAAAAAATACAAAAAATTAGCTGGGCGTGGTGGTGGGCGCTTGTAGTCCCAGCTACTCGGGAGGCTGAGGCAGGAGAATGGCGTGAACGCAGGAGGCGGAGCTTGCAGTGAGCTGAGATCGCGCCACTGCACTCCAACCTGGGTGACAGAGCGAGATTCCATCTCAAAAAAAAAAAAAAAGCAAGTCATGCAGAATAGAGTTCCCATCTCCAAAGGGAAAAGAATATATATTTTCTTTTTATAACTATATACCCTATCCCAATAAAATGCATACATCTTTCGGATGTCAATTAATATATATAACAGGGAAACAGAGTATACTTTGAAGCAATGTTAGAAGCTATAGCTCATAGAAAGCTCTATCCAGGTAACCAAATTTGCATTAGTTAATATTTAGCTATTTGATTGTCACTTGTATATAGTTCTACAATACTCTGTTATATATAAAACATTTCTGCTAGGATACACAAGAAAAGGTGGTAGCCTCTGATGAGTGGTGTCATGGGTGAGATGTGTAGACTCAATCTTTTTTGGTGCCCCTAAAAATTTTTTTTTTTAAATAATGGACATGTATTACTTCTATAATGTAAATAAGAATTTCTCTAGAACAAAGGGAATTTACACAAATATCTACTTATTAAATGTTATTTTTAACAAAAATCATTTTCATTTATTTAAGCCTTTAAAATAAAATATTCATTTAATATGATACAGAGGCAATAAAATACATAATTTAATTGACTTTTCAAATTCATTTAAAAATAGAGAGCTACCGCTTTAGAAATCTAGCTCAGCTATTTTTTTCCCTCTAGCACATTAGGGAAAAAGACACAAGTCACAAGATAATCCCACATCACATAAGAAAGCCAAGTTCTGTCTCACTCACCTGTCTTGATCAACAGGGAGGAAAAACCTGTTTGCTGCAGCTGCTGGCATCTGGGCCCTTGATTTTGGGTGTGTTGAAATTACCATATGAGTTCTCAGGGTGCTTTTAGTGCACCTGTTTTCTGATTGATGAGCAATGTGTAGGAGGTACTTAGCTGCTAGACTGAAAATCTTCCTTTTCCACTACTGGGAGCATATTCTTTGACACTCTCTAAGAAGGAAATCTGTACACCCTCTCCTCCACTATCGCTTAAAATTATTTAGTCCATTTTAGTATTTGTCTAATGATGGAAAAATATGGAGACCTATTCAACTGTAAATGAAAACCTTATATAAAAAGATAAATGCTACAAATTTTAAAAGCAGAATCCCTCATCACTTAATTGGAAGGGCTAAGTTAAGTCCCTGCTTCCATAATGCTTGGGTGCACCAGCAGGATCTGAACTCAGAACATACAAATGCAAAAAGCCCTTTCAGCCAAAACATTTGAAACGGACTCTGTGAGGCAGTGAAAACATCCAACGTAAAATGGAACAAAACCACTAAGGACTGAGTGGTTAAGATTGTGTATTCTGATTGCTGCAGAATGAGGGAAAGGAAATTAAATCAGATCTTAACTGAAAGCCCAACACTTGACCAGTTATTTCCCCCTGGCAGCCATAAACCCCTGCTGCCATATATCAAATACTCCTGGCTTCCCTTGGCTACACCTACTTACAGCATCTAAGCAACTTGCCTGGCTGGTGGGTCCCTTCTGACTTTTGGGCCCTGGGACATCTTCTCTTTTTCAAATACTGTTTAATACTCATTTCCCGATCACTCCTGGACTTGATTCTTCTTATACTACTTACTCCTGCACATCTAATTGACTCTAGTTAAGCATTTCAACCAGGTTTCTGTTATTTGTGCTTTTCTATGTTTTTATTATTATACTTTGTTATAAAATAGATGTGTAGAACATACAGGTTTGTTACATAGGTATACATGTGCCATGGTGGTTTGCTGCACCTATCAATCTGTCATCTACAATAGGTATTTCTCCTAATGCTATCCCTCCCCTTCCCCTCCACCCCCCGACAGGCCCCAGTGTGTGATGTTCCCCTCCCTGTGTCCATATGATCTCATTGTTCAACTCCCACTTATAAGTGAGAACATGCAGTGTTTGGTTTTCTGCTCCTGTGTTAGTTTGCTGAAAATGATGGCTTCCAGCTTCATCCATGTCCCTGCAAAGGACATGAACTCATTCTTTTTTATGGCTGCATAGTATTCCATGGTGTATATATGCCACATTTTCTTTATCCAGTCTATCACTGATGGGCATTTGGGTTGGTTCCAAGTCTTCGCTATTGTGAACAGTGCTGCAATAAACATACATGTGCATGTGTCTTTACAGAATGATTTATAATCCTTTGGGTATATACCCAGTAATAGGATTGCTGGGTCAAATGGTATTTCTGGTTCTAGATCCTTGAGGAATCGCCGCGCTGTCTTCCACAATCGTTGAGCTAATTTACACTCCCACAAACAGTGTAAAAGTGTTTCTATTTCTTTGTCACCCAGGCTGGAGTGCAGTGGCGTGATCTCAGCTCACTGCAACCTCCATCTCCCAGGTTCAAGTGATTCTCCTGCCTCAGCCTCTTGAGTAGCTGGGATTACAGGTGCCCGCCACCAGGTCCAGCTAATTTTTTTTTGTATTTTGTTTAGTAGAGATGGGGTTTCACCATGTTGGTCAGGCTGGTCTCGAACTCCTGACCTTGTGATCCACCTGCCTCGGCCTCCCAAAGTGCTGGGATTATAGGTGTGAGCCACCACACCCAGTTTCTTTCCTGACTTTTTAATGATCGCCATTCTAACTGGTGTGAGATGGTATCTCATTGTGGTTTTGATTTGCATTTCTCTAATGACCAGTGATAATGAGCTTTTTAAAATATGTTTGTTGGTCACATAAATGTCTTCTTTTGAAAAGTGTCTGTTCATACCCTTCGCCCACATTTTGATGAGGTTGTTTTTTTCTTGGAAATATAAGTTCCTTGTAGATTCTGGAGATTAGCCCTTTGTCAGATGGATAGATTGCAAAAATTTTCTCCCATTCTGTAGGTTGCCTGTTCACTCTGATGATAGTTTCTTTTGCTGTGCAGAAGCTCTTTAATTAGATGCCAATTGTCAATTTTGGCTTTTGTTGCAATTGCTTTTGGTGTTTTAGTCATTAAGTCTTTGCCCATGCATATATCCTGAATGGTGTTGCCTAGATTTTCTTCTAGGGTTTTTATGGTTTTAGGTCTTATATTTAAATCTTTAATCCATCTTGAGTTAATTTTTGTATAAGGTGTAAGGAAGAGATCCAGTTTCAGTTTTCTGCATGTGGCTAGCCAGTTTTCCCAACACAATTTATTAAATAGGGAATCCTTTCCCCATTGTTTGTTTTTGTCAGGTTTGTCAAAGATCAGATGGTTGTAGATGTGTGGTGTTATTTCTGAGGCCTCTGTTTTGTTCCATTGGTCTATATATCGGTTTTGGCACCAATACCATGCTGTTTTGGTTACTGTAGCCTTGTAGTATAGTTTGAGGTCAGGTAATGTGATGCCTCCATCTTTGTTCTTTTTGCTTAGGATTGTCTCGGCTATACAGGCTCTTTTTTTGGTTCCACATGAAATTTAAAGTAGTTTTTTCTAATTCTGTGAAGAAAGTCAATGGTAGCTTGATGGGAATAGCATTGAATCTATAAATTACTTTGGGCAGCATGGCCATTTTCACGATATTGATTCTTCCTATCCATGAGCATGGAATGTTCTTCCATTTGTTTGTGTCCTCTTTTATTTCCTTGAGCAGTGGTTTGTAGTTCTCCTTGAAGAGCTCCTTCACATCCCTTGTAAGCTTATTCCTAGGTATTTTATTATCTTTGTAGCAATTGTGAATGGGAGGTCACTCATGATTTGGCTGTTTGTCTATTATTGGCGTATAGGAATGCTTGTGATTTTTGCGCATTGGTTTTGTATCCTGAGACTTTGCTGAAGTTGCTTATCAGCTTAAGGAGTTTTGGGGCTGGGACGATGGGGTTTTCTAAATATACAATCATGTCATCTGCACAGATAATTTGACTTCCTCTCTTCCTATTTGAATACCCTTTATTTCTTTCTCTTGCCTTATTGCCTTAGCCAGAACTTCCAATACTATGTTGAATAGGAGTGGTGAGAGAGGACATTCTTGTTTTGTGCCAGTTTTCAAAGGGAATGCTTCCAGCTTTTGCCCATTCAGTATGATATTGGCTGTGGGTTTGTCATAAATAGGTCTTATTATTTTGAGATGCGTTCCATCAATACCTAGTTTATTGAGTGTTTTTAGCATGAAAGGTTGCTGAATTTTATTGAAGGCCTTTTCTGCATCTATTGAGATAATTATGTGGTTTTTGTCATTGGTTCGATGTGATGGATTACATTTATCGATTTGTGTATATTGAACCAGCCTTGCATCCCAGGGATGAAGCCAACTTGATCATAGTGGATAAGCTTTTTAATGTGCTGCTGGATTCAGTCTGCCAGTATTTTATTGAGGATTTTCACATTGATGTTCATCAGGGATATTGGCCTGAAATTTTCTTTTTTTGTCACATCTCTGCTAGGTTTCGGTATCAGGATGATGCTGGCCTCATAAAATGAGTTAGGGAGGAGTCCCCCTTTTTCTATTGTTTAGAATAGTTTTAGAAGGAATGGTACCACCTCCTCTTTGTACCTCTGGTAGAATTTGGCTGTGAATCCGTCTGGTCCTGGGCTTGTTTTGGTTGGTAGGCTATTAACTACTGCCTCAATTTCAGAACTTGTTATTGGTCAATTCAGGGATTCCACTTCTTCCTGGTTTAGTTTTGGGAGGGTATATGTGTCCAGGAATTTATCCATTTCTTCCAGATTTTCTAGTTTATTTGTGTAGAGGTGTTTATGGTATTCTCTGATGGTAGTTTGTATTTCTGTGGGATCAGTGGTGATATCCCCTTTATCATTTTTTTATTGTGTCTATTTGATTCTTCTCTCTTTTATTCTTTATTAGTCTGGCTAGTGGTCTATTTTGTTAATCTTTTTTAAAAGAGTCCCATATTTCTTGGAGGCTCTGTTCGTTCCTTTTCATTCTTTTTTCTCTAATCTTGTCTTTATGCTTTATTTCATCAAGTTGATCTTCAATCACTGATATCCTTTCTTCTACTTGATCGATTCAGCTATTGATACTTGTGTATGCTTCACAAAGTTCTCGTGGTGTGTTTTTCAGCTCCATCAAGTCAAAGGTTCTTCTCTAAACTGGTTATTCCAGTTAGCAGTTCCCATATCTTTATATCAAGGTTCTTGGCTTCCTTGCATTTGGTTAGAACATGCTCCTTTAGCTCAGCGGAGTTTATTATCCACCTTCTGAAGCCTACTTCTGTCAATCTGTCAAACTCAATCTCGGTCCAGTTTTGTTCCCTTGCTGGCAAGGAGTTGTGACCCTTTGGAGGAGGAGAGGCATTCTGGTTTTGGAATTTTCAGCCTTTTTGCACTGGTTTTTCCTCATCTTCGTGGATTTATCTACCTTTGGTCTTTCATGTTGGTGACCTTCAGATGGGGTTTTTTTGTGGTCATCCTTTCTGTTGATGTTGATGCTACTGCTTTCTGTTTGTTAGTCTTCCTTCTAACAGTCAGGCCCCTCTTCTGCAGATCTCCTGGAGTTTGCTGGAAGTCCACTCCAGACCCTGTTTGCCTGGGTATCACCAGCGGAGGCTGCAGAACAGCAAAGATTGCTGCCTGCTCCTTCCTCTGGAAGCTTCCTCCCAGAGGGGCACCCTCTAGATGTCAGCTGCAGCTCTCCTGTATGAGGTGTCTCCCAGTCAGGAGGCATGGGGGTCAGGGACCTACTTGAGGCAGTCTGTCCCTTAGCAGAGCTCGAGTACTGTGCTGGGTGATCAGCTGCTCTCTTCAGAGCCAGCAGACAGGAACGTTTAAGTCTGCTGAAGCTGTGCCTACAGCTGCCTCTTCCCCCAGGTGCTGTGTCCCAGGGAGATGGGAGTTTTATCTATAAGCCCCTGACTGAGGCTGCTGCCTTTCTTTCAGAGATGCCCTGCCCAGAGAGGATGAATCAAGAGAGGCAGTCTGGCTACAGTGCCTTTGCAGAGCTGTGGTGGGCTCTGCCCAGTGGGAACTTCCTGGCGGCTTTGTTTACACTGTGAGGGGAAAATCCACTTACTCAAGCCTCAGTAATGGCAGAAGCCCCTCCCCCCACCAAGCTCCAGCGTCCCAGGTCAACTTCAGACTGCTGTGCTGGCAGCAAGAATTTCAAGCCAGTGGATCTTAGCTTGTTGGGGTCTGTGGAGGTGGGATCTGCTGAGCAAGACCACTCAGCTCCCTAGCTTCAACCCCCTTTCCAGGAGAAGGAACAGTTCTGTCTTGCTGGCGTGCCAGGTGCCACTGGGGTACGAAAAAAAACTCCTGCAGCTAGCTCAGTGTCTGCCCAAATGGCCACCCACTTTTGTGCTTGAAACCCAGGGCCCTGGTGGTGTAGGCACCCGAGGGAATCTCCTGGTCTGTGGGTTGCGAAGACCGTGGGAAAAGCATAGTGTCTGGGCCGAATAGCACTGTCCCTCACGGCACAGTCCCTCATGGCTTCCCTTGGCTAGGGGAGGGAGTTCCCCGACCCCTTGTGCTTCCCGGGTGAGGCGACGCCCTACCCTGCTTCTGCTCATCCTCTGTGGGCTCCACCCACTGTCTAACCAGTCCCAATGAGATGAAGAGGGTACCTCAGTTGGAAATGCAAAAATCACCTGCCTTCTGCGTTGGTCTCACTGGGAGCTGCAGACTGGAGCTGTTCCTATTTGGCCATCTTGCCCCGATTGACCGAGTATGTTATATTTTATTGAGGGCCTTCTATAACACCTTGCCTGGGTTAGGCACTAGGGAGGTAAAACCATATAATGTAGAAAAAGTAGAGCTATAAAGGACCTTAGAGATTTCCTAGTTCAATCTCTCCATTTTACAGATCAAAGACACCCCAAAGGTTAGAAAGTCATCTGTTGAAGGTTGTATGGCTAAGCGAGTGGTAACATCAGGAATGAGTATCTTCTTTTCTCTTTCCCCTACCCTTCTCCACTCAACATTCTGACATTGCAAAGGCTGTGAAATTACCTAGGCTCTGAGATGGGATTAAACCAAACAGACCTTGTAAGAAAAGGAGGCTTGATGACTGAGCAGAATGAACTCAAAAAGTAGCAATCAAAGGAAATCTGAGTTTCTAGGGTAGCTAGAAGAATGACGGTGCCAAGGATAGAAATAGAGCTGAGTTTGTGTGAGGGTAGTGTTTTTCATTAACAAATATTTAGAGTTTCTACCACGTGACAAATACTGCTAGATGCAGGAAATATAGAAGTGAACGAGGCAGACTTTTGGCCCCTCCCCCAAGATATTAGGTTTTAAATGATGAATCCAGTATTGTAGGAGCTTGAAGCTTTGCATAATAGGCCATTCAAGTACAGCTATCCTTTGGAAGCTGCAAATACACGAGTGGAGCTCTAGTGAGAGCTACAAACGCTGGATTGAAGGGCACATGCCAAGGTGAATGATGAAGTCTTGATAGTGGCGATTGGATGCTCTGGGCAGAGGTCTGCAGCTCCCACCTCTGAAACAACAGGAAGGGTGCTGCATCCCAGGGTGCAGCTAGATTGCAGACCACTCTGTAGACGTGCAATCCTTGAATGCAGCTGCAAATCTACCCCTGGGCCTGGCACACAAGAAAGGGTTTGGAATGTAGGTGAATGCCAGTATGTTAACATCCTTGAATCTGTTGTAATTTCTATTAAGAAGGTAACTCATTACTGAAAACTATTAAATAAAACAAATTATGCAGCACAATAAGCAAATGATCACAATATTGTGGTACTAGAATTCCAAGGCTAAAAGTAACAGGTGAAAGGACAGTACAGAAAAAATGGGGTAAGGCACCACTGTGAAGTTAAGACATAGGAGAAAACAACAAATGTGGGATGAAGAAGAACAATCATACAAGTAAACAAAAACAGAAGTATAAAACTACTGAAAAACACAAAGAGGAAAGCGTTTCAAGAAGACAGAATGACAAAACGCCACTGATCCTGGTAGGGAGAATGAAAGCCCGTTGCCTGGAATTCACTAGAAGGAAGTGAGGCCCTGGATACAGACCACCTAGAAGACCTACAATCAAGGGAAAATGAAATAAAATAATAGGCCAGACACGGTGGCTCACACTTGTAATCCCAGCACTTTGGGAGGCCAAAGTGGGCAGATCACTTGAGGCCAGGAATTCGAGACCAGCCTGGCCAACATAGTGAAACCCCATCTCTACTAAAAATACAAAAATTAGCCGGGTTTGGTGGCATGTGCCTGCAATCCCACCTACTCAGGAGGCTGAGGCAGGAAATCACTTGAACCCTGGGGGTGGAAGTTGCAGTGAGCTGAGACTGCACCATTGCACTCAAGCCTGGGCCACAGAGCGAGACTCCGTCTCAAAAAAAAAAAAAAAAAAAAAAAACAATTTCCCAAACAACAAAAAAAAATTCTTTTAAATAAACAAAATAAAACAATTCCCTGTATTTAAACGACCAGCCACTTATAGACTCTTCCCTGTCATAAGATTACAACCTAGGAACAGGAAGCTGCTGTTACAGTCATGGATCTCAGTGGAAGCATTAGTACAGAGGAAACACCAAGGGCTTTGGAACTAGACAAACCTGAGTTCACAGCCTGACTCTCAGAATATTAGCCTTATACATCTGAACAAGTTTCTTCCTATTTGTGTCTCTTACTGTTCCCCATTCTTAGCACACTTTTGGATTTTTTTTTAATTACTCAGTGATGACACATAATACTCAAATTCAGACTTCCAAATGACAGTTTACTAAGAATAATAATTAAAATTTTTAGCCATGAAAGTTGAGTTGGGGGAAAAAAACAAGTACAGAAGAGATTCATATTAAAGCGGGCCCCTTAAACAATTTATATTGATTATTATTTTTATATATCTATTTCTGCATCTGAAATACAGTAAGGAAACAGGAAAGTCTTGTTGCTACAGATATTATTTATGGCAATCATAGTATCCATTTAATAGTCAAACCATGCAAATATATCCTGGCAGGAATAAGCATACTTTAAAAATCATTTGAAAAGGAAAACTTATTCTTTTTCTTACTTTTTGAAGCTGATGTGGTATAGATAGGTAAAGCTCTTGCTGCTCTTCTCAAAATTTCTTGTTGTCTTTCTTGGCTGAATTCTTTTTCATAACGTTCCTTTTCAGAATTGGACAAGTAGAACTATAAAAGGAAAGAGGACTATTAAATTTTTTTAATCCCATGATGTTAATTATCATGCTCAGAAAAAGTTTTATCTAGAAAAAAGAAAACCAAAAACTATTTTATGAAGACAAAACTTGTCTTCAAAAAAAAGCAGATAAATCAAGTACATTTTAACAAAAACTGTATACCTTTGGCATATTAAAAAATATTTGCCCTCCACACCAGATGGCAAAGAATATGAACTAAATATTTTTCCATCTTCGTTTTTCACAAATAAAATTAAATTTCTACACAGGAAAGGCTTAATATATAGTCTCCATTAGTAAAAATTTTAGTTGTTTAAAAGTTACTGTCAAGAGATTTTTAATTTTTGCAAGAATGTCCAAAGATTTACTTGCTTTGGGTGAAAGGCTAAATCACAGTCATGGGGTCCCGCTAATTTCTAGCCAAATGTCTCATGAAGGCCAAGGAGTCTTTTTTTTTTTTTTTTTAACCATTTTTAGCTTTCGAAAAGTTAACCAATAGGACTTAGTTTCACCAGAATTATGAAAGATTGTCAAGGCAAGCATAGTTGCCTTTTCAAGGACAGAGTCCTTTATAGACCTTTTTTTTTTCTTTTTTTTTGAGACGGAGTCTTGCTCTGTCGCCCAGGCTAGAGTGCAGTGGAGTGATTTCGGCTCACTGCAAGCTCCGCCTCCCGGGTTCATGCCATTCTCCTGCCTCAGCCTCCCGAGTAGCTGGGACTACAGGCGCACGCCACTATGCCCGGATAATTTTTTTTTTTTTTTTTGTATTTTTAGTAGAGGCGAGGTTTCACCGTGTTAGCCAGGATGGTCTCGATCTCCTGACCTCGTGATCTGCCCGCCTTGGCCTCCCAAAGTGGTGGGATTACAGGCGTGAGCCACCGCGCCCGGCCTAGGGCTGTTTCTTGTTTTCACTTCTTACTGTTTGTTCCCATGTGTGGCCAGCCTCTGGTTCGTTTCTCTTAATAGCATTTTCCCTTCAGAGTACTTGTTTATGTTTAATTGTTCTTTTCATATGTCATCCTAACATCTCAAGGATCCTAAGTTTTACACCTTAATTTCATGTTACCAGGAACTACAGGTTTCTATCAGTCTTTATTTCATAGATTAAAAAAAAAACAAAACTAAGAATGGCTTGAGATTTGTTCTTCATTGTGTTTTATATTTTAATAATACAATTCCTCAATTTTTATTTACTTGTAAGGTTCTGCTTAAAAAGCCCTAAGGAATCCTGACTTTCCATGTTTAAGGAGTATTTGGTCTAGTTGCTAACTCAAATACCAAAATGTCTCCTCCTCTTGCTGCCCCATCATTGCTAATGGTATTAGCTTAACAACACGGTATTCTGCTATAAACAAGGCAATAGCTTGGCATAGTAGAGAGAGCTCTGAGTTGAGGAAATTATGATTCTAAGAGACTTAGGCAATTTTCTAAGATTGCAGAACTACTGGCAGAGCCAACAGTAAAATACGGGTCTTCTGTGTTCTACTCTGGTACATTTTCCTCTATATTACAGTGTAAAATAAATGTTTTTGCTTTTTATAGATAGTTACTCTAACCTGACTAAAACACCATACTTTAGGAAATAGAAGAGTCTATTTAGATTACCTAGCTCAGCTTCCACAAGCAAAGTGTGATGGGACAAGAAACCCCCAAATTACTTATGGGGGACAAGAAGCAACATGGACAGATGAACAGGACAGTAAGAAGTCAGGAAAGACTCACATAATCTTAAAGATGAAAAAGTCTTAAAGACAATGGAGGCCCCTTATCTAATCTTCCATCACAAGCAGGGGTCTTCAGACATTTCTGACAGATTGGGCCCCTCTTGAATACTTTGAGAGAAATATTTTTCTATTTTGCAAGATGGCATGTTCTCTTTTAAGAGAATTTTAACTTGTTAGAAAGTTATTTCCTGACATGATGTGTCTCTTACATATTCATAGTAGAGTATAAAAATCACATGGTAACATGTTAAATATATTTGAATAGAAGATGTTCTGATCAAATTTTACAGATTCCTTATAAAACTTCAACAGATTTCCCTGGGCTATCCTATTCCTAGTCTGCAGTAGTATCCCAGGCCTCAAGCCTCTCTACTGCTACTCAACATCATTACTTTTCCTTAAGAATGAAGGTTATGGGCTGGGTGTGGTGGCTCACATCTATAATCCCAGCACTTTGGGAGGCCGAAGCTGGTGGATCACGAGGTCAGGAATTCAAGACCAGCCTGGCCAACATGATGAAACCCCCGCCTCTACTAAAAAAAATACAAAAATTAGCTGGGTGTGGTGGCATGCGCCTGTAGTCCCAGCTACTCGGGAGGCTGAGGCAGGAGAATTGCTTGAACCCGGGAGGTGGAGGTTGCAGTGAGCCGAGGTCACACCACTACACTCCAGCCTGGTGACAGAGTGAGACTCCATCTCAAAAAAAAAAAAAAAAAAAAGAATGAAGGTTATAAAATTATGAAAAGCTTAAACCAAACGAAAATTTCAAGAGACATCAGAATTTTAGATGAGGAATGGAACAAAACAAATATTCAAACAGATCATAATTTTGAATTAGTACTACAAGTTTGTCTTTTTATTCAAAACTAGTGAACAGAATTCAAACTATGAAATGCTATTATTGTCTTAAATTCAGTGTTCAGACAGTTCTATTTAAATATATATTAAATGCCAATTAAGAGTGAGGTGTTGTCCCAGATATCAGAGATCCAAAGATGAATAAAAACAACCATTGCCTTCAAAAAGTATATTTCTATAGTCTAGTAAGAGAGCCATATAAACAAAGAATTACAAAATACGAATCAGCATAAAGTACAACATTAATAATATATTACAAGGTATGATAAAAGCTCCCTTGGGAGGCAGTGGGAGATATCAATGAAAGTTTCTTGAAGGCAGTGTACCTAAGTTTTGAAAGATAAACAGGAATCTTTCAGGAAGACAGAGAAGAAAAGAAAATCTTGGCAAAGGGAACAGCATACAGAAAGCACAAGGATGTGAAAATAGTACAGTATATTCAGCTCAATACACTGCTTGAGTATAGAGTTCCATGAAGAAGCAATGAAGATTAAATTAGTAAGATTTTAGTTCATGAAGGGATTTGGTGTACCATGCAAACGAACATGACCTTTATCTTACAGCTAACTGGCAAACTCTGTAGGATTATAGTCAGGGAAGGGATGGGAAATACCTATCAGCTATTCACATGCTGCCGCCTCTTCCTCACCATTTCTTCATTTAAGTCTTTATCAATCGGCCTGTTATATACGAGGTCTGATTCTAAGTACTGGGGATACAGGAATAAACAACAAAGATTTTTCCTTCAAAAAGCTTAGTGGAAGAGATACTTATAAAGGTCTCAGCTTAAATACCACTTCCTCGGAGATTTATCTGACTATACTATCTAAAGTAGCTCTTTCTCCCCGAAAGTAGCTTTTACTTTGTTCTACTCTATCATATTACCATGTTATTTTTCTAAATTTATCACAATTTTTAATTATTTGTTTACTGTCTGTCTCTACCTTTAAGCCTAGCACAGTCTGATATCCGGTGGGTGGTCAAGAAGTACTGGATTGAAACAATGAAAAAAAGAAAAGACACCCCACCCGTATTTATAACTTAACTTCCTTAAAGATTTATAGTTTTTACTTTTTATTATTATTATTATTTTTGAGACAGAGTTTCACTCTTGTTGCCCAGGCTGGAATGCAATGGCGCAATCTTGGCTTACTGCATCCTCTGCCTCCCAGGTTCAAGCAATTCTCCTGCCTCAGCCTCCTAAGCAGCTGGGATTACAGGAGCATGCCACCACACCCGGCTAATTTTGTGTTTTTAGTAGAGATGGGGTTTCACCATGTTGGTCAGGCTGGTCTCGAACTCCTGACCTCAGGTGATCCACCTGCCTCGGCCTCCCAAAGTGCTAGGATTATAGGGGTGAGCCACCACGTCTGGCCCTAGTTTTTGCTTTTTAGACCCAATCAATTCCCCTAGACCTAGATCTCCAAGCATTGTTCTAACCTCTGAGCTGACTGAATCCTCCTAATAAAAGCTGTGAGTTTGGTGTTATATTAGCACCAACTTCTGAGCTGACAGAATCCTCCTAACAAAGCTGTGAGCTTGGTATTACATTAACATCAAATTCACAGCTTTGTAATTGCTTATACAGGCCTACCTCAGTCAGCACACTGTAAGCTCAGTGACAAAGAGAATCTTAAATTCCTGTTCTTGGTTGTCTCTAGAGCTTAGCTTAGCTGGCCCATGAAGATTTAATAATTAATTAATTTAATAGTTACTGAAAATCCACTATGTGCCAGATAGTGTGGGAAGGGATATAGTGCAGAATGCAACGTAAATATCCCTGCCCTCACAATATTTAAAATTTAATAATGTGATGCATATTAGTAAACAGGCAATTACAATACCAGATGATAAGTTCTCTGACAGGGCAAATGGAGCATGCCACAGCAAGGTCACTGGATACAGGCTTGGGCAGTCAGATGACCTTATAGGAGTAGAGGAGAATGAAGGAGAAGTTGATGTAAAGGCTTAAGCTCTGGGCTGAATGCTAAATGGATGCAATATGCTAGAACCACCACCAAAAAAAATAACAACAACATTTTGATGGTACTTATTAGGTGCTAAGCATTCTTCTGAGCCCTTTATATACACTATTAACTCCATATATTAATATCTATTATTAATTACATAGATTGCTAATTTGCTCAATTATTATAGCTATCCTATGAGGTGGGTACTAGTATCACCCTCACTTTACAGAGGAGGGATCAACTAAGGAAAGTCTCCAAAGTCACACAGCTAACATGGCTAGTAGGCTGCAGAAGTATGAGCTAAACCTGAGCAGTTTTAGTCCAGAGTCTGTGTGGTACTGTTGTTGTTGCTGTTGTCTGAGACAGGGTCTCACTCTGCTGCCTGGGCTGCAGTGCAGTGGCATGATCACGGCTCACTGCAGGCTAAACCTTCATGGGCTCAGTGATCCTCCCACCTCAGCCTCCCGAGTAGCTGGGACTACAGGTGCATGCCACCATGCCCAGCTAATTTTTTTTATTCTTTGTAGAGATGGGGTTTGCTACATTGCCAAGGCTGATGTCAAAGTCCTGGGCTAAAGTGATCTGCCTGCCTGCCTTGGCCTTCCGAAGTGCTGGATTACAGGCATAAGCCACCACGCCTGGCCTGCATTCTTAACCTCTACATTATACTGCTTCTCAAAAGTACTACCAATTATTTTTCTTATTCTATTTCTTATTTCCTGAAATGAGAATTATTTACTTTTTACACATGCTATGTTTTCAATAGTCATCACTACTAGTAATTGATTAAATAAAATTAAGTCCTTTTCAATTTCAAGATTAAGAAATGGATAGTTTGTAACATAACTTTAAGGGTTGACTAATTAGTAACAAATGCCTGATGAATACATTTGAAGCAACACTAAAATTTGACTTATAGTTTACTTTACCTTTTAAAACAAAAGCATCTAATAGAAAAAGCAGGCAAAAGACTATACAGCATTACTTGCTAATGTTAAATGTATATATACTAGTTCTACTCCTAGGCATCTATCCAAAAGAACTACATATATATTATCCAAGAGACATGCACTAGAATGTTTATAGCAGCCCTATTTGTAACAGCTCTAAGCTGGAGGCTACCCACATGCTCATCAACAGTAGACCGAGTAAACAAACTGTGTTACATACTACAACTGAATACTAAACAATAATGAGAATGAATGATCTGCAACTATACGTAACACAGATGAATCTTACAAATAGAATGTTAATGAAAGAAGCCACACACACATATGACTATGACTATACACATACACACACCACTAGAAAACTCCATTTATATTTAATACAAAAACAGGCAAAACTAATCTATGCTGTTAGAAGGCAAGAGAGTGGCCTCTTATGAAGTGGATGACTGAAAGGAAGCATCAGGGGTTGACGGGGTTCTGGTAATGTTCTGTTTCTTGAATTGGGTGGTAGTTACACAGGTGTGTACACATATGCATACTTTTTGTATATATGTTCTTCACTGCAAAGTTAAATAGAAGTTGATACTATTTTTAAACATATGGTCTATAATTTTTAATGATTTTGATAAATTTAACACAAAGGGAAACGATTACATTATCATCATCATCTAATATTTGAGTCCTAACAATGTGGCAGGTACACTAGTATTTTAAAAGCTTAGGCCGGGCGTAAATGGCTCACGCCTGTAATCCCAGCACTTTGGGAGGCTGAGGCGGGTGGATCACCCGAGGCCAGGAGTTCAGGACCAGCCTGACCAACATGGGGAAATCCCGTCTCTACTGAAAATACAAAAATTAGCCGGGCATGGTGATGCGTGCCTGTAATCCCAGCTACTCAGGAGGCTGAGGCAGGAGAATCGCTTGAACCTGGGAGGCGGAGGTTGTAGTGAGCCAAGATCGTGCCATCGTACTCCAGCCTGGGTGACAAGAGCGAAACTCCATCTCAATAAATAAATAAATATATAAATACATGCATGTTTTAACTGAATAAACCTCACAATCTTTACAAACATCCTACAGAGACAGGCACAATTGTTAGTTCCATTTTTTGATAAGAAAACTGCAGCTTGGAGAGATTAAATTGTTAGAGCAAAAGATCAAACTCAGACAACTCTAACTCTAGAGAATATATTCTTAACCACCTTGCTATAAGAAATTTTCGGTGAAGGAAGAATTCAGTCAGCTATGGAGAGGTAAGAGAGACACTGGTCATAAAACCTACTCCACATAAATGTTTACCTATATTATTTTCCAAATGGAACCTCCAATTAGAAGAAACACTAGTCATATTAAAGTGCAGCAAGCAATAGCCTAGACAATTTGTTTCCATCACAAAACTTTCTTTAATTGCAGCATATCTGTTCATGCCTGAGAAAATATAAATGTTGAGAGTTTCTAAAAATAAACTCTACTTTCCTAACGCAATTCTGTTCCTTGAGACTTTTTATTCCAGTAATATAAAGTATGTCTTTAAAGACACATAGCATGGCAGAAAAATAGTAAGCATTTCTATACCGCTGAACTTTTACTATGCTGTGTCAGTGGACTGTATCTGAGAATAGGCTGATGACTCACATTCACAGTACAGAGCAACCAAGCAGTTTTATGAATGGAAACAGAACACATGCATTATGTAAAGTTTTAACAAAGGTAACACAAGGGAAAAAAAATTCCATAATCAGTTAAAACATTTGGTAATTTACCAACATTAAATTTACCTCTTTGGAGGGGGAAGCGGGAGATGTGAAAATTGTCATCCAATAGGACCATACAAACATAACAAAGAACAGATGGAAAGCCACAAGGTAAACAACGGTCTTTCCTGGTAAATAAAAACAAATAACAGTTCATTGAATCCAGGTGAAAACAGCAAAAAGCATTACATTAAAACACAATAATTGGGTCAGGAGGCCGAATCCAATAAACAATTAAATTAAAATGTACTGAAACATCAAATATATAAACTTTACTTGCATGAGGAAACATTACTAGATATGAAGAAATATTCTGTTCCTATATTTAAGGATTATCAGTCTGGTTTATAAGATGAGATTTAAGAGGAGATTTGATTGTATTAAATTGCTGAAGATTTAAGCTAAAACACTTTCTTCACGCACTATATTTCAAGTTCTCCAAAAGCTCATTTTAAATGACTTAAAATTATTTAAAACAGAATCTATTACTATGAACATTACATCCAAGGAACTGTCAACTGAAAGTAAATAAGTTACCATCACCATAAATGATGAATACATCTGAGTAACTCATTCCCTGTATTGTTCAGAAAAAGTGACCTAAATTTCATTCCCCTGTTCAATACAGGCTAACAAGAAAAAGTTTTGGCCATTTTGAATATCTAACATAACTGTTTCCCAAGTAGATTAATGTTAACATTCCAAAATATTTCAAAAGATTTTTGTTGTATTCTATATATTTGAAAGAAGCAGTACTGATTTCTTTAAGAAGCAAGAACTATCTATCAGATGCTTAAACTCTTTTTCAGTTTGTAATGCAGCACCATAAACCCACTGAAGATAATAAATTCAGACAAGTCTGAAATTCTACTCATTTTTAAAGTTTAGATAAAATGCTACTCCTTCCACAAAGGTCTTTTCTGTTACTTTCAGAATTCATTACTTCTTCATATTGCACTCTCCAAATAATTTGCTTAGATTTCAATTAAAGTACTTATTTCAGTAAAGTTAGCTGCTTAATACTGATGAGGTAATACATGCAAAACACTTAGAAGGATGCCTGGCACACAATAAATCCTCAATAAATACTGATTATTAATATTATTACTATTAGTCTTATCCAGGTATTTTAATGATTTTCTCCAAAATTTGGTCCTTTTTGTGCATTCCCTTTATCAGTGTTTCTCAATTTTAAGAAGTGATAAAGTGTTCACTGGTCTGCGCTGAAAAAAAAAAAAGAAAAGAAAGACCAAGAACAATGTAAGGAAGCTTTTGTAAAAGCTAACATGTATTCAGTTTGAAGTACTGTCCTTCCTTTGGACTGAGGTTTATTTTCCTTTATGTTTTTGGTTTAAAAATTGCTTGTACTTTTCAAATAAAATAATAATAATAATTGACAACCCTGTTGCAACCCAACCTTTTCTTCTGAAATTGTATTGGGTTCATGCCAGATCTCAGAGAACAGAAACTCCAGTCACGCAGTTGACCAATGCAGAAATCCAGGCCTGAAATGACTCCTTGTATCTCACAGCTTATCAGTACAAATACTACTAATTCTAGCTCCTAAAATTTCTCACCAAGTGAACTCATTATTATTATTTTCGTTATTTTTCAATAATTTCAATAATTATCATTATTTTCACTGCCAGTGCATACTTCATAAATTGTTGCCTACGTTCTTTGGATTGCTGCAAAAGCCAATTGGTCTCCTTGCTTCCAATCCATCTCAGTGGTTGATGTAAAATATGTTGCTCATAGTTTCTTTTCCCTCTTGGCTGTGGAATTCCTAAGAAATAATTCCAACCTCATGACCAGCACATCCTAGTAAAACCCTGGGACTACTCAGTCACCATATTTGACTATAGGTACTCAAATCACCATTCCTATGTACTGAAAGCCAACTAGAAGGCATATAATCTATGCCTTATTTCTAACCCTCACAGTAAGTCTTCTAAGGTATCATTCCAGTTTACAGATGTAAACAGTGAGGCTCAGAGAATTTAATACTTTGCCCAACGTCACTTAGTTATTAAATGATGAAGCCAGAATTCAAACTCATATCTGTTTGACAAAAATCCAAGGTTCTTTTCACTATGTCCTAGCTAAAATTATAGTTTCCTCCACGTTTTAAACCATCATCTTAATGGTCATATTCCACTTCTAAGCCAATATCTGATGCCAAGATAAAATCGTAACCCTAACTTCCTTCTATTTTCAAATGTGCTCTTCTTGTTTCCACTAACATTGATTGTCATACACATTAAAAACTGGTTTCTCAAAATCTGCTCTCTCTATCCTGTCAGTTCCCTTCAGGTTGAACCCCATGGTGTACCCAATGGACTCAGTATCATTGCTTTGGCCAGGTGCAGTGGCTCGTGCCTGTATTCCCAGCACTTTGGGAGGCTGGGGCGGGCGGATCACTTGAGGTCAGGAGTTCAAGACCAGCCTGGCCAACATGGTAGAACTCCATCTCTACCAATACAAAAAATTAGCTGGGCGTAGTGGTGCACACTTGTAATCTCAGCTACTTGGTAGGCTGAGGTGGGAGGATCGCCTAAACCTGGGAGGCAAATGTTGCAGTGAGCCGAGATCGTGCCACTGCACTCTAGCCTGAGCGACAGAGCGAGACTCCATCTCAAAAAAAAAAGAAAAAGAAAAAATATATATATTATATGTATATTTTATATATTACATATAATTGCTTCATTTGTTTTTCCTTTGGAAAAGTGTGCAAGAACTTAGTTTCCTACTGCTATGATAACACTGAGACCATTTAACAACTATGCAATGTTATCTTCACTTTGCTTACTTCCTTCATAAATAGTTTTGCCTAGACCCCATATTAAATCAGGCTTGTTGTTCCTCATCTATACACTATCATATAACTTTGAGATAGATGGTAACTTTGAGATACTTTAAATGTAAAAACAATATACTCTTCATAGTTTTAAAAACATTTAATATAATTTTAGAATATTTCCTTTCTTCATGAAAACAAAAGAAAATGGTTTTGCTTAAAAATATATTCTGTTAAAAAATAGATAAAATAAAGCTCTTAACACGAGACCTAGAATATGGTAAGTACTTAAAAGATGTTATCATTAACTTATAATGAGTAAAGAGTAACAGAAAACAATGCTTTTCACTAAATTCAAATTAATGTGATTATCAATAGGCAAACTTCTGGTTACATATACATGCTATTAAACCATTGGTTACAAGTAATATAGGAAGTAAAATCATAGTTAACTGAGAAAATTAAATCAAAGTTGAAAGAAAAACCTGAAACCTATATACCAAACTCTGTGTTCAGAAGTTCAAAAATCACCCGTAACTGAATTTAAAAACAAACAAGCTAACAACAACAAAAGACTGTATTGAAAGACTCTTTGGCCAGGCAACGTGGCTCACGCCTATAATCCCAGCACCTTGGAAGGCAGAGGCAGGCGAATCACGAGGTCAGGAGATCGAGACCATCCTGACTAACACAGTAAAACCCCGTCTCTACTAAAAAAATACAAAAAATTAGCCAGGCGTGGTGGCAGGTGCCTGTAGTCCCAGCTACTCAGGAGGCTGAGGCAGGAGAATGGCGTGAACCTGGGAGGCGGAGCTTGCAGTGAGCCTAGATTGCGCCACTGCACTCCAGCCTGGGCAACAGAGCGAGACTCTGTCTCAAAAAAAAAAAAAAGACTCTGAGAGACACGGTAAAAATAGCCCCAAGAGATAATGATTTAAGTTAAAAGTTCTTTTATAAGAACTTCTGAAATTCTTTGCTTTCTGTATCTGTGCTTCCAACATACAGGAAACATTTTTGATTTAAAGAAAGAAAATAAGCCAACCAAGATTGAGTCTGCGTTTATTCTGTTACTGACAAATTAAATTTAAAGGTAATTTAATATTTACATACTTAATGCCTAATTGTCTCCAGTAAGAGGAATTACTATTTATTAATAATTTCTAACTGTTCAAGTATTTTAGAAATCCTCTGGAGTTTTGTATGCCCAATTAAATTTTGTTTAAATTTAATCTCAACAGACTTATGAAATTTGCTTTTATCCCAGTGAAATTTTGAGAGATGATTTTTCCCTCTGGGCACTATCTTTTTTACTTAGTTGTTATAAAAACTTTAGCTTCCTTAAACTGGTAATGCAATTTACAAATTTACAGTCTGGTTATTTTCTTAAATATCTGTGCATTGTAAATTGCGATTTTAACAAATGCCTAAACGAGAACCATCAATAAAATTTAGACATCATGAAAGCAGAATTGTCTCCTCAACCTAGCTAGAACTCATATTAAAAAAATCTAAATAAAAAGTTTTGAAGAACATATGAGACAAATATTTATATAAATACACAAAGAAGTTTGAGTACTAGGTGTTGTACAAAATAATGTCTACTTTAATTTACATAAATAACACAAAATGAGAATACATGAAATGTCTTGGTCTGGAAATAACCCCATTACTAGATCTCCTTTTAATTACTTAAAATGTAAAGATAGGGATTTTATTTCTAAAAAACAAAAACACATGCATTCATCACTAAATAAAAAGTATGTTCCAATTAAAATATCATTAAGCATTTAACTTAAATTGAAACTAAAAGTGCCTTACCATTTTCTTCATTTCCAAAAATAGTAACTAGAATAGAAGAAAAAATAGTGAATAAATATACTTTAAACATTTTGTATGTAAGTTTTATTTCAGGTTGAATATTCATCTTAATATCATTTTCAAAAAAATAAACTTTAGTTATAAATTGTAGACACTAATGCAAAGTCAAAATTGCACTTAAAAAACTCCAAAACCATTAAAATACTAAAATCCAAATTCTTTATCATTAACGCTACAGTCACACTAAATGTTTTCAGAACTTTATTAATTTTAAGTGTATCAACATGTTTATAGCTGCAATGTTTTCTTTAGCTCTTTCCTTAATGATATCTGCAGAATGAACAGAACTGTCCTCTATGACCCCCATAACTTATTTGTTAGTCTGTGATGTACTCTTATCAACCTCTTTGTGAATCTATACTCAAGACAAATGTATTTTTCTAAAGAAAAAAGTAGAGGAACTTACCCTGCTAATTTTTAGTGTTTTTTTCCTCTGAATAATCAAATACTGAAGAAGTCAGACTACGCACAGAAAAGGTAATTCAGTGTCTACCTCTCTTATGTTTTCTTCCACCTTGTATTACTATTGTGATGAATAAAGCCAACAACCACTTCAGTCTACCAAGCCTGAAACCCTGTGAACTGCTATTTACTCTTTCTTCCTGGATAATTCAATGGCCTCGAGTCCTGTTGGTTCTACTATCTAAGTCTCTTTATAATATGTCACCTATTCTTCAGTCCCTCCCCACTGTCTTCCTCAAATGCAACAGCTTAAGGCATCTTCCTGCAGTCAGTGTAACACACCACCACCACTAGCAAATCTGATGAATACTCTTCAATACCTGTGAGTCACTTTCAGAATGAAGTCCAAAATCTTCAGGGTAGCAAACACTACAAGCCCTCTGTAATCTACAATCTGTCTACCTCTCTGGTTTCTTCCTTTTTTTCTCCTTTTCTTTTTTTTTTTTTTTTGAGACAGGGTCTAGCTCTGTTGCCCAGCCTGGAGTGCAGTGGCACAATCTTGGCTCACTGCAACCTCCACCTCCCAGGTTCAAGTGATTCTCCTGCCTCAGCTTCCCGAGTAGCTGGGATTACAGGTGAGTGCCACCACGCCTGGCTAATTTTTGTTATTTTTAGTAGAGATGGGTTTTCACCATGTTGGCCAGGCTGGTCTCGAACTCCTGACTTCAAGTGAATCCGCCCACCTCAGCCTCCCAAAGTGTTGGAATTACAGGCATGAGCCACCGCGCCAGGCCCTCTCTAGTTTCTTCTGTCATTTGCCCATATTTCTGGTGTAATTATTCTAAACAAATTGTGGTTTCCCAAATGCATCAAGCTGTTTCATATGTGCCATGTACCTTGTCTATTCACCCTTCAAGGCCCGTTTTGAATACTCCTCTGTAAAGTCTTCCTGAGTCCCTCTTTAGCCAGAGTAGATCACTCCTTTATATCACCACTGATCACTCTTCCATCTTTACCACACCATCTCATTTTTCTTTTTTTCTTTTTATTTTTTCAATTACTTGTCAATATGTCTGTCTCACCTTACTGGAATAAATGCTCCTTGAAGTGTGGAATCATGTCTTAGAATAGTAACAACCCTGCAAGTTATCATTAGCTCCATTTTACAGATAAGTAAACTAAGGCTCAAAATAATTAAATGACCTTCCTAAGGTCACAGAGCTAGTATATGTAGTATAGATGGGATTTGAACTAAAAGTCTGTTCAGACTACTGGTAAGGATGAAAACTTGATAATATACTGTGTTATCACCCTCCTCCAAGTAGAAAATCTGAATTTAAAATAACATCTAGCTAATAGTTTCCAGCGGTTGTCTCTTTCAGCTTCTCACCAAGATATTCAGGGAACAATAAAACTGCTTCATATAAAAACAAAGCTAGGCCGGGCACGGTGGCTCACGCCTGTAATCTCAGCACTTTGGGAGGCTGAGATGGGTGGATCACTTGAGGTCAGGAATTCGAGACCAGCCTGACCAACATGGTGAAACCCCGTCTGCACTAAAAAATGCAAAAATTAGCCAGGCATGGTGGCATGCACCTATAGTCCCACATACTCGGGAGGCTGAGGCAGGAGAATCACTTGAACCCAGGGGGCAGAGGTTGCAGTGAGCCAAGACTGCACCACTGCACTCCAGCCTGGACAACAGAACTAGACTCTGTTTCAAAAAAAAAAAAAAAAAAAAACCAAACCAACAATGGCTAGAATCACTTCTTCACAGAGGACTTTCCTGACCACAGAATGGGTTAAATAAATCTCGGTATATATTCCTACAACACTTTATACTTTCCCTTTCATAACACCCCTGACACTTGTAATTACTGGTTTACAGTTCATAGTTCCTCCTAGGTTTTTTTCCTGGAGGTAGAGGACATGACTTTTTCACCAGCATCTGAAACAGTGTACGGCATGGAACACACTCTTAATATTTGCTAATGGCACCTCTAACTACAGAGACAAAGACATGGCTGGGAACAGCAATCTGCAGAACCTCTCTCAGTGAGACGAGGCTATTCCTTTTTATGGGGATCCCAAAATATATTTTTCTTTTTTGTTTTGTTTTGTTTTTGAGACAGAGTTTTGTTCTGTCACCCAGGCTGGAGTAAAGTGGCGTGATCTTGGCTCACTGCAACCTCCACCCTCCAGGTTCAAGCAATTCTCCTGCCTCAACCTCCCGAGTAGCTGGGATTACAGGTGCACGCCACCATGCCTGGCTAATTTTTGTATTTTTAGTAGAGACGGGGTTTCACCATGTTGGCCAGAATGGTCTTGATCTCCTGACCTCGTGATCCACCTGCCTTGGACTCCTGAAGTGCTGGGATTACAGGCGTGAGCCACCGCACCCAGGCCCAAACTATGTTTTTTAAAAATTCTTTTGATGACAAAACCAAGCTTATAAAAACTATTAGGACTGGGCGTGGTGGCTCATGCCCGTAATCTCAGCACTTTGGGAGGCTGAGGCAGGTGGATCACGAGGTCAGGAGTTCAAGACCAGCCTGGCCAAGATGGTGAAACCCCATCTCTACTAAAAATACAAAAAATTAGCTGGGCATGGTGGCGTGCGCCTGTAGTCCCAGCTACTCAGGAGGATGAGGCAGGAGAATCGCCTGAACCTGGGAGGCGGTTGCAGTGAGGCAAGATCACACCACTGCACTCCAGCCTGGGTGAAAGAGTGACACTCTGCCTCAAAAACAAAACAAAATAAAACAAAACAAAAGAACAAAACAACAACAAAAAAACCCAACAACAACAAAAATTATTAGGCACACTAAATGTTTATACATTTTTTTATGTAAGAAATGTCATTTTTCAATCTTGTCAATGACACTAACCTCATTTAGAGACAACATTAATTTATGGTTCTTTGTGAACATGAGGGCTGGCTATGTCCTATTCTTCACTTCATTGCCCCCTTTTCTTGCCTGTCTCCCACTTATTGAGCCTGAAAATATCAGATACTCACTTTATCAGTATACTTGTATCTACTATGGCTATGGGATCCAGTTCTTGCAAATGGATACATCTTGAGGGAGGGAAAAACTGTCACTGGGAAAAAATTTTTTTGCCCTCCTTAACAAGTGAGAAGCACGTGAGAAAGAAGCTCTATTATTTCCTTTATCCTGTTTTTGCTTTGAATTCTTATAATGTGAGGATGTGCTATCTGAATGTACAACTGTCAACTTTCAACCTTGATGGGCCAGTTATATGCTGGATATAGAATTCTGGGTTGACAGTTCTTTTCATTCAGTACTTTAAATATGTACTACTTCCTTCTAAATTCCACGGTTTCTGATGACAAATCTGCTGTTATTCTGTTTTTCCCCTATAGGTAAAGTGTCCTCACTGTTTTCAAGATTTTATATTTAGTGGTCAGAAATTTGGTTATAATGTATGTTGGAGTGGATTTCTTTGGGATTTTCCTGTTCAGAGTTTGCTGAACTTCTTAAGTTCTTCTTGAATATGTCCTTCGCCAAGTTTGAAAATTTTAAGCTATCATTTCTTTGAATACCTTTTCAACCATATCGTCTTTCTTCTCCCCTGGGACTCTGATGGTACAAATATTAGAACTTTTAAAAATAGTCCCACAAGTCCCTGATGATTTGTTCATTTTTATTTTTCAGTATATTTTCTCTCTTTTGTTCAGATTGGGTAATTTCTAATGTTTTATCTTCAAGTTCATTCACTTCACTTTTTTTCTCTGCCCTCTCCATTCTGCTGTTCAGTTGACTTTTTAAAATTTTGGCTATTGTATTTTCAGTTTAAAAATCTCCATCTGGTTCTTTACATCTTCTATTTCTTTGTTGAGAATTCTATTTTTTCATAATTCAATAGCAAATTGAATCACTTTAAAGATAGCTGCATTAAAGTCCTTGTCAAGTA
This sequence comes from Homo sapiens, assembly GCF_000001405.40. Classification (NCBI taxonomy): domain Eukaryota; kingdom Metazoa; phylum Chordata; class Mammalia; order Primates; family Hominidae; genus Homo; species Homo sapiens. The sequence continues at coordinate 21,430,050 of NC_000013.11, forward strand.
ATTCCAACATCTGTGTCTTTTTGGTTTTAGTATCTATTCTCTTTTCTCATTTAGTTTTCCTGGTTCTTGGTAGGATGGATGGTTTTCAATTGTATCCTGAAATGTTTTAGTATTATGCTGAGACTCTAGATCTTATTTAAATTTGTTTTTGCAGGCCTCGTCTGACTCCGTGCAGTGAGAGATGTGGGAGCACCACCTTGTTGCCATCAGGTGGGAGTCCAAGTCCCAGCTCCCTGCTAGGCTTCTGCACACATATCTTGGCTGGGAAGGGTAGAGGTGCCTCCTTAGTGCTTCCCAGATAGCCTCCATTGACACCATGAGAGGGAACTTGTTACTGTTTGGGGTGGGGGGATGGAAGGGACACATCATTACTGCCCAGTGGGAATGAAAATCTAGGCTCCTGACTAGGGCTTCACCTTTTCTGATACTATCCCAGCAGGAATACTGGGGAAGAGACACAGGAGGGGGGTCTTGTTACAGCTGGGCAAGCAGGAGAGGTCTTAAGCTCAATACTCAGTCTTTGCTGGTGAGAGTGGGGGATGGAGCACAGTTTGTCTATTGTTTTTGGCTAGAGTAGGGCAGTTATTGTCTACAAGTTTTCTGTCTTACTAGGTTGTCCCTTTCCTGGCTTGACTAATAAAACTGGTCTTTTCTAGGGTTTGTTTTGGTCTGTATTCATTGGTGTTTCCAGGTTGACAGCTTCTCTAGCACATATATGAAGAAAAAAAAAATCTAGGGAACACACCACCATGTTATTCCTCAGGTCGCAAGGTCCCTAGCTGATCTGGCTTCTTCTTGATACCTTTCAGAGTCTCCTCAGGTTTGTTTTCTGCACACTTTCCATGGATTTTAGCTGTACTTACTAAGAAAAGGAAGAAGTCTCTATTTCATCTTGTCTCAGAACTGGAAGTCCCTGCTTGTCCTTTTACTGCCGAATAGCATTCTGTTATATGGAGGTATGACAACTTTATCCATTAATCAGTTCATAGGCATTTGAGTGATTTCACCTTTTTGTCTATTATGATTACTCGTGTATTCACCAAGCCTTTGGGTGGACATAATATTTTTGTATTAGTCCATTTTCACGCTGGTGATAAAGACATACCCAAGACTAGGAAGAAAAAGAGGTTTAATTGGACTCACAGTTCCACATGGCTGGGGAGGCCTCAGAATTATGGCTGGAGGCAAAAAGGCACTTTTTACACAGTGGAGGCAAGAGAAAATGAGGATGCAAAAGCAGAAACCCCTGATAAAACCATCAGATCTCTCTTGAGACTCATTCACTACCACGAGAACAGTATGGGGGAAACCACCCCCATGATTCAAATTATATCCCACTGGGTCCCTCCCACAACACAGGGGAAATTACAGGAGTACAACTGAAGATGAGATATGGATGGGGACACAGCCAAACAATATCAATTTTCATTACTTAATATCTAAAAATGGGATTGCTGGGTCTAATGTTAAATATGTGCTTAACTTTACCAGTAACAGCCAAACTGTTTTCAAAGTGGCTGTATTTGGCACAAAGTGTTTGGCACTTCCACTTACAATGGATCAGAGTTATAGTTGCTCCACATCCTCACCAATACTTAGAATTGACAGTTTTTAAAATTTAGCTGTTCTAAAAAATATGCAGTGGTATCTTCATTTCACTTTTGTGTTTTTCTAATAACTACAGCATCTTTTCATGTGTTTAACAATCACTATCCCTTATTTGTGAAGTTATATGTTCAATGGTGCCCCTCTTTTAACTGTATTGCTTATTGAGTCATGAGTTCTTCATATATTCTGGATACAAATCTTGATATGTGTGTGCCAATATTTTCTCCTAGGCCATAACTTGCCTCTTTATATTTTTAACAGTGTCTTTTGAAGAGCACAAACTCTTAATTTTGATGAAGTCTTAATTTAATTTATCAATTTTTTTCTTTTATCATTCATGCCTGGGAAATCTTTGCCAACCTATGAAAGTCACAGTTTCTCATATGTTTTCTTCTGGAAGTTTTATAGGTTTTATATTTAGGTCTGTAATATATTTCATTTTCATTTTATATCATTTCATATTTTTTATTATTTTTGAGACAGAGTCTTGCTCTCATTTTATTTCATATTTTATTTTATTATTTTTCAGACAGAATCTCGCTCTGTCGCCCAGGCTGGAGTGCAGTGGTGCGATTTCAGCTCACTAAAACCTCCGCTTCCTGGTTCAAGCCATTTTCCTGCCTCAGCCTCCCAAGTAGCTGGGACTAAAGGCATGCACCACAGTGTCCCACTAATTTTTTTTTTTTTTTTGAGACAGAGTCTCGCTCTGTAGCCCAGGCTGGTGTGCAGTGGCGTGATCTCGGCTCACTACAAGCTCTGCCTCCTGGGTTCACACCATTCTCCTGCCTCAGCCTCCTGAGTAGCTGGGACTGCAGGCGCCCACCACCATGCCTGACTAATTTTTTTTGTGTTTTTTAGTAGAGATGGGGTTTCACCATGTTAGCCAAGGTGGTCTGGATCTCCTGACCTCGTGATCCACCTGCCTCGGCCTCCCAAAGTGCTGGGATTACAGGCATGAGACATCTCTCCTGGACAACTTTTTTGTATTTTTAATAAAGATAGGGTTTCACCATGTTGGCCAGGCTTGTCTTGAACTCCTGACCTCAACTGATCCGCCTACCATGGCCTCCCAAAGTGCTGGGATTACAGGTGTGACCCACCATGCCCCCCCATGTAATCCATTTTAAAAAGTTGATACTTTGTATATGGTACAGGTAAAGGTTGAGGTTAATTTTTTTACATATGAATGGTGAATAGTTCTTACAGTGTTAGTTGAAATAACTATTTGTTCTTCATTAAATTAACCTGGAATTTTCTTATGGGAATCAACTGACTATACGTGTAAGGGTTTATTTCTGAACTCTATTTTGTTCCACTGGTCTATATGTCCATTCTTACTCAGATACTACAGTCTTGATTACATATAGCTTTCAGTAAATCTTGAAATCAGATAGTATGGGTCCTCCAACTTATTATTTTTCAAAAGTATTTTGGCTATTTTAGGTTTGCATTTCCATATAAATACTTACTTATTTTTACCTTTTTTAGAGACAGGATTTTGCTGTATTGCCCAGGCTTGTCTCAAACTCCTGGGCTCAAGCAGTCTGTCTGTCTCAGCCTCCCAAGTAGCTAGGACTATAGGCCTCCTGAGTAGCTAGACAGCTTGCATGCCATTGTGTCTGGCCCATGTAAATTTTAAACTCATCTTATTGATTTCCTTAAAAAAATACTCAAACAAGGCCAGGCATGGTGGCTCATGCCTGTAATCCCAGCACTTTGGGAGGCTGAGGCGGGCGGATCATGAGGTCAGGAGATCGAGACCATCCTGGCTAACACAGTAAAACTCCATCTCTACTAAAAATACAAAAAATTAGCCGGGCGTGGTGGCGGGTGCCTGTAGTCCCAGCTACTCAGGAGGGTGAGGTAGGAGAATGGCGTGAACCCAGAAGGCGGAGCTTGCAGTGAGCCGAGATCACTCCACTGCACTCCAGCCTGGGTGACAGAGCAAGACTCCATCTGGTGGGGGTGGGAGGCGGGAATTCACAAACAAAAATCTGCCTGGTTTTGTTTTTTGTTTGTTTGTTCTGGGAGATCCAGTGCTGGCTGATGCCTGGATTTTGACTGGCTGAACTTACAGATCAACTTGGGGAGAAGTAATGTCTTTGAAATATTGTCTTACAGCCCATGACCATGGCGTAGCTCTCCATTTTAGATTTTCTCTATCACACAGAATCTTGCACATATTTTATTAGACTTATCCCTAAAATATTTCATGTTTTTGATGCTATTATAAACAGCATTTCTAAAAATTCCAATTTTAATTACTCATTGCTATAGAATAGTATTTAGAAATATGTTTTAGTTTTTTTATTGACCTTGTATGCTGGCTCAATTCACTTTTCGGTTCTAGTAGCTTGTTTGCAGTTTCTTTGGGATTTTCTACATAAATGACTAGTCTGGTAATCAACAGGGTTTGTTTTCCTTTCCTACGTGTGTGTGTGTGTGTGTCTGTGTGTCTGTGTGTGTGCGTGCACACCATTTTAAAAGGAAGATTAAATACCTGATAAGTTGATACCGATATTTCCAATTAAAATTAAAGTCTACAGGGTTTTTACTTAACATCTTCTATCTCACATTTGTATCTCCTTTTTCCATTGAGAATTCTGGTTCTCAAGGACACAAGGGATGAAGAATTAGAATACCCCATATTGCTTACCCAATAATCTCGAGATAATGACAATAACACTGCCAGTAATATGATTACTTAAAAGTTTGAATAATTTTTTCATATATTCTCTCTCCATTCTCTAGTAGTTGTGCTGAATCAAAATTGTTAAAGCATATAGTATCCATTACAAACATTATTCCTCATTTAGTCTTAGTCTTGGGTCCACAAGAAAATAAATATTTAATGTTCATATTAGAGTTTAATTTGTATCTCTGCAGTCAATTTGGTTGTCTGAAGCTCATTGTCATTCTCTAGCAAACTAGTTTTGCTACAGATACTGTTCATGTTCTGTTTTTATGCAGTGATTTGGAGTGACTCAAAAATAATGTACTATTACCACCATCTTCCCTAAATCCATATGATGATGACTTTTTGAAAAGATCAGGCCAGATGTCTTGTGAAATGTCCTACAAATTCTAGAAATCGCTACCCATTAGCACACAGAGACATCCTTTTTTTTTTTTTAAAGCATTGCACAATATTCCGTTGTGTGGATATTCCAGTTATACAATCAGCCTTCTATTGATGGGCATCTGTGTTGTCGCCAATCCTTTGCCACTACAATGTTGCAATAAATAACCTTGTGCATGTGTTGTTTATTTGTGGAAGTTTATCTTCAGTGTAGATTCCTAACAGTGGGATTACTGAACCAAAAGTAAATCTGTCCACCATGTCTTTAGCTTTTTGCAAAAACCCTTTTATACGGGTTGTACCATTTTATACTTCTACCAGCAATGAATGAAACTGACTGTTTCTCTGCAGTCTACTCAATGAAGTTTTCAATCTTTTGGTATGGCAGGATAATTTTACCTCGTATTTATCTTATAAGTGAGGGTCAGTATCTTTTCTTATGCTTATGTGTCATTTTCATTTTTTTTTTCCTGTGAAACATCTGCTTACTTTTTTGTTTGTTTGTTTTTTCTATTGTGCTTGGTGATTCTGAGATGTTAGAGGCTTTCCTCATTGCCTTAAGATCATCCACCCATATTTTCTTCTAATGCTTGAATGTTTCCATTTTTTATATTCATTCTTGGTCCCTGTTGAAATGACCAATTCCAGGGGCAGGAAAAGTATCAAACAATGCTGAAATATATTGCCAGAAAGAAAGGAAGTACTAAAAAAACAATAAGGACACATCAAAGCACACAGAAACAAGATGGAAACTGGCTCCTACTGGCCAAATCTGGGACAAATTGAACAATAAAATACGTGTTAGATTATAATTCACAAAATAGAATTTGCCGGTGCATGCTGATATATGTGAGTGAATCAATAAATAAGTAAATGGGAGAAGGATAATCTCTTCCATACAGTAGAATTCTAACTAGTAAATGTAGAAGAAATCATGGAATTAGAAAACCACCATTTGGCAACCAGGACAGTAATAACTGTTTCAAGCAAGAATTCTCAATAGATGCTAAAAGGAGTAAGTGAAAGTAATAACAAACAGATTATTCACAGGGTTTCAAAATGTCTCCCAATAAGAAATGACTCAGGTTGGGTTCTCTGGAATCAGATGCTAAGACAGAGTTTGGGGTGCAATGTATTTACTAGGGACCAGCATATGTGAAAGGAAGGGGGAAGAGGTATAATTGGGCTAAGGGAGCAATCTCACTGCAATATAGTCCTGGCTTCAGCAACCGGCAGGGAGCTCTGAAGTGGGCAGTTCCACCCCATCTCACTCAGGCATTGTGTGCAAGCTGCACCAGGAAGGGTGTGACCTTGGGTGATATGAGTCATGCAGAAAGTGCTGGAAGCTATCTGCTGACTGCACTGACCAAAACTGAGCAACAAGTCCTTCCTCAAAAAGGAATCCGTGTGATGTGGTGGTCTAATAGAATATTAATTACAAAGAAAAACTGTACCTTTATAGAATGGAGAAACATAGCACACACTACCTTGGGTGTTGATCAACATTAATGGTCCCCAAAATGTTATAATGACACAGCATTACTTCTGTGACATTCTTGCTGAAAATACATATAGGCACATCTCATAAGGTGCTTTGATTTATTGTGCTTTGCAGACATTATGTTTTTTACAAATCGAAGGTTGTGGCAACCCTGCATTAAGCAAGTCTATCTGTGCTATTTTTCCAACACTTTGTGCTCACTTTGTGTCTCCGTGTCACATTTTGGTTAATTCTCACAGTATTTCAACCTTTTTCATTATCATAATATCTGCTCTGGTGCTCTGTGATCAGTGATCTGTGACGTTACTATTGTAATTGTTTTGGAGTACCACCAACTGCATCCATATACGATGGAAAACTTAATAAATGTGGTGTTTCTACCACTCCACTGACCAGACATTCCTCTATCTCTCTCCGTCTCCTTGGGCCTCCCTATTTCCGGAGACACAACAATACTGCAATCAAGCCAATTAATAATCCTACAATGGCCTCTAAGTGTTCAGGTGAAAGGAAGAGTCACACACCTGTCACTTTAGATCAACAGCTAGAAATGACTAAGCTTAGTGAGAAAGACATGTTAAAAACCAAGACAGGATAAACGCTAGGCCTCTTGGGCCAAAGTTAGCCAAGTTGTGAATGCCAAGGAAAAGTTCTTGAAGAAAATTAAAAGTACTACTCCAGTGGAGTGGCACTAACTTTGGCCCACGTTGTGTACGTGTACCCTAGAACTTAAAGTATAATAAAAAAAATTAATTTTAAAAAAAGTACTACTCCAGTGAATAGATGAATAAGAAAGTGCAATGAGGCTGATACAAAAAAAGTTTGAGTTTTCTAGACAGAGAGCCAAACCAGCCACAAACATTCCCTTAAGCCAAAGCCTAACTCAGAGCAAAGTCCTAACTCTCTTTAATTTTGTGAAGGCTGAGAGAGATGAGAAAGCTGCAGGAAAAAAGTCTTAAGCTAGCAGAAGTTGATTTATGAGGTTTAAGGAAATAAGCCATCTCCATAACACAAAAGTACAGGACGAAGCAGCAAGTTTTTATGTAAAAGCTGCAGCAAGTTATTCAGAAGATCTAGCTGAGATAATTGATGAAGGTAGCTATATTAGTCCATTTTCACACTGTGAAATTTGGGTGGGGACACAGAGCCACGCCATATCAGTGGCTACACTAAATAACAGATGCTCGCTGCAGATGAAACAGTCTTTTATTGGAAGAAGAGGTCACCTAGAACTTTCCTAGCCAGAGAGAGGAAGTCAATGTCCAGCTTCAAAGAATAGGGAGACTCTTCTCAGGAGCCAATGTAGCTGGGGACTTTAAGTTGAAGCCAATGCTCATTTACCGTTCCAAAAACCCTAGGGCTCTGAAGAATTATGCTAAATCCACTCTGCCTATGCTCTAGAAATGGAACAACAAAACCTGGGTGACAGCACATCTGTTTACAGTATGCTTTACTGAATTTTTTTTTTTTTTGAGATGGAGTCTCACACTGTCGCCCAGGCTGGAGTGCAGTGGCACAATCTCAGCTCACTGCCACCTCCACCTCCCGGGTTCACGCCATTCTCCTGCCTCAGCCTCCTAAGTAGGTAGGACTACAGGCGCCCGCCACCACGCCTGGCTAATTTTTTGTATTTTTAGTAGAGATGGGGTTTCACCATGTTAGCCAGGATGGTCTCGATCTCCTGACCTCGTGATCTGCCCGCCTCGGCCTCCCAAAATTCTGGGATTACAGGCGTGAGCCACCGCACCCAGCGGCTTTATTGAATATTTTAAGCCCACTGTTGAGACCTACTGCTCAGAAAAAAGATTCCTTTCAAAATATTACTGCTCATTGAAAATGCACTTTGAAACCCAAGGACTCTGATGGAGATGTACAAGGAGATTCATGTTGTTTTTATGCCTGCTAACACATCTATTCTGCAGCCCATGGATCAAGGAGTCATTTCAACTTTCAAGCCTTATTATTTATTTAAGAAATACATTTCATAAGGCTATCGATGCCACAGTGATTCCTCTGATGGATCTAGGCAAACTACATTGATCACCTTCTGGAAAGGATTCATCATTTCTAGATGCCATTAAGAACACTCGTTTTTCATGGGAGGAGGTCAAAATATCAACATTAACAGGACTACAGAAGAAGCTGATTCCAGTCCAAGATCATGGATGACACTAAACAGTTCAAGACTTCAGTGGAGGAAGGGACTGCAGATGTGGTGAAAACAGCAAGAGAAGTAGAATAAGAAACAGAGCCTGAAGATGTGATGGAATTGCTGCAACCTCATGATAAAACTTGAACAGACGAGGAGTTGCTTTGTATGGAAGAGAAAAGAAAATGGTTTTTTTGACATGGCATCTATACCTGGTGAAGATACTGTGAACACTGATGAAATGACAAAAACCATTTAGAATATTACATAAACTTAGTTGATAAAGTATCAGCAGGGTTTGAGAGGACTGATACCAATTTCTGAAAGAAGTTCTACTGTGAGTAAAATGCTGTCAAACAGCATCACATGCTACAGAAAAATATTGTGAAAGGAAGAGTCAACAGATGCGGCAAACTTCGTTCTTGTCGTTTTGAGAAATTGCCACAGCTACCCCAGCCTTCAGCAACAACCTCCCTGATCAGTCAGCAGCCATCATCATCGAGGCAAGACCTTTCACCAGCAAAAAGATCAAGACTTGCTGAAGGCTTAGGTGACTGCTAATTGCTAGCATTTTTTTAGCAAAAAGTATTTTTTAAAGACACAATGCTATTGCACACTTAACAGACTACAGTATAGGGTGAACGTAACTTTTATATGCAGTAGGAAACCAAAAACTTGTATGACTTGCTTTATTTTGATATTTGCTTTATTGTGGTGGTATGAAATCAAACCTGCAATTTTCCCACCAAGGTATGCCTGCAATTCTCTGAATCTAATCATGAGGAAAGATCAAATAAACCTAAATTGAGGAACATTTACAAAATAAACCTTGGCCGAGTGCAGTGGCTCACGCCTGTAATCCCAACACGTAAGGAGGCTGAGGCAAGAGGATCGCTTGAGCCCAGGAACTTGAGACCAGTTTGGGCAACATAGTGGGACCCTGTTTCTACAAAAATTTCAAATATTAGCCAGGCATGGTGGCATATGCCTGTGGTCTCAGCTACTAAAGAGGCTGAGGCAGGAGGATTGCCTGAGCCCAGGAGGTCTAGGCTGCAGTGAGCCACGAACACACCACTGCACTCCAGCCTGCACTCTGCACTGCAACAGAGTGATGACAGAGTGATACCCTGTCTCAAAACAAAACAAAACAAAGTAAAACAAACCTGTACTCTTAAAAAATCATGATTATGAAATAAAGACTGAAGAACTCTTCCAAATATAAGGACACTAAAGAGACATGACATCTGCAATGTGTGATCCTAGACTGAACTGTGGAGCAGAACAAGGAACTGAGTGGACAAATGAAGTCTGAATAGGCCTACAGATTAAAGAGTAGTATTTAATCAATACTAATTTATTGATTTTAATAACTGCACTCTGGTTATATAATATTCTAATTCCCAGGCGCGGTGGCTCATGCCTGTAATACCAGCAATATGGGAGGCTGAGGCAGGTGGATCACCTGAGGTCACAAGTTCAAGACCAGCCTGGCCAACATGGTGAAACCCCATCTCTACTAAAAATACAAAAATTAGCCAGGTTTGGTGGCATGCGCCTGTAATCCCAGCTACTCAACAGGCCGAGGCACAAGAATTGCTCAAACCCAGGAGGCAGAGGTTTCAGTGAGCCAAGATCGCGCCATGGCACTCCAGCCTGGGCGACAGAGTAAGACTGTTTCTCAGAAAAAAAAAAAAAAAAAAAAAAAAAAAAAAGACAATGTTCTTGTTCTTAGGAAATAAAGGTAAACATAGGTAAAGGGGCATTAGCTCTACAACTTACTCTCATACATTTCAGAGAGAGAATGAGTGAATGAATGAATGACAAAGCACATATGACAAATAGTAACACTTAGAAAATGTGGGTGAAGGTTATATGACTATTGTTTGTACTGTTTTTCAAAAGTCAAATTATTTTAAAATAAAAAGTTAAAAATTTAAGATACGGCAGGTGCAGTGGCTCAACACCTGTAATCCCAGCACTTTGGGAGGCCGAGGCGGGTGGATCACCTGAGGTCAGGAGTTTGAGACCAGCTTGGCCAACATGGTGAAACCCTGTCTCTACTAAAAATACAAAAATTAGCCAGGTATGGTGGCACACGCCTGTAGTTCCAGCTACTTGGGAGGCTGAGGCACAAGAATCACTTCAATCCGGGAGGCTGAGGTTGCAGTGAGCCGAGATCATGCCATTGCACTCCAGCCTGGGTGACAACAGCAAAACTCTGTCCAAAAACAAACAAACAAAAAGTGTGTGTGTGTGTGTGTGTATATATATATATGACAAAAGAAAGATTTTATCCATTTGTACTTTATACTAAAACATAGCATGAGGTATGGACCTGATTTTACTCTTAGAAAATATGTATCCAATTGTCCCATCTTTTCCTCTGTAATTTGATGTGCTATTTTTACAATATTCTAAATTTCTTTAATTAGTCTATTTCTGGACATTATATACTGTTCCATTAGTCAATACATCTGTCCATGCACCAGACCACACAGTTTAAAAAAAAAAGAGAGAGAGAGACTATTTTTTAGAGTAGTTTTAAGTTCACAGCAAAATTGGGCAGAAAGTAGAAAGTTCCTCATATACTTCCTGCCCCCACAGTTTTAATTATAAGGCTTTTTGGTTTAAAATCTGGGGGATTTCCCCTACTTATTGCTCTTAATTTTTCAGAGATTTCCTGATTGCTTATTCTTTCTTATTTTTCCATAAGACCTCTGGTATCCACTTGTCTAGCACCAGAAACAAAAAAATGTTTACTGGAATTAGAATTCATTTATACATTAATTGGGGGAGAACTGGCATCTTTGTAATGTTGAATTATTCTGTCTATGAACGTAAAGTATGAAATGTCTTTCCATTTGTTCAAGTCACATTTTGGGTCTTTTAAGAATGTTTTCCTCTTGTGAATGTGACATTTTTCTTGTTTTTTTTTCTAAGGTATTTTCTCTTTTTGATGTTACCAGATATGGATAGTTCTCTTCCACTCTATTTTCTTTTCTCTCTTTTTTTTTTTTGAGACGGAGTCTAGCACTGTCGCCCAGGCTGGAGTGCAGTGGCGCGATCTCCACTTACTGCAAGCTCCGCCTCCTGGGTTCACGCCATTCTCTTGACTCAGCCTCCCAAGTAGCTGGGACTACAGGCGCCCGCCACCACGCCCGGCTTTTTTTTTTTTTTTTTTTTTTTTTTTGTATTTTTAGTAGAGACAGGGTTTCACCGTGTTAGCCAGGATGGTCTTGATCTCCTGACCTCGTGATCCGCCCACCTCAGCCTCCCAAAGTGCTGGGATACAGGCATGAGCCACCACGCCCAGCCCTCTTCCACTATATTTTCAAACTAAATTATTGTATATATAAAAAGTATTGGGTTTTGTTGCTAATTTTTTTATTCTGCCGTTTTACTCAATTCTTTTTGTCTGGGTTTTCTGTTGTTATTCTCTTGGCTTTTCAACATACACTATCAGATAATCTGCACACAGAAATAGTTTTCCCTCTTCCAAAGTCTCATGCTCCTGATTATCTTCTCTTGAATGAATGTGGTAATTAATTCCGTCAATACAATGTTACCAAGTAATAGACATAGTAGGTATCATTATTCCTGGTTTTATAGTGGAATATTATCAAGTATTTTGTGTGTACATAAATTTTGTTTACGTTAGGTATCATAAATTTTGTTTACGTTGTTTACGTTATGTATCCCTATTTTATTGTTTATCAAGAATGGATGTGTTGGACTTTTCAAATTCCTTTTTGGTATATATGGAAATAATGATTTTTCTTACTAGATGCATTAAGATGGTGAATTATAATAATGAATCTCAGCCTAGCTTGTATATCTATCATTTTTTCCTCCAATCCTTTTACCTTTCCCTTTATCGTGATTTCAGGTTCTTGGCTTTTTCCATTTCTATCCTCTATGCCTTTACTGTATCTTCAATCACATCTGTTCACCTTTGGGCATCTTGTAGTTTAGTCTTCGTTTCTGATACTGTCTTATTTTCCATTTCTTTCCTGAGTTTGAACAGCTCTTATTTCAGATCTTCCTGCTCGCTGACTGTTTTTATTGAGTTTTAAAAACTTTTGACGTGGCCAGGCACGGTGACTCATGCCCGTAATCCCAGCACTTTGGGAGGCCAAGGCGGGTGGATCACTTGGGGTCAGGAGTTCAAGACCAGCCTGGCCAACATGGTGAAACCCTGTCTCTACTAAAAATACAAAAATTAGCTGGGTGTGGTGGCATGCGCTTATAATCCCAGCTACTCAGGAGGCTGAGGCACAAGAATTGCTTGAACCCGGGAAGCAGAGATTACAGTGAGCCGAGATCACACCACTGGACTCCAGCCTGGACGACAGAGCGAGACTCTATCTCAAAAAAAAAAACAAAAAACTTTTGACTTGCAGTTTCTTTTATTCAGCAGATATTTATTTATATTTATGTCTGGATACTGAATTAGTTCTCTTCTTTGTTGCCTTTTAATGTATTTTCATCTACTGAAAAGACTGATTCTCATTTTTGAATCAGAGAAATCTACATGGATGCTGTTTTAATTATTGTTCATGCTGAGTTACACTGATTTTCATGGACCATCCACAGCAAGAAACCCTCTGGGGCAAAAGGGCTTGCTTAATTTCTTATTTCTACCAGTGCCTTCTTCTGTTACTTCAATGAAGTACAGTTTATTTGCTAGATGGACAGTGCATTTATTTATCCTCTATCGCTTTGATACTCTTGGTTTCAGCTGTATCCTTCCAGCTATTTCCTTCTTTCTCTTTACTATTAAATATTAATACTTCATGGGACACTTTCAACTTCCAAGGTGCTACCTTCTCCCCTAGGAGTGGTGTTTTTTTTTAAGGCTGCCATCTCAAGTCATAAACACTTTTCCAAGTCCCTTTTCTTTTGCATTCTCAGTTGCTATGCTCTGATCCACCAGATTACAGACCTGTTTTCAGTATTTCCCACTCGGGATAGGGTTCTCATCTTCTGAGGATGAACAAAGAGCCTGTTATCCTCTGCAGAGTCCCTTACTCTTAGTTCTGATACAGTCACCAGAGTTCACCTAGCTATTCTTAGATGACTATTTCCCCACTCACATATAAACTGTGGTTTCAAAAATTCTCTATGTCCTAGCTATGCCATAGGCCCAGGTTATATAGTTGATTTTATTTGCTCTTACTAATCTGTATGGGTTTTAGAAGGATATGTGGAAAGGTCTGAATTGAGGAACTAAGTCAACTTCTCAAGTTATAAACTGAAGAAAAATATGCATCTCCTTTGTAGAGTTATTGTAAAGATCAAAAGATATAGACAGACCACTTAATTACTTAGCGCATTAAATGCATGAATAGTAAGGATAATTATTACCATTTCCTGGGGTCCTTCAATATTGTTCAGAAGGATTTAAAATATTATCTGCCAACACTCATTTTTCTAGAACTTCCACATGTGGCTATAGATAACATCATCTTATGATTAGTCTGTGTTCTAAAATTTTGGCTGCGTGTGGTGGCTCACACCTGTAATTCCTGCAGTTAGGGAGGCCAAGGCAGGAGGACCACCTGACGTCAGGAGTCAGCCTGGCCAACATGGTGAGACCCCATCTCTACTAAAAATACAAAAATTAGCCAGGTGTGGTGGCGTGTGCCTATAGTCCCAGCTACTTGGGAGGCTGAGGCAGGAGAATTGCTTGAACCCGGGAGGTGGGGGTTGCAGGGAGCTGAGATTGTGCCACTGCACTCTACCCTGGGCAACAGAGCGAGACTCTGTCTCAAAAAAATTAGTAAATAAATGAGTAAAATTTTGTTGTTAGAACCAGGAATACCTCACCTCCCTGGTTTCACGTTAAGGCTTTAGGCTCTAAACAGACTGCCTGGAAGTCACAGAAGGTTACTTGTTTATTATGTACATCAACATAGAAACTAGTTGGAGAGATAAATTGGCGTGCTAAAGAAATGACTCCCAAATCCAAGTCCATGACCCAGGCCACAGTAAAACAAGAAACATAAGCAAAAGGGAGAGAATTTTTCATAAACTGCAATAATTTAAAGGCACTGAAGTCTTCATTCAGATTATGTCTCATACTTTGATATTAGAATATCCTTTTATAAAATGATAGTGATAATAACGGGTACTTTCAAAAAATACATTATATATGATAAAATTAGTAAATTTATGTTGTTCTACTAAATTAAATTATTCGTATTGGGCCATAAACCCAAGAAATAAGGATACATCTGAAATAGTTATAAATACAAACAGCCAGTAAATCAGCCTTCTCTACGTGAAAGTTAGTAGGTATATCCGTCCCCTACCGTTTTATGATCTTTTTCCTCCAAACTGCTCTTGATAGGTACTGTTATACCAAATGTCACCTGTATAAAAATATAGGGCTGGGCACAGTGGCTGATGTCTTCAATCCCAGCACTCTGGGAGGCTGAGGTGGGAGGACTGCTTGAGCTTAGGAGTTGGAGACCAGCCCTGGCAACATAGCAAGACCTCGTCTCTATAAAAATTACAAAAATTGGCCGGCCATGGTGTTATGCGCCTGTAGTCCCAGCTACTCAGGAGGCTAAGGTGGAAGGATTGCTTGAGTCTGGGAGTTTGAGGATGCAGTGAGCTGTGGTCATGCCAAATGCACTCCAGCCTGGGCAACACAGTGAGACCCTGTCTCAAAACACATACACACACACACATACATGTTTTACATGTATGTTTTATATATTTATATATATATATGGGAGAGGTTTTGTCTTATTTGCATTACATGCCCCAAACACAAGATTTGACTAGTTATAACAAATATAATGAAAGGCCTGCAAATAGAGCTTATAAATTATTAAATATTTTAATGGACAAATGTATAATGGAAAGGGCAAAACTTACAGAGTTACACAGATGTGGATCTGAGCTTTGGTTTTATGTATCAATTGTATGGCCTCAAAAGAGATCTTTAACCTATGAGTCTTTGTTTTTAATCCACAAAATAATGCTAATAATCTCTCTCCAATAGAGTTAGAATTAAAAAAGACCTAACATAAGTGAACTGCCTCAGACTATATGTCAGACACACAACGGGCATACAATAAACAATAATAACAATAGCTATTATAATTAACATTTCCTCCTGACAATTCAAGACAGTTTCCTCACCTGCCTAATGAACAGGCTATCTGAAATCCAGAAGCAACTTTAAGATTATCAATAATACCGATTATCAATAATTGCAAGTTGTCTACTATATGAAAACATTCCAATTCTCCCTCTTCTACTAGCATGCGAATTGGCGGCTACACAATCAATTCACTCATTCAACAAATATCTATTGAGAACATATTATACCAGACCCTATTTTAGGTTCTGGAAATACAGCAGTGAATATACGACTGGAGAGAAACAAAAATAACTGTATGTCAAGTAATAATAGGCGCTATGAGGGGGGAAAAATGCAGGGTGAGGAGACTAAAAGACGAAGTACTTCTTTTACAGAGGGTAGTCAGGAATGCCTCTCTGATAGGTGACTACCTGAACAGCGATCTAGACGAAGTGAGAGCTAGCCATGCGGAAATCTGGGAGGAAAGCATTCCAGGCAGAAGGAACAGGAAGTTCAAGGGTCCTCAGGTGGCCTGACAGATGAAAAGAAAGGTGGCCTGTTGGCTGAAGCAGAATGAGCAAAGGAAGAAATTAGGTCAGAAGCAGTGGCAGGCCACAGCATCTAGAGCCTTATATATTTTCAACTTTGAATTTCATTTTAAGCAAAGTGGAAAGCCATCAGAGGGTGCTGAGCAGAGGAGTAATAATCATGACTTGTATTTTTTTAGCAGATTCATTAGCTCTTCGGGGGATAAGGGAAGAATATGCTGTAAGGGGAAAATATGAAAGTCTATTAAGAGGCTATGTATTGCATAAGGAAAAAATCAGTATAATCTCAAACCCAGCAACATACACTGTTAATATTTTGGTGTATTTGGTATTATTTCCTTCAGATGCTGAGGATATCCTTTTCATGCAATTAGTTTTAAAAGCTTCCCAGAAGACTTCACATTTAATAAGTTTGTGTTTGTTTTTATATGCTGTTGAATTAGTATGTCCATAAAAATTAATTCTTCCTATGATTCCAATGAGTGGTTCAAAGTTTACGATAGTAAAATGCATTGGGAAAGCCAAAATAGAGATGTTTTAAAACCAAATTTTTTTTAAATTTTATTTTAAAGACCTATGGATCTCTATTTAAGGGAATCTATTCTCCATAAAACTAGTCACCTTTATTCTTTATTATATCAGTCATTTAAGTGTAATGCCCATCTGTTCAAGTATATGTTCTACATATTTGAGCAGTATCTAAATGTGTTGCTTATATGCTTACAGGAATAGCGTCAGGTATTAATCTTAAAATCCCACATGGTGATGATGTGGAGGGCTCCCTCCCTTAGACAACACACCCTCCCACACCTCTGTCTATAGAAAATAGATTTCTTAAGCTAGAGATAAAATTAGAGGAAGAGTGGAAAGGAAATTATGTCAGAGAAGTAATGAAGTAATGAATACACAATGCCTTAAAGGCCATGGTAAGGCTTTTAGATATCTTGCTGAGCAAGAAAGGACGCCAGTCAAGATCTTGAGAATAGGAGTAACAAACTGGTATTAATTTGAAAAAGACCATTCTGACTGCTTCCTGGAGAATACATGGAATAAAGGTGGGGGTGGAGCACAGGAAGAGACAGGTTTACAAGGATACTACAATATAGGTGATAATGTGGCATTAACAACCCACCCTAAAACTTAAGTTACTTTAAACAACCAGAGACCGCCGAGGTGCGGGCTGTGAGAGAGGGAGCGTGGAGCCTCCGAGGCCGAGGACTCGTCCCAGTTTGGACAGATAGAAGATGTGAGCGCTCTCCCTCTCCCTCTCCCTCTCCGTCTCCCTCTCCCTCTCCCCACGGTCTCCCTCTCATGTGGAGCCGAAGCTGGACTGTACCGCTGCCATCTCGGCTCACTGCAACCTCCCTGCCTGATTCTCCTGCCTCAGCCTGCCGAGTGCCTGCGATTGCAGGCACGCGCCGCCACGCCTGACTGGTTTTGGTGGAGACGGGGTTTGGCTGTGTTGGCCGGGCCGGTCTCCAGCCCCTAACCGCGAGTGATCCGCCAGCCTTGGCCTCCCGAGGTGCCGGGATTGCAGAGGGAGTCTCGTTCACTCAGTGCTCAATGGTGCCCAGGCTGGAGTGCAGTGGCGTGGTCTCGGCTCACTACAACCTACACCTCCCAGCCGCCTGCCTTGGCCTCCCAGAGTGCCGAGATTGCAGCCTCTGCCCGGCCGCCACCCCGTCTGGGAAGTGAGGAGTGTCTCTGCCTGGCCGCCCATCGTCTGGGATGTGAGGAGCCCCTCTGCCTGGCTGCCCAGTCTGGAAAGTGAGGAGTGTCTCCGCCCAGCCGCCATCCCATCTAGGAAGTGAGGAGCGCCTCTTCCCAGCCGCCATCACATCTAGGAAGTGAGGAGCGTCTCTGCCCGGCCGCCCATCGTCTGAGATGTGGGGAGCGCCTCTGCCCCGCCGCCCCATCTGGGATGTGAGGAGCGCCTCTGCCCGGCCGAGACCCCGTCTGGGAGGTGAGGAGCGTCTCTGCCCGGCCGCCCCGTCTGAGAAGTGAGGAGACCCTCTGCCTGGCAACCACCCCGTCTGAAAAGTGAGGAGCCCCTCCGCCCGGCAGCCGCCCCGTCTGGGAGGTGAGGAGCCTCTCCGCCCGGCAGCCACCCCATCTGGGAGGTGAGGAGCGTCTCTGCCCGGCAGCCACCCCGTCCGGGAGGGAGGTGGGGGGGGTCAGCCCCCCGCCCGGCCAGCTGCCCCATCCGGGAGGTGAGGGGCGCCTCTGCCCGGCCGCCCCTACTGGGAAGTGAGGAGCCCCTCTGCCCGGCCAGCCGCCCCGTCCGGGAGGGAGGTGGGGGGGTCAGCCCCCCGCCCGGCCAGCCGCCCCGTCCGGGAGGGAGGTGGGGGGTCAGCCCCCCGCCCGGCCAGCCGCCCCGTCCGGGAGGGAGGTGGGGGGGTCAGCCCCCCGCCCGGCCAGCCGCCCCGTCCGGGAAGGAGGTGGGGGGGGTCAGCCCCGCCGCCCGGCCAGCCGCCCCGTCCGGGAGGTGAGGGGCACCTCTGCCCGGCCGCCCCTACTGGGAAGTGAGGAGCCCCTCTGCCCGGCCAGCCGCCCCGTCCGGGAGGGAGGTGGGGGGGTCAGCCCCCTGCCCGGCCGGCCGCCCCGTCCGGGAGGTGAGGGGCGCCTCTGCCCGGCTGCCCCTACTGGGAAGTGAGGAGCCCCTTTGCCCGGCCACCACCCCGTCTGGGAGGTGTGCCCAACAGCTCATTGAGAACGGGCCAGGATGACAATGGTGGCTTTGTGGAATAGAAAGGCGGGAAAGGTGGGGAAAAGATTGAGAAATCGGATGGTTGCCGTGTCTGTGTAGAAAGAAGTAGACATGGGAGACTTTTCATTTTGTTCTGCACTAAGAAAAATTCTTCTGCCTTGGGATCCTGTTGATCTGTGACCTTACCCCCAACCCTGTGCTCTCTGAAACATGTGCTGTGTCCACTCAGGGTTAAATGGATTAAGGGCGGTGCAAGATGTGCTTTGTTAAACAGATGCTTGAAGGCAGCATGCTTGTTAAGAGTCATCACCAATCCCTGATCTCAAGTAATCAGGGACACAAACACTGCGGAAGGCCGCAGGGTCCTCTGCCTAGGAAAACCAGAGACCTTTGTTCACTTGTTTATCTGCTGACCTTCCCTCCACTATTGTCCCATGACCCTGCCAAATCCCCCTCTGTGAGAAACACCCAAGAATTATCAATAAAAAAATAAATTAAAAAAAATAAATAAATAAAAATAAACAACCACTGTTCATTATTTCCTGCAATTGTGTGGGCCAGCAGTTTGGGCTATGATCAGCTGGAATGTTTCTCTACTAATAGCAGTCATCAGGCAGCTCGAATGGGGTGGGAGTCTAAAATCGCCTTGTTCACACATTAGGGGTTCTGGCTTCTCTTGGCTGGGCCTCTTCTCCATGTGGTCTCTCACTCAGCAGTCTAGTCTGGACTCCTTACATGATGACGGGAATGTCCCAAAAGAGCTAAGGCAGAAGATGTCTTGAGGCCTAAGTTCCAGAACTCACATATCTACCACATTCTACTGGCCAAAGCAAGTACAAGGCCAGCCCAGATTCAATGGGCGGTAAACAGACTATTTCTTGATGGAAGAAGGTACAAATTATTATTATTATTATACTTTTTTTTTTTTTTGGAGACAGAGTCTCACTCTGTGGCCCAGGCTGGAGAGCAGTGACATGATCTCAGCTCACTGCAACCTCTGCCTCCAGGGTTCAAGCGATTCTCCTGCCTCAGCCTCCTGAGTACCTGGGATTACAGGTGTGTGCTAATTTTTGTATTTTTAGTAGAGATGGGGTTTTGCCACGTTGATGAAGCTGGTCTCGAACTCCTGACCTCAGGTGATCTGCCCACCTCGGCCTCCCAAAATGCTGGGATTACAGGCGTGAGCCACTGCACCCAGATGGTGCAAATTATTATAGTCATGTTTTTCAATCTATTACACTAAGCAGTGATCATGGTGGTTTAAAGGAGTGTAACAGTTGCAGTAGTAGTGGTGAGAAGCAGCTGGATTTTAGACATTTAATGACAGAACAAGCTGATTATCCAGATGGAGAATGACTTTTCAACCCAAGAAGTAGAAGGATACAGCTGTCATTTACTGAGCTATTAGGAGCAGCAGGTTCAAGGGAGAAAAAAAAAGAAAATCAAGAGTTTTGTCTACAATGCCTATTAGATCTCCAAGCAGAGATGTCAAGTAAACAGATTAGAGTCCGGAATTCAGCATACTACTACTTCTCTGCCGGAAAGGGAGCGGGCAGAGAAGCAGCCAGGCTTTTACTTGCATGACTAGGGCATAAGGTTCTTCTGAACAGTCTGACTTGGTTTCTAGGTTGTCCAGCATCTTTCTCTTCCACATTTCTTGTCTTTCAAGAAAGCAGGGAAGCCCCAGAGAAGGTTGAGTTTATGTGGGGAAATAAAACAGATCTTTTTTTTCATTTGATTTTAGGTGGGTTTTTAAATATATATATTTACAGAGCTCTCTCAGACCAGTATGCTATCTGGTAACACAGAAAATAATACCAGGACAGATTAACTCACTAGTAGTCATGAGAAAAAAAACTTTTTCTTCAAAAATAACAAAAAGTAAAAGAGAAGGCTAAGGTAACTGCAGAATTCAAATAAACAGGTCTTCTGGCCACTGTATCTTTCAAAGGCAAGTTATCTAGAAAATTACTACACTCTCGCATCTGAAAATAGATGCGAAATGATAAAATTAATAAAAAGGTGGTTTTTTTTTTTTTTGGAGACAGGGTCTCACTCTGTAACTCAGGCTGGAGTGCAGTGGTGTGATCATAGCTCACTGCAGCCTCGAAATCCTGGGCTCAAGTAATCCTCCTGCTTCAGCCTCCCAAGTAGCTGGGACTACAGGTGGGTACCACCATGCCTGGCTAATTTTTTATTTTATTTTTGTAAAGGGTATTGCTATGTTGCCCAAACTGCCCTTGAATTCCTGGCTTCAAGCAATCCTCCCACTTGGGCTTCCCAAAGTACTGAAATTATAGGCATGAATCACCATGCCTGGCCAAAAGTTTTTTGTTTTTAATTCTAATTCACATTTAACTTTTCCTATAAGTATGCCAACCACTGAGGATAAGATTTAGGGAAATAGGTTTTTTAAACCATGTCGGCATAATTTCAAAGAATCACTGTTTCATAACCCAAAACAAAGACTGTATGTAGGACCAATAAGCCATTTCACGTAGCCTTTACCACTAAAGATTGTGAAATACATGTTTTGTAACTATAATTAGTATTATTATTCTAGATGTTTGTGTGTCCTAACATTCAAACACGATTCAAGTGAGTTTACAAGAGTATGATTCAATTCAATTCAAGTTATATTAATTTAAAGTCTACTAGCACTAGGCTCTAATGGATACAAGAACAAACAGGACCCAATTATACTATAAGTCTTGTAAGCAGGATTATTCAGGTACATAAATAAATATAAGAAAGTGCATACTTTTAATTTATATTCTAATTCAATGTACAAATGATGTGAGGAGGCTTACTAGAAATATATTCCTAAATAAAACTGTGAATATGTTTTGAAAACAGAAAAATACAAATTAGGATGTGAAGTGAAGAGTAGGGGAGAAATACTGATACATAATACACAGATGAACCTCAAAAACATTATGCTATGCAAAATACACCTGACAAAAAAGACCACTTATTGGCCGGGCACGGTGGCTCAAACCTGAAACCCCAGCACTTTGGGAGGCTGAGGCAGGTGGATCACCTGAGGTCAGGAGTTCAAGACTAGCCTGGCCAACATGGTGAAACCCTGTCTCTACTAAAAATACAAAAAAAAATTAGCAGGGCATGGCGGCACACACCTGTAGTCCCAACTACTTGAGAGGCTGAGGCAGGAGAATCGTTTGAACTCAGGAGGCGGAGGTTGCAATGAGCCGAGATCACACTATTGCACTCCACCCTGGGCAACAAGAGTGAAGTTCCATCTCCAAAAAAAAAACAAAAAAACACTTATTGTATGATTCCATTTATTTTTTTCCCTTTTTAAATTTTTCTTGGTTTTTATGCTAATCTTCTCTGTACTCTTCCAATTTTAGTATATGTGTTGCAAGCATGTATTATTCCAGTTATATGGGATGTTCAGAAAAGGCATTTGGAGACAACATGGATTAGTGGTTGCCTTGGGCTGGGGGTGGGAAGAAGGATTAACTGTAAATGGGCATGAGGGATCTTAATGTGCGACAGAAATTTTCAAAAAACGGATTGTTGTGATGACTGCAAAACTTGGCAAATTTACTAAAAATAACTGCATTGTACATCTTAAATTAGTGAATTTTATGACATGCAAACTATGTCTCGATCAAGTTGTCTTTAAAAACTAAAGGCAAAATTAAAACTTTTACAAACATACAAAAACTGAAATGATTCAGTCCAGCTGACTTGCACTACAATAAACGTTAAAAGAGGCCCTTCAGGCAGAAGGAAATGACACTAGATGGATTTACAAAAAGGAATGAAGAGAACTAGAAATGGTAACTATAGGAATAAATACATATATTTTGGGTTTTTTAAACCTAAATCTTTAAAAACTATTAATATAATCAACTGTTTAAACATAGTAGCAATACAGTGTGAGGTTTACAACATATAAAATGCACCATAATAGCATAAAGGCCAAGATGGAAGAGATAGAAGTATACTTTTATAAGGTATTATATATGAAACAGTACGTAACTTGAAGGTAGACTGTGATAACTCAAAGACACATGTTATAAGCCCTAAAGCAATCAATAAAGTAACAAAAAGAATTACTAGTAATATGCCAATAAGGAGATAGAATCATTTTTAAAAATCAAAATTAAAAAAATTGTAAAGATCAATTAATTCAAAAGAAGGTCAAAGAAGGAGAAAATGGAACAAAGAAGAGGACAGACAATAAAACAAAAGAGCAAATGATAGACTTAAGCCTATATCAATAATCACATTAAATGTAGATGGTCAAAACCCCCTATTAAAAGGCAGAGATTTTCAGGTTGGATTTTAAAAGACCCAAATATATGCTCTTTACGAGAATTACAATTTAAATATAAGACACATACACATTAAAAGGACAGAGAAAGATACATCATGCTCACAATAATTAAAAGAAAGATTAGTGCCCATGTTAATATCTGCCAAAGCAGATTTCAGAGTAAACAATATCACCAGGGGTAATAAAGTCACTTCATAATGTTAAGTGAGCCAACTGGTCAATAGGATATTGCAATCCTAAATGTTTTATGCACCTAATTACACAGATGTAAAATACGAGGCAAAAACTGATAGAACTACAAGGAGAAATAAATCACAATTATAGTTATACCTCTCTTAATAACTGAGAGAACAAACAGGAAAGCAAGAAAATAGAGGACTTGAATAACACTACCAACTTGCCTTAACTGACATTTATGGAGCATTATGACATAACAGAATACTCCACCCAGCAACAAACAGCACAATACATTGCTGAGTACAGACATATTTTTCGTAAGCACACATGGAACACAGCTCAGACAGACCACATTCTGGGCTATAAAACAAGCCTGAATACATTTTAAAGGATTTAAGTCATACAAAGTATGTTCTCTGACCACAAGGAAATTTGAAATCAATAACAGAAAGATATCTGGAAAACCCCCAAATAAATGGAAACTAAATCCATGGGGTCAAAGATCAAACCAAAAGTGAAATTAGAAAATAATTTGAATTTTGAAGGGTGGAAGCTGCAGTGAGCCGAGATTGCGCCATTGCACTCCAGCCTGGGCAACAGAGCAAAACTGTCTTAAAACAAAACAAAATAAAAGGATTTGTTTGTTCTTTGGGAAAGGGTCTTGCTCTGTAACCCAGGCTGGAGTGCAATGGCACAATCATGGCTCAACGCAGCCTTGAACTCCTGGGCTCATGGTATTCTCCCGTCTCAGCCTCCTGAGTAGGCTGGACTTCAGACACAAGCCACCATGCCCATCTAATTTTTTGTATTTTTTGTAGAGATGGAGTTTTGGCAGGCATGGTGGCTCACACCCGTAATCCCAGCACTTTGGGAGGCCGAGGTGGGTGGATCGCTTGAGGTCAGGAGTTGAAGACCACCCTGGCCAACATGGCAAAACCCCATCTCTACTAAAAATACAAAAATTAGCCGGGCGTGGTGGCACATGCCTATAATCCCAGCTACTCAAGAGGCTGAGGCAGGAGAATTGCTTGAACCCAGGAGGAGGAGGTTGCAGTGAGCCAAGATCGCCACATTGCACTGAAGCTTGGGCAACAAAATGAGACTCCATCTCAAAACAAAAACAAAAACAAAAACAAACAAACAAAAAGATGAGGTTTCATCAAGCCTCCCAAAGTGCTGGTAGTACAGAGGTGAGCCACTGTGCCCAGCCCAAGAAAATAATTTGAATTGAATGACAACCACAACACAACATATCAAAATTGATAGAATAAAACTAAAGCAGTATTTGGAGGTAAATTTATAGGACTACCTACCTAAGAAAGGGCTCAAATCAATGACCTTGGTTTCCACATTAATCTAGAAAAAGAGCATATTAAACCCAAAGTAAAAGAAAGGAAATAGTAAAGATCAGACAGGAAAACAACAAAACAGAAAAGAGAAAAATCAATGAAATAGAAAACTGGTTCTTTCAATATCAATAAAATACTTCAGAATCAACAGTGTCAAGCTAGCATGTACAATGATAGTGCTTAAGTTATTTATCTTAATCTGCCTCTAAATTTGAAGAAGTTATGCAGGAGACACAAGTAAATATTTAATACAGACTCAAAGGTTAGAGTCCACTCCACAAATTTGTCTGAAAAAAATATAAAAGGTATACCTGTCCTTGAACAAACAACATAGCTCTTTTGTTTGTTTGTTTGTTGGTTTGTTGGTTCGTTTTTGAGACAGAGTCTCGCTCTGTCGCCCAGGCTGGAGTGCAGGGGTGCAATCTCTGCTCACTGCAAGCTCCGCCTCCCAGGTTCATGCCATTCTCCTGCCTCAGCCTCCCGAGTAGCTGGGACTACAGGCACCCGCCACCACACTCGGCTAATTTTTTGTATTTTTAGAGAGATGGGGTTTCACCGTGTTAGCCAGGATGGTTTCGATCTCCTGACCTCGTGATCCGCCTGCCTTGGCCTCCCAAAGCGCTGGGATTACAGGTGTGAGCCACCACGCCTGGCCAACATAGCTCTTTTGAGCAATAGTTTCATCAGAAGTAAAGGGACTGAATGAGATTATCTTTAAAATCTCTTTAAGTTCTAAGATTCTCTACATGCCAAAGAAGAGGTACACATCCACTAACAAGATGACCTGAACAACAAGATATTCTGATAAAACCTTGGGAACCAGAATTAGCACTTGCCTCAAAAATAACCACCTTGACCAAAGAGAAGAAGTTATTCAATCCATTCGTACTTTAAATATCAACCCTGGGGAAAAAAAATCATACGAGAATTTCAGTCTAATTTAAAATCAAGGACCAATATTACTAATTACTTAATCTTCGCTTCTCAGCTTATCACTCCTGTGAGATGGCCGTTTTACATGCATTACCCTCTTCCTCAATTTTGTCCTCAGTATTACTCCCAGTGAAGTGGTGTGTGTGTGTGTGTGTGTGTGTGTGTGTGTGTGTGTGTCTAATTACACAATTAGCAAGTTACAGAGGGTAAGATGGAATGAGGGCCTCTTGGTAATCAACAATTTGTTCAACTTACAGCCAACTGTGGGCCAGGTATTTTTATTGTCTGAGATATTTAGGAATCTTCTGCAGCTGCCTTTTAGGAGAAAAGTACTTTATATAAATATATCATATACAGGACTGAAATCTGCCCTGAGTGTCCAGATCTGGACACCAAATAGATTAGTCATTAATTGTATAGTGGTTAACAGCATGGGCTTTGGAGCCAAACCCCTTGAATTCCAATTCTTACCATGCTACTTACTGGCTCTATAACCGTGGACAAATTACTTAACCTTATGGGGATCATTATTAAGATTAAATGAATTAATACATACATGTAAAGATATAATTATGATCTTCTCCTCCTAGTTTGATAAAGAATACCAGAATCTAAGAATATCCTATAGGCCGGGCACAATGCCTCATGCCTGTAATCCCAGCACTTTGGGAGGCCAAGGTGGGTGGATTGCCTGAGGTCAGGAGTTTGAGACCAGCCTGACCAACAAGGTGAAACCCCCGTCTCTACTAAAAATACAAAAAAAATTAGCTGGGCATGGTGGCGGGCACCTGTAATCCCAGCTACTTGGGAGGCTGAGGCAGGAGAGTCACTTGAACCCAGGAGGCAGAGGTTGCAGTGAGCCAAGATCGCATCATTGCACTCCAGCCTGGGCAACAAGAGTGAAACTCTGGCTCAAAAAATACATATATAAATAAAAAGAATATCCTATAAAAGTATTAAAACAGCACTTTTAAGTAAAACTCACACTTCCCTCCATTTAAGTCCTCCTATAAAGTAATATATCTATACATATTTCAGTGGGAGGGTCAGTACTTATGAAAACAAATACATACAAGTAGTTTAAAGGATAGTTTTAATATGAGTAAATGCACTTTTATGCTCAACTATTTTATACTCCAGTGACACTGCAGACCTCCCAAATTCTCTCTAGTTAAAATGAGATAACTCAGAAGTTAATACAGCCTCTACATAAGACCTTTCACCACCAAATATTTTAAGATTCTGCCAAGCATCAGGCCATAGTTATAGAATGTTTTAACTTAATGAAATTGTAGGGTATAATCTCTACAGAATGGGCCTCAAGCCTAACTAAGTGATCTCCAAAAATATGCCAACCCCTTTATCCCCCCACACCATTATGGACCAAACAATTACAGTTCCATTGACCCTCATAGCTTACTGAAGTTATATGAAAGAACGGAAAGATGTGGGTCACATTCCAATAATCAATTGTGTGACCTAACCAAAAGGACCTATTCGCTCAGTCTCACGTCCTCCACCTGTAGAGATACCTATGCTGTGACATACTGAAAGAATTAAAGGAGAGGGTGAATGAAATGTCCCCTCTATGCCCACTAGCACATGGCACTTCTCAATTCATGTTCATTTCTCCTTCTTTATTTGAAGTGGTGAAAGAAATCAGAAGCAATTTAAGACTTTTCACAGCACTGTTTGATCTCATTTCTTAATATTTTTGACAAAAACCATCTACAGGTTAAGCTGTGGAATCTCAACATAAATGCACATTTTTAGTGTTCCTTCAGCTTTACTTCAAAACCACTACGGGAATTAAAATACGGTAGGAATAATCTTCTGACAGAATAGGAATGACATAACTTTTAGAATAAATGCCCACTTCAGAGTAAATAAGAAGATAAAGGAGGTATCATCATAAGTTGATGAGAATCCTATGATCACTACCACTTTCTGGAAGTAGCTCCCAGAAATATTAAAATCTAGTAATTTTAATTGACTCAAACATCATTTTTAGTAAACATTCTGGTATCCAAAAGCATGAGACTAAACAATGATATTGAAAAGATTAATATTATTTGGAAATGTATTCCACAACTAATTTATTCTGGGCCTACCTGCAGGGATAGTCGTCCCAAAATTAAACGTTCTATAGGTACAAAGTAATTTTAAAACTGGATGTTTTAATTTCAAAACTTATAAATTTTCTGAGCCAAAGCATTCTCTTCCATGTATAGAACTAGGGTTTTAACCAAATACTTGGTTGAAAGCTGTACAAATCCAAACATAATTGAAGTCTTGATTCTGCCACTTTCAAGAGTGGGTGGTACAGATTCTTCTCATTCATAACATTAGTTTCTAGCTGATGTGGTTCGTTATTCAAAGAACACTTAACAGTCCTTCATAAAATGGTAGATTCAGTCTAAGGACTAAGAGTAGAACATTCTGGAATAACAATAACGTTTACAAACACCACTTACCATTTGGTCCTAGGTTTTCATAAAAAATTGATATAGGCAGCAGATGTATACAGAACACCCTAGTTGAGGCCAGTTTAAGTGTAAAATACCCACATACTCAAAGCCTAAGAACAATTTACTTAAGACAAAACAATGTTGGAGAAATTGCCCAATATCACAAATGTAGCAGTCACCCCTAAACAGTGTTTTTGATTAATGACAACCAATTTCCTTCAATCTTAAAGGCAACCAATTCAAGCCAGTAGGTTAAATCCTTGAAGTATACTGCAATGCTACTCCTTTTTTCCAGGGAATCAGATGAGAATTTTGTGCTAAGAACTTATCAGGAAAATGGAAGTAACGAAAATTAACACGCCAAAATATGAGTATAAGAAATATAAGCCTCCTTAATAATCAGCCAAGAAAAAAATAATCAGGTTATGTCTCCTCCCACCCATTCTTTCTGTCTTAACCTTCTGCAAAAGCCGGCTGGATTCAGAGTAGAAATAAACGAATTTTACAATGAGTCGAGTACCACCAAAAATCAAAAGTGGGAGCTTACTCGTCCTCCAGGTCTGACCCGCCTCCAGCCCGAGGCCACCAAAAGACACACCTCCCTTCCCCCAACCCGCCACAGCCGGCTCTACAGGTAACAGGCGTTT
Organism: Homo sapiens; assembly: GCF_000001405.40. NCBI lineage: Eukaryota > Metazoa > Chordata > Mammalia > Primates > Hominidae > Homo > Homo sapiens. The sequence goes on from NC_000013.11 coordinate 21,458,612, forward strand.
CTTCTCGCGCAGTTTGAACAAAAACAATCCAGAAGGAACAGATTTGGTTTTTTAAAAAAAATGAACAAAAGCCAAAAAAGCCACAAACACAACCTAAACCTTCTAAGAAGCTCGACTACTCCCGTTCTGCACGTTCCTTCCCAGAAGGATGCAGACCCCCGGTGTCGGCGGGAACCAGGAAGCTCTTGGGGCCTCCCTGGGCCAGACCTGCACCCGGGAAGCCGCCGCAAGGCTTCAGGAGCCCCAGGTCGCCCCAAGGCCGCGCCGCAGGATTGAACAAAGCGGCGGGTGCAGCAACCTCGGCGCTTCCGAGCGCGTTCGGGGCCGGACGCCCGGCGTCCGGCGCTGGCTCCAGAAAGGCGGCGGGTGTGGGGCGCAGAGGCCTATCTCGCGCCCTAGCCGCGGCCCGCGCCCCGCCGCAGTCCCCGGGGACGGTACTCACACACGCAGAGCTCCACCACGTACGCGTAGTAGGACCAGACGACCACGAAGGTGATGAAGAGCACCGGCACCCAGCCCACGACGCGCTGGCAGCAGCGCCACAGCGTCCAGGGCGCCATGTTCCGCTGGCGGCTGCCGAGCCCCGCGTCCCACCGTTCTGGGGAGCGCGGGAGCCCCGGCGACGGTGACTCGGACGCTCCAGGCGGCTGCTGGTCCAGCTCCCCCGCCTCCGAGGCAGGACTTGTGGGAGCAAAAGTCCGAGGCGCCGCCGGGACTCCTCCCGTCCCGGCGCCCAGCCAGGCCCCGCCCCCACCCCACATCCCGTCGCCCCCCTCCCCCCGCGTCCGTCCCCGCCAGCCCGCCCGCCGCGGGCCGCGGGCCGCCCCCGGTCTCCGCGTCGTTGGGGCGGGGTTTCCGCGGCCGGGGAGGCGGTGAGGGGGCGGGGCCGCAGCTCGGGACCGCCCATGGGGCGTGGCGGGGCTGGATGCGGACAGGCTGGGCGGACGCGGGAGGCCGGGGAAGGAGAGGCGAAAAACACGCCCTTGATGGATGAGAGGGACAGGGGATAGCTTTTGTGGATCGAGACTCAATAGGGGAGGGAGACTATGGAAATGATTCCTTAGCTGATTTGTGGATCTTGGCCCTCTCTGTGTACAGAACTCGCTCCACTGGGGTTCCTGGGACATTGAGTAGTTGGGGCACTGTTTCAAACATGACAAGGCCATTCCCCACTCAGTGTGCGAAGAATGCACATTGTTAGAAGGCTCCTCCTGTGATTTTTATGTTCGTCCATCTTGGCGGAACCCCTCCCTTTCTTGAAGATGGAACGGTAGATACCTGTAATTTCGGGTAGAAGCCATGTAGGGTCCATCAGTTTGATTCGTAACCCAAATTTAAGATTGAGTAGCGAGAAGGAAAGGGCATGTAAATGACCCTCTCCTTGCCCCGCAAACGACTAAGGAAATTTAAAGAATTTATTTACAACTAGAGGTTGCTAAGCAATGACGATAATCATATAGAACCCAGAAGCATCACTGTGAAGACTTCACAATGCAAGGTCAGACGCATTAGAAGGGATTCCAGACCGCAATCTTCATACCAGTTCCTGCTACTAGCATTCAGTTTTGGTTAGAATGAATTTTTGTGTTTGTTTTTTGAAACAGGGTCTTCTCGCTCTGTCGCCCAAGCTGGAGTGCAGTGGCACGACCTGGGCTCATTTAAGCCTCGACCTCCCTGCTAAAGCACTCCTCCTGCTTCAGCCTGCAGAGTAGCAGGGACTACAGGCCCGCCACCATGCCCAGCTGATGTTTGTATTTTCTGTAAAAACTAGGTTTCGCCCTGTTGCCATGCTGGCCCTGAACTCCAAGGCTCAAGGAATCCCAACCCCTCTCCGCCTCCACCTCCCAAAGAAGTGCTGAGATTACAGGTGTGAGCCACCACGACCGGCCTACACTGAGCTTTAAATTAGCTACTGCTCACTAAAGTCTCCATGAAGAAGACGTCACCCTTTGCTGTGTCAGAGAAATGTAGTAAAAGCGAGTAAGTATTTAATCACTGCACACTGCTGCTTGAGTAATAAAGCATGTATAAAAGATTCTGTTCTCCCTGATTTTGTGCCTTAAAAGTCATATTAGTTAGTGGCCTAGTTGACAGTAGGTTTAGGTTCAAGTTCAACTAGTTTTCCAGAGAGGCTGCTTAGGAGGGTTAGACCTCAACATAGAATTCGGATGGACATGGAAGAACATAAAGCCGTTTCTCCTCTATGTCATCTCTACGTACCAAAACCATGCTGCTAGAGCTCAGCACAAAGCCATGTCCTTTACAAGCTCCAGGGCTGCTAGAAATGATCTTTCACGACATTTTGTTTATAACCTAACTATAAAACTGTCACATTCGTTTCCTAGGGTGACTATAACAAAGTACCACAAAACTGGGGAATAATAGAAATTGGTTGTCTCACAGTTTAGGAGGGTAGGTGTCCCAAATCAAAGTGTTGGCAAGGATATTGGATATGGTTTGGATGTTTGTCCCCTCCAAATCCCATGTTGAAATGTGATCCCAGTGTTGGAGGTGGGACCTGGTGGGAGGTATTGGATCATTAGGGTGGATCCCTCATGAATGGTTTAGTGCCATCCCCTTGGATGAGGGGTTCTTTCTCTAGTAGTTCACATGAGATCTGGTTATTTAAAAGAGCCTGATCCTTCCCCCACTCTCTCTCTTGCCCCCTCTCTTGCCATGTGACATGCTGGCTCCCCTTTGCCTTCTGCCGAGAAGGCAGAAGTCTATCTCTGTGGTCCTGTGTCTTCAGAGATAAGGATGTTCCTTTGTCTGGGTAGAGGGAGGGCACCTCTTGAATAACAGTCTTAGGTCTGCCTTCAGGGGAAGGCCTGAGACGCTTTTGCTAGTGCTATGGCCTGCTTCAGGGGAGAAGAGCGAGAGGAAGGTGAGAGGGACCTTCCTGTTGCTGTTGTCTCCAATGTTGTCTCCAACTGATGATTGGAAGCTTCTTGAGGCCTCACCAGAAGCATATGCTGACCCCATACTTTCTGTACAGCCTGGAGAGCTGTGGGCCAATTAATCCACTTTTCTTTATAAATTACCCAGTCTCAGGTATTCCTTTATATCAGTGCAAGAATGACCTAACACAGCCATGTGCCCTCTGAAACTTGTAGGGGAGAATTCTTCTTTGCTTCTTCCTAGCCTTTGGTGGTGACCATTAGTCCATGGCATCCCTTGACCTGCAGTGGCAGTGGCATCACCCCAATATCTACCGCTATCCTCAGGTGGCATTCTCCTTTCCTGTCTCTCCCCTTATATTGGGTTAAGGGCCTACCCTACTCTAGTATGGCCTCATCTTAACTAATTACATCTACAACAGGCCCACTTCCAAATAAGGCCACATTCTTTTTTTTTTTTTTTTCAGTAGAGTCTTGCTCTGTCACCCAGGTTGGAGTGCGGTCACGTGATCTTGGCTCACTGCAACCTCCACCTCCCAGCTTCAAGTGATTCTCATGCCTCAGCCTCCCGAGTAGCTGGGATTACAGGCGTGCACCACCACGTGAGGCCTGCATTTTGTATTTTTGCTAGAGATGGGGTTTCCCCATGTTGGCCAGGCTGGTCTCAAACTTTTGGAGTCAAGTGATTTGCCTGCCTCGGCCTTCCAAAGTGCTGGGATTACAGGCCTAAGCCACCTCGCTCAGCCAATAGTTTTGATACTCATTGAAATATGTGATCTTGCCTACTACCTTGTAAGGTTCTAGAAGGTAGAAAGTATTTCTTGCACATCCACAGTGACTTGCAGTAGGAAATATTTAGTAAGAAATTGTTGAACAAATATTTAAAGTTTTCTATTGTTATCCAGTTACTCCTCCTAACTTCTGGCGTTGCCAACCAGATTACATTAGCTTGTGATTTCTTTTTTTTCTTTTTCTTTTTTTTTTTTTTGAGACAGAGTCTTGCTGTGTTGCCAGGCTGGAGTGCAGTGGTGCAATCTCAGCTCCCTGCAACCTCCGACTCCCTGGTTCAAGCGATTCTCCTGCCTCAGCCTCCCCAGTAGCTGGGATTACAGGCACACACAACCACGCCCAGCTAATTTTTTGTATTTTTTGTGAGCCACCGTGCCCGACCAGTTTCTGATTTCTAAATGACTGCCACATATTCTAAGGTGATTTATGTGGGATCTAGAGAATATTTCTGATCTATGTCCTTGTACAATGAGGACAGACACATTTTTGAGGAGGCAATATTTTTATTATTTTGGACTCTTTCTGTCGTAAATGGTTACAGACATGAATTAATGTTCTTTGCTTGTGAGCAATAGAAGCCAGTATCTTAAACCCCTTCCTTCCATTTCCATGTTGGGCTTGTGATTTCACTCCATCTTTGCTACTGGTTTTGACAACAGGGAATCATTTAAAGACTTTAGGCAGTGTAGTGACGTGAGCAGAATTACATTTTATAACAATCACTCTGGCTGTGGTAAGAAGAACAGATTGGAGGGAGGAAAGTCTAGAGGCAAGGAAACCAGTTGGGAGGCCGTTGCAGTCGTAGAGCAAGAGATGATGCTAGCCTGACCTTGATTTGTGGCAGTGGAGAAGGTAATAAGAAAGCTACTTAGGGCTGGGTGCGATGGCTCACGCCTGTGGGCCCAGCACTTTGGGAGGCCACAGTGGGCAGATCACCAGGTCAGGAATTTGAGACCAGCCTGTCCAACATGGTAAAACCCCATCTCTACTAAAAATACAAAAAAAAAAAAAAAAAATTAGCTGGGCATGGTGGCGGGGCGCCTGTAATCCCAGCTGCTCCGTAGGCTGAGGCAGGAGAATTGCTTGAGCCTGGGAGGTGGAAGTTGCAGTGAGCTGGGATCACGCCATTGCACTCCAACCTGGGCAACAGAGCAAGACTCTCTCCAAAAAAAAACAAGGAAGCTACTTAGGACTTCAGGCCAGCTTTGATGTACCCACTGTACTCCAAAACATAGCAATGGTAGATAGAAAACAAAAGACAAAGTCAGCCTCAAACCCTCATCCCCAACCTCTATCCCTTTCCATTCTCTAACAAAAGAGAATTGTGCTGATTGATCTCTAGGATAATGGCTTTTCATGGAGACTGGAGGACACCATGCAGCTCCCCAACCTGGAAGTAAACCAAGCTGCCAACTAGCCTGGGGACTAGATCTGTGGTTTCCCCATTATAACCACCATCCAGGAACCTGAAAATACCATTTTAAATTCTAGTTCTGGACTGAGAGCTGGGGAAGAATGAGGGCAAGTAGAGGCAGCTATGAAACGATTAGACGGGGTTTATGGAAACCATGTACATATAAATGTGGAAAGAGTGAAGAAGAAAATACAAACAATTCACTAGTTCAAAATTAAACCACAATTTTAAAACACATGAAGAGATCTAATACTGAAAAAGGATGCAAATAAAAATCAACAATCAGAACTAGAGTTCACTCAAAATAAAATTAATTATATGAAGCAGTCTGATGAAGACTTTTAAAAACAGTATTCAGCATGCTTGTACAAAGAAGTAAATGAAGGAATATCTTCCATTTGAAAATTGCACAAAATTTGGAAACAAAATAATAGACAAAAATGGGAAAAGAACAGGTAGATTTGGCTGGGCGCAGTGGCTCATGTCTATAATCCCAGCACTTTGGGAGGCTGAGGTGGGTGGATCACGAGGTCAGGAGTTCAAGACCAGCCTGGCCAAGATGGTGAAATCCCGTCTCCACTAAAAATACAAAAATTAGCCGGGCATGGTGGCGGGCACCTGTCATCCCAGCTACTCGGGAGGCTGAGGCAGGAGAATTGCTTGAACCTGGGAGGCGGAGGTTGCAGTGAGCTGAGATTGCACCACTGCACATCAGCCTGGGCGACAGAGCGGGACTCCGTCTAAGAAAAAAACAAAAAACAAACAAACAAAAAACAACAGGTGGATTTGAAAAATAATAACTACAAGTCTTTGAAATAGAAAATATTGCTGTCAAATTTAAAACTTAATAGACAGAATAAAATTCCAATCTGGACATTGTGGAAGAGGGACTTGGCACACAAGGTCCTGGGTCTTGCTTCCTGCAGCAGTGAGCTGAATCTTACTGTGCAGCCCTTTGAATATGTCAACTCATCCAAGTGGCGGAGGGGTGGGCTGGAATATATGAAAAAACATAGGCTGGGCACGGTGGCACACACCTGTAATCCCAGCACTATGGGAGGCCGAGGCAGGTGGATCACCTGAGGTCAGGAGTTCAAAAGCAGCCTGGCCAACATGGCAAAACCCCGTCTCTACTAAAAATACAAAAAATTAGCTGGGCGCCTGTAATCCCAGCTACTCAGGAGGCTGAGGCAGGAGAGTTGCTTGAACCCATGGGGTGGAGATTGCAGTAAGCCAAGATCGCGCAACTGCACTCCAGTTTGGGTGACAGAGTGAGACTCTGTCTCAAAAAAAAAAAAGACAAACCCATAAAACCATGTTTTTGTCTTTCTACTGATGGGGTTCAGGACATGTTACCCCAATATATGGCACCTTGGCATTTGAGGGAACAACCAGAACAAGAAGGTGTCTCTGACCCATCCTTCCCTCCTAAAGCAGGCCATAAAAGAATTCTCTGAAGTAGGCCATAAGACCCTCATTAGGGAGGTGCCCTCCCTATATTTGGAAGTATATCCTTCAAGACACAGAGATGCCAACAACCTGAACCAAACTGGCCTTGCTAATTCCCCCCTATTTCATTGCTATTTGTCCTCCAATCATAATTCTACATGACTGTCCATAAAAAACTCAGTTTGTCCTGTTTTTTGGGTTTTCATTTCTGAAAGCTCCTGTGTCACATAAAACTTAAATAAATGTGTATGCTTTCCTCTTGCTAATCTGTCTTTTATGACAGGTGCCTCAGCTATGAAATGTGCACTGGGTGAGAAATCTTTTCTCCCCTACACTACCAACTATCAAAATTGAGAACTTCAGAAGGGCCACGTCTTGCTTTAGGAACAAGTGAGTTAGGGAAAATTGCAAGTCCGCACTCTTTAGTGATGCTCTGGGAAGGGAGAGAAGGAAAGGGAGCAGGTTTAGGGCGGGATGAGGAAGAAAAGAAGGGATGTGGAGCCGGTTCAGGAAGCAGAGGCATTACCTGTGGCTGGAAACCCAGTTTGCTCACTCCTTTAACCTTCCTCCGTGTACATCCTGCCCTCAACTCTCACCTGGATTAGCTCACAGCCTCCCCTCTGCTACCCCCACACACCCCTGCCCTCCTCCAGCCTTCTGTAAACACTCTTTCATTCCTGTGCTCGCCCAGAAACAAACCTGTTCTGATAACCTTCTTTGTGCTAAGCACTCGGGAACACAGAGAGAAAATGTTTGCTCTTGTGCAGCTTTGGTTCTTTCTTTGTTTTCCCTTTGCCTCCGGTCCACAGAGTGAGCCTTTAGAAAATTAAATCTGCTTCATACACTTGAATGGTCCGAATGATGAGGCATTAACGAAGGCTTCGTAGGCCCTGCAGCTCAGCTGCCTTCCTGCCCCACCTCATCTCCATAGCCCTTCCTTCTAGACGGCCTGCCCCAAGCCTGCGTTTCTCTGTGAACCTCAGCACACATTTGCACAGGTCATGCTGTTCCATCTGGGAGCTCTGCCTGCAAAATTTTGGCCCCTTCCTCCTCACCCCAGATTCCCCACCCCTCCCTCAGACCTGGCTTCCTACTAAGGGATAAGAAATAAAAATACCCTCCCCGCAACCTGACTGATCAGATTCCTCCCTTGGGCAAGAGGACCCCACAGAACCCTTAAAAACGGGGTACCTCACCATGATGGGATGGTAGCGTCACATGCCTCATTACAGCCCCTCCCTTTTGTGGATTAAACACAACTGACCAGCATTAATGGTAAAATAGAGATCATAAGACTGACAGAATGGAGTCTTTGTGGCAATAAGATACCAAATTATAAACAAGACCATGCCAGGCAAGGGTTAAGTGGTGAACCCCTACATTTAAAGAATAAATTATGCTCTAACTGCCACAAGGGATTTTGTTTGTTTATTTTTTTCTCTAGCAGCGAAACAAGCACTGGCCTGGAGATAAGCAGTATCGAAACAATTACAACTCCTCTGACCTCCACACACTGCCTACCTGCCCCCCACACCCTCTTTCCACCAGCCGTAGCTACAGCTTTGATTGGACAAGAGACTGATTTCAGTACCTTTCTCCTGGTAAGAGACCACTGACCACGGACTGGCTTTGGCTGGTTCACAGAGGCTGTGCACTGAGTGCCTTTGCATCCCTGACTCACTTTTTGACGTATAGGGCTTGACTGTAATGCACTGAAATATTAAGGCTTGTCTACGGCCATACGACCTGAATGTGCCTGATCTCATCCGAAATATTAAGGTTCCACTTCAAGGTGAACATGGGTCACATGTAACATATATGTTTATCTAGTCTGCATGCATTAGGCCTCCCTCACAAATATCTGTAAGATTATCCTGTAACCTACTGAATATGTACATATAGCTAATCTCATTGGGCACAAATCACAGCCTCTCCTTTTTTTCTCTAAAGTGCCTACTTTTTGTCTCTGAGAGAGGATGTGTTTCCCAGCCTGTCAGGATGACCACGTGCAGGCTGCAACCCTTTATAGGAAATGCAGCTCTTCTCTCCAAGTTTATAGATCTCATGATTTTTTTAACTTTTAATTTTTGTGGGTACATAGTATGTATATCTATTTATGGAATATATATGATATTTTGATATAGGCATACAATGTGTAATAATCACATTAGGGTAAATGAGGCATCCATCTCCTCAAGCATTCATCTTTTGTGTTACAAACAATTCAATTATAATCTTTTAGTTATTTTTTCTTTTTTTGAGACAGAGTCTCGCTCTGTCGCCCAGGCCAGAGTGCAGTGGCAGGATCTCGGCTCACTGTAACCTCTGCCTCCCAGGTTCAAGCAATTCTCCCGCCTCAGCCTCCCGAGTAGCTGGGACTACCAGCACCCGCCATCAAGACTGGCTAATTTTATTTTTTTCTTTTTCTTTTTTTTTTGAGACAGAGTCTCACTCTGTAACCCAGGCTGGAGTGCAGTGGTACAATCATGGCTCAGTGTAAATGGGATTACTTTTTTGATTTCCAGATTGTTCACTGTTGGCATGTAGAAATGCTACTGATTTTCGTATGTTGATTTTGTATCCTGCAACTTTACTGAATTTATCAGTTCTAATAGTTTTTTGGTGGAGTGTTTAGGTTTTTCCAAGTATAAGATAATATCATTTGCAAACAGGGATAATTTGACTTCTTCCTTTCCAATTTGATTGCTTTTTTTTTCTTTCTTTTGATTGATTGCTGTAGCTGGAATTTCAGTATTTTGTTGAATAACAGTGGTGAGAGTGGGCATCCTTGTCATGTTCCAGATCTTAGAGGAAAGGCTTTCAGTTTTCTCCCATTCAGTGTGATACTAGCTGTGGGTCTGTCATATATAGTTTTTATTATGTTGAGGTATGTTCCTTTTTTTTTTTTTTTTTTTTGAGACAGGGTCTCACTCTGTAACCCAGAGTGGAGTGCAAGAGCATGATCTCAGCTCACTGCAACCTCCACTTCCCAGGTGCAAGCAATTCTCCAGCCTCAGCCTCCTGAGTAGCTGGGACTACAGGCATGAGTCACAAATGCCCAGCTAATTTTTGTATTTTTTGTAGAGACGGGGTTTTGTCATATTGCCCAGACTGATCTCTAACTCCTGAACTCAAAGCAATTCACCCACCTTAGCCTCCTAAAGTGTAGGGATTACAGGTGTGAGCCACAACACCCAGCTAGAGGTATGTTCCTTCTATACCCAGTTGTTTGAGGGTTTTTATAAGGAAGGGATGTTGTATTTTGTCAATTGATTTTTTAGCATCAGTTGAAATGATTATATGGCTTTCATCCTTTATTCTGTTGATATGATGTATCACATTGATTGATTTGCATATGTTGAACCATCCTTGCATACCTGGGATAAATCCTACTTGGTCATGATGGATGATGTTTTTTTTTTTGAGATGGAGTTTTGTGCTTGTTGCCCAGGCTGGAGTGCAGTGTCACTATCTCAGCTCACTGCAACCTCAGCCTCTCAGGTTCCAGTGATGTTCCTACCTCAGCCTCCTGAGCTGGGATTACAGGCACCCACCTCCAAGCCCGGCTAATTTTTGTATTTTTAATAGAGACGGGTTTCACCATATTGGCCAGGCTGGTCTCGAACTCCTGACCTCAGGTGATTCCCCAACCTCAGCCTCCCAAAGTGCTGGGATTACAGACATGAGCCACTGCACCCAGCTTTAAGCCACTGCACCGGGCCTGATGTTTTTAATGTGTTGTTGAATTTGGTTTGCTAGTATTTTGTTGAGCATTTTTACATCAATATTCATCAGAGATTAGCCTGTAGTTTTCTTCTTTTGATGTGTCTTTGTCTGGTTTTAGTATCAGGGTAATACTGGCCTCATAGAATGAGTTTGGAAGTATTTCCTTCTTTATTTCTAGGAAGAGTTATTATGGCTTTAATCTAAAGGAAATAATTTTCACTTGTTACTGGTCTGTGCAGGTTTTGGATGTCTTCATGGTTCAATCTTGGTAGTTTGTATATGTCTAGGAATGTATCCATTTCTTCTAGGTTTTCCAATTTATTGGCATATAGTTGCTCATAGTAGCCATAAGGATCCTTTGAATTTCTGCAGTATCAGGTGTAATTTTCCTTTTTCACCCCTATTTTATTGATTTGGGTTTTGTCTCTTTTTTTTTTCTTAGTCTGGCTAGAGATTTGTCAGTTTGTTGATCTTTTCAAAAAGCCAACTTTTCATTATATTGATCTTTTGTGTTGTTTTCTTTGTTTCACTTATTTCTGCTCTGATCTTTATTAGTTCTTTTCTTCTACTAACTTTGGGTTTGATTTGCTCTTGCTTTTCTAATTCTTTAAAATGCATCATTAGGTTGGTTATTTAAAATTTTCCTTCTTTTTTGATATTGGCACTTATAGCTCTAAACTTCCTTCTTATTACTGCTTTTGCTATGTCCCATAGGTATTGGTATGTTGTGTTTCCATTATTGTTTGTTTCAAGAAAATTTTCAATTTTCTTCTTAATCTCTTCATTGACCCACTTGTCATTCAGGAGCATATTGTTTAATTTCCATGTGTTTGTAGTTTCCAAAATTATTCTGTTATTGATTTCTATATATATATATTTTTTGAAACAGAGTTTCACTCTTGTTACCCAGGCGAGTGCAATGGCACGATCTCAGCTCACCACAACCTCTGCCTCCTGGATTCAAGTGATTCTCCTGCCTCAGCCTCCCGAGTAGCTGGGATTATAGGCATGCACCACCAGGCCTGGCTAATTTTGTATTTTTAGTAGAGATGGGGTTTCTCCATGTTGGTCAGGCTGGTCTTGAACTCCTGACCTCAGGTGATCTGCCCGCCTTGGCCTCCCAAAGTGCTGTGATTACAGGCATGAGCCACCGCTCCTGGCAAGTTTCTAGTTTTATTCCATTGTGGTCAATGAAGATACTTGATATTATTTCCATTTTTTCAATATTTTAAGACCTGTTTTGTGTCCTAACATATGGGCTATCCTTGAGAATGATCCATGTGCTGAGAAAAGAATTGTGTAGTTATTGGATGAAATGTTCTGTAAACATCTATTAGGTCCACTTGTGCTATAATGCAGATTAAATCTGATGTTTCTTTGTTTGCTTTTTCTTTTTTTTTTTTTTTTTTGAGACAGGGTCTGGCTCTGTTGCCCACGCTGGAGTGCAGTGGTGCGATCTCAGCTCACTGCAACCTCTGCCTCCTGGGCTCAAGCAGTCCTCCCACCTCAGCCTCCTGAGTAGCTGGGACTACAGGCACATGCAACCACACCCAGCTAATTTTCGTATTTTTTTGTAGAGATGGGGTTTTGCCATGTTGCCCAGCTGGTCTCAAACTCTTGAGCTCAAGCAATCCACCTACCTTGACCTCCCAAAGTGCTAGGATTACAGATGTGAGCCACCACGCCTGGCCTTCTTTGTTAATTTTCTGTCTCAACAATCTGTCCAATGCTGAAAGTGGAGCATTAAAGTCTCCAGCTATTATTGTATTGGGATCTATCTATCTGTAATAATATTTGCTTTGTATATCTGGTTGCTCCAGTGTTGGGTGCATACATATGTACAATTGTTATGTCCTCTTGCTGAAGTGACCCCATTACCATTATATAATGACCTTTTAAATCTCTTTTTATAGTGTTTGTCTTGAATCTATTTTGTCTGGTATAATTATAGCTATTCTTGCTCTTTTTTGGTTTCCATTTGCATGGAATATCTTTTCCATCCCTTTATTTTCAGTCTATGTGCATCTTTGTAGGTGAAGTGTGTTTCTTGTAGGCAGCAGATTGTTGGGTCTTGTTTTTTAATCCATTCAGCCACTCTATGTCTTTTGATTGGAGAATTTAGTCCATTCATGTTTAATGAATGTTATTATTGATAAGTAAGGATTTATTCCTGCCATTTGATTAATTTGTTTTCTGGCCTTTTCCTTCTTCTTTTCTCCCTTCTTGTCTTCCTTTTAGTGAAGGTGATTTTCACTTGTTTTCACCATGTCTGGCCAAAAAAGGATGTTAATGAGCAATAAGAAATTATTTGAAGGTATAAAATTCAGTTAATAGTAAGTAACAAAGAAAAACATGGAACAGTATAACACTATAATTCTGGTGTGTAAATTACTCATACCCTAAGTAGAAAGATTAAAAGGTAAACAGAACCACCACGGCTGGCTAATTTTTTGTATTTTTGGTAGAGACGGAGATGGGGTTTCACCATGTTAGCCAGGATGGTCTCAATCTTCTGACCTGGCGATCTGCCTGCCTCGGCCTCCCAAAGTGCTGGGATTACAGGCGTGAGCCACCATGCCCAGCTGAAATCTTTCAGCTTTTATTTGTCTGGGAAAGTCTGTATTTCTCCTTCATGTTTGAAGGATATTTTCACTAGATATGCCATCCTAAGGTAAAAATTTTTCTCCTTCAGCACATTAAATACGTTGTGCCACTCTCTCCTGGCCTGAAAAGTTTCCACTGAAAAGTCTGCTGTCAGTGGTATTGGAGCTCCATTTTATGTTTCTTTCCTCTTGCTGCTTTTAGGATCCTTTCTTTGTCTGTCCTTGACTTTCAGGAGTTTGATTATTAAATGCCTGGAGCCAAATCTGCTTGGTGTTCTATAGCCTTCTTGTTCTTGAATATTGATATCCTTCTCTAGATTTGGGAAGTTCTCTGTTATTATCCTTCTGAATAAACGTTCTACTCCTATCTTTCCCTCTACCTCCTCTTTAAGGCCAAAAACCCTTAGACTTTCCCCTTTGAGGCTATTTTCTAGATCTTATAGGTGTGCTTCATTCTTTTTTTATTGTATTTTTCTTTTGTCTCCTCTGACTATATTTTCAAATAGCCTGTCCTCAAGCTCACTAATTCTTCTGCTTGATCAATTCTGCTATCAAGAGATTCTGATGCATCCTTTAACATGTCCATTGCATTTTTCAACTCCAGAATTTCTGCTTAATTCTTTTTAATTATTTCAATTTTTTTGTTAAACGTATTTGCTAGGATTCTGACTTCCTTCTCTATGTTATTTTGAATTTCTTTGAGTTTCCTCAAATAAGCCAATTTGAATTCTGTCTGAAAGATCACATAGCTCTGTCTCTCCAGGATTAGCCCCTGGTGCCCTACTTAGTTCATTTGGTGAGGTCATGTTTTCCTGGATGATCTTGATGCTTGCAGATGTTTGTTGGTGTCTGGGCATTGAAGTGTTAGGTATTTATTGTAGTCTGCGCAGTCTGGGCTTGTTTGTACCTGGCCTTTTTTGGGAAGTCTTTTCAATTTGAAGGGACTTAAGTGTTGTGATCTAAGTTTTTGGTCACTGTAGCTGTATCTGCATTAGGAGGCATGCCAAGCCCAGTAACACTGTGGTTCTTACAAACTTGTAGAGGTATCGCCTTGGTAGTCTTGGATAAGATCCGGAAGAATTCTCTGGACTACCAGGTAGAGACTCTTGTTCTCTTCCCTTATTTTCTCCCAAACAGATGGAGTCTCTTTCTTTGTGCTGAGCTCCCTGGAGCTGGGGGAGTGGTAACACAAGCACCCCTGTGGCTACCATCACTGGGACTGTGCTGGATCAGACTTGAAGCCAGCACACCACTGGGTCTTGCCCAAGGCCTGCTGTAACCACTACCTGGCTACCCTCTATGTTTGCTCAAGGCCCTGGGGCTCTACAATTAGCAGGTAGTAAAGTCAGCCAGTCAGTCTCATGTCTTTCTCTTCAGGGTAGTGAGGTCCCCCAGACTCTGGTTGGGTCCAGAGGTGCTGTCCAGGAGCCAGGGCCTGGAGTCGAAAACCTTAGAAATTTACCTTGCACTCTATTCTACTGTGGCTAAAACCACAAGACAAAGTTCTTCCCCCTCTTTCCTCCCCTTTCCCCAGGCAGAGGAGTCTCTCCCCATGTCTACCACCACCACAGGCCCACAGGGAGTACTGTCAGTGAACAACTGCTGTTCAGTTAAGGCCCAAGGGCCGTTTACTCCGCTTATGATGAATGCTGCCAAGCCTGGGACTCACCCTTCAGGACAGTGGGCTCCCCTCTGACCCAGGGTATGTCCAGAGATGCCATCTAAGAGCCAAGGCCTGCTACTGGGGACCCATAAATCCCACGTGGTGCTCTCCCCCACTGTGACCGAGCTGGTATCTAAGCTGTAAGCTTCCCTCTCCTTTTCTCAAGCAAAAGGAGTCTCTTCTTGTAGCCACCACAGCTTTGAATATGCAGGTCACACCTGAAACCAGCATGTCTCAAGTCTCACCCAAGGCCTATGGTGTGTATTACCTGGTTACCGCTACTGATTATTCAGGGCCCAAGGGCTCTTTGGTCAGCAAGTGATGAATCCTGCCAGGACTGGGTCCTTTCCTTCAAGGCAGTGGGTTTCTTTCCGGCCCATAGTGTGTCTGGATATGTCATCTGGGAGCTGGGGCCTCACGACTCTGCCCTGTGCCCTATCCTACTGAGGCTAAGCTTACATCCAGGTTACAAAAACAAAGTTCTCTTTATTTTTCCTTCTCATCTCTTCAAGTGGAAGGAAGGGGTCTCTTTTGGAGCTGCAAGCTGTGTTGCCTGGGGTTGGGGAAGGAGTGATGCAAGCACTCCCTAAGCTTCCCTGACTGGTGTCTCACTAGGGTGGGTGTCCCCCAGGCCCACTGGCTCTAAGCCCAGCACAGCACTAGGACTTGCGTAGGAGTTGTAGTCTTTGTGGACTAGACAGACTCCTGAAAAAAGGAACAAGAAAATATTGGTCAGGTATTTTGTATAATGTCCCTTAATTTGGGTTTATCTAATGTTTTCTCATGACTAGCCTGGGATTATGGATTTTTTAAAAAATTAAGTCTGAACAAATGGGTTATGGATTTTTGAGAAGAAAACCAGAGAGGTGACATGCCTTTCCCATGTCATCGTGTCAAGATGTATTTGATAATCAATGTGACTTTTTACGGTGATATTAACCTTGATCACTTGGTTAAGATGTTGTCTTCATGTAAAGTTATCATTTTTTCCTTTTCCCTACACTATTCATTAGAAAACAGTCATTAAGTCCAGCCACACTCAAAAAGAGAGGAATTAGATTCAATTTCCTGGCTGGGCACAGCAGCTCACACCTGTAATCCCAGCACTTTGGGAGGCCGAGGCGGGCAGATCACTTGAGGTCAGAAGTTCAAGACCAGCCTGGCCAACATGGAGAAACCTGATCTCTACTAAAAATACAAAAATTAGCAGGCGTGGTGGCATGTTCCTGTAATCCCAGCTACTTGGGAGGCTGAGGCACAAGAATTGCTTGAACTCGAGAGGCAGAGCTTGCAGTGAGCCAAGATAGCACCACTGCACTCCAGCCTAGGCAACAGAATGAAACTCCATCTCAAAAACCAAAACAAAAGAGATTCCACTGCCTGAAAGAGGAATATCAAAGAATTTGTGCAATCACTGCAGTAATTAATAAGTCCTTAGGGAAGAGGCATTTTGAGGCTATGCAGAAATCCTGCTTCTCTGTGAAGTTCCCCCCGCTAATTTTTAGTACCCATCAGTGGACCTTGACTCCACAAGGTCTTTTTCTTTTTCTTTGCTGCAGGGTGGTCTAATGATCTGTTTCCTGACTACAAAATGCACCTAAAAGGGAGTTTAGAGATTTAGCTGTCATGGTGGGGTGATAAATAGATTCTCAGCCCTGATTACTATATGAGCTTCTGGTTTGGTTAGATTTTCTGTTTCTGCATTTCTCTTTTTTTTTTTGAGACGGAGTCTCGCTCTGTCGCCCAGGCTGGAGTGCAGTGGCTGATCTTGGCTCACTGCAAGCTCCGCTCCCTGGGTTCACGCCATTGTCCTGCCTCAGCCTCCGGAGTGGCTGGGAATACAGACGCCCGCCACTACGCCCGGCTAATTTTTTGTATATTCAGTAGAGATGGGGTTTCACCGTGTTAGCCAGGATGGTCTCGATCTTCTGACCTCGTGATCCACCCGCCTTGGCCTCCCAAAGTGCTGGAATTACAGGCGTGAGCCACCGCGCCCGGCTGTTTCTGCATTTCTTGAAGTTTGTCCCTCACAAAGCTTCCTGGCTATTATTCTCTGATCAGTCCAGGTATATGTTGTTGATTGTATTTAGGCTACAGGAAAAGTCTGGGCTAAGAGGCTGCCACTGAAAACATTGATTAGTGTCACAAGTCACATGGGAGGCAAGTTGTGAAATGACCAGAAAAGCAGGTTTTTAGAAAACATTATGTAGCTGCACTATCTCTGTTTCTCTATTACTGTGATATCTCTCTTAGATTACTTTGGACTGAGAACTGATGAGTTCCTGGTAAACAAAATCAGACTAGGCATGCCGTCCTAGACATTGAGAGGGGCAGATGCCAAGCTCTTGAGTGTGCGTGTGTGGGGCAGGGGGCTGCATTTAGAACAGCCTTTGTAGTCAAGTACCCAGTCTATGCTAAGTCTCTGTGTGATATAGTTAGGTATTTCTCCTATGCATGATTATTTAATTAAAGACTGTCACTTTCCTTAGATTGGAAAGTTTTTAAAGGAAGGACTATTTCTATTTTGTTTATCACCGTGAGTCCAGCACATCTTCAGGCACATAATAGGCACTATATTATATTAACTGAATGAATGAATGACAAGTAACTTGGAGTTAGAAATGTCCATGCTTTTCCTACAGTTTTCTCAACCTCCCCATAACTTCAGTCACAGAAACAGTCTTGTATTATGGTGATTATATTCTCTAGTACTTATTAGAATAGTGCTATATTTACTTACACTATTAGGTAAGAAGACAGTTGTGGATTAGCCTAAGGACTGAGTTATATTGCAGAACACAGTTAAGGATAGATTGAATTGAGGTCTAAACAACTTTAAAGCATATGGGAAAGATACAGATTGTGGAGTTGGGGATATTTGGATTCAAATCCCAGCATTACCACTTATTAGCTATGCATTGTAGAAATTAACTAATCTCCCTGAGATTCAGTTTCTCCTCCTGTAAAATAGGAATAATAGTATCTTTCTCATAGCATTTATTGTAAGGATTAGGGGAAATTCTTTGTTTTGTTTGTTTGTTTGTTTGTTTGTTTTGCTACAGAGTCTCGCTCCATCGCCCAGGCTGGAGTGCAGTGGCACAAACTTGGCTCACCTCTGCCTCCTGGATGCAATCAATTCTCCTGTCTCACCTCCCAAGTAGCTGGGACTGCAGGTGCCCGCCACCATGCCGCCCATCTAATTTTTGTGTGTTTTTTTTTAGTAGAGACGGGGTTTCAACATATCAGTCAGGCTGGTCTCGAACTCCTGACCTCAGGTGATCCATCTGCCTCGGCCTCCCAAAGTGCTGGGGTTACAGGCGTGAGCCACCACACCTGGCAGGAAATTTTATATATATGTACACATAGGTCTAAATATAGCTCATGTAAGAAATACATATGTACTTACATGTGTATATATCTGCATTTTATATATAACACATATGTATATGGAAATATTCTAATATGTATATATGCATGTCTGCTATGCCTCTACCTCCTTATCTACCTGTGTTATAAATCTGCAGTTCCTGACACATGGTCATTGTATGAGTCAGGGTCCACATTAAGTATTTCAATAGATTATTATTATTATTTTTTTTTAGGACTGGGGAAGGGGAGCTTAACAGAAAAAAAATTAATAGAAGGAGCTGGTTAAACAGGTGCTAGAAGAGTGAAGAAGCAAAGAAGAAAGTAAATGCTGGAAGCAGCTACCACTCCCTGGTCCAGGGTACTAAGAGAAGAGGCTGGGGGATTAAAATCCAGAAACTGGAAAGAAAGGCCTGCCGTTCCCAAGAGGCGCCTGGTGCCAGTGCCTGGGCGGGTGGCGGGAGCGGGGAGAGGACACAATGTGGCTGGTTCCGGGAGTGCAAAACAAAAACAAAACAAAACATAAAAAAAACCACACACACACACAAAAAAAACCAGGAGACTGGTACTAACCGCTGCCAGGATGAAGGCTGAGTACAGACACAAATAACACTGACCGGACACAGAGAGGAACGAGCCCCTTTCCCTCCTCCCGGCTTGCAGGCTCCCTCTACTGCCCCCTATCGGCAGAGCCTAGCACGTCGCCAGCAAGCAAAGGGAAACGGGTTTTGCAGGGTCTGGGACCGGCCCCATCATGACAAAGCCAAGTATGTGTGCAAGCGAGGGGATGGAACGGAGAGACAATAGCTTAGTAACTTAATTTACTCATTCGCCATTTTAACAGCTGCCTAGAATTTCATTGTACAATTAGAGCACAATTTATCCATTTTCATGGTGCTAGATATTTATGTTGTTTCTGAATTTTTATTTGAAATGATGCTACTGTGAACATTCCTTTAATTCTTTTTGGATCATAAAATTTTGGGGAAGAGCTCGCATGACATTCTGCAAAGCATAAAGGAGTTATTAATATATTTTCACCCACTATTGAATGTTTAAATATTATATAAGTCTAGGTGTGGTAAGTACTATAAGCACACTGTTTTCTCCCATTTCATCCTCTTGGCAAGAGAACTCTCCTAGAAAGAAGACTAGCACCTAGCAGAATGCTTTGAATAGAGCAGGCTTCAATAAAGATTTGACATTGATGATACTGAAGAGATAACCTGGCTAGTAACAAGATGTTGCATAGAGATTCCAAACATTAATTTCCTTCCTTGCCGAATGTAAGCAAACACAAACAGCAAGTGCTAATGGTAAATGTGGTAAAGCACTAATTTCTCTGAGTTGGTCAATATTTAGCTGAGGCATGTCAGTTCAAAGCCTCCCACAATGTTTCTCCTTCATTAAGCAAGTCATCTCTGAGATATTCTGTAATTTTCTGTATATCTTCTTTATTATATGGTTAGTTTTTCTGTTAAAGATCATGTGTGGGCTGGGCATGGTGGCTCACGCCTGTAATCCCAGCACTTTGGGAGGCCAAGGCAGGCGGATCACGAGGTCAGGAGATCAAGACCATCCTGGCCAACATGGTGAAACCCCATCTCTACTAAAAATACAAAAAATTAGCTGGGTGTGGTGGCTAGTGCCTGTAATCCCAGCTACTCGGGAGGCTGAGGCAGGAGAATCTCTTGAACCCAGGAGGTGGAGGTTGCAGTGAGCTGAGATCGCGCCATTGCACTCCAGCCTGGGTGACAGAGCGAGAGACTCTGTCTCAAAAAAAAAAAAAAAAAAAGATCATGTGTGGGCCGGGTGCAGTGTCTCACCCTGTAATCCTAGCACTTTGGGAGGCCGAAGCGGGAGGATAGATTCAAGCCAGGAGTTCGAGACCAGCCTGGGCAAAATAGCAAGAACCCCGTCTCTACAGAATAGTTTTAAAAATTAGCTGGGTGTAGTGGTGCATGCCCCTAATCCCAGCTACTTGGGAGGATGAGGTGGAAGGATCGCTTGGGCCCAGGAGTTTGAGGAACCCTCAACTTCACTCCAGCCTGGGTGGAGCAAGGCCCTGCCAAAAAAAAAAAAAAAAAAAAAAAAAAGGCCGGGTGAGGTGGCTCACGCCTGTAATCCTAGCACTTTGGCAGGCCAAGGTGGGAGGATCACTTGAGGTCAGGAGTTCAAGACCAGCCTGGCCAACATGGTGAAACCCCATCTCTAATAAAAATACAAAAATTAGCTGGGCGTGGTGGCAGGTGCCTGTAATCCCATCTACTCAGGAGGCTAAGTCAGGAGAATCGCT
Source organism: Homo sapiens (assembly GCF_000001405.40). Taxonomy (NCBI): domain Eukaryota; kingdom Metazoa; phylum Chordata; class Mammalia; order Primates; family Hominidae; genus Homo; species Homo sapiens. Next base: position 21,478,815 of record NC_000013.11, read on the forward strand.
TTAACTGGGAGGCAGAGGTTGCAGCGAACCTAGATGGTGCCACTGCACTCCAGCCTGGGTGACAGAGTGAGACTTTGTCTCAAAAAAAAAAAAAAAGAGAGAAAGGAAGGGACGACAAAGAAAGGAATGAAGAGAGAGTGAGAGTAAGAAAGAAAGAAGGAAAGAAAGAAAGAAAAAGAAGGAAAGAAAGAAAGAAAGAAAAAGGAAGGAAGGAACAGAGGGAGGGAGGGAGGGAAAGGAAAGGAAAGTAATGCTTGGTGTATGCAAGGCAGATAAAAATTTTTTGGAAAAGCAAGGCTGCCACCTTGTGGAACATTTGTATTGAATGCTTTCACTTTAAATCAACTGTAACGCCACAAGTGATTTGCAGGATTCTTTTAATTTTTCTCAATACGAGTTTTCTCCCTGCATTTCATCATTTTGTCTCATTCATTCTATGGCATCGATGTGGTATTAGTGTCAGTTTGCACTCCAGCTTTTGAAGATATGCAGTTTCCATTAAAGAAAACTTAGTGACTCACTTTTCCTCTACCGCCTCTGTCTACGGATCTGTGTGCTTATCTGCATGGAACTCTGACTTTGAAGTCTGTCTTGTACTCCCTCAGAAAAATATCAGGAAAATGTCTTTAAAAGTCCATTAACTGTTACAATTTAGAATTAAACACCTGTCACTTCCAAGGCAGAGGTGAGAAAATGTGAAGTTAAACAAATCACAGGGGATGCCTCCTCTGAGCATGGAAACTTCTCTCCCTAACTGGCTTGAGTTAGGTTCAGCTGTTCAACATGTGCACTTGATGTTGGATCTTCTTTGGCATGATGTTGGCAGAGACATTGGAATCTAGAGAACTGTTTAAGGCATGAACCTGGCAACGTGGGCGCTGCTTTTTCTCCTTTCTTCTCCTTCCCTTGCTTATACATCACTGGGGCAGAGGTGAGGGGTGGCAGAAATATCACTTATGGGATCAGAAAATGAAAACCCAGGACTCAAAAGGCTGGCAGCTGAGGGTCTAGACGACTCCTCTCTGCTTACTTAAATCCCTACTGTCTTACCTCTTGGCCCACAATAAAAGTAAAACATGCCCCAGGGAGAGAAAAAGCAAAATATTATGAATTGAATTAAAACCGTGTACATAGCTCTTAATTTATCGCATGCTGTCAAATGTATTGGCTATAAAGGGATAAGTATGTCAAAGTCTTGGAGCCAGGCAGCCAATTTGAAAGTTCTCCTGGTTGGCCGTGGTGGCTCATGTCTGTAGTCCCACCCAGCACTTTGGGAGGCTGAGGTTTGTGGGTCACTTGAGGTCAGGAGTTTGAGACCAACTTGGCCAACATGGCAAAACCCCGTCTCTTCTAAAAATACAAAAATTAGCTGGTTGTGGTGGTGCACGCCTATAGTCCCAGCTACTTGGTAGTAGGCTGAGGCACAAGAATCGCTTGAACCTGGGAGGCAGAGGTTGCAGTGAGCCAAGATCATGCCACTGCATACTCCAGCCTGAGGAAGACTCTGTCTAAAAAAAAAAAAAAAAGAAGATTCTCCTGTGACTTTCACCCTGATCCTCTAGTGTTGAGTGTAATTTGCCCTGCGGTCCCCTGGAGTCTCCTAAGCTGGTCTTAGCCTACAGAATGGCACAGCTTAGAGTAACAATCCACTGTGTCCGCCCAGCACCCTTGCTGCCGTCTGGGAGTAGTCACGCCCATCTTTTAGAAAATGTTCCTTCCGGCCGGGCGGGGTGGCTCACGCCTGTAATCCCAGCACTTTGGGAGGCTGAGGCGGGTGGATCACTAGGTCAGGAGTTCGAGACCGTCCTGGCTAACGCGGTGAAACGCCGTCTCTACTAAAAATACAAAAAACATTTAGCCGGGCGTAGTGGCGGGCGCCTGTAGTCCCAGCTACTCCGGAGGCTGAGGCAGGAGAGTGGCGTGAACCCGGTAGGCGGAGGTTGCTGTGAGCCGAGATTGCGCCACTGCACTCCAGCCTCCAGCCTGGGCAACAAAGCGAGACTCTGTCTCAAAAAAAAAAAAAAAAAAAAGAAAGAAAGAATATGTTCCTTCCCTGCTGCCCTCCAACAGTGCAGGGACATGGCAGCTGCCGTGTTGGTATAGACCCTGCCCTCCTGGCTGCAGTGGATTGGTCTGGAATAGAACCTGGTTCAGACAGGGCAGCCAATCAGCCCCTTTCCCAGAGATTTTTGACTCTTAGGGAGAGCATAGTTAGAATTTCTCTGGTGTACATGCAGTAAAAGAGAATGAAATTGCTACCCAGATCGAAGTAGAGAAAAGCCTGGTGAGAGTTCCGAGGGCTTCAGGTCCTCAGTTGGAGTTTTCCTACGTCCCAGCTGCTCCCCTGACCTCCCCAGGTTTGACCCTGTGACACTCCTGTAGACCTTTCCTATCAACTCCTCTTTTGTCTAACCCATTTCGAGATGACTTTCTGTTGTTTCTGTCCAAGAGTCCTAATGATTACATATGGAGAAACCTGTATCAAGGTCCCAGCTTGGCCAGGAAAGATTCGAGTACCAAAGAGTATTCCTTCCCTGTAAGCAGATGATATGGAAACCAGATTATCAGAAGGTTGCTCGGAGACCGTAAAATCAGAACAAGGTGTACTAACATAATAACGTGATTAACAGCAACAGGCTCTGCTAATCTAACGTGCTCATCTTTAAATAGAAATAGATCTGTCATGAAAGGAGAATGCTTCGTTGCTAGGGCTCCCTTTATTTGGAAAGCTCTTGGATGACCACTGCATTGCTTGTTTCTGTGGCCTCTTTTCTATGCTTGCATGACTGACTCAATGCTCTTTGTGATTTATTTATTTGTTCAGGGATTCAAAAATATTTATTGGACATCTACTCTATGACAGGTGTTGTTTCAAGTTTCAAGAACACAATGGTGAATAAAGAAAAATTCCTGCTGTAGTCCCAGCTACTCGGGAAGCTAAGCCAGGAGGATTGCTTGAGCCCAGGAGGTCTGGACTAGCCTGGACAACATAGTGAGACCCTGTCTCTAAAAAGGAAAAAAATCCCTGCTTTTATGGAACTTACATTCTAATAGGATAAGCAGATATAAACAGATATACAAATATATGTATATATACACATTTTAAGTTGATGATCAAGTTCTAGTAAGAAAAACAACATAGAGAAAGAGGGTGGGGTACAATGGGGATTGGTTTGTTATGGTCTTTTTTTTTTTTCTCCTTCCAGTTTATTTATTTTTCTCTCTAAGACCAATTTACAGTCTATTAGCACTGTGTGAGCACCTGTTTCACCACATATACAAACCCCTCCAAGACTATAAGGATATCATTAGGCTTTATATCAGTGTCAGGTAGTAAACATAATTTTGTACATACTTTGCATTTTATTTCTCCTGAGGTTCAGTATTTTCCATGGGTAAACAATAAATATGTTAGAACATATTTATTCAAGATGAGACATTTGTCTCCTGGTGAGACATCTTGGTCTAATGCTGACTCTGGGGACATTTGGTTGTTGACTGTGAGGTGGCTATCTACATGTGGAGTGGAGGAGTCCTGGCCTTGGATTGAGGAGAACAAGGTCAACTTCTCACCTCACTCGTTTCTGGCTTTTGCGACCTTGGATAAGTTTAACTTTCTCTCTCCTAGGTTTAGTTTTCTTGTGTGTAAGTGCTGCCTTCTCACTGTGAGCTCACACAGCCTTTCCTCAGTGTGTGTGTGCAGAGATCTCTCTCTTCCACTTTTTTTAAATGAATTATTTAATTTGGAGGACCAAGTGCAGAATCTTCCTCTACTTATAAGGCCAAAAATCCTATCCAATTAGAAACTCATTCTAATGACCTCATTTAACCTTAATTACCTCTTACAAGTCCTGTCTAGAAATACAGTCATATTGGGGTTTAGGGCTTCAATATACGAATTTGGGGGGATGGGGAGACAATTCAGTCCATAGTAAACACTTTCTCGAAGAGTAGTTACAATGTTTATAAGAGACAATGTAGGTAAAAGTAGTTTCAGTTACCTGCAGCTAAATGCAGTTTATTATCCCTTCAGAATCCTCTGCAGAAGAGGCACCTAATAAATATTATTTATTTGGACTTAACCTAAGGTATTATTCTTTATATAGTGCCTTCCCATGGAATGATTGAAATCATGTTTATCATTTTGCAGCACAGTTTATTTCTTATAGGGTCATGGCTAATAAAAAACATGGGAAAATGACCCTCACTAATAGAGTCATTAATTTAAATAAGGAAATGTAATTTCAAATTTTTTCTTTTTGGGGGCCTATTACGTTAACAATGCTTTTAAAAATTTATTGTAAATATGAGTGTTATAAAACAGAAATTTCCACATTATGTTGGGATTATAAATTGGCATGCTCCTGAATAGCAATTTTTGGCAATGCATATTTAAGGATCTTAGATAATGTTTTTCACTTTTGATTTAGTATTTCCACTTCATGAATATCCTTAGGAAATAATATTTGAACAAAGATTTATGTACAAAGATGTGTGAGCTGTATGATCTATAATGCATAGAAATGGGAATCAATTGAAATAGTCCATAATGAAGAACTAATTACTTATCAATATATCCATAAATTATGCATCCATTAAAAATTATTTCTAAGCATATTTAGTTATCTAAATATATATATAGCATGACACCTAAGTTTATTTTATATATATGGGATACATGATGTGAGATATATGTATATATGAATGTGAATATATATGATATACATATAAAAAGAATAGGAGATACTAGGAGTTATTTTAATTTTGTCTTTATGTTTCTCATTTCATAAATTTCTATGAAGAACATTTTAATTGTTTTATACCCAGAAAAAAGAGGGGCTAGTTTTTCTTAGCCAGGTGTATATTGGTCCTTCCTTGATTGTTTAAAATACCTCCGTTTATCTTCTTCTAGGATCACTCATTTTTCATTGGTTTATTTGTAAGATGAAGCACTGTCCAGCAGTGACGACTGTTGGAAAAGATATGTCTAAAGGCTGTTGTCTCCTCTTGGCAAGTTTACTTGGAGCTGGTGTACTGGGTGACGGCCTTGGTGCCCTCCGACACGGCGTGCTTGGCCAGCTCCCCGGGCAGCAGCAGGCGCACAGCCGTCTGGATCTCCCTGGAGGTGATGATCGAGCGCTTGTTGTAATGCGCCAGGCCGGAAGACTCGCCCGCGATGCCCTCAACGATGTCATTAACGAATGGCCTTGGAAGAGATGCGGGTGTCGGGGTGGACCTGCTTCAGCAGAGTAGCTCTCCTTGCGGCTGCGCTTGCGCTTCTTGCCAACCTTCTGCGCCTTGGTCACCGCCTTCTTGGAGCCCTTCTTCAGGGAGGGAGCAGACTTGGCTGGCTCAGGCATCTTCAAACACCAGAAGTATGTCCCTGATGGTCTTTTTCACAAGGATAACTGAGTAGAGACCTGACTGATGCAGAGGGGTGAGTCCTATGAAAGACCCAGAGTTGGAAGATTATAGGCCAGGTGAACAGCAAGGCAATGACTTTGAGGCAGGAGAGAGCTTGAGGGGTTCCAGGGAAAACAAGATGGCCATAGTGGTTGAGCAAGAGTGGGAAGGAGAGAAGGTGAGGTTGGGAGTGTCAGGGGCAGGGGCAGGAAGAACCTTGAGACCTTGGTGAAGGTTTGTATTTTATTGTTATGGGAGCCTTTGAACATAACTTAAAGAAGTTATTTACTTTTTTGGTGGTTGTCCTTGAGTTTGCAGTATATGTTTATAACTAACCCATGTCTTCTTTCTTTCCTTCTTTTTTTTGGGGGAGGTGGGGTGGGATGGGGGGGGACAGGGTCTCTGCCACCCAGGCTAGAGTGCAGTAGTGCAATCACAGCTCACTGCAGCCTCAAACTCCTGGGCTCCAGCGATCCTCCTGCCTCAGCCTCTTGAGTAACTAGGGCTGTAGGTATGCATCGCTATGCCCGGCTAATTTATTTTATTTTTAATTTTTTGTAGAGATGGGGGTCCATGTCCTCTTTGAAATAACACTATACTACTTCAAGGGTATGCAGGTACTTTATACAAGAGCATTTTCTCTTTTCTTTCTTTCTCTTTCTGTCTCTCTGTCTCTCTCTTTCTCTTTCTTTGTCTTCTTTCTTTCTCTTTCTGTCTGTCTCTTTCTCTTTGTCTTCTTTCTTTCTCTTTCTTTGTCTTTCTCTTTCTTTTCTTTTCTTTCTTTTCTTTCTTTTTTTTTTGACAGAGACTCACTCTGTCACCCAGGCTGGAGTGCAGTAGTGCAATCTCAGCTCACTGCAACCTCCACCTCCCGGGTTCAAGTGATTTTCCTGCCTCAGCCTCCTGAGTAGCTGGGATTACAGGCATAACCCATCACGCCTGGCTAATTTTTGTATTTTTAGTAGAGACGGGGTGTTTCCCCATGTTGGTCAGGCTGGTCTTGAACTCTTGACCTCAAGTGATCCTCCCGCTTTGGCCTCCCAAAGTGCTGGGATTACAGGCATGAGCCACCATGTCAGGGCCCTCTGGAGGTTTTTTTTTTTTTTTTTTTTTTTTTTTGAGACAGAGTGTTGCTCTGGTTGCGCAGGCTGGAGTGCAATGGCATGATCTCAACCAACTAACTGCAACCTCCACCTCCCAGGTTCAAGCTATTCTCCTGCCTCAGCCTCCCATGTAGCTGGAATTATAGGCATGTGCCACCATGCTCGGCTAATTTTGTACTTTTAGTAGAGACGGGGTTTCTCCATGTTGGTCAGGCTGGTCTCGAACTCCCCACCTCAGGTGATCCATCCACCTTGGCCTCCCAAAGTTCTGGGATTACAGGCGTGAGCCACCACACCCAGCCTGGAGTTTTTAACTCTCAAACTTGTCCGTAAGGAGCCTCTGTCAATACATTAAATCACAGTTTAGGTTTTCTTTATTTCCTTCCATCTTTGAATTTCATTTGTTCTTTTTCTGGTTCCTTAAGGTGTAAAGTTGTTGATTTGAGATTATTGTTCTTTTTAAATGTAAACATTTATAGCTATTAATTTCTGTCTTAAGGCTGGACGCGATGGCTCATGCCTGTAATCCCAGCACTTGAGGCCAAGGTGGGCGGATCACCTGAGGTCAGGAGTTTGAGACCAGCCTGGCCAACATGGTGAAACCCTATCTCTACTAATAATACAAAAATTAGCCAGGATGGTGGCAGGCGCCTGTAATCCCAGCTACTTAGGAGGCTGAGGCAGGAGAATTGCTTGAACCCGGGAGGCAGAGGTTGCAGTGAGCCGATATCGTGCCATTACACTCCAGCCTGGGGGACAAGAGCAAGACTTCATCCCCCCCAAAAAAAAAAATTTCCCTCTTTAGCACTGCTTTCACTGCATCTCATAGTTTTGCTGTTGTGTTTTCATTTTTATTTGTCTCAACGTATGTTCTCATTTCCCTTTTCTTTGAGGCATTGGTTGTTTGAGTGGGTTGTTAATTTCCACATATTTGTGGCCCAGTGGCTTTTATATATACTTATGAAGTTACCTTTAGTAGTATTTTTTTTTCTTCTGTCTTTGAATTACTGTCTATTGTCTTTTCATTTCAGTCTGAAGCACTCCGTTTAGCATTTCTTGTAGGGCAGTACTGGTAATAAGACTCAGTCTTTTAAATCTGGATATATCTTAATTTCTCCTTCATTCTTGAATGATAGTTTTGCTGTATATAGAGTTCTCGGTTGACAGTCTTTTTCTTTCAAGACTTTAAATATGTCATCCAGTGCCTTTTGGCCTCCATGGTTTCTAGTGGAAGATAAACTGTCATTCTTAATGAAGGTCTCTTGTACATGCATGAGTCACTTTTTTTTTTTTTTTTTTTTTTCCACGGAGTCTTGCTCTGTCGCCCAGGCTGGACTGCAGTGGTGTGATCTTGGCTCACTGCAAGCTCTGCCTCCAGGTTCTGGCCATTCTCCTGCCTCAGCCTCCTGAGTAGCTGGGACTACAGGTGACCGCCACCACGCCCAGCTAATTTTTTGTATTTTCAGTAGAGATGGGGTTTCACCGTGTTAGCCAGGATGGTCTCAATCTCCTGACCTCATGATCCGCCCACCTCAGCCTCCCAAAGTGCTGGGATTACAGGCATGAGCCACCGCACCTGGCCGCATGAGTCACTTCTACCTGATGCTTTCAAAATTATCTTTTTGTCTATGGGAGTTGATAATTTGACTATATGTCTCAGTGTGTATCTCTTCAAAGTTTTCCTGCTTGGAGTTCATTGAGCTTCTTAGATGTATATATTCATGTTTTTAATCAGATTTGGGAAGTTGTCAGCTATTATTTCTTCAAATTTTTTGCTGCTCCTTTCTCTATGTCTTCTCCTTCTGGGATTCCTATAATGTGTATTTGGTATGCTTGATGAGGTCCCATAGGTTCCTCAGGCTGTCTTCATTTTTCTTCACTCTTTCTTTCTTTTCCCTAGACTGGGTAATTTTCAATGTCTTATCTTCAATTTTGCCAGTCCTCTCTTTTCCTTGTTCAAACTTGCTGTTGAATCCCTCTATTGCATTTTTCATTTTAGTTATTGCAGATTTTGTTTGGCTCCTTTTTATAATTTCTATTTATACTTTCATTTTGTTCAGACATTGTTTTCTTGATTTCTATTAGTGTTTATTCATGGTTTCCTTTAGAAAACATATTGAACATATTTAAAACAATTGATTTAACATCTTTGACTAATAATTCCAAAGTCTGGTCTTCTTTAGGTATGGTTTCTGTGAAATTCTTTATATCCTGTGAATGGATCATACTTTCCTGTTGCTTTACATGTTTTATAATTTTTTGTTGAGAACTGGTTATTCTGAGCATTATGTTGTAGTAACTCTGGAATCTAATTCTACTCCTTAGGGATTGCTTGTTTTTGCTTGTTGTGGGCTGGACCCATTCCTATTTGTGCCTTTTCCAAACAATGTATCTTCCTTGTTGTGTGTGGCTACTGAGGTTTCTTTTCTGTTATCTCTACAGTTAGCCAGTAACCTGACAAAAATGTCCTTAAATGTCTGACTTTCAAGAAGGAGGGAAGATATCCTGTCTCTTTAAATCTCTTGTGGCTGGGAAGCTGCTTCAGCTTGTGAAGTGGGCATTAAAAAATGGTTGGCCTCCAGCCTGGCCCCTCATCACTTTATCAAAATCAGCAAGCAGCTAGCAGAACACATGACCCCCACTCCTGGAGGATAAGGTCTTTTGTGCTCACACTGGTTCCAGGAAGCTGCCCCAGGAATGTGGGCTGCTTCCCTGACAGTTTCCTGATGCTGGGTGGCAGGCTTTTTGCTGTTGCTGCTACATCACAAAAGGCTGAAGTTCACCAAAATTTACTAGCAACTTCATCAAACTCTCCCTCAAATGTCAGAAATGTTCCAAAATAAGACAATTCCTGCCAGTTCAATAGTTGTTTAGGTGAAGGGACAGATTCCTGGAGCCTCCTGCTCTGCTATCTTCCCTGACATCATTCCCTACATTATGCCTTTTTTTTGAGACAGAGTTTCACTTTGTTGCTCAGGCTGGAGTGCAATCTTGGCTCACTGCAACCTCTGCCTCCTGATTTCAAGCGATTCTCCTGCCTTGGCCTCCTGAGTCACTGGAATTACAGGTGCCTGCCATCACACCTGGCTAATCTCATGTTTTTAGTAGAGGCGGGGTTTCACCATGTTAGCCAGGCTGGTCTTGAATTCCTGACTTCAAGTGATCCTCCCGCCTCGGCCTCCCAAAGTGCTCGGATTACAGGCATGAGCCACCATGCCTGGCCTCTACATTATGCTTTGATTTTTATGATTTAACACCTGGAGGGTAACCTTGTTTCCAAACTTTGGGAGGACATTTCAATTTGTTTCCATTCCCAGAACCTGTTCTGCTTTCTAACCGTATCAGAACCCCTGGCCAGTCTCTCTTGATATTTGCTATCTGTGTCCAAAGCAGAGGCCAAACCAGAGCTGTCTTAAAGCTCCCTTAAGCCATCTACTCTCTCCTGTCCAGTCCTGTAACAGAAAAGCTGGTATGTGAGAACAGCTAAAGCACATATGGGGATTTTTTTTTTTTTTTTTTTTTTTGAGACAGAATCTCCCTCTGTCACTCAGGCTGGAATGTAGTGGCACAATCTCGGCCCACTGTAACCTCTGCCTCCCAGGTTCAAGTGATTCTCCTGTCTCAGCCTTCCGAGTAACTTGGACTACAGGTGCGTGCCAGGATGCCTCGCTAAATTTTTGTATTTTTAGTAGAGTTGGGGTTTTGCCATATTGGCCAGGCTGGTCTTGAACTCCTGACCTCAGGTGATCCGCCTGCCTCAGCCTCCCAAAGTGCTGGGATTAGCGGTGGGCATGAGCCACCGTGCCTGGCCCAGGGTTATTTCTTGTTCCACTTTCCTTTTTGTTAACTAATTCATAGGTCAAACATTTTTTTGAGCGAGTATGTGCTAGCTCTTTGATGGATGCTGGGAGATAGCGTTAAAGGAGTCATGTTGTTGCTATCAATGAGCTCATAGCCAAGGGGAAGAGGCAAATACATAAAAGAATTCCAGTATACTTTAATGAGGCTTGAAAGATATGTGGACAGAAACGTGTGAGGGAACTAACAGCATGTATCCCTAAATGAATTTGAGGGAAAAGCAGGGAGAAAAATGGAAAACTTTGCAGATGAAATGGCACTGGAAGTTAGGCAGGTGGGAGCATCTTCAACAGAAGCACTAGTAAGTGCAAACACTTGGAGAGTGAGAACATGGCCAAGCGGGGTGATGAGAAGTAATTCAGTATTGTTGTAGTGTAAAGTGTGTGGTGGCAAGTGTTAGGATATGAGAAAGATAGATGGGGCAAGATCATGTAGAGTTGAATTTTATTTTTTAAGCGATTTTAGTGTCGTAAGATTATCAGAAGCGTAGTGACATGATCAGATTTATGTTTCAGAAAATAAGTCTGTTGTGAAGGAGGATCTGAAATAAGAAGTTAACAGCATTAATATTTAAAAGCTGCTAAAGGTTTACTCCAGTGCATTTCATACATCATCTCAATCCTTACAAAAAGGCTATGACATCACAACTAAAATCATTCCTTTTTAGATTAAAAATGGGCACAGAGAGCTCAAGTACTTTGCCAAACGGTTATGTGGTGAGTTATATAACTAATGTGGTGAAGCTGAGATTTGAATCCAGGTAGTCTAACAGCAGAGTTTGGATGCTTAATTGCTGTGCCTTACAAGGGGCCGGACAAAGGGCAAGTTAGGATTCCACGGAGATCATCTAAGTAATGAATGATCAGGGCTTGCACTAAGGCAGTGGCAACAGTGTTGTAAGGTGGAGCACATGTCTGGCGATTTTGAGGAAGCAGAATTCACAGGACATGATTGACTATAGAGGAGTAAGGGAGTGAGGATCCGGGATGACTGTCTGGTTCCTAGTTGGTTTCTTGTAGGAGACCCGTTCACTAAGGCAGAAGACATGTGAAGAAATGAGGTTTGGAAAAAGAGGGGGACATAATCAGGTCAGTTTTGGATGTGCTTGAGTTGGACAAACCAAATGGAGAAATCTAGAAAGCAACTGGGCCTGAAGGTGAGGAGAGAACAGAAGCCAGAGGGGTGATGAGATTCCTGAGGGGATGGGCAAGGAGGAGAAGATCCGTGAAGGCAGGGCTCAGATACCCCCTGCAACTGTCTCCCACCTTGAAGGGATAAGCAGAGAAATACAAGCTATCTACCAGAATATCAGACCTAGTGATCATTTATTTAACAAAATGATAGTAAAGAAACAAATGACTGAAGATTCATGCAGTTTAGATTTTTAGGAAGTCCAGCTGCTTTCAAGGTAAATGTCTCCGTACTCCTAGGAGATATTGGCAAATCTAGTTTGCTTATTTGATATATATTTATCCCTATTTTTTTCAAATGGGATCAAGTACTTTTGTAGTAATGACATGACAAACATTATTCGTTTTCAGAAATCTTTTCAGTTATAGTAATTTCCTTTTAGCCTTGAAAAATGGAAAACTATCCTCAACCCTCTAAATACTCTTGTTGTAAGAAAGTCTTCTGATCTCTAACATCACTTTTTTTTTTTTAAATCTTAGTTTTTAATTGTATATATATACTTAAAATGTTTCCTGGTTAGTTTTCAGTCTTCACCTTCTGCAAGTTCCATGACAGCAGGAACCATTTATTTCACCACTGTATGCTTGGGGCCTAGCAGGTTTTTGGCATACTTCTTGATTAACTCATGAACTTTACTAGCTCCTCCCATCCCAAATCTCCTCCTTTCCTCCCTCCCTCCCTCTCTTCTTTCCTTCTGTTCAACAAATATTTGTTGGATGCCTACTGTAAGCCAGGGATTCAGCTTAGACTGGTATATAAAGATGACTAAGGCAGTGCTCCTGCTCTTAATACTTTGGTAGATACAAACTTGGTATGTGGGTAGCACCTTGATGTCTAGAATTTCACCAAGAAGATAGCAAGGGGGCCGGGTGCGTTGGCTCACGCCTGTAATCCCAGCACTTTGGGAGGCCGAGGCAGGTGGACCATGAGGTCAGGAGATCAAGATCATCCTGGCCAACATGGTGAAACCCCGTCTCTACTAAAAAATACAAAAAAATGAGTCGGGCGTGGTGGCGGGTGCCTGTAGTCCCAGCTACTCAGGAGGCTGAGGCAGGAGAATGGCATGAACCCAGGAGGCAGAGCTTGCAGTGAGCCGAGATCGTGCCACTGCACTCCAGCCTGGGCAACAGAGTGAGACTCCGTCTCAAAAAAAAAAAAAAAAAAAAAAAAAGATAGCGAGGGAAAGGCATCGCTGTCAGAAGGAAATGGCATGTGTAACAAGCTTAGGGGTAGGGGTATGTGAAACGCACATGGTGTACATGAGGAAAGGCCAGGAGCTTTATGTCGCTGGAGCACAAAACAGTATTCATGGAATGCTGTGGAAAGTGGGGCAGACAAATCAGTGCCAGGTGAGGCTGAAAAAGTGAAGCCTGTGAAGGCATGAGAAACCATCTTAATTTTTGGATTTTTGTGCCCCTAATCTTGACCCATAAGGGCATCTGGAAAGACAGGTGAGGAGTCAGCATTTTTGTGGTTGACAGAGAAAATGGTGGAGGATTCATTCATTCATACTTATACTTTCTTGCATTGCCTATCTTTTGGTTTTATAAGAGAGAGAAAAAATTATTTTATAAGCAATTATTTATAAAACAATTCATTAGAGCAAATTTGTTTTTGAATCAGGAGCAAAATATTTTTTGTAATAAATGGACAAAAGCTTTTGCCTCTTGTCGATTTCAATCATTAAACTGTGAGGGAGAGTTTTTCAATTTAGTGGATTAACATATTTCAAGGCATTATCCTTCAACAATAAGGGAGAGGTTTCTCTGGCCTCATTAATTTTTGGTGTAAACTCATGAATTCTTATTTCATTCAATAGGCTATAATCTATTACGGACATTAATTATTCTGACCCTCAAACTGAACCAGATTTGACAGGGGCAGCCCCTTCAAGCTGGCTTTGTCCTTCTGACTCTTCACCATTTTGTGAGCCCTTCTTTACTTTTAGGCACAATATATTCTAGGCTTATCTTGGACTTTCCCTGTCACGGCCTTGGGATCAGCCAGTTCTCTAGAGAATGGAACTGGTTTTATATATTTGCAATTTTCTAAATTGTGTGTCTGAGACACAAGTTTTTTATAATTTTTATTTACCAGGTTTTAAAAAATGCCATTTGATATTCAGTTTAATGCCAATTACCTTCTGGCAACATTTGTTTCCCACAACCTAATATATCCCATGAGCCCCTGACCTTGGGGTCAAAATTTCTCCCAGCTACACCAGGTTTTAAGAACTAATGAGGCTGGCAAGGGATGAGAGTATTTACAATTTTTTTTAAAGTAGTTTTAAAAACACATGTAAAATAAAAAGCACCTCAGTATTTTTTGTATCTATGTAAATATTTTATTCTGCTTCCAGATAGAACATTGAAGTTTACATGTTATTTTAAAGACAATAAACAGCTAAGCTACTGACATAAAATATGCAATAAATTTATGAGATATAAGGTACAGATGAGAAAAATCTGAAATAAGTTTTTAACTTCATTTAGCCTATTAGGAACATGAAGATGTCTGGAATTGATGCTGGCCTTGGTCTCAAGTACTTTTTCCCATATGTATTTGTTTTATCCTTCCAGAAAGCATATCATATTAGAGTGTCTAAGAAATCAGTGAATCACTAAGTTTTCCATCTTACCGAAGTACAAAACATTATTTCAAATCTAGGCCTTCTGACAGAATCCAATATCTATTTTTATACTTACTTTTCTTTCTACTAAGTTCTTTAATAAAATTATGAATCAGAAAGCAAGTACAAGACATGCTTATTTCACACAGAATATCAATGAAGACTTAAGAAGATAAATAGCAAGTACTTCTAAAAAATCACAAATTTTGACATTTGGAACAATATAATTGCCATACTATTATATCTTTTATTAAAAAAGACCTTTTCCAGCTTGTTTCCAGACTTCTTTTACTCCTTTAATGCTTTCTTTCTTCACACACTTCCAGTATTCTTGTATACTCTGATGTTGTGGTACCTGTTAACCGAAAGTAAAAATCAAGGGGTCATTGTCTTCAAGGTTAAACATGATTTCATATATACTTTACGTTACTGTTTATTTCCTTCCCACACTCCTCCAAAAATAGTTGAGGGTGAATTATGTTGTAAAAGATGATCACAACAGAACTGAAAATGGGGGTAAAAGACAAAAAGTGAATGTAACTATGCTTAAGGTTACTAGGGAGTGGAACCAGACTGAGCACACATTAATGGAGTTTCTTCTCTAAGAGGGTAATGAAGACTTTGGGCCATCTCTTCTTTCACATACTGGCTTTAAAATTTAATTACTTTATAATGTTTTCCTTTTATAATGTTTTATAATCTTTCCCTTTTTTTCTGGTGAACTTTGTTTAGCTATGTAGAATACAATTATAAGCCTAAAGCTTTGATTTAACATTGGCTAAAATTAAAAAAAAAAAAGGCCACAAAGTATTTGATGAAAAGCTTCAAGAAATAATCTAATTCATGGACGTGTTTTGTTAGCTAAAAATACATGTGGATTACTACTACTCTCAACAAAATGAAAAGGTAAAGGTTAGGAAATATTTGGATCCGGGGGACCACAGGAGCATAGCACTGATGAAAATTAGCCAAGTGGAAGCAAAATTCTACTCCAGATTATATATGTTCTTTTTCTTATGACTGATTTACAGCTTTTCTTTTTAATGTCTTCTGAGAAAGGGCAAGGAGACTCCCAGGTACACTCAATTGTGAACTGAAAAGACTGGCTTAATTTCCCGGAATATATTTATGGGTGTTGGATAACTGCAAAGTTTATAAAATATTAATATGTTTGCTAATGAAAATAATATTTATTTTTCCCTAAGTTATGTTTGTTGCAGGAAATGGAATTGCTTTTCTAAGTTGTAAATAGCTTTATTTTCATGAATAGTACCATATTCTCTCTCTCTCTCCTTCCTTTTTTCTTGCCTACCTACCAACCATGTAGATTCTCTTTGGACCCTAGTCTTCCCCTGGCAGACTTCTTTTCTGAGAGTGCTTCTAGCACATTCTAATCTGAACAAAAATCTGAATTTGATTTGTCCCACAAGTATAGACTCATATGTGACTTTGAGTGA
Organism: Homo sapiens; assembly: GCF_000001405.40. Taxonomy (NCBI): domain Eukaryota; kingdom Metazoa; phylum Chordata; class Mammalia; order Primates; family Hominidae; genus Homo; species Homo sapiens. The sequence goes on from NC_000013.11 coordinate 21,494,456, forward strand.
ATAATGCTAATAGTGAAATTTACTTCATAATCTCAGCCACTATACTAAGTATTTTACATCAAATTCTAACAATAATGCTTTCTGGTAGATTAGTTTCCTCATGGTATGGGTCAAGAATCTGAGACTAAAAAAAATTAAGTGGCTTTGCAAGATTAAGCAGTTAATAAACAGTAGAGGTGGGATTTGAATTTACATATATCTAATTACATGTAGTTAGTCAAATCCTAGGCTATGATTTTTTTTCCCTTTTTTTGTAGAAACAGAGTCTCATGATGTTATCCACGCTGGTCTCAAACTCCTGGCCTCAAGTGATCCACCCGGCTCGGCCTCCCACAATGTGCTGGGATTACAGATGTGAGCCACCATGTCCAGCTAGGCTACATTTCTGAATAGTAATTTCTTTTTTAAAAAATTATTTTTTTTTGGAGACAAGGGCTTGCTCTGTTGCACAGTCTAGAGTGCAGTGGTGCGATCGTAGCTCACAGTCACTTTAAATAGTGATTTCTTATTAGATTCACATTATTTTTTAAAAAGCAAAGATGTTTAATCTCATATATAAAATATATTTCTGTATTTCAATTACAGCTTATAGTCTTTTTATAAGTGATGAAAACTCCATTTAAAGACTGTACAATTGCCCAAATTCTAGGTTTAATATCAGTTAATGACAATGTAAACATGTATTATATAAAAAAAATCTGTTACCCATAAACCTCGATGCATTCTGTTTTTTAACACCCCAAGAAACTCTTCATGACTAAGACATTCATCACCATCCAAATCAAAGATCTTAAAGACAGTGTCCAAAATATTGTTTGAGAGTTCTTGTCCTGTTGCTACTTTCACAGCTCTCTTAAACTCCGCTAAAAAACAAACATAAAACAACTTATCAACTATGTGAAATAGTCTAAGTGAAATTAATCTAAATTTTCATTATTTGAGAAGTAAAAGCAAATCCAAATTTTTATTATTTGGGAAGTAAAACAAAAACAAAAATACCCATGAAGAAAATATTCAAACCATAAGCCGACGAATGTCATGAGAGTCACTGCAAGACAAATGAGCTATTGTAATTTAATCAATGCTCTAAACATATATTTGAGATGAATCTTGCTCGTCGCCCAGGCTGGAGTGCAATGGCACGATCTTGACTCACTACAACCTCCGTCTCCCGGGTTCAAGCGATTCTCTTGCCTCGGCCTCCTGAATAGCTGGGATTACAGGCGCCTGCCACCACGCCCAGCTAGTTTTTGTATTTTTAGTAGAGATGGGGTTTCACCATGTTGGCCAGGCTGGTCTTGAACTCCTGACTTTGTGATCCGCCCACCTTGGACTCCCAAAGTGCTGGGATTACAGGCATGAGCCACCATGCCCGGCCTTCTTCCTTCTTTTTAGGAGAATGAGAAAATAAAAGTATAGAAAGTAACCATTAAACTGGAGTACTGGTATTCTAAATCTAGAATAACCACACTGAATTAAAAGGTCAATCAACTATTTTTACTTATAATTTGTTCCTTGATTGGTAGCATTTAGTTGAAGAATATAGTAAAACTGTTTATAGATGATAAAAATTAAATGGTTTTTCATATAACTTACCTAGTCTGACAGGACGATGAGCTAAACTGAACATCTGCATGGCAATAGCAAAGTCTTCCAAGTGGGTTGTAAAATGGCAAAATGACTTGAATTCATCCAAACTAATGCTCTAATAAAGTAAGAGTTTTTATTACAATTTTGTAAGTACATTAAATAATCTTATAAATGTTAACTATGAACTTTCTTTTCTACCGTAGAGACTAGTATCATTCTAAGAGGAAGAGACAACAGAGCTTTCTCTGTCCCTTTCTCTCTGTGTGCACACAGAAATGGCCACACAAAGGGCACAGTGAGAAGGTGCTGTGTGCAGGCTGGGCAAGAGGCCTCACCAGAAACTGGCCCTGCTGGTGCCTTGATCTTGGACTCCTGGCCTCCAGAACTGTGAGAAATAAATTTATTGTTTAAGCTGCCCAGCCTGTGGTGTTTTGAGGCGGCAGCTTGAAGAGACTAACATACTCTGTTAAGTGGTCCACTTCTGCTAAGTTTTATTAGTGGACATAGCACTGAGTAAGAGCACAGAGTTTTGGAGTTAGATGGACTTTTAATGCTGAAATTCCGGTTCTGCCCTTTATAACGTGTATGACCTTAGCCTCTCTAAGTCTTAGGTAAGTAACGCTTCAGGGGTTATGTAGTTTGCCCAAAGTCTACTAACTGGAACAATCAGGATCTGAACCTTGGTCCATCTGACTTCAAAATCTGAGCACTTACAAATAAAACAAATGGTGCGGGCGCGGTGACTGACGCCTGTAATCCCAGCACTTTGGGAGGCGGAGGCGGGCGGATCACGAGGTCGGAAGATGGAGACCATCCTAGCTAACACCATGAAATCCCTTCTCTACTAAAAACACAAAAACAAAAAAATTAGCCGGGCGTGGTGGCAGGCGCCTGTAGTCCCAGCTACTTGGGAGGCTGAGGCAGGAGAATGGTGTGAACCCAGGAGGCAGAGCTTGCAGTGAGCCGAGATCACGCCACAGCACTCCAGCCTGGGCGACAGAGCGAGACTCTGTCTCAAAAAATACATAACAAACAAACAAACAAACGGGCTGGGTGCTGTGGCTCATGTCTAATCCTAGCACTTTGGGAGGCCAAGGCAGGCAGATCACCTGAGGTCAGCAGTTCAAGACCAGTCTGGTCAACATGGTGAAAAAGAAAAAAAAAAAAAAATTAGCTGGGTGTGGTGGTGCACACCTGTAGTCCCAGCTATTTGGAAGGCTGAGGCAGGAGAATTGTTTAAACCCGTGAGGCGGAGGCTACAGTGAGCCAAGATCGCGCCACTGCACTCCAGCCTGGGTGATGGAGTGAGACTCTGTGTAAAAACAAACAAATAAATAAAAAAGTTAAAAGAAAACTCAGTTTTTTCCATTAAAACAATAAAAGCTGGGTACGGTGGTTCCTGACTGCAATCACAGCACTTTGGAAGGCTGAGGTGGCCGGACTGCCTGAGCTCAGGAGTTGGAGACCAGACTGGGCAACATGGTGAAACCCCCATCTCTACAAAAAATACAAAAATTAGCCAGGCACGGTGGCATGTGCCTGTGGTCCCAGCGACTGAGGAGGCTTAGGCAGAAGGATCCCTTGAGCACAGGAGTTTGAGGTTATAGTGAGCTAACTGCACCACTGCACTTCAGCCTGGGCAACAGAGCAAGACCCTGTCTCAAAAACAAACAAACAAAACAAAAGTAAACAAAGTATGAAAATTCTCTTAGTTTTTATCTTGTTTTTGAGATAGTGTTTCACTCTGTGACCCAGGCTGGAGTCCAGATCACAGCTCACTGCAGCCTTGAAATTCTGGGTTCAAGCTATCCTCCTGCCTCAGTCTCCCAAGTAGCTGGGACTACAGACACAGAGCACCACACCCAACTAATGTTTTTATTTCTGTTTTTAGTAGAGACGAGATCTCGCTATGTTTCTCAGGCTGGTTTCAAACTCCTGGGCTCAAGTGATCCTCCCACCTTAGCCTCAGAAAGTGCAGGGATTACAAGTGTCAGCCATTGTGTCCAGCTAAAAATTCTTAATTTGAAAGTAAATTCTTCCCTGCCTGAAAAAAAAAGTTTCTCTTTGTAGGATGCTGAGGATCATGCCCTCTGTAATGTGTGGTCTTACTCAAGGTTCACTGGTTTCCAGCTTTTGTGACTTCATGAAATTTTTATTTTTAAATATTTCAATAAAGTTTTTGAAAAAGTAATATGTGCACATGGTTAAAAATTCAAACAACATGAAGGATAAATGATGAAGAGTTCTTCCACTCTGATTCCCAGTTCCATTCCCCAGACATGAGTTACCAATTCCTTGTGTCTCCATCCAGAAATATCCTATTCTTTTTTTTTTTTTTTTTTTTTTTTTTTTTGAGACAGTCTCGCTCTGTCACCCAGGCTGAAGCGCAATGGCGCAATCTTGGCTCACTGCAACCTCTGCTTCCCAGGTTCAAGCAATTCTCCTGTCTCAGCCGCCTGAGTAGCTAGGACTGCAGGCACCCACCACCACGTCCGGCTAATTTTTGTATTTTCAGTAGAGATGGGGTTTCACCATATTGGTCAGGCTGGTCTCAAACTCCTGACCTCAGGTGATTCACCCACCTCAGCCTCCCAAAGTGCTGGGATTACAGGCGTGAGCCACCGCGCCTGGCTAATATTCTATTCTTATTAAAGTGTATACATGTACACACACGTCTCCTTGTTTTACACAATGGGAACAATCTCTTCACATATTTCTGTACCTTGCTTTATTCTCTTAACAGTATATTTACAAGATGATAGAGAGGGAAAAAAGGAAAAAAAAAAACCAGTGTATTTATCAGCACAAATAAGAGTGGCTGCTTCTATCATGACCTCGAAGTAGGCACTGGATGCAACTTTTTTGATGTCTGCTTTTCTGATAGATGAAAAATGGTATTTTATTAATGTTTGAATTTGCATGTCTTACGGAGTCTTGCTGTGTTGCCCAGTCTGGAGTGCAGTGGCGTGATCTTGGCTCACCAGAACCTCCGCCTCCCTCATTCAAGCGATTCTTCTGCCTCAGCCTCCTGAAAAGCTGTGATTACAGGCATGCGCCACCACGCCCCGCTAATTTTTGTATTTTTAGAAGAGACGGGGTTTCACCATGTTGACCAGGCTGGTCTCAAACTCCCGGCCTCAGGTGATCCACCTGCCTCGGCCTCCCAAAGTGCTGGAATTACAGGTGGGAGCCATAGGCCCGGCCTGAATTTGCATGTCTTCAATTGTGAATGAAGTTAAACATTTTTCACATGCTTATTAGTCATTTGTGGATTTCTCTTCTTGTGTCCTGTTTATGTCCTTTGCCCAGATTTCTAATGGGTTGTTAGGTAACTTACTGTGCGAGACCGTTCTCCATGGGTCTCACATTTCTTTTTTTTTTTGAGATGGAGTCTCGCTCTGTCACCCAGGCTGGAGTGCAGTAGCACAATCTCGGCTCCCTGCAAACTTCACCTCCTGGGTTCACACCAATTCTCCTGCCTCTGCCTCCCGAGTAGCTGGGACTACAGGCACCCGCCACCACGCCTGTCTAATTTTTTGTATTTTTAGTAGAGATGGGGTTTCACCATGTTAGCCAAGATGTTCTCAATCTTCTGACCTCATGATCTGCCCGCCTCGGCCTCCCAAAGTGCTGGGATTACAAGTTTGAGCCACCGTGCCCAGCTGGGTCTCACGTTTCTGTACATCTATCAGAGGCACCGACTGCATTTTTGTTCCAGATTATATCTTCGAGGATTTCACACCTGTAATCCCAGCACTTTGGGAGGCCGAGAGTTTGGGACCAGCCTGGCCAACAACACAGTGAAACCCATCTCTACTAAACATACAAAAATTGCGAGGCATGGTGGTATGCGCCTGTAATCCCAGCTACTCAGGAGGCTGAGGCAGGAGAATTGTTTGTATAGCGGACAGCACTGTTCCTCAGGAGCACAGGACAGCTTTGCTTACTGTCCAGTATCATGAATACACAATGCCTCCCACTGCAGCAAAGCTCAGGAAGGCTTGTTTACTTGCCCATTACAAAACATTCAGATCACTAAGATGAGGGTCCTCAGCTGTGATGTGAATCTGCTGTGTGGGCAGCATCTACCTGGGCCTCTCAGCATCATGCCCATGGGGCTTGGGAGGCAAGGGGGAACTGACACAAATATGTTACTCATGTTGTTGCTACATTACGATAATAAAATTCTTTGTGTCTGACTCAATAGTCTTGTATCTTCTGCAAGCATCCATGAAACTGTGCAGGCTAACCTGCAAAGGGATAAAATTTCAGACACTTTACAGTTATTCACATGTTGATTTTCAAGTTCTCATGATATATTAAATAGGGAAAAAAAAATCTCAGACCGTTTAAAGTTCTTGATACCTACTGATTTTTTTTTTTTTTTTTTTTTTTTTTTTTTTGAGACAGAGTCTCACTGTTGCCCAGGTGTGACCTTGGCTCACTGCAACCTTTGTCTCCCAGGTTCATCCAATTCTCCCGCCTCAGCCTCCTGAGTAGCTGGGACTACAGGTGTGTGGCACCATGCCCGGCTACTTTTTTTTGTATTTTTTGGTAGAGATGGGGTTTCACCATGTTGGCCCGGCTAGTCTCGAACTCCTGACCTTGAGAGAGCCACCCACCTTGGCCTCCCAAAGTGCTGGGATTACAGGAATGAGCCACCACGCCCGGCCAATCCCTACTGATTTTTAAAGATCCCATTATAAATTAAGAAAATTGGTCTTTACATATCAATATCTCCCCCTTCTTCATGTTAACTTTTTATTTTGACTCTCATTATAATTTTTGCAGGGGACGAGGTGAGGCAACAGATTTTAATTTTTAGGTATTTCATCAAGTTTTCTTTGAAAGGTTTTGGGTTTTGCTTAGAAAGGTATATAACCTAAGATGAAACATTGTTTCCATGTTTTCTTCTACACTTACTCAGTTTCATTTTTTCAACATTTAATTTTTTGATTCATCCTAAATTTATTTTAGAGTAATGAATGGTGTAAAGATTTATGTTCATTTTCTCCCTCAGATGGCCAGTGAATTATCCTACTGCCATTTATTAATAATTCTTTTACCCAACTAATTTAAAATACTATTTCATAATTACTAAATTTTTCATATGCTTAAGTCTATTTCTGGAGTCTGTCAAATTCATTGTCAGTAACAAACTGTTTTAGTTACCAAGGTTTGATAATATATTTTAATATGTTGACATTCTTTTCATATAAAGTCTTTTTTTTTTTTGACACAGAGTCTTGCTCTGTCACCCAGGCTGGAGTGCAGTGGCGCAATCTCAGCTCACTGAAAGCTCTGCCTCCAGGGTTCACACTATTCTCCTGCCTCAGCCTCCCGAGTAGCTGGGACTACAGGCACCTGCCACCATGCCTGGCTAATTTTTTGTATTTTTAGTAGAGACGTGGTTTCACCGTGTTAACCAGGATGGTCTTGATCTCCTGACCTCATGATCTGCCCGCCTTGGCCTCCCAAAGTGCCAGGATTACAGGCGTGATCATATAAAGTTTTATAGCTTGTCTAGTTTCTTCCCAATAATTCAATGGTATTTTTATTGAAACCCACGAGTATTCACCAGTATCTGGATCTTTTCTGATTCCTGCACGTACGAAAGACTGAAGTTCCTTGCCTCCCTGCATTCAGGTGGGGTTATGTGATTAGTCTGGCCAATAGCCAAGTGTCATGTGATGTTTCCAGGCCAAAACATTTAGTTGCTGGATTTTGACTCCCCTCCTTCTTTTCCTGCCACAGCCTCTGAGCGTGGTACTTCTTTCAGATGATGTAACTCCAAGATGGCACAGCCTCAGAGAGTCTAGACCTCTGAATGGGTCTAGACCTCTATGCGGACAGAGACTCCTATCAGCCCACAATGGAACTGCGGCATGACTGAGCAAGAAACTCAGTGTCAGACAGGGGGATTTCAGGGTTAATTTGTAACTGCAGTAAACTTGGGCTGTTCTAATATAACCATTACACTTATAGACTAACTGAAGACAGAATTGCTGTATTTATAATTCTAAGACTTTCTATTCAATAATAGGGGATGTCTTATAATTAGATAAGTTTTCTTTTTATATCCATCAAGGCTATCAAGTTTTCTTCTTTTTTTTTGTTAAATTTATTTCTAATTGTTATATATTTATCTTGCAGTTATAACTGGGTTCTTCTACTGCAATTTATTTTTTTCTTACAATAGAAGTAACTTTTTAAAAAGTTACATAAAATACATGTCCATTGTAAACATTTTTTTGGAACAATACATAAAGGTATAAAGAAAGAAAGTAAAAATCACTTGAAACCTCACCACTGTACATGAATAATTATTAATAGCTTGGCAATCATCATTTCATACATCTCGTATATATATACACACACATATGCATGTCATTACATTTTCTACTTGTAATTTGTATATAGGAGAGCTGCTGCTGCTTATATATTAGCATTGTGACAGGTACTTTATTGAATTCTTATTGTTTCTACGGTTTTTCTACTGGATTCTCTTGGGTTCTCTAGGCATATAATTGCATCATATAAAAACAAAGACAACTACTACCCCCTTTCACATTTTTATACTCTTTTAAATAATCTTGTTAATTTGGACTGGTTAAGATTTACAGAGTGATATTAAATAACAGTAGTGATACTTGTCTTATTCTTGACTTTACTGGAAATGGAAAACTTGTAATTGCTACACTGATTCTGTCTTAGGCAGTTTTCCTTTACAGGAGAAGAGCATGTAGAGAACATTCCTCAAGTTGATTTTATATACCATCGAGGGTAGCACAGTCTTGGTTAATTCAGAAGTTACTTTATGTAAACATGTCTAACTTATTATTTCATCTTTATCACATGCATAATAAAAGGGTATACCAACCTCTCCTGCTGACAACTTCTCTCTCACATTTTTCCAATAAATATCTTTATTTTCAGTGTTAGTGAAAAAAAGTAGCCACTCTGCAAAGTCTTCTTTTCTCATGAAACTCAAACCTTTAGAAAACTGAAGGAATTCCATTTCTTGAATCTCTGTTTGTAAATTTTCCATAAATCTGAATGTTAAAATACAAAATTAGTAAGGTAACTAGTGGCATTCAACCTTAAATATTGTAAATGGGTCTGCAAAGTACCTTCACTATTACCTACTGAGTGGCTGCCTCCTGATGGTAAGCAGGATGAAGCATTAGTGCTGTGCAAGGATTGTGGGGAGAGGAAGGATGCAGAGAAACTGATTAAGTCCAACACTGGCTTCCATCAGTAACTCTCTATACTCAACTTGTTTGTGTAAGTTATACCTGGCAACCTACATTCTGATAAACCTAAAGACTTAAAAAAATATGTCAAATGTTGCTTTGATACATCCATAGAAAATAACAATTCCATGGAAACTATTTTCCAATACAGAAAAATTATCAATAATCAGATAAATTTAAAATTGAGGTGGGACACTGCTTTTAGAATGTTAATCATAATTACTACTTCCTAATATTTTTCAAATACCAAAGTTAATCAGTGTAATCAATGGCTTGGCATCAAAAGCTTAGCTCTATCTAAAAACATAATCTTTTTGACAATAATACATGTCGATATGACTCAACATTCCTTTCTTACAAAAACAACATGGTACTTCGATCAAACTGTCATCAATGGCTTCCCAGGAAAGGGACACGTTGAAAAGATATCAGATGAAAATATATCTTCTTTGAACAAGAACCCAGAAACGTTGCACTTGATTTATTTATAACCTAAATCATGTGAAAAGTATTATCATCTCCATGCATTTTAATATGCTGCAGATCCCTTTATTCACTTTTCCACATGTGAAAAGATCGGTACTATCTGTCATGTCAAATTCAAATGAAAATATACATGGGGTGATAGAAGAGGGACATTCCAGTTCAGTGGGAGAAAAATCATCACTTAAAAAATGACTTGCTTGAAGTTCTACATTTATCCTATAAATCTTAAAAGCATGAAGGAGGAGTTTGATCTTAGACTTCTGTCTACATGGTAGGCAAGAGTTTGTTACTTAAAACATTTTCTGAATGTACTGAATACACGGATTCATCAATGCCATGTTTCTTTCTGGGTCAAAGCAGAACTTTATCTAAAATTTGAAGTATTTCAAATTTGGACTGATAGAGCAACAAAATATTTTACTGATATACTTTGCCTTTTATTTTGTTGAGTTTTCCTGCCCTGTATACTGTAATGACATTCAACTGATTCTTATTAGAACTGTTAAATGTATGCTTTACTTGCAAATGAGTGTACACTGAATTAGGCAAGCAGAAGATAGGGCATAAAACCATTACTAACTTGTTCCTTTCCCTTTTTTCTTCAGGCTCTATGCGAGCCTCTACCAGAGGCTGAAATATTATAAACTTAATTGCTGTTAAACTATACATTGTCTGGATTAAGCTACTTTCATCTTACCTAATTACACTACTTTTAATGAATATAAATCAATTTATGATGATAATCTTTTCCCTTTAAGCCTAAAATCATATTATCTTGTTATAACATGAAACTCTGGAACATGAGCTGAACATGCATATATGAATTGGAAAATTTATAGTAGATAAGGCTGCCAGACACATTGTGAACAAATTACATACTTTATAAATTAGTGGGTTAATTGGAAACAATGGGAGAGATCTGTTTTTCCTTATTGGAATTGTTTAGGCAGTGTTGTACTGGAGTGGCGCGTACAGGCTGTGAGTCTATCATGCATGTCTTCCCACCTCTGCTTCATGCAGGGGAGCTTGACATTGGCATGGTAGAGTATTTATTTATTTATACTACTAATTGGCAAACACTACAAATCAAGGCTGTTTTTCCTGAGACAGATGATTGTTAAACATATTTACTAGCACACCACTGCCTCTAGACACCTCTGAATTTATAAAAACGCTTCATGAAACTCAGAAATCCTCAACTAATAATTGGTATTTCAGAATTTTTAACAAACTCAGCCCTAAAAAGTACATCAGTATCAATATCCTCCCCAATTTTTCCTGACGAGAAGACTTGAGGCCAATTTTCTTCCCTCTAACCATTATATATCTTAAGTCACAGGTTTATTTTCAGTTTAAAAAATTCATTGGAATAAAAAATGAGGTCAAATGTGTCAGAATAGAAATAAACTCAGGGATTATTTCTGGTCACTATCTTTAAGGCTAATCATGGAGTTTAAAAGAAGAGAAAAGAAATGCAGAAGAAGAAAAATCACCAAAGAGAGTAGGAGAGAAGAGTAAAAAAGACCAGAAAAACACAACAAAATCAGAAGGCACTGATGCAGGGCGGGTAAATGCCATCAGGAGCTGCCTGAGTAGCCCAAGAGTCAATGCTTTCCCCCAGAACAATACGTAGTAGGTTGACAGAAAACTCAATTTTCAGAATTTAAATTATCTGCTGCTTTCATAACAATAAAAGCACACCAAAATTCTGGGAGACAGAATTAAATTACACTGTGGTTTTTACTTAAACGGTTAAGTGATATTTCAGCTGGAAAATCTTTTTGATTAGTTGTATAAGTAAAAAAAAAATCAGAAAAGAAGTGACAAATTTTTCTTTAACTGATGAGTTTCTTTTGATCCGTGGTAGTATCTACTGTATATGACTGTCCTTCTGGTAACCTAGTCTGGTACTTGAAAGCCCATTCAATGCACCCACCACCTACCAGGGAACTGTGGAACTCTTTCAGAAACTACATGATCACTTAAACCTTTCATGAGAAACCTGAATCTCGCCTCTTCAGTTTCTAAAGTATGTGATCCTGTATCAAGTCCCTCAACCTCATCAGATTCTAGTTATAAAGAGAAGACACTTACCTCACCTTGTAAGGATAGGTGAGATGACACATATGGAAAATACTTAGAAAGACGCCATGCACCATGTAAGTACCTGCCAGTTGCTGTGATGGTACTGAGGATGATATGTAACTATCTTTTCGTTTTCATTCTTCATGCCCAGACTCCACTTTTTTTTTTTTTTGAAGACAGGGTCTCACTCTGTTGCCTAGGCTGGAGTGCAGTGGTGTGATCACAACTCACTGCAGCCTCAACCTCCCTGGGCTCTGGTGATCCTCCCTACCTCAGCCTCCCAAGTAACTGGGACTACAGGTGCACACCACCCCACCCATCTCTTTTGTAAAGATGAGGTTTCGCCATGTTGCCCAGGCTGCTGTCGAAGTCCTGGACTCTAGCAATCTGCCTGCCTTGGCCTTCCAAAGTGCTGGGATTACAGGTGTGAGCCGCCGCGCCCAGCTCCAGACTCCGTTGTTAATTGCTTTCCACTTTCTCACCCACAACCTCAGCTCTAATGGGCTGCAAAAGGCCTTCTTCAAGTATGGCTTAAAGAAAACCATACTATAACTAACTGCACATAGTGGTATTTGCACAAATTCATGGTGCACATTTTCAACTGGGTCCTTGACCCTTACAGACACTCTTCTGCTAGCCTGGAAATGTGTCTTTTTGATTTTACATAGAGGCTATTTCATTTTCACTCTCTTTTCTGTTTATCCTCAGCCTATGACTTTGCCCCTGCTTCCTACAGAAACTAGAAATCATTGTTTAATAAATTCATTCATTTTCTTATTGTCACTAAAAATTGTAACAGCATCCACATTCATCCTTTTCCCCACCCTCTTCTTCCTGTCACAATGGATGGGGAGTCCCTTTTCCTGTCGATGGCTGCACTCTGAATCTCACCTATATTCCTGTACTTCCCTCCCTTCAGGGACCTTGCTCTTCTAGCGATACCCTGTCACTCCTGTATTTTCAGCCTTTGCCTCCTTACATCGTCAGTTAAACATGTTATAACATTATACTCCCAGAAACACAAAAGTATAAGCTCAAAATATTACATATGAAACCATTTTTGTGGAATATCAATGATTAATTTGGCTAGTACGTTAGTGCAAGCTTTTGAAAATATTATTAGAAGCCATTTTCTGTTATTTTATGACTTAGCAAAATTTAAGAGATTATCTTATGATTGCCATAAATTCCAGCCTAGTATAATTACAATTTTACCTTTAGGGACACTTTGCAATATCTAAGAAAGCTCTTGAAAAATTTCATTTTTAAAGTTTTTGTTAATTTAATTGGATTAAAAAAATTGCATGATGGTATGACAAATTTCACAGTGCCCATAATTTATAGAAGAACTAATTTAAAAAAATTTAAAGTAAGAATTCTAAACAAAATCATTCCCATTGAAGAAAAGTAAGGTGAGAAGCAACCTTAAAAGTTAACAAGTTAGGGAATCGTAAAGTGAAGTAGAGTGACATATTAGTATCTCTGTGAATACAGTTTGAAAAATTATCCCAGTAATATGACAATATCAGTATTATGATAATAGCTTTCCTTGTTTTAAATTATGATATTTTTGGAACGTTAAAAAACATTGAGAGACTGATATTTTAAATATACAAGAAGAGGTATGGTTTAAAATTTTGTTGAAAAAATTGTTCTAGAGAGCTTAAATGACTCAGTGTAGCCATCAGGTAAACTGGGATTAGTGGGGTTAGAAAAAATCTAATTCAGAAACTTAGATTTTTTTTTTTTTTTTGAGACGAGTCTCACTCCGTTGCCCAGGCTGGAGTGCAGTGGCGCAGTCTTGGCTCATTGCAACCTCTGCTGCCCGGGTTCAAGCACTTCTCCTAACTCAGCCTCCCAAGTAGCTGGGATTACAGATGCCTGCCACCTCGCCCGGCTAATTTTTGTATTTTTAGTAGAGACGGGGTTTCACCACGTTGGCCAGGCTGGTCTAAAAACTCCTGACCTCGTGATCTGCCCGCCTTGGCCTTCTAAAGTGCTGGGATACAGACATGAGCCACCGCGCCCGGCCAGATTTTCTTTTCTTTTTCTTTCTCTCTTTCTTTCTTTCTTTTTTTTGACAGAGTCTCACTCTGTCACCCAGGCTGAAGGGCAGGAGGCACTTGGATTTTCATGCATTCTTCTTCGTTCCTTAAATCTAATCAATCACTGAGCCCTACAATTTTATCTCCTGTGTCTGGAAATCTTTTCTACTTCAAAATCCTTATTGCCACTACACTAGTTCAAGGCTCTTCTTTCTTTTTTTTTTTTTTTGAGACGGAGTCTCGCTCTGTCACCCAGGCTGGAGTGCAGTGGCACGATCCTGGCTCACTACAAGATCTGCCTCCCGGGTTCACACCATTCTCCTGCCTCAGCCTCCCAAGTAGCAGGGTCTACAGGTGCCTGCCACCATGCCTGGCTAATTTTTTGTATTTTTAGTAGAGACGGGGTTTCACCATGTTAGCCAGGATGGTCTCGGTCTCCTGACCTCGTGATCCACCACCTCGGCCTTCCAAAGTGCCAGGATTACAGGCGTGAGCCACCACACCCGGCCCAAGGCTCTTATTTCTTTTCTGGAATATCTGAATGGTCTTCTCTCTCATAAAACCTATCCTTTACTCTGCTGCCAGAGTGATGGGCACATCTGACCAAATACCCTTCACGTGGCCTTCTTCAGGGCCTCTCATCACTGAGTTAATCAACAAGCTACCTCTATCTTATGGTGTATAAAACCTTCACACAGGTAAGTTCATACTTCCCAGCCTCCATTCTCCTCACCTTATGCTTCCTACTTTATCAACTCTACTGCTTCTAATTCCCTTTACAAACCATACACTTTCATGCCTCTACGTCTTTGCTCTTGCTGTGTTATCATTCCCTCAAATGCCTCCCTGCCCAAACCACTTTTGCCTGTTAATCCCAGCTAGTTTGTCAAGATTCAACTTAGTATTTCTTCTGGAAAGCCTTCCCTGATCACCTAGTCCCAACCTTCAACACAGGGTACACTAAGTGATCTTCTGTGCTACCCAAATACCCTATTTATCTAAGAAAGCACTGACTACAATGTATTTAAATGTTTTTCTGCATGTTTACTAGATAGTTTCCAGTACTATCCCTAGTGTTTGAGGGGTAATTTGACACATAATAGCATATATCACATTCAATAAATCTTTATTAAACTAGATTCAGCTGAATAAGATGCAGGTCTCCTGCCTCCCAAGTCAGTGTTTTTCCCCACTATTCTGTACTGCTTTTTGATATCTGTTTTAAGACTTTGGTTAGTGGAGTAGCACAGGGAGGTGCACTGTCTCACTATGCATGGCATTATTATCATTGGGAAGATGGTAGACAGGACACTGTATTTTAATGTTTATAATAATCATATAAGGTAAGCATTATTATGTCTACCTTTTAGATAAAGAAATGAGCTTAGGGAGGTTAAATAAGTACTTAAAATTAATGTTAGTATAAAGCTTTACTGGAACATGTCCATGTCTATTTGTTAATGTACTGTTTATGGCTGCTTTCACACTACAACCATGGAGTTGTGTAGTTGTGACAGAGACCATATTTACTCTTTAGGCCTTTGCAGAAAATGTTTGCCAACCCTTGTGCTAGAGAATGAGAGACTACATGAAGCAGAGCTGAGGTGTCCCAGTTGAGACCATCTTAGAAAAGCCAGCAGCCAGCAAACCCATCAGCAGACTGCAAATGCAAGAGTACTGTCAAGATCAGCCAATCCTGTTCCAATCAGGAGAACTGCCCAACCGACTCAAAGACTCACAAAAATAACAAATGGTTGTTGTTTTAAGTTGGGTTGGTTTGTTTCGCCTAAAGAACAACTGACGCTAGGCGCATGGTTCTTTGTTGCAAACATTAAGTTACTAAAAAGAATTATTGTATTCTATGAAACAGATACTACTTTCTATAGTAAGGTACGATATTTTGAGCATACTAATTTTAGTTTCTATTTCATAGGTTTAGTTCTCAGAGATAAATACTACACAGATCCACAAAATCCACAAACAGTATTTTAGTTTTATGATCTGCAGTTCTAGAAAATGAATATATTCTGTTTCTCTTTATTTCTTACCCATAAAATTTCCCTAAATGAATGTAAATATTTGCATTTACCTTCGAAATTCTTTATAATGAAGTTTTCTTTGTCCTCTTTTTCCAAAGAAACGCATCTGAAGAGTTGTGTTAATTTCAGGTTCTTTCACTATTGCTTCCTATTAAAAAAATCACAATAATTTAAAATAATTATAAATAAGAATAAAAATAGAATCTGTAGAGTAGAAATCTTAGAATAATATCCAGAAAGGATTCTTCTTACAGCAACAACAACAACAACAAAAGTTGTAAAAGAGGGATAGAGCCATTCCTTCTGTTATTTTGCATAACACTCCATAACCATCGTTGTTCAAGTAGGCAATAAACAATAAGGGATAAAATACTCAAGGTGGACTTCAGCATGAAACAAGATCTTAGATCAGGCCAAAAAGGAAGTTTAGAATAGTGAAATAAATGTTACTTCAAAATATGATCTCTAGGCCTTTACTAATGAAGCAGCACTGAGAGAGTTAAAGCAAGAAAGTCTTTGAGCTTTTGTTGAATGTTGGAAATACTTGGAAAACACTTGCTTTTCCTAATTATAAAATCAACAGGTGAGAATTCCATTAAACGTAATGAGTGAGGCAGATTCACACATTCTTCAATTCTTTAATAAAATAACAAAAATAACAAAACTGCTAAAAAAAAGAAAAAACCATCAGCAACCAAACAACAAAAGGGGGTATAAGTTTAAGCCACAATTTTGAAAAACAGCAGTCAGAGAAACAGTAGACTCAGGTGTGGGATCGTCTAGCATGTCTCCTAATCCTACCACCACCCCGACCCCGCTTCTCAGAATGTCAGATTACTGCCTTAGGAGGAATTCATTAAATGAATTCATTTAATTCATTCATTAATTCATTTAATGAATTCCTTAGGAGGAATTCATTAAAATCTTCAATTCTGCAATAAGTAGATTAACAGGGTGAGAAGACAACCCTGAGACAAGTCATGGCAAACTCTTCAGCAAGCTCCTCTCTGGAGCTTGGTGGGACTTGAGCACAGTGAAGAAGGGCTTCAACGGCTTCTTTCAGGGCACTATGTTAAATTGAGGGAATAATCAGAAGCCCACAGGGTGGGATATACCTTGGAGGGTGGAGTGGGCTGTGATCTGGAACATTTTAATAGAATCACAGAGAGAAAGCAGAGTCTAGGTGCTCCAGTAAGGATTACATTTAGACCAGGGAACTCCCTTCTCTCCTTTAGTCAACAAAATGGTGGAGCAAAATGCAGCACCTGCAGCTCAGGGGAAAAGATAAATTAGTTCCAGATATGGTGGGAAGAGTATTAAGGAGAATATCATTTGTGCTCTACCAGAGCAGAGAGGGTCTGGATAGAGCATGGGCATGAGGAAAATGTAAGGCATGACAACTATACAAAGACACTGTAGCAAGAAATAGAAAAAGAACAAATCAGGTAAAAGGCACAAAAACCCAGTCTAGAAGAACTGATAACCCAAGGAACAAATAAGTATTTCTCATGAGACCTTTAAAGAAAATAACTTTTTATTTTGGGATACCTATAGATTTCACACACAATGGTAAGAAACAATACAAAAAGATCCTCTCTGCCCTTTACTCAGTATCCTCCAATGGTAGCATCTTGCAAAACTATGGTGAAATATCACAACTTGACACAGTCAACATATAGAACATTCCTTCACCACAAGGATTCCTCATGTTGCTTTTATAGCTACACCAGCTTTCCTCCTGCTCCCACCCTCTTTTTAGCCTCTGACAACAATTAATGAATTCTCCATTTCCATTATGTTGTCATTTCAAACATGTTATATAAATAGAATCATACAGTTTGTAACTTTCAGGAACTGGCATTTTTTTTTTTTTCCCAGCATAATTCTCTGGAGATTCATTCAGGTTGTCGTATCTTTTGCCATATCAATTGTGTTTCTTTTTATTGCAGAGCAGTATTTCATGGTAATGGAGTCCCACAGTTTATTCAACAAAAGATATCTAGATTGTTTCCCGTTTGGGCTGGATGCTGCCCAACTGAGCTGCTAAGAACATGTGTGTACAGGTTTTGTACGAACAATCCCAGGAGCACAATCACTATTTTCCAGAGTGGTGGTTTTACATTCCCACTAGCAATGAGTGATTCAGTTTCTCTGCATCCTTGCCACCATCTGGTGTGTCAGTGGTTTGTTTTTAGTCATTTGGGTGGCTGTATATCTCTCTATGGTTTTAATTTGCATTGCGCTAATGACTAAAGGTGGTGAATATCCTTTTATGTGCTTGTTTTTGCCTATTTTCTTTGGAGAAATATTAAAAGTCCTTTGTCCAGTTTTTAATTGGGTTGTTAATCACTTTGTGGTTAAATTGTAAGAAGAGTTCTTTATATATACTGATAGACCCTTATTAGATATGTGATTTGCAAGTATCTTCTTCCATTATGTTGGTTATCTTTTCACACTCTTGACAGTGTCCTCTGATGAACACAAATTTTTAATTTTTTTTTTTTTTTTTTTTGAGACGGAGTCTCGCTCTGTTGCCCAGGCTGGAGTGCAGTGGCTCGATCTCGGCTCCCTGCGAGCTCCGCCTCCCAGGTTCACACCATTCTCCTGCCTCAGCCTCCTGAGTAGCTGGGACTACGGGTGCCCGCCACCAGGCCCAGCTAATTTTTTTTGTATTTTTAGTAGAGACAGGGTTTCACCATGTTAGCCAGGATGGTCTCGATCTCCTGACCTCGTTATCTGCCCACCTCCGCCTCCCAAAATGACGAATTTTTAATTTTGATGAAATCCAATATATCTACTTTTTCTTCTGTTGCTTGTGATTTTAGTATCATTATCTAAGAAACTGTTGCCAAATCCAATGCCATGAAGCTTTGCTCTTATGTTTTCTTCTAAGAGCTCTATAAGTTTAGCTCTTACATCTACTTGAATTAATTTTTATATGTGGTGTGAGACAGGAGTCCGACTTTATTCTTTTACACATAGATATCCAGTTGTACCAGCAACATTTGCTGAAGAGATTTCCTTAGTTTCTGAAAATTGTGAATGGTATTATATTTAAAATTTTTGTGTCCCTGGTGTTCACTGATATATACACATGACTGATTTTTGTACATTTTTCTTGTACCTAGTCACCTTCCTAAAATCAATTATTAGTTCTAGAAGCTTTGTTTTGTTTTGTGATTTTTTTTTTGCAGATTTCCTGGGAGTTTCTACAGAGACAATGCCATCTACGAAAAGAGACTGTTTCATTTCTTACTTTCCAATCAATAGGCCTTTTATTTCCTTGTCTTGCCTTACTGGAGTGGCTAGAACTTTCAGCACTGTATTGAACAAGAGTAGCAAGAATGGACATCCTTGCCTTACTCCTGATGTCAGGGGAAAAGAATTCAGTCTTTCATCAATAAGTATGTTAGCTGTAGGTTTTTTGTAGATGCTCTTTACCAAGTTCAATGCCCACCTCCCTGCCCTATTTGTTTTAATGAGTGCTTTTAAAAAAACTACGGGCTGGGCACAGTAGCTCACACCTGTAATCCCAGCAATTTGGGAGGCCGAAGCGGGCGGATCACCTGAGGTCAGGAGTTTGAGACCAGCCTGACCAACATGGTGAAACCCTGTCTCTACTAAATA
Organism: Homo sapiens; assembly: GCF_000001405.40. Classification (NCBI taxonomy): domain Eukaryota; kingdom Metazoa; phylum Chordata; class Mammalia; order Primates; family Hominidae; genus Homo; species Homo sapiens. The sequence goes on from NC_000013.11 coordinate 21,513,581, forward strand.
CAAAAAATTAGCTGGGTGTGTGGGTGGCATGTGCCTGTAATCCCAGCTACTTGGGAGGCAGAGGCAGGAGAATCGCTTGAACTGGGGAGGTGGAGGTTGCAGTGAGCTGAGATCGCGCCACTGCACTCTAACCTGGGAGACTGAGTGAGACTCTGTCTCAAAAAAAAAAAAAAAAAAAAAAAAAGACAACTTTACATATATTAAGTTAAAAAAGAAGAGTGTGGAACAATGTAGAGTATGTTACTTCTTATATTAAAACAGAAAAAATAATATAGATATATCTATTTACTTCTTTACATGTATACTTATATATACATAAAATCTCTCTGGAAGAATACACAAGAAACTAAAAGTACTAATTGCCCAGGGAGGAGAACTGTGTGAATGAGAGGGAAATTCTGCTCTACCTACATACTCCTGTGCACCACCTGAAGTTAGGAACATGTAAATATAGCACATATATTTAAAATACAGTCATGTATTGCTGAGAAATGCATTGTTAAGTGATTGTCACTGTGCAAACATCAGAGTGTACTTACACAAACCTAGATGGTATACCCCACCACACACCTCTGCCATAAAGTATAGCCTATTGTTCAGACCACCACGTATATGCAGTCTGTTGTTGACTGAAAAGTTATGTGGTGCATGACTGTATTAAAAAAATTAAATTGCTGATACCAAATCTATTGGTAACTATCGGGAATATCTGAACAAACAAAATAGAGTAGCTATTATAAATATCAATTGTTTGGAAATCATCTGTACATACCTGATATCCAGTTTCATTAGTTTTCACTGTCATCAAGTCATCTTGTTTACTTATGATCTTCTGCAGCTAAAAAGATTACAAACATGAGTTTACATGTGTGCCTACCAGATTTTTCAAAACAACCTAAAAAATAGATGCCAACTTATTGTTATAAAATATATACTAGTTATTTGCTAAATATTAACTTCTTTTTTTTTTTGAGATGGAGTCTTACTCTGTTGCCCAGGCTGGAGTGCAGTGGCGCAATCTCGGCTTACTGCAAGTTTCGCCCCCAGGTTCATGCTATTCTCCTGCCTCAGCCTCCCAAGTAGCTGGGACTACAGGCGCCCGCCACCACTCCCGTTAATTTTTTTTTTTTTTTGTATTTTTAGTAGAGACGGGGTTTCACCGTGTTAGCCAGGATGGTCTCGATCTCCTGACTTTGTGATCCACCCGCCTCGGCCTCCCAAAGTGCTGGGATTACAGGTGTGAGCCACCACCTTAAATTTTTTCTAATCATAACTCCTATTATCTTTTTCTCTTAGACAATGCAAGAATCAAAGGACAAAAGAGATAACAAAGTATTAACATTATTATTACTACAATCTTCTACTAAGAAAGCTAGTTTACTTAATAGATACATGTTCTTAGGCAGCACTCTATAAGAACTTCAAGATTATGCTGTCCTTTCAAGATAATTTTTATTCATAATTAGTTGTATCACTAGTTTATGGTGACATTTTCAAGTATATAGTTTTTTTTTTTTTTGAGACGGAGTCTCGCTCTGTCACCCAGGCTGGAGTGCAGTGGCACGATCCCGGCTGACTGCAAGCTCCGCCTCCCGGGTTCACGCCATTCTCCTGCCTCAGCCTCCCGAGTAGCTGGGACTACAGGCACCCGCCACCATGCCTGGCTAATTTTTTTGTATTTTTAGTAGAGATGGGGTTTCACCGTGTTAGCCAGGATGGTCTTGATCTCCTGACCTTGTGATCCACCTGCCTCGGCCTCCCAAAGTGCTGGGATTATAGGCTTGAGCCACTGTGCCCGGCCTATAGTTTTAAAAAAGCTATTTATATCATACACATAGTCTTCCTTTTCCCTTTATGCATTTATAAAGCATTAAAATAATTTAAAGACTTACATTTCTACTAATTAGGACACTGTAAATAGTACTTTGAAATTGAGTACATTAAAAAACCTACCTGCCTTTCAGAATCAATTGTATCAATCCTCATATGGAAAGCAAATTTAAAAAAGAAAGCATTTTAAAAGAATCAGATGTAGACAAAATCCCAAACTATGGATTCAAATCAATTAGGAGACAAACCTCTATCCATTTTTTTCTGGGCTATTTAACAGTTTGAAAACTGCTGCAATTAATTCCGTATTAATTATTTTGAATTTAGCTATTTCTATTACGTTTGTTTTAGGCAAGTGGTTTATTTCTAGTTCTCTAAATCTCTCAGCCAGTTTTCAATGCCCCCCTTTCCCCTACTTAATTATTTTTGGGAAAAAAGTTAAAAAGCTTTATATTTATTTTACCTTTTATTTTTAAAGTTGACAATCAAATGATATAATGCCAAGTTCAATATCCAAACATTTCTCCCTGTGCTTATTCCCCTGGAACCTCTTACAAATTTTTATTACAGAAAATTTCAAACTTAAGTAAAATGAACAGAATTCTACAACAAGTCACCATGTAAACATTATTAATCTTCAATAATTACCAGTATTCTGCTATTCCTGGCTCTTCTATACCTCTACCTGCTCCCTGTTCCCCTCCCAATTATTATTTACAGCTCTTCAGGAAAAAATACATATATTAAAATGTACAAATATCAGCCAATTTTGACAAAGTTTCTTTGTGTCTCTTCCCAGTCAATCCTGGTTTCTCTTTTATTCTTGTTCCCACAGAGACAGTTCTGATTTTTTTCCCCACCTAAATTAGTTTCCCTTAGTTTAGAAATTCAAATAAATGAAATTAACTAGTATGTATTCTTTTGTGTCTGCCTTCTTTCACTCAGCATAATGGTCTTGAGAGTCACCCATGTTGTTTGCCTGTCAGTAGTCTGTTGCCATTTATTGTTGTGTTTTATTACATTTTATGAATATACCACTATTTATTCAATCACCTGTTGATAGGTGTTTTCATGGCTCCAGTTTTTGGCTACTGTGAATCAAAATGCCACAAACATCTTTTACAACTCAATTTTGTGGATGTGGGTTTTAATTTCTCTTGGATAAACACGTAGGAGATAACAAATCTGTTTAACTTTATAAGAAACTGCCAAACTATTTTCCAAAGTGAATTCTGGTTTCTTCATATTCTCACCAACATTTGATGTGACCAGTCTTCTTAATTTTGGTCATTCTCTTGAGTGTAGTAGTATGTCATTGTGGTTTTAACTTGCATTTCCCTGACAACTCACGTAAAAGGCACCTATATTTATTTAAAAATAACTCTAGCAGGTGTATTTAGTATGATAAAACTATAATGCTACTATATTAAGTGTGCAGTCCTTCCCACCAATATGAAAGCAATGTGAAATAAAAGGACCACCTAAGGAGCAACCGATACTAGGAAACAGACCTGTCATTAATCTACTGTTTAGAGAGATTGCACTAAAACCCTGGCATGTATCCCACATAAGCACATGTACCATTGATCAAGGTAAAGATTAAATGGATTAACCATTCCTGGCTTTGATCACAGTTGCTATTTTTTATTATTAGCTGACAGAGAACAGCTCACACAGACAGTTGCTATTTTACGAGTTCTTGGGATAAAGAAGTAAGCAATACACTTACTAACACAGTTTTCAGATCTGAATGTTAATAAAACATGAATATTTACAAAACACAAAAGTAACAAACTGAGGCAATCTGTATTTTAGGACATCTTCACAAGGCTTTTATTACCATACTTCATTATTACTTTTACATTTGCTACTCAAATCACTTTGTTACATTTATGTTTTAGGTATTAAAGTGATTCTCATTACTTTTGTAGTACATATATGGTGGGGAGAGCAATAAATAAAATCTACTAGGAAAACATTTAGATAAGCTAAGATAAATCCCTGCCTTTTAAATATGCTTTTTTGATGTGAAAAGAACTATTTGGTTCTTTGAAGAAAATCTCAAATATAAGATGCTACATACAGCCAGGCATGGTGGCTCAAGCCTGTAATCCCAGCACTTTGGGAGGCTGACGCGGGTGGATCACCTGAGGTCAGGAGCTCGAGACCAGCCTGGCCAACATGGTGAAACCCTGTCTCTACTAAAAATACAAAAAATTAGCTGGGCACAGTGGGACATGCCTGTAATCCCAGCTACTCGAGAGGCTGAGGCAGGAGAATCGCTGGAGCCCGGGAGGCAGAGGTTGCAACGAGCAGAGATTGCGCCACTGTACCACTCCAGCCTGGGTGACAGAGCGAGGACACACACACACACACACACACACACACACGCGCGCGCGCGCGCACACGCGCTACATACTTAGGTTTACTAATACAAAGATCATGGAAGTGAAAAAACTATTCAAATAATTAATGTAAATGTAGTTTTTCCTCTTCAATGCTGTTTTTTTTTAAAATGACATGCTGTATCACGCTCTATGGGTAATCAACTTTAGTGGTTCATTTCTATGATCAGCACAAAGAACCTTCTTTCATGTTTACAAAAGTGACCTTTATATACTTAAAAACAAAATCAATGATGTATCCTTACATATTCTTTTGGATATTTTCTTAATTCATGAGGTAATCACCCAACAATTTTCCAACATTTATGGAGATATCTGTGGTATTCAGAAATTGTTCCATAAATTCAGCATGTTAAGCTATTGTGTGAAAAAATGTATTTGAAAAAATTTTAAAGTAGGTATGCATAACAAATTCAGGAGTAGAGGCTGTAGGTACAATAAGGACTGTATGGTAAAAGGCGCATCAGTGTAGCTCTGTGAAAACAACAACAACGATATGCCTTCTATTGCCTTTTTTCATGTTCAGTTTCATGCTCAGGATCTCCTTTGTCTACGGACTTTGTGATTTGGCCACATATCACTAAACATTACCACAGTGCATCAAAACTTTGGTGCTGATGAGTATGACACCCACTATTATTATCAGGGGCTCCGCTATGCCCACTTTATAAAATCGCCTCCAGCTTTACTATTCTTGGATGTGTGTACAGTGGGTCCAGTAATTCCAAGATTTGGCTGTGTACCTTGTAACTCCCAAGAATAAAAACAGAAATAAAATCCTCCCAAGTCTGAAAGGATTATGGTAAATGCAAATTCTCACAGCTTAACTAACCTAACAGAATTTCACTTATTTAGGTATATGGCCTTTTCATACAAATTACCCCCATATGAATAATAATAGTTTTAAATCTATCAATTTCTTGTCCCTGAGGTAAAGTGAAGTAGCTGGATGGTATTTTGTGACTTATGGCACTGGTATTTCAGGTCCCACTTGTGCAAACACATTTCCTTCAAATATTTATTTGAGATATTTGATTAAGTCCTCAAATATCTCAAATGAATATTTTTATCTACTGCTACCAGTTTTGAAGTTCTATTCACTCCTCTTTAGCCTTTTGCTCTGTGGTGTCGGTCCCCACGACTCTTTTGAAACTGCTCTGTAATGGTTCCAACTGACCTACACAATTTCAGAGGCTCTCTACTCAGTCCCTACCTAGCTGCCCACTTTTTATTCTTAAGAGTTCGGTGTCTTTTTCATTATTTTTATTATTTTTTTTGAGACAGAGTTTCGCTTGCGATGGCACGATCTCGGCTCACTACAACCTCCGCTTCCTGGGTTCAAACGATTCTCCTGTCTCAGCCTCCTGAGTAGCTGAGATTACAGGCATACGCCACCACGCCCGGCTAATTTTTTGTATTTTTAGTAGAGACGGGGTTTCTCCATGTTGGTCACGCTGGTCTCAAACTGCTGACCTCAGGTGATCCGCCTGCCTCAGCCTCCCAAAGGGCTGGGATTACAGGCGTGAGCTACCGTGCCCACCCTCGAGAGTTCACTGCTTTTAAACACTCCCTCTCCCATTGCTCTTGTCTTCCTCAGACTCCATTATCCTGCACTCAGACTCCATTATCCTGCACTCTCTGGGCTCTTTGGTACTCTGCTCACTGTTCTGCTCCTTCTCAGGTTCATTCGTTGGCTTCTCAACCTCAGTTTGACCTCATAAATGAAACACTGCTCCCCAAGTCTCTGGTCTTATCCCTTTTCACTCTATTTCTTCCCCTTTGGGGTCATATACTTTCAGGACTTAATTATCACCCCTATGAGGATGTTCCCCAATCCTGGCTACATTACTGATCTCCAGTTGCTTGCTATTCTTGTCCATCTGTAGGGATGGCCATTCAGTTGCTCAAGCCCAACATTTCCAAGCTCAGAGTCAGGATCTTTCTCAACTCAGGCCTCCTAAGAATTCTTCAAATGAGGAGGGCTGACAATGAGGAAAGAGCAGGGGCTCTAGAACAAGATGGATTTGGAATCAATTTGTATACAGTAAAATGTACCCCTTTAAATGCAGTTTTTGCTTTCAGGATCATGCACCGGATGAGTTTTGACAAATTTATATACCAGTGTAGCCACCACTCCAAAGAAGATCTAAAATATTTCCAGTACTCCAGAAAGTTCTCTCATTTTTCTTTGCAGTCAATTCCTGACTCTCTCCTGGCCTCAGGCAACCAGTGATCTGCTTTTAGTAGGTAAGTCCCCTTTTCTAAAATTTCAAATAAATGTAATCGTACAGTATGTACTCGTCCATGTTGCTGCATTTATCAGTGGTTTGTTCCTTTTTACTGTTAAGTAGTATTCTATTGTATGGATCCTATTTGTTTATCCACTCACTTGATGAACATTTCGGTTGTTTCTAGTTTTGGCTATCATGAATAAAACAACTATGCATATTAATATACAGGTCTTGGGTGAATATGTTTTCCTTGACTAAGTAAGAGTGGAATTGCTAGGTCATATGCCAAGGATATATGTTACTTTAAAAGAATCTGCCAATTTTGTTTTCTAACATTTGTGTACCATTTTATTCCCACCAGCAATGTAAGAGGTTCGTTTGCTTCATATCACAAAGGCTTTAAAAAAAATGTTGTAAGTCATTTATGTACACGCCTAATTTGTCATTTACATAAGTACTCATTAATTCATCAAGAGGGATAGCTAGTATGTGCTAAGCACTATGCCATATATATATCTATATTTTCTTTTCTCCATAAGGCACTGCAATCGATTAAAAACACTTAACCCTAACTGGCACATACCAAACTGTTGATGTGCATTGAGGTTTTTTTGTTTTTTTTTTTTAATATTAGCACCAAATTTTTGGGAACGGAGTCAAATTTACTTGTTGGGTGTTCTAGAGTTACATCTTAGAAAATACCATTTAAACACGTTTTCAGCTCTTCAAATATTAGCCTTAGAGCAAATTCCTGGAAAATTTGCACCAATTTATAACTATTGCAGCATTTTCACTTTTTTCCAATTCTTTATGAAGGCTTAAGTTTTTATTATGTCTATTCTTTTTGTATATCTTTAATAATTTTTAGTATAATTTTAGCATATCAACACATATTCTTTAAAAAATATATATCCTATGAAACTCTTCTTACCATATTATTTGCTGAAATCATAAAAATGTAACCCTAAAAAACAGATGCTTCTGCTTACTTCTCTTTTTGGAATCTTATGCTCTGTTCACTTACTGGTGTCCTTATGGTTGTATTATAGAAAATTTAATATTTTTGAATGTCCAAATAATTTCCTGATAGTTCATATGTAAACAATGAATACAATTTTGATTTTAATGGAAATGTAAAATTATCACACAAACATCCAGGTATTTTATGATAAACCTAAAATAATTAGCGTCCACTTACCTTAAAAAATTCCCTTTTTTCAATCATCTCATTACCATCTGTATCCAGCATTTTAAAAGCAACATGAAATCCAGAATGGGGTTCTGCAGTGAAGTGAAAAATGAATATTTAAATGTTGATGAAAACCAAGTTATTTGTAGATAGATAGGTCTTCAAATTTGACATACACTAGCAGAAACTGTATGAGTAAGTGCCTACACAGAAAAATAATGATTTCTTATAACAATTCCAAAGGCTGATATTTGGTGTTATGGCTTTGTTCCCTGCCTTCTTCAACACTCTTTCCATAGGTGCTGCTGCTCTGCTAGTAAGTGTTCTCCCTTTCAATGCAAAATTAGTTTGTAGGCTTAATTTATTTCTTTAGCTGCACTAGGGGCTTTTCTATATTCTTACAGTACCTTGGTTATTTTCAAATTAATGATTACTTTTTATTTCCCTTTCTCAGAGTACTTAAACAACAACAACGTATTTTGCAATCATTTTAGACTTATGGAAATTTTGTAAAGATAGTACAAAGAGTCCACAGAGTCCTCTAATTTTTCTTTTCTTCCGAGACAGGGTCTCACCTGTCACCCAGGCTGGAGTGCAGTACCGTGATCACAGCTCACTGCAGCCTCAACCTCCTGGGCTCAAGCAATCCTCCTACCTCAGCCTCGACAAGTAGTTGCGACTACAGGTGTGCACCACCACACCTCGCAAATTTTTAATTTTTTTTGTAGAGATGGGGTTTTACCATGTTGCCCAAGCTGGTCTCAAACTCCTGGGCTCAAGCTAAAGTGCTGGGGTGAGCCCCCACACCTGGTCTTCCTCTAATGTTAACATCTTACATAACCACAGTACATTTATAAAGACTAAGAAATTAACATGGCACAGCATTATGAACTACACTATCGACTTAATCTGGGTTTTATGTTTTTTCACTAATGCTGTTTTCCTATTCTAGGATTAAATATAAGATACCATGTTGTATTTAGCTGTCATGTCTCCTGAGTCTTCTCTAATCTGTATCAGTGTCTCAGTCTTTTCTTGTTTTCCATGACCTTCACACTTTGAAGAGTACTGGTCAGGAATTTTGTATAATGTCAGATAAGCATTTTTAAAGCCTAGACTACCACTATGATTCTCTAGTTCAACAAACTTCCTATTAAAGAGACAAAGCTATGGGCTGCTATAGTGCACAGGAGGCAGAAGTGACCCAAAGAGATAACCTAATCCAACATTATCATTTTGCAGATATAGAAACTAAGGCATCAATAATGTTTTTAATGATAAAGACATAAATGCCAAACTTTTAAAATCCTGTTTGGTAAGAACAGAGAATTCCACATGATCTCTGAGAAAAACTGTGGGATACTTACTAGTGAGGATTGTAAGCAAGAAAAGATACTCGGTATATGAAATTAGCCCTGAAAGAGATAAAAACATACCAGAAAATAAGCTTTAGATGGTTTAGAATATATAGAGACATTAACATTGAAATTTCACCTAATTAAAAAACAATTTTACTTTAAATTACCTCTCTTTGATACAGTGGAAAATTTTTATAATAGTTGAAGTAGAGGCCTAATACTTAAAAAAAGAAACTATGTTTCATCAGGTACTGTTACTAGTAAGGAAGTTGTGATGGTTGGTTTTAAGTGTCAGTTTGACTGTGTCACAGACTGAACATCTTGAGTGTCCAGATTAAACATCATTTCTGGGTGTGTCTGTGAGATTAGCATTTACATTGGTAGACTCGGTAAAGCAGGCTGTTCTCCGCAGTGTGGGTGGGCATTATCCACTCTGTTGAACAAAAAGCAGAGGAAGGAGAAATTCACCCTTTTTTTCTGCCTCACTTCTTGAGCTGGAACATCTTATCTTCTACCCTCAGATGGGTTTACACCATTGACTCCCCTGGTTCTCAGGCCTCCAAATGTGGACTGAATTACACCATCAGCTTTTCTGGGTCTACAGCTTGCAGATGGCAGATCATGGGACTTCTGTACCTCCATAATTGCATGAGCCAATTCTTCACAGCCAACCTCTATCTAAATCTCCTATTGGTTCTGTTTCTCTGGAGAACACTGACTAATACAGAAGAATCGAAGCTGGCTCGCAAATAACAGGCATCCACTACAAGTTTTATTTACATGGCACTTTAGTTACTTCTACTTAAAGTTTTACTATGCATAACATCTCAAGTGAAGCAAATTTATAAATTCAGTAGAATAACAAGAGACTTGGGATATACTGAGAGTCAAATTACACTATTTAAAACGTAGTAATTAGTTCTTTGTAGCAGTAACTTGATTTTTCCTTTGGGAAATCATTCTTTGTCAGTCTCAAATATGCAGTTTGGGTAGGATGACCCTACCTTTGCCTCTGCAAGTAAATGCTAATTGGCTGAAGCCAATCACTGCATTTCTGTGGAACTGATGCAGGGATGGGCAAGTAGCTCAGGCCCAAGCTAATAAGGAGGTTGCACTAGTCTGGCTCCAGGGACTGGTTCAGGGATGGGCTAACACCTAAGTTGGGCCACTCATGAGTAGTACAGCAGGATTTCTGATGCAAATGCTGGATCACTGACTTTCACATTTTTATTTTGTGCTGGGCTTTGGTGATGTGAGAATGTTATTCTCAGGAATGTGAGGCAATGGAGAGAGTGCCTGGAACTGCCAGAAGCCAGTATTTAGAGCACGAGAATGTAGCCAATCTTTAATTGCCAGATCTGGAAAATGAATATGGTGATGTTTGAGCCCTGGATGAAGTTGGGTTTGAAGCTAACTCTGTCTAGTCACTAAACTTTCTTGCTTGCTCAAGTACATTGTGTCAGGTTTTAGGCTGCTTACACAGAAACGATATCTCAAAAACCATGGCTTCCTGATATGCTAAAAAACAATTGTTCCCTCCGGATCAAAAGATTGGTATAATAGCAAAATGCACAATTAACAATTAAAAACACTTTTTTAATCATGGAAAACTTCAATCATATGCAACAACAGAGAGAATAATATGATGAATAATTATATATAATTATATTAAATAACACAATGAAACTCAGCACCAATAATTATCAATTCATGGCAGGTCTTGCTTTATCTATATTCCTTTTCACTCCCTACCTCCCACTGGATTATTTTGAAACAAAACCCACATATACATATCATTTCATAGTAAAAAATTCAGCCTGTATATCTAAAAAAAACCTCCCTGCCAGATAGTTACCACACCTAAAAAAGTATCAATAATTCCTTAACATCTTCAAATTCAAATCAGCATTATCAATTTTCCTGTTTTAGACAAGTTTTCAAGTGTGTTCAAATGAGCATCCAAAGAAAAGTCCTTACATTGCACTTGGTGAGTAGGTCTCTTAAATCACCTGTTTTTAAATATTGTGGTAAAATAAACATAACATACAATTTACCATTTAAACCATTTTTAAGTTTGGTAGCATTAAGTACATTCACGCTGTTGTACAACCGTCATTAGAAATTTTTCATCATGCTAAACAGAAACACTGTACACATTAAATGTTAACTCCTGAATCCCACCACCCATTCCTGCCTCTGGCCCCTGCAACCTCTATTCCGCTTTCTGTCTCTGTGACGTTGCCTATTCTATCTAGGTACCTAAGATGAATCATACGATATTTGTCCTTTTGTGACTTGCTTATTTCACTTGGCATAATGTTTTAAAGGTTCATTCATACTGCAGCATATGTCAGCATATCCTTCCTTTTTAAGGCTGAATAATATTCCATTGTACCTATGTACCACATTTTGTTTATCCACTCACCTGCTGATGGACATTTGGGGTGTTTCTACCATGTGGTTACTGTGAATAATGCAGCTACAAATATTGGTGTACAAATATTTATCTAAGCCCCTGCTTTCATTTCTTTTGGGTATATACCCAGAAGCAGAACTGCTGCATCATACAGTAATGCTGTGTAATTCAATTTTTTTTTTTTTTTTTTTTTTTTTTTTTGAGATGGAGTCTTGCTCTGTCGCCCAGGCTGGAGTGCAGTGGTGCGATCTCGGCTCACTGCAAGCTCCGCCTCCCAGGTTCACGCCATTCTCCTGCCTCAGCCTCCTGAGTAGCTGGGACTACAGGCGCCCACCACCACGCCCGGTTAATTTTTTGTATTTTTAGTAGAGACAGGTTTCACCATGTTAGCCAGGATGATCTCGATCTCCTGACCTCGTGATCTGCCTGCCTCGGCCTCCCAAAGTGCTGGGACTACAGGCGTGAGCCACCGCGCCTGGCCAATGCTGATTTAATTTTTGAGGAATCGCCCTACCTTTTCCACAGCAGCTGTGGAAATACAAATTCCCACCAAATTTCTCCACATCCTCAACGCTTGTATTTTCTTTTTTTTTTTAACTGCCAACCTAATGAATGTCACGTGGTATCTCATTGCGGTTTTGATTTGCATTTCCCTGATGATTAGTGACGTTGAGTACCTTTTCATGTGCTTTTCATGTGTATATCTTATTTTGAGAAATTTCTACTTGAGTCCTTTTCCCATTAAGAAAAGTTTTGTATAGTTCTTTACATATTCTGGTTATTATCCCTTATTATATATATGAATATATACGATTTGAAAATATTTTCTCCCATTTGTGGGTCTTTTCTTCACTCTCTTGACAGTGTTCTTTGATTCACAAATGTTCTTAATTGTGATGTAGTCTTATTTATTTATTTATTTATTTATTTATTTATTTATTTTTTAACAAGGTCTCACTCTGTTTCCCGGGCTGGAGTACAGTGGCACAGTAGTGGTTCACTGCAGCCTTGACCTCCCAGGTTCAAGCGATCCTCCCCACCTCTCAGCCTCCTGAGTAGCTGGGACCACAGGCATGTGCCACCATGTCTAGCTAATTAAAATACTTTTTTTTTTTTTTTTTTTTTGGAGAGACAGGGTCTTCCTATGTTGCCCTGGCTGGTCTTGAATTCCTGGGCTCAAGTGATGCTCCTGCCTCAGCCTCCCAAAGTGCTAGGACTGCAGGTGTGAGCCACTGTGCCCAGCTTTCCTGTCTCTTATGTCTCTCTTAATATATACGTTTTCTCCCTTGTCTTTTTTGCCCCTACCTTTCAATTTAATTGTTGAAAAAGGTGGTCATTGGTCCCATAAAATTTCTAATAGTCTATAAAATTCTGATGACTGTATGTCCTTGGTATCATTTCACATGTTCCTCTACCTTCTGTATTTTCTACAAATGGTACTTAAATCCAGATGTGTGCTAAGATTCAGGTTTGATTTTGACAAGAATTCTTCACAGATGGCATTGTATACTTCCATTAGGAGGCCAAAATGCAGATGTTTACAGAAAATACTAGATACCATAGAGAGATACGAATAGTAAGAGTTACAAAAGTTTAGAAAAATGTGCAGGCATTTACGGAGTTTAGATGATCAAAGATGTCACAGAGGAGGTAATTCTAACAGTAAACTTTGAATGATTGGTAAAAATTTTAATTAAGCGGATGTGGTATAAATGGGAAAGCTATTTAAGACAGATGAAGCTGAATATGAAAACTGCAAAGTGATTGTCTGAAATAATGCTCATGTGGAAGCAGCAATGGGAAAAAAAAAAACTACTATGGTAGTTCGGACAGGAAGAATAAAGAGCTGCAGAGGGTGATGACGGTGGGAATGTATTTACCCTTCTGTGCAGGACAACATACCCTAATGACTCCCAAGCAAATAAAGGAGGGAGTCAGGGCCAAAGGTAGTTCAGAGCAAGGAAAGCAAACATGGTATTATTAGATGATTCCATGTTTTAACTATAAGTAAATATTTTAAATGTTTTCAATGGCTTCCTTTTTTTGAATTACCAACTTTTTGTTGTTTCTATTTTGGAGCAGGTGTACTTTTCTTTAACAAAAAGACTATAGTACGTTTTCAGATTTTCTTTTGCTTTAAACTATTTAGTCCTTCTATAAAGGGAGAATAAATTAAATGTGTTTTGTCATATCTTGTACCTGAGAGAAGTGCTCTAATGTTAGCTGAAAGATCAAAGTATTTCATTCTTCGGCAGCCTTAAGAATTTTTCTCATTTTCAAAGGAATACGGCAATGTGAAAAAAATGGCCAAACCTCTAGACTCCACTGGGCTTGATGCCAGAAGGAGGCCTTGCTTTTCTTCTCTTTAGACACAGGTACAGGTCCTTTATGCAAGCAGAACTTTTTGAAAAAGAAAATTCCAGGGTCTTTCTTTGAAATACTGACTTAAATAAAAAGCTTGAATAATCACAGAGTTGAGACAGTATAAAAACAGTACCTTTCACTCTCAAGGTGGGTTACAAATAAACAAGGTAGTTCTACAACAGCATTCTAGGCATTTGCCCTCTGAAAATGTTTTTAAAGAAAACTGACACACGAGAATATTGACAGGAGAAACAGCTTAATATATATTTGTTATATCTAATTGTAAAGTAAATGCTGTTAAATGGCAATGATTCAAAACTGCATTAGGACAGTATTTTAAATAATTTATGTTTAAAAGTTTGTTAAAGAATCTCTTAAGAGGGACACTAGGAGAAACGAGTAAGTTCTGACTTTTTCCTCTCCTCACGTCAGACAACCAATATGTTGTCCTTGTAAACAAGGTTTGAGGGAGGCGCATCTCACTCATCAATGTGAAAACCCAGTCATCACACTTAAGATGAATAAATTCTGTCAGTTACAATGCTTATCTAGAAATATTAAGATGGAACCATTCTAAAATATGACCGCTGTTAAGTACAATTTTGTGAATCCTGTTTTCCAAAGAGATTGGATTATCCCACCTATTGCAAGAATATATTTATATCTTACAACATATCTCATAATTTATATTCAGTATATTTTTGAGGATGGTATTAAAATTATGCTCAGTTTAAAAAATATATATATAGTAAACTACAACTTCTTCTTCCTTATAATAATACGTGTTGGTAAATTATTTTCTTATTTTAGGAATGTACTACCTTTTGCTAGTTACGATAGAGTATAAATTTTGATAGTTCTTATATGTGGTAAGATGGAATATTTCAAAGGGTCCCAAGTATAACTAAGTTTTACATTGTTTTTCTTCAAATCACTATTAACAGCAACAGTAAAGTATATCTTTAAAAAGTGTATCTTCTGAATCTTTTATAAAATAAACATTTAGTGTTTTTTTCTTTAAGTTGGAAATGTACATGTCAACTCATGTATTTCAGGGAACTAAAAAGTAACTGTTGTCTTTCCTCAAGATGTTTCCCTATTGCACTTGTAAGCACTTTTTTCCTATACTATCAGATCACAATCAACATTACAGACAAGATATACAAGAGTCTCAGCCCTTCCACTGTATTGGGCTTCCTCACAATTTAATAAACAATTCTACTGTTCTCTGTTTGTTCAGTCAAAAACAATTTATTAAGCATATACCACATGCTAGCCATTGCGCTTAGACCTCACAAGTTTACAAAGAAAAGGGCCTTTTCCCTCAAGGAATTTATATTCTAAGAAGTTAGCAGATGACACATAAACCAGCAATTATAATAAAACGTGGTGAGAAAGAATATATAAAGAATGATGAGAATGCAGGGGAGGGAACAATTCTTTCTACTGAAGAAGTTAAAAACAATTCCCAGAAGAAGTGAAGCTTGCGTTAATTCTCCAATGAACAGAAGGCTGGGAGAAGGTGGTGAGTCAGAGAGTAGAGGGAGAGAGAGAATGGCACAGGCAAAGGGAAGAGCGTGTGCAAAAGTATGAAAGCGTAAAAAGACGTGGCACACTGTGCAGAATGGCAAGAGAGGACAGCAGGGAAGCTTATGCAGGGCACAGGACACAAAGGGCTTATATACACCAAACTAAGGAAGTTAGATTTTATTTATTAAGTGACAAAGTTACTTGATCTGTTTCCTATTCTCTAGAGGTAGGGAGAAGAGAAGATGAATTCGATAAATACTTAGGTAAAATTGGAAAGACTTTGTGTTTGATTGAATATGAAGGGTGGGAGGGGCAAAGAGAGAGAGAAAGGGTTCTAAGATATTTCTTGGGTTTGGGTGAGTTAGATGAAAGCTTTTACTACCAAATGAGATCAAGAATACAGGAAGTGTTGGTTTAGGGGGAAGACGATGAGTGCAGTTTGGCATATTCTGAATCCAAGGTAACTGAGAGAGATCCAAAACCAGGTGTCTGGCAGCTAGTTTGTAAATACACAGATGGCTGAGGCTCAGGAGTGTAGCCTGGGCTGGAAGCACTGAAAGAGATTTGGGAGTCATCTCATGAATGCTAAAACCAAGGAGGCTGAAGAAGAGTAGTAAGTGAAGGACAAAATTCTATGAAGTGCCAATGTTTAATAGGCAGGAGGTGGAAGAGGGCCAATGACAGAGAGAGACTAGGACAGTGTGGTTTCAGAGAAATCAAGAGGACTTGTGACACAAACATTTGCCTAATTAACAGATCTTTCGTTGACATGATCTCAGGCACTGTGTCAGAAGTTTCATGTAAGTCACTGTAACCTTGAAGTAGATATTATCATCTCTATTTTACAGATGAAGTAGGCTTTAAAGCAGCTCATAAACCACAAGCTACACAGGAGCTGGGAGACTCTATATATTCAGCCTGTGAAGGCTTCTCACAATTAGGGACACTCTTCTTCCAGCTAGAATGTGGTACAGTAGATGTGTTGGAGGGATGGAGAAGGGGAAGGATCAGGGTTGAGACCCCAATCAGCGTGGGATAAAAGTACAGAGAAGTCTAAGTATAGAAAAGTCTAAGTTAAGGGTGGCCAGCATTTGGATGAATGGTGAGAGAGCAGATCTTACACCTTGCCCTTTCATGATACTTCTAACGCTTCCCAATTCTGTAACTCTCCAGTTCTGCCTCATCTTTTACCTGCCAATTGCTTAATTTTCTTGTCATCCTTAAGTTACATCTTACAGTCCTGATTTCCCTGCCAGTCCTTTATGAATGTAGGAATGTAAGTTGATTTTCCTCCCACAGCCACTGCATGTGCATTTTAAAAATTTATCTTTGACTCTGTAATGAATGCTATGTATATTCTCTATCCTTACAGCCATTTACTGTTTCTGGTTCCTTTTAAAGCCTCCTTCCCTCACCCCTTCCCCTCTCATCATGCTCATTCCTCTATTTCTCGTATGAATATCCTCATAGACTTTGCCTAAGGGGGGAAAATCCTATTTTTCTAATAGTTCATCACTAAGGTCTTTCTCCCAATCATCCGAAATACTGGGTCTTAATTCTCCTTCAAAAAAAAAAAATCCTGGAAATATATGATTAATGCTGTTGTTCATTCTGAGAACATAAACAGTCCTCCATCTATGTAAATAACAAAGAAAGAAAACTATCTAATGAGGAAAATGTGTGTGCAGGCTGATGAATTTATCTCCTTGATAGTTAGAAAGATTATCTACTATGTCTCTCTCTCTGAAAGTTAAAAAAATAAAAATAAAAATAAGTTACTGGGGTGGCCACTGAGGGGGTCGGGGAGGCTGCACAAGGTGGCGAGCCCAGACAGCCAGAGCAGCCCCCACCCCAGCCATACCCACCACCGCCCCAGCAGCAGCACCAGGAAGAGATGGCGGCCGAGGCCAGGCAAGCCGTGGTGCCCCCATGGACGACGGGTTTCTGAGCCTGGACTCACCCTCCTACGTCCTGTACAGCGACAGAGCAGAATGGGCTGATATAGATCTAGTGCTGCAGAATGTTGGCCCCAATCCTGTGGTCCAGATCATTTACAGTGACAAATATACACTCTGGAAATGATTAAACTAGTACCACATAATGAAAGTGCCTGCAACTATTTGAAAGGGATTTTGCAGGATCGTGGTCTTTCCAAATATCCTAATCTGTTAAGTCAATTACTTGATTTACAACCAAGGCATAGTTCCCCCTACCTAATTGCCTTTCTTGTGGTTATCTATGAAGACATGCTAGAAAACCACTGTGACAAAAAGGAAGACATTCTTAATAAAGCATTAGAGTTATGTGAGATCCTAGCTCAAGAAAAGGACACTATAAGAAAGGAATATTGGAGATAGATTGGAAGATCCCTTCAAAGCAAACACAGCACAGAAAATGACTCACCAACAAATGTACAGCAATAACACCAACCCGAAAAACTTGATGGAATGCTTTTATTTTTTATTAAGGGACCCTGCAGGAGTTTAAAACGAGAGTGGTCCTTCCCTTTGCCTGTGGTGTCAAAGTGCATCACACAGGTATTGCTTTTTAACAAGAACTGATGCTCCTTGGGTGCTGCTGCTACTCAGACTAGCTGTAAGTAATGGGATTCTTCTAAAGCAAAGTCACTGGATGGGAGGAGGAAGAAAAAGTCCCATAAAGGAACTTTTGTAGTCTTATCAACATGTAATCAAATCCCTTAGCATCAACTCTTCCTTCAGTAGTACACGCGTCAAGATTTGTAGAAGTAATAACTGCAGGTCATTTGTATGTAATGGATATGAGGTAGCTGAAGTTTGGTTCAGTAAGCAGGGAATACAATACAGTGGTTCCATCAGAGCTGGTCTGCACACTCACGTTATCTTGCTATCACTGTAGCCAACTAATGCCAAAAAAACGGTTTTGTAATAAAAGCATAGCTGTATCTAAAAACAAAAACAAACGAACAAAAAAAGAAGTTACCGATATTCTTTCTCAGTATCCTCTAAAAACAAGTACCTATTTTTTCTCCCTTATGGCACAGAGGCAGCAAAGCTGGTAAAGAAATACTACAATCCTTCTGGAGACCAGAATCCTGACTTCTGGATGTGACAACAATCTAACAGGATTCTCTGATGCAGACTAGCAGGAGGTATGAACACCCCTCCCAAGTCTTCCTCTGCCAATATGAAAAGCTGCTCCACAAATCTTGCCCCTATACGTAGAGGGCGAATGAAGAGAACACTGATCTCAATTTCAAGAAGAAACTAAAGAACATCTACAGATTTTTCTTCTATCTGAAGAGTCAAAACTAATTAAACTGCAATAACTTTCTACCTTGTCTTCAAATCTCTTTAC
Source organism: Homo sapiens (assembly GCF_000001405.40). Taxonomy (NCBI): domain Eukaryota; kingdom Metazoa; phylum Chordata; class Mammalia; order Primates; family Hominidae; genus Homo; species Homo sapiens. The sequence continues at coordinate 21,532,240 of NC_000013.11, forward strand.
GTTCAAAACTTCCATTAACCCATTTCATATAATCTCCACTACCATTTGCTATCTTCATACCAAGAAAATAAAATGTTTGCTTACTGCTCTTTGAAATTCCAACTCTTTTCATACTTATGCCTCAAAAATATTACTTGTCAATAAAAAGAAAAACATTTTACTTGTCATTTGCCAAGTACTCTCCCAATTTTCTCCAAAGTTTGTTAAATCTCATTCATATCTTCATTATCTCTCACGAGATAGAGAATTTCTCAGTGCTCTTTCAGGACTGACTAGTGAGCCCCTTCCTTCAAACTCACCCCACTAGAATGATCTAATTGTTTGCTTCCCCAGCTTAGGTGGTTCTTGTTGAATTTCATCAAAAGAGACAGAGAAGAAACAACTAGGATGGTGAGAAAAGCAATACAACAAAGTATGGGGTCATAGAAGCCAAAACAAGGGGCTGTTCTGATGTAGATAATATATCAAATACTGCCGAGGTCACATAAGCTGAGACTACAAAATGTCCTCATTGAATTGGTAACAAGGAGGTCACTGGTGATCATGACAAAACAGTGTCCACGGTGGAGTGGGTACCAGGCTGAAATGAGCTGAATGAATGAATGAGAGGTGAGGAAGTGAACACAACACACCAGGGAATATGGGGGTAAAGGAAAAATTTTTTACTCTAAAAAATGGGACATACTTTTAAGTTTACATAAGGTAGGAATAAGGTAGAGAGAAACAAACTGGTGATGGGGTAAAATAGGGAAAAATATCAAAGTAGAAAAGTCTTGAAAGGGAAAGAAAAGAGGCCTAGAGCAAATACAGAGACATGGGCTTATGTTGTACAGAATAGATCTATAAAGATAGCAAAGACAGACAAGATGGATGCAGCTGTAAGATGCAGATGCAACAGCAGATTTGGAGGTGAGTTCTTTCTTTCTTTAGGTAAAGAAAAAATGCCTTAAAAAGTTTATTAAATTCCACGGTGTATAGGATATACTTCATAATGAATCCAACTAATTTTAATAATTATCTTTATGATTCTGAGTATAGAATGATTTTATATATATATTTTTGTAATCAATAGTAAGGCAGCGCAATTTTTTTTTTTTTTTTTGAGGCAGAGTCTTGCTCTGTCTCCCAGGCTGGAGTGCAGTGGCGCAATCTCGGCTCACTGCAAGCTCTGCCCCCCGGGTTCACGCCATTCCCCTGCCTCAGCCTCCCGAGTAGCTGGGAATACAGGTGCCGGCCACTGCGCCCGGCTGATTTTTTGTATTTTTAGTAGAGACGGGGTTTCACCGTGTTAGCCAGGATGGTCTCGATCCCCTGACCTCGTGATCCGCCCGCCTCAGCCTCCCAAAGTGCTGGGATTACAAGCGTGAGCCACTGCGCCCGGACAAGGCAGTGCAATTTTTAAAAATTCTATTTGTGTTTAATACTGCCAGAATCAGATTTTTCTTCTTCAATTAAGTGACTGCATTTTGTGACTAATACACTTTGAAATAACTGTATACCACATTAAATATGGTAATACATCGAATAGCCCTAATTTAAAAAAATAGCTAGGGAAAAGAAAAAATATCCTACTACAGTTGCAGGTCATTAACTATTAAGCTGATAAAACATTGCTCATTAGGAGGCAGAACTTTCTTCTAGTATATCTTAGAAATAATTCACATCAAAGTCAAATATTTTGATAAAGAGGAGATAAAAATTAGAGGATAATTTCATGTTTTTATTCAGATATCTGATAAAGAGGAGGCTGAGGCACGAAAATCACTTGAACCCGGGAGGTGGAGGTTGCAGTGAGCCAAGATCACGCCACTGCGCTCTAGTCTGGGCGTGAGACTGTCTAAAAAAAAAAAAAAAGAGTTGATGCATTATTTCTAAAATGTATGAAAGCATTACTACAAAATGGATCTAATTTTGCTGACAAAATAATACCAAGTAATCCTTTTTAAATTTTTAAATATTTCCTTTTCCTTTCCTTTTTTTTTTTAAGACAAGGTCTCACTCTATTGCCCAGGCTGGAGTATAGCGGTACAATCGTGGCTCACTGAAGCCAGCTTCTTAGGATCAAGTGATTCTCTCCCACCTCAGCCTCCCAAATAGAGGGTATTACAGGCGTGAGCCACCATGTGCAGCTAATTTTTTTATTTTTTGTGGAGATGGGGGTCTCCCTATGTTGCCTAGGTTGGTCTTGAACTCCTGGGCTCAAGTGATCCTTCTGCCTTGGCCTCCCAAAGTGCTGGGGTTACAGGCATCAGCCACTATGCCTGGCCCCAATTAATACTAACTGGGAAGAAGACCAACATAAATTATTGAAAGTTTTAACTGGGAAATATTTAAAAAAACACGTAGTCTTCATACTTTCAATACACAGAAAGGCTAAAAGTGCATAGCAAAAATACTCAAGGGATTCACTGAAATAGATCAGGATAATTTGTAATTAGCATGTAGTTAATTTTAGATGAGCATCTATTATGTGTCAGAGAATGTTTTTAGGCAACATACCAAGCAACTGGGGATATAAAAATAACCACATATATTTTTCCACTTTGAGATTATGGCTTAATTAAGAAAGATTAGAAATCAGAGAGTACAGTGTAACAAAATACAAAAAATGAGAAAGCATAAGACTGTTTATTGGTTTCACAGATGACTTCATAGAGTAGGGTAGCTGAGAAGTGGAAGCTGTTTAGCAGGGAGCAGGAGTATGGTAATTCCATATAAAGGTCATAGGCAGCACTTGAGGCACTACCAGGAGTCTGGACTGTGAATGCAGCAATGAAGCTGTACAGGTACTTCTTTTCAGAAGCACGGTATGCTTCTAAGGTTTTGAAATGGGGTTGTCTTTTCAGTTTTTGAAGATTAATCTCTTATCTCTCAATTTTTTTTTCCTTAAGATGATTTAAATTTTCTCTCTTCAGTTTTTATTTTACTCATTTTTCTTGAAAACACTTTTTAATAGAATTTCTAAAATCACATTATATTTATGTAGAGTTTTACACAAAAGCTGAATTAATCTACTCTGGCTCTCATATTCTGCCTTTAGATCAAAATTATTATAGAACCCTCCCCAGCCTTCCTTACTTCAGGAAAAAAACATCAAATAATCATAAGATAACTCAGTTTATATCCACAGAGATTATCTGAGTTTTCACAACTGGTAAATATCTTTCTTAAGAGTCTCAAAATGCTTCCAGAAAAGTCTATATTATGGAAAGGTACCTCAAAGCCATAGCTCTGATCTAAATATTGGTACTTGAAATTTAAACATCTTGCTTAAAATCTACTTTAAAATGCCAAATTAGTAATTTCCTAAAGTAAAACCTTACAAAATATTTATTAACTATGATTTTAAAAATACCATTTATTTACAAACTCATTAAGAGGCTAAGGCTCAGTTAATATTAAATCTTACAAAAAAATATAGCAATATTACCAATTATAAACTTAAAATGTACCAGACACACAGCAAGAAAACTAAAACCAACTTGCCCAAGGTTACACAGCTAATAGAGCTAGGAATCTAAACCAGGCTTAAAACCCATGTTCTTAATATTTTTTAAGGCTACATACCAGATACTATAAATGTTTAAAATATCTTATTTTATTAAATTCTTTCAACAATCCCATAAGGAAGGCATTACTATCTTATTTTAAAAGGTGATGAAAGTGAGGATGAAAGAGATTAAGTAATTTCCCCGGGTCATAAAACTAGGAAAAATTTGAATTTAAGTCTGTCAACTTCAAAACACACACTTTTGTTCACTAACCATATACTACATTCCAGTAAATTCCCACTATAAAAAATTTAGGAGCTTGTTAACCTCAAAGTCTATAGGGATGTTCTGGTGCTATGACTGGAAGGAATTGGTAAAGGGTGGGGTGAAGTGGGTATAAAGATAAGTAGACAGTTTAGTATAAGGAACTAATACTCACAGAATATAATGAAAGTCCACTAAATATTGATACAGAATGTACAGAAATAGATATTTATCAATAAACAATAACTGATTAATATTGATTTTATGGAGTTATTATACCTTTGTCATATTTTTCTTCTCCATGGAGTGTTATATGATAAACTTATTCTCAATTTAAAACTAAATTTTTTTTTTTTTGAGACACGGTCTTGCTCTGTTGCCCAGGTGACCACACACAGCTCACTGCAATTGCAACCTCAACCTCTCGAGCTCAAGCGATCCTGTCACCTCACCCTCCCAAGTAGCTGGGACTACAGGTGTGCATCACCACGCCTGGCTAATTTTTCTTTTACATTATTTGTAGAGATAGAGACTTGCTATACTGCCCAGACTGGTCTTGAACTCCTGGGCTCAAGCTATCCTCTTGCTTCAGCCTCCCAAAGTGCTGGGATTACAAGCGTGAGCTAATGCACTCAGCCATAAAATTAATGTTGATTTGAGAATGTTGTAAATCTCTTGAGATAACTGTAAAAGCTCTGCTGCATTCAATGAAAGGTTATAAACCACTGATTTAGAAATTACATTTGTTTCTTAATTCTCCAATTCCTTCTTTAGACAACAGGAAACAATAATTAATTTATCACCAATCTCAGGTGAACACTTTTTCTACACTTATAAAATAAGAGTGGTCCATCTCTCAGATCCTTGATAAGGTTCACTAAATTAACTATGCCAACTTCTATTTTAGCTGTCTATTTCTACGGTCACTCCCTGAACCCTGAAATCACCTGCAAGTGCTTCAGCTTAGAAACTGTAAATTCAGACACCTACTCTATGACCATGGTTGTTTTCTGCTCTTGGACATCCACTACATCTGTTTTCAACCTCACTGGCAGCTTTCTCTCTAGGCTTTTTTCTATTCCTGGAGTTTATCATGAAAAGGGGATTTTTTTCCCTCTTGACTTTCCTACTTTCTTTTTAAATTTTTCTTCCTATTTTACTTTATTCTCTATTGTCTCTGCTTAAACTCCATGGCTCATTAGTTAAAACCTCTCTTGCTCCTAACACTGTTAACTCCCTAGGCCGTGACTTCCTCCATTCTTCTGCCTAGCAAATCCTAACTGTCCAACTATTCTAATCTACAACTACACTGATCAATGACTCATTCTTTCATAATCTATGTTCTCTTCTAGTCCTTGAAGGATTCCCAGAAGTCTGTTTCTCTCATCAGTTCTTTTTCCATATCCCAGAAGCTACTTCAAACCTTCTTTCTCCATAAAGCTCAGACCTACTATATCCAACATTTTCTTTCTTTCTTTTTTTTTTTTTTTTTGAGACAGAGTTTCACTCTTGTTGCCCAGGCTGGAGTGTAATGGCATGATCTCGGCTCACTGCAACCTCTGCCTCCCAGGTTCAAGCGATTCTACTGCCTCAGCCTCCTGAGTAGCTGGGATTACAGGCACCCGCCACCATGCCTGGCTAATTTTTTGTGTTTTTAGTAGAGACAGGGTTTCCCCATGTTGGCCAGGCTGGTCTCAAACTCTGTACCTCAGGTGATCGGGCTGCCTCGGCCTCAATGGCCTCCCAAAGTGCTGGGATTACAGGCGTGAGCCACCGCACCTCACCCTAAATCCTATTTTATAAAGAAAATCAAGGCTACTCCAAAACACCTCCCTCATTTGCTTGCCAGTAATTTGCAAATATCTGCATAAAATGCTCATTTGTTCACCCTTTTCTCCTGATACAGTGGGAAAGACATCCTCCCTGTGGAATGCTGATCCTTCCACTCCTGTTCTGAAGACAATCCCTTCTTTCCTATTTTCCAGGATTTTGTCCTATTCATACTTCCTTTGTATTGTCCACCTCTCCTTCTCATCAACAAGAAACATGCTCACCACCTAAAATAAACCAATATTCTCTTGGCCTTTTTTCTCTACCCTTAGCTACTACCCTCTAACTCCTCTGTTCATGACCATGTCTCTCAAGAGGTCTGCGTTTACTTTTCTCATATCCGCCCTCACGTCTCAGTGCTCTGCAACTTGGCTTTAGATCTCATCCTATCACTGATCTGTACAGTTGGCCCTCCGCATCCATGCATTCAACCAACCGTGTATCAAAAATATTAAAAAAAAAAGGTCTGGTGTGGTGGCTCATGCCTGTAATCCCATTACTTTCAATGGCCAAGTCAGGAGGACTGCTTGAGCCCAGGAGTTTGAGTCCAGCCTGAGCAATGTAGTGAGACTCCCGTCTATACTAAAATTAAAAAAAATTAGCCATGTATGGTGGTGCACACCTGTAGTCCCAGCAGGCTGCAGCAGGAGGACTGCTTGAGTCCCAGAGTTTGACGCTGCCGGGAGCTATGACTGCGCCACTGCACTCCAACCCAGCAACAGAGCAAGACCCTGTCTCAAAAAAAAAAAAAAAAAACCCCAAACAACCCACACCAATACAAATAAATAGAGTTACAGAATATAACAACTATATACATAGCATTTACATTGTATTAGGTATTATAAGTAATCTAGAGATGATTTGAACTAAATGGGAGGATGTTTGTAGGTTATACGCAAATATGATGCCATTTTATATCAGGATCTTGAGCATTCTTGGATTTTGGTATCCAAGGGGGGTCCTGGAATCAATACCCCATAGATAACAAGGCACCACTGTACTTGTTAAAATGTCAAACACTTCCAGCTGCTAAATATAGAGGATACTTCTCAGTCCTTAGCTCACTCAACTCCCTACATTTACTTGGTTTTGACATTTGATAAGTTCCCTTTTTCTTTAACACTTTCTCTGCTTGGCTTCTGTGATAACACTCTCCTGGCATTCCTCTACCTCTCTGATTACTCTGCCATGACCTCTTTCCGTCCACTCCCCTAAGTGGTGTGGCTCCTCTGGATGCCCTTGAAGGCTTCTCATCTTTTATTTTAGATACTCTGCCTCATACCCTCATCCATTAAAACATTGATGTTTTAATAATTTATCTGTAATTGCTCAAAGACTTTGAAAAAGTTACCTCCTTACTTCATGTTTTAAAAACACCTATTAAATAACATGGTACAAATCTCATACCTTAATTCCTTAATAATACTTCAGTTAAATAAAACACATAACTAGAAATTTAACAACAAACCAAAATTACCTTTATCGCCAAGGTCTCTGAAAAAAGTTGATCCACAGCCAGCTGTTTGGATCCCTGACAGTGTATCCTCGATGTCCTTTGAATACACATATTAAAATTAAACTTCTAAAAGTTCATTTTCTTTGTAGCTGGGACTACAGACGCCCACCTCCATAGCCGGCTAATTTCTTTTTGTATTTTTAGTAGACACAGGGCTTCACTGTGTTAGCCAGGATGGTGATCTCCTGACCTCGTGATCCGCCCACCTTGGCCTCCCAAAGTGCTGGGATTACAGGTGTGAGCCACCGTGCCCGGCCAAAAGTTCATTTTCTATCTTACCAAAAACAAACCCTGCCCCCCACAACATGATGCTTACCTTTTTTGTCAGCTTCTTGACTGAAGTTTTACCTACAACAAATAAGAAACATTATTTAGTATCCATATTCTTTGGTAAAACTCAACTTGCACTAAGAAAGAAAATTATTTAAAAGACAAAACAAACAACTAAATATTTATTTAAAAAGCAAAGGCTTGTAATTTTAGCTAATATCCTTAAGCCATAATCATGAGTCAGAGAATTCTAAGACTAAACACAAAGACACTACAGTTTTTCACAAGATCCATTTTCAATTTCACTCACCCTATTTCATACATATGAAATTGTATATAACCATCTATGATTTATCCTAGTTGTATGAATCATATTATTAATTCTTGTCAAACATAATTTCTTCACATGATTATTAAAATCACTCTCTTTTTACTTTCATTGATTTAGAAAAAAACACTCATGATTTATAAAGCTTCCTTTTTTTGAACTCTGGAAAGTCCTCTTAGGCTTATAACTCTCCAGTCAAATGTAAAAGTCTAGCCAACATAACCATCCATTCTAAAGTAGTTATTTTTAATAATTTCCTACTGGATAACAGAGATTTAAAATTCTTTCAGGTTTTCAGCCACCCTCTTTACTGCCTACATCATTTTCCTAATATCCACCATAATTCTAAAGCTATTACATTGTTTCTTTTTTTTAGGACTTACTCTGATGATAGCCTCAAATCATTTTAAACATCCAGAACAAAACTGAAAAATGTTTTATTTTGTTTCTTACATAAGCAATATACAGCACTAACTTTACTTATTGCTCTCAAAATTATCTTGTCTATGAAGTTCCTTCAGCACAATTACGCAGTCTGTAGAAATTCAGGTGGCACATTAAAAAAGAGTGCTTTTAGATGTGGCTTTTCTGTAGTTTGGGTTGTTTAATTTGGACGATAAATCTACAAGGGCAAATTCTATTATTTGGTATTAGTAAACTGTCAGGATTTTATTTTTACATTATTAGTCAAAACATTACTTGTGAATATGACTACATACTTTTTAGAAACATCTATGACTATGTTTGTAAGCTTAGGTGTTGTTATTTTGGGATAATTTTTACTCACTGGAGAAACTATTATGTGCCAGCCAAAGACAAAGAGCCCCAGATTCTACTGTTAGGTGTTGTTATAGTATCAGATAATCAAATAGATAAAAATTACCATTTATTGGACAAATCTAAGTGAGTGAATGTGTATATAATACGTAGTCATATAATGCTGATAATGAACTCCAAAAAACTGTGTAATACATGTATTTACTTATCTTTACATAGTCAATTAACTTAAAAAAGAAACTGATCATTATTTCTATGCTTGTCCTAAAGTTACGCCACAAATAGTCATTACCATGTACCCTTTTATTTTTAGACAACTAAAATTAGTCTTATCTGTTTTTAAAAAGCGGATTAATCCTTACATCCAACTTAAAGTAGTCTAGAAAGCAATGATTGACATTTTGAAGGCAGAAGAGGATCAAGAATTTAAGGTAGCAAAATGGATGGTGTCTAAGAGTTTCTTAGAAATCAGATTATTTCTAAGGGGTGTTATCTGTTTGAAGGCTAGATTCCTTTTTGGTCTTTCAAAAATCTGTTAAAAAAAAAAATCCTTCTACTTGAAACTGAGTGAGTAAAGAAGGTAATGTTTGCTTCCCTCCAGCTAGAAGTCTGGCTGCCAAACAGGTAAGCCAATAAAATTCAATACTATGTGAATGAAATACCACAATAAAGTCATGAATTGATTGAATAATATAACACCAGAATTACAGGTAAAAAGTAAATTATAAAATCTATGGAGGCAGATTTCATACCTGTCTTACTTTTATGTAGGTCAGTGCTAAACATTTAAATATTTGTTGAATGAGTAACTGAATAAACAAATCAGAAAAGATTTCACAATGTCTTCTTATCCAGGTCCCTGTCTTTTGGATAAATTATTATATCCCCACTTTACATGTAAAACAAATTGGCAAGAGGAATTAGGTAACAATATGGGCCTTGAAGGATTTATTTTCATATCTCATATAGATTTTTCAAAAACAGGTGTTAGACTCTTTGAATTCCATGACAGTAGTAAAAAGAGCCTGCGGCCTACTTTCAACACTTAACAAAACTGAATAATTATGCATGGTACGATTATAGAGGCAGTTTTGCTGCTTTTCATTATTTAATGTAGATTACAAGTTCTATTTGACATGTATATAAAAATTTGATCATCAAAAAGGAGAAAACCAGATACTTAATGCAGTTTAAGTTGTAAAAACATCTTTTTAAATTTTTTTAATTCAAATGGAATAAATAATTAGAAAATAATGAAGAAATTAACTTTTTGATTAAAAGTTTAGAAGCTAGTCTCTTACATAAAATTCATTTTTAGATTAAAAAAAAAAGACAAGGCAAAGATACTAGGAATGAACACCCGTTCTCTCCTGCTTCCTCTTTCTCTTCAGTTAATGCACCTCTCCCTGAGTATTATGAGAGGTTGTGGTGTTTCTAATCCAGAACACTCTGGCAGGGTTTTCTTGGTAGACAGTTGTCTCACCCAGGATGCTTACTCTATACTACTTGTTCATGGCTGAGCAGCAAAATAAGAGGTCCATGGTCTGACCTGCACAGCAGGAGCCATGACCTTTTTTCTCCCTACAGCAGTAACAAGGCAAGAGCATATTAAATACACCTAAGTATTTCTGGACAATATTTTTCTATTTAAGGATAAAACCCATCTGGCAAATAATCTAATTTTTCCTTCTGTTTTTGTTTGAGTTTGTTTTTTTCAATGTAGGGTAGGGGGACACTCCTGTCTCTCTTTCTTTGGCTATTTCCACATTCACACAAATAAAAAATTCAGTCTCATTATTTTCACAGCTATTTGATATGTATTCACACACTTATGTATGAAAATAACAGAATGGGGCAAAAAACAGGAAAAAAGATCTAGAATTGAGGTTGTAATGTTTCATTGTATGAATATGAAAACAAGAAAAACACATTAGGGGTTTTTGTTTTTGTAGGAGGCGGCATAGATCTTGAAGCACTAGGAATTTTGGTTCAGGAAGTAAAATGTTTTAAAAGGATTCCACCCATATTAGAGATTCCACCATGTGGTTTTCACTATTTACAGAGGATTTATGAAGTAAAATCCAGATACAGCATATCCTGTTATAGGTAAGTGAGCCTTTTAATACTTAAAATAGTAAAGCTGCATTGATACACATTAAGTGTTCTTATAGATCCAATAAATCTGCCCCTGGCCAAAATAAAGTTATTTGATAATCATAATTACAAAAACAACACCAGCACTACATAACTTAATTTCATTTTGTAGAGGTTACTAGTCTAATACATAAAAATTAGACAATAGACACATTTTCTTTATTTCATAACTTTTTCATAAATATATGTGACAACTTGGCATCAATATTAGAATCAGCCTAAGACAGAGCTGATTATACTCTAATACATGCTTTTATTCAGTCACAGCTATTATGGAAACCAAGGCAGAAAATGATGCATTAGCAAAACTAACCTTCTTCATATCACTAATAAAAGTGGTAAATGCTACAGCTAACATCATACTACAAGCTCTCAGCTTTTCTTCTAAGAACTGAAATGAGACAAGGATGCTCACCCCTTTTATTCAACATAGAACTGGAAGTCCTAGTCAGAGCAATTAGGCAAGAGAAAGAAAAATAAAGGGCATCCAAATTGGAAAGGAAGAAGTCAAACTGTTCCTATTTGCAGACAACATGATCTTATACATAGAAAAACCTAAAGTCTCTACCAAAAAACTCTTAGAATAAATGAATTCAGTAAAGTTGCAGATATAAAATCAACATAGAAAAATCAGTAGCATTTTCTATATGCAAGCAATGAACTAAGAAATCAAGAAGCAATCCATTTGCAATAGGTACAAAAACACATACACACAAAACAAATGGGAATAAATTTAACTGAGGAGGTGAAAACCTTCACAAAAATAACTACAAAACACTGACGAAAGAAACCGAGGAGGATACAGACGAATGGAAAAACATCCCCGGCTCGTGGATCAGAAGAATTAATATTGTTAAAAGGACCACACTATCCAAAGTGATCTATAGATCCAATGTAATCCTTATCAAAATAACAATGACACTCTTCATGCAAGTAGAAAAAAAATCCTAAAACTTCTATGGAACCACAAAAGACCCTAAACAGCCACAACAATCCTCAGCAAAAGGAACAAAGCTGGAGGCATCAAACTACCACACTTCCAAATATACTACAAAGCTGTAGTAACCAAAAAACAGCATGGTATGGCATAAAAACAGAAACACAGACCAACAGAACAGAGAACCTAGAAATACATCCATGTATCTACAGCCAATTGATTTTAGTTAGAAGTACCAAGAACCTAAGTTGAGGAGAGAACACTCTCTTCAATAAATGGTGCTGGGAAAACTAGATGTCCACATGCAGAAGAATGAAACCAGATCTAACCCCCTCACCTTATATAAAAATCAACTCAAAATGGATCAAAGACCTAAATGTAAGACCTCAAACTACAAAACCACTTTAAGAAAACAGGTGAAATACTTCAGGACATTGGTTTGGGAAATGATTTTATGAATAAGACCTCAAAAGCACAGACAACAAAAGCAAAAAATAAATTAGTGAGATGATACCAAACTTAAAAAATAAATTAGTGAGATGATGTAAAACGCTTCTGTACAGCAAAGGGAACAAACAAGGGTAAAAAGACAACCTACAGAATGGGAGAAAATATCAACAGCAAAAAATAAAAATTCAATTAAAAATGGGCAAAGAGCCTGAATAGACACTTCAAAAAAGAACACATACAAAATGACCAATAAACACATGAAAAAAAAAAAAAAAAAACTCAATACCACTGATCATCAGGGAAATGCAAATCAAAACTATAATGAGGTATCGTCTCATCCCAGTTATGATGGCTATTAGCAAAAAGACAAAAAATAAACTCTTGCAAGGATGCAGAGAAAAGGAATTCTTTTTTGAGACAGGGTCTTGCTCTGTTGCCCAGGCTAGAGTGCAGTGGCATGGTCATAGCTCACTGAGTCCTCAACTTCCTGGGCTCAAGTAATCCTCTTGCTCAACTTCCCAACTAGCTGGGACTATGGATATGCACCACCAGGCCTGGCTAATTTTTTGATTTTTAGTAGAGATGAGGTCTTGCTATGTTGTCCAGGGTGGTTTCAAATTCCTGAACTCAAGCAATCCTCCCACCTCAGCCTCCCAAAGTGCTAGGATTACACTTGTGAGCCACTGCACCGGCCAGGAAAGGAACTCTTATACACTGTTGGTGAGAATGTAAACTAGAACATATACTACTATGGACAACAGTATGAAGTTCCTCACAAAACTAAAAATAGAATTACCATATGATCCAGCAACCCCACTACAGGGCATTCATCCAAAGGAAAAAACAATCAATACATCAAAGAGGCATCTGCATCTCCCCAGCATGTTTACTGCAGCACTATTCACAACAGCCAAGACATGGAATCAACCTAAGTGTCCAACAACAGATGAAGAACAGATAATGAAAATGTGGTATATGCATACAATGGAATGCTATTCAGCCATTAAAAAAATGAAATCCAGTCATTAACAGCAACATGGATGGAACTGGAGGACATTATGCTAAGTGAAATCAAGCCAAGAACCAAAAGTTAAACACCCAATATTCTCACTGATATGTGGAAGCTAAAAAAAGTTTATCTCAGCCGGGTGCAGTGGCTCACGCCTGTAATCCCAGCACTTTGGGAGGCCGAGGCGGACAGATCACCTGAGGTTAGGAGTTCGAGACCAGCCTGACCAGCGTGGTGAAACTCCATCTCTACTAAAAAATACAAAAATTGATGGGTGTGGTGGCGGGCGCCTGTAATCCCAGCTACTCTGGAGGCTGAGGCAGGAGAATCACTTGAGCCTGGAAGGCAGAGGTTGCTGTGAGCCGAGACCACACCACTGCACTCCAGCAAGAGCGAAAACTCCATCTAAAAAAAAAAAAGGGTTGATATCATAGAAGTAGAAAGTAGGACAGAGTATACTAGAGGCTGGGAAGGGTGGGAGGAAGAGAGGGATAGGAAGAGATTTGTTAAAGGATACAAAATTACCGCAAGACTGGAGGGCAAAGTTCTAGTGTTCTATATACCACTGTAAGATAACTACAATTAGCAATAATACATCACCTAGTTTCAAAGATCTAGAAGGAGGAAACTGAATGTTCTCAACACAAAGAAATGATAAATGTTTGAGATGCACATACTAATTACCCTGATATGATCACTACATACTACATGTATTGCAACATCACTATGTACCCCATAAGTATGTACAATTATTATGGGTCAGTTAAAAAAAATCAATAAATAAAACATTTTAAGTGGTAACTGAAGAAAAAAAGAGGACAAATTCAGTGGTGCTATTTTCCTTCAACAAAGTATATGGCTTGTTTATGTTTGCTGGAATATTTAAATAGTGGATGCAAAGGTAGTCTCTGGTTGTATTTTTTCTAAAGGGAAACAAATGGTTATTCCCTAAAATGCCTAAAACTGGCTTCCTTGCCAATTTCCAAAGTATGGTCTTCAAATACATTTGTTTTGGAAGGGATAAAAAGACTTTTTTTTTTTTTTTTTGCAACCTCAAGCATTGTGAAATAATAAGAGCATTATACACAACAAATTATTTAATTAGTTTAAACATGATCTGAAGGAGAAATACAGCAGCTAAGAGATTATATAACATGGGGGAGGGAGAGGTAAGGGAAAGCTTCTCCAAATATGAGCTGCTTAAGCTAAGATCTTAAGTGTACGAATTAGCTTAGAAAAGTGAGGTTAAAAGTATTACACACATGCTATGTGTAAGTTCTGAGATGGGTATGTGTTGCAATGTTCTAGGACCAGATGGCAGGTCCTGCCAGTCTCCTCTATTGTGATGAGAAGGCAGGAGAAGCTAAGTGCCAAGGCTAGTAGTTTTAGCAGAGGAGGCTGAGGTGGCTCCTATCTAATGATTTCCATTTTCTCTGTAGCTAGGTGGTTGGGTAATTTGATAGAGTGTGTAGGGGAAGGTGTTAAGGATAGCTAGAGGCTTGCAGAAACTCAGCATGATACATCTGAGATTGCTAATTTAAAAAAATACAACTGATTTTTATATAGTGCTGCTCAATCCTGTGACCCTGATAAACTTACTATTAGTTCTAATAGCTTTAATATTGATTCTTTGGCATGTTCTACATAGGTCATCATCCTGTACATAAACAAAGACAGCTTTATTTCTCTCTTTTAAATGTGTAGGTCTCATTTCTTTTTCTTCCCTTTTTGCATTGGCTAGACCTTCCATCCAGTACAATGTTGAAGACAAGCAGTGAAAATGGACAGCCTTGCCTAGTTCCTGATCTTAGGGGCAAAGCATTCAATCTTTCATCATTAAGAATATTAGCAACTGGCTTTATGTACTTACTGCCTTTTATTGCCTAGTCTCAGAAGTCTCTACTGCACATGCTCTATGAGTTGAGGCAGCCACAAAGGTTCAAGGGGAGGGACAAAGGCTCCACTTTTGATGGGGAGTGATAAGGTTCTGGATGAGCATGTGGGACCAGAAACTGTCTTTTCAATTTTGAAAATGCAAATGCTACAGCATCTTAATGATTTATCTCCTCATATGGCATATTCTCCCTTTTCCTGCTTTACCTAGGGAAATTCTATCCATTCTTCACATATCCTCTGTGAAATCTCTGATTATTCCAGCCCTCATAGATCTCTCTGCTGAAATGTTATCAGACTTTAGTCTATTACTGAAACTCTTACACTATATCATGAATTCTATTAATGTAATAATAGTATGTTTTATTCACCATTATATCCCCAAGGCCTAACACAGTACCTGTTAACATAGGGTAAATCAAATAAAAATGTAAAGAAATGTATGGATTATAACTCATTATTTCATTATGTAAGAGTTTGTACTGATTGATGTATTTACGAGTCTATTTGACTAACATCTGTGCCAGGCACTGTGCTAGGTTGGGAATATGATGTCAAGTAAGACAGACCCTGATGCGGTTAACAGAGGAACTGTGGATGGGGTAGGCACAGGTGTCCATGTGTACTTGGGGGTGGGGGTGGGGGTAGAGCATCTGCAGTGCATATAGAGTTGTTTACCTGAGATGCCTCTGGTACTTCTTAGAGATGTTCAAGAAACAAGGAATATTATGGGTCTCGTGGTCAGGTGAGAGGTCTGATCTGGAGATATAGGTATGAAAATCAGTGTTCAGGGAACAAGTCAATCACTGATGTGGATAAGATCATCAAGGAAGAAGAGTCAAAGATACAAGAAAAAGTATATTCACTATAGCATTATTTATAACAGTGAAAAAATAGACAAATGTTCTACCATTAGGGAACCAATTAAATAAATTATGGCATATTAATAAAATATTGTGCAGTCACAAAAACAGTATTTTAGAAAAAATATTTGTTGACAAGGAAAATAACTCATGATCCATTATACAGAAAAAGTTAGGGTATAAAAACAGCACATAATGCATGGTCTCAACTTTGTAAAAAGAAATGTGTTAATGTTGGTTGTTTCTGAATGGTGGTGACAATCTGGTTGACTTTATTTTCTGCTCTATACTTTGTAATGTCTTAGTTTCTAATATGAACATAGGTTTTATTACAAAAAAGTGTTATTTCTTAATCTAAAATATGTAGCTGCTAATGTTTACCTGATGAGTGTGGTTAAGATCTTAACACAGATTTTGTGGATAGAAGGCTTTAATCTTTTAAAATTTTAGACCTTTAATTGAGAATATTAATTTTAACCTATAGCAGCTACAGGTCTTCTCACATTCTCTAATTTAATCATCCCAACAACACTATATGGTAGACACTATTATTTTATAGATCTGGAAACAGGCCAGGTCAGGTAGTTTACCCAAGGTTACAACGGGGCTAGTGAAGCTGTGGAAAGAGGACTGTCTCCAGGTCCTGTTTGACTCCAATAAGCCACCCTTTACCACAATTGACACCTGGCATCCCAAGACACCTTCACATAGGTTATAAATATTTCTCAAACTTGTTTGATCAAAACAATCACCCGGAGGGTGCTTGCTAAGCATACAGGAATCTAAGAGAGGGAGGTAGATAGAAGGTGGGAGGGTTATACAAGGATTCTATCGCCGTATCTCAGACCTTCTGAATAAAAACTTCCCAGGGTGGGGGAGGAGAGAAGACAAGTTTGAGAGTTTTTTTTTTTTTTTTTTTTTTTGGGACGGAGTCTCCTTCTGTCACCCAGGCTGGAGTGCAGTGGCACAATCTTGGTTCACCGCAAGCTCTGCCTCCTGGGTTACACCATTCTCCTGCCTCAGCCTCCCAAGTAGCTGGGACTACAGGCGCCCGCCACCACACCTGGCTCATTTTTTTTTTGCATTTTTAGTAGAGACGGGGTTTCACCGTGTTAGCCAGGATGGTCTTGATCTCCTGACCTCGTGATCCGCCCGCCTTGGCCTCCCAACGTGCTGGGATTACAGGCGTGAGCTAGCGTGCCCAGCTGACAAGCTTGAGAGTTTTTAAACAAGGGCCCCAAGCAAATTTACTGTCAGGCAAGTTTGTGAAATTCTATTATCACATTAGATAATTGATACTCAGTTTTACAGAGCAGGAAGATGAGCCCCAAATCAGATTAAGCTACAGTATATGGTGGCAAAGACAAGAACTACACAGTTCAACTGCAATTAATTTTCAAATTTAAGATTCATTTGTGGAATTTCAAAGTCCAAGATAAATTCGCAAAGATATGGGGTCACATGAGCAACTCTGGCACGTGCACCATAATAAATTCTGTGGTCACCCTAATTACAACCCTTTCAGAGTAATCAACTGGTTAATCTGAATTTGGCTGTCTGGGTTGGCTGTTCATTTGTTTATTATTTACATATTTATTTGCAAAAAAATCTCATGTTGTAAGTTTAAATAAGGGCATATCATATACTGGTATAAGGAATAGTCAAAACCAGCATAGGGCAAAATTCCTGTGGTGTCTCTCTAAACGCCTTATTTCTCTCTTCCCAGTTCAGCAACTGTGCAACTGAACATGGTGGAGAAATATAACCACAAGTATGCTGAACAGACTTACTTTAACTTTATAATAATTAATAACCTCAAGTGGGACTTTAATAGTGGCATCTGTTCTGTGACCCATTTTTGCTTACAGTTGGCTAATTATTAAGAAGTTAACAGAGGTTTAAGCTGTGACCTCAGGCTCGTGGATGTATGAAAAAAACCTTCAGGGAACTTAAGCTAAAATCATGGTCTAACAGGTGGTAGAATAGATACTTTTAAAGGGTAGGGCTAGCACTGTTTTAGTTTTCCCTTAAATATTACTACCAACAATGATTGTAAGGTCTAGCTGCACACACAGGAGCCACAAATATCTGCTTGCTTTAACTTAATAAAGACTTAAGGCAAAATCCACTCTATCATCTCATTCCAGACATTTTGGTTTTCCAAAGCTACACAAATTTATTAACTTTTGGTTTGCAGTTTCAACTTATGCTGAGCTACACTTAAAAATACTTACTGCCAGGTATGGTGGCTCACACCTATAATCCAGTGCTTTTGGAGGCCAAGACGGGAGGATCACTTGAAGCCAGGAGTTCAAGACCAGCCTGGGCAACCAAGCAAAACCTCTCTCTCTACAAAAAATTAAAAAATTAGCTGAGTACAGCGGCATGTGCCTGTAGTCCCAGCTACTTCGGAGACTGAGATAGGGGGATTGCTGGAACCCAGGAGGTTGAGGCTGCAGGGAGCTATGATCGCACCACTGCACCCCAGCTTGGACCACAGAGTAAGACGCTATCTCTTAAACAAAACAAAGCAAAATAAACAAAAACTTTTGCAGGGGTCTACCAATTATGGGAATAACGCTCATTATAAAACGTTTAAAAGCTAGATATAGAAAATATTTAAAAATCTAAAATCACCCATAGTTGAAGAATTCAATTATAATAACTGCCAATATTTTTGCATTTTCCTTAGTAAGAGTGACAGTTTCAGAGCCTCCTATGTGCCAGGTACTCTGCTCTTTACTTGTATTATTGAATCTTTACAACAACGCTTTGACGTAGGTACTATTAGCACTCCCGTTTTACTGATGAGGAAACCTAGACTAATAGCTTATATAACTTTGCCCACAGACACAATACTACTAAGTGGTGGAGTCAGTATTCAAACTCACTTTCTGTCCTATTCCAGGACCTGTACTATCAACTATACAATAATGCCCATTCTTTTGTTATTCACTTATGTGTGTGGACTCCAACTATCCTTTGATCTCAACGGGCCCTACAATCTTTTGAATCTACGACATTTTCACTATTTCTCACCTGCTCATGTCCTAACATGCCACCTGGCTCAGCTTCCATGGTCAACCACCAGAACTGTTCCCTTGTGTACACACTGACTCCCTTGCTTCTCTTTCACTTTGTCATATGCTCTTGGCTAATTCCAACACTGCCTAGATCCAACTCTCTGCCTATTCCATACCAGCACTTTTGCAGCTGAACACAGTGGAGAAAAAGAACCACAATCATGCTAAACAGACTTATATATTTTTTATACATTTAAAAAAATAAATGGAATGCTTCACGAATTTACGTGTCATCCTTGCATAGGGGCCATGCTAATCTTCTCTGTATTTTTCCAATTTTAGTATACGTGCTGCCAAAGCAAGCACACAGACTTCTTTTTAAAATTATTTTATTTTTAAATTATTTTTATACTTTAAGTTTTAGGGTACATGTGCACAATGTGCAGGTTAGTTACATATGTATACATGTGCCATGTTGGTGCACTGCACCCATTAACTCGTCATTTAGCATTAGGTATATCTCCTAATGCTATCCCTCCCCCCTCCCCCCACCCCACAACAGGCCCAGGTGTGTGATGTTCCCCTTCCTGTGTCCACGTGTTCTCACTGTTCAATTCCCACCTATGAGTGAGAACATGCAGTGTTTGGTTTTTAGTCCTTGCGATAGTTTGCTGAGAATGATGGTTTCCAGCTTCATCCATGTCCCTACAAAGGACATGAACTCATCATTTTTTATGGCTGCATAGTATTCCATGGTGTATATGTGCCACATTTTCTTAATCCAGTCTTTGTTGGACATTTGGCTTGGTTCCAAGTCTTTGCTATTGCGAATAGTGCCGCAGTAAACATACGTGTGCATGTGTCTTTATAGCAGCATGATTTATAATCCTTTGGGTATATGCCCAGTAATGGGATGGCTGGGTCAAATGGTATTTCTAGTTCTAGATCCCTGAGGAATCGCCACACTGACTTCCACAAGGGTTGAACTAGTTTACAGTCCCACCAACAGTGTAAAAGTGTTCCTATTTCTCCACATCCTCTCCAGCACCTGTTGTTTCCTGACTTTTTAATGATCGCCATTCTAACTGGTGTGAGATGGTATCTCATTGTGGTTTTCATTTGCATTTCTCTGATGGCCAGTTTTGATGAGCATTTTTTCATGTGTTTTTTGGCTGCATAAATGTCTTCTTTTGAGAAGTGTCTGTTCATATCCTTCACCCACTTTTTGATGGGGTTGTTTTTTTCTTGTAAATTTGTTTGAGTTCATTGTAGATTCTGGATATTAGCCCTTTGTCAGAGAGTAGGTTGCAAAAATTTTCTCCCATTCTGTAGGTTGCCTGTTCACTCTGATGGTAGTTTCTTTTGCTGTGCAGAAGCTCTTGAGTTTAATTAGATCCCATTTGTCAATTTTGGCTTCTGTTGTCATTGCTTTTGGTGTTTTAGACATGAAGTCCTTGCCCATGCCTATGTCCTGAATGGTATTGCCTAGGTTTTCTTCTAGGGTTTTTATGGTTTTAGGTCTAACATGTAAATCTTTAATTCATCTTGAATTAATTTTTGTATGAGGTGTAAGGAAGGGATCCAGTTTCAGCTTTCTAAATATGGCTAGCCAGTTTTCCCAGCACCATTTATTAAATAGGGAATCTTCTCCCCATTGCTTGTTTTTGTCAGGTTTGTCAAAGATCACATAGTTGTAGATAGGCGGCATTATTTCTGAAGGCTCTGTTCTGTTCCATTGATCTATATCTCTGTTTTGGTACGAGTACCATGCTGTTTTGGTTACTGTAGCCTTGTAGTATAGTTTGAAGTCAGGTAGCGTGATGCCTCCAGCTTTGTTCTTTTGGCTTAGGATTGACTTCGCAATGCGGGCTCTTTTTTGGTTCCATATGAACTTTAAAGTAGTTTTTTCCAATTCTGTGAAGAAAGTCATTGGTAGCTTGATGGGGATGGCGTTGAATCTATAAATTACCTGGGGCAGTATGGCCATTTTCATGATATTGATTCTTCCTACCCATGAGCATGGAATGTTCTTCCATTTGTTTGCATCCTCTTTTATTTCATTGAGCAGTGGTTTGTAGTTCTCCTTGAAGAGTTCCTTCACAATCCCTTGTAAGTTGGATTCCTAGGTATTTTATTCTCTTTGAAGCAATTGTGAATGGGAGTTCACTCATGATTTGGCTCTCTGTCTGTTACTGGTGTATAAGAATGCTTGTGATTTTTGCACATTGATTTTGTATCCTGAGACTTTGCTCAAGTTGCTTATCAGCTTAAGGAGATTTTGGGCTGAGACGATGGGGTTTTCCAGATATACAATCATGTCATCTGCAAACAGGGACAATTTGACTTCCTCTTTTCCTAACTGAATGCCCTTTATTTCCTTCCTTCTCCTGCCTGACTGCCCTGGCCAGAACTTGCAACACTATGTTGAATAGGAGTGGTGAGAGAGGGCATCCCCACCAGGCCTGCCCTAAAAGAGCTCCTGAAGGAAGCACTAAACATGGAAAGGAACAACTGGTACCAGCCACTGCAAAAACATGCCAAATTGTAAAGACCATCAAGGCTAGGAAGAAACTGCATCAACTAACGAGCAAAATAACCAGCTAACATCATAATGACAGGATCAAATTCACACATAACAATACTAACCTTAAATGTAAATGGGCTAAATGCTCCAATTAAAAGGCACAGACTGACAAATTGGATAGAGTCAAGACCCATCAGTGTGCTGTATTCAGGAAACCCGTCTCACATGCAGAGACACACATAGGCTCAAAATAAAGGGATGGAGGAAGATCTATCAAGCAAATGGAAAACAAAAAAAGGCAGGGGTTGCAATCCTAGTCTCTGATAAAACAGACTTTAAACCAACAAAGATCAAAAGAGACACAGAAGGCCATTACATAATGGTAAAGGGATCAATTCAACAAGAAGAACTAACTATCCTAAATATATATGCACCCAATACAGGAGCACCCAGATTCATAAAGCAAGTCCTTAGTGACCTACAGAGAGACTTAGACTCCCACACAATAATAATGGGAGACTTTAACACCCCACTGTCAACATTAGACAGATCAACGAGACAGAAAGTTAATAAGGATATCCGGGAATTGAACTCAGCTCTGCACCAAGCGGACCTAATAGACATCTACAGAACTCTCCACCCCAAATCAACAGAATATACATTCTTTTCAGCACCACACCACATCTATTCCAAAATTGACCACACAGTTGGAAGTAAAGCACTCCTCAGCAAATGTAAAAGAACAGAAATTATAACAAACTGTCTCTCAGATCACAGTGCAATCAAATTAGAACTCTGGATTAAGAAACTCACTCAAAACTGCTCAACTACATGGAAACTGAACAACCTGCTCCTGAATGACTACTGGGTACATAACGAAATGAAGGCAGAAATAAAGAGGTTCTTTGAAACCAACGAGAACAAAGATACAACATACCAGAATCTCTGGGACACATTCAAAGCAGTGTGTAGAGGGAAATTTATAGCACAAAATGCCCACAAGAGAAAGCAGGAAAGATCTAAAATTGACACCCTAACATCACAATTAAAAGAACTAGAGAAGCAAGGGCAAACACATTCAAAAGCTAGCGGAAGGCAAGAGATCAGAGCAGAACTGAAGGAAATAGAGATACAAAAAATCCTTCAAAAAAATCAATGAATCCAGGAGCTGGTTTTTTGAAAAGATCAAGAAAATTGATAGACCGCTAGCAAGACTAATAAAGA
Source organism: Homo sapiens (assembly GCF_000001405.40). Taxonomy (NCBI): domain Eukaryota; kingdom Metazoa; phylum Chordata; class Mammalia; order Primates; family Hominidae; genus Homo; species Homo sapiens. The sequence goes on from NC_000013.11 coordinate 21,554,793, forward strand.
AGAGAGAAGAATCAAATAGATGCAATAAAAAATGATAAAGGGGATATCACCACCGACCCCACAGAAATACAAACTACCATCAGAGAATACTATAAACACCTCTACGCAAATAAACTAGAAAATCTAGAAGAAATGGATAAATTCCTCGACACATATACTCTCCCAAGACTAAATCAGGAAGAAGTTGAATCTCTGAATAGACCAATAACAGGCTCTGAAATTGAGGCAATAATTAATATCTTACCAACCAAAAAAAGTCCAGGACCAGATGGATTCACAGCTGAATTCTACCAGAGGTACAAGGAGAAGCTGATACCATTCCTTCTGAAACTATTCCAATCAATAGAAAAAGAGGGAATCCTCCCTAACTTATTTTATGAGGCCAGCATCATCCTGATACCAAAGCCTGGCAGAGACACAACAAAAAAAGAGAATTTTAGACCAATATCCTTGATGAACACTGATGCAAAAATCCTCAATAAAATACTGGCAAACCGAATACAGCAACACATCAAAAAGCTTATCCACCATGATCAAGTGGGCTTCATCCCTGGGATGCAAGGCTGGTTCAACATACGAAAATCAATAAACGTAATCCAGCATATAAACAGAACCAAAGACAAAAACCACATGATTATCTCAATAGATGCAGAAAAGGCCTTTGACAAAATTCAACAATGCTTCATGCTAAAAACTCTCAATAAATTAGGTATTGATGGGATGTATCTCAAAATAATAATAGCTATCTATGACAAACCCACAGCCAATATCATACTGAATGGACAAAAACTGGAAGCATTCCCTTTGAAAATAAATAGACTTATTTTAACTTCAGAATTAATAACTTCAAGTGGGGACTTTAATAAGGTTACTGGCAATCATATTGTATTTCTCAATCCATCAACTCTCTCACTGTTTTATAAGGCTATTTCTGTAAACCTCAATACCTTCCCCCCCTCTTCACTCTCAGCTGATAACCTGGCTTCCCAATTCACTGAGAAAAAAAGAAAGAAAGGTAATAAACAACTTGACCAGCTTCCATTAGATGTCATGTGGTGTGCATGCCTTTTCTCCTGGTATTATGAAGGAACTCTGTGCTCCTACCTAATCCAAGCTTCCACTGTGCTCTCAAACTCTTTTCCCTCTTGTCTTCACAAGGACTGTGTTTTAGAAATTTTTCATTCTTCCTGCACTGCCAAGTTTTCCTGTCTCACCTACCAACACATATTAAAAGATCCTCTTGATCGCATTTCCACCTCCATCTACTGCTTCATCTCTCTCTTTCTCTTTATGGCAAGCCACTCTGGAGTCTTTTGTTTTTCCCCCATTTTTTCCTAAACCCACTCTAGTCAGGCTTTCATGTTTACACCAATGCACCAAAACTGTTCTTATAAAGGTCACCAATAACCCTCATATTGCCAAATCTAATGGTCAATTCTTAGTCCTCATCTGACCTGATTTCTCAACAGCATTTTTCATAGTTGATTACTCCTTCCTTGAAATGCTTTCTTTACTTAAATTTCACAACACTCTGCTTTCCTGGTTTTCTTCCTACCTTTTAGCTGCTCCTTCTCTGGGTTTTCCTTATCTCTTCACCTCCAAATGTTGGAATAACTCACCACTCAGTCCTTTGACTTATCTTTTCTATCCAAACTCATTTTTGAGATCTCATCAAGTATTTTAGCCTTAAATAGCACGTATATATTGAAGATTCTTAAATTTACATCTCTAATGTCTACGCAGTTTTCAGGAGAGCGAAGACATGAGACTATTTGGAAGTTTTAAAGAATGAGACAGTGGAGAGAAAAAGTGATGGAACTAGAGAAGGGGGCGGAGGAATCAGCCTTAGCAGGGCAAGAGCACTACTTCCAGTTTAAAAGGCCAGGAAGCATGTAGGCAAGTTCTCGGGCAGCAAGGGAGGGATCTGAAGAACTCCCTAGCTTATGGCCTTAATTTGCTCAGTCAAAAATAGGTGAAATAATATTATAAATGTGAAAAAAGGATGTGATAAAAAGTCTGAAAAAAGCAGCAAGAGTTGAGAAGAGCTGACGAAGGAAATAGGAGAAAGCTAATTCATGTGTAAAATGATTGGAAAACTCTAGGTGAAGGTGAGGACTATCAAAATTAGTGGCTCCGATCTGCACAATCACATGATTTTCTCCCAAAGTTGACAGCAGGCTAAGTCCGACAAGAACAACAAAGGGGAAAGATATTTGCAAGTAGTTATTCAACAGTGACAAAATGACAAACCTGTAGCTACAGGGGAGGAAAAATATCCAAGAGGAACAGAGAGCTTGGGAATGATGGGATAGTTGAGACTAGAAGCTTTTATTAAATCTGAGAATAGGTGCATTGGGTATTAGAAAGTAGGCAGGGTGGGGACAACAGTAACTTGTTGCCAGAGAATGGGATTCTGCAATTTGAGATTTTAAAACTGGAGCAATTCCAGGTAATGGACGTGGGAAGTGAATAAGAATGAAGGTCACTGGAAATGAAAACTAAAGAACTATAAGGCTAAAGAAATTCAGTAGAAAAGAACGTAAAGAAGGGAAATGGTATTCTGGCTAGATAAGCTAGGTCTCAAAGCAGCACATTTGATGGTTTTTAGAGTGCACAATGGAGGACTGAGGATGACACTGATTTCCCTCAAGCCTACCAAGGAAACAGGAAGAATGAGTATCTACTTGAAAGGAGCATGGGGAGATGGTTTACAGAAGCCTCATTAACTACTATTAATAAAGTGTATTATTTGCAAAAAATCCAAAAAGATACATACTACGTAAAAATGAGTTTAGGATCTAATAAATCTTAGACTGTTTTGTATCTTTCTGTTTATTCATGGAGATCATGGGTCAGTGGGTTGGCCCTGTTTTTCCTTATTTTGCTGTTCATAATGATCTGTAGGAATGCAACCAAGATTATTATCCTTCTTATCCATGATGAAAAATGAAGATGAAGTACATCACATGCATAAAGGATGTATTATTTGGCCTGCAAAATTACTGAATTCTTGATTTAGCTAAATGCCTTCTGATAGTTTAATTGCATTCCAATGAATAATAAAAGTGGAAACATTATAATCTTTAATCATGGTTTATTTTAGTTCTTTGAATATATTTACAATGGCTATTCTAAAGTCTTTTTCTGGTATATCTGATATCTGGTTGCAATCACAAGCAGTTTCTGTTACCTGCTTTTGTCCAGTAGAGTCATATATTCCTGTTTCTTTGCATATTTCATAATATTTTGTTATAAAAACTCACATTTCAGATAATATACTGTAGCAACTCTGAGTACTATTAACAATTCCCTGCTCCCCCAGGGTTGTTACTGCTATCTGCTTATTTGCTATTTGTTTAGTGCCAAGCTGGATTATTTTAATGAAGACTATCGCCCCCCAGTGTTAAGCCTCTGATGTTGCTCCTCAGGGAGGCAGTTTTGGGTATGCCTTCAGTCACCCTGGGATGAGAGTAATTTGGGCAGCACTCTAGTTTCCGTTTTCTTGACCATACCAAGATGTTAAGCTCCACTAATTTGGGGTCCTTTGAAGGAATAATTTCCACTGTCAGTGTTTAATATTTGTAATGACCCCAGGAGGGCTCCTTATAGCTGTCTCTTTCCCTAGTTCTCTTCCGCAAAGCAGCCAGCCTACAGTTTAGCCTGTTATTTTAATTGAATTTGTTAATGTCCTCCCAATTACCTTTCACCACAACCTCCACGTGTTTTTGAGTGTGGATCTTAGGCTTGAACTTCTCCATTTTCTGTTGATGGTGAAGTCGGTTTCTTTGGGAAGAGATAAGGAGCTATTTGTTTTACCTGTTGCCCACACCCTCCACTTCTCACCCCACAAAATTTGTGGGCTGGGGTTCTGGGGTTGGGAGTGGGACCAGTGGTGTAACTTCAGGTCTTCTTGACTTGCCTCTCTCAGTGTGGAACCTGTCTTACAAGTTGAGACAAGAGCAATCAGGGTCCCAGTATTCTTAGGGGTACAAGGCCCAAGGTAGAGCCTCCATTTCACAGGTGAGGGATGGCAGGGAGAAGGGAGCTCCCACTTCTCAGCTGCACTCCCCAGAACTAGCCTCAAAAACAAGTAGCTGGGGGCAAGATGAGAAATGCTGGTATCCGGTTTCTCTGGGAAGAAAGCCCTCTGAATGGGTACTGAGGGGAGAGGAAACCCTCTGTTCTTGGCTGCACCAGTTTGGAATAAATTTCCATTCAACAAACTGGGACAGGGTAGGGAGGGAGTTCTTGGTTCAAGCATCCCAGACTCTTAGTTTTCTTATCCAATTTTAGTAGATTTTCTTAAACAGATGTTCTTTAATGTGCTATACGACTCCAAGACCACTTCCAGAGACTTTAAAGGAAGGTCTTAAAATTTTTTTACCAGTTTCAGTGGGAAGTGGGCCAATGGAGTTACTCATGCTGCCATGATGAAAGTCGACCATCTAAGTTTGTTCACTTTTACTCAGTAAAATTTCATTGTGTGAATACACTGTAGCACAGTTTATTTATCCAGTCTGTTATTAAGGGACAGTTGAGTTGTTTCCAGCTTTTGCTAATATAACACTGCTACTACAAGCATTCTTACACATATATCCCACTGCACAGGGGCAAATATTCCTGTTGCATATAGAGTGTATATATAGGAATGGGATTTGTATGTCAAAAGTTATGCTAATGTTTAATTTTATATAACAGTTCTAAGTTGTTTTCCAAAGTAGGAGTTTCTTTCTTTTCTTTTTTTTTTTTTGAGACAGAGTCTTGCTCTGTTGCCCAGGCTGAAGTGCAGTGGTGCGATCTGGGCTCCTAGCAACCTCCACCTCTTGGGTTCAAGCGATTCTCCTGCTTCATCCTCCTGAGTAGCTGGGACTACAGATGCACGCCACCATGCCTGGCTAATTTTTCTATTTTTAGTAGAGACAGGGTTTCTCCATGTTGGCCAGGCTGGTCTTGAACTCCTGACCTCAGGTGATCCACCTGCCTTGGCCTCCCAAGGTGCTGGGATTACAGGGGTGAGCCACCATGCCCAGCCCAAAGTAGTAGTTTCAATTGGCATGTCCAACTAACAGTGTATAAAAATCTTTGCTGATCTACATTCTCTTCAACTTTTGTCTTTAACAAAATTAATTGTTGCTAATCTTATATAAAATTATATCTTATTGTAGTCACTAATAAGGGTAAACATATTTATGTTCTTTTTTTGCATACATTTCCTCTTCTGTGAATGCCTACTTACTACTTCTGTCCCTTTTTTAAAAAAATTGTCTTTTTCTTATTGATTTGTAGTTTTCTACATATACTAAGTATTGTCTTAAATTTTGGAAGTCTTTGGCTTACCTTTTCAATTTCTCTAAGGCAACTTTTGATCAATAGAAGTTCTAATTTTAATATGGTTGAATTTTATCAATCTTTTATGTTAGTGCTTTTTGTGGCTTATTTAAGGAAGATTTCTTTAACCTAAGGAGACAGATTTTAAAATTTTCTTTGAAAAATGTTTGCTTGTTTTCCATATGCATATCCAACTGCACTAGTACCATTATCCAACTGCACTAGTACCATTCGTTGAACAGTCCCTCTTTTTCCACTGATTTATAATGCCACCTCTCTCATATATAAAAGTTCCCTTGTGTTTCTGGGCTCTTTATTCTGTTCCACTGGTCAGTTTGTCTATCCCTATGCCAATGCCATTTGATCTTAATTACTGAGGTTTTATAATAAAGCTCATTATTTGATAGAGTTAACTTCTCCATTTTTTTCCTTCTTTCAGAGTGTCTTTGCCAGTTCAGGCCCCTTGTTTTTCCGTATAAATTTTCAAATCAGCTTGTCAAAAAACACACACACACACACACACACGTGTGCATACATGTGTGAGCACACATTTACCTACCCCATTGGGATTATTGCAATTACACTGAATTTATAGATTAGGGGTTACAAACTAGGTCAACAGGCCCAATTATGCTTGTAGAAATGTCTAGGTAGCAGAATTTCTGTAAAAATTTTCAATTTGAGTGCCTGTAACAACATCTAGACTCTAGTTAGCTATATAGCTTGTCCCACCGACTATATTATATTGATTTGATTCAAAACTATTCTTTTTCTGACTGGTCCTGTAAGGTTTTAAATTTTCCACTTGGTCATCTAAACTATTCTTGCCTAGAGTTCTCTTCTAGGGACCAAATACTCTTCTGAAGATGCCAGCTTCACTTTCATTGGTTGAAAATATTTTAAAATTTCTTTTGAGATTCCTTATTTGACCCATGTGTTATTTAAAAGTGTGTCATTTAATTTCCAAATACTCTGAGATGTTTCAGCTATCTTTTTGTTACTGATTTCTAGTTTAAGTCTACTGTGGTCTAAGACCATACTTTGTATGATTTCTATTCTTGTAAATTTTTTTAAACTGTGTTTTATGATCCCAAATTTGGTCTATCTTGGTGAGTGGTTCCAGGTTAGCTTCAGAATGTATATTCTGCTATCGTTAGGTGAAATATCCTATAAGTGGCAATTAGATCCAGTTACTTGGTGGTGCTGTTTTATTCAGGTATATCCTTATTGGTTTTCTGTCTGCTGAATCTGTCAATCAATGACAGAAGGCTCTTGAAATCTCCAAGTATAATAGTTTCTAAGAACACATCTGTTTCTCCTTGCAGTTCTATCAGTTTTTGCCTCATGTGCTTTGATGCCCTGTTGTTAGGTATACATACATTACAGATAGTTATGTCTTCTGGAGTACTCACCCATTAAAAAAAAAAAATTACTACGCAATGCCTCTTTTTATTCCTGATAATTTCCCTCATTCTGAAATTTGGTTTATCTGAAGGCTAGCTACTCCAGCCTTCTTTTGATTAGTGTTAGCAATTACTCTATCTGTATCTTTACATTTAAAGTGGGTTTCTTTTTTTTTTTTTTTAGTCTCTTTTTTTTTATTATTATTATACTTTTAAGTTTTAGGGTACATGTGCACAATGTGCAGGTTACATATGTATACATGTGCCATGCTGGTGTGCTGCACCCATTAATTTGTCATTTAGCATTAGGTATATCTCCTAATGCTATCCCTCCCCCCTCCCCCCACCCCACAACAGTCCCCAGAGTGTGATGTTCCCCTTCCTGTGTCCACGTGTTCTCATTGTTCAATTCCCATCTATGAGTGAGAACATGCAGTGTTTGGTTTTTTGTCCTTGCGATAGTTTACTGAGAATGATGATTTCCAATTTCATCCATGTCCCTACAAAGGACATGAACTCATCATTTTTTATGGCTGCATAGTATTCCATGGTGTATATGTGCCACATTTTCTTAATCCAGTCTATCATTGTTGGACATTTGGGTTGGTTCCAAGTCTTTGCTATTGTGAATAGTGCCGCAATCAACATACATGTGCATGTGTCTTTATAGCAGCATGATTTATAGTCCTGTGGGTATATACCCAGTGATGGGATGGCTGGGTCAAATGGTATTTCTAGTTCTAGATCTCTGAGGAGTCGCCACACTGACTTCCACAATGGTTGAACTAGTTTACAGTCCCACCAACAGTGGAAAAGTTTCTTATAAACCACATGCATAAAATACATATCTACAGTGACTGTTGATATATCTGGATTGATATCTACCATATCTAACTATTGCACTTGAGTTTTGTTTCATTTTTTTTGTCTTCCACTCTTTTTTTGCCTTCTCTGATTTTAGCTGAGTATTTTACATAACTTAATTTTCTCTCCTCTCTTAGAATGTCAATTCTATTTATTAAAAATATTTTTTTAGTAGTTGTCCTAAAGTTTGCAATATATATTTGCAACTAATCTAAGTCCACTTTCAAATAACACTATACCACTTCGTGGGTGGTACAAGTATCTTATAACAAAAGTATTCCCAATTCCTCCCTCCTGTCCCTTATACCGTTGCTGTTATATATTTCACTTATCCATACAATTTGATCATCCAATATTGTGTTGCTATTATTATTTTGATTAAACTGTTATCTGTTATATCAATTTTTAAAAACGTGATTTTATATTCATGTATTCCTTTTCTACCTTAACTGTCTTCCTTTCTTCATGCCAAGTTCCTGATATATCGTTTTCCTTCTTTCTGAAGAACGTCTTTGAACATTTCTTGTAAATCAGATCTACTGGTGACAAATTCTCTCAAATTTGGTTTGTCTGAGAATGTATTTCTTTTTCACTTTTGAAGGATAATTTTCACTAGATATAGAATTCTACATTGGTAAATTTTTCTTTCAAAATTTTATCCACCCTCTTCTTGCTTAAAAAGAAATATATAATTCTTACCATTGTTTTTCTACAGATAAGGTGTTTTTTCTTCTTTGGCTTCTTTCAAGATTTTTTTCTCTTTCTTCTGTTCTCTAAAATTTTTCTGGCCGGGCGTGGTGGCTCATGCCTGTAATCCCAGCACTTTGGGAGGCCAAGGTGGGCGGATCATGAGGTCACGAGATCGAGACCATCCTGGCTAACACGGTGAAACCCTGTCTCTACTAAAAATACAAAAAATTAGTCGGGCGTGGTGGCGGGCACCTGTAGTCCCAGCTACTCGGGAGGCTGAGGCAGGAGAATGGCATGAACCCGGGAGGTGGAGCTTACAGTGAGCCAAGATTGCACCACTGCACTCCAGCCTGGGCTATAGAGTGAGACTTTGTCTCAAAAAAAAAAAAAAATTCTGCAGTTTGAATATGATACACCTAGGCATTTATTGGTATTTATTCTGCTTGGTGTTTTTGTGAACTTCTTGAATCTATGGCTTGACATTTGTTAATAATTTTGGAAAACTCAGTCATTATTATTTCAAATACTTCTTTTCCTCTTTCTTTTTTTCCTGGTGTTCCTGTTCCTTATATGTTACACCTTTTATAACTGACTCACAGTTTTTGAATATTCTGTTTTTCTCAGTCTTTTTGTTCCTCTTTGCTTTTCAAGTTGGGAAGTTTCTATTGACATATCTTCAAGCTCACTGATTCTTTTCTCAGCCAGGTCCGTTACACTGATGGGCCCAACAAACACATTTTTTTTTTTTTTGAGTCAGGGTCTTACTCTGTCACCTAGTCTGGAGTGCAGTGGTGCAATCATAGTTCACTGTAGTCTCAAACTCCTGGGCTCAAGTGATCCTCAGCCTCTGAAGTAGCTAGGACTACAGGTGTGTGCCACCACACCTGGCTAATTTCAAAGGCATTCTTCATTTCTGTTACACTATTTTTGATTTTGAGCATTTGCTTTTGGTTTGTTCTAAGAATTTCTCTGCCTCTGCTTACGTTACTTTAAATGCTGTGCACTTTTTCCATTGGAGCCCTTAGCATATTAATGTTATTTTAAATTCCTGGTCTGATAATTCCAAATATCTGCTATATATAAATCTGATACTGATATTTGCTTTGTCTTTTCAGATTGTGCTTCTTCTTTTTAGCATGCCTTGTGACTTTTTTTGTTCTAAGTTAGTCATGATGTATTTGGTAAAAGTTACTGAGGTAGATTGGCCTTTTATGTTTATCTGGGTAGGAATCGGTTGGGTTTACTGTTTGCTGTAGTTGTAGGTGACAGAGGCTAAAATTTCCTCTGGTGCCTTTTTTTCTTCTCCCCCGTTGTCTTTTCTCTCCTTAAATAAAATCTAAGAGGTAAGTTCTTTCAGTACTGCCTTATTATTGCAAAGGGGCCTGCTCTATGGATGTGGTGGTGAGGTGAAAAGGGAGGTACGTATTGTACAGTCCTATGATCAGCTGTCAGTCTTTCAGTCGGACTGTGTGACTGTGAAGGGATGTACCCTTCAAAAGCGGTTCTCAGTTTTTTTGTTTTTCCACTCCCCTTGGTGAGACAAGAAGGCCAGAGGGGGATAGATTTGGGAATTTCCATCCCCCTAGGGTGGCTGGGCTCCAGTAAAAAAGTTTCCTTTCTGTGCAGGCCTTTGTTAAGGAGAATGAAATGCTCTGGGAGTATCTAAAAATGGCTACTTTTCCCTCCCAATGAGGAAGAGGGGAGAACATTTTTCTTAGATCTTCACTGTGAGAACCTGGCAGAGTTCCTCAAGGTAAAACTCACAAAAGCGTATGGGCTTCTCCGTGGCTGGCTCTTCAGGAGTTGTTATCTCTCAAGCTAGTTCACACTCAGATTCCAGCAATTAATTACCCTTTAAATATTCCTACCTGAAGCTGGCTCCAGTGGTGGGTTCTTAGAGGTTTCTGTTGGTAGTAAGCTGACTCTATGGATCTGCTTGCCTTCAGTTTCCAGCTCAAGTGTGACCTCAATTCTCTGATGAATCTAACAGGAATTCACAACGTCCAAGTGCTTTACCTGTTAGAGGCTAAACTACTTTTTAAGAGAAATCTTTTTGCATATCTTTGATTACTTACATTATGAACTTACTGTACTAATGTGGGTAAATATCTTTAAGGTTGCTAGTATACACAAACTTCCCTGCAAAAAAGCTGTAATAAAAGAACCTAGGCTGGGCGAGGTGGCTCATGCCTGCAATCTCAGCACTTTGGGAGGCCAAGGGGGGTGGATTACCTGAGGTCAGGAGGTTGAGACCAGCCTGGCCAACATGGTGAAACTCTGTCTCTACTAAAAACACAAGGCTGGGCGCGGTGGCTCATGCTTGCAATCCCAGCACTTTGGGAGGCCGGGGAGGGTGGATCACGAGATCAGGGGATTGAGACCATCCTGGCAAACACAGTGAAACACCGTCTCTATTAAAAAGTACAAAAAATTAGCTGGGCGTGGTGGCACGTGCCTGTAATCCCAGACACTTGAGAGGCTGAGGCAGGAGAATCGCTTGAACCCCAGAGGTAGAGGTTGCAGTGAGCCAAGATCGCGCCACTGCACTCCAGCCTGGGCGACAGAGCGAGACTCCGTCTCAAAAAACAAACAAACAAAAACAAAAATTAGCCAGGCATGGTGGTGGGCACCTGTAATCCCAGCTACTCGGGAGGCTGAGGCAGGAGAATTGCTTGAACCCGGGAGGCGGAGGTTGCAGTGAGCTGAGATCATGCCATTGCACTCCAGCCTGGGAGACAGAGCAAGACTCTGTTTCAAACAAACAAACAAAACCCTAAACATATTTTTACCACCTTATTTTTCTGCTCACAAACCTTCAATGCCATTCATCCCTGCCAAATACCATTCATCTGGTGGTTGGAGAGGGCCACTGAAGTCTTCTGGATAATCCAGACCTTATCTGTTTTTCAATTTCATCCCTCACTACTGCTTAAAGTAATCCTTTTGTTCCAGTGATCACTGAATTTATTGTCCCTAGAATACACCATGATCACTCATTTCGTTTTTGTTCATCATCCCTCAATGTTTATAATGCTGTCCCATGTTCTCTCAGCCTTTTTGAATTCAATCTATACTACTCTGACTGCTCACCTTGCTCTCACCCATTTCAGCTGCTGCATATTTATAGAGAGTATTCCAGTACACTTAGGAAGGCGTCAGAAAGCCAACAAGTTTTCACAGACTACTTCTTCAATATGGGCACAGAGGATGGGGTCAAATCCACTCTATGCAAAATGAGGACTAATTTAGATAATAAAACTAAGAATTTCTGAAATCTGAAACAAATGCACGTTGGCTGCTTATTAAATAAAATCATGTAATTATAGTTTTTCAACTTCTTGTTTCTCATTTTTTTCAGGATTTTCTACCTGTGACATCATGACTGCATTAAGCAGCTCTCCTAACTTCTCAAATCTAGTTTCATTTTTTTTTTTGGCCCAATTTATAACATGGACAAAGTAATTACTAATGACATATTTAGTAGCAATTAAAACTTAAACTATTTTTCCTGTCTCTTTAGAGAAACATACATACAAAACAACTATTTCTAAGATAAATATAAAAGTATAAGTAGTGTCACAAGAAAAGTCTAAATAAGCAAATGCATGGTACAAAGATGATAATTAAAATGAAGAAAAGCTGTTATCAATCCTGAAAAACAGGTTTTTCAGCCCTGAAGTCTGATTTTTTTAATTAAAAAAAAAAAAGACCCAACTCACGTTCCATTTGCTCAAACATCACTGAGAAGAGGAAGTCTCGTGGTGTCATATAATATTCTCCTTCATGTTCGAGTGAAGAAAACTGCATGAAGCGCTGCTTACGAAGAGACGGTTTCCCAATATATATTATTCCATGTTCAACATTTTTCTAAAAGAAAAATAAATTGCAATTGAAGATTTTTTCAGTGTTATTCCCAGTCACTTCTAGGACAATCTTTAAAAAGTAACTTTCACGCTTGGATCTGACAATCCCCAAACTTTTAAAATCATTCATTTAACAAATATTAACTGAGTGCCTACTTCGCACTGAAGATACAATAGTGAATAAGACTAACTTGAGGGAAGTGACATTCCAAAAAGGGAGAATGGCAATTAATGAATAAATGTATAAAATAATGTAAAACGGTAAGAAGTACTACATAGAAATATAAAGCAGGATAAGAAAGGGATAAGGTGGTAATACCATAAGATAGTCAGAGAAGGTCTTTCTGAAGAGGTAACACTTAGAGAGATTAAACGAGGTGGAGTTAGTGTGTCCTGGGGTTGGGGGGTCTCTGGAAGAAAAGCATTCTAAGCAAGCACAAAGTCCATGAGGTGGGAACAAGCTTGGTGTGGTCAAGGAACAGCAGAAAGGCCACGTTACCAGAGTGACTGAGGAAAGAAGAGAGTGGCAGAAGAGAGTCAGGAGGGCAACAGAACATGTGAAGTTGTGCTTTCATAAAGATAAAATATATCATATTAGATAAATAGCTTTGCTTTCAGAAATGTGAGAGAACCATGGGTAGAAAGAGCTAGAAGAAGGATGGGTAAAATATTGCAGAATATATAGGAATATGGTGGAAGAGTCTGCACCTCAGGCAGTAGGACTTAGACCTTGACTAAGTGCTAATGAAGAGAGTGCTGAAATCTTTACAAAGAACTTTTTGTTGAGCATTTCTATGTATTAGGCACTGTACTAATCAAGTATTCACATAGATTATTTAGTTAATCCTCATAATAACTTTGAGCAGTAGATACAGAAACTGAAAAGTAAACGGCAGAGGCAGGCTAAAAAGCTAGGTCTGACTCAAAGGGTTTTAATCTCTTAACTACCACACTATCCTCCTACACATGACTGGGCATTGTGAACTAGGGAGACTGGAGGAAGATGACACAGTAGTTAAAAGACACCTATGTCAATGCACGAATCTTGATACAAGAACATATTATCTGTGAAATCCAATAGCAGGCTTTCATTCTGGATTGCTTTCCTGAGACACTGCTCTAACCTGGACCACAGTATCCTTCCTGGACATATCACCTTCTTTTCACACTGAATACTGATTCTATAATACTCTCTGACACACAGGCAATGTTCAGTGACTGCTGACTTGAATTGAAATGGGAAAAACATGAATTCCAGTTGCTTAAATCTCTCTTAATTCAAAGCTGTCAACCCCTTCTTTTGGCTGATTTCAGTTCTCTGACCAGTATTAATTCTCTCTCTTAATTAGACAACAGGCTTCCTTGAGCAGCTAGTTTTACACCTCTTTTGTGTTGTCAGTGTCTACCAGAATATTGCACGTGTACAGAATATCAATAATATTGTAATGATCTGTACCCTCACCTTCCCTATGCCTTTCCTTTTCTTTTCCCTTAAATGACTACTACAAAAATAGCTGAAGGGGAATGTTTTAATTACGTAAGTCCACACTTACCATCCCCGTAATCAGAAAACTAAATTTTATTGATACTTTCTGAACATTTTAAACGTGGGGCAAATATACATGTTTTCAACCAACAACTTGATCCTTTTTGTAAAAATAAACAAACTCTTCTTTCCAAACCTCAACCAACTAAAAAAGGTCAGCTACTCGTTTATCCCTGTCCTCTACTGGTGCCATAACAAGATAGGCCATTAACTCTATGTTTCTTCTGATTGTCCTTTAACTTGTAGCAATCTTATTCTTTCCTGGTCCTAACTAATATCAAATCTCATCAAGAAGTAAAAACACTAACCTCCCACTCTCTTACAGCAAGACATGAAAACTATTTTCAAAGAAATTCTGTTTTTTTTTTCTTCTAGGAGGTTTAGACCCCACAAACTCCTCTATCTTATGGTTACCATTTTTATATGCTTATACATGCCTATAACTCATACAGGATAACATTTTTGAAGAGGCTTCAGTCAGTTATTCAGGGAAGTGCCATCTTACTGAGTTGAAAGGTTGAGTGAACTGTCACTCCTTTGAATTTTGGGTAAATATCCCCTGTAGCGAACAAGAAAAGGTAGAGGAATTGAAACTAAGGCTCGCTTTCTTTCAGAGGTTGATTTCCGAGCTTGAGGCTGTCATTGAATTGCAGACCATGAATTTAGAAGGTCACTTATAGAAAAATGACCTCTGAATTTGTCCGACTGCCATGACTCTACCAGTACATGGTGAGGTATAAAACCTTCCAACAACGCTATCAACATCCCCCCAATTAATTTTGGTATGGTAGCTTTTCCTTCCTGCTACTCTATAGTCTAAATAAACCTATTCTACTACCCCCAAACCTTTCAACTCCCACTGGCAGCACTAATAATGTCTCTCCTTTTCCTAATCCTTTCCACTACCTCTCATGCTCTGCTTATAGAGTACAAAACTATCATCTGGAGGTCATCACCACGGCAGATTGTAATCCTACCATTTTCCTTAGGAAATATGCAGAGGAAGCCCCCAAGTCACCATCTCCTACTATTAGTCTTTCTGTTCATCCTAAGCCCCACCTTCTCTGAAGAAAACACTGAATTGAGCATTTACTAATTTGAGGAGACTCTAGGAAGAGACAGAACACATAAGAATCAAGGGGGCAACTCTGTAGTATTATAATATACTGTAGTATTATATATTAATATATAATACTCTGTATTATAGTATCTAATGTTTATTAAGTATGTAGTATATGCAGAGCAGGGTGCTAATATCTTTACATACATGTTCTTACTCAGTCTCCACAATGCCCTTAATAGTAGACACCATTTTTGTCATCTTCGTTTTACAAAAAAAAAAAACAAAACACTTACGGCTTGTGAAAGTTAACCAGCTTGCCTAGATTGTAAGTGATAGCACAGGCAGTATGACATCAACCCCACTGTCTCAACCACGATCCTATACTAGCTCCTGTTAGAATAATATAAATTAGGAAAATAGAAAAAGCAGTGTGGGTAATGGTAGTTGGGAAAGTTTTTATGAAAAGAATAGGATTTAAGCTAAACTTCAGAGAATAAATAACAACAGAACTAGAATTAGTCATCCTTTAGTCCCTGGGCTAACTGTTGTCCATTTCCTAAATGGTATGTATTACTTCTCTAGTTCAATCAAATTTAAAGTAAGTAGGATGCACTGAATGTGTTTCTTTGCTACAACAAAATTTATGTAAAGGAAAAAACATGTATTGTTCTGAAATTACCAGAGCCTTTCTAATTCCAAGTTGATGAACCAACATAGTTTTTTTAGGTCATCTTTATTATACGGTAGTAGAATTTTAAAAGTACATTTTAAAGGATCACTAATATAATCAATGTGCAGTGTATATTTATGCTTATTTCATAGAATTTGGAAGATTAATTTGCCAATGCCATTTTTAACCTTTTATTCATCTGTCAGGCTTAGCTTGCTTTACTTCATTTTTATAATAATTCTGATCAAATCCCAGACTTGATAGATTTAATGGTCAAGAATGTAATAACCACAATATTGTTCCCAAGAAGAAAAAAGGTGCCTTATTATATCATTTCCACGAATGCACTGTAATAAAAGTCTGTTTTTTGTCTATTTTGTCAACTAAACTCTTGAAGCATAAATTTCATCTTTGTTTCACTGTACTGTGCAAAGCATTTGGCCTGGTGCCTTACACATATTGCGACTATAACTGACATACGACATAGAATTTTAAGAGTTAAAAGGGACTTAGAGATCATCTAGTCCAACACTTCTGTGTAAAGGACCAGAAGTCATGTCTTCTGAGTTCCATACCCTGTTTGGTTAACTAGTTTGCTTATTAACTACTTCACATAAATGTTGGGAACAAGTGGCTAAGGTCCAAATGCTGCTAATTTATAGCCTAGGGAAATGCATGCCAAATTATTCCTTATTAATAACTTGAACAACTAAAAACATAGTTTACAATAAGCCTTTGGCAGAAAATGTAAACTATTTCTTAATCTGTTCTTTTCCTTTCTTTCTTCACTTCTTCCTTCCTTCCGTGTGCTTTTCCTGGTAACGTGTGCGTGCTCTCTCTTTTCCCAGTTTTCTCTTCCCTCTTAGGTTTCAGGTTGCTTTTTTTTTGTTGCTGCTATTTTCATGTTCCCTGAACTAACCATGTTGCTTCGGGTACTCATTTACTTTAATCTCTGTTATCTCTTTTTCACTGTGGCATATTCGTGGTAGGTTAGGCTTGGTAAACTGAGCTAAGGCAAAGAAAACGGCTTGTAGACTTAAGTAAGCACAGTTAGAATATCAGTTTGGATGGGGAGGATAAAGAGATATAATAAACGTCAAGATATCAAAGTTATTTGAGACCAGCCTGAGCAATGTAGTGAGACCCTGTCTCTATAAAAATAATAGAAATTAAAATTTTAAAAAAAATCAATATTAGGCTGGGCACGGGGGCTCACGCCTGTAATCCCAGCACTTTGGGAGGCCGAGATGGGTGGATCACGAGGTCAGGAGATTGAGACCATCCTGGCTAACACAGTGAAACCCCGTCTCTACAAAAAATACAAAAAAATTAGCCAGGCGTGGTGGCAGGAGCCTGTAGTCGCAGCTACTCGGGAGGCTGAAGCAGGAGAATGGCGTGAACCCAGGAGGTGGAGCTTGCAGTGAGCCAAGATCGTGCCACTGCACTCCGGCTTGGGCAACAGAGCGAGACTGCGTCTCAAAAGGGGAAAAAAAAGAAAGGCAAAACAGAGTAGGAGATATTTAAACTGGATCTTAAAGGATGAGCAGGAGTTTGCCAAGACAGGGAACAGCAGTAGAGCAAGCTCCACTAAAGGTGGCTCTGACAGCTGGGGAGCCAGATTCATGATGTAGAGGGTCTTTGAGCTATGTGACAAAAATGGACAGAGCAAAGTAACAGCAGCCATACAGTACTGCAAAGATCATCATGAATTTTCACATTTTCTTTTGTTAATCTATAAAATAGCCACCAAATATGTAAGACACTGGAGCCTATATGGAAATTTGGAATTGGATATCTGATACCATGATTCAGCACTCTTAATCTACCTATCTAATAAACTTAGTTAGTTTCAAAACCCTGCCATATTAAAAACATTAAATTATAAGTGCTAGATTAAAATACACTAATGGTAGAAGGGAGATCTAACAGCCTGACAGTAAGGCAGGAGAGAAAAATAATACAAAACAGTGACAAGTGAAATGAGTGACTGTGGCATAAGTTTTAATCATTGAGGTTTATTAAGCCAGCTGTACGCTGTGTCCGGGAAAAACATAAGCTACAAACGTATCTGTGGCTGTTTTTCTGGAGGTTTTCAGGAGTTTTAGTATTTATACATTTCCTTAAAATGAGGGAGGGCATGTAGGAAGAGGGGCAGGTAGGGGTAAGGCGAATGGTTACATTCCTGTGAGACTTCCGTTAGTGCCAAGTGAATCTACATTTTACAGAAGATAAGGTGAGTGGAGAGAAAGGGAGTAGTCCTTTTCTCTTTGTACTTCCCCTGGGAGATACATTTGTAATTCACATTATCAGTGTAGAATTTAACACACTTTAGTTTTAGGAGCTAGACTTAGACTGTATACCTAAAGTTATAATTGGCATGTCCTTGTTTATGGGAGGCTAGCAAAGAATTTACTTATGAATAGTCTGTGGGGTAGCCCTTCCCACATGCCTAAGGCTTTTTTCCTTTCCAGGAGGACCTCGCTAAAGTATACTGTTGCATGATTCAGCCTCCAGGCTTAAGTTTGGGGGTCCTGGGATTTTAAATTTTTCTTTATAGTAGACACAGCTGCAATTGCCTGGACCAATCGATGTTATTACAACCAATCAACAGGCCCAGGTCTATACATGGTGATGATTTTCTGTCCAGAGTAATTTATTATTAGGGAATATCAGAATGTAGAAAAATATGAAATACATTTTAGCTGTTGTTAATGTAAATAATACAAAAAAAAAATGTTTTCCTGCTTACACAGCTAATTTTAGTTACCTGGGAAGATTCACATACACCACACGCCTCATACTCGACTAATGCCATATAAATTCAACATTATTGTCTGATTTTACTATATATTCAAAGTACTTCGTAGAATGTATGTTATATAAAAATACCAGGGCTATATCTACATAAACTGAAAATAGAGCTGTGAGTGGAGACGTAGTCTTTCAGAAAAATAAAGGTAGACAGTTTGGGGTTGTCAAATACTGTTACATGTCAAATAAAATTATACCACATGATGCAAATGCTTTCACCTTTCTAACAATGTTAACATACATTTTTTTGTTTTTTTTTTTGAGACGGAGTCTCACTCTGTCATCCAGGCTGGAGTGCAGTGGCGCCATCTCGGCTCACTGCAAGCTCCGCCTCCTGGGTTCATGCCATTCTCCTCCTCAGCCTCCTGAGTAGCTGGGACTACAGGCGCCCGCCACCATGCCCGGCTAATTTTTTGTATTTTTAGTAGGGACGGGGTTTCACCGTCTTAGCCAGGATGGTCTTGATCTCCTGAGCTAGTGATCCGCCCACCTCGGCCTATAAAAGTGCTGGGATTACAGGTGTGAGCCACTGCGCCCAGCTTGCTGCCATCTTATGTTTAAGCATACTAAGTATGAACAATCCTAGAGGACCTCAGGGGAAACTGATCCGTTTTAGTTTCTCAGAAAATGTAAATAAGGTTAGAACCATAATGCCTTGACCGCTGCATTCAACCTTTTAAAAACTGTTGTCCAAGGAGTTAATAATTAAAAAAAAAAAAGACACAGTAGAGGATTAGACATAATTAAGATTATTCTGAAAAGGCACACATTGCCTTCATATATTATGTGGAGAAATAAAAGCAGTACAAGGTGGGTAACAGCACTGCTACTATTCAACCTGCAAAATTGGAGAGAATTTTTTGTCCCTCCTCACCTCAAACTGCTTATTGTAGTTAAACACAACATTTCAGAAGGAGTGGAACAAAAAATATTAATCTTAACCTTCATTTGAGATTTCCTAAGTTGCTTCTACAAACCTACTCGGTTGGCAGTGTATACAGTTACATATAAATAACCAATGGACTGGCAGGAGAAGCAGCTGCCTGAGGAACTAGCTGGTCAGGAAGAGAGGAAGGGTATGGAATGCAGTGGTGGAGATCAAAGAGCTGCTGAGGGACTGTTGGTGGCTGTTATCCTATCCCTACCCGAGATGCAACTTACAGTCTTCTGAAGTGGAAAGTGGTGGGAGTGGAGGGATGGATTCCTTCTATTGCCATGATTTGCTTCTCAAACCTGCATCTACTACTAAATATATGGAAAAAGAGGAGCAGAAGAAATGCTGGGATTTGGGGCTATACTGAACACATGAGAACCATCCACATGGTTCTAGTTATATATAAAATGCTCCATGGATTTCAAGGATTACTTGTAATGCAGTAAAAAATGTGACAAAGGAATTAAGAGCAATGAGTGATGTGAACTGGATAAAAGAGATCTTTGAAAGCTGATGACTTCTGTTAAAACATTTCACTAGTTTATTGCCTCTAAAGCAACAGGTGCTTCACCACTCTGTCTCTACTTTTTATCCATGAAGTGACATATTGGAAAAAGTTAGTTCTCTGTTCTTTGTTTAACATTCTTTGGTCTCCACATTTCTCAGGAAGAAAGTGGGAAAAGAAAGGGCCTTCCCTATAGCTTTCAATATATATATACATGGCATTAGACAAAATATAGTGAGACCTATTCATTTGGGGCCTTTATTTTCGAATTTGTAATAATCTGGATAAAATATAAAATTGCTCTGTTGTCTTTGAACTTTCTGTGGTGTAACTGGATGACTATCTTTCCTTCTTAAAGAAACCTTTACAATCAGAAATTTTCATTTGACACAACTTTTCCATTTTGTTCTGAATTAGGGAGCTTTTATTGCATATGAAACAAAATACTGCCAGACTAAATTAAAAATATTCACTGCATAAGCTATGCCTCACAATACATTCTACAAAATGACAGCCAATGAGACAACTGTCATTCCTGGGAAACCTGGAAGCTCTAGGAACTACTCTCTCTGGCTTCTGAAATATCGTCTGATCTATGATGGTCTAGTCTAGACTTTGTCCCAGAGACTGGAAGAAAGCTAGCATGGCTTTTTTTAGATGAGGATGGTAAAATGAAATGGCATATGCTTACACACACAGACACACATACACACATAATTTTTTTTTCAACCCCATAGATTTCTATCTGGAGAACAGTGGCCACTGTCAGGGGATGCTGATGAGTAAATAAACAAGCATCTTCTCTTTCAGTGCTTTCTCTTTCCTGATTAAATAACTGAACGGAATACTCATTTTTGCTTCTTCCATAATTACCTTCCAAGAGGTACACCATAACTACATATATTTCTGTCTCTGTTTGAAACAAAAAGTTTAAACTAGGTTTCGAATGATTAAAAAAAAAAAAAAGACTAGGCCGAGTAGGGTGGCTCATGCCTGTAATCCCAGCATGTTGGGAGGCCAAAGTGGGAGGATCCCTTGAGCCCAAGAGTTTGGGACCAGCCTGGGCAACACGGCGAGACATCATATCTACAAAAAAACACACAAATTAGCTAGGCATGGTGGCTCACACCTGTGGTCCCAGCTACTTGGGAGGCTGAGGTGGAGGTGGGAGGATCGCTTGAGCCTTGGAGGTCAAGGCTCCAGTGAGCCGAGATCGCACCACTGCACTCCAGCCTGAGCGACAGAGTGAGACTCTGTCTCAAAAAAAAAAAAAAAAAAAAAAAAAAAGGCTAGAGCCTTAATTTAAAATCTGAATACTCCCACCAAGGTATCATCAATATCATTTATTGCAACTATAACTAAATAACATTTTTCTTAAGAATTGAATGAGCTACTTTAGTTTATTTTCCTCCACAGGAGAAGGTAAAATACTACTTGTGAACTCTTTCTACAACTATTCAACATTATCAATTTATTTAATAAACCTGTCTCCCATGACCAACCATCTTACAGAGATAAAATGGTGGGTGAAGAGGAACTCACTCCCTAGTGGGGAAGGCATAATAGAAGGTGATGTTAGAGCAGAAGTATGAAAGGAACAACAAACATTTAGCAAATGTGTATGTTCCACGAGGATAAATTTAAGTATTTTTCACACATTATTTCTCAACCATGACATTTTGATTTCTTACTTTTCACAATGAGATATGCAACAGACTAATATTTTTCAGTGTTATATAATTAAATTTGAATAGAAAACTAGCAACAGGTCTGGTATCTTGATTTATCTTGACTGTGATCTCTTTTTTTTGGGCAGCTGAGAAGTAGATGCAGAGCAGTAACAAGGAACTTCTGTGATATAAGCTCTAATTTCAGGAATCTTATGTACCCATGCAAAAAGACTTCCTGGAAACTGAGAACTTCAAGTAAGTGGTGCTATTGGGGGGCTGAGTCATAAACAGAGGCTACCACTAGGGATAACAACATTTAGGATATTATATCCTATAATATATGACACAGTATGAAGCAAAGAGGAGATGGATTAAAGGATCCCTCTCTTCTTCTATCCCTTCTTGGGGAACAGCTGCAGTCTGTAGCTGTATTTTACAGTTTGTGACTGCAGTAGGAAAGTGATTCATTCATATAGTATTTTGCCCTGCTCCCCCATTTTCTGTGACCCACTCAGACTTCCATACCCCAGTCCTCAGCAAATGGCTGTCACCTCCATGTGCTTCCCCAGCTTACAGGAAACTGACAGTGAGGATTCTTAAAGCTCATGGCTGAATACTGACTGATAGCAGTTTGCCTCTCTATCACCAAATCTCTCATGCCCCACCCCTAACCCTATACAAAATTTGCTTAAATACTGGAATTATTTTTTAAAAAGCCCTGCAAAGTATGTTGATTGCACACAAATAGATTTTTTTGAGACAGTTTTGCTCTACAAATAGAAATTTTATCCAAAACAAAAATAGAACAAAAAATTTTAAAACTTTCAGGTAAATGGAATAACGAAGGTTTGAATTCAGGAGCAGATTTGCAATTTCTTACTTAAAAAATTATACTTCTTTTAAAAAATTCCATTGACATTATTTCTGAATTGGTCTTTGTACAATTCAGAAAACAAAACGTGTGTAAAACAAATATAGTACTAGCTCTCTTCAATGTCAATCTCAGTTTTGATCACTGTTAACAAGATTTTCCTAAAACAGATTTGACTTGCTGGGGTGTCCTTAGAGCTTCAGCATTCACTTGACTGACTTACATTAACTTGAGTAAACCTTTCCAAAAGACAGATTAAATAACCACTTACTTGCCTCTAATTAAAACACCTTACAAAGCTAAGCATGTAATATAGCCTCCCTTTTTAATTTGGCTAACTTACTTGTTAAGAATTAATTCTGGGCTGAGCTTGGTGGCTCATGTCTGTAATCCCAGGACTTTGGGAGGCTGAGGGAAAAGGATCACTTCAGGCCAGGAGTTGTAGACCAGCCTGGGCAACACAGCAAGACCCTGTTTCTACAAAAATTTAACAAATAAAAAAATTACCCAGATGAGGCTGGGCGTGGTGGCTCACACCTGTAATCCCAGCACTTTGGGAGGCCGATGTGGGTGGATCACAAGGTGAGGAGTTCAAGACCAGTGGCCAACATGGTGAAACCCTGTCTCTACAAAAATACAAAAAAATTAGCTAGGTGTGGTGGCGTGCACCTGTAATCCCAGCTACTTGGGAGGCTGAGGTGGAAGAATTGCTTGAACCCGGGAGACAGAGGTTGCAGTGAGCCAGGATCATGCCACTGCACTCCAGCCTGGGTGACAGAGCGAGACTCGGTCTCAAAAAAAAAAAAAAAAAAAAAAAAGTTACCCACATGTGGTGGCGCACACCTATAGTCCTAGCCACTGAGGAGGCTGAGGCAGGAGGATCACTTGAGCTTACGAGTTCAAGGTAACCAGGAGCTATAATTGTGCCACTGCACTCCGGCCTGGGTGACAGATTTTGTCTCCAAAAAAAATTTAAAATAATAATAATAATAATAAATTAAAAGAAAAAAATTCCAGTAGTTATCTGCTCTAGGAGTCCTTCTAGAAGCAGCTATTTTGGGTTAGGTGTCCTCCCTTGTGGGCATATAGAACCCTGAGTAAGTTTTTATCAAAGCCGTAGTAACCCTGCACTGGAATTGCCTGTTTACTACATTGAAGTCCTCAAGAATAGAAAGTATCTTTTTTATTCTGTATCCCCAGTGCCTAGTGCATGGCTAACATGGTAACATTCATGGGTTTTTATGAATGGGAATCAATTCCAAACTCAAAGTGTGTCCTTAAAAAATAATTTTAGAGCTGGGCTTAGTGGCCCACGCCTTTAATCCCAGCACTTTGGGAGGCTGAGGCAGGAAGACTACTCTAGCCCAGGAGTTTGAGACTAGTCTAGGGAACACAGGGAGACCCCATCTCTAAAAAATATTTAAAAAATTAACTCAGGCATGGTAGCACATGTCCATGGTCCCAGCTACTCAGGAGGCTGAAGTGGGAGGATCACTTGAGCCTGCGAGGTTGAGACTGCAGTAAGCCAGTGAGCCATGATTGCGCCACTGGACTCCAGTCTAGGTCACAGAGTGAGACCACATCTCAAAAAAAAAAAAATATTTTAGTCTGTGAACCAATATGCAAAAGTGGGTTATGCTGATGTATTTTAAAGCCTTATTAATAATTTACTGAAATATCTTTAGATAACCAGGTATATACTCTGCTATGTGCAACCTCACTAAAGATATACACAAATAGGGGCCCTTTAGTTTCCCTTTAACTGTAAATTACTGCATATTGCTAATTACTTTAGATTTTAAAAATGCCTTTGTAACAAGAGGAAAGAGGTAAAGCCATTGACAGGTGGTGGCAGTGTTAACTGTACCAAAGGATACTGCCTTATTTTTCGCTAAGCATAGAAATCATGGAATCTTAGAAACAGAATGCTCTGAAACTGGATTACACCAGCTGCTTCACATTCTCCTGTAAATCTGAATGAATGACTTGATGGATTTCAGGCCTTATACCATGGTTGATTAAGGTTTTAGTGGAGTTTTTCAGCTTCATCTTGGAGTACATTAACAGACTGTAATGAGATATTTCTAAGATAAAATTCTGCTAATAAAATGTACTTACAGGAAATGAGCAAAGAATGAGCCAGATATTATACCAAAACAGGTAGTTTACCAGCAAAGGTACTAAGATACATGCAATTCATATTTCTGTTCTTGTTTATTAATTAAATCACCAGTAAATAAACATATAAATTGCACAATACAAAAATAAAGTAATACAGATATGATTATATAATATTCTGGCAAATTAATGTATTATTTAAGCAAAGCTCTGCCTTTTTTTTTTTTTTGAGATGGAGTTTCATTCTTGTTGCCCAGATTGGAGTGCAATGATGCAATCTTGGCTCACTGCGACCTCTGCCTCGTGGGTTCAAGAGATTCTCCTGCCTCAGCCTCCTGAGTAGCTGGGATTACAGGCTCCCGCCACCACGCCAAGCTAATTTTTTGTATTTTTAGTAGAGAAGTGGTTTCACTATGTTGGCCAGGCTGGTCTTGAACTCCTGACCTCAGGCGATCCACCCACCTCAGCCTCCCAAAGTGCTGGGATTATAGGCGTGAGCCACCACGCCCGACTCAAAGCTCTGCTTTATATCAGTTATGAACACATATAGAGCAAATCATTGAAGATCTAGCACAAATTTGCCAAAGTCTCCCTTTCTGCTTTTACCTTATTCTTTCTGAAATATTTTGTAAGATACCCATGGTCTCAAAAAAATATTAAATATATAATCCAATAAAATACATCATTAACTGAAAAAAAAATCTATGCTCTCAGTAATTTCTGAGGATACTTTTAACAGTGAAGATTCTAAAAAATTTCATTGCAGAATTTGCAGTATAACGACGGAAACCAAACAAGTTTTGCGGTTTTTTTGGTTATTTTTCTGTTTTGCTTTACAGTAGCACCAAGCATAACTAAAGTAAAACTACTACTAAATATGTAGAAAACAATTTCTCACTTTACTACTTCAATTGCCACCACTACTAGAACCAGGGTCACTTTTCTCCTTCAACTGCCTCTACCCATTTTTCTTTTACAACAGTTGGTGTCAAATGGGGAAATGTGAGTGCTACATCTTAACCTCAAGCACAGGAAGCAGTATAAAATTATGCCAGTGAATCATATACTAAGTAAAATTGTTAGCATTTGCCCAGGCAGCAGTGAGGTCTACACCAAATACAAAGTTCTCTGGTGCAGGTTAAAGAAAAATCTTTACCTTGATCCCCAAGAATTTTGGAATCTTATATGAGAAACAAAACCAGTGAAAACTTGTAGTTTATAAGTTGTTACATACATACTTTTAAGGGTAGGCATGGACAGAGCTAGCATTTGGGTAATCTTTCCCTTTTAAAACTTATTGGCGAATCTACTCCTGTGTCTTTATAATCAAGAATAATCCTAGTTAGATCTTGGGAAGAGAGGGGAGCAGACATTTGTAGACTAGAATAGACAGAGCCTGATATTCTACAATGATCCAGGCAACCTAAATCTCCAAACTTGAATTGCTTGTGAAGTACTCTTAAATATTTAAGAGTAACTCTTAAATATTTGAAAACTCAAATGAATTTTGTCACTTTTAGTCTAAAATTAGTTTCTAAATATTTATGGGCTATTGTTTAGATAGTCTCTTAACTTATAACTTTATAAAACTTCATGTAAGTAACAAATATTATTACCAGTATTAATAATATTCCTGAAATTATGGGTATACTCCTTAGGCTGTGAAAACTTGAATACCCCAACTCACTTACAGGCTGGAGGATGAATAAACTTGAAGAAGCTCCCTTGAACAATGAAGGTTAGTGGCAACAGACAAAGGTGTCTGTTCCATTTATAAAGGTGTAAACAGGATAAGCTAGTAAAACAGGGCTAACTGGGTTAGAATAGAGAATGTACAGAGTCAGAACAAAAGAGATGAACTAGTGAAGAGCAAGAGGCAAACATCAACAATTACCTGATCTGAAGGTAACAGCAGGTAAAAATTAGCAGTAATATAGTGACATAATCAAAGCAGTGAAGTGGAAAATAAGTTTAGATCTAGCCTTTGAAACATTTTATGTGAAGGATAAATACTAAGAACTAGGAAGAGACAAGGATGTAACCTGAAAATTTAGAGCAGAGGTTCTGCAACCTCCACCTCCTGGGTTCAAGCAATTCTCGTGCCTCAGCCTCTTGAGTAGCTGGGATTACAGGCATGCACCACCACACCAGGCTAATTTTTGTATTTTTAGTAGAGATGGGGTTTCACCATGTTGACCAGGCTAGTCTCAAACTCCTGGCCTCAAGTGATCCACCCACTTTGGCCTCCCAAAGTGCTGGGATTACAGGTGTGAGCCACTACTCTGCCTACAGCAGAGGTTGTTAACCTTACATGACATAATCATACTTCTGGGGTTCATAACTCCCTGAAATCTGTGTGAAACATGTTTGTGCATTTTTTTGGGAAAGAGTATGTAACTTTTACCACATAATCAGATTCACACCCTATTCAAAGATCAGGAAAAATGACAAAGATGAATGATAAAATGGTAAAATACAATAATTAGTAAAATAAAATGTCTCAATTTTAAGTAGTGCACGTTAGAATAATGTATATAGTTAATGAAGTTTAAACAGCTGAGATGAATATTTGACTCAGTCCCTTTTTGATATCTAGTAGTAAAGGTCTCTTTTAAAATTTAAGTGAAAAGAGCTTACCCAACATGACTAAGTATGAAATGTAAAATCTATTAATTCCAGGTCGTCTAAAAATGTCACCAGCTAAAGCAGATTAATTAAAATAAAGAATACACACAACTGCTATCTAGCACAAATAAAGCAAAGAACTACAGGAAATCATTGCTACACAAAATTTTTTAATAAAAGCTTGGTCTTTAACAAAACCTTACATGCATATCTGCATAATTCTGATTTTTGTTTTCACTATACCTTTTCCTGGATGTGGCAACAAAGCCACTGCGGGGTGCCTTCCCCTGCTCTATATAAGTAAGTGGCCATCACATTAACTATGATAAATACTTATAGCTTTTAGTAGAGAAACAACTAAAGAGAAATACGGGTGACAAGAGACTGGAGAGCAAGGAGACAGGGGCAAGGGCTAGTCTCCAAAAGGGCCTGGACAGCTTACTTTCCCTCTAATGACACAATGTGGAACTACAATAATCATGTCTTAGCTTTAGCACTAAATAGCTTTATTTCTATAAAAACTCTATCTACTGAAGATACAATAGCCAAAACTTTTAACAGTAACTAGTCTTCTCAAGTCATCATAAGAAGAGGATGGTTTTTTACAAGTTTCCTTTTGACTTTTCCCCTAATTTTTCTATAATATACATGTATTTCAATAAGAAAAAAAGCCAACATAAGTAATTTTTAAAAAAGAATTGAGAAACAAGCAACAGCTCTAGCCCCCTTCCTGATATATATCAAAGAATTTCAGTAAACATAAATTATTATTTTGTTAGATATGAGTTCTAAATTTCTCTTCAAAGAATATGTACGTTCAATTATTTGCTTTCTACTTTTAAACTTAACTTCCTTCTAAAACAACCTTTTTCGATTACCTGCTCCACCCTGACTCATTCTAATTACCTGCTCATTCTCCACACTGACTCATTCCAATTTCCTGCTCTGCCATAAGTGTTTTTCCCACCAAACCACTCACCCCGTCACTCTCTTTAGCCAATTGGAATTAGTTTAGCCTGTGCGGTCTAACCCTAGCCAATAGGGGAAAGACACAGCAGCAGGGGCCACGTGCATCAGGGGTAAGAACCCCTTCCCCTCCCTTGTCCAAGTGTGCGCTCACCATTGTTCCATCTGTAAGGGCGCACTCTTCTGTAGAAGTACATTGCCTTGCTGAGAATTAAAAAGAAAAATTTATATTCGAGTGCTATTTCTTTTGCAGCGTGGAAACTTCATTTATAACCATTTCTTCAGTGTTTCAGGAAGCAATCTTTTTACAACTATAATTTAAGATGGATTTAAGCACTGCCTAATGGTCAAGTCTACTAATGAAATACAAAGTACTAGTTTAAAAACAAAAAGGCTGGGCTAGCTCATGCCTGTAGTCCTAGCTACTCGAGAGATTGAGGAGGGAGGCCTGCTTGGGTCTAGGAGTTTGCCTTGAGCTATGATTGCACCACTATGCTCTGGCCTGGGCGACAGAGACCTTGTCTATATAAGTAGAAAACAAAAACAAAAACAAAAAAGTTGCAGTATTAAATAAATAAACATGCTTCAATCACTGATAAAAAGTGATCAGTCAGTATTAAGTTTTTTAAAAAATAAAAGTGTGTCTCTGTAAAATACACTACTGATTGCCTTTGTATTGCAACGGTTTCCTGGTTGAACCCCAATGCTTCCTCATAATCATTATTTTCTGGCTTGCCATTAAAGTATCTTACACTTGGTATGTCTGAGAATAGGAAATACTAGGACAGACAAGTCTTTCATATATACTTCAACATATGTAGGCTGCTGGATCAGTTATCATCTGATAATTAAATGAGCCTTTGGGAAGTGCTCAGCTGTTTCCTGTTTTTCCTTTGCAGTAGGGCAGTCACAGCTCCATGCATGGGGCTCCCGCTAAAGCAACAGTCAAAGCAGTACTACTACCATCACCGAAAGAGCAGTTCCCTGACCTGAAATTCAATCCTGGAGCATTCCAAGCATTCCAGAACTTCCCAGGACTGGGCCTGAATGGAGGCAGAGCCATATTGAAAATGTGCTGATTTGAGCTGGTTTCTTAACTGGGCAATTATGACCAAGTTAAACTGAAAAAGTTTTTGTCCTTAAAACAACAGTGTGATTTAATCTCCTGACATTTAAGAAACATAGAAATCAACCCATTTACAGCTTCTCACTGTATATAATCTTCTAATTGCATATACTAGTGAATAAGAAAAATGACATAATTTCAAACAGTAGATGTGCTGCATTATTCATATTTTCCTTTGAAATATCTGGAACAGTTTGTAGAAACACATTGTGCTTTCATATTTAAGGGTTCATTTTGCCTAATTTTAAAAATGGTTTGCACTGGCCAGGCACGGTGGCTCACGCCTGTAATCCCAGCATTTTGGGAGGCTGGGGCGGGTGGATCATGAGGTCAGGAGATCGAGACCATCATGGCTAACAGGGTGAAACCCCGTCTCTACTAAAAATACAAAAAATTAGCTGGGCGTGGTGGCAGGCGCCTGTAGTCCCAGCTACTCGGGAGGCTGGGGCAGGAGAATGGTGTGAAGCTGGGAGGCGGAGCTTGCAGTGAGCCGAGATCACACCACTGCACTCCAGCCTGGGTGACAGAGCGAGACTCCATCTCAAAAAAAAAAAAAAAGGTTTGCATTTCCAGGGTACATACAGCTAAGTGATGAGGGACTGAGGACAAAGATGCCTGCGATCTTAAGGTATACAAGTTTCTAGTACACAACACACAAAGTTAATGATATCCATGTGGATAAATTTCAGATTTTATAACACCTTATTTCCTTAGAAATATCTATGAACTATCTATGGAACCACATATCTATGGAACTTTCATAGATGTCTATGAAAATTTTAAGTCCAGGCTATACTTAAAAAATATGATTCATTATTATTTTTATATTGAAATTACTTATACTCTGAAAACATTTAATAATGTTATTTATGAAGTTATTGAGACAATATATTTACTACTAATTTACTCTACCAAATATTTACTGCTTTTTAAACTATAAATAAAACATTTAAATTCATATACTGCTACTATTAGTGGCTTATGGTGTGTTTATGCACTGTTGTAATTCATAAAACCCCAAAATTCACAGTAACAGAAGCATAATTTGTATATATTAGCTACTAAAACACATGGTTTATAGAACAAGAACAAACAGTAATATTTACTTGGATTCCACTAAACAATATAAATGCAAAAGAAAAGGTTAAATATACTTTGCTGTTACAATTTGTTGTTCTTTCCCCCAGAAGAGTCACTGTATAGATTTACAGTAGGATCGTTAACTACTGTCCTATTACACAATGAAGGAATGTAAGACAACCTCTCATTCATGCAGGACAAACAGCTATGCCAAAAGCACAAATTACATCTAATTACAGGGTATAACTTTGTCATCTCTCTTTTCATAATCTAGCCATTTACAACTTTGATTTTTGACTTCCATTTGGGTTTATTAACATCATAGCTTTGTCATCACCTGTTTCTACAGATATTTTTACCTGAGGCAGTAAAGTATAAAAACTTCTTTGCATTCTTCCTTTACTGTTGCAAGAAAGCTTTAGTCTTCACTGGGATTACAATGTTTCATGGTTATTAAACTTCTGTATGTTGCTATAAAGTTTACTGCTCTTGGCCTACCAATTTTACATGTACTGTCATTAAACCAATGCACTGCACACAAATATACTAGCAGTACACTCCAATAAGTTCCAGTTTTACCTACTGTTAATGTCCTATTAGCATATATATTTTTTCTTTTTCACAAAAATAATCACTACAAATCTATGGTCAGACAGCTTGAAATAAAAGAAAACAATGCCAATTTAATTTTATGATTAGGGCTCTTATAGCAAATTCAAATAGATCCATCTTATTAACTACATTGAGTGTTTAAAATATTCACTGACATGCAATAGACAAAGATTCTACAACTAATAAAACTGCAAATTCACTTCCTAAGTTATTAATAATATAGTTCTGCTTGTTTAAACATAACGGTCCACATTTCTTGCTTTTATTTAACATCTGTAATCATCTCTTTTAGTCAGATTGTACTCACAAAATAAAAAATGAGTTCAAAATATGAATTTAAATAATATCAAAGAAAAGCAAACCATCTAGTATTCTCTATTTTAGAATTTTGACAATTTTTAAATTTAATGCCCAATATATTACTTGTATTAAACTCAAATACCAAGGTTTATGAAAAAACATTTTTTAGATAATACTTTACAGCAACATTAAAAAACCCCAATTAGCTGACTCACTAGAAGAAAGCCATTAGAAGTTTGTGGCAATTGGTCCTATATTTATCATAATTGTTGCATCTCAGCTCTCATGGTTCAGTTTCACAGTTTTGTAAATTATCCCCTCTCCCCCTAACTATCTGGGTTACCCGCTCCAGTAGCAGACTAAGATCCCTCTGATGATTACAGATCCCTGAATCTACTTTTTCAGAGCAGTTCACTATCCGTTTTTTTCTTTAAGCCTTTTTTAATAGAAGGAAAATGTAGAATTAGTCTATAATCAGCTTCTAGAATTTACTATACCCTCTGCTTTCATTCCTGTTGCAACAGAAAAAATATCCCTGCTGCTATGAAAATCCAACTTTTCTACTTGTGTTTTTTGTTTGTTTTTTTAAAGATAGGGTCTTGGTCTGCCGTCTAGGCTAGAATGTAACGGTGTGATCATGGTTCATTGCAGCCTCAGCCTCCCAGGCTCAAGAGATCCTTCCACGTCAGCCTGTCAAAGAGCTGGGACTACAGATGCACACCACCAATCCTGGCCATTTTTTTTTCTATTTTTTTGTAAAGATGAGATCTTGCTGTATTGCCCAGGCTGGCCTCAAACTCCTGGCCTCAAGTAATCCTCCTGCCTCGGCCTTCAAAGCACTGGGATTATAGGAGGGAGCCAACACACCTGGCGTGTTACAGCATATATTTTAGTCTTCCTTATAGCTTAAGCTTATGTTTATTACTCTCATTTTTCTCTCCATTTAAAAATTCTAACTTGCGCAGCATTTTTCTAAGTCACTAAATCTTTCTAGTATCAAGGTCAGCATAAATATACAAACATTTAAATATAGTATGTAAAAATGATGCATTAAAGTTGGTGAGAGAAGATGCTTAATTTTGTTTTCCTAGAAGCTGCTCTCCCAGGCATCTTCTTCCCTCTTTCCCATTATTATTTGTCTGACATTCCAGAGAGTATAATCTATATCCTAGGAAAATTATCTGTCATTTTGTACATCAAAGCTAAAAGCTCTCCTCTCTCAGATGGGTTAATCAAGACTTGGTTGCACCCTCTCTTCCTTCCTCCCCTTTGCCAGGGACGAGGGGAGGAGAGAACCGAGTATTCAAGGCACCAGCTTTCAGGAGACTGGTTACATATGGGGCAATTGAGTATCAAAATAAATGGACTCTTTGAGTAAAATGGGAATCCATGAGTCCGTAGATATAAATGAATAAATGAGTAAACAGTGGAGAGGACAAAGCCCTATGAAGCCACAAAATTATCTCCCCACAAAATACTTATTAATGAGTATAAAGTACTTATTAAATTTTTAATGAAGAAACCTGACAGATGTCTTCTTACCAAATGATAAAAGTAATTGTAATTATCAGCAGTAGAAATCTAATTTGTTTACCTCCTAATATGATGCACTGAAAAGGACACAGCATGGCTTTAGTGTTATTTGTGAAAAAAGTGCATGAATCATGAGGAAACATTAACCAAACCTAAATTAAGGAAGATTCTGGAGATAGCCACTACTCAATGATAGGTGAAAATGCTTTAAAACTGCAAATGCAAGTAGGCATAGGAACAATACGAATGGATTATAGATCGGAGGAAAAGCATGCTGATTTCGAAGTGAATTTAGTCATTTTAAGCACAGCTTTAGCTGGACACTCTTACCATTCATTCAACCACTCACTCACTTAACAGTCATTAATTAGTACCTATGATGAACTAGGGACTATACTAAGTATTAGTAAAATGATGAATAAAAGCTGAATAGTTAGGTATAAGTACTTCAGAATGGTAGTTATAAGATACTAAAAACTAAATGTGCACTTTAAGTAGATGACATTTCAGTGAATACTGAATCTTGATTTTTCTTTTTTGATAGATTCAAAGAAGTCAGACTTTGAACTGCATAGGTGGAGGCATTCTGCTTTCTCTGAACATGAAGACATCCAACTTAAATTTTATTAAGTAAATAATATCAAATTCAGCATTTCAATACAGACCCCAGTGTCAACCAGGAGTCTTGCCCCCCGATGTAGAGCTTTTATGCCATAGTTGGTCCAACGTTCTGCGGACCACTAAAGAGCAAGGATGGACTGCCCCAACCGGTTTTTGTAATTTCCTAAAATCATACATTCATTTTACTAGAGGATCATAGAAGTTAAAGACTTAAAACAAACTTTGGCAATTAAGACAGGATACCAAGATGCAAATGCCTGGTTGGAATGGATCAAATATTCCATCCACACGTTAAACAAAACAATTGTTATGCTTGTGTGCATGGCAGGCCAGAGGCCCAAACTGTCCCCTTTCCACTAAGGTGGTCCTCCAGTTGACCAGGCGTGGGCTGCATGGTAGTTCTTTTCCAGGACCCTACAGCCTCAAGTAATAAGTCATCCCAAGCTCTCTCTGCTATATCCCGAAGTCCAGCACCCTGCAGGTCAGCCCCCAAGGGCCATCTAGCTTCCATCTCCCAACACTAAGTTCACTTCGTGTCTCTCATGACAGGGAGGAAATTTAGCATTCCTTGGAGACTGGAAGGATGCAGTGAGCTTAAGAATTTTCAAGAGCTTATCAATGAGTCAGCCCTTGTTCATCCCCAAGCGGATGTGTGGTGGTATTGTGGTGGACCTTTACTGGACACTCTGCCAAATAACCAGAAGTGGCACTTGTGCTTTAGTCCAGTTGGCTATCCCTTTCACCCTAGCATCTCATCAACCAGAGGAAGGAAAAATAAGACATCGTAAAGCAAGAGAAGCCCCTTGGATCTTTCGACTCTCAGGTCTGTTTAGACACAATTAGAATCTCGCGGGGAATACCAGATCAATTTAAAGCCCAAAATCAAATAGCTGCAGGATTTAAGTCAATATTTTGATAGGTAACAATAAAAATGTAGATTAGATAAACCACATCTACTACAACCAACAGCGATTTATTAACTACACTAAAAATGCTATTAAAGGAAAGCTGAACAATTAAGGGCTACTAGCCAGATGGCTTGGGAAAATAAGATAGCCTTAGACATGATATTAGCAGAAAGAGTAGGAGTTTGCATCATGATTAAAACTCAATGTTGCACCTTCATCCTAAACAACACTGCCCCTAATGGAAGTATAACAAAGGTACTGCAAGGTCTGACTTCTCTACCCAATGAGTTAGCCTGCAACTCAGGGGTAAATGACCCCTTTACAGGATGGCTAGAAAAGTGGTTTGGTAAATGGAAAGGAATAATAGCCTCAATTCTTACTTCCCTCACAGCCGTAATGGGTGTACTTATTCTTGTCAGGTGCTGTGTCATACCATACATCCGTAGGTTGGTGCAGAGGCTCATAAAAACGGCACTTACTAAAACCTCCCTTAACTATCCTCCACCTTATCCAGAGAAGCTTCTTCTTTTGGAAAATCAAGCAAAACAACTAAGCCAAGACATGTTAAAAAAACTTTGAAAAGAAAGCTGTTAAGGAAACACAAGGGTAGGGGTTGTTAGATATGAGTTCTAAATTTCTCTTCAAAGAATCAATATGTCAGTATGTTCAATTCTTTGCCTTCTACTTTTAAACTTAACTTCCTCATAAAGCAACCTTTTTCGATTACCTGCTCCACCCTGACTCATTTCAATCACCTGTTCCACCCTGACTCATTCGGATTACCTGCTCCACCCTGACTCCTTCCGATTACCTATTCCACCCTGACTTCATGATTCTGATCACCTGTTCTGTCATAACCATTTTTCCCACCAAACCACTCACCCCGTAGTGCACTCTCTTTAAATTACCCAATTGAAATTAGTTTAGCCTGTGCAGTCTAACCCTAGCCAATGGAAAAATACAGCAGCAAGGGTCACGTGCGTCAGGGATAAGAACCTCTTTCCCTCCCTTGTCCAAGTGTGCGCTCACCATTGTTCCGTCTGTAAGGGCGCACCCTTCTATAGAAGTACCTTGCCTTGCTGAGAATTAAAAGAAAATTTTATATTTGAGTGCTATTTCTTTTGCAGCACCAAAACTTTATATATAACACTAGCAAGACAGGCCAACATGCAGATTCAGGAAATACAGAGAACACCATTAAGATACTCCATGAGAAGATCAACCAACCCCAAGACACATAATCAGATTCTACAAGGTCAAAATGAAGGAAAAACTGCTAAGGGCAGCCAGAGAGAAAGGCCAAGTCACCTACAAAGGGAAGCCCATCAGACTAACAGTGGAACTCTTAGCAGAAACTCTACAAGCCAGAAGAGACTGAGGGCCAATATTCAACATTCTTAAAGAAAATAATTTTCAACCCAGAATTCCATATTCAGCCAAAGTAAGCTCCATAAGCGAAGGAGAAATAAAATCCTTTCCAGACAAGCAAATGATGAGTGATTTCATTACCACCAGGCCTGCCCTGCAAGAGCTCCTAAAAGAAGCACGATATCAAATATCTTGTTTAAAAATAAATCTTCTCTTTGTGGTCACTTTCAAAATTTAAACAAAATAAAACATCCATTAAAACATGTTCCTATTCTTATTCTTCACACCCAGGAACTGAAAATGTTAAAAGGTTAGAAAATAAGAATTGGTCGGGCGTGGTGGCTCACGCCTGTAATCCCAGCACTTTGGGAGGTCAAGAGATCGAGACCATCGTGGCCAACATGGTGAAACCCCCGTTTCTACTAAAAATACAAAAAATTAGCTAGGTGTGGTGGCATTTGTCCGTAGTCCCAGCTACTCAGGAGGCTGAGGCAGGAGGATCGCTTGAACCCAAGAGGTGCAGGTGGCAGTGAGCCAAGATCGCGCCACTGCACTCTAGCCTGGCGACAAAGCGAGACTCTGTCTCAAAAAACACAAAACAAACAAACAAAAAGAAGCACTAAATATGGAAAAGAAGAACTGATACCAGCCAGTGCAAAAACACACAAAAATATAAAGAGCAATGACATTACGAAGAAACTGCATCAACTAGTGTGCAAAATAACTAAATAGCATCATGATGACAGGATCAAATTCACACGTAACAATAGTAACCTTAAATATAAATGGGCTAAATGCCCCAATAAAAAGACACAGACTGGCAAATTGAATAAAGAGTCAAGACTCATCGGTGTGTTGTATTTAGGAGACGTGCAAAAACACATACAGGCTCAAAATAAAGGGATGGAGGAAAATTCACCAAGCAAATGGAAAGCAAAAAAAAAAAGCAGGGGTTGCAATCCTAGTCTCTGACAAAACAGACCTTAAATCAACAAAGACAAAAAAAGACAAAGAAGGGCATTACATAATGGTCAAGGGAACAATTCAACAAGAGCTATTCTAAATATATAGGCACCAATACAGGAGCACCCAGATTCATAAAACAAGTTGTTAGAGACCTACAAAGAGAAGAGACTTGGACTCCCACACAATATTAGTGGGGGACTTTTAACACCCCACTGTCAGTATTGGATAGATCAATGAGACAGAAAATTAACATGGATATTCAAGACTTGAACTCTGCTCTGGATCAAGTGGACCTAGTAGACATCTACAGAACTCTCTACCCCAAATCAACAGAATATACATTCTTCTTAGAGCCACATGGCACTTATTCTAAAACTGATCACATAATTGGAAGTAAAACACTCCTCAGGAAATGCAAAAGAACTGAAATCACAGCACTCTCTCAGACCACAGTGCAATCAAATTAGAACTCAGGATTAAGAAACTCACTCAAAACCACACAATTTCATGGAAATTGAACAACCTGCTCCTGAATGACTCCTGGGTAAATAAAGAAATTAAGGGAGAAATCAACAAGTTCTTTGAAACCAATGAGAACAAAGAGATATCTCTGGGACACAGCTAAGGCAATGATAAAGGGGAAATTTATAGCACTAAATGCCCACATCAGAAAGCTAGAAAAATCTCAAATCAACACCCTAACATCAGAATTAAAAGACCTAGAGAGGCAAGGGCAAATTAATTCGAAAGTTAGCAGATGACAAGAAATAACTAATATCAGAGAAGCGTTGAAGGAGATAGAGACAAGAAAATCCTCCAAAAAAAAAAAATCAACAAATCCAGGAGCTGGTTTTTTGAAAAAAAATTAACAAAATAGATAAACTACTAGCTAGAATAAAGAAGGGAGAGCAGAATCAAATAGACACAATGAAAAATGATAAAGGGGATATCACCACTGACCCCACAGAAATACAAACTACCATCAGAAAATACTATAAACACCTCTACGCAAATAAACTAGAAAATCTAGAAGAAATGGATAAATTCCTGGACACATACACCTTACCAAGACTAAATCAAGAAGAAGTCGAATCCTTGAATAGACCAATAACAAGCTGGGAAACTGAGGCAGTAATTAACAGCCTACCAACCAAAAAAGCCCAGGACCAGATGGATTCACAGCTGAATTCTACCAGAAATACAAAGAGGAGTTGGT
This sequence comes from Homo sapiens, assembly GCF_000001405.40. NCBI lineage: Eukaryota > Metazoa > Chordata > Mammalia > Primates > Hominidae > Homo > Homo sapiens. The sequence continues at coordinate 21,592,450 of NC_000013.11, forward strand.
ACCATTCCTTCTGAAACTATTCCAAGTAACTGAAAAGGAGGGACTCCTCTCAAACTCATTTTATGAAGAGCATCATCCTGATACCAAGATCAGGAAAAGACACAACAAAAAAAGAAAACATAAGGCCAATATCCCTGATGAACATTGATGCGAAAATCCTCAATAAAACACTGGCAAACCCAATCAATCCAGCAGCACATCAAAAAGTTTATCCACCACGATCAAGTCGGTTTCATCCCTGGGATGCAAGGGTGGTTCAACATACGCAAATCAATAAACATAATCCATCACATAAACAGAGCCAAAGACAAAAACCACACGATTATCTCAATAGATACAGAAAAGGCCTTTGATAAAATTCAACATCCCTTCATGTTTAAAAACTCTCAATAAACTAGGTATTGATGGAACATATCTCAAAATAATAAGAGCTATTTAAGACAAACCCACAGCCAATATCATATTCAATAGGCAAATGCTGGAAGCATTCCCTTTGAAAACCAGTACAAGACGAGGATGCCCTCTCTCACCACTCGTATTCAACAGAGTACTGGAAGTTCTGGCCAGGGCAATCAGGCAAGAGAAAGAAATAAAGGGTATTCGAATAGGAAGACAGGAAGTCAAGTTGTCTCTGTTTGCAGACAACATGATTTTATATTTAGAAAATCGCATCATCTCAGCCCAAAAACTTCTTGAGCTGATAAGCAACTTCAGCAGTCTCAGGATCCAAAATCAATGTGCAAAAATCACAAGCACTCCTTTACAACGATAGGCAAGCAGAGAGCCAAATCATGAGTGAACTCCCATTCACAACTGCTACAAAGAGAATAAAAATACCTAGGAATACAGCTAACAAGGGATGTGAAGGACCTCTTCAAGAAGAACTACAAACCACTGCTCAATGAAATAAAAGAGGACATAAACAAATGGAAAAACATTCCTTGCTCATGGATAGGAAGAATCAATATTGTAAAAATGACCAGACTGTCAAAAGTAATTTATAGATTCAATGCTATTCCCATCAAACTATCATTGACACTCTTCCCAGAATTAAAAAAAAAACACAAAAACTATTTCACATGCAATCACAGAAGACCCCATATTGCAAAGACAATCCTAAGCAAAAAAAAAAAAAAAAAAAAAAACAAAGCTGGAGGCATCATGCTAACTGACTTCAAACTATGCTACAAGGCTACAGTAACCAAAACAGCATGGTACTGGTACCAAAACAGACATATAGACCAATGGAGCAGAACAGAGACCTCAGAAATAATGCCACACATCTACATCCATCTGATCTTCAACAAACCTGACAAAAACAAGCAATGGGGAAAGGATTACCTATTTAATAAGTGGTGCTGGGAAAACTGGCTAGCCATATGCAGAAAACAGAAACTGGACGCCTTCCTTACACCTTATACAAAAATTAACTCAAGATGGATTAAGACTTAAATGTAAAATCCAAAACCATAAAAACCCTAATAGAAAACCTAGGCAATACCATTCAGGACACAGGCATGGGCAAAGACTTCATGACAAAAATGCCAAAAGTAATTGCAACAAAAGCCAAAATTGACAAATGGGATCTAATTAAAGTAAAGAGCTTCTGCACAGCAAAGGAAACTATCATCAGGGTGAACAGGCAACTTACAGAATGGGAGAAAATTTTTGCAATCTACCCATCTGACAAAGGTCTAATATACAGAATTTACAAGAAACTTAAACATATTTATAAGAAAAAAAGAAACAACCCCACCAAAAAGTGGGCAAAGGATATGAACAGACATTTCTCAAAAGAAGACATTTACACGGCCAACAAACATGAAAAAGAGCTCATCATCACTGGTCATTAGAGAAATGCAAATCAAAACCACAATGAGATACCATCTCATGCCAGTCAGAATGGTGATTATTAAAAAGTCAGGAAACAATAGATACTGGCAAGGCTATGGAGAAATAGGAACACTTTTACACTATTGGTGGGAGTGTAAATTAGTTCAACTATTGTGGAAGACAGTGTGGCGACCTCAAGGATCTAGAACCAGAAATACCATTTGACCCAGCAATCCCATTACTGGGTATATAACCAAAGGAATATAAATCATTCTACTATGCAGACACATGCACACGTATGTTTACTGCAGCAGTATTTACAATAGCAAAGACATGGAACAAACCCAAATGCCCATCAATGACAGATTGAATAAAGAAAATGTGGTACATATATACCATACAATACTATGCAGCCATAAAAGGGAATGAGATCATGTCCTTTGCAGGGACATGGATGAAGCTGGAAGCCATCATCCTCAGCAAACTAACACAGGAACAGAAAATCAAACACCACATGTTCTCACTCATAAATGGAAGCTGAACATTGAGAACCCATGGATGCAGAGAAGGGAACAACACACACCCGGGCCTGTTAGGGGGTGGGGATTGAGGGGAGGGAACTTAGAGGATGGGTCAACAGGTGCAGCAAACCACCATGGCACACATATACCGATGTAACAAACTTGCATGTTCTGCACATGTATCCTGTTTTTGTTTTGTTTTTTAGAATAAAGAAAAACCAACTAAAGACAAAATTAGAAACTTTATTTTAAGAATAAAAACCAGAAACTTAAAAAGAAAAAAGAAAAGAAAATCTTTACCCTGTACCATTACAAGTAGTCAACTGGGGGTTTCCTTGCTTCTTGAAACCTGGGTGAAACTCTCTAGAACTGTATACCGGCTGTCAATTTATTGTCTCCCAGCTAAAATCCACACTTCTTTGCTTGGTGATACTAGAGCTGGACTCTGTAAACTCTTCTCCTTTGCCAGCTGGGATAACTCTGTCCACAGAAGGCATGGGAGTGACACTGCAAGACAGCAGAGCCAAAAAGGCACTTTCCTCTCAGGTCTCAGTCCACCTTTTGTTATTCAGAACTGGAGCCCAAAGGCCCTCACAGACCAGCCAGAACCACTTCCAATTAGTACTGGTAGGCAGGCATAGTGACTTCAGCTGCACCTTCAGGACACACTGGTGGGTGGCTTCCAAACAGCTTTAATGAACAGCTTCCATGGCAGCTCCAGGGGCCCTTAGGCCACACACAACCCACCAGGCTGCAGCTATGAGCTGCTCCAGGGCACCACCTCTGTGGTAGCTCTAAGCCAGGCCCTCAGGCCACATTCTTCCACCCAGCAGGTCAATACTGTACTCTAGTTCCAGCCCACTCACCCCTTCCACCAATGGTAGGCTCCTTCTACAGACTAGTTGTGGCCTGTGCCATCTGACAAGTTTCTTCAGCTGCAGCAGGCTTTATATTCTTGTGATAGGCACAGCCTCTTGGAAAAGGCTCAATCCCTGCTTTGGGGTGGAGGAGGATACCTCTCCTAAGTCTTTAGTTCCTTCACGGTCCACTCTCCTTCAGCCTATAGGCAGTAGCTACTTTTTGACACCTGCTACTTCTGGACCCCTGTGAGTATTACTCTCTTAGTAGTCAATCACCTTCTACTACTTTTTTACATTAAATTTCCTTCTTCAAATTACTGGTTTGATTTCTTTCTCCTTATTGGACTCTGATAGAGATAAATCCTACCTTTAATTTCACAATCTAGTAATATTCAAAATCCTTCCAGGAGTGTTGCTAAGAACTGCAATGGAGGTACTTGCAATGGAGGTACTTACATTCTCCACGTCTCCTCTTTTGATTGTCACTTCCATTCAGTGCTACTTCTGCTTAAAACCACGGGAGCCTTGTGCAACTCTATCAAAGCACTTGTGCATTTGCTAGGCTTTACTTAAGATGGGCTGAAAGAAGGGGAGATCTTAAGACTACAGAGTTGCTTTTCCAATCCTGTCCTTCCTTCTCCCTCCATCTCCACTCCCAGGACTCACTTCCCCCCACATTTCCTTATATGCTCCAAATTCTTCTGCTTGCATTATGCAAAGCAGCTTTCTCTCACCCCTGAAGCCTAAGTCAGCCACATTCAGGTTCTTTTTTTTTTTTGAGACAGAGTCTGGCTCTGTCACCCAGGCTGGAGTGCAGTGGTGCGATCCTGGCTCACTGCAACCTCCGCCTCCGGGGTTCAAGTGATTCTCCTGCCTCAGCCTTCCAAGTAACTGGGACTACAGGCATGCACCACCATGCCTGGCTAATTTTTGTATTTTTGGTAAAGATGGGGTTTCACCACGTTGGCCAGGCTGGTTTCAAGCCCCTGATCTCAAGCGATACACCCGCCTCGGCCTCCCAAAGTGCTGGGATGACAGGCATGAGCCACTATGCCCGGCCTCACATTCAGGTTCTCATAGGGCTTACTCTCTACCTCAAACACATAGTATGTAAACCAAAGCCATTCTCTTGCTAAGAGGATTTTCAGCCAATTGTTAAGATACAGAGCTTGTTATATTTATATCTTCAGTTGGTGTAAAATGTGTAACATGCATTTGACTAAAATGCAAAAATAGTTTATTAATATAGTTGGTTTTTGCCATGTCAGGATTATTTTCCAAATTTAAAAATAATTTAATTGGCTTGAGGTTTACCAGTTGAAGCATCTCAATAATTGAAATGAAAATATAATCTTAAATTCTAAAATGAATATTTGATATTTTAATGTGATAGCAAAGGACAAAATCTTGCTATATAAAGACAAATATAAATGTTAATAATATATATTAAAAATGCTATCTTATATGTAGTCACAGGTTAAATTGACCCATCTTTAAACTTCAGAGACAAAGGTATATCTATTATTAAAACATTATAGATGTCATCAATTAATTCACCCATTCAATACATATTTACTGCACCTACTATGTGCCAGACTTTTTTCTAGGCCCTTGGGACATAGCAGATAAGAGCGAAGTCTCTTATTTACTTATGTTTTCTAATGGGAATATGGGATGACATGTCTCTATGGCTCTAAGTGTGTAATTTAATATATCTGGGACAGTTAGTAACTTAGCTGATTCTAACCATTTCTAGATATTGGTTGTCTAATATTTCTATAAATGCCAATCAAACCGAAGTTAGAGAAGGTCACTTTGTTATTTAATGCATTTCAGTTCTTTCATTCACCCTAGATAAACATTTATGATGTGACATTATGTGACTGCGATTATTCTAGGTACTAAGAATACAGAGATGAAAAAGACAAGAGGCCATTCTAGTAAGGGGAGACGAAATAAACAAGTATATAAAATAATTTCAGGGCCGGGCGCGGTGGCTCATGCCTGTAATCCCAGCAGGGATTTTGGGAGGCCGAGGCGGGTGGATCACGAGGTCAGGAGATTGAGACCATCCTGGCTAACACGGTGAAACCCCGTCTCTACTAAAAATACAAAAAATTAGCCGGGCGTCATGGAGGGCACCTGTAGTCCCAGCTACTTGGGAGGCTGAGGCAGGAGAATGGCGTGAACCCAGGAGGTGGAGCTTGAAGTGAGTGGAGATCACGCCACTGCACTCCAGCCTGGGCAACAGAGTGAGACTCTGTCTCAAAAAAAAAAAAAAAAAAAGAATTTCAAAGAGCGATAAGTACTATGAAAGAAAAAAACAACAACTGATAACAGAGAAGACTTTTACGTATTTATAAATACAAATGTAAATAAACATATCAAAGAAAATATCAATGAATTTGTATAATAAGGAATTTGTATTTATTTAGATTAAAAAATACAGCATTATAGAGAATGCTATGCAAAATAATTTTATTTTTCAAACAGTAGTGGAAAAATTTTCTATTGAAAAGCAAACAACAACAACAAAAACCTGTTATGAATTAAAAAAAACTAAAGTATCCAATATTACGTATAATTTGGAAAGAAAATTTAGGGAGTAAATGAAATATTCATGCAATTAACGAGTGAACAATAACAAATAAAATATCACTGATATCACTGTTGTCAACTGTGAACTATATTGTATTTTACTTTGGCTTTGCTGTTTTTACTTTTCTTCCCCAGTTTTGGGCATTATTACAATGACTTAAAATAGTAATGGTGCCAGGTGCGGTGGCTCACACCTGTAATCCCAGAACTTTAGGAGGCTGAGGCGGACGGATCACCTGAGGTCAAGAGTTCGAGACCAGCCTGACCAATATGGTGAAACCCCGTCTCTACTAAAAATACAAAAATTAGCTGGGCGTGGTGGCATTCACCTGTAGTCCCAGCTACTTGGGAGGCTGAGACCAGAGAATTGCTTGAACCCGGGAGGCGGAGGTTGCAGTGAGTCGAGATTGCACCACTGCACTCCAGCCTGAGTGACTGAGCAAGACTCCATCTCCAAAAAAAGAAAAAAAAAGTAATGGTTCAGAAAGCTTTACTTTTAGTCTCATCATCTACTGTTGAGTATCTACTTAGTGAAATGGAGGTTTGTTTTAATCAGTTTGGATTTGCCAATATATGATTCTAGCTTATAATAAGGAAATACAATAGTAACCACAACACAGGGGTCCCTAACCCATGGGCCATGGACCAGTAAGGGTCCATGGTCTGTTAGGAACCGGACCACACAACAGGAGGTGAGTGGTAGGTGAAAAGAGCATTACCACCTGAGCTCCACCTCCTGTCAGATCAGTAGCATTAGATTCTGATAGGAGCGCAAAACCTACTGTGAACTGTACTCCTATGAGAATCTAACTAATGCCTGATGATCTGAGGTGCAACAGTTGCATCCCAAAACCACCCCCACCTCCATCAGTGGAGAAACTGTCTTCCATGAAACTAGTCCCTGGTGCCAAAAAGGTTGGGGACCACTGCCTTAACACTTTTATTATTTAAATTCCTGCAGGAAAGAAGTACACTTATACCTTTGCAACTCTAAAACTCTCTAGTTCCTAAACCTCCCTTCTCCATTGAAATAACTTTTTATAATTTCAAAAAATGTATCAAGGCTTAAGAATGAAGCTATCCTTTTATAGCAGAATGGACTGGAACAACAGAATAAGTCTGTCTCCTCCCTTCTATGATTTCTGATTTTACATGTCTGAATCAAATATAACATTGTAATGGGAGTAATACTAAAAGCTTAGAAAAGTTTTCAAATATTGTTTTAAAAGCAGCAGTTTACATAGAAATAACTGATGTGCTAACATGATCTAAAACAAGTTCCACTAAGAATTTCTTTGTAGGAGGCACTATTTTGTTGGCCAGGTATAACAACACCATACATAGACTTGCAATTCAGAGTCTTTACGAATTTATCTTTTAAATGTCTTTTGAATTCATCCACTAATTTAGCTATCATCAACTCTCTCCTGAATTATTGCAACAGCTCCCTAAATCTAGTTTTCAATTCACTCCCTTTACTAAAGTCCCAATACTCTTTCCAAAGGTCAGAAACAAATTTGTGACATAGTATTACATGGACTTATTTATGCATTAAATAGTATGATATGGTGGCAGGTTTAAAAAGTGTTTTCATTTTGAAGAAGTGATACTCTGAGATACTTACAACAACTCTAATATAGTACGAAAATATCTGAGATTTCTGTTGATGACAAAGGCAGTTACTGTAATACCACTATAGCTTGTTGCCTACATTCATTAAATGAAGAAAACATTAAACAATTTATGAAAACAATGAAACAAAATTTTTGTCGATGAAATTTTGTCAATGAAAACAAAAATGTAATCTTTTTTCTAAGTTCATGGATCCCCTAAATTCTATGCATGGACATATGGGGGTCCATGAGGGTTAAGAAATCCTGCAATGGCTTCCTGCTGTCCTCAAGATAAAAATTCCTGTCACATGGCTTATGGGACACTTAATGATCTGATTCCCAGCCATTGCTCACACCCAATTTTGAACCCCATCTTTTGCAGCTCTTACTCTGCTGAGTCCAACTCTTACTTCCAGATCTCTGTAAAGCTATCTCCTTTGCCTAGAAAACTCTTCCCCTTCTCTTTGCCTAGCAAACTTGCAGTCACCCTCCAGGTGTCAACCTACACATAATTCCTTCAGGAAACCAAGACTTTGTGAAATACTCTTCCACTATGCTTCCACAGCACCCAGTATTTAACCCTACCACAGCATTTATCACATTGTATTAAAACTGCCGTTCCCCATTAAACTGTAAGCACATAAACTGTGTCTCTAATCCCTGCTCCTGGCATATTGTCTAGCACAGAGTAAGATTTCAAAACTTGTGAAAGGAAGAAAGTAAAGAAAAAAGGAAGGTTCCAATTTATCTACTGTTTCATGACATGAAACTCTACCCTTAATTCCCGACTGACCCTCACAAATGCAAGCTGTTGGTCACAATGGGAACTAGAAAAGTGTAGGACTCCATTAATATAAATTTATATTTTTATTGGAAAAAAGCACTTAGTGTAATGACTGAAAATGAAGGACATATTCACTATTATTATTATTATTATTTTGAGACGGAGTCTTGCTCTGTCGCCCAGGCTGGACTGCAGTGGCAGGATCTCGGCTCCCTGCAAGCTCCGCCTCCCAGATTCACGCCATTCTCCTGCCTCAGGCCCCCGAGTGGCTGGGACTACAGGCGCCCGCCACCACGCCCAGCTAATTTTTTGTATTTTTAGTAGAGACGGGGTTTCACTGTGTTAGCCAGGATGGTCTCGATCTCCTGACCTCGTGATCCGCCCATCTCGGCCTCCCAAAGTGCTGGGATTACAGGCGTGAGCCACCAGGCCCGGCCGGACATATTCACTATTATTATAGGGCCGCGTCAGGAAGAGTTTACCAACTTGGAATACCAATGTAACTATATTAATGCATAAAATTCTATTGCAATGAAAGATTCATCACAAGCCAAAATTCTGGTATATATCTAGCTCAACTATGCACACCTGTCCCTAAAGTAGTGGTAGTAGGCCCACTTCTTAGGGAAATGTATCAAAATCACTGAGGCGAAGGCAAAGTTTTCAACCTATAGGTCCTCTCAATCCTTCCTGTATTCAGCCACTGATGCTGAAAGGAATGTCCACCGTGGTGGCAAAAGGATGAGAACCACTGTCTCGGTCCAATAGCAGATCAGGCAAATGCTATGCCAACAGACCTTATAAAACGATTGATAATAAAATGGTTTCTGTATTACTTTAGCTAAGATTAAACTTACAAAGCTGCAGGGAAGGAGAGCTGAGAGTTGGGAAGAGAATCCAAAATAACTACACTAGTGTGAAGCTTTTAGAATCAAGTCAGGGATTTCAAAGGAGAAAGATTAGAAGTGGGCCAGAAAAAAAAAAAACAATTAGATGGATAAGTGAAATCAAGAGTCTACAAATTGCAGCTGGCGGGTGAGCGGTATTTAAGTCTTGTTCTAGGGATAGTGAGTGAATCACTTTAGTGGGAAGGTGCCTGAGTAGTGTCAGGTCAGAGTGTGACTATAAAAGGCTCTGAAAGACAAAGTTTTAAAATGTGCATTTTGGCCGGGCGCTGTGGCTCACGCCAGTAATCCCAGCACTCTGGGAGGCCAAGGCAGGCGGATCACGAGGTCAGGAGATCGAGACCATCCTGGCCAACATGGTGAAACCCCGGCTCTACTAACAATACAAAAAAAAATTAGCTGGACGTGGTGGCGTATGCCTGTAATCCTAGCTACTTGGGAGGCTGAGGTAGGAGAATTACTTGAACCGGGGAGTTAAGAGGTTGTAGTGAGCCGGGATCACGCCACTGCACTCCAGCCTGGGTGACAGAGACTCCATCTCAACAACAAAAAAAAAGTGCATTTTACTCTTGGCAAAATGAGACACTGAAGAAGGGTTTCTGAAGAAGGGTACACTGTGTGGTTAAAGTGATACTCCGGAGAAGATTAACCTAAGGGTCTTAAAAACAGGATGAATCGGCCGGGCGCAGTGGCTCACGCCTGTAATTCCAGCACTTAGGGAGGCCAAGGCGGGCGGATCACGAGGTCAGGAGATCGAGACCATCCTGGCTAATACGGTGAAACCCCGTCTCTACTAAAAACACAAAAAATTAGCCGGGCGCGATGGCGGGCGCCTGTAGTCCCAGCTACTCGGGAGGCTGAGGCAGGAGAATGGCGTGAACCCGGGAGGCGGAGCTTGCAGTAAGCCGAGATAGCGCCACTGCAGTCCGGCCTGGGCGACAGAGCGAGACTCCTCTCAAAAAAAACAAAAACAAAAACAAAAAACAAACAAAAAAACCAGGATGAATCTAGGGGAGAGAAACTAATGATGAATACACTGAACTCCTTGGCACAAGATTCACAAAAATGCTATAAAAACACTAGATAATAGATCTTTCCATTATATATGTTTACAATATAATTATAATGTATGTTAATACAAATAAGGAATATCAGTTGCCAATACTTAATTTTAACTCACAAGGCCTTCTTTCCTCTCTTTTTTGTTGTATCTGAATGTTCCTTGAGTTTTTCGCTAGAAAGGCATAATGTAAATCTAAAAAAGAAAATAATAAACTACTACTTTCAATTTTCAAAAAAGCTCATATGTAAAAACTTACTAAGTCTACAAAAATTTTAAAGCACTACTCATTCAAATTTTCAAATGCGTTACAACATCATTTATCCTGAAATAGGGAACTTGAATCTTTTTTTTTTTTTTTTGAGACGGAGTTTCGCTCTTGTAGCTCAGGCTGGAGTGCAATGGCTCGATCTTGGCTCACTGCAACCTCCGCCTCCCGGATTCAAGCGGTTCTCCTACTTCAGCCTCCCGCCACCACACCCAGCTAATTGTTTATATTTTTTAGTAGAGACCGGGGGGGCGGGGCTGGGGTGGGGAGCGGCTTCACCATGTTGGCCAGGCTGGTCTCGAACTCCTGACCTCAGGAGATCCACCCGCCTCGGCCTCCCAAAGCCCTGGGATTAAAGGCGTGTGCCACCGCGCCCGGCGGACTCTTGTCTTTAATAGATGGAGGTTTTAGGAGCAATTTTTGCTTAGAACTTATGGTCCACTAAGATATTAAGGTTTATAATCATGCAATAATGTTCCTTAAAGTTGATAATAAAATCTGGAAATCAACTGGTTAATTTTTGTGGCTGACACATTCGTGACTTAAAAAAGCAATCGACAGAACTTCATCATGCTATACAAAGAAAAGATCGTAAAACTTAGTTGCAAAGCTTAACAAAGGTATATCCCACAGGGGTAACTGGACGCAAACCACCTGCGGATGTGAATGCCACTTCACTGACCAGAGAGGTAGCAAGAGGCGAGGCGCAGTGAGATTCTGAATTAGGAGCCTCGAATTAAGACACGCCCACACTCATCACCACTAAATTAGTGCGGCCAGTTTTGTGGGCCGTGGTGTTCAGCGTCCGCGGGGTTCTCCCAAGGGAGGCAGAATCTCCGGTCACCAGCCTCGAAGGCCCTCGGGGACTCAGGCCGGGGGCCGGTCCAGGAAGGAGCGAGTCCCACCAGTCGCAGGGCGCTCCGATCCGCAGCGGCACCTCCACCCACGGCTCCGGGAGAGCCGCCCAGAGCCAAACCACTCCCCGCCTAAGGGCGTCAGGGGAGGGAGGAGCTTGACTGGGGCTAGCAGAAGGAGTTAGTCCTGTACCTGTGCGGAGACTGTAAAACTGCCATCCCGCGCCGCAACACTGACGCGGCTGTGGTGCCAGGCCGCTCCTGCTCCTGCCAGGGCCGCGCCGGCCACTGCCGCTGCCAAGGGGCCGGGACTCCGCACAGCCTGTCGGCTGACAGCGAGCCCCCGTCGCAGTTTTCCGCCCCAGGCCGCCACCCGCGCGCAGCTACCCGCAGCCGCCGCCATCTTTGCGGAAGCGCAGCTAGGCGGCGCTTCTCTCCCGGCGCCGCCGCCTACCGCTTGGGAACTCTCGCGACATCCGACAGGCTTCCGCCCCGCCTACCGGGCCTGCGCCGTGGGTGCGGTTGCTGAGGCGACGCTCGCAGCCGCAAGAGGTGGCCTTCGGTTCCGGGGCTGCCTTCTAAGGCTGTGGGGATGGGATGACAGGAAGAGTATCAAGACAGTATAATATGACTTCCTAGTCCAAAACAAGATAGTGCCCTCGGTTGTGTGGGCAGGTTTCTCCTTTTCATTTTTTCACCTTGTAAAACTGTGAAACGTTTTTTGAAATAGTCTCTTCTGCATCTGTGTTGTTCATGTCTTCCTATGCTTATAGTCTTGACTGTTCTTTCATTTCTGCTAAAACAACTCTCAGACAAGGCATTCTGTTTATTTCAGTCCCTCACTATTTGCTTATAATGAATTTAAATTCAGTTTCAACAAAAGGTTTGATAGTAGCTCTTATCCTACCTAGAACTAAAAGTCAGAGACAGCAGCACACCAGCCCCATGTCTCTATCATCAGGGACCCAGAGGTTTTCCCCAGTGCAGATTTAGAACGATACCTCCAGTCCTGGCTGTTGCATTGGTGATAAGTGATGTAGCTGAGGCAGACTACTTGGTTTTATTTAACAGCCTCCAATCCTCCATTCTTTGGTCTTCACTTTTCCTGAGTAACTCTTTTTAATAAACTCTTTGTTCAGCCTCTGAAATGTCCCCAGCTATTAGAAGCTTTAGTTGGGCATGCAGTAACGGAGCCAACATCAAAGGGGCCAAGACTCCTAATCACATAATCACTGCTGTCTTGAAGTTTTGCACAAAACAAAACTTCAAGAAACAAAAACAAAAACCTGTCACACGAAATCTAATTTGATCATTCAGTGGAAGTTCCGTGGATCCCTTTGTTATTATCTGCCCTTAATCCTTGCTCCCTTTCTCTTAGCCCGCTTGTCTAAATTAATCTGCAGTCAGAGGTTCCTCACTTTTCCGTCAGCTTCTGGACTTACTTTTCAGTGTGCCTTCCCAGGTAGGAAGTAGAGAGATGAGCCTCACTTCACCGACTTGTGAGCCAGACCTCAAGGTTTGAATCTTAGCTCTACCAGGATGATCACTGTGGTTTGGGGCAAATTATTTAATCTCTCTGAGTCTCCATTTTCTCATTTGTAAATAACTCACGATTTGGTAGATGATCACTGCTATTTGGGGTAAGGTATTTAATCTCTTTGAGTCTCAATTTTTTCATCTGTGAACAACCCTCTTACAGTTTGGGGTGGGGAAGCTAAATGAGATATTTTATATAAAGTGACTAGCCAAATGCCTGGCACATGGTAGGCTCATGACAGATGTGCGTTTACTGTGGTCAAGGTTTGGTTTACTTCTGCCCTGTGAACACAAATGAGCTTGACTGAATGTCCATGATTCCAGATCACTAGCCCATCTTAACCTGAGATTTTCCTGCTTTTTTGTATCTAGCCTGACTTTGTCAACCTCTGGACTGTTTTTCACCTCTGCTAACTCTGGTAGCTTTGGCACATGTCCTGCTTTTCTGGACTATTGACATCTAGCTTGTTTCCTGGTGATAATAGGACTTCCAGGATATTTTGGACACCCTGGATGTCTTACCTTGTAGTTTATTCTTGATTTCCAGAAACCACAGTCTTTACGTGTATACTTCTAACTGCCTCACACAGTTCCTCTAGGTATTTAATGAAACCTGGCATCTATTACTCAGTATTGCCTTAAGCCCAAGATAAGTTTAGATTCCCATTAAAACATGTAGCATATTTAAGAACATTGTCTTTCTCCCACAATTTGACATCCTTGTGGGTGAGATGTCTTCCTTTTCCCTGTTTCTCTAGCACCTAGCACAATGCCCAGCACGTAATAGACATTCAATGAGTGAGTAAATAAGTGAATAAATAAATGGCACAAATGAAACTCAGGGGTTCATATTTCTATGCTTTGGCCATCCAAAATACAGAAGTATATTATTCCTTTGGGGTACTTTATTTTCAAAACAAAAGCTTCTTTTTATTTTGCCAAAAATCTTTGAACCCACTTGGAAAACAGTGTAATTAGTTATTTTTTAAATTTTCATTATGTGCCCAGGCATCTAGAACTCTCACTTATAATTTAATGTATTCAAACTTTTCTTATGCAGAGGAAACAAATTCTTATAATAGAACCAATCTCTAGTCGAATAACCATTCTAAGTATGAAATCTTCCTTGGCAGCTGCTGACATTTGTCTAAGCACATTGACTATATTGGTCTTTTTGGGCTCCAGCTTTGTTCATTTCTTCATCATCAGCTGTAAAGTCCTGGGCTGGGATGTATTTTCAACCATGCAGTTTATAAACCAACCCCCAAATAAGAAGCTGCTTCTAAAGCTGTACATTGTATGCTGTTTTAAATAACTGGACGAAAACAGGATGGAAATACTTATTGTTTCAAAGTATTCTTAATTCACTTACTCCTGCTCTTTTTTTCTGAAGAAGAACGAAAGTGATATGTCAGAAAAACTGCTCTTAAGGAGCTTTATTTTCACTGGAGAGGCTAGGCTTGAATTTCAAAACAATTGTCTCTGACTTTTATACTGTACAGAGAAGCAAGGGTGAGGTGGGCTGGCACAGGCAGAAAAGCATCTAGGGAAGACAGAAGACTTGATCTGGAACTTGCTGGGGTCTGAGGCAGGGTGAGAGCCTGGGGGAGGGTGCATACAGTGTGTGCTGACAGGCTTGGTGCAGAAGGGCTAGCTGGGGACTGGCTTGGAGTGTCCTGAGGGCCAGGCAGGGGCCACACAATGATCTCCAGTCTGTGGAACAGTTGTCAGCCCCCTTGACCCTCTGCACATTTGTCACTGGCGTATTCATGCTTCCCTTTCAGCGTCCCCACCCGCCTTGAGGCTGAGCTCCTCTTCTGAATCTCAGATGCTCCACCAGTGTATTTCTTCTGCTTGCCCGGACTTTATCCTGGCCTTTCTTAGCCGCTATCCACACGCTTCTTCAAATTATTGTCCTTTTTACTGACAATCAAAACTTCGATTCCCTCTGGGTTACTGGTCTTGAACAAAAGAGGTCAACTAGTTTTTTTACTGAAGATATCTACTCCTTTGTATTTCCATTTTAGAAGAAATTATTAACTCAAACACATCTTTGATCTTAGCATGTGTGGGGAGAAAAACAAAAATTGCTATTGGATTCTGAAAGATTGTTTACTGCTCTATTCCAGAATAATGTGCACTGAGACAGATTATCTTAGGTGGAGGAGAAAAAATATGGGAGATCTCAAAAGATTAGTTAAAGAGGTTGGACTCCTATAGGAATGAAGTAAAAAGCATATGCATGGATATTATAAAGAACCATTGCTTGGAATAGTCAGAGGTTGAACTATATTTATGGTGGATAATTGTGTAGCAGAGGGTATGAATCACTCTCAGAGGCCCTAAATGAGTCAAAAGAACTGCTAATTATGTCTTTTTGTGCAGTTTGGGGCCATGAGTAAAAATATCTGGGTATCGTGATTGATACCAGCATGTGTAGAAATAGGTTAAAGTGAAATCTTACTGACAGTGAGAAAGCAGTGCCCAGAGGAGCGTTTTGTATGTCTTTCAGATCCTCGTCTGCATCTTATTACCTTCCCTTCCTCGCAGTGCAGCTCCCATTACCTTGCCCTGTGATTATTGTGACCATCTCTTAACATGTGCCTTTGCTTCGTCTTTCTCTTCTCTGAAGCATCCCACAGATCTATGTTAGATCAATCTTCCTAAAACATTTCTTTCACCATACATCCATTAGCTCTGTGATTTACCCTTCCTAAGCCTCTGTCTCCCAGTTGGAAAATGAGGAGATGGGTTTTGGTTTATTTTTACACTTCTAAAATTCTTTTTGTATGCCACTCCGAAGTGTCTTTTTTTTCTGCTCAGTTGACAAACTGTATCGAATGTGAAATATGTGCCAGGCATGGGACCACACGTTGGAGACAACAAGCACAAATAGGATAGAGCTTCCTGGGCACGGGCTGTGGTCTCACACATTGGCTTATGCCCTCTATGCTGAAAACTTTTAAAAGTATGTAACCTGCCATTTATGTATGCTTATTTCTTAAATCTACACATTTACAACTAAATGTTAAAAGCCACATAGTAAGAATGTAAATGGTGATGTAAAGATGAATTAGTATTTACAAAATAAAATTGTATTTTTATTATTAAAGATGCAATGAATGTTTTATTCTAAAACTGTTAGTATTTTAGTGAGATCTATGTGATTAAATTGGCTTCATTAACTTGGAAAATGCTGATTTAGGTTTTATGAGATAGAAGGTCTGGTATTATGTTGAGTTAATTTATACATTAGTTTTTGATGACTGTCATAGCTCAAAAAGGTACCTCACAAAAATATATTAATCTGAATGGAGGGAGTGACTGTACTATTAGTTGAGGTAATGAAACCATTATACTTGTCTTTTTTTAGCTTTTTCTTATGAAAAATTCAAATATATATAAAATTAGACTAGAATGATGAGTAGAGCTGGACTTCCACAATTACAAACTCATGGCCAGTCTTATTTCATCTCCACCTTCTCCTTTTCCCTCAGTTAGATTATGTTGGCATAGCCCCCAGGCTCATATAATTTTATTCTACATATTTTATTATGTATTTTTATTTTTATTTTTTATTTTGTGTGTATGTGTGCGTGTGTGTGTTTGAGACAGAGTCTCACTGTGTCATCCAGGCTGGAGTGTAGTGGCGCGATCTCAGCTCACTGCAACCTCTGCTTCAGAGGTTCAAGCAATTCTCGTGCATCAGCCTCCCGAGTAGCTGTGATTACAGGCGTGTGCCACCTTGCCTGGTTAAATTTTGTATTTTTTGTAGAGATGAGGTTTCACCATGTTGATCAGGCTGGTCTCAAACTCCTGGCCTCAAGTGATCCTCCCTCTTCGTCCTCCCAAAGTGCTGGGATTACAGACATGAGTCACTGTGGCCAGCTCATTATGGATTTTTAAAAGATGAGTGCTCATAAAAAGAAAACCCACACACCAATATTTTGTTTTTGTATTTCTTAATAATGCTTATAATCCAATGGAAACAAACATTTACTGAAGAAAAAAAGTTGTGTAAATTGCTGAAAATGCTAGGAGGCTGGGGGGACACTAACAGAAAGAAGATTAAAAAGTCTGTTGTATGAGTGTTGTGTAACACTTCCACATCTCAGGGAGAGGGATCTGTGTTCTCATAAAGTACACTTACGAAAATTAGTGACAGCACAACATTTGAGGTTGCAAAAAAATATTTTTTCTGGAAACACGTTTATGGAACAGATTGTGTATGTCAGAAGAATTTGATTGGTATTTTAAAATCCGTTATAATATCTCCAAAGTTCGGTGTAGCCCACCAAAGGAGACAATTCACACTTTCTTTCCTTTGCTCCTTTTCAGCTGTAAAATGTACATCTCAAGCACATCAAAGATGGTGACAGAGAAGAGTTAAGAAAGACAGCACATCCAGAGGAGCAAGGGACAAGATCTAAATAATTTCATGAAATGTTCCTTGATCCCAAGATTTCTGCAGAAATGTTCAAGTCTGTGATGTGTATTCTTGTGCATTGAGACATCCAGAATTTAATAGCCTGTTCTTAACTATGCAGAAGACCAAGCCACTAAGTAAATGCAAATGCTTTGACATTTTTATTGTTTCTTAAAAACCCAAATGAAAATTTCAATTTCATCTTTCATTCCTTTTCCCCAAAGCCAGTCTGCTGGTTAGCTGTCTTTAGTCTACAGCACGGTGTGAACACGTGGTGTCGGCACCACCACCCAGAGGCCATCAGCAGGGCAGGAGGCTGGGCATCTGGCAGCAGGATCTGGCTTTTCTCCAGAGCTTCTTTCTCCAATTGACTGGGTTGCCCTGAGTTTCTTTTGCACTTCCGAGACTTGGATACACTGAGATGGTCACCATTCAGTGGCTCTCATAGACAATGACCTTATGGTCTTGTCTCCAGCTAGAGACAGTGGAGACCTGGCAAGGAGGGTGGAGCCAGGTATGACAGGTAACTCCCAGGTGGGCAGGCCTGCGCCTTGCACACAAGCAGACTGGTGGCCGGGAGTGTTGGTGACTGCTGCCACCTGCTTGGCCTACAGGCGGGTGATACCACAGCTTTGATTCATTCGCCTCATCACTTCCTCTGGCCACAGCCACAGTGACCTCTTCCAGTTGTGAGGACTTCATGGCAACCTTTGGGTGTTGAGAGTTTCCTGGGAGTGCTTCAGATGGGGGCAAAGACCTAGGGGCCAGGACGTGTTTGGCAGAGGCAAAGAGCTGTCTCACAGGAGCTCCTGCCATCGGTGGGCGCTTCACACGTGAAGCCCAGACACCGGGACTGTGGGGTCCGCTGCAGAGCTGTACCTAGTTTGGGGGCACCTCAGCCTGGGGGCTTCCCTAGGCAGAAGCACCAGCCAGGTAAGTGAAAGGGTCTTCTGGGCTGCTTGGGGAAGTGGTGACCACGGAGGTCCGTCTTCCAGGAGACGGCCACAGGATGCACGGGAGGTGTGATCTGTTTCCACCCAGGGCCTCTTAAGGGTGGGCGCCAGGCCCAAGAGGTCCCCTGGCTTCCTGGGGTGCCTGAGGCCTGCGGGCTGGTGGCTGGCAGGGCTGGGCCACTTCCCAACCTGCGGACCTGTGCCAGAACCTGGGCGGGGTTCTCAATGAGGAAGCACCCAGACCCCAAGAGTGTGCACTGGGCCCTGGAGCAGGCCGGCCAGTGGGTCGAGCAGGTGCAGCCCCAGGTGCCGGGGTCGTGAGAGGTGAAGCCTTCCAGGCTTCTGGGTCCGGTGAGGACTTGGAGAACTTTTACATCTAGCTGAAAGATTGTAAATGCACCAATCAGTGCTCTGTGTCTATCTAAAGGTTTGTAAATGCACCAATCAGCTCTCTGTAAAATGAACCAATCAGCACTCTGTAAAATGGACCAATCAGCAGGACGTGGGTGGGGGCCAAATAAAGGAATAAAAGCAGGCCCCCCTGGAGCCCATCACCGCAACCAGCTCAGGTCACCTTCCACATTGCGTAAGCTTTGTTCTTTCGCTGTTCGCAATAAGTCTGATTGCTGCTCACTCTGGGTATGCACCACCTTTATGAGCTGTGACACTCACTGGGAAGGTCTGCAGCTTCACTCCTGAAATCAGCGAGACCAGGAACCCACCAGGAGGAACGAACAACTCCAGATGCGCCGCCTTAAGAGCTGTAGCACTCACCGCCAAAGTCTGAAGCTTCACTCCTGATCTTTAAGAACTAATACTCACCGCGAGGGTCTGTGGCTTCATTCTTGAAGTCAGACAACCCACCAATTCCGGACACAGTCGCACGCTGGGTGAGGAGGCAGTCGCTGCGGTGCTGCGCGTGGGCGGTCCGACCTGCTCTCACATAGGGGCCTGGCGGGTGCCAGGCATGGCAGGGAGGGTGCTGCTGGGGTGCCCCACACTTCTGACTGCAGGCCCGAAATATCCTCTTGGTATTCCTATGACATTTCCGTCCTCCACTTGGGGGGCGTTTGTCTTCTGAAGTCTTCAGACTCTTTGACGCCATCGAATGAAATGAAAAAGTGTTTCATAGCCACATTCTGACTTATTCCGGAGTACTGTAAAGACTAGATACATTAGCCATTTTATTCTTACAAAATTAAACGGTGGTGGTTTCTCAGTCTCATCACTGTGGACACGCAGGGACAGAGAATTTTTTTTGTTGTTGGGGGTGGGGGGCTGTGCTGTGAACTGCAGGGTGTTTAGTGGAATTCCTGGCTTCTACCCACCACATACCACCTGCCAGTAGCACCCCCACTCCTCCCTGCCTCAACTGTGAAAAGCAAATATCATGTCTCCAGATGTTGCCAAATATCCCCCAGGGAACAAAATCACCCTCAGCTGAGAACCACTGCCCTAGAATGTCAGCTCCAGGAGGGCAGTCAGTTTTGCATGTTCTGTGCATCCCTAAATCTGTGATGCCTACAGCAATGCCTAGCCCTCAGTAGGCACTTAGTAATTACTGCTTGAGTGAATGAATATTATCTTAGTGATTTTATTACAATGGGAAAAACCTGTTGTAATAAAACTCCTGTTTTTTCAATGGGGTTTGTGAGTTTCTCACTTGGGACTAATGAATATGCAAGCTGAGTAAAATTTTGTCAAGTACTGGATTGAATATTCCTGAAAAAAATGTATTTGTAGAGGCTGGTCTTCATGCTTTGGATAGTGGTATTGAGTTCTTACTCTGGCTTCATACCATTAATAGTTAATATCTTAGGGCTTAATGTACATTTAGGATTAGGCGCATTATTAATGATAGTGGATATAAATCATTTTTTTCAAATTACCTTTTTTGGGGACTGATTTTGTCTGATTAGATAGTTGTTTCTATCTTATAATAAAGCTGGAGAGCAGAAGCATGAGCCCTGCTAGTTTGTTCTTGTTCACTGGCATTTTAATATTTTAGCATCATCAGTCTGTAGAGTTTTCGCAGGACTCTTTTAAAGCCAGATATTGGCCAGGGACGGTGACTCAGTCTGTAATCCCGGTGCTTTGGGAGGCCGAGGCGGGCGGATCACCTGAGGTCAAGAGTTCAAGACCAGCCTGGCCAACATGGTGAAACCCTGTCTCTACTAAAAACACAAAAAATTAGCCGGGCATGGTGGCAGGTGCCTGTAATCCCAGCTACTCGGAAGACTGAGGCAGGAGAATCGCTTGAACCTGGGTGGCAGAGGTTGCAGTGGGCCAAGATCATGCCATTGCACTCCAGCCTGGGTAACAAGAGTGAAACTCTGTTTCAAAAGAAAAAAGAAAAAAAATCCAGGTATCCATTCTCATCAGGCTTATTTTCGTTAACACTAGATAATATAACTGGTAAAACCACCTAACTGGGTGCACAGAAACTGCAACCCTTAACAATTTATTGAAAGCTCACGGTCAAGTAACGACACCTCTCATGAATCCTTCAAGTCACAGAACTTACGCTCTTTTGTCTTGCATATCATGACATGAGGTCATCTTACTTAGGGCCTATATAATATATATAGATATAGTTCTTTTTTTTTTTTTTTTTTTTTGAGGTGGAGTTTTCTTCTTGTCACCCAGGCTGGAGTGCAATGCCTCGATCTTGGCTAACTGCAATCTCTGCCTCCCAGGTTCAAGCGATTCTCCTGCCTCAGCTTCGTGAGTAGCTGGGATTACAGGCACCCACCACCATGCCCAGGTAATTTTTGTATTTTTAGTAGAGGGTTTCATCATGTTGGCCAGGCTAGTCTCAAACTCCTGACCTCAGGCGATCCACCCACCTCAGCCTCCCAAAGTGCTGGGATTACAGGTATGAGCCACCATGCCCAGCCTATAGTTCTTAAAATATATATATAATATATATGTAATATATTATATATATATAATGTAAATATTTGTTGTTTGATTAAAATTAATGCGTAGAAGTTTTAATATTTTGTTCTCATACCATTAGTTTATCCCATGTGGTATGACACTCCCCTTTAAGAACCCCAGGCTAGTGCATTTTCAATCACATCCAATCTCCACAGCCTGGCATTCTCAGTTGTGGCAGAGACAGTGTTATACATTCACCAAATCTCATTTTATTTTCTTTTTCTGGGGCACACGGAAGATATATTTCCCAGCTTCCCCTGCAGTGAGGTGTGGCCATGTTCTCACACTCTGGCCAATGGCATGTGAGGAGAGCTGACTGTGTCCATTCTCAGCCGAAGTAGCTAAGAGCCAATGTACC
Source organism: Homo sapiens (assembly GCF_000001405.40). NCBI lineage: Eukaryota > Metazoa > Chordata > Mammalia > Primates > Hominidae > Homo > Homo sapiens. Next base: position 21,613,959 of record NC_000013.11, read on the forward strand.
TTCCTCCATGCCCCGCCTCTTCATCTTCTGCAGGGCTCTTAGAGGCCATGCATGCCAGCAGGCATAGCTAGGGTAGGTCTCTTGTTGACGGAGAGCTGCTGAGGAGAAACACACAATCTACATTTCACTGACTTTCTTGTGTTAAGAGACTGAGATTTTTGTGGTTGGTTGTCACAGCAGCTGGCATGGATTACCTTGACTAATACACTGGCTATCTATTAATATTCCCTATGTAAATTCTCCAATGCAGCTCTCAATTATTTACTGTCTATCATTGCCATCACTTTGAAGAACATTGTACAGCAAAATGAAACCCAATATTATATTATTAAAAGACTGTTGTTGAGGCTTTAGTTCAGTAAGCCATATTGTATGCCCTGATAAGAATCAATAGGGGAAGTTTCTCTTAGTTCTAGTGATAATAAAAGACCCCTCACCTTGTACCCAGCCTGCTCTTTTGGACACTCTGCATCTTGGTTGTGATCATGTTTTCCTCAGTTCTGACTCTGTGGCTCATGTCTAGTAATTGTGTGGGCTTTCTGATCTGCATTATTCTAGTTTTCTACCTTTGTTTTCCTGCGACACCACAATTTCTTGCTAAAAAATAAAAACAATTCCTTTTTTAGGCGTTTATTCAAATGTCTCAAATATTTTTTGGTAAAGAAGCTGATATAAAGATATTTTAAAATATGTAGACTTTTATCATTTTGTTTTATTTATTTATTTTTTTGAGACGGAGTCCTGTGCTTCTTGCCCAGGCTGGAGTGCAATGGGGGGATCTCGGCTCACAGCAACCTCTGTCTCCTCGGTTCAAGCAATTCTCCTGCCTCAGCTTCCCGAGTAGCTGGGATTACAGGCACCTGCCACCACACATGGCTAATTTTTTTGTATTTTTAATAGAGAGGGGATTCCACCATGTTGGCCAGGCTGGTCTTGAACTCCTGACCTCAGGTGATCCACCCTCCTTGGCCTCCCAAAGTTCTGGGATTATAGGCATGAGCCACGGCGCCCGGCCAATAATTTTTGGATTGTCATATTTTTCAGTTAGGATATTATCTTCTTGAGAGTTTGCAACATGTTTTCTAGATTTTTGGTAGCTCTCTTCATAATTTTTAAGAATTATTTATTGGTTGATTGATTAATAAAGATATTAGTATATGTGTTGATTTAAAGTGTTAAATTTAAAATGGAATTAGATGAGACTAATGGAACAGGAGAACTTAGGAAAGGGGACATTATAATACTAAACAATTAGAGAGCAGAAACAAATCTATAGGTGTATTTAGATGGTGCACACATCTTTTGTTACATATTTTCTATATTTCAGTTCAAAGGATATCAGAATGTATTACAATCATTTTGTAAGAAACATTTAATTTCTCATTCAAATGTATAGATTGAGAAGCACAATAACCTAAGATATTATTTAAGCAGAACATAGTGCTCACGAATTTCATTAAAAATCTTTTAATAAAGTAAAAGGAGAAAAGCAGTGAGATAGCACATGTGCACATGCAAAATTTTTTATTATAAGAATTGTCTAAGTATATTTCCCCCTAGTGCAAATACCGAAATTATCATAGCTGTGGAGAAACACATACTGACACACGGTATTGTGACTTTTTTCCAAAGATGATGGCAATGATGAATGACACAGCACTGTAAGTGCAGATAAGGACATGACATTAGCCCTATCTTAAGGCTGCCAGTATTGGATGGGAAGGCAGCTCTGCATCCTAAAGGCCACCAGTCCATACAGAAGGTGCTGTAAACCATTTCCATCCTTCCCTAGAGATTTGTGATGTTCCCCTGGGACAGGCTTTGAAAAATCACCATGGCTGTGGGTCCTTATTAACCAGCCACTCCTCAAAGAGCTGTCTGCAGCTTCAGAAAGATACACAGTGATTGAAAGCATAATCATTCTGAATGAATATTCAGAAAACATAAATATATATGCTGATGTATATGTATGTGTCTAACATTCGCTTATTTGAGGAACAAATAAATGCTTATTTGAATTTGTTGGTATAAAATACCTTTTTGTCTATGGTAATACAGTGTGCCCAGAAGGATGAAAAATTCAAGAATAAAGTAAAGTACTATTCATCCATATATAATACAGTATTATATCGTATAGTATAGATCTGAAGCATTCTTGGAAAAAAAAAGAAAAAAAAAGAAGGTAGCTCTTTGTCAAAATTTCACAGTGCTTCTTTCTGAAGCCTTATCAAAGTTCTAAATCCTTTTTTTGGCATGTGCGAGGGTCTTCAAAAATACTTTCTTCAGAGATCAAAATTCTAACTTTCAGATTGGGTTAAATACATTTTATAATTCATCCTGCAGCTGTTGGAGCTGTAAGGAAGTAAAATGAGAATTGCTTTTTAGGGTATATTTCTCAGCAAAGCAGTTTTGAAAATGAAACCAAATCTTCATGCTCCACTTGACATTGGAATTTAAAGTTATTTTTACAAGCTCCAATGCAGTAGCTATGTGAAACATTAAAGACTTATTAGAATATAGTAAGTTAATAATTAAAGCAAGTTTTCTTCTAACAGTTTGTTCAATAAATAAAAGCCACGAATACAAATTATATCTTGTTATCAGCTTTCATGCCTTTTTTTCATATTTACGCTTAAACCAAACCACACATTTTCTTGTGTAAAATGTTTCCTCCCTTTTAATTATAGCCTGATTTGCTGCCTCAGCAGGTAGAGCTTTTATTAACTTGAAAGTGTATTTGGTGCAAGTGGGAGATGTGGAAGCAAACCCTTAAAGGAAAATCACATTTTCCCTGAAATGCAGTGTGGCATCTAAATATAACCTTTACTATGTCCCTAGAATATTGAGGGATGGGAAAATTTTCAGGAATCCCTATCGGGGATAGATCTGCTTTCGATTTTACAAAAGAGTGACTGTATGGAGTCACTGAAACCAAACAGGAAAAAAAAAAAAAAAAAAAAAAGAGGAAAAAAAGGCTTCACATTGAAAGTAAAGGCCAAGAAAGAAATAAGCCACACAAAAGTGTGAGCAAAGGAAAAAAGTGTCCATCTTTTTTGTTTGTCTTTGACTGGAAAGGCCTTTGACCCTAGGCAATACTGTGCAGTGAATACTTTTGTCCTTTGTCATATTTTACTTCCTCCTTTCATGACAACCCCGACAAGTAGCCTGTGTACCATTCCTGGAGGGTCTGGCCCGGAGCTGACAACTAATCCCTGGTAAGGTCTATATAAAAGGCTCTTTTCAGAAAAGGGTGACTTGCATCCCTCCACTGACTGCAAGGACACAGGCTGAAAAGACAGCTTAAAGATCGAGGGGTTTAGGTTCATTTACAGTCAAGACTGTTGAATATCAGTTCCATGTGAATTCTGGAAGTCTTTAAAAATGAGAGAACTTCTCACATGTCTGAGACAGCTTAAATCTTGACTTTAATCTGGGGCAGCAAGGAAGACTAAAGTGGTAGCTAAAGTGCAAATTCTGGGTAACCTTATCATGCTTAAAGGCAGAATTCCAATGTCAGGCTTTTTTTATATACAAAAAGTTGTTTGAGGTCTTATCATTCCTGTTTTGTAAAATTCTAAAGAGCTGCGAAGCCCAGTTTGGGAGCAATTAGTAGAAAAACCTCATGTTATATATTTAAATGAATAATAATTAAAAACAAAACCAAAATAACTGAAACTGAACAAAAATAATGGCTTGCCCAACAGACAATGACAGAGTCAAAAACAGAAAATTCAGGTTTCCTCGTATCAATTTAGCACCCTTCCCATAACAACATACTACTTTTCAAATTCAAGTTACAGCAAATTAGCTAGTTGATGAGCTTTTTACAAATAACTAAAACATTCCATTAAATACAGTACAGCTGAGGACCAGCCTATCTTTCTAATAAGCACAGATATTTACTGGAATCAGTGTGGAAAATTCTGACTAGTTTAGATCAGTGCTTTTCAATACTGTAATGTGCAAACAAAATAACTTGGGCACCATGTTCAAATGTAATTTCAGGTTCTGTAGGAATAAAGTGGAGCTGGCATTTCTAAGAAGCTCTCAAGAGTTTCTGATGCTGCTAGTCTGAGGACCACTTCAAGTAGCAAGAGTTTAGACTGAGAATGGAGGAGAATGGAGGAGGTGTGAGTAGTTTTCACCTTAGGCAGGTGACATATACAGTAGGAGATGAAACAAATAAGCAAAAGTAAGATGACACATAAATATATCCTAAACATCTGATTTTTACATGTAAATTATTTCTTTGTGAATGATGGATTTTTTCCCAATTAGATGGAAGGCCCCTCCCGGTCAATACCTTTTTCATTTTTTTACAGGGTGTCTAGAAAAGCACAGTTAAGAAATGCCACCTGACGGACATGATCATAGATCACTGGAAATACCAGATGAAAATTCCAGGTGGAGCCTGGTTAATTCATTCTTGTGATAGAATTCCTTTCAGCAATGGATTATCCAAACGACTGGGTTGTGGGTTTCTTTGCAACTTCATTAATTCCCCAAGTATTTGCCACTTCAGAGGCAGCATAGAGGCAGGCAATCTCTCTGATGCCTGGGAGATTCTGCAGATTTCAAGGCCAATGGACAGAGTGTCTGTAGATAAATGGCTGTGAACTGTCTCTGGTTAGACCAGAGTCAGGGTAAGGAAGCAATGAAAAAGACTAGAGTTTCCTCAAAAATAGTTAAAAGCTGCGCTGTCCAGTAGAGTAGGCACTAGCCACTTGTGGCTTTTTAAATTCTAATTCATTAAAATTAAATGGAAAGCTTAAATCAAGTTCAGTAGTCTCACTAGCTACATTTTAAGTGATCAATGACCACATGTGGCCAGTGCCTGCTGCATTGAATGGCACAGATACAGAACATTTCCATCACCACGGAAAGTTCTACTGGACAGTGCCGCTACTCAGGGAGACAGAAAGGATGAAAGCTTGATTCCAGTGGTGGCTGGAAGTTCTGAAGAATGTTTAACTAGGCAGCGGTTGCTCTCATGACAGCATGTAAACTGGAGTAGGAAGCTAATGGAATGGGCAGGTTTAGACTGGGCAGTAAGGGTCTTTGTGTACAGGGGAGGGAGAGATTCTCATGGTTGGCCAGGGATAATGAATGGCTCAGTACCTCAGAGCCTCTGACAATTAATACATCTTCTGTCTATTGAAAGGCAACTTACGGCTGGGCGTGGTGGCTCACACCTGTAATCCCAGCACTTTGGGAGGCCAAAGTGGGTGGGTTACTTTGAGCTCTGGAGTTCAAGACCAGCCTGGGCAACATGGTGAAACCCTGTATCTACTAAAAATACAAAAAAATTAGCTGGGCTTGGTGGTGCACACCTGTAATCCCAGCTACCTGGGAGGCTGAGGCTGGAGATCACGCCACTCTACTCCAATCTGGGCAGCAGAGAGACACTGTCTCAAAAGAAAGAAAGGCAACACACAAATGATGAAAAGGTAAAGTACGGGGAAAAACAAAGAAAGATGAAACATTACTTGTTCACATTATAACCCATATTTTTGACTCACATTTTCTATGAGCAGTGGGTACACACCACCTTACCCCGCCAATCCTTCCTAGAACCCAGCCGCTCAGGAAAACATTCTATCCACCTGAGCATATAGTGCTTTCTGCAGTGCTGTAGCCTAGTCTACTTCTTTATATACCTTTTATGGTGGGTGCTCTACTCTTAGATTTTGTGGCTCCGCCTGTGGTAGACATCTGCTCTTGAGTTACTCAGCTCAGCCTGTGAAATCTTACTTTTGTGCTCAGGGATCAGGATCAGAGGTTCTGCTTTTATGTCTTATGACATTTTCTGATAATTGTTTCCATTCATTCATTCAACAAGTATTTTTATTAAACACCTACTAGATACCAGACATTTGCTGACTCTTCTATTTTCTTCTCTTCTTCAGTGACAGCTTCATTGTTCTGGTTGAGATTTAAACATTAATAAAATGAAATTGCAAAGCCAGAACTTAATATTACAAAATATGTTCTAAGTAGAGCAAACCACATTGTTTAGAAATCTGGGCCAAATGGATTAACATCTATCTCAGGAGCTGAGAAACTTGTATGGCTTTATGCTGTGGTCTAAGATCTCCTCTGAATACTCAACATCCTTAAGTCCCTGTATCAGTTTCTTAGGGTTGCCACACAAATCACCACACACTGGGTGGCTTAAAGCGACAGGTATGTATTTTCTCACAGTGCTGGAGGCCAGAAGTCTGAAGTCAAAGTGTCAGCAGGGCTCTCTGAGGGCTCGAGGGACGCGTACCTCCCTGCCTCTTGCCAGCTCTGCAGGTTACTGGCCCTCGCTGGCGCTTGCCTGGCCTAAGCTGCATCGCTCCAGTCCCTGCCTCCCTCAGCAGAGGGCTGCCTTCTCTGTGTGTCTGTGCCCAATCTCCTTCTCCTTTCTCTTAAAAAGATACCCGTCACTGGATGGAGCTGGAGGCTATAATTGTAAGCGAATTAACACAGGAACAGAAAACCAAATACCACATGTTCTCACTTATAAGTGGGAGCTAAACATTTAGGACACATGGACATAAACATGGGAACAACAGACACTGTGGACCACCAGACACGGGAGGGAGGGAGGTGTGGGTTGAAAAACTACCCATCGGGTACTATCATCACTACCTGAGTGCAAAATACACATGTAATAAACCTGCACATGGACCCCCTGTATCTAACATATAAGTTGAAATTAAAAAAAAAGATTCAAAAAAAGATTAGAAAGAAAAAAAATGCCAATCGCTGGATTAAGGTCCATTTTAATCCAGTAGGACCTCATCTTGGCTTGACTGCATCAGCAAAGTGGATTACATCTGACTCATTTCCAAATAAGGTCACATTCACTGGTACCAGGGGTTATAACTTGAGCATATGTTTTTGGAGGACACAGTTCGACCCACAACAGTTCCCTCAAATATATATACAGACTATACAGGCAGGTCATTGATTCCAGCCCTGATACAAGTAGTAAGGAAGCAGGACAGCAGAGAGAGGAGAGCGTGAGGTTTAACAAGAGAAGAAATAACATTACTCTGACCCTTGGTCCTTCCAGCTCCTCCAGGCAGCAGATGGGATGAGCCGTGAGGAAGATCAAAGACAGTCTGGGACCAGAGGGCAGAGTGATGAGCACACTAGACACCAAACGGGTCATAAATCACTTCTGGTCCTTTTAAGTTGCTTTTTGTGCCTTTTATTTTCTCCCTCCACTCTTTCCTACCACTTGCTTCTTCTCTCTCTGCCCTCACCATTCCATTTTCCATTCAGTCTCTCTGTCATCCTCATTCTTTGAGCCCCAAAGCAAGGAAGAAATACATTATGTGATCAAAGAACTTCCAAAGGACATTTACGTTTCCCCATTTGATTATCAGTACTTTATGAAATTTCATCATTTATGAACAAAACAACTCGAATGCAGCATTTTGAGGACAAACTGTAGAGCAGGTTTGTAAAGTTCTTTGTGCCTGATGTCAACCAAGGTTTGCTTGAGCCAGTTTTCTTAAATCTTCCATCCTGTCTTACTCATTTCCAGAGTACATGGTAGCAATGTACAGTATCTTATCAACCAATATATAGACATAGAAACAAATTAAGAAAACAGGAAGGACATCTCTTAACATTTCTTAAAGGGTTGGCTCATGTTACTGGTTAATCTACCCTGATTTCAATGAGACTTTTGGTCATTCCTATTACAAATATTTATAATATGCCCACTATGAACAAAGGATTTTGCTACCATGAGTGGATGATACAGAAATAAATAAGACAGTCCCTGCTTTCAAGAAGTTTGCAGTTTTGGGAGAAATATATAAACAACTCTTACATAAGGTAAAATGGGATAAATGCTGCAAGAAAGGTTCAAAGTGTTTGGGATATATTTGAGAAAGAAGGGATTAATTATGACTGGGAGTGTTCTTAGAAGAGGTAATAGAGTTTGTGTTGGGAATTCAAAAGTGGCAAGTACACCGATAGTAGACATTCCTCAAAAGACGTTACCACTAGAGCTACTTGAGCAAAGCTGCTGAGGCAAGACAGAATAGACCATATTTTGGGAGAACACCAACAACTGTTGAGTGTGGTTCAAGAGAAGTGTCATGCAAGATAAGGCTGAAAAGACGTTTAAAGATCCAAGAGTGAAGCACTGTGCTTTGAATTCTATGTTTAGAGGCGAATCACCAAAGTTTCTAATTGGAGGATTAGGAGATCAGTTAGAAGGCTGTTGAAATGGTCTAAGAGTCCAAAAATGAAGAGTTGACTGAGGACAGGAGCAGAGGATGTGGTGAATGGGGAGCCCGGAGGCATAAGGTAGAGGTAGAATCAAAAGGTCCTGGCAGGTTATGGGATGTTGAAGATGAGGGAAACCACGGAGCAATTAGAATCTTGGCATTGCTTTGCCATGAACGAGGAAGGGCCCAGGGAGGAGCAGCTTTATGAAGGGAGAAGAGATGGGGTGAAGAAGGGAGAGTGACAACTTCATTTTGGTCTAGTGGTATCTGAAGCTTATTATTATTATTTTTTGTAATCAGAGTCTTGCTCTGTGGCCCAGGCTGGAGTGCAGTGGTGTGATCTTGGCTCACTGCCACCTCTGCCTCCCGGGTTTAAGTGATTCTCCTGCCTCAGCCACCTGAGTAGCTAGTACTACAGGTGCCCGCCACCATACCCGGCTAATTTTTGTATTTGTAGTAGAGATGGGGTTTCACCATGTTGGCCCAGGCTGGTCTCAAACTCCTGACCACAGGTGATCTGCCTGCCTCGGCCTCCCAGAGTGTTGAGATTACAGGCATGAGCAATGGCACCTGGCCTCTGAAGTATTTTTGTAATAATGATGTAGGGAAGTCCAGCAGGTAGTGAAAATGCATTTTTGGAATTTTGAAGAGCAGTCAGGGTTAGGTTCTTAGGCTCAGAGATGAAGAGTATTAACTAAAGAATGAAGTTTACAAAGAAAGGGGATGACGAGCTCTTTTTATACTATAGAAATACTATATTATTGGCTGGGTGCGGTGGCTCACGCCTGTAATCCCTGCACTTTGGAAGGCTGAGGTGGGTGGATCACGAGGTCAGGAGATCGAGACCATCCTGGCTAACATGCTGAAACCCCGTCTCTACTAAAAAATACAAAATATTAGCCAGGCGTGGTGGTGGACGCCTGTAGTCCCAGCTACTCGGGAGGCTGAGGCAGGAGAATGGCTTGAACTCAGGAGGCAGAGCTTGCAGTGAGCCGAGATCGTGCCACTGCACTCCAGCCTGGGCGACAGAGCAAGACTCTGTCTCAAAAAAAAAATAAATAAATAAATAAATAAATAAAAATAAATAAATGCTATATTATCCACATTTGAAGTAAATTTATTGTATTGGGAGACACAGAAACAAAAGCATTAGCATTTACTAAGCATAACTGCCTAAAGAGGAAAAGGTATACAAAAAGGAAAAACATTAATAGGGTAAGAAAAGACTTAAGGATTCTAGGGAAAGAAGTATGTATCACCCTCAGGGCCTAATTGAAAGAAGTATTTGATTGAAGGATGTCTCATTATTGGGGGATTTAAAATTTTCTAATGGGTCATTGAAATGTTGTATAATATATTTACACAAAAATTTGGATAGGACAGATTACAGGGCTTTCCAGGCAGCCATTGAACTGGAAAAATACTTTTACCTGCTATAATTAAGTCCTTCTAATCAAGTAAAAGACATTTCTAGTTATATGTAATTTGACTATGATTTCCCCAATGGTTGCCCAAAATGGAATGGGCTTCATTGGGAGGCCTTACATTTTCCACTCAGGAAATGTTCAAGAAAAATCTGATTGGCCATTTGTTGAGGATATTTCAAAAGGCACCCCTACTCTGAGTGGGAAGCTGGCCTCAGTGACACCCTGAATGTGAGAGGTTTCCATGTTGTTTCCAGGATTGGTTGCTCAGGACTGTGTCAGGCACTGTCTATAAGAAGCTGGTTACTGTTCTCTGACAATCCTGTTGTTAATTCTCATGGAACCCAAAGTGGAAAGGACCACAGAAAATTGTAAATAATTAGTGCCTTTCATCTTTCCTCATGATTCTTATTTTTCTAACCTTTTTTTAAAATTTGAGACGGAGTCTTGCTCCGTTGCCCAGCTGGAGTGTAGCGGCATGATCTCGGCTCACTGCAACCTCCACCTCCTGGGTTCAAGCCATTCTCCTGCCTCAGCCTCCCAAGTAGCTGGGACTACAGGCACACACCAGCATGCTCAGCTAATTTTTGTATTTTTAGTAGAGATGGGGATTTCACCATGTTGGCCAGGATGGTCTTGATCTCTTGACCTCGTGATCTGCCCGCCTTGGCCTCCCAAAGTGCTGGGATTACAGGCGTAAGCCACCGTGCCCCGCCAATTCTTATTTTCTAACCCTTTAACGTTTTCAGTTCCTGGGTGTGAAGAATAAGAATGAAAACATGTTTTAATGGATGTTTTACTTTGTTTAAATTTTGAAAGGGGCCATGAAGAGAAGATTTATTTTTAAACAATATCTTTGAAAGTGCATATCCCCCTTTGCATGTGTCTGCTTTGCCTTCAACTTTCCACCCTGCTGTGAGTAGCACTAGAGCTGAGCCGATGCCCCTTGAACTTCGCAGCCTGAAAAACCATGAGCTAAATAAACCTCTTTTCTTTATAAATTAAAAAAAAAATGTTGAGCCAACTTTTTGGGTTTAAATGAAAAAATTATCAAAGTATGTTATCATAGTTGACAACTTGATACCAATACAAAATGCCTTATATGTTTTTGAATTGACTACAACATTGAAAATTTTGTCTATACATACGTGATACACTTAATTACTTAGCTTTTTTTTTCTTTTTTTTTTTTTGAGACAGAGTCTCCCTCTGCAGCCTAGGCTGGAGTGCAGTGGCGCGATCTCAGCTCACTGCAAGCTCCGCCTCCCGGGTTCACGCCATTCTCCTGCCTCAGCCTCCTGAGTAGCTGGGACTACAGGCGCCCGCCACCATGCCTGGCTAATTTTATTTTGTACTTTTAGTAGAGACGGGGTTTCACCATGTTAGCCAGGATGGTCTCGATCTCCTGACCTCGTGATCTGCCTGCCTGGGCCTCCCAAAGTGCTGGGATTACAGGCCTGAGCCACCGCACTCAGCCTATTTGAATTTTAATTGCTTTTCTGTGCTTGGAATATGTGTTTATGCTCACTATTGTCATATAATTAGTCCAACTGAAAATGGAAAAACTGAAAATAGTCTTCATAAATCTTTTTTAAAACATTTTTTAAATAAATTTTTTTTTGTTTTAATAGAGATGAGGTCTTGCTGTGTTGCCCAGGCAGGTCTCAAACTCCTGGGCTCAAGTGATCCTGCTGCCTTGGCCTCCCAAAGTGCTGGAATTACAGGTGTGAGCCACCATGTAAAGACAGCCAGTCTTTGTACATATTAAATAAAAATAAAGATAAAATATAACTACTTAGTATCTTCATCTACTCCAGTAGTGCTTTTATAATAGATTAAAAATAAGATTTTTGTTCTATCGTTTTGCCGTTTTGTAGTCAGAGTCAGTATTAGTTCAATGTGTAGTCTCGTTAGCAAGCATCATAGTCACATCTACTTTGCTAACAATAGGTGGCACCAGCACACAAGCGTCTCATCTGTATTCAACCCAACAGAAATACCAAGAGATAGGAGGGAAATAGAAAATATTCAAAATGCTCGAAGGCAACGAATTCAATTCTGATGAACAGATATGTTGGGGAGCCACGTGAAATAAGAGTTGTGCTCCAGTGGGTAGGCGCTTCAAACTATGGACATAAATGCCCAAATATGTGAGGTAGTTTGGTCTTTTATTGAGAAAAATGAAAGAAAAACAAGCTGTCTTGGGAAATGTCTAACCAGAAAATCTATCTGATTTCTCAAAATAAATTCCGAAGAACAGAGGACACCAACGATTGTACCTGTGTGTCGCACTACAACACTGGCAGAAGTAGAAGCTGCACGAGAGAGTGGGGAAGAAAAAGCAAGAAGGGTAGAAATGGGATGATAATCAAATGCCCCAGGACTTTGAAACTTCAAAAAAAAGGTGTTATGTACTTTCTGCTTATTTTTTCCTAAAATGTGTAAAAAGCGTGCTGATCATGTAGATGACTAAGAAAATGTCCTCAGGGGAGAGAAAAACCCATGAAGATGGAGAATTGATTACAATTATCATACAACATTTCTCGTCACTTACGTTTTGCATTTGTAAAACTAGCACACATGAAACTTTTATTAATTTTTTCTTATTCTTTTTCTTTCTCTTTCTTTTTCTTTTCTTTTTTTTTTTTTTTTGAGATGGAGTCTTCCTCTGTTGCCTAGGCTGGAGTGCAGTGGCGCAATCTTGGCTTACTGCAATCTCCGCCTCCTGGGTTCAAGCAATTCTCCTGCCTCAGCCTCCCGAGTAGCTGGGGTTACAGGCAGCCGCCACCACACCCAGCTAAATTTATTGTATTTTTAGTGGAGACAGGGTTTCATCATGTTGCCCAGGCTGGTCTCAAACTCCTGACCTCAAGAGATCTGCCTGTCTTGGCCTCCCAAAGTGCTGGGATTACAGGCGTGAGCCACCATGCCCCACTCTTTTATTAATTTTTTCTTAAGAAGCAGTGCAATTTGGGTGTTTATCACCAGAGTGTTGCCAACCTTCACTACACAAAGGTTTCTTTTAAAATAAGCTAAATTTAATTGTATATCACCTTGTAAAAACCTAATTGCTGTTAAATTTTCTCTTTAAACTAAAATCTTTATTGAAATAAGAGCACAACAATCAATGGATTAATTTAATACCTCTGAGTCTCCTTCATTTATTTGTGAAATGTAAGGGAGGAATATTTTAAATGTTCCTCCACTGTTGTATAAGAATGATATATGATTTAGAGCAAGAATTAAGGAAATATAAACACCCAAGTACAACAGTACAACTAAATATCTTATTATGAATACTTTAAAGTTAATTCTTTAATTTTTTTCCTTCTAGTTATAGGTTGACAAATTTATTGTGAATCTTTTTTTTTTTTTTTTTTTTTTGAGATGGAGTCTCACTCTGTCTCCCATGCTGGAGGCCAGTGGCACGGTCTCAGCTCACTGCAAGCTCCGCCTCCTGGGTTCACACCATTCTCCTGCCTCAGCCTCCCGAGTAGCTGGGACTACAGGCGCCCGCCACCACGCCCAGCTAATTTTTTGTGTTTTTAGTAGAGACGGGGTTTCACCATGTTAGCCAGGATGGTCTCGATCTCCTGACCTCGTGATCCGCCTGCCTGGGCCTCCCAAAGTGCTGGGATTACAGGCGTAAGCCACCACGCCTGGCCTATTTTGAATCTTTCCTAATACCAAACATCTACAAGGGTATAGTATGGCTCAGGTGGTTTTTGGACTTTATGGTCTTTGGAGTAAAAATACATTGCTTTGAATATATACACATTACTTGAATATCTTTTGCTAATAAAATATTTCTTCTATTATCTACTTTTCTTGCTTGCCTATGGAAGCTATGATTACATCTCAAATCCTAATTTTTTTTTTTTGAGATGGAGTCTCGCTCTGTTGCCCCGGCTGGAGTACAGTGGCGCGATCTCGGCTCACTGCAAGCTCCGCCTCCCGGGTTCACGCCATTCTCCTGCCTCCCCAGTAGCTGGGACTACAGGTGCCCGCCACCACACCCAGCTAATTTTTTTTGTATTTTTAGTAGAGATGGGGTTTCACCATGTTAGCCAGGATGGTCTCGATCTCCTGACCTCGTGATCTGCCCGCCTCGGCCTCCCAGAGTGGTGGGATTACAGGCGTGAGCCACCGCGCCCGGCCTCAAATCCTAATTTTTAAATCAAATACTTAAAATTAGTAATTCTCCTTAGCAATTCAGTAAGTTTTGTAACCTAACCTTAATACTCATCAATGATACAAAATACTTTGGAAGGTGAAGCATTAAAAAACAACTTTAAGAAACATACACTACCCATATAACATATATTTTTAAATATTAGGTCAAATTATTTTTTTTTCATAAAATCACTCCCAACATTCCGAATTACCCAGATTGCCTGAGTTTGATAATTGTCTTTACTTGTATATATCTCTCTCCAAGTAGATGCTAAGGTACTTGAAGCCAAATTACTTTCTTGAGTATTTCACTGATAATTTTTTGTGCTACTTTCTCTGCCTTCCCCAATCCTTGAATCCTTCTTAGTCTGATGTCACACATCTTAGATGGATTCTGATCCTGTCTGGGTTTCTGTCAGAAGTAATCCAGTATCCGTATTATTTTGTAAGAAACCTGCGTTTTTCTTCGCTGTGCACTTCTGCTACCACTATTCCAACTGCTTTCTTCCAGAATTTTGTAATTTCTCACCTGCTGATGTGTCTCTCCTGATCTCATTATTACTTACGTTTGTATTTTAACAGAGTATCAGAAAAGAGAGAAGATAAATGTGTGTGAATATATATTTTTATGTAGTCATTTTTGTTTGTAATTGAAACTCTGGGAATTCAAAATTAACATCCTTGCCCGTGAGCTTCTTATAGACACCAGAAAAAGTTTCAACCTTGTGTTCCACATTGTTCTGCTGTGCTTTGTCCAAATGAACCTTTATGAGCCGGCTGCCATCTAGTTTCACGCGGATTCTCTTGCCCACAATTTCGCTTGGGAAGACCAAGTCCTCAAGGATGGCATCGTGCACAGCTGTCAGAGTATGGCTCCTGGGACGCTTTTGCTTATTTTTTGTACGGCTTTTTCGAGTTGGCTTAGGCAGAATTCTTCTCTGAACGATAAAGACGACATGCTTCCCACTGAACTTTTTCTCCAATTCGCGTACTAGCCGGACTTGAATTTTCTGGAAAGATTTCAGTTGAGGAATGGGAACAAAGATTATGATAGCTTTCCGACCACCACCAAGTTCAATTTCCTTGGCTGCCGTAATATTCAGCTCCCTGAGCTGAGCTTTGAGGTCCGAGTTCATCTCCAGCTCCAGAAGAGCCTGGGAGATGCCGGACTCGAACTCGTCCGGCTTCTCATCATTGGGCTTCACGATCTTGGCGCTCGAACTGAACATGGCCTTCTCCTGGGAGAACTCGCCGAGCGCCGGCTTAGGAAGAGGTCTTCTTTAACTAGAACTGAAAGTAGTTTTATGGTTATTTGGGTGAGAATTTAAGACATTAACTTATATTGGTGGTTCTTAAAGTGTGGTCCTCGGACAGCAGCATCAGCATCACCTGGGTGTTTGTTAGCAATGCAGAATCTTGGACCTGTCCTGGACCTGCTGAATCAGAATTTCAGGGATACGGCCAAGTAGTCCTTGCTTTAAGAAGCACTCCGGGTGATTCTATTGCAAGGTAAAGTTTGAGAGCCACTAATTTAATTGGACATTCTTAGGGCGTCGATTCTTTGTTAACCTCTTTGTTTTTATATTGAGTGAATGTTTGTACTTCTCTTTATTGTTTCCTTCTTTTGACTTTCTGTTTATTTATTTATTATTAACTTCCTAAGGGCACGTCTAAATTCTAGTCTTTATTCTTTTCTAATATAAGCATATGTCTTAACATTTTTTTGAAGTACCAATTTTGCTATATCCTCGCAAGTATTCAAATATAGTATTTCTAGCATTCATTTACACATACTCAAAATTTTCCGTTACAATATCTTCTTTTACCCCTTTTTCGAGGTTTAAAAATTCCAAATACAGACTTTGGTTTATCTTTTTGTTACTGTGTTTCTCAAGTTTAGAGAATGTGGCCAGTGTGATATTTCTTTAAAATATAGAGACTTGCTTTATTTTACTTTCTGTAAATATCTCATTTGTGCTTGAGAAGAACGTATATTTTCTAATTATTGACTGTGTTCTGAATATGTTCAGTAAGTCAAGCTTGCCGTTGTGTTGTTGGAATTCTCTATAGCTATAGCTGCTGGTTTTTATTCTTTGTTTCCTTGACTTGGCTTTTTTCTTTGTTTGAGAAAGATGTGTTGAACTCCCCTGCCCCCACCTTATGATGGTAATTTCTCAATTTCTTCCTGCAGTTCTAGCAACATTTGCTTGATACACTTTGAGATACATAAATTTTAGAATTACAGTGATTTGGAATTTCTTTTTCTATATCTTTACTTTTAAATTTTCCGTAGTCCAGATGTTTTAGGTCTGATTTTTGTGAGCTGCATATGGCTGGTTTTTGCCTGTTTTTTATTGGAAAATTTGACCCACTTTTATTGGGATTATAGATATATTTCATTTTGTTTCAATCATCTCACTTGGTACTTTCTATTTGTCTAGATTTTCCTATGCTTTTACCCCTTCCTTCTTGCCTTTTAAATACTGATTTAAAAAATTTTATTCATTTAATTCATTATTTCCCTGTCTACTGGCTGAAAATTATTACATTCAAAAAAAAAAAAGAAAAGAAAATCATTACATCTATTTTCATGCTTGAAATCTTGCTATGCATGCAATTATCCCCTGTTATCCATGGGTGATTGGTTCTAGGACCCCTAAGGATGCCAAAATTCATGGATGCTCAAGTCCCTTATATATAAAATAGTATAGTATTTGCATATAACTTATGCATATCCTCTCATATGCTTTAAATAATCCCTATTACAATGTTAATGCTATGTAAATAGTTGTTACACTATATTGCTTAGGGGATAAAGACAAGAAAAAAAAGTCTGTACATGTTCCGTATAGATGGAACCACTGTAGGCTGAAGTCTATTTTCCATCTGTCATTGATTGAATCTATGAATGTGAAACCTGTGGATACAGAAGGCTGACTGTACTGACTTTATCAACACTTCCAATTAATATTTTAGTCTCCTTTTGAACAATTCAGGTCCTTAGAATGCTTTAGCACTGATCACTTTCTCCCAGCTTACATGTGATTTTCATCCATTATTTCATTCTATCCTTTTGCTTATCATTACAAATCAGACACTGCTGTTGATTCAAAAGACAAATACTTCCTTGGATTTTCCCACAATTTAAACAAGTTATTTGCCCACTGTTTCTTCCTGTATTTCAGTTCCTCCTTCTGAGATAATTTTTTCTTTTTTCTGAATACATCTTTTAGAAGTTCCTCTAGTATAGTCTATTGGTGGTAAACACTCTCAGTTTTTAATTTATCAGAATATTTCTTTATTTTGAACTCTTGAAAGATAATGTTTCTGGACATGTAATTCTAGATTGATAATTACTTATTCTCAGCATTTTGAAGATATTTGACTGCATTCTTGCTTCCATTATTGCTTCTGAGATATCTACTTACTATCCAAGTGTTAATTCTTAGTGATTTGTCTTTCTACTGTTAAAAAGTCTTTCTGTAGTGATCAGTAGTTTACTAAGATGTATCTAGATGTAAATTTTTTCTTGTCTTGTTACATAATGTGGTGCTTCCAATGTCTATGAATTCATATCTTTCTTTAGTACTGGAAAATTTTGTCATTATCTTTTTAACTACTGTCTCTTCTCCATTTTATTTCCTCCTTCTATTAGACTTTTATTTTCCATTCTCCTGTATCTATTAATGCCTTTTTCCAGTTGAACAGATGGCAAACATCACTTTTGAGTTAACAGAGTAAAGGTTGCATGTATAATTCTCTACACTCTCTCTTCCCTATATTTTTGCCCTCTATGCTGTATTCTGAATAATTTCTTCACATCGGCCTTCCAGTTCACTGATTTTTTCTTCCACCATGTTTTCTGCTGTTTAATATGTTGATTGTTTTTTATTTTGACAATTGCTATTTTTTATTTATAAACTATAAATGTTTCATTTTTGATAATTTCCTATAGTTTGATTTTTTTGATTCCATCTAAACATAATATGCATAATATTTTATAGTCTATGGGTGGTAATGTAAATATCTGAAGTTCTTGAGTATCCAATTCTGTTGTTTGTTATTTCTGCTGACTCCCACTCTTGGTGATTTATCTTTTCTTTTTTGGCTTCATGATTTTTTGATTGGGGGCTCATATATGGTTGATCTTAATGTGTGGAAAACCTGGGGACCTAAGTTGAAGTTGTTTGTTTCTGCTGGAGGCCAGGGTTTTCATTAGGCCCTTGTAGACTCTCTGGCCAAACCATTGTATCTGAAGTCGACTCCCCTCCCTTTGTGCGGGCTAGGTTAATGTTAACATTTATCCCTGGGGCAATGCTGCCCTTTACCTATTCTTGTAGCTCACCGTTTATTTTTTATTCTTGTGGGTTTTTATTATGAATCAATTAGAGTAGGATAGTTTGCATGATTTTAATAAATAATTCAAAAAAATCTCAGTGATTTACAATAATACAAGTTGAATTCTTAGCCATTCAAGGTCTGCTCCAGGTCAGAATACCTGCATCTACAGCACACCTGTCCTCCATGCCATGATCTACCTGCCCAGGTTACTTTGTTCTTTTGGCTCCACTATCTCAAGGTGAGGCCTCAACTTCATGGCATATAAGGAAGAGAGAGTGTAGAGAATTATACATGCAACCTTTACTCTGTTAACTCAAAAGTGATGTTTGCCATCTGTTCATTTTTAACCATACAGAACTAGTTATGTGACTTCCCTCTGCAGGGGACCTGAGAAGTACAGTTTTTCATGTGCCCAAGAAAGAATAAAGAACCAGGTGTCAGGGAACTCTAGTAATGCCTGCCATATCTTAATTACCGTAAGCCTAGTGATGCAGCAAAAATTGTATATTATGCAGAATTTATTTGTTTCACAGTGAGAGGGCCTACCAGACTATCTAGCCTACCATTCTGCTGGATTGGAAATTCCTAGGTTATTCTGATGTGGCACTAAGATTGAGAAGCAATAGGTGTCACAAATCCTATTTTGACTTTTAAAAAATTTAATTGACTAGTTCTTCTGAGATGTGTGGAATTAGGAGATACTATATAATTTGATTTACCTAAGGGCAAAAACTTGTACTCTTTAAATTTAATAAATGGAATTTAGTAGATATGAGTTTGGACAGAGACAGAATAGAGTAGGTCATATAAATATAAAGGAAGGTTTTTTAAAAATGTGGATTAAACAGGCTGGGTGCCGTGGCTCATGCCTGTAATCCCAGCACTTTGCGAGGCCGAGGCGGGTGGATCATGAGGTCAGGACATTGAGACCATCCTGGCTAACATGGTGAAACTCCATCTCTACTAAAAATACAAAAAAAAAAAAAAAAATTAGCAGGCGTGGTGGCGGGCGCCTGTAGTCCCATCTACTGGGGAGGCTGAGGCAGGAGAATGGCGTGAAGCCGGGAGGCAGAGCTTGCAGTGAGCTGAGATCGCACCACTGCACTCCAGCCTGGGCAACAGAGCGAGACTCCATCTCCAAAAAAAAAAAAAAAAAAAAAGCAAACAAACGTGGATTAAACAGGACTGGGAAAGGTAAATAATTTTTGGGAAAAACGTAAATAATTTTTGGAAAAATGTATAAGGCACACATGCTGTAATTCAACACTATCCTTTGAGCATTTTCAGATTCCTCTCAGGTAAGCATCAATAGTGATACTCAGGTGAAATAATTAATTCCAGAGCATTAAGGATGTGTAACATTAGTGGAATTAGTTCTTTTTAATTTTTATTAAGATGATTAATCTTTTTACTTCTTTTATTGATTAAAAAAACATGTTGTGATAGAAGTTTATATATGTTTTTCCCTAGGCTCTGAAATAAGCTAAATTAAGAAGCACAATGAAACAGGTCAAGAGTAACAAAGTTAATTGATATATTTTACTCCAAACTCTAGTAAGGCTTATTAGGATCTCTGTCTCTAAGTCTAATGTGAGTTACAGAGTTTTGAATAATTGCCCTGTATGCAGCTGGAAGAAACAACTTAAACAGGAAAGAAATGTATTATGTCACAACACTATTAAGGAAGCAAATATAGAGTTACTAGTGTTTAAATCTATTTTCAGTATTTTAAAATTATATGTTGCATAAAAATACTAAACTCAAAGCAGCTTATCGAGTCTCTCTTTGTCTGAGCAGCTGCCAAGGGCTAATGATTATAATTAGTATTATTATTGTTAATAATAATAATAATTAATAAAGTCTATCTTAAAATGTGATGCTTTAAAAAATAATATTGAAGATGACAAAGTATATATTTCTCCCTCAATAAAGTTTAAGATTGTAAAACTACATCATAATTATTGTTTCCAACAAAGCATATCGTTTTTTTTTTTTTGAGACAGAGTTTCGCTCTTGTTTCCCAGGCTAGAGTGCAGTGGCGCGATCTCAGCTCACTGCAACTTCCGCCTCCCAGGTTCAAGAGATTCTCCTGCCTCAGCCTCCCAAGTAGCTGGGATTACAGGTGACTGCCACCATGCCCGGCTAATTTTTGTATTTTTAGTAGAAACAGGGTTTCGCCACCTTGGCCAGGCTGGTCTTGAACTCCTGACCTCAGGTGATCCACCCGGCTCAGCCTTCCAAAGTGCTGGGATTACAGGTGTGAGCCACCACGCCCAGCCAGCACATCATATTTTAACTGGGATTATATCCTCTAGTCAAGATACTTAAAGAAAATACTTATGAAAAATACATCAAATTCTTTGGGAAAAGAGATGCTATCTGAATAGAGGAAAAGTTATGATTATTCTAACATCTGTACTAACTGCAAGAGAGAAAGACTTGTTCTTTTCATTATATGCATTTATATGAAGGTTTGAGTTTTCTAGAAGTTAATTATATTTTTTAGTAAAATTGACCTCAAATTTTAAAGATATTGTTTCCCAAAGTAAATTGTGGTATAGGATTCTGCAGATTTCTTAAATAATGACCAACTAAAAGGAAAAGGTTTTTGTTGGCACTTAACTGTGGTATAATAAAAGGTAACATGAGCGATACCTCATGCCTTGCACTGATGCAGTGTCCAACATGTTTGGGCTCACTTACTGATCCAAAAGCCCTAGGAGGAAGTCACCGTGTTTGACTGCTGAGGACGGAGGCTTGGAGAAGTTAGGTGAGTTCTGTCACCCAGGCTGAAGTGCAGTGGTGAGATCTTGGCTTACTGCAAACTCCACCTCCCATGTTCAGGCAATTCTCCTGCCTCAGCCTCCCGAGTAGCTGGGATTACAGGAGTGTGCCACCTTGCCTGGCTAATTTTTGTATTTTTAGTAGAGACGGGGTTTCACTATGTTGGCCAGGCTGGCTGGTCTTGAACTCCCGACCTCAGGTGATCCGCCTGCCTCAGCCTCCCAAAGTGCTGGGATTACAGGCGTGAGCCACCACGCCATGCTCAGTCTTCCTTTTCAACTCAGTGTTGTGCTACTTCTCAGGGAGAAAGTCATTGAACTACACTATTGATATATCATCGCTCTTTTTAAAACTAAACTCCCACCCCAACTAATGAATTTTCAGTGGGATAATAGGTAACATCTGAAATTGGAAAAGAATTGTATACTTTTAGATCTGGGAGAAATCTTTGAGAGTATTTATTAACTTTACTTTTAAAAAGGAAATAAAACAAACCCAGAGACTTGAAGTTTTTGCATTGGATCCAGCAATAGAACCCAGATCTACTGACTCCTAGTTACGTACTTTCTTCTAAGTGAAGATTTTACCTTTTTTTAAAAAAAAAAAACATCAATTGTTGTTTAGGCTTTAATAATTTAGCATACTCTAAGATAGACTAATAAAAACAAAGCCTAGCATGTTAGATTGTTAATGATGAAAGTCTTGTTTATTTCTTACCAAATAATCATGAAGCTACATTTCCTACCTCCAACACTTTCTTTTTTCTTATCTGTCTTTACTAATTAATTCTTGTAAAATGTGCATCCAGTTTCTTTAAATGGGAAAGTGACAAGAAGGTGAGTCTACTGCTTTTATTGATGATAAACAGTGATTTAAAAATAAATGCCCTACATGTGCCTGAAAATGTCTTTGGGAAACGTTTTACCTCCTGGGTATTCTGTTGGAAGACTTTGGGAGATTGGCTCCGTAGCTTGTGGTCACCAACCTGATGGCCTGGTAACAATATTTTGGGGGCCAGTCTGTACCTCACACTTCTGTGTCAATTTATTCACCAGAGGCATCGCTTCTCTGGGCTGTGTTGTAAGAAGGTTTTTCAATTGACCATTGCCCCATCATAAGCACCCTAGCAGACGCTGTCTTATTATAGCTTATGGTAGCTACCTTTCTGTAGTCCTGTTCTAGCTCTCCTGTGACAGCAACAGCAGCTCTGGGGTTTGATGACATCCACGGTTAGGCAGCAATATCCGCCATGCCCCATGGGAAAGTCTCAACTCTCATTGTGGAAGTAGCATAGAGATCGCTGAAGTGTGGACTCATCATTTCCAGTGGTTTCTTAATTGTGGGATAGAGAGAAGACCAACAGCTTTGATAGCAGAGGAGCAGGGAGAAGAGAGGGAAACTAATATTTATAGGGCACCTGCTCAGGGCCAGCGACATGCTAGGGTCAATTATTGAATCTAGATATAATCTCCATTTTATGGATTGAAGAATTCCATTTTATGGATTGAAGAATTCCATTTCTGAGAGGTCAGGTAACTTGTCCGAGGTTACCCAATTTACTTGGGCAGACCTGAGATTCAAGTCCATGTGGCCAGCTTTGGGCCTGATTGTGCTAGGACCCTCACAGTTCTGCTGAGCCTGCCCGGCTGCATTTCCCAAGCTCCAGGTCAGGTGGCTTCTGCATTGGCTGGGTTAATAGGAGACACTGGTTGGAGCTTGGCAGGAAGGGAGAAGCCAGTGAATCTCTCCCTTTCATTCTCTCTCTTCCATGGCTTTGCTAGGCCCATCGGGGTCCTGCTGCACCAGGTGACTGTGAAGGCCACTCACCCCTCTCGCGCTTTCTTCAGGTTGGTGGCAGTTTCCTGGTGTTGCTAATCCCTGAATTGCTTTGCTCAGCTCTTCCATCCCCTCTGTAGCCAAGCTGTTTATTAAATTCTCCAAGAGGCTTCTGGTTCCCTAGCTGGACCCTGACCTCTATTCCAAGTTTACTTAACTCTAAAGGTGGTATTTTAAAAGAAATCATCTGGCTTAAGTCCAAGGGCTGCCATTTATTACTTCAATTCTTTTTCTTTAAAATTGAGCTACATTTTTTGCTTTCTTTTCCCCCCAGGATTGTCTGAGGTGCAAATGAGATAATGTAGGGGAAATCTTCGCAGTAAAGTGACGTGTTATTGTATGTTTCTTTCCATGAAACTAATAACATATACACAAAGCCCTGGACTTTGGCCAAGACTTTCTGTCTATAGTCTTCTGCCAGGTGGGGTGGGGGTGGAGTTGAAGATGACTGCCACCTGAGTCTCCCCCATAGGGATTTCAGTTGTCTTGGACGTGGTGTGGCCGACCCACATTTTCAGAAGTCTCCAGGTGTTCCTTATTTGCAGTCGGAGTGTGAATCAAGCACTGCTTTACCTCAGTGGTTTTCAAAGTGTGCTCTGCAGACCAACAGCATCACCTGGAAACTTGGTAGAGATGCATATTCTGGGCTTCACGCCAGAGCCACTGACTCACAGCCTCTGGGGTGGAGCCCAGCACCCTGCATTTAACAAACCCTCCAAGGGAGCCTGATCCCACTGAAGTGTGGGTGCGGCAGAGTGAGGTGGATGTGTCATACTTCAGCCTCGGAAGTTCGGCCGCCACGGCCTTTCCGTCCTCTCTCCCCTGCAGTCCCCGGTTTGCAAAGCGGAGCTTCCGGGCACCTCAGCCACAGTTCCTCTTTGCATTGCCGCTCCCTTGTGCGCGTTACTACCTATGTGGCTGTCTTGGCTGCTGCTTTCAGCAAACCAAATTTGGATGTGGAAATGGGATTTATTTGTGCAACACCTAGTTATTAAGCACCCACTGTATACTAGAAACCATGAAAGGCCCTGACGGTGTGAAGTCAAAGGAGGTAAGGGTCTCTGCCTTTCCAGTGCTTGTCATCTGAGGAGAGACAGAAAAAGCTCAGCAATTTTGGAAAACCATAATAAATGCTATGAAACACTGCTTGCTCTAGCTTGTTCTCGAAACATAAGAACAGCACAATTATTGCTCTTAGGACAATGACTGCAAGATTTATTGATAACAGGTTTTCTTTTTCAAATAATGAAGATAAAATTAACGTACAATACAGAGAAAGACCAGTTCATCAGACATGTAGTAACAAGGGTCAGTATGTCCCCAGAGGGGCAGAACCTGAAGTGAGACCCTTAAGAGTCACAGCCCTAGCCAGGCTGGCCCCAGGCATTGAGGGAAGTTCCAGCAAAGGAGGCACTATGTATATGGGCCCTTGGCGAGGTCATGGGGTTATGGTAACTCACAGGTGCGTCAGCTGAGTTAACCCAAGAACTAGAATTTGGGAGGCAAGGCCTCTGATTGCAGAGCAAATGAAACTACGAATCCCTTGCTTAGTAGCACAACTATTCACTTGAGCAATAATTAGGAAGGCGAGTTCCTTTAAAAATGAACATATGATTTGGGACATGGTCTGAATTGGAGAAAGCTAGCAATTTTGAAGTGGTAGTGTTGGTTCTCTCCACAAGAGGGCGCCTCTATTCTTTGTTTTTATTTTCTATCTGGAAGCAACAATTTATGTTTATTACTGGCACAGAATAAACAGAAGAGTGACTTATGTTTTGCTGTTTGCAGAGCTGACTTCATGTAAAATTTGGACAGTTTTATTACATTCCAAACAGTTACAGTTTTTTTCCGTCAGGACTTTGGGATATGTGGTTAGCACTGTTTCTTTTTAACAGTATCCTTATAATACATGAGCTCTATGCTATTTAGATTATCTGTAAAAATATCTCGTTCATTAGTGCCCATGAAAAAGATGTCAGTAAAATAGCCCCCTCCAAAATATGCTTCTGCATATTTGAAAGAATATTTACATAACACAGAAAGCAACTGGTTGCTTCACTTAAAATAGTGAGACAATTGAATGATACATTTGCTTATTGCAGCACTATGGAGACATTACCACTAACAAGTTCAGACAAGTATCATGACAGTTTCTCAGATCCCATCCAGAAATAAGAAAAGGGCTGCCTGTCCCAGAGATAGGCCTGGGGATGAGGTGGACACCAGTGAGGATGAAGACATCTGAAAATCAAAAAGTGGTGGCTTTTGAACTTAGTGTGAATTGCAACATAAATAATCAACTAAGCAGATAAGAGAGCATAAAAGCAGAACTGAAATTTTAATGGCATTGAACAAAAGTGTGTGAAAGTCACAGGCCCTGCGGCCCAGGGCCCCGTTATGCCTGGTGGTATGATACAGTGGCAAAGGGAGATGCAATTTTTTGAGATTCTTGCAATTTTATGCTTTTCTGGGAAATAATTCTCTTTCTCTCACCCAGCCTTTCCCCCTGTACCCCCACCCCCACAATCTTTTTGCTGCTGAACTAATATGACTTTGGGAGGGGATATCTGGGTTAGCATTTAAGTTCTCTACAAAGGTTAGAAATATAATATTAAAACTTTTGAGACTAATGATTTTGCTTCACCTTGCTGTGAGAGTTTCTTTCCTTGTGAGAGGAAGAAGACGTGGAAAAAACAAAACAAAACAACTTTCTGGGCTATGCTATTATGTTAAGCATTTCCCCTAAAAGTCTCATATGTAGATTAAAACGCTCAGCCTTTAAATTAATGTGACCAGGCATTCACATGGCTGATTATGTCGACAAGCTTGGCTGTGCGAAGATTTGGGGGTCTGGAGTTTATTTCTGTGGATGTAATCAACAGAGATCATGAATGAGAGGAATGGCTGTGGAGCTCTCAGAGTTTCTACTGTGCTCCATGTTTTGTCATTATCCCAGGGTAATTGGAGTTGAGAGGGGAGGACCTCTAATGAGCTGCTTCTCTCCCCTAATGGATGGGAGAGTGGAAATTAGCGCAGCTCCTGCTGTTCTACATGAGTGAACCGTGGCTGCTGGAGCCTCCAGTGAGTCCCTCCAGGAAGTTTTAGGCAACTGCCTAATGGTAGCCTCACTAATGGCAACAATTACAGAATAGCCTTTTCAATAAGACCCGTGTGCATCAGTTAGAGACTAATCTCATTGAGCAACAACAGGCCTGCAACAATGTGCATTCAGTGACTAGCACTTCTGCGTTGTTGGCTAGAAGTGTTTTTCACGTCTCCTGGAGGTTGAGGAGCTCCTGAGAAAGCCAAACACGTTTCATGCGACACGAACCTGTTCCCATTGGCAAAAACAAAGTTGGAATAGCGAGTGAAAAAAGAACCATGCTTTCTCTCAAAACCCATCTTCTGCAGAGCTAGCCTCTTGCTGATTTCAGGCATTCCATTCAACAAGTATGGAGCAGTAAGTCACAGACAGATCCATTTGCCAACCCCCAACCTCTGATTTCACGTTTACAAACTGCAGCACTTCGGAAGGGAAAATGGAGGGGCAAAAGACAGAAGGGCGTTCACCTGACGCTAGTCCATAAGGAAGGCTGGATTCACTCCAGCGGCAAGAGCTGTTCAGTGCTATTTAGGATAACTGAACCAGGCTACTATCACAGGTTTTAATAACACAAGTGTGACAAAAACGAGTGCTGCCTGTCCTTGCCCAGGAGAGCCCTGTATCTTCAGGCCACAGGACGGCTCCCGGTGGCTCATATGGTTGGCTTTGCCTCATCTGTGAGAATAACCAGCCTTGCCCGATCATGGCAGCATTGACTGGACCCCAGAAGGAAATGAACTTGTCTGACCAGAGTGAGGCATCCCACATGCAAAATGTAAGTACCTCATGTGCTCCCTCTCGGGGTCATGCCAGTACAGGTCTAGCTCCCGAGAGGGAGGGAGGGACGGAGAGCCTATCAAATTTTGCAGCAGAAGCACCTTGCTCGCTTCATCCCAGTCTTAGCCCTGAGAAGAACCACTGAATTTTCAGTCATGGGAATCCTTTCTCTAAATGATGTGATTAATTTATTTTTACTAAATTTAATACATTGCTAAATTTGACATAATATGGACATATATAGAGACTATATCTTCTGTGTAGAAAGATATAGGTATTGAATGAGTTGCAAAATATGTGTGTGTGTGTGTGTGTGTGTGTATATATATATATTTATTTTTTATTTTATTTTTATTTTTTTTGAGGCAAGGTCTCTCTCTGTCACCCAGGCTGGAGTACAGTGGCACAATCTCGGCTCACTGGAACTTCCACCTCCTGGGTTCAAGGTATTCTCCTGCCTCAGCCTCCCGAGTAGCTGGAACTACAGGTGTGCACCACTATGTTTGGCCAATTTTTGTATTTTATTGGTGGAGACGGGGTTTTACCATGTTGTCCAGGCTGCTCTCGAACTCCTGACCTCAAATAATCTGCCTGCCTTGGCTTCCCAAAGTGCTGGGATTATAGGCATGAGCCACCGCTCCTGGCCAAGTTGCAAAATATTTTTAATATAAGAAAACAAAACTTAAGACAGCAACTAAGTGGTCTCAAAGATAAGCTAGGTCTTTCCCACCATAATAATTTTCCTTGAGCATAATTGACTGACACGTCTGGTTACTTTTGTTCAAAAAAAGAAAAATGAGACAGTTTGGATGTGGTTTAGATTTTTTTGGATTTGTGTATGTATGATAGCTGTTCCTTTATCATCTTAGAAAAGACAGCATGAAGGACAAGATAAAATCACAAATATGTCGTGTACTAAGTTTTAAAAGAGTTGTGATTGGCATTTTTAGGGTTAAGCATTTGTCTCAACTGTAGCATGCAGACACAAAAATTGCTCATGGAATATGATTTCTCCAGATCATCCCTTATTCAGTCAGAATGAGGAGCCAGTGCTGAATTCAGCTCCCAAATGACCAACTTCACTTCTATTATTTGTGCATGAAAATAATTGTAGGTGCAAAAAGGGAGGGGAGCTTCCAAGCAACTGGCCTTAGGTGTGCTGTGGTAATAATGTCCAGGCAAGCTGGGTCCTGCAACAGTCATTCTCAACTTTGGTTTGAGTCATTTCAGTGACTTGTAGCTTTAAAGAGGAAGAGGTGCAAAGAGAAACAGCAGACCTAATGGTGTTTAAAAGAAGAGCTTTCTATGGACTGAATTTTACTCTTTTCATCGCAGAATTGAGAGATGGCAAGCAATTCACGAAGCAGCTATTTCTGGTTTGAAATACAAGTATGGTTTCCCATTGGTTAAACATTTGATGTATTTTTTAAACACTTTGCCTAAGAGTTCATAACGTGCCTGTAAAGTAATGGTTATTGAGGGAGTTTTTAAATTCCCCAAGGAGCCAATTTTTTGTTGTTATTCTCCAAATAGAATGGGAATTTGCTTAAGACAGCAGTGGTTACCTGCGCTGATTCCTAAATCAGAAGTAGGGTAGCACAGGAAGTCACGTTTGCACGTGATCTTTGGGTTAAGAAGCAAATTCCTCAACTTCAAAAGCTCAACTGAATCCTTTCCTTTGGAGAAATAGAAAAAAATCCAATGGGCTTCATAAACCTTCTTGTCCCACACTGACTCAATCCATAGAATGAAACTGATCCGTAATTTAGGGGTACCAAGGTGAAGTGATGGCATTAGGTGCAGTTTTTGGTCCCCAGAAAACCTCAAGCACATGAGCAGAATGGTGACCCCTGGCAGCCACAGGACTGTGAGGACGACGTGCCAATTACTGAGGAAAACAAACAGCCGCAGTCTCTACATACCCATCAGGAGATATGAAAAACACAGTGCATATATTTTTTAATTTAGTGCATTTTTGCTGCTCAATAAATGTATAATAATAATAATCATTGCATTTTTATTAGACACTGTGCATTTATGAGCAAGCTTGGTGGTCTCTTTGGGCCTCTGCCAAGGTCTAATGGAGCCTTCATAGTTTCTCAGATTCCTCTTTTTAAGTTTTTCTCTCCTTTTTGCATAATCTAAGGAAAAACAGCAAAACTCCTTAGCATAAAGAAGTGAAGAAGGTAGTTTTTAGTTTATCTGAGAGTCAATCTACCCCAGCTTTTCCAAGCCAAGGAGCTTCTTAGAGAAATCACAGTGCTCTATAACAAAAGTTGAACAGAAAATAATCACCCACAAAGGAAAAGAAAAATGTTAGCGTTAGCCTTTTGTTCCAAAATTGGTTTCTACTCCAAGTCTCAATATTCATTGACCTATAATGCCAAACTATGCATTCTTATCAATAATTGCACAGCTGGAACTTGGCACAGAAACACTGCATTGCTTTTTAGAAACCAGAAATGAAACATGGGTGAAGGCAAAGTTAATGCTGTAACATCAAGGTTGAAGAATATAAAATGCCTTGAGTGAGTGATAGAAGTTGGGAAAGTAGTCACTTTCCAATAGTATGTCTATCTGCAAGATAGACATACTATTTGGCATTATAGGTCACAAAAATAATTTTATAGAACTTAAAAACTTCTCCCCTTATATTCAAGCAGATGGCTTTAAGGTCTAATCAAACATCTTGATAACCAGTACAATCATGATCAGGAGGGGAGAACTTAATTTTTTGGCACATAACCTTAATTGGTACACTTGTCAGATATAATCAGACCTGAGACGTAGAAGGGAGAGACAGGGAGATCCATTTAGCCAGACAACAAATTGTCATTGAGTGCTTAGTATGGACCAGCCCCCTTTCTTAAGACTTGGATACATCAGCAAACAGGACAAAGAGTTACAATTGGGTGGGCATGGGGAAACATATTCTACTGAATAGAGAGTTCGAGGAAATCTAATATATAGTGTAAGGTTGGAAGGTGAGGAAAATGAAAATGAAATAAGGAGATCAGTGTTACTCAGTTTGGGAAGACACAGTTAGAATGAGACTTATTGATGGTATTCACATATATGAAGAATTGTTATCTTGGTGACCATCTCCATTGGAGGATAGTACAGAATGAACCAGGCCAAATGCTAGGAAAGAAATCTAAACTCGAAGATGTGGAAGAGCAGCAATGAGAACTAGCATGCAATGTTGATGCAGGGAAAAACAAGAGCTAAATTATGTGTAGTCTTCCTGAAACACAAGAGCTAAATTATGTGTAGTCTTCCTGAAACTGGAAGAGGTCTGGGTTCTCCAGAGAAACAGAAATATATATAAAGACATTTGCTGTAGTGAATTGGCTCATTTGATCATGGAGGCCCATAAGCCCCAAGATCTGCAGTTGGCAAGCTGGAGACCCAGGAGAGACTGAGGTATAGTTCCAGTCTGAGTCTGAAGGCCTGAGAACCAAGAAAAGTGATGGTGTCCATGTCTGAGTCCTGAGGAGAAGGCCAATGTCCCAACTTGTAGGCAGTCAGGCAGACAGAGAATTCTTTCTTCCTCAACCTTTGTATTCTATTCAGGCCTTCAATGAATTGGATGAGGCCGCATTAGGGAGGGCCATTTTCTTTACTCAGTTCACTCATTCAAATGCTAAGCTCATCCAGAAACATCCCCACAGACATACTCACACATAATATTTGATCGAATATCTGGGCACCTTGTGGCCCAGTCAAGTTGACACATTAGATTAATCATCACAGAATCTTTTTTTTTTTTTGAAACAAAGTCTCGCTCTGTAGCCCAGGCTGGAGTGCAGTGGTGTGATCTCTGCTCACCACAACCTCTGCCTCCTGGGTTCAAGTGATTCTCCTGCCTCAGCCTCCCAAGTAGCTGGTATTACAGGTGCGTGCCACTGCACTCGGCTAATTTTTTGTATTTTTAGCAGAGATGGGGTTTCACCATGTTGGCCAGGCTGGTCTTAAACTCCCAACCTCAGGTAATCTGCCTGCCTCGGCCTCCCAAAGTGTTAGGATTACAGGCGTGAGCCACCGCACCAAGCCCATGAAGAATATTTAAGCTTTATTTATTCTATCTTAAACACTTGAAACAGCTGTAAACTTATTGAACATAAATTAATACTGAATCATTGTTTCAGAGAGATACATACAAAATAGTAAACCATACATAGTTCTGTGCATCTAGAGAACAAATACATTTTGTGTCTAACTTGTAGGTAGATGAGTGGGATTATACAGAGGGAAAAGTTTTTTCCGTCTGAGGTAATGAGTACTGTAACATCCATGCACGAGGCTGGTTTATCACTTCTAGTGTGTTGTATGCACACACATAATGTATATATGTGTGTGTGATATATAATTTATTGGTTTTTGCAAGATGTACAGTCAACATATCTCCCACAGGAGAAATGTTTGAGATGTTCTTAGAGTGATGTCATCTCTTGAAAGTTAGGCAGGTATTGAGATAGCAGCTGGGTTATTCTGGCAGCATAATTAGTGAACGTTTGAGCAGAGGTTTAGATCAGGGGCTGGTGAGGCCATTCTGTCCCCCTTGGCTCTCCCTTTGCAGCTGTTTCTATTACTAGATTGGGACTTGACACCTGGCATTATGGCAGAGCTTCTTGAGGGCAGAGACCACGTCCCACATAGTGTTGGATCCCTAGCATCTAGCATGGGGCTGAGCACTTAGTGGGCGCTCAGTCCAGGTTTATGGGTCTGAGCTGAATTCTACAAAGTGGCAAGGAAAGCCTCCTCAAGGAGAACTGTAAGACCAAGAACTATGCTAAAGGAGCCGTCATTTGGGGCAGGCCTTTCACCTCAACTCCAGGGCATATCTTTTGTCTTCTCCAAGCCCCACTCCCTGCAGTTGTGCAAAGAGAGGTGTTCACTTCAGGAGGGAACTGTGCTCAGTTTTTAAGTATGTTCATCATGGCATTGTCTGGAAGACTGAAAAACTGTTGACAATCCAGAAATCCACCAGTAGAAGTTCTTAAATCATGGTACATGGATACTATGGAGAATGAAGTGGCCATTAACAAAGAATGAGACAAGCCTGAAGGTTCTGACTGAGGAGGATAGCCAGGGTATAGTATTAATTTTTAAAAATCATGCTGAATATCAATATGTACACTTTGTTCCTATTAAAGGAACAACCCTATGCATATATGTCAGTACTTCAAAAAAGTTCTGGGAGGATCTGCACCAAGTACTAGTGAGTGCCTTTGAGAGGACGGGAGGGGTTGTTTAATTTTACTTCCCACACTTCTGAGTTGTTTGAGTGTTTTAAAACAAGCTTGCATTACTTTTGCAATACCCTATATATTTTGTGTGTGTGTGTGTATTATATATATACACACACACAAATATGTATATATTCCTAGTTAAGGAGGGTCCCTCAGCCTTATGAAAACTTCTGTTTTAGTAGCCAAAAATAAATATATAAATAAATATCTTAAGCATTTATTAAATATTTAATAAATATTTAGTAATATATATAATTTAATAAATACTTAAGTATTTATTATTTCTTTCTTTGCTTTTGGCTAGCTAAAGCAGAAGAGTTCTCATGAGGGAGTGGCACCCTCCTTTACTAGTGGAAAAATCCTATTTTCTCTGACTGAAAGCCCTCTTATTTGACTGGGCTTGGATTTCTTTTGGTGGAGAGTAAAGAGCAGTGTCCCCAAAGGGCCTCTCTGGGATTGTGTCCAGGATGGGGAGGCTTCAGTTCAGAAGGGCCACTCTCTGTTTAGCATGAAGGTCTGTAATCTCTGTGATTTTGTTGTCCCCTGAAGTTAGGGTCTTGGCCCTGGGCACCCTAACATGCAGTTGGCTCAGGTACTTACAACTTGGTGATGAGGCTGGCAGAGTGTGCCAGGGGGCCAGTTACAGCTGGTTTGCAGACTACTGATGACGTTCTCAAACTGGACTGACACCTGGGGAGCTTTACAAAACTTCATGGAGGTGGGGTCCCCCTGGACTAATTTACTCAGGATCTTTGAGGGTGAGGTCTGGCTCCCACATGATTCCAACACTCAGCCAAGTTTTTGAACCATTAGGTTAAGAAGGAAGCCAGGTGAGAGAATGCAAGTCAATCAGCAAAAATCACAACAGGTGAAACCAGTCAAAGGCTACACTGTATAGCAGAGTCTCTCCAAGTATGTGTTTCCTGATCACCATTCCGAATCACTTAGGGTATGCATTAAATATGCAGCTGTTTCACTCCCCCTACCTCCGACCCCGCCCAGAGATGCTGAATTGGAATCTCTATGAGGCTGATCTTAGGAACATGCATTTAAACAAGGATCCCATGTGATTTCCAGGTAAAGCTCTAGAACGCTCTGTCCCCAGAGAGTGGTTCAGTAGCAGCATCCTCATTTGGCAGCCAGTTAGTTATAGGAGGCTGTTGACTGTGAGAAAGAGGGTGTTTGATAAATTATTGAATTAAGCTTAAGAATAATTAGTTCATCAACTTTTTCAATAGAGGAAACTTATTTCAGTAACTGATTTTGCAAAATGAAAGAAAAATTTTCTGATTATGTTGGTTACTGCAGTTGTAATAATGCTGTGGCTTCAGAGATTGTCTTTATGTGGCACTTTTATCCAATGATCTTAATGTGTTTTATAGTCATTCTTCTTATAATGGTTCTGTTGGAGTTTGTACTGTCCTCACTTCTCAGTACAAAAGTAACAGATTCATAATTTTTTTTATTATGTATGTATTTATTTATTTTTTAGTATAAGTTCTAGGGTACGTGTGCACAATGTGCAGGTTTGTTACATATGTATACATGTGCCATGTTGGTGTGCTGCTGCGCCCAGTAACTCGTCATTTACATTTACACCAGTAGGAGAAGTTCTTATCCCTCCCCCCCTCCCCCCACCCCACAACAGGCCCTGGTGTGAACACCTGTGTCCAAGTGTTCTCATTGTTCAATTCCCACCTATGAGTGAGAATATGCGGTGTTTGGTTTTCTGTCCTTGGGATAGTTTGCTCAGAATGATGGTTTCTAGCTTCATCCATGTCCCTACAAAGGACATGAACTCATCCTTTTTTACAGCTGCATAGTATTCCTTGGTGTATATGTGCCACATTTTCTTCAGATTCATAATTAAAAGTCATATCCTGGCAATAAGAACCAGTGTTTCTTTGGAGTTTGTTGCAGTTCATGCATACCACATGGTACGGGAAGAATATTTTTGTCAATATCAGAGCTTTAAACTCCAATGGGGTGGCATTTAGACATATAAGTATTGTGAACAGATAGATGTATTCTAAGTTTATAACTGAATTCTGAAAGGTTGGTCCCAGACATAGATAAACTTAAAATCAATACTCTGTATTTTTACTTTTTGGTGATTATCTTCAGAAGTGACTTTATAAGACTTTCTCTGATCAAAACTTTATTTTACAGGTGGAGAAAAGTAATTCTGAAAACACTGCTTTTGAACTTGTAGGCCTTTAAAAAAATTGTAATTTGCATGTCCAGTGTTTTTTTTCTGCTTTTTGCCTTGGCACGTCTAAATAAAGCAAGCCAAAAGTTTCAGTGAATTCTCAATTAGCATTCTCTACTGAAGGGGAGGGAAATCTCAGCAGTAAGTCTGAGATGGGTCCCATGCAACTGTAATTTTATGTCACTCCACACATAGTCCTGAGGTACAGCCAGGAGTAAGACCTACTCCTGGAATTTCCTTTGGATGCTAGCAACAGTCTCTACAGAGTGTCGACTGGTCTCCCTATGCCATCTTGACTTTCAGAAAAAATAGCAATAGTGGAACATTATTTACCAACACAGGTCTGTACTTTCCCTATTCATTTTGTGGTCAGCATCAGATCCTGATTTCATATTTAAATGCTTATTACTTTAAAAGTGTCTGGAATCAAGTCTCCATCAATAATTTCAGATAAATTGAAAGCACTGCCTTACTGTTCCTTAAGTCACTCTTAGCGGGGATTTGGATGAGATGATCACAAAGTTTCCTTCTGGCCATATGATTCTATTTTATGGGTTTAGTAAGTGAGGACCTGAGCACTCTAACTGGGTTCAAATTTATAGGCTGGGATGAGTTATATCTCAAGGTACTATAAACATTCATGTCTATGATTGCAGAGACCTGGTCAATAGTATTTAAGAAACCTTTCCATGGCACTAAACAATCTTCTACCACACTAAAAAGCAATCATTTAGAATATATCTGTGTGGCCGAATTGCGGGCCTGATGGCCTTTGGATTGAGACATGGCCCCTTCCTGGTTCTACAGCAGCTTCTGGCCTTTGGCCTTGAAGCGGGAAATCTGCTCTGCAGATCTTGGACTTGCCAGTCTGCATAATCATGTGAACCGATTCTTTATAAGAAAATCTCTCTAGCTTATTATATATATCTTTATATATCTCCTGTTGATTCTGTTTCTGTGGAGAATTCTGACTAATATCATGGGCAATGAAAAATACATGCTTTTCAGTGTATTTTCAGCCAATTTTTCCTCTCAACAAACATATTGGATTGTTAGCAGAAAATATGTGCTGTGTTCATTATACATTGGACACATGGGGCATGAGGATGCTACTGTTACAATCTAAAAAAACTTCCTCTTATTCCTCTTTTGAGACAAAAGAGATTTTGAAATGAGCAAATGGTGTTTAATGTGTAAGTTCAATTCAAAAATGTCAAGTGAAAATTGAATAAATCTCCGGAGATATGTAACTTTAAAAATTAATAACATAGGCTGGGCGCAGTGGCTCACGCCTGTAATCCCAGCTCTTTGGGAGGCCGAAGCCAGTGGATCACGAGGTCAGGAGATCGAGGCCATCCTGGCTAACACGGTGAAACCCCGTCTCTATTAAAAATACAAAAAATTAGCCAGGCGTGGTGGTAGGTGCCTGTAGTCCCAGCTACTCAGGAGGCTGAGGCAGGAGAATGTCGTGAACCCGGGAGGCGGAGCTTGCAGTGAGCCGAGATCGCGCCACTGCACTCCAGCCTGGGCGACAGAACGGGACTCCATCTCAAAAAAAAAAAAAAAATTAATAACATAAACTATGTTTCCTGATAAACTAATTAACGGCAGGTTGGTAGACATGTTATACATGTGATTGTATTTAAAGTTTTAATGCTTTTACTATAGGCAGTAACAATAACTTTCACTAATTCAGGAAATTAGTATTTTCACCTGTTTTAAAAAAGGACACGATTTTTTCCTCTTACCCTTCCAAAATCACTCAAAACTTTGACACAAAAGGCACTTTCAGCAAAGCCAGCAAACTAAAGGTTAAGAAAATTT
The DNA here is from genome assembly GCF_000001405.40 of Homo sapiens. Classification (NCBI taxonomy): domain Eukaryota; kingdom Metazoa; phylum Chordata; class Mammalia; order Primates; family Hominidae; genus Homo; species Homo sapiens. The sequence continues at coordinate 21,649,913 of NC_000013.11, forward strand.
AACAAGTTTATTTTCTTTTTCTTTTATTGAGACAGAGTCTCGCTCTGTCACCCAGGCGGGAGTCCAGTGGCGCCATCTCGGCCCACTGCAAGCTCCGCCTCCCGGGTTCACGCCATTCTGCAGCTAGTCAGGATGGTCTCGATTTCCCGACCTCGTGATCTGCCCGCCTCAGCCTCCCAAAGTGCTGGGATCACAGGTGTGAGCCACTGCGCCTGGCCAACAAGTTTATTTTCTTTGCAGACCTGTTTTTTGAGGAACGAGACTGTAATTTGTGGCCGAACTCCTACAAGGATGGTGTAGACTAGGGTGTCTCAACCTCAGAACTAATGATGCAAAGTCAACTGATTGTAGATGTTGATCACATCTGCCGAGATAGAGATGAGTGTTCGTTTGACTTTAGTAAGGCAGACGATCCTAGATAATCTGGGTGAGCTTCATCAGATCAGTTGAAAGACCTTAAAATCAGAACCAAGGTTTCCCTGAGGAAGGAAAAATTCTGCCTGTGGACTGCAGGGTTAGCTTCTGTCCCAGAACTGCCAGCCTGCAGCCTGCAGCCTGCCCTACAGATTTCGGTAAGCCAGTTAATTTCTTGTAATAAACCTCCCTCTCCCTCTCCTTTCTTTTCCTTTTCCCCTCTCTCTCTCCCTCCTCCTCCCCAGCCCCCTCCTTCTTCCTCTTTCTCTGTTTCCCTGGTGGCATCCTGACTGATACAGTGACCCTTAATGCTCACACTGATTTACAATGGGAGAACCACCACCATTGTTATTATCAAGGGACATAATGAGGACGGGACTTTATCTCATTTATTTTGTTTCCTCCTGGAGGCTGGGATATGGCTCTCAGTAAATGATGGATTGAATGAAATCATTGTTAGCAATAATTGCAAACAGCTCTGGAGCATATAAAACACTATCTGCTAGGAAGTAGGTAATTTGTTTTAAAAAGGCATTATTTAGCTTTATATATATGTATAGACATATATATATAGACATATATATATAAACATATATATATATATAAAGTCCTGTGATTCTGTTCTATTTTGCCCTGTTTTCCAGAGTTTCAGTAGTGTGATTCTATTACTTAAATGATTCTATTACTTAAATAATGAAATACACACATATATACACATACATTTGTATTTCATATATATGTATTGAATATATGTATATATGTATTGAATACATGTGTAAATATATATGTGTATTTCATTATTTGAGTAATAGAATCACACAGCTGAAACTCTGGAAAACAAAGCAAAAACACCAGTAAATTCATGATCCTGACATCACTAGTGCCAGTATTTTGGGGTATTTCCTTCAGGTTTCCCTCCTGAACCCCTACCTTATTATGCATTTATCTTTGTTTAGTGGTAATCATACTATACTTACGTTTTTTCCCTGCTTTCCCCCTCGTTATTAGTCTTCATATACATCATTTTTTTTCTTTTTTTCCTATTGAAAATATCTTTACTGTTGAGATAAAATTAGTTTATGCTTATTAATAAGATGTAGCTAGGCCGAGGGGAGCAGATCATCTGAGGTCAGGAGTTCGAGACCAGCCTGGCTAATATGGTGAAACCCCGTCTCTACTAAAAATACAAAAATTAGCCGGGCATGGTGGTGGGCGCCTGTAGTCCCAGCTACTCAGGAGGCTGAGGCAGGATAATTGCTTGAACCCGAGAGGCGGAGGTTGCAGTGAGCCGAGATCGCAGCATTGCATTGCAGCCTGGGCGACAAGATCGAAACTCCGCCTGAAAAAAACAAAACAAAACAACAAAAAAGATGTAGGCTTATTGAGCTGTGTTTGGATGCCATACACTGAACTATGCATTTCACATGGTCTATCTCTTTTTATCCTCAAAACAAGTATGTGGTGAGCGTTATTACCGTTCCCAGTGTGCCAATGAGGAAATTGGTCTTGGAACAAATAAAGAGCTCCCTCAATCTGCCGGATGGGAGAACCTCTGAAGAATACGCTCCTTCTACCTTGCTGTACTGCCTCTTTTTGCTAATTTTACGTTATATTTTCTTTTTCTTTTTTTTTTTTTTTGAGGCGGAGTCTCGCTCTGCCGCCCAGGCTGGAGTGCAGTGGCGCGATCTCGGCTCACTGCAAGCTCCGCCTCCCGGGTTCACGCCATTTTCCTGCCTCAGCCTCCCGAGTAGCTGGGACTACAGGCGCCCGCCACCGCGCCCGGCTAATTTTTTCATATTTTTAGTAGAGACGGGGTTTCACCGTGCTAGCCAGGATGGTCTTGATTTCCTGACTTCTTGATCTGCCTGCTTCGGCCTCCCAAAGTGCTGGGATTACAGGCTTGAGCCACCGCACCCGGCCTTACGTTGTTTTCTTTTGTGGATGAAGGGATATATGAACTATGGGAGAGCATTCCTTTTCATCTTGCTCTGTGAAAAAGAACATGTGCCAAGACTCAACATGTGGCTTCATTTTTTACCATCTAGTTTATGAGAGTTTCTTAAACTTAGCAAAGTGAACCATACCTTTTTTCTTTTAGATGCGTGACTACTGATGTTTCACTTCTGTTCATGTTTTCAAATTTAGTTCACATTTCAATAATTTTTTACTGAGGATAAAGCCATGAAGTCTGTAGGCTTGGAGTCAGTCACTGGTAATTATACCATTTGAACTCCACATAATCAGGTACATATTTGAAGCCAACAGAAAAAGTACTACAGGGTCATGTAATCCAAGTGGAAGGATGCAAAATAAAATAAATGAATGAATACATACATTTTGGTTATTGTTAAGGAAATGTTCAAAGATTAATATTGGGCACCATCAGGGGAGTTCTTATGTTTCAGGTGCAAGAAGTGATTCAAAATACAGATTTCCCTCCCTGTTTGGTTCTGCTTAGAAATACTAAGAAATTTTCATTGTCTTTTCATTGTGTGTTCAACACATTGAAACAAACAAACACTAAACTCAACAATCCCAAATATGAGTGATAATTAAAATATGTACATGATCAGATTATAGCACTGCAGAGAAGGAAGGATTACCATTACTGGCATTTTAAAACACAGTTTCACTTCCTTTGTCCTCAAGTAGCTCCTGTGTATTGCAAGAGTGGCATATTTTCCTACTTTTCTTGGTACCCATGCTATTCAATTATTCTTGAGTAAAGGCTTATATACAACTTGAAATTAACTGTGTGTCTTCTTGGTCTGGCTAGTTCATGAACAAGATTTGCTCTCCTCTCCCCTCTGATTTTTAAAAAAATTGTGCTAGTGCTGGTGGAGGTTTTGAGCATTGAGACGTTCTGGTCCTCCTTCAGAGGACAATACATAAGGGCTGCTGATCGCTATGCCAAAGACTAGCTCAGCTGAGTAGCAACTACCCTGCACAATGAAAGGAGCTTTGCTGGATTACAAAAGCTATCTAGAAGATACGTAAGGATGTTTTCCATTCCACTTCTTTGAAACTTCAGCTTGGTAAGGCTCTCTAGAGAGGTGGTAAGCACAAACATATCCTCTCAGTCCTATGTAATATTGAGAAGCCAGGATAGATGTTAGGAGGTGAGCCTACACACCAGCATAAGTCACGGAGTTAACCTGCCAGAAGGTTCATACAGGGTACAATTTTAGCCTTAGAAAAATTTGGAATGCTATTTTTGATTTCCTGTTCTCTCCAGTCAGCAACCCAGTGGAAAATGCTGCCTGAGGTGATGGTTTTATAAATATTATGAACTTGCCTTTACCAAGATCTAGGAAAATGATTCAGGAGTAAGTTTAAATCTCAGCTCGAATCTGCATTCATGCAGTCTTATAAACAAAGACTAATAAGTGCAACTCTGGGCCGGGCTCGGTGGCTCACGCCTGTAATCCCAGAACTTTGGGAGGCTGAGGCGGACGGATCACGAGGTCAGGAGACAGATACCATCCTGGATAACACGGTGAAACCCCGTCTCTACTAAAAATACAAAAGAAATTAGCCGGGTGTGGTGGCGGGCGCCTGTAGTCCCAGCTACTCCGGAGGCTGAGGCAGGAGAATGGCATGAACCTGGGAGGCGGAGCTTGCAGTGAGCCGAGATCGCGCCACTGCACTCCAGCCTGGGCGACAGAGCGAGATCTGTCTCAAAAAAAAAAGCAACTCTGTTGAAGATTTTGGCCTAGTGCATTTCTTCTATTTATGTATATGTCCTTAAATTAGAGAGAGTGTAGACAAGCTAGGCCTCAGAAGAACCTGGAAAAGCCCTCCCTGCCTTTCACATGGACAGTTGTGCTCAGGTGGTGTGACTTCAGAGACTCTCTGCTGACTCAGATACCCTGGTTTACCTACATCACAGACTTAGGAAAAGGTTTTATTGAGAAAGTGAATGTGCAAGGCCTTTGAAAACTATAAAACACTATGAAATATAGGGTAGAATACTTGATATAATAATTTTCTCATTTTCAAAAATAAAATATGAGACTACTACTTTTGGATAGAATATAGCTAGTTCTACTGCAGCAACTAGAAAAAACTGGAGAAATTACAAAAATCATATTTTTTAAAACCTGAGAGTTGTGGAAGAAACGAGTACTAGATGAGCTAAAATTACAGAGAGGGGTAAACTGTTCCAAGGTAAGCTGATGATTGACAGTTTTCTTTGGCCCTAGGGGCATTTGTTGATCCTGGACACAGGATGAGGATTGGACTTGGTTCAGGCAGAGGGTCCTTGTGAAGGAAAGACAAACCAGCAAAGCTTTAACCAACGTGAGGCTAGTGTGATGAATTGGAAACTTGGAGTGGTTCAAACTCAGAACTGATTTTCTTCACAAGATATTTTCTGAGTTCTTGGACTTTACAAGATACCGAGGAGTGAGTCTGAAAATGTCTAAAGTAAAATGAAACCTCCCACAGGCTTATGCTCTTAAGAAACAAGAAGCATCTAGAGGGTAGAGCCTGCTATAAGCACATGACTGTTTTCCCCATTAAGACCTTTGCCAGATGTTGAAATTTTCCGGGGCCAGGAGACTGGTGAGCTTGTTTGAAAACCTCTGAAGGGTAGAGATACATTTCTCACAATCTTTCATGATTGAGGAAATTGATACCCACCAGACTCTCCATCAAAGGTCTGAGAGGGGTATACCCAAGGGACAGGGATGAACCAAAGATCTATGAAGTCTTACTAAAACTGTAACCAAGCCCCACCTCAATTCAATTCCTGATTGGATTAAGGTGCATAGCCTCTCACCCAGTCTGTCTAAAAGAAGGAAAAAAAAAGACACATTCTCTGGTGGAATATAACATGGTTTGGTGGCTCCACTTTTATGCACAATGTCTGGCATAACAATTAACAATATATAGACATACAAAAGTACAAGAAAATGTGCATGATAATAAAGAGACAAAAAAGACAGCAGAACCAGACCACATGATAAAACTATTAGAATTAGTAGATAGGAACTTTAAAAATAATGTTCAAGAAAAGAAAGAGAGAGATGGAAACAACAGACGAAAATATGGAAAATTTCACCAGAGAATGAGAATCTATTAAAAATTCAAGTAGACAGTCTAGAATTGAAAAAAGCCAATATCTGAAATTAAGAGCTAAGTGAATTGGTTTAACAGCAGAAGGGACAAAGTAGAGACTAAGGTTAGTGAACTGGAAGACAGGTCAATAGAAAATACACAAACTGAAGTCCCAACTGAAGCACAGTGAGAAAAACTAATAGAAAAAAAGGTCCAACATACACATAATTATAGTCCCAGAAAAAGAGAAGAGAGAGAAAAGGGATGAAGCAATATTTAAAAACATGATTAAATTTTTCCAAATTCAGAGGACATTAATTATAGATTTAAGAAGCTCAGAAAACTCCTAGGAGAGTAAACACAAATTTTATCTAGGGACAACACATTAAACCTGCTGAAAGTTAAATACTAAAAAAGAAAAATCTTAAAAGCATCCAGAGATAAAAGACACATCACCTGCAAAGTACAACAATAAGACTTGCAGCTGACATCTCATCCACAGATACAGAAGTTAAAGACAATAAGATGACAACTTTAAAATAATAAAGTAAAATAACTGTCAACCAAGAATTCTATTCCTGGTGAAAATGTCCTTAAAAGGTGAAATGAACACATTTCAGACTAGCAAAAATGGAGGGAATTTGTGGCTGGTAGCCCTCACTAAAAGAAAAACCACAAAGAGTTTTTTAAATAGAAGAAAAAAAATGATTCCAGATGAAAATAGGGAAATTCAGTGTGGAATAAAAGAAAGCACAAATGTAAGTAAATACAGGCCATAACAAATAAAAGTTGAGATTCAGAACCATGTTTTATATGTAGTATGCATGTCCCAAACAAACTCTAGTACAATGTCTTATACAAAGTATGTGCTCAGAAAATTTTTTCTGGATATTTTCCCCTAAAGAAATTCTGATCTAATTATAAAGGCAATTATTTAATGATATGAAATTTTTGTTGGCAGAGAGATAATAGGAGTTAGATGCTCTTCTTTAATAATTTTCTTTTTACCATTTTTCTTTCTTTTTCACTCATCCTTCATCATATTTGATATATGACTTGTACACATTTAAGTCACATCTGATATTATTTTATTCTTAATATCCATTGTATTAGTCCATTTTCATACTGCTATGAAGAAATACCTGAGATTGGATAATTTATAAAGAAAAGGAGGCTTAATGGAGTCACAGTTCCACATGGCTAGAGAGGCCTCACAATCACGGTGGAGGGTGAAGGAGAAGCAAAGGCACATCTTACATGGCGGCAGGCAAGAGAGCATGTGCCGGGGAACCGCCCTTTATAATACCATCAGATCTCATGAGACTTATTCTATTATGAGAATAGCATGGGAAAAACCTGCCCCCATGATTCAATTACCTCCTGCTGGGTCCCTCTCATAATATATGGGGATTATGTGAGCTACAATTCAAGATGAGACTTGGGTGGGGCACAGCCAAACCATATCAATATAATTTATACTTTTATAGTTTTTCTATTCTTCCTATGTCTTATGTTTTAAGGTCATACTTACTACAAAAATGGTAACTTGGTAATTATTCATTGAATCACAAAAAAGCATAAAACTATAAGAAGTAAAGCAGACCAATGCTCCATTATTCATAGTATCCTCATTAATGAGGATAACAAAGGCAAGAGTTGGAAACAAATGGAGAAGAAGAGAATATAGGCAGATAACTCAGTGAGAGTCGGATTATAAATTAGGTTTAAGTTGGAGAGAAGTAGAAGCAGAGGAACCAGGTGTGTGTGGGGGGTGTTGGGAGGGAGATAGGGTTTTGGAAAAGGATAATTAGTGATAGAAAGTATTGGGAAAGGTAAAGACTGTGATTCTAATGAGAGTTACTCAAGTTCCAGGCAGAGGATTTCATGATTGTTATTCAACACTGCTTAGCATTTGTTCTGTTTGAAAAGTGAAGAAACTGCATTGTGCAGCCTGTGGATTCTTTTAAGGGAATCGTCATCCATCACAAGGGTTGCTCACCATGCTTAGAGTAACACTCAACTCCTGAGCAAGGCTTATATGGTACTACGAGATATGGTCCATGTCTATCTCCGACTCGTTTCACACGACTGGGCTCCTCACTTATTCTGCCACTGCTATTTCTTTCTATTCTTTGATCATTTCAAGCTCATTCCTGCCTCATGGTCTTTGTGCTCAGTAATCCCTCCACTGGAATTCCCTGTACAAAGGTTCCCCTGTTAACCATGGGCCATACATTTCAAGACACCCAGTGGATGCCTGACCCCGTGGATAGTACCAAACCCTACATATACTCATGTTTTCTGATAACCAAGATGGCTACGAGTGACTAATGGGTGGGGAGTGTATACAGCATGCATCTGCTGGGCAAGGGGATGACTCATGCCTCAGGCGGAATGGAGCAGGACAGCACAAGAGTTCATCATGCTACTCAGAATGGTGCATGCAATTTAAAACTCATGAATTGTTTATTTCTGGATTTTTCCATTTAATATTTTCAGACTTCAGATGTCAGCGGGTGGTGGAAACTGCAGAAAGTGAAACCTGGGATAAGGGTGGACGACTATACTGAAATCTTAGCAAGGCCAGCTCCTTTTTGTCATTCAAGTCTCAATTTAAGTGTCATCTTCTCAGAAAGCCCTAGAAAGCAAAGCTTCAGCCCCTTCCACAGCACTGTTTTATTTTCCTAATAGCACTCAGTACTATCTAGAATTATCCTGTTGACTTGCTTATTGTTTCTCTCCACAAAATGTAAGCTCCACAACAGCGAGGTCCTTGCCTGTCTTATCATTGTAAATATGTCAGCCAGTAAAAATTATTATAACTAGTTAGATATATAATAATTATATTACAATTAATTTAATATATAATACTTATAATATTATGAAGGAAAATAGTGATAGTAGGTGATAGGTGAAGGATTATTTTAGAGTGATCAAAGCAAACCTCTCTGAGCAGTCACAATTCCATAGAGAGCTTACTGAAGCCAGGGAAAAAGGCATGGACAGTTGAGGGAAAAGCAATCCCCCAGTAGGTCTGCTAGCAGATGGAAACGTTCCAGATCTTGAGAAAAAACAGGGAGACCCATTTTGCAGGAGTAGTGTGAACACGTGAGATGGTGGTAGGAGATGGAATGATAGCGGGAGGTGGAGTCAGCTAGTGAATGCTCTTGTAGGTAATCCGGTATGAGGGTAACAGAGCGATAGACTGGGCTTATGTTGTGTGGCATGTGGGTTTGACGCCTATCCAGGGAGACTGTGAGGAAGTCACTGCAGTAATCCACAGGGGGAGATGCTGGTGGCTAGAGCCACCATGGGATCAGAGAAGATGGCAGAACATGGTTGGACTTTGGATCTTCTTTGAAAGCAGAACTGTTGGGGTTTGCATGGGTGGCTGAGTGGATGCGGTGCTGTTTGCTGAGACAGGGAACACCTGCAGCCCAGGTTTCTGGGGAGAGAGGCTGTGGAGATGCAAGAGCTCCAGGTATGTATTGTTGGGTTTTGCAGGTCTCCTAGAATATGGAGCGGAGGTGTCAGGGAAGCAGCTGGGTAAACACTGGAGTAGGGAAGGGCTAGAGATGTAGTTTGGGAAGCCTCAGTGAGTGGATGGCATGTAAAGCTTTGGGAGTAGATGAAATCTGGGAAGTGAGTATAGGGAAAAGAAGAACCCTGAAAACAGAGCTGTTGGATACTCCAAATGCTGGATATTGAGAAGAAGATGCAGCCAAGGAAACGGAAAAAACGATCTGTGATGTAGGAGTAAAACCTAGAATGTGTTCATCTGTCATAGATGACAGATGAAAAAATAAGCATATGAAAGCCAAGAGAGGGATTAAGTCTGCCAAATTCTGCCGAGAGGTCAATTGAGTAGGTTGAGAACTGACCCTGGATGTACGTAGTTGGACATTAATTTCAGGAGATGATGGCAGTACCAGTGAAAAGCAGTTTGTTCCTACTCATCCTTGGAGAATACTGGGAGCATCCCACTAACTTCAAAAGAGAAGCAAATATTAAAGATGTCTTTGCAAAAAAGTAAGAAAGTCTTCTCCGCTCACATGTTCAGTGGAAGCTAGCTACGTAATAGATTAAAAAAAACTGCTTTAACTCATTCTTACATTCCAGTGGACTAAGTAGCAGAGAACACAGGCTATGGTGTTGAAAGATCTGTGTTAGAATCCTGCCCATTACTTCCTAGCTGTGTGACTTTGGTCAAGCATCTTAACCTCTCAAAGCCCCAGTTTCCTCAGCTTTAACTAATAGAGATAACAATGTTGAACTTGTAGTGTAATGAAGTTAAATGAAATATGTGAAGTTCTTTTACATAGTGTGTATTTGATAAATATAATTGTTGTTAATATTATTATTTATGCCCCATCTATATTATGAAAGTAGGAAAAGTTAAAATGGGTTATGCTGGAGTGAGACCAAAAGAAGAGTGAAGTGCAATGGAAATGAAGAGGCAAATGAAGAGGAGGAGGTCACATCAGGAAGCTGGGCAGCTTTACTGGCCATCAGGCTGGACTCAGAGAGGGAGATGGGACAGTTTGAACCAGCAATGTGATGTAATATGGGGACAGTGATAAGTGAAGAAAATCCCAGGGCTTTGTCAGCCATCTTTTTTGACAGGAGAAATAGAGAGAGGCTAGAAAGTAAAATGACCAGGAAAAAAAAAGCCAGACATGGCTGAGGAAAGACAAGAGTTACAGTGGAAAGCTGGAAAGCAGCAGACCTTGCCAAGCTCCCCAAAGGCCTGATGAGTTTGTCTTCACATTTTCGGAGATGTATCCATGCACACACCTGGGGTATGTGGGGGAAAGTGCTCCCTAATTATGTCATTTTCTGCAGTTGCTCACAAGATCTTTGCATCAGGCATGGTACTTCCATGCCTTTCAGACAGGAATATGTAATAATAGTGAAAAGTTAAACTTTATTATTTTTGTAAATAAATAACACATTCAATAAAGTGTATTAGTGAAAATTCTCCCTCCCACGCCTTGTCCCCCAGCTATGCAATTTTCTTTTCCAAAGGTAGCCAATGCTGTTGTAATTGTTTCTTATATATGTTTCTGGAGATATTACTGATATGTATAAATATAAAAGGTTTCTCCTTAGGATACAAATAAGGCATGCCATATACACTCTTCTGGAATGTATTTTTTCCTTAATATTCTTTGACAATTAATCCCTACCACTATCCAAAAAGCTTCCCTATTTTTTCTTTTAACAAGCTACATAAGATTCTATTTTATAGGTTTACTGTAATTCACTTAATCAGTCATTCTGGATGGACACACAGCTGTTTGCAATCTTTCGCTACTGTATAGAGTGCCACAGTGTGGAATCTTTGGCACATAAAAGTCTGCATATGCATGCATAGACATATATAACGTAAATTCTAGAAGAGAAATTGCTGAGTCCAAGGGTCCATGTACTTGGAATTTTAATAGATTTTACCAAAGTGCTCTTCATAAAGACTGTGTCAATTTAATCTCCATTAGTAGTATATTAGAGTGCCTGATTTCCCAAACTCTAACACATATTGTTTTATATAACTTTTTAATATTTGTCAAATTTATAGGCTAAAAATGGTATATTGATGTAATTTTATTTTGCATTTCTTTTATTATGAACAGAGTTAAGCATAGTTATTAATGTTTAAGAAATGTTTGTATTTCCTTTTCTGTAAACTGATTATTCTATTCTATTGTTGATATTTTTTTCTTTCAGCACTTTAAATATTTCATTCCACTCTTTTCTTGCTTGCATGGTTTCTGAAGATAAGTCTGATGTAATTCTTAACCTTGTTCTTCTATAGGTGTCCACTTTCTGTTGCTATAACAGAATACCTGAGACTGAGTAATTTATAAAGAAAAGAGGTTTATTTAGCTCATGATTCTGGAGGCTGGGAGGTCCAAGATTGGGCATCTACATCTGCTCAGTTTCTGAAGAGGGCTTCATGCTGTGTAATAACATGGTGGACCATGGGTGCATGCAAAGAGAAAGATGAAGCTGGCTGACCTGTTTTGTAACAACCTGCTCTTGAAAGAACTAATCCAGTCTCTTAAGAACCGCATTAATCCCTTCATGAGGGCAGAGCCCCCATGACTCAAACACCTCTTAACGGCTCCATTACCTCTCAGTACTGTTATGTTGGGAATTTAATTTCAGCATTAATTTTAGAGGGGACAAACCACTTCCATAGTATTCTGCCCCTGGACCCCCAAAACTCACATACTTCTCACATGCAAAATACAATCATTCCATCTCAATAGTACCATAAATCTTAATGTGTTCCAGCATTAACTCAAAAGTCCAAAGTCTCATCTGAGACTAAAGCAGACTGCTTCCAGCTGTGAGCCTGTAAAATCAAAACAAATTATCTACTTCCAAACTACAATGGTGAGATAGGCATGGGGTAGACATTCCCCTTCTAAAAGGAAGAGGTAGGCAGGAAGAAGGGAGTAACAGGCCCCAAGCAAGCCCCAAATCCAGCAGGGAAGACATTAAATTTTTAAAGCTCCAGAATAGTCTTTCACACCATATGTCACCTCTTGGACACACTGGGGTTGGGGTAAACTCCTGAGTCTTCAGGCAGCCCCACCGCTATGGCTTTGCTGGGTACAGACTATGTGGCCACTCTCCCAGTGCCTGTAACTGTCTCAGGCAGGTGTTGCATGCTGCTGGTGGCTCAACAGTTCTGGGGTCCCAGTGGCAGCCCCACTCCCATGGTTCTACTAGGCATTGATATGGTGGGAACTCTGTGGCAGCTCTACCTCTGTGGCAAGTTTCTGCTGGTCCCGTGGGCTTTCTGTGACATCCTTTGAGATCTAGGTGGAGAAAACCATGCCTCCAAAGCTCTTGTATTCTGCACACCTGCAGAGTTAGCACCACATGGACACCACCAAGGCTTATGGTGTGTGCCCTCTTGAGCAGTGGCCCGAATTACACCTGGGGTCATGTGAGCCTTGCCAGGGCAACTGCTTCCCTGGGATGTGGGGAACAGTCTGGAGGTGGCCCTAGGCAGCAAGCCTGTTCTGCCCTCAAGGCCCTAAGGTTCTGAGTCCAAGATGAGAGGAGCAGCCTCAAAGATCTTTATAATGCCTTCAGGACCATTCTCCCATTGTCCTGATGAGCAAAACCTAGCTTCTTTCTGTCTGCTAATCTTTTTAGCAAACAATAGTCTGGCTGCATCTTTGTATTGACTTTTTGCTCCCTACATGGCCACACTGAATTTTCCAAATCTTTACACTCTGCTTTCCCCTGCTCCTGTAACTCACTGTAAGTGGCCAGAAGTAACCATGCAGTATCTTGAGCACTTTCCTGCTTAGCTATTTCTTCCACCAGATATTCTAGTTGTCTCTCTTAAATTCCGCCTTCCATAAAGCCCTAGGGCATAAAAACAATGCAGCCAAGTTCTCTGCAACTGAATAACAAGGATGCCTTTATTCCAGGTTCCAATACCTTGTTCCTCATTTCCATCTGAGACCTCATCAGAATGGTTCTTCCTGTCCATATTTCTATCAGAATTCTGGTCACAACCACTTAAATAATCTCTAAGAAGTTCCAGACTTTCCCTAGTCTTTGTCTTCTTCTGATCCCTCACTAGAATCTCCCTCAATGCTCTGCTCACAGTATAGGGTTTTTCTAGCCGACTCCTTCAAATTCTAGACACTACACATTACCTGGTTCCAAAGCTGCTTTTACATTTCCAGGCATTTGTTATAGCATCAACCCCAATGTTGTTACCAATTTTCTGTCTTAGTTCGTTTTCTGTTGCTGTAACAGAATACCACAGACTGAGTACTTTACAAAGGAAAAAGGTTGCTTTAGTTTATAATTTTGGAGGTTGGGCAGCTAAATTTGGTCAGCTTCTGGTGTGGGCCACCCGCTGCATCATGCATGGTGGAGAAGTGAAGGGGGAGGCAGGTGCGTGCAAAGAGAAAGACGAAGTGGGCCAACCCACCTTATAACAACCTACTCTTGAGAGAACTAACCCAGTCCCAGGAGAACTGCATTAATCCCTTTGTGAGGGCGAAGTCCCTATGACTCACCTCTTAAAGGTCCTATTACCTCTCCATACTGTTGACATTGGCAATTAAATTTCAACATGAGTTTTGGTAGAGACAAACCACATCCAAACCATAGCAATAGTAAAGGTGTCCCCTGCTCCCCTCCTCCACCTTAGCTTCTTTCAAGATATTCTCTTTATTTTTGACTGTCTGCAGTTTGAATATATGCCCGGGTGTAATTTTTTTGGTATTTATCCTGCTTAGAGGTCTCTGAGCTTCCTAGTTGATGGATTGGAGTCTATAATTACTTTTGAAAAATTCTCAACTATTATTACTTCCAATTTTCTTCCATTTATTTTTCTTTTCTTTCTGGCATACCCATTAGAATATTTATACTTTTTATAATTGTCTCACAGTTCTTTCATATTCTGATCTATTTTTTCAATCTTTAAAAAAATCTTTGGATTTTAGCTTGAGAAGTTTCTGTTGACATATCTTCAAGCTCCCTAATCACCTAATCACTTTTTCAGCTGTGTCCAGTTTACTGACAATCTCATCAAAGGCATTCTTCATTTCTGCTATAGTCATTTTGATTTCTACCACTTCTTTTAGATTCTTCCCTTTAGTTTCCATCTCTCTGTTGACCTTACCTATCTATTCTTGCATATTGTCCACTTTTTCCATTAGAGACTTTAGCAAATTAATCATTGTTATTTTAAGTTTTCAGTGTGATAATTCCAAAATCTCTGCTGTTTTTGAGTCTAGTTCTTGTTTGTTTTGTCTCTTCAGACTGTACTTTTTTGCCGTTTAGCATGTCTTATAATTTTTTGTTGAAAGCTAAACATGATATATTGAATAAAAGTGACTGAGGTAGATAGGTCTTTAGTGTGAGGTTTTATATTTATCTGGCTAGGGGTTAGGCTGTGTTTACTCTTTGCTGTAGCTGTAGGTGTCAGAGGCTAAAATGTCCTCTGATGTCCTTGTTTCAGTCTGCTCTGTTGTCTTTGGGATTCCCTAGAGATTCCTGGTGTCTGAGTCTTGCAGTTCTTTTAGTTCTAGTGTAGTTTAGTTTAGTTCTAGTGATGTAGTGGTAAGGTGTGAGGAGACGTGTTATAGATTACTATGATTAGGGCACAGTCTGTTAGTCAGCCTGGGCTGGGTATTTCCCTATCTCCACGCTGAAGGCTAGAAGGGGCTGGAGTTGTATATTTCCCCTTCTCCAGGTTGGTTAGGCTCTGCTCAAATAGTTTTCCTTGAGGGCAGGCCTTGCTAAGAAGAGAGAACCCTGGGCATATTTCAAAATGGTCACTTTTCCTTTCTTCTTGAGGGATGTAGAAGAGGATTTTTCTCAGATCTTCACAGGGAGAACCTGGTAGGGTTCCTGAAGGTAAAACTCAGGAAAGTGTGGGGACTCCTGTAAGAAAATTCATAGGAGAGTTTTTCGATGAATTCTTAACTCTCAAGCTTGTCACAATGAGCCTCCAGCAATTACAGTTTAAAGTGTTCCTACCGATACCAGCTCCAGCTGTGGGCTCCTACTCTTCTGCTTCTGCTCTGGTAAGCTGTGATTCTCTGTATCTGCCTGTCTGCCTCTCCAATTTTCAAGGCAGCAGTTTCTCCTATGACCTTAATTCTTGATGGATCTAAGAAGAGTTCTTGATTTTCAGTTCATTCATCTTTTTCCTTGTGTGCATGGGAATGATGACTTCCAAGCACTTAACATGTTGGATCAGACACCAACTTTTCTTATTGATTTGTAGGAGCTTTACATAAACGGGGTCAGATGAGTGCACATATAAAAATATATATATGCTCACATACACACAGACACAGATACACACACACATATATCACCATCACTCAAACTGGAGTGCAGTGGCATGATCACAGCTCATTGCAGCCTTGACCTCCTGGACTGAAGAAATCCTCCCACTTCAGCCTCCCAAGTAGCTGGGACTACAGGTGTGTGCCACCACACCCAGCTAATTTTTTAATTTTTTTGTAGAGACATGGTCTTGCTATGTTGCCCAGGCTGGTCTCAAACTCCTGGCCTCAAGTAATCCTCATGCCTCTGCCTCCCAAAGTGTTGGGATTACAGGCATGAGCCATCGTGCCAGCCAGCTTTTTTTTTTTTTCGAGACAGAGTCTTGCTGTGCTGGAGTCCAGTGGCGCAATCTCAGCTCACTGCAAGCTCCACCTCCCAGGTTCATGCCATTCTTCTGCCTCAGCCTCTTGAGTGGCTGGGACTACAGGCGCCCGCCACCATGCCTGGCTAATTTTTTGTATTTTTAGTAGAGACGGGGTTTCACCGTGTTAGCCAGGATGGTTTCGATCTCCTGATCCGCCCGCCTCGGCCTCCCAAAGTGCTGGGATTACAGGCATGAGGCACCACACCTGGCCGCCAGCCAGCTTTTTATATATTAGAAAAATGAGTCCTTTATATGAGATGCATTTTTTCCATTTCATCATTTATCTTTTGAATTCATGTTTTTCTCCCACGCAGTTAAAAATTTGTGTGTGTGTGTGTGTGGTTGCATTTATCAATATTCTCTTTTAGGCATTTGGATTCTATGACACATTTAAAAAGGCCTTCACAATTCAGATCATAAGGAAATTCTTCCATTGTTTCCTTTAGGACTTGTTATAGTTTTATTTTTTACATTTAAAATATTTGCATTTGGGTTTTATCCTCATGTAAGTATGAAGAATAAACACTATTTGTGTTTTTTAGTTGTTTATTCTGTTGTTTCAAAACCGTTTACTCATAGTTCACTTTTTCCCATTAGTTGATTATCATATATAAAATTCTAATATGTATTTGGATCTATGTAATTTCTATTCTGTTATTGCTTTATCTGTTTATTCATAGGCTAATACAAATAATTCATATGACACTGTTCTAATTATTATAGCTTTAAAAAATATTTTAAAATATTGTATGGCTAGTTACCCCTTAATTTTTCTTGTTAAAAAAATTTCTTGTCAATTTTAATTTATTTTTCCATATTACCTGTAGCATCAGTGTATCTAATTTTAAACATCTTGGCATTTTTATTGTTATTGTGGTTAGATTAATTTAGGAAGGATTATATATTTATGAAATTGAATTTTTCTATCTAAGGACATGATATGCCTTTCAATTTGTTCAGGGCATCTTTTGTATTCCAAGAAATATCTTAAAATATTTCTTGGTCAGGCCGGGCATGGTGGCTCATGACTGTAATCCCAGAACTTTAGGAGGCCGAGGCGGGCGGATCACCTGAGGTTAGGAGTTCAAGACCAGCCTGGCCAACACGGCAAACCCCATCTCTACTAAAAATACAAAAATTAGCCAGGCTTGGTGGCACATGCCTGTAATCCTAGCTACTCGAGAGGCTGAGACAGGAGAATCACTTGAACCCGGGAGGCGGAGGTTGCAGTGAGCCAAAATCAGGCTACTGCACTCCAGCCTGGGTGACAAAGTGAGACTCTGTCTCAAACAAACAAACAAACAAACAAAAAAACCCAAAAAAACCACATATATATATGTATTTCTTGGTTGGGAGCAGTGGCTCATGCCTGTAATCCAAGCACTTTGGGAGGCCAAGGTGGGAGGATCTCTTGAGCCCAGGAGTTCGAGACCAGCCTAAGCAACATAGTGAGACATTGTCTCAAAAAAAAAAAAAAAATTTTTTTTTTCTTCATGTAGATCTTGTACATTTTTTTGTTGTTAATTCTGCTCCTGGGGATCTTATGTCTCCTTTCCTTCCTTCCTTCACTTTCCTTTCCTTTTTAAAAAACCTATTGTAACTGGGGTCTTTTCCTTCCTTCATTTTGTCTTCTAATTGGTTGTTGTTCATATACACTCAGTGTAACTGGTTGTTGATATATACAAGTATATATGCCCATCATTTATTTCTGTGTATTTTGAGAAGACATCCTATTAAACAATTTAAAAGTATATGCCTGTTATAATCGAGGGCAGTGTTACACAATGAGGGTCTGATGTCTATGAACTTGGCTCCACCATTTATTAGCACTGTGGCAATAGGCAGGCTACTTAATTTCTATAAGCCACAGTTTCCTCATCTATAATATGGGATAAAATAATACCTCATAGGACAGTTTTCAATATTAAGAAGATAAAGCACAAAAGCACTTAGCAGGGTGTTGGAAACACAGTAAGCAGTCAATAAATGGTGGCTACAAAGGTTCTATCCTCTTACCATGAAACTCAAACCTAGTTCCTGGGGTCACACTGGGAATAGACTTCAACCTTCCCAAACCATTCCCCTCCATCCCATGCTCCTTACAGCTCCTAAACAAAAGCCCATAAGTAGATTGAAGGGTTGTGGGGTGGGGAGGAGGAGAACGAAGGAAACAGATGGAAGGGCAGAGGCCCAGTGACACCTTTACTGCAGAGAAGGAATGAAATGACTCTGTACTGATTTGCATCTGGGGGTCCAGGGAAACTGAAGGAAGACAAGCTAATGAAGAAAGAGGGGAAGGTGGACTTTTTCCAAAGGGCCACTTCAAATTTGCAGAGGACTTTATAGCTGACAGGCCACTTTAACCTACATGAACCAGTCTTCACAGCAAAGAGCTGGGACCCGTGAGGAGAGGGCCCGTAGCCACACATGGAGTAGGCAGAGGGTCAGATGATGTGTTTCAGATCTGCAGACTCCCATTCCAGTGCTCATTCCTCTTCATAGCCCTCTTTTACTTCTCTTGTCATTTATTCCCATTTGGGCCTAAGTACTAAACTGACCACAGAAAAGACAGATGACAAAGATGATAGAAAACACAGGAAAGGGGAAGAAAGGAAAGTACGAGGAGTTAAAACGTTTTGAGAAGACAGAGCCTCAGGGAGCTTTGGGATTAAAATCAATAACAGTATTTGCTGAATACCCCCATGGGAGAAATCCATGGGGGAACTATATAAGGAATAGTGTAATGATAGCGACTATGTCTTGAGGGTCTATTGTGTGCTGCTTGTTTCGTGTGCATTTTTTTTTCCTTTTACTCCTAACAACAGTCTTTCGAGGCAGGAGTTATTAACCCAATTACACCACGTGTCTCTAGAAGGCAAGGCCTCAGTCTTCTTTGTGTACTAACATCTATGTACTCACTGAAGAAGACTTGTAAAACATACTCATAGTCCTGGACATAGGAGTTCATGGTTTTGCCAGAGCTGTGAAGGAACCTTGAGGATGTCAGCCCTAACGAGTGGGGTGAGTACAGGAAAAATGTGATGTGGCCAATGCAAGGAAGGACACTGTTTCTCTTACTACAATAAGAAAAACAACCCGACCAAATCAACCAACAAAACCAAGCAAGAGAAATCTGATGGTGAAGTGGCGAGGAAGCAGCAAAAGCTTCTTGCAGCTGGAGTTAGGGATGCGGATGAAAGGTGGATCAAGCCAACTGCAAGTGGGGGAGGCTGCTCAACCTGGGAAAGTGCTCCATCAGCTACTTCGCCCTCTCTTCCACTGCTGCAACGCTTTTTAAAGCGACAGTCACACGCTGCAGGATTCGGAAGCGGAAATGGTCTTTGCTCATTGGATGACAATCTAAATTCAGATCGAAAGAATGTGGTTGGAGACAGCTGGTGGAAATGGTCCCAGTCTTGTCTTCACTGGAAATGTCCAATGTCCACGTGCTGCTCGTTTCTCTTCTTATGAAGCGTCTCCCTGTCTCTCTGGGCCTGTCTCTGTTTCTTCCATCGCTTTTTTCCCCACTAAGTAACCATCCCGGCGCACTGTACCCAACTGGTCGAGGAACGCCCCTGCTGTACCCATCACTGCTGGCTGCCTCGGAGATTAATGCGAGCGACTCGGGTGGTTTATGAGAAGTGACACTTAATACCCAGCTTCTTGTATCTGCCGCCGAGCAGTTAACGTTAAAGCCCGCTCTGTACCACCGCGGATGTGACTGCTGTAAATACCACGGGGCAGGGCTCTCATGCTTCAGAAACACGTAAGCAAGACGCACCGAGCCAGCCCCGGACACCCAATGACCCTGGACTGCGGCAAAGGGGGGGTGGGAAAGGAAGAGGGGAGGACCACTCGCTCTTCTCTCCTTCCTCCTCGCCCGGGCCGGAGCACGCCTTCCTCCCCGGAGGGCAGGGGAAGGTCGCTCCAGGTCGCTGGCACCTCCAGCGCCCCCGAAATCTGCAAATTCATCGCTCCCTTTCGTCTTCAGGCGAAGCCCTCCCGTCCGGAGTAGGGCCAGCCCCAGTTATGCATCTCCAGCCTTTAGCTGACTACTAAGGCGGATCCGACTTCTCCCCCATAACCAGGTTTTGATTCGCTTCCCCACCGCAGGGGTTCAGTCTCTGCTTTCGACTTTGCTTCTCAGTTGCACGCCCCGCAGTGTGGAGCTGCGCTCAAGTCTCGGCAACTTTCACCATCTTGACCCGAGAGTCGGGCCGTTTCTAAGACAATGTGAACAAAGAGGAGCAGGGGGAGGGAAGGGGGGCCCCGCGGGAGGGCTGTGGGCGAGTGTGTGTGTGTGTGTGTGTGTGTGTGTGTGTGTGTGTGTGTTGGGGGGCGCCGCGCTCCGCGCCCGCCGCCACTGGGGATCCGGGCGCAGGCAGGCTGTCCCGGGCGCAGAGCGCGCCGCCTCCAGTCTCTCTGGCGGGCCCGGCCCGGCAGGGCCCCTGGCGGCCCCCGGAGGCGGGTTTCTTTGTCCCTGACTCCCGCTGGGCGCGAAGGCCGCCGGCGGCTAACAGAAACCCGAGCCCGCGCAACGGAGCTCAGGCTTCCACGTGCGGCCCCGCAGGGCAGAGCAGGAAGGAGCGGCTGCAGCCCCGGGGCGCCCCGCAAGCATCCAGTGCCCGGCCCTCCCAGCTCCGCGGCGGGCTTCGGACGGTGGAGTGAGACACCAGAACTCGCCTTTCGCTTCCCCGAGCCGATGCACGGCTTGGGATGGCGCCGCTCGTCCTAAGCAGCGTGGTTTGAGGGCGAGAAGACGCCTACTGGAGCGCTCCCCTCCACCCAGACTCCCGAAGACGCGCGCCCGAGTCGAAGTCGGGGACAGAGAAGGTTCTCTGGCGCCCCCCTGCCGACTGCTTTGCGGCCGCCGGGACCCGAGCAGCGGGGCGGGACCTAAACATAGCCCCAACCCAAAGATGCCCAGCAGAACGCTCCAAACAAAACAGAAACGGTGGCCGCATCTGCGTGTGTGTGTGTGTGTGTGTGTGTGACGGGGGAGAGGAGTTGATCTTACCTGAAACATAGTTTGCGCTTCTGTGTGTGTGGCCGAAGAATGGAAGAGAAACTGCCATGGCCATCCGAGTCCATTAAATCAACTCCCCTTCCCTCCGACTCTCTCAACTCAGTCATATTCTATAATACAACGCAAGGTTACAGAGCCCCAGTGAAAACTAGTTTCCCAGTTTCACTCTGACCCTCCATCAATGTAGCCAGCCAGCTAGATTGTAGGTTACCGGCTTCTATTCTGCAGGAGAACTTTGAGTCTCGGGAGACTCAGGGTTTCTTCCTCCCGCCTCTCGCAGTGCATCTTTCATTTGCTTTTCTTTGTAAAGCCAGGGCTCCTCGACTGCCTCCCAGGAAGTCCTGCGCTCTGGCGCGCCGCACCTCGCCTGCCGCAGAGCGGCGCGGGCAGTAAGCCGGGCGCTAGGACCGCGGGGAGCCCGGGCTGCGGCGGCGCTACCTTAAACCCAGCCCAATGCCGCTGCCTGCGCCACTCTGCGCGCCGGCGGGGGCTGCGCAGGAGGAGCGCTCCGCCCGGCTACAACGCTCCGCGAGCCGGCGCGGCAACACCTGTTCGCGGCAGCCTGGGCGGCACGCGAGCTCCCGGACGCGGCTCTCCTCGCTCGCCGCTCGCCACCCGTTCTAAGCCAATGGACATCTGCCGAGCCTCTGGAGAATCCTGGATACTAGCTTTGGACGCCTAAAGTTTCTTCTTCTTTTTGTTTTATTATTATTATCATTTTTTGGAGGGGGGACCGGGAGGGGAGATTTGTCGCCGCCACCAACGTGAGATTTTTTTTTCCCCTTGAAGGATTCATGCTGATGTCTGCAGAGTCGGTTAGAGAGTAAAAACAGCGCATGCCTTCCTGGAGTCAGGATCCGTAAATTCTGACGTAGCCCGTGCATCTTAAAAATCCCTATAATAACGCCTAGGCATTTAAGTTGCTATGGTCATTCTGATCTCAAACCAAATGGAGAAACTACGGATTTTTTTTCCTTATTACGGTCGGATGGGATGAAGACCTTCCTGCCTGCTAAGAGCTGGGGATCTATCTATAGAGATACATAGATATGTTTATCAATATGTCAGTGTGTGAGTATAAAGTGGTGGTTTCTTAGACTATCAGTGGTTTGACCTTGAACCTGTGCCAGTGAAACAGCAGATTACTTTTATTTATGCATTTAATGGATTGAAGAAAAGAACCTTTTTTTTCTCTCTCTCTCTGCAACTGCAGTAAGGGAGGGGAGTTGGATATACCTCGCCTAATATCTCCTGGGTTGACACCATCATTATTGTTTATTCTTGTGCTCCAAAAGCCGAGTCCTCTGATGGCTCCCTTAGGTGAAGTTGGGAACTATTTCGGTGTGCAGGATGCGGTACCGTTTGGGAATGTGCCCGTGTTGCCGGTGGACAGCCCGGTTTTGTTAAGTGACCACCTGGGTCAGTCCGAAGCAGGGGGGCTCCCCAGGGGACCCGCAGTCACGGACTTGGATCATTTAAAGGGGATTCTCAGGCGGAGGCAGCTATACTGCAGGACTGGATTTCACTTAGAAATCTTCCCCAATGGTACTATCCAGGGAACCAGGAAAGACCACAGCCGATTTGGTAGGTATACCATTAACCCTTTAGTGTCCATGAGATGACATGTTGAAATTATAACTACCAAGAAGGTGGTGGCCGGGTGGGGGACGTGGGAAGGGTTCTCCCCTCCTCCCCTCTTTCTCTGTATCTCTGTCTCTCTCTCTCTCTGTCTTGCCAGCTCCGAAAAAAAAATGCCTCCGGAATTGCAGATCTGCTGCTGGCACTGATGCAAGTATACACTGAAAGGCCCCCTACTTTTAATTTAAAGGGGGGCATAATTTATAAATATAATACAAGTTTCCAGTTCTTTTGCATCAGATACACGGGTTTAGGAAGTTTCTTTTGAATGGACTGATTGCACGAGTTTAAAGCTTTAATCATTAACTACTAAGAACTTAATGCAGTTTCTTGAAGGCAGTGGGTATCTTGTGCCCAAATTAAGGTTTTTTTCCTTTCCCCCTTTCCTCTAGTAAGTATACTACTTGAATTGTATATTAAGTGCATTGTTTATTCTCCCCTGTGAGGGTCTGAAAGCCCCATAGGCGAAGGTTGCTGACGGATTGTCCTGTTGGGAGGACTAAAGTCATATTTTAGGCTCCGTGAAAAGCAGGGGCAGAGGCTTGGGGGAAAATGACTTGGGAAGAGGCAGGGCGCTCAGGGGTTTTTGTCCTTCCAGCTATCAAGTGATAACCTCTGCTTTTAAATTTCCATAGTGTGCAGCCCTGTGTAGGTCTCCTGCGTGGCTCTCTGGTGTGAGTGTGTGCGCGCGTGCAAACGCTGCGAGCGAATTTTAAAGGGCATTCCGAGGATTTCATTTTTCAGCGGAGGGTATTTGTGACTCAGCACTGAGGGCTGCAGACTCGAGGGCTGGTGGCTCTGCCCACTTTATGCTTGCACACACGTGCTTGCCGGGGCACCCTGAGCCCAACGGCACGAAGTCAACTAACACAGTCCCAATTGGGTGGACTCTTGAGTTTTTTCCTTACTTAAAAAAAAAAAAATAAGCGCCAGTTTGGGCAACTAGACTGTTGGAAGGAGTTAACTTCTGAGTGAACCCACCTGACAACACTTAAACTAGGTCGTAAAAAACAAAGTCCTCTGGTGATTTTTCTTCCTCATGCTTTAGTGCCAGATGTTGAACACAATCTAAACTGTATGTTTAGCTTCGTGCGGCTGCGGATGATGCCAGAAGGTGAGGAGGACTTAGGCCTGGGCTGGGGATGGTCCCAGATCCACGAGGCCCAGGATTTGCTCCTCATGCTCACCCCTGAGCCTAAGCCCACAGCTGAGCCTAGTAGTGTGAAATTGCTCCGGCCGTCTCCACTCGCTGCTTAAAAAAAAGTTATAGCTCTTTGCTTTGCAATTATTCAGTTGAAATATAACTATCCCCTCCCCACCCCAGAAGTAAAGGTAGATTCTGGTTGTTGCAAAGAGAAGACTAAACTTTACTAAAAGTGCCGTTTCCATCTGGCCTCTTTAAGGGCTGCCACCCTGCCTAGCGTTCGATACCAGAACAACAGGCAGTGGGCGGCCCTGGGTGGGCGAGCGAGCGTGTCCGGGGCCGCGGCGGCCACCCGCAGGGTGTCGGGGCCGCGCCGACCGAAGCGAGCGGCGTGGGCGGCCGGCCTAGGTGTGCCAGGCGGCCGGAGCTCCAGCCCTCCCGCGCTCGCGGTCGGCAGGTGCCCGCTCGGCCGCCCGGGCCCCGCGGCGCACTTAGCGGCTGCCCGGCCGGCTCCGCGCGGTCCTAAACGCGCTCGCGTTCCGGCTCCCTTTCCGCCTGGCTCGGGTGCGCCCTTCAGTGCTGCGGGGACCACGGGGGCCGGGGGGCGGCAGGCAGGGGCTGACACACTTCTGGCCGCGTTTAGGGAATCCGGTTTTTCATTTTGGCCCAAGTTGAGCCCCTTCGCTTTCTCTTTGTGTGTGAGAGTGGGTCTGGCGGGGCTGACAGCCGCCGCCCTGGGCTGCACGGTGGTTTGCGGTGTGGGAACGGCTGGAGGCGCGCGCAGCGGCAGGAGAGTTGGTGGCGGGGACAGAGGACGGGCTGGAGGTCGGACCCCTGAGCTCCCCTGTCCCATTCCGTGTCCTTCTTCTGAAGCACGCAGCCGGGTTTTGGAGACTCGAAGGGCTCCGTGGTGCCCGGGAGGTGGGTCGGGGGCCCCTGGCCGGAGCCGCAGGGAAAGGAGTGGGGGTGGGGGGGACAAAGGGCCGCGGAGGCGGGCGGAGGGGGCGGCGTGCTATTGTTAACCGCTTTCCGAGAGCAGAGCTCGCGAGCTCGCCGATCGCGATCTGGCTTTCCCGCGCCCCCGCCTCCGCTCCGGCTTCACAACCGGGGGAGCCCGGGGTGTGCGCGGGAGCGCGGCGGGGGCGCACGGCTGCAGGGGCGCCGCGGCGGGCCCGAGCCGGTTTTATTGTGTGGATCAGCCGAGCCTGTCTTTGAGAGACCCTATTAGAACTCCGGTGCAGCACGACTGGGCCCTGGTGTGCAGAGATTATGGGATATTCTAGTTGGCGCTTCTTCACGCACCCCTTCCCTCCATGAGCATTTTTTTTTTTTGATGCAGTCACCTTTAGGATAGGACGTTTGCCACATGCAGTCGAGTCATTAGAAATCCCGTAACTCTGCCACTGGAGAGAGCGCGGATGCAAGGGCGGGGGCCACGCGGGAGGGGAGGGCAGGAGAGGCGCATTCTAGGGTGAGCGGATGAGGACAGCGGCGGGCTACAGTGGCTCAATAGAAACCGTTAAACAAAAAGCTAGACCCCTCACCCCTAGAGGTCAGAGAAAGGTGTTGTCAGGGAAGTGGCATCTCCACTCCTTAGACGCTCTCGGTACAGTGTTGCGGGGGATGTGGGGGCTGGGGGGGATGTGGGGGCTGGGGGGAGGGGCTAGGGGTAGTGTTGGATGGGAGGGGAGCGGAAGCCCCGGCCCAGGTTGGGGACTGGGGGCGCCGAGCCGCTAGCTAGCCCGTCGGCCTGGCGTCGGCCGAGGGGGAAGGGCGCTCTGGCGCTCCGCTGTGCCACTCACTCTGGCTGGGATGGAGTTGAGTGGGTGGCTGTGCGCAGTGGGGGTGGGGAAGCAGGGTGAGGCAGGAGGGTTATTTAAGTCTTTCATCCGGTTGCAGTGAGAAGCGGGCCCCCGGGGTGACAGCAGTGCCGCGGTCTCCCGCTGCTGCCGCTGCGGCAGGTCCCAATATTAGCAACCTCCGCAGAGCGGTGGTGCGTGTGCCGGGAGCCTCCTACCCTCGCCTTCCCAGCCCCGCCCGGAACGAGGCCGCGGCGGCGCTAGGACACCGCGGCTCGCGCGGGGAGGGCGGAGGGAGGGCACAGGCGCCGGGAGGGGGCGAGGGGGCTGCGGTGCCCCGGCTCTGGCACACCTGGCGCTCCCGCGCGCCGCCGCGGCCTCACCTTCGGCCCTCCTCCTCCTCCGGCAGCAGCCTCTCCTCCGCAGCCCGGCTCCCCTCTGGGGAGTTCGTCCTCACACTCAGTTTCTCTAGAAAAGAGTAACTGTAGGTGGGGGGTGCGGTGGGTTTACACCTTGATTAAAATAGAAGGTGCATTTTCTACCTGAAATCAAACAGCAGAAGGAAACGCGCTGGAAAAAGGATTTTTGCCGCCCCCATGCAGCCGCAGGTGACTGCAGCTGCTGGCAAGCTTGGCAGTGACACAGCAGCAGCAGTGCAGAGGACGTGGGGGTGGGGGAGTCTTACTGTTCCAGCAGGAGCTGCAGAGGTGACAACTTAGGTGGGACCTTGAAGGAGCCTTTTTTTTTTTTTTTCCCCCTCGGATTGGTGGTGTGGAGATAAGATTGAACAAGGAGAAAAGGAACTCGCAATTGTATCTCTGTGCAGTAGGCTGGGGGAGCGAGATGTCTTGTTTCATCTGTATATCTATATGCCTATATATAGAGCTCACTTTTAAAGCACTCCAGCCTTGCTAGATGGATAGAAATGTGAGCAGAAAATCATTTGGGGAAATAGTAATGTAAAATAATAAAAACATGAACGCTGGGCCTGATCTGCTATTTAACTTGTTTAGGAAACCTAAGTCTGTTCCCTTTTTGGCTGGGGTTAGGTAGCTCTGAAAGGCCGGTCTTCATCAGGACCTCAGATGAGCACCCAAACTGGGGCTTCCATTCAAATTGGGTCAGGTGAAGGTTTTACTAGAGGGGAGAAATATGATAGTATGATTTTTTTAAACAGGTGTTTAAAACTTATTTCCAGGGTTTTGAACTTTAATTCTGTTCTATGTATCTGACTCTTCAATGTCTCAGGAAAACACTGGGTGTTTAAGGAGATGGTTTTAGGATTGCTTCAGGTTCTGGAAAAATTAGTGGAGTTATAACTCCCATTCAGTTAGTCATTTCCTATATAAACTCTATGAGATGTGCTCAGGTTGCTACAGATCCGAACTTACCCCGGTGCAGGATCTGAGATGGTTGATCTGGCAGCCCTGGTTCGAGCTTCTCTGGGTGAGCAGGAAGCTCTGCAGGGAAGAGGCTTAATCATTAATTTTCTGCAGCCTCATGCCCTGCCCCTCTCGACAGTCTGCCTACATTTGTGTGGTCTGAAGAGTGCGGTTCTGTAATGCGTTGGGGGCTCTTAAGCCAGAGAACCATGTCATGAGGGCCAGAGTGGAGCAGCTCTGACTGCCTTCCTCTCCCACTGCCTTGCCTGGCCTTGGAGGTGAGGCCCAGCACAGATGGGCTCTAGGGGGCGGTGCCAGCTTTGGGATAATGGTCCATGTGAACAGAACTGGGGCAGCCCATCAGCTCTGGGGATAGTCACTAATAGTGAGTCTGGGGCAATGAGGAAGGTCCGGTGTGGTGATTTTCCTGAAATAGTCCAGGCATTGACCTGGTCTCTCATGGACCATGGATGATCTCACACCTCATCAAATCCAATGGGGTCCCAATGAGCATATCCTCATTTGGAACTGTTGACTGCTGTGGAAGAGAACAAAGAAATGACAGCAGTCATCGACCCTGTGCTTCCCATGTCACCCTATCACTACCCATTACTGTGGGCCGTCTGAGCTAAGGATGTCAAGGCTGTGTCTGCCCAAAATGAGCGACAGGCTGCCATGGTACACATGTGTGTGCCACAGTTCTAATTTTAGGCACAAACTCATCATTCCCTCCCTTCCTCCTCCCCTCTTCCTTCCTTCTTTTCTTTGCTCTTTCCTTCTTTCCCTTTCTCTCTCCTTGATCATTAAACATTCAGATGTCTCTGCACAGAAGGCTTCTCCTGGCTGTTATTGATCCAGCCCCCTCTGCTGCCCAGTCATGTGAGCAGATAACATGTGGAGTGGGTTGTACTCAGGGAGTGTAGTTGGAAGCACTTGCCTGGCACCAGCTCCACCCCAGAGAGAGCTGAATGGACCTGGTTGAGGTTATAGAATTTATTGTGGACAAGAGGGTACCAGGAATGATGAGGTTTCTGGTCTGGTTGGGGTGGGATCCTGTTGCGGGGTTGCTAGATCTTCCTGACCTTACAACAGTGGAATTCTTTGCATGGGGGAGAATGACTGTGACTCCTACGTTCAGTTGGTCTGCTTGTCCTTGCATCACTGAGGTGACCACATAAAAAGCTGGGCTGTTATTTTGACGTCTCTATTTTTAAGGAACTGCGGAGAAATGGGTGGTGGTTTGAGGTGATGAAATCTTTTCCACCTGGGGTCTGTAGGTAGTTCCTTCTCGCTTGGATAGCTTTTTGGAGACTTATCTCAGGTATTTATTTTCTTGGGAAGCCTCTGACTTGCCTTCAGAAACCCAGATGAGCTGCCCATCTTTGGACTGCCCATACCCTGAACAGCTCCCTCTCAACTGCATTTGCCACACTGTTGTTATATTTATCTGTTTACGTGTTCTTCTTCCCAACAGATGGTGAGCAAAAATTTGAGGGTAATAGGACCTAGGCTATATCCGGTTCATCTTTATATACTCAATAAATGGTATGGTGCTTGGCTTATAATAAACCCTCAATAATAGCTTCTTGAATGAAAAAGTGAACGAATATGAATTACAGCTGTCTTGTCAATGCCAGAAAAAGAAACGAGATAGATATCTTGATATCTTCATTTCTAAATTATATAGTAATACTTTCAGAACTCAGCTATATGAAAATGGTACAGAAATCACAGAAACATTAAAAAAGGTAAAACCAAATGTAAGATGTGCATAATAGTTAAGGAAATAGGTTTTGGAGTCCAGTTGCTTGGGGGCTAATTATTAACCTCCTTAAACCTCAATTTCCCCATTTGTACACTGGGGATTAGAATATTGTAATGCCTAGAGTTGTTCTGGGGATTAAATGAGAGACGGCCTCTCATTTGGCATAGACTAAATGCTCAAGAATTTTTACTATTACAATTATCATTGCTGCTGCTGTTATTTTTTTTTCTTGATGTTCTGCAGACCAGCCAGTGAAAAGGTTTTGTGAAATCACATGCACCTTATTCTTTGTTGGACCTGATGGGCAACACTGGCTAATATTCATTATTAGTCCTCAGCTACTCCGTGTGCAGGGAAAGCAGAAAGATCATCACATGCTCCCTTAGAAGCTGCAAATATTTTTTAGTTTTATGATTAAACCTTTCCTTATTGACCTGGTAAATTAAATCATTCAGACCTCAAAAGGGGCCAAATGTTTCCTGCATTTCATCTTACGACGAAAATTGAACATTAATTAACTCATTACATTAATTTCAGGGTATGTATGACCCACATTTTGGTGTGCTTTCAGGTTACTAAGAAGATATTCACATACATGTGACTGCTAATAATAATAAAATGCCACAATTTTAGTTATTTTGACTCAGAAGAATAGTACAATGAAATAAAATGCATCAAAAAGGGAGTGCATCTCATGAAAAATGAATCTCATGGAAATATTGCCTTATTTATATTCCCATTTGCTTTTGAAGTAGGGAAGGCTAGTAATAAACTGGCTTCTTTTGCATGTATTCTCCATCATAGAGTCATAGATTATCAGATTCAAAACACAATTTGTAATTTCACTTTTTTTGATATACTGTTTAACATCCTATTAAAATAATTACATTAAGCACAAGATAAATTTGTTACATTTTGTCCTTATAAAAGAATTAGGAATGCCCCTTTAGAAGAAATAGCTCTTCTTTTTTACATCACCTTGAAATAGTTTCCTCTTGAGTTAATCCTTTATTAGATTTATGCTGTTCATGTCTTCTTTTGATTGCAGTACCAGTGTATTTTGTGAGAGTTGCAGAATTAATTGTTGAAAAATTCATGTAAGTGCTTTTTTATTAGTCACATGAGACTGACTATAGCACATTGTTACCCTAAGTTTTTTTCTGAACTCTTAAATGTAAGTAAAATTTTTAATATTTGAAAGTATTTTTAAAACAAGAACTCAATATTTGATATGCATTAATGTAAGGTCTACATAAAATGTAGCACTTTAATTTACAATAAAAAGGAAAAAATGGCTGAGTACAAATAATATTAGCAGTGTCCAGACAGGCGCGGTAGCTCACGCCTGTAATCCCAGCACTTTGGGAAGCCGAGGCGGGTCGATCACGAGGTCAGGAGATTGAGACCATCCTGGCTAACACAGTGAAACCCCGTCTCTACTAAAAATACAAAAAAAAAAAAAAAAAAAAATTTAGCCCAGCGTGGTGGCTGTCCCAGCCTGAAGTCCCAGCTACTCAGGAGGCTGAGGCAGGAGAATGGTGTGAATCCGGGAGGCGGAGCTTGCAGTGAGCCAAGATCGCACCACTACACTCCAGCCTGGGCAACAGAGTAAGACTCCATCTCAAAAAAAAAAAAAAAAAAAAAATTAGCAGTGTCCTAAATATACTGTGGGCTAATCATCTTATAACCACACTGTAGTTACAGAAATTGAAACTGCTGTTGTGTGGCCATAAAATTCTGGATTTATGCCCAGCTTAGGTGTTATTCTTAGTGAGGTAAGCAAGGGGAAAGAAGGAAGTAAAATAAGATCATTGTGTCGATTTGATTTTGGAATACAGCATTCCATGCCTACTTTAAATCAAGAGCAGTATTTATCTCTTCAGAATATTATTATTTTAATTGCTTAACTATCTCTTTGAGGTTTAGATAAGTATAGCAAAAACCAATACTTTGTTTAAGCAAAAATAATTGGGATGTATGTGGGCAGTTTTAGTTTTCTAGATAGAGTTAAAAAAAGTTAACACAATAGAGAGCTGGATAATTTTCTGTATAAACCAATCAAGGCTTTAGTTAGCACTTCATTCTCTTATTTTGAGAGACTATTCTCTAAACAGAATACTTTTTTTTTTTTTTGCTACTTAAACAGGTATTTATTTCTCCCAGTTCTAAAGGCTGGGAAGTCCAAAAGCAAGATACTCACACACAGATACTTAACTTCATGTTTATAAAGTGGAAATAGGTTGTCTTTTCTAAAAAAGTATTCTGTTTAGCGAATGGTCTTATGTCTCTCAAAATAAGAGAATCACAGACAGATGCTTAACTTCATGTTTACAAAGTGGATGTAGGTTGTCTTTGTCTTAAATTCTACTCTTTGAAGTTAATTAGATTATGTACACACTGGTTTTTCTGTCCTATTACTTCTTAGCATATCTATGTAGATACTAACTTTTTAATTTTTAAAATGTTTTGTTTTTTGTGTAAGTCATGTTGGTAAGTATTTTTGTGTCATTATGATAAGATAGAATTTAGTTGAAAATCAATTCTTTTACACAGTGATTTTCAAAGAGAAGACACTTCTTTAACTAGCGTGGGGTTATCCAAGTGGGGAGCTGGGCTTAGTGTCCTCTCCAAAACCCCAGGGATGCTGGGACTCTAAGGACATGCTCTGTGATCTGATCTGTCCTCTGCCTTCTACCCTTTGTCTACAGGCATTCTGGAATTTATCAGTATAGCAGTGGGCCTGGTCAGCATTCGAGGCGTGGACAGTGGACTCTACCTCGGGATGAATGAGAAGGGGGAGCTGTATGGATCAGTAAGTACTGGAGGGACTTCATCCAGCTTTATCTCCATGTTTGATTTGAACAGCTGTCTTTTCTCTGGATTAAAAAGGGCCAGAAATGCAACTGAGTCTGTTTGGAAGGCGAGTGTAAGTTTTTACTTTTTGAGGAAAGCCATTTTATTTTTATTAATAGATAAACAGCTCTGCACCTTCACTAGACCAAAGTTGCTAAGAAAATGCTTTATTTATATGCCAAACCATCTTAATTATCAAGTAAATAAAAAAATTTACAAGTGTGAAAAATCCCATCTCTTTGTATTGAATGAGAGTTATTTTTGAAATGAATTGAAATGATCTCCTCCTAAGCTTTGCCAAGCATTGTAATTAAAACTAGAAATAGACCATGCAGTGAATCTAAACTCTCTCTGAGCTACATCCAAGATTTTCATTATGCAGAGAAGAAGGGAGATGGAAATTGTTGTCAGATATTTTTGTACGTGAATAAGAATATTACGATATTGTAATTATTTGCAAATGTTATGAATTTCTTTTTTTCCCACTCCACATCCCCACTAGGTTGTAAGGTCCTCATGGGAGACAGTGAAGAAGTATTTATTGTGCTCTGCCAGGTGCCAGACAGGCACTGTTATAGGTGCTGAGGTGTGAATGAGACAAAGTCTACTCTTCCACTCTGTGGCGGGGACTAACTTTCCATCATGGTATCACTTTACTCCTATTAATGCAGTACCTAAAACACAGTGTGTGGTACGCAGCAGGGACTTAATACATTTTTGCTGAATGTATAAGTATGAATAATATATACTAACTTGGGTTTTCAACTTTCAAACTTGTAATGAAATTAATCTGTAGCGTTTCTTTCTCTCTTTCTTTTCTTTTCTTTCTTTTTTTTTTTTTTGAGATAGGGTATTGCTGTTGCCCAGGCTAGAGTGCAGTGGTGTAATCATTGCTCACTGCAGCCTGGAACTCATGGGCTCAGAAGATCCTCCTGCCTCAGCCTCCTGTGTAGCTGGGACTATGGGTGTGCATCACCACACGTAGTTAACGAAAATTTTTTTTTTTTGTAGAGACAAGGTCACGCTATGTTGCTCAGGCTGGTCTTGAACTCCTGGCCTCAAGTGATCCTCTTGCCTTGGTCTCCCAAAGTAACTTATCGTTGCAATTACTGGTGGTCAAATGAGAATTTAATCCATGTTTTCTGAAATATGAGAACTTTAGTTTACAAAAAGTTGAAAATGAAAAGAAGCTTAGAATGAGGAAAGATTTGGAGTTCTCAATACACAGAAATGAAGGGCAAAACTTTTTCTAGATATAATTTTCTACCATTAGGCTTGTAAAAATATGTATATATAGATACACACATACATATATATAAAATGCTAAAATGTATTTGTAAGTATAGGATTGACTTTAGCTTTTTAAACACAGTGGATGGTTTAGGCAAAATTATTAACTCCCTACACAATTTTTGTGAATACCTTTAAGTGTGAAAAAAGATAAGATACAAGATAAAGGAAACTTACATTAAAAAAATAGAAAATGATCTTTTTTGTCACAACTTCAGTTTTTTTTTTTTTTTTTGCTTTTAGGTATGTAATGTGGGTTTGAGTGGGTCACAGTTGAACTCAATAAAATGCTTTTTTTGTGTGTGTAGAAGAGAAGTTCTGACTTTTAGTGTGTAGATGGAACTTTATCACAGTGGCCTCCAAATTTTTTGATCACGTATCCCCACCAAAAAAATTTTTTTTGAATATGCATCTCAACATATGCATTTCAAATAAATATACTTAATTTGAGTATGCATCTCAAATATTAAATTATTTTAAAATTGTTTATCTCAAAGTATAGTTTATATATGTTATTTTATAAGAGATACAGCAAAGTAAACAATTTTAAAGAATAGAATGAATGAGGAAACCTAAATAGGGCCCTACTATTTGTTCCCCACTCCAAGGATCACCTTGCACACCCCTCTGAATTTTTCCCAGTTGAGAGCTGACCAGTCTTTCAGATGAAATCACCAGCATGATTCAGACTCCTGTGGTTTATTGGTTGACAAGGAGAGCATGTCTAATTTTGTGTTCAGCAAAGCTGCTGGTAGGATTGTTGCCCAGGCTGTCTCATCTCTCCTTCTGGATGATTTAAATGGTTTCTTACTCATGCCTTCCTGCCTGGCACACCCCAGTTCCTAGCACAGTGCCTGGGGCAGCATGAGAGGGACATTGAGTGTAGACCCACGGAGTGCCAGTGACAATACTGTGGGACACGGCAGCCAGGTAGACAGCTGGAGAGCACCATCTTTCCCCTTTTCTGGGAAGCCCAGCTGTCTTCTTAGGTTTTCTGTGACTCCTGGCTGCCTCACCTTGGGCTTTTTGAGCACACACACAGTGCGTGGGCAGGAATAGACTTGTCACCACTGCCATACAGCTGCACATCTTGCCGACAGTCCAGTCATGGAGTCCCAGTCAGGCAAAGGGCAATGAAAGAAAGGGTAAAATGGCTCTTCTTCCGTGTGTGCTTGAGAAGCACACATCTTCTCTCGTGAAGAGTGCCCAGGCTTGGAAACTGCTCCAAGGAAGGGTGGCTGTGAGAGACACTTTTCCGTATTATGCTTTCCTTGCGGAAACGTCTTCAGCTGCTTCCTTGCCTTCCTAGTCTTCTGTCTCCAATCCATTCTCCACACTGATGGCAGAAGTACCTTCAAAACCCAGACAGGAGTGTCACTTGTGCACAGAGATCCCTTCAAATTCTTGCTTTTGAAGGATACAGCCCACGTTCTTTAATGTGGCACCCAATGCTTAGGATGAACCGCTGCCTGGATCTGCTTTGCCAGGAGCACCCTGTGTGCCTCTTTGCCTATGCAACTCGAGTCTGTCTATTTGCTGTTTTCCAAACACATCATGCAGTCTGATTTATACTTGTGGCCAAGTGAATTTCTCTCTCAGATGCCTTTCTCTTGCCTTCTCCACCTGAAGAAGCAGGACTCTTTATTTAAATTCAATGGAAATATTACTTCTTCTGCAAAACCTTCATTACACCCCCAGTTCTAATCCTATTTATTCTAGTTAGCATTTCTTATGTTTTCCTTTGGGCCCTAGGAATACTTTGTTCCCATTATTACATAAGTCACAGTACAGTTTACAGTGTGGTCAATTGTATTTCTCTGTTCCCTAATGTATCTAAAGGGCATGGACCACATTCTTTTTTTTTTTGGTTTCCTAACACACAGCTATGGCTCTTGTACATAGTAGGTGCTCGATGAACGCTCATTGGGTTGAACTGATTTAAAAATTATGATTATTTTTGTCCCGCATTGGATGCATAGATGTGGCCTCACAGTATCTCGCTTGTATGGCTGCTGTGTACTTAGGTCTCCAGTTGAAGGAGGAATCACCATCTTCCATTTCTATGCATAATTGGCCTGTGTGTGCCTGTGTTGTCTCTGGTGTGTGTGGCCTGAGGGGGAATGAGGCTGAAGCTGGAGGAAAGATAATGTAGTGTCAAGGGCATGGTTAACTCTCATTCTGTATCTGCTACGAAGTAGGCACCAGGCCCTCTTTCTCCTCTTCTGTAAGATGAAGAGCTCGAGTTAGACATCTGGAATGTTTCTTCCCAGTCTGGATGGATCCCAAGAATTCTGTAGTTTGAATTTCTCAGCCTTCTTTCTCAAGTCTTCTCTGTGTGACCCATGATGTTCTCTGTGCACACAAAATGTTTGTGCAGTGAGACCTTTTTGTCTCTTTTGTAAGGAGCTGGGAGGGAGGCTCCTGGGCAGCAGGTTATTTCCCTTTGGTCTGTTCCTCCAGCAGGTGAGGGGGAAGGTGAGAGTGAAAGTCTTGTTCCTCAGGGGCTGGAATCTCATATTTCCCACTGGGTTTGTGGTTATCATGCCTCGTGTGGCAGTGAGAATGAGGAGTGACTAAAATATCTCATTTTCATTGTGATGAGATTGAGAGAAGGAAAGAAACGGGCAATGGTTGTGTTACTAAATACACTAACATTTGGAGCCTCCAGGAATCTTTATCTGTGTGAAGTTGCATGAAGCTCAGTAAACTAAATTGGAGATTTTTTTTTTCTAAACGGTTAGAAACTGATCTCATTACGAAAGAAGGTAAATAGGAGATTTGGGGAAATCACTTTCGTAAAGTAAATGTGTAAATGTGAAATTCATTTAAAGCGTATTTTCCTATTTTGGGATTAATTTTCTCTTTTCATCTATGTAGTTTTTGTTTGCTTGTTTTTGTCTTCAGGTTTACC
Source organism: Homo sapiens (assembly GCF_000001405.40). Taxonomy (NCBI): domain Eukaryota; kingdom Metazoa; phylum Chordata; class Mammalia; order Primates; family Hominidae; genus Homo; species Homo sapiens. Next base: position 21,685,388 of record NC_000013.11, read on the forward strand.
TTGAGAGTAGATCTAAAAGGTCAGAGGTAAATGGGTTAATACTTCTTCAGAAAAATATACAGGATTCTGATATCCTATTAGAATGTGGAAATAAGAAAAACTATATTGCTAATGAGTATAACGATTTGATTAGAAGGAGAATATGAATAATTTTAACTTGGGGATGGTGTTTGATTATTGTATTCACGTGATAATTTGTCCATGTATCCGTTCATTCATTTGCTTATTTATTTCCTATTTATAGCTTTGACTCATCCAGCACTGTGATGAGTGCAAAGCAATGAAACAGATAGCTATACTTGTAAATAATTCAGGGCAGTGTGAAATTTCCCATAGTAGAGGAATGGACAGATGTTTTGGCATCCCAGAGGAGTGTTTAAATAACTGCTTGGGGAGGTTGAGCGGTAGCATTTAAAATGGGTCTTGAGGGATAAATAGGAGCCTCAGAAAAGGAAGGGCAGGCAGGTTAGGTCACGTGACCCTTCAAATGTCACAATTAAAATACGCTGCCAGGTTGAAATTTCGAGAGGATGTTAGATTACACACTTGGCCAGGGGATTAGAGTATTCATTAACATTGGTCACTTTTGTTCTTATCAGAAAGTTTAGAGGCATGGCTCTGATAATTACTTTTAGAGTCTTAATCTAAACTGTTTGAGTATTATAAAAATACTTAAAGAAGTTTTTTGATGGAGTCTTACTCTGTCACCCAGGCTGGAGTATAGTGGCATGATCTCAGCTCACTGCATCCTCCTGCCTCAGCCTCCCGAGTAGCGGGGATTACAGTGCGTGCCACCAAGCCTGGCTAATTTTTGTGTTTTTAGTAGAGATGGGGTTTCACCATGTTGACCGGGCTGATCTTGAATTCCTGACATCAAGTGATCTGCCAGCCTCACCCTTCCAAAGTGTTGGGATTACAGGCGTGAGCCCCCATGCTTGGCTTTCAAGATACTTTAAAACATCAAGAATAATTGACCATAATAAATGCCTCCTTAAAAAAGAATGCCATGAAAAAATTAATCTCCTTCAAGAAGCTTGCATTTAACAAAAGGAATTGACCTTTTCTTTAAAAAACGTAGCTGGTACAGGTACTAACATTGTAAGGATGTTGGAACATACAGCATGGAGTCTGCAAAAGTGACACTGGAGGATGGCGCAGAGATGGGGGAGGTGCTAACATTTCTCGTTTGTATCCCTTTGTAGCACTTACATTATTTTGCCCAGAATTGTAATTCCTGCTGGTCTCTTTGTTAGATGAAATTTTTTGGAGTCAGAGTCTTTGGCTTTATAATTTTTCTATTTCTTGAAGACCAGGCAGGGCAATTTATGTGCAGTTGGCACATGGTAAATGTTTGTTGACCCAATTATTCACTCCGTCATGAACACGCACATGCAGTGTCTACTGTACATGAGCATCGAATAGTGATAGCACTGATACAGGGTTGTGAACTTGTAGAGTCAGGGTGTTTCCACAGGAATTAGTCAGCTACTGAAACTGAAAATGAGAGAGGTTAAGTGACTTGCTCAAAGGCCCAAAACTTGTAGATGCAGAGTGAGGACCAGCCTCATGCTGACTGCCTCAGACCAGTACTTTGCAGCCGTTCCTAGCCTCATCCTGACAGGTGCTTCTTAAAACAGGTGTTTACTAGTAGGTTTGGTTATGTTTCCAAGGACACAACAGGGCCCTGGTTTATATGGCTCCATGTAATCAGTAACCAAGGTATGATGGGTTTCAACTCTGTTTCCAAAGCACAGAAAGTTTCCTTTAGTAAATACCTCATTTGGGGCAGTTTTTTCTGCTGGGCAGACACACATGAGTCAAAGAAGTTTCTTGCATGGTGTTCCATATTGTGGGGCAGGTGGCAGGAGCCCTGTAGGTCCCTCTGTCCCAGAATTGAGAGACATATCCACCTCTTTAAAAGGAGACAATGAAGTACCTCAGATCCTTAAAATCCTATATCGACTTAGGTTATTTTTATTATGTTATTTGAATATGTGCACACATTAAACTAGATAACTAGATATAAATTCCTTATACTTCTTTGACAACTATAATTCAAAACATTTATATGCCAAAATTCAAGTTAAACGGCAAGATCAGTAAAATGCACACTGACACAGTGGATTTCATATGAAGGAAGATGCTCCCTGACTGAGACGAAGATGCTGCCTCACTGTAAATCCAGCCTTGGCGCTTGGTGCAGCTTCCTGTGAGCTCAGGGTGCCTGTTCTGCAGAGCACCTCAGGATGACTTGTTCCCCTGCCCCACTTCTTCCTATGTGAGTTCCTGGGACAACAAATGATCTCATCTGATCTTCACTTATCTCAGACACACCACCGATGTACTCAGTGTGCCTTTTCTTTTTCCTGTTGGTCCTGATGGTGAAAGTATTGTAGCACTGTGTACCACTGACAATAATTTTAAACCCCAGTCCATTCTTGGGGGACAGTTATGTGGTTGTGGGATGGTCATCTGTGGGCTCCTGGATACCCTTAAAACAATTCTAGTACTTTTTCATTGACCTGGAAAGGCAAAGTAAAGACATTCTTGGAGGGAACTTGTGGCCCCGCAGATTATGCCCTTTGCCTTCTAGGTATCTGCGGTGCCAGTGTGGGAGAACACTGCATAGGCACGAAGCTCTGGGCAGGGTCAGAGTTGGGGACGGAGGCCAACCCATGCAGTTCATCAGAGACCCCCTTGTCTCCGTCAGGTGCTCTGCAGGAGCAATTTGGAGCCACTTTTGAACAAGGAGAATGACCTTATGTGTTCGTGGAACAGGATACCACACCACATGGCAAGGACCACTCAGCTTCTGATTTGTCACTGTAGTGGTTCAGTTCCGATTGCTTTGATGGGAGACGTTCAGACACGTCCTGTACAAAGAATGCAGTTCACACAAAGGAGATGAATAGGTTCATTTCCTTAGTAACCTACCTGATAACAGGCATGCCCTGGAGATGGGTGGTTTTCAACGGATATTTTGAGTAATTGAGCATTGCCTTATGCTGTGTTTCATATGTGCGTGACCAATTTTCAAAGAATTGAATAATAATTCTTAGACGATATGGAGGGCAGCTTCTGCTGTATGACTGAGTCCATACATCGTCCTGGTTTTAGAGACGAGGAGGTGAGATTTTAGTGGCTTAGTGACTTGTTGAAGGTCACATAGATGATGACAAGTCAGGATTTGAATGTAGGTAAATTAGTAAATCTTGTCTGATACATATGCATGTTAAGAGTGGCCATCCATTTTTGTAAATAAAAATATATTTACTAGAATTAATCACATGAATATTTTTAACTGGAATTAACCATATAGTGGGGCAAGGTTTTAATATTTCTTACACAGATGTGATTTTGGAGGATTTTTTTTTTTTTTTTCCAGTAGCCTAGTTTTAACTTAGTGGTTCATTTGTTTCCTTAGCATCTATACTGCTGGCCATTAGTTAGTGGACAATCGTCTTTTAAAATAATGTATCTATTTGATTTTAGTTACAGTGTTGAGCATGGTAGCTACATTTACTAATTGTCTAAGGCATACTTAAAACATCCCAAGCTAGTATAGAACACAGGTCTGGAGATTTTCCAGGTTTGGGAAAGGATTATTTTAAATTATTAGTTGCTCAGCAGAGACATTTCCCGTCTGGGATGCGAATTTGGAGGAATATTGTCGTGGGTTCCCAGGAACATGCTCAGGAATCCCGGAGCAGAGTTTTCCTAAGAACAGGTGCAGCTTTCGCACATGAGCCCAACGCCCCTCTTTCCCACGCTGGATTTTACTCTCTTCCCTGCTTCACACTGCTGCATTTTCTGAAGTGCCCCTGCCTGGGTCCCTGCCTGAGAAGCCTGATAAGAGAGCCTGAGAGAGTAGTTTTGGGAAGCCCTGAGTCAGATGCCTATTAAAGCTGCCCCATTTTGTAAAGCAGAGCTCTGCGAAGGCAGGGACTTGGTGACTGTGCTTCCCATGGTCCTGCCAGTGCTTAAAACCGAGTCTTGCATGCACTTGGCACCTAATGAATGTTGAACGAATGAATGTATTGTCAGTGGGATCCCAAATCATCTTTTTTTTTTTTCTTACAAAAAATGGACTAGGCAGACCCTAGTTGATAAGTACTTGATTCTTGAATAGGTATTTGAGAGCTGGAGGAGTTGACATGTAGACCTGTGGTTCCTGATTTTGAGTATAAGGTTCCTTTTTTGATAAAAAGTGTTAGGGAGCCCCACATGCTAGTAATTGCACTTCTAAGTGTCTTATGATTGAAAGAATGCATTATGACAGCAATTCCTCTGAATTCATTAACACTTTCAAATGAATTCCTCACTGAGCAGTCTGTGTGAGGGTCTTTCTTGTCTGTGGCTTCCTGACAGTGCTGACTCCTGCTTCCCCTCATCCTGAGCCTTGAGGCACACTGGAGAAGTCTGATCAGCTTGTAAGTTAGGGTCTGCAAGGATAACCAGGTGACAGTGGCTTCAGGGACAACAGAGGCCCAAGCCCAGCGTCTCCAAGCTCTTCCTGCTTCTTCCACCTCCTGGCCTCCTAAATCCTGGCATTCCTTCCTCTCACCTCTCCCACATCACCCCTGTTTTCAGAATGGATTGTTCATTGCATGGAACCCTGGAGAACCCCTCAACCAGAGCCTCAGTGTCATGGTCAGTTCCTGAATTGCAGAGCTTCCTACTTCTCTCCAGGGTAGCGTAGTCTCTCTGGGTTCCCTGAGTTAATACTGCTGCACAGCCTGATTCAGAATAGGGCTCAAATTGGAAGCTCTCTGTAATCAGTCACACATTCGCACACTCGCTCACACACTCACACACTCTTCCATCCACACATAACACGCTTACATGCTCATGTACACATTAACTCTTCTGTTCACACACTCCCATTCACACAAGTACTCCCATGCTTACACACTCATTTGCTCACACACATTCTTCTTTTCATAGTTCACTCACACACACTGACTTGCTCACTCTTCCATTCACAGACATACCCACGTGCTTATACACACACTCACTTGCTCACACCCACTCACACACTAGCATTCACCTACAACACACACACCCTCATACTCATGCACTACCTCACAACCCCTTGTTTCTTGTTTTCTTTCCCAAAGTCAACAAGTCTTATTGATTACCTACTAATAATGCATGCTGGGTGCTTTGTAGGTGCTGGAAATACGTTGATCCTCATTGTTCACAGATTCTGGTTTTTGTGAATTCGCCTACTTACTAAAACTTGCTTGTAACCCCCAAATCAATATTTGTCTGACTTTCATGGTTATTTGTGGTCGTGGGCAAAAAATGTGAGTAGCATCCATGCACACGCTCCCAGCTGAGGTTGAAGAAGATGCTGTTCTTGTCTCAGCTCTGCTGGAAGCAAGGGTCCTCTTTGGGATCTGTTTCGTGCCATGTGCCATGTTTTGTGCTTTTTATTGGTGATTTTGCTGTAGAAAACATCCTCAGTGTAATACTGAAGTGCGGTCAACTGTTGCTAAGCGCAAGAAGGCTGTAATGCGGCTTAAGGAGCAAATATGTGTGTTAGAGAAGCCGCTGGTTGTGAGTTTGATGTTAATTAATCAGCAACAGATATTAAATGAGGTGTCATTCAACAGAAACACACATAAAACAAGGTTACGTATCTGTTGGCTGACAAAAATCTTATGACCAGAGGCTCACAGGAACCCAACCCTGTATTTCCCCCGGGAGCAATGGTTCAGTATTCTAGGAGACTTTATAGAACTTAACTACCTCAAATAAGGAGAATCAGCTGTACCTACAAATGCAAATGTACTTCCTCATGTGGGTGATCTTAGAGCTGATTCAGGAAGAACTTGCAACTTCATTGAGGGAGTCAGACATGTAAACCAAGAATTATAATTTGGTGTGATGAATGTTAGAATTATAAACAAAAGGGGCTTGGAGAGCTTGCAGGAGGGAGCTTAATTCTAGGAGTAGGAGAGAATGTCAGGATTATTCACAGAGGAGATGGAGAAAAACAGGCAGGTGTTCTCAGTAGAGAAACCTTTTCAGCCAAGAAGGCAACTTTGCTGCAGGGTTTAGAAACATGGAGGCTTCTGGATGTCTCCGGATTCTGTGGTCTTTCCTCTGTCCCTGCCTCATCTGCCTCATCTTGTCTCTGCTTCTGTTTATCCTAGTTGCTGCCAGAGGCATCTTTGCTGACATGTGGAGAGTCCTCCCCTGTCAGCATCAGCAGCCCCTCCGGGGCTGTCGTTCAGCGTCCTGGCCCGAGAGATGCCCTCCATCCTTACAAAGTGGAGTGGGAACCACTGTCCTGGGCCAGCTTTGGCAGTGGCCTGGTCGCCTCACCCCTCCCGACTCCCCCTCACCAGGGACTGACTTGAACTTGGTCAGAAACATCATTTGTCAGCCGGCTGGCCTGGTGTGCCTCAGTGGCACTGTGACAACCGGCTGAGAAAAATGTCTGCATCCCTGACACCCCCGTTGCAGAGGGCTTCCCCCGAGGACTAAAAGGTTATGGTGCTAAGTGTGAGAGCCACACTCAGAGCTGTCTTCTTCATGCTGTCTCTAAATGCTTACGATCCTGACATTAATTGATTCCCTTTTAATCTTTTTTTTTTTTTTGTAATTCTTCATTGAAATCTCTGTTGAAGTTTGCTGCTTCTTTGTAATGAAGTGCCCAAAGCTTAAATGCAGTATTCTAAGAACAGACTTGCCAAGGTCGTACCAAAGACATCCCTGTCCCCATGGTACATAGCGTGATTGTTTTGCTGTAGCCCTGAATTATTTTTGCCTATTTAGCTGCCATGTTGCATTGTGTGTTCACACATAATCAGCTGTCCGCTCTCAGCTTTAGGTTCTCCTGCTCTATTCCTTTCTTTCTCCCTCCCCACTTTGCTTCCTCCCTTCCTTTTCCCCCCTTCTTTCGTTTTCCATGTGAATTTCTGTGTTTCAGCTATTTTTCTTCTGGTTGTGTTGACTTGGCTTGTATTCTTTTTCCTTTTCTCTCTTTTTCAAGCTGATTTTCATTTTGCTGCGTTTTGATGGGAGACTCTAGTCTATACTTGCATGCTGACCAGTTGCAACTTGGAGATGAAGCACGGTTAGTGGAAGCACAGGCCCCGGGATCGCCACTTTGTCACTCACTGGCCCTGCAGCCATGGGCCGTCTTCTCACTCTTTCTGAGCTGAGGCTATAGAACGGGCTAACGATAGACACTTCATAGCTGGGCTGTGAGGATTAGAGAAGATGACGCCTACAAAGTGGCCCATGTAGTGCTTGACTTTTGTGTCTGCTCAGCACATGGTCACGCTCCCAAGTGTGTGGGGGTGACAGAAATGCTGTACTCACACGAGAGACGCACTGACACTGTGTTTCTTGCGAGTTTGAATTCTGAAATTAAGACCCATGACACAGCCTCCGAAGATAAATAAAAAATTTCCTCCAGATCCCAACATGACATTCCTCAAATTATATATTAAAATGCCAACAATAAAGCCTTATTTACCAAGATTAATTTTACATACTTTATTCTCATGTGCTGCTCATGATTATTTTATCTGCTCAATTAAACAAATTTCTTTTATGAGGGGTTTAATTTACTTTGTGATTATACTTATTATTTTTTACATGGTGAACTTACAGGCTGCCATAGCACCCAAAATTCTGTCATCAGAGACGGTCTCTCAGGGTTAAGGCACAATTTTTAAAAAGGTCCATGCCAGCATATTCATTTGGTGTCTTGGAGGAATGGAATGACCAGATGGTCAGGTCACCTTATCCTTGAGAGAATTAGACATAGCCCACCACAGTGTTGAGGAGGGGAAGGGCCATTTCTATTAATCTATCAAAAGGTGGTGTCAGCATAAGGGATGAGTTCCCGAGAAATCGGGGCTGATGTGAGTATAGTGGGGGCTAGGAGTTGGGGCCCAAGGAGTGGGGAGGGTGCCAGGGACAGCCTCATCTCCCTTGCATTCTTGCTTAGGACTTCTCTGTGGGTATTGGGTGGACATGGGGGTGCTGAGGGGACATGGGCATCCGCTGTGGGTATCTGAGAAATTCAAGAGCCACGTGGAAATATCATATAGTGCCCAGGGATCCCTGGCATCATTGATCTTCAGGGTGCGTTTTCTCTGCCTTGTGCTTATGTCCAGCTGCTCCCCCAGATTTGAGTGTGCTATGACATTGCTAACTTTTTGTTTTCTTATGGGATTTGGCTTTTCTTCCCAGTAAGTTCTCTTTGGGCAGTTCATGATGTAGGGTTTATTGGTCAAGCCGACAGTTCATGAATGAGCCCTGTCTATTGAGGCCAACATTGGGAAGAGGATGCGGCAGGCCCCAGAGTGCAAGGAAGTAGCGATGCCTTCGAGGACTGTATCCTCCCAGTGGTCTCCCGGGGAAGAGAAGGAGAGCCCCTGGGGCCAAAGTGGCTGTCTTCTTCCCTGTCCTTTCCTCCTTGAAACAGCAATCTCATTCTCTGCCGCCTTCTGGAAGCGTGAACGCAGTCTGTGTTTTCCATCCTCTGCCCCTCCCTGCTGCACTGGGCAAGTTGATGCAGCCCGTTTCATTTGGTTTCTTTCCCTGTTTTCCAACTGCACTGAGTCCCTTTTTTCATTTCCTGTTCAATATGTCCTTCCAGAGTTACTGTGGATAACTTTGCTTTCCACATTTTGATGTTTCCAAGACTGAATCACTAGAATCTTAGGCTTACAGGGACCTTAGACATCTTAGTGCAATTTTTTCATTTTTACAGAGGAGAAAATGGAGCCCCGGGAATGTTAATCGACTCACCCACAGTTACCCGAGTATGTGTGTGTGTTGCTGGAAGGTCAGCATGCCTCTACTAGGGACACTCTGTGCATCTTTTAGTTTTCAAAATCTGTCTTTGAGCTTATACTGTCATTCTATTTGTTAATCTTTCGTTTTCTGTCCTTTTATTTCTACAAATCATGTGCTGAATTTAGTCTGCTTTCTCTATCATAGAAAGTCTGGTACATTAAAAAAAATTCTGCCCCTTCCAGTATCTCCCATGATTATCATGGGAACAAAGTAGATGTAGTCAATTGTCTTTGTAGCATGTCTTTCTTGAATCCTTATTTCCTTAATTTTACTTCTCAGCCTTTTAGCTTTCCATTTCTCCTCTGTTGTCTGCCAATCTGATCCTTCAAGGGCATTCTACTCTCAGCTTTTACTGAGTAATGTTTAATTTGAAGTATTTTCAGCTTTTGCATATCTTTGATGTGCATTTTAAGTGATCATTGAATTATTTTACTACTCTTACCAGACACTAGTCTATGGGGGAAAAATGTTATATGTGATTTTTTTTTCAACTTGATGTTGTAAGATGTTAAATTTGATGAATTTTTCCTGTAGGTTTGTTTATGGAATGATTAAATGTACATTGACTAAACATTAACACAAGCAAAAATACTTCTCAAAGTAAATATTAAACTTTGAAAACTTGAATTCTATTATTCCCTGAGCAAGACTTTCTTTCCTCTGTGGGAGTACCCCTCTGAACATGTGTTAAAAGTTTATGAGCTAATATGATTTGCTAAACAAACATTCATTTTTATAGGCAGCTTCCAAGGAAGACCTCTCAATTGTCTAGTTTGTCCTGTGGTATATTTGGCAGGTTCTGTCCTTGGCAGCAGACTGGGTACCACATGGTTGGTGAGCATGCAGCACTGAAGATGTGTGCGTGTGTGTGTGTGCGTGTGTGTGTGTGTGTGTGTGTGTGTGTGTGTGAGAGAGACTAGATTCAGCCTGGGACCCATATCATTGAGTTCCCAAATATTGACGTAAGCAGCTTCTGGGAAAGGGTCTTTTCTGTTTTCCTTTTCGTTTTTTGTTTTAGGTGGAGGAGGAGTGGAGAGAATTTAGGAATTCTTAGTTTCCTATATACTTTGATGAGACAAAATGAAAAATGGCCTACCTACTTGGTTTATTTTGTTTATGTGGACCAGACACAACTGATTCAATTGTTCCCACAATTCTGGTGGCAATTTTGATGGCCAGGAATGTGGATATAAAAGCAGGGCCCATCTGGAATACTGGGGAATTTAGAGGTTTTGGAAAACAGGGCTTGAGGTGAGCCATATTGGGTTGGGTCTGGGTGGGAGCTTCTCATGAAATAAATAGTGCCCTCTTGCCTCGTCTGTCTGTGTTTGTTGCTTTCTGTGTAGTTGGGGACTTCTCCCATGAGAGGAGAGTGAAAAGACCTGGCTTCTTATTAACGGTCCTTTAGTCATTATATTTAATCACCCTGATCCTTGCAACAACTCCCATTAAGGCTTTACTGCTAGATTATTAATGAGGAAGAGTACATCTGTACGAGTAATTGTGGTTAAGGGAGGTTTACAATATCATGACTGTAATAAACAGTAGATATGAGAATGAATGATTACATTGAAGTCATTAACTTATGAAATGTTTGGGACCTCTACAGTGAAGTCAATGTCTGTACAGTCACTGATCATAAGCTGATGTGTTGTAGTAGTTTATAACATAGCAGCAAGTAGTCTAAGCGGCCCATTGAGTAGAATAAATGCAAACATGTGGACAAAACGACACCACATGTTTATTAATATGGAAATTATGTTTTAAAATAACAGCATGGCGTAAGTCTATACGTTTTCAATAACTATTACTAAGTCTTGACTTTTGAAACAACTCTGGCTTCATTTTTTAAGTGGGCATAGATACGAATTGAGCATAATGTTGCCCATGTGGATTACACTTTTTCAAATTGTCTAATATTTTTAAATAGTGTCAGTATAAGTTTATGTGTTATAACATTCCTAAGCATTCCCTGGGCTGTACTATAATTTTCACATTATTATCTCATACTTTGGTTTTAATAGGATTTGGTAAAAGTTTTGAAGTTTTAATTTCAGTTTTTCCCACCGCTTGGAATTTGATGATATAAAATGAAAAGAGGTTTCCATCGTTGCTAACATTCACCAGATTTTGTTCCAAAGCATGGACTTTAGTAGACTTTTGAATTAAATCCACATTCTCCACCCAAGCCTAGTGATATAATCCAACAGTTCAAAGATAGGTATGCCATAAACAGCTATAGTTAAATAATCTAAAAAAAAATTAAAACATGGAAACACAATAAAACAAGAATTGATCACTTTATAGTGGAATACTCTATAAACCGTCTGCATTAGAAACGTGGTGGGTTTTAAAACATCTGAGTTCTATAATTCTAGAGTGTATAGTTTATTTGAAGGCAGACACTCCTTCCCCTACCCCTTCCCTTCATCCGCACATCTATATAAGAATACAGGTTAATATTTTTTGCTATCCAAATTTGCATTCATTTACTTATTTTTTATTTAGAGAAATGATTTTGGAGTAGAAATACATAACATAAGTATTTTCACCTCAACTAAATATTGTATCACTAAGTACTGAAGTGTGATCCTAAAGAGATTATTTCTGTAGATCTTGCTACTCCGTCTAAAACAAAAATCACACATTGGCATAATCCCCAATAAGAGGAAGAAATTATTTAAAAGCATATGTATGATTTAGATGAGTAACACAGTCTTTATAACTTTTCATGATAATTTTAATTTTTAAGGGATCTAAACTGATCTGTGTGGCATAATTGGTGTAATTGCAGGAGCTAAAATGTACCGGTGATTTTGCAATGTCATGTTTGCACAATCTCATTTAACTTGTTGACTGAAGTTATATAACCCTCCTGTGTATGAGACAATTGGAATTGGACTCAGCCATCACAAAAAATGCTGGCTGTAGATTATACTGTTTTTCTTTTGTTTGTTTTTGATTTTTAGAGACAGGGTCTCACTCTGTTGCCCAAGCTATAGTGCAGTGTCACAATCACGGCTCACTGCAGCCTCGACTCAAGTGACCTTCCTGCCTCAGCCTCCTGTGTAGCTTGGACTACAGGTGTGCACCACCATGCCCAGCTAATTTTTTGTTTTGTAGAGATGGGGGTCTCACTATGTTTTCCAGGCTGGTCTTGAACCCCTGGCCTCAAGTGATATTTCTGCTTGGGCCTTCCAAAGTGCTGGGGTTACAGGCATAAGCTGCTGTGCCTGGCCAATGATACTGTTTGAAATTGAATAATTGGCTTTATTTTCTGAGTTATGTGTGTGCGTGAACGATGCTCTAATAGCCTGCTAGGGAAATAGGGCAGTGTTAACTGGCAGTGAAAAGGTCAGTTCAATTTCTTAGCATATTTACTTTTTTAAAAGGGGGGTTTTCGTATTCTTTAAAAAAGTATAAAATGAGAATCTTTTCTTAAGCACTGAAAACAATTTCATGTTTCATTCTTAGATAGTGATACCTCTACCACTGCGGAATTTTGTTCACGATTGCTATTTTCCTGCCCTCTCCACTCATTCCTCCTGCAGATAAATAGAATTATTCAAAAATTGCATTTTGAAATAGACACATAGGACTCTTTTTTTTTTTTTTTTGAGACGGAGTCTCTCTCTGTCGCCCAGGCTGGAGTGCAGTGGCACGGTCTTGGCTCACTGCAAGCTCCGCCCTCCCGGGTTCACGCCATTCTCCTGCCTCAGCCTCCCGAGTAGCTGGGACTACAGGCGCCCACCACCTCGCCTGGCTAATATTTTTGTATTTTTAGTAGAGATGGGGTTTCACCGTGTTAGCCAGGATGGTCTCGATCTCCTGACCTCGTGATCCGCCCGCCTCGGCCTCCCAAAGTGCTGGGATTACAGGCGTGAGCCACTGCGCCCGGCCCCCACGTAAGACTCTTTTTACTATGCTTAGTGAAAAGTGAAAAGTGGAAGGGCCTGGTCCCAAGAGGGTGGTGGCTGTGCTAGGGCTCCTGGAAACTTCTTGCTCTGGTGGCTTCATTACATAATAACAAGATCCTGTGGCACAGACCAGGCGCAAATTGCTTCACATCTGGGCCTTGCTGTCCCATGTATTTTAACTGGAAAAGCTGCATTTGCTGTTTTCTAAGGTTTATTCAGGTTCTAAGATGTTAAGATGTTAATGTGATATTAACAACACTGTTGTTGACTGGGAGCTTCCTCGGTGTTCAGCACTGCTCTCTGATTGGATCTCTGTCACAACCCTGCCTCAAGACACTTATTACTAACCTGTTGTAAAGATGAGGTTACTGAGACTTGGAGAGGTGAGAGAACCAGTTGTAAAGCCCTGCAGCTAGTGACGGGTGAAGCTGGGATAGGAGCAGGCTTCTCACTCCAACGTCAGGCTTTCCCATCACATAAACTCATTATCTTCTGCTGGGACTTTTGTGTATCTGTTTCTGATCCAAGAAAAACCATTGTGCTATGGGTGTGCTATGTATGCAGAGGAAATATAAGCTAGCACCTCACTCATGGCTCAAAAAGGAGGAGGAAGTGTTCTACATTTAAAATACAGTTTAATTCCGTAGTGTTTGTAGGTGATGTGATTTCCTGCTGGAAAAAAGAAAGCTGACTTTTAATTAGTTTTTCTTGTCCCTTGTAGAACTAAAAGCTCATCCAATCCCATCTTTTGGTCTGTTTTATTAATGATAAAAAAATGCACATATTTGTTTAGAAATTTCACTTAATTACAGCAAACCGAAACCAGCTATTTTTAGCCAGGAATAATCTTGCCTGTGAGGAGACTATTATGCAAATGGAAGTAAGGACTAAAATAGCCATTAATGTCTTTAACACACTTAAACTTCTATCCGTTTCAATAGAGATGAGAGGGAAGTCACATTCAGCCCAATCTCCCCAGCTAAGGAGGAGGTTGGGTTGCCCCAGAAGAGCACCCCTCTAGGCCCACATGCAGAGGAGGGTGCAGGAGTGCCTCTCTCCTGTGCACCCCTCCTGTGGGGTAGAGCTGCTTCTCCCGGCCACCCTCAGGTGAGAGTATTCCAGTTTGGGGTGGGGCTTGGTTTCTGCGATTCATTCTGTCCCCATGAACACAGCACCAGAGGTCTAAAGTTTTCCCATCCTTTTTGTCTTTGCCTGATGCATTGTCTTTCCTTTCTGCTTCCCCCCATTTCAGCTCACTTAGCAAAACTTGTCCAGTGAGATAGTATTTTGCTAAAAACCTACTCAGTGCTTCCAAACACATAGAAGAGCACTTGTCAGGAAGTGCCGGCCCTCATGACCTCTTGAGTGTGGTTTAAGCCTTTGGATTAGGGAGGGGACCTAGAGAAGGTGGCCTCATGATGGGCTGTTGATTGATTTTGTCAAATTCTGTCCCTTTCTCCTCTCCTTTGCTCTCCTGACTTACTCTGCAAGGAGTTGGGGATGATGGATTCTACCCAACTGATATCTGTGAATTCATTTTATTAAATTGGGTCCTTAACTACATACTTGGAAAGAGAACTGTCTGTATTTTGGTGATGTATAAAGTTTACTGTCTGTCCCCTGGGTCTGAATGACAGAAACGAATGTCCTTATCTGTATTTGCTTGTTTTCTTATTTATATAAGGCGCCAGGTAGGTAAGAGAAAAGAAACTATTTCTAACAAGTTATTTTCGTGTTTACTGTTTTAAACACTAAAGATATCGATTTTAAAAGTTTCAGTTGAACAGTGAGAAGAGCAAAAAGGCCAGTAAGTCCTGTCACCTTATTTCTCTAGGGGCCAGCTTCAATGCACACATTTTTGCCTGGGGCGTGTTCACAGCTTTGGGATGTGGTGTGTGTGTGTGTGTGTGTGTGTGTGTGTGTGTTATTTTTGTTGTTACTGCCCATGAGTTTTGCAACCCCAGGAGCCCTAGGTTGTGGGGTTCAACTGAACCCCAGCTTTCATAAAGCTCGAGTAGAGAGGAAGTGTAGTCCATCTGGGAAGATGCAGAAGCTTTGTGATCTGGATCAATGCACGTTTCTTCTTGGTATCTGTGAACCTGAGAATGTAGCTTTTTTAGTTAGGGGTCTCTTCTTCTATGTAAATTCAAGGAAAAGGCCGGAATATTTGCTTTTACGTTGGATTCAGGAAAACTCAGTCATGATAGAAGCATTATGTTTTAAAATGTAGACTGAGAGTTAGGATTCTGCATTAGAATTCTCCCAGGGACCTGTTAAAAATGCATATTTTGAGAATTGCTGAATCAGAGTTTTAAAGGTTTGGGGCTCAGAAGTCTGCATCTTGAAAAGGCATCTCAGGTGATTCTGCTATACACGGAATGAAGTTTAAAAACCACTCATAGAGAGTAGTAAGTAAATGCTGCTGCTAAAAAGGGCAGAACATATCTGACATCACTGATCATGTTGCTAATGTTGATCTCTGCAGCAGGTACTTTATAAAATATATACTGGTGTTAAAGCTGTTATATCTGAGCCTTGCCACAGGCACAGGCTCTCCCTCCCAGTGTGGTCACCACATAGCTGCTCTAGGAAAAATGGGAACAACGTATGACATTAGGTGTTCCTTGCATTTGACTCATTCAAATGATTGGTATGTGCAAGAGTTTAACTAGAAAACGTTTAGACTCTTTAGTGTTTTAGTCATTATGAGTTAGAGATTAGAATGTAGTTAAATTTGTAGGGTTAGGCAGTTTTTGCAAAATGCATTAAAATGGTTAAAATGGGCTAAAACATCAGTGTTTTCTCATGGGGGTTATATTGTGTAGCAACGGAATGTTACTTTTAATATTGAATGTAGCTAATTATGCAACATATTTATTTACCTTTTTAAAAAATTTTAATTTTAATTTTTAGTTCTGGGGTACATGTGTAGGATGCGCAGGTTTGTTAAATAGATAAACGTGTGCCAAGGTGGTTTGCTGCACCTATCAATCCATCCCCTAGGTATTAAGCCCAGCATGCATTAGCTATTTTTCCTAATGCTCTCCCTCTTTTTCTTTTTACAGGAAAAACTAACCCAAGAGTGTGTATTCAGAGAACAGTTCGAAGAAAACTGGTATAATACGTACTCATCAAACCTATATAAGCACGTGGACACTGGAAGGCGATACTATGTTGCATTAAATAAAGATGGGACCCCGAGAGAAGGGACTAGGACTAAACGGCACCAGAAATTCACACATTTTTTACCTAGACCAGTGGACCCCGACAAAGTACCTGAACTGTATAAGGATATTCTAAGCCAAAGTTGACAAAGACAGTTTCTTCACTTGAGCCCTTAAAAAAGTAACCACTATAAAGGTTTCACGCGGTGGGTTCTTATTGATTCGCTGTGTCATCACATCAGCTCCACTGTTGCCAAACTTTGTCGCATGCATAATGTATGATGGAGGCTTGGATGGGAATATGCTGATTTTGTTCTGCACTTAAAGGCTTCTCCTCCTGGAGGGCTGCCTAGGGCCACTTGCTTGATTTATCATGAGAGAAGAGGAGAGAGAGAGAGACTGAGCGCTAGGAGTGTGTGTATGTGTGTGTGTGTGTGTGTGTGTGTGTGTGTATGTGTGTAGCGGGAGATGTGGGCGGAGCGAGAGCAAAAGGACTGCGGCCTGATGCATGCTGGAAAAAGACACGCTTTTCATTTCTGATCAGTTGTACTTCATCCTATATCAGCACAGCTGCCATACTTCGACTTATCAGGATTCTGGCTGGTGGCCTGCGCGAGGGTGCAGTCTTACTTAAAAGACTTTCAGTTAATTCTCACTGGTATCATCGCAGTGAACTTAAAGCAAAGACCTCTTAGTAAAAAATAAAAAAAAATAAAAAATAAAAATAAAAAAAGTTAAATTTATTTATAGAAATTCCAAAGGCAACATTTTATTTATTTTATATATTTATTTATTATATAGAGTTTATTTTTAATGAAACATGTACAGGCCAGATAGGCATTTTGGAAGCTTTAGGCTCTGTAAGCATTAAATGGCAAAGTCCGCTATGAACCTGTGGTAAATTCATGCAAGTAGATATAATGGTGCATGGATATAAGAAATTCTAATGACCCTAATGTACTAAAGGCGACAATCTCTTTTGTGCCCATATTATTGTAAACTTATGCACATCGCTCATGACACTGAGTATTCACTCTTCAGACTGCTTGTTTCATAGCTTATCCCAGAGGATTAAAGATAAACTGGGTCTCAAACTTTGATTCTGTGTCTGCAATATTTCCTCTCTCATAAGTGACTCCACTATTGTAACTTCATGGTTGGAAAATATGAGGGTTGATATATGTCTTACTTGTTTAAATCTGTCGCAGAATATACCAAAGCTAAATAATAACTATGCTTTCATTTTAGCCGATCTCCAGAATGACAGTATTAACATCAAACATTGTATTGATTTAGAATTCTCAAAAAAGGAAAAAAAAGTACATAGCACAGACTATTTTTTTTAAAGACGTAAGAATCAGATTAACAGGATCATACTTGTAAACTTTTTTTGGTTCACTTGGCTATCAAATATGAAATTATAGAAGTATCATAGGGGTCATTGTAACATCTTTTAGAGAAAATGGCTATCAGTGTGAACTGTCATAATTACGTGGTAATAGCACCCTTAGTAAAACTTGCAAAATGAAACTAATAAATCGTTATCAATAATGACAATGAGGGGGAAAGTATTATACTTGTTGACTGTGTTTTGTTTTTTAAAATGGTCTCCACAAGCGCTCAATTTTTTTAGAGGGGATATTACTATATAGAATATCTTTTACAAGGCTTTTATAACATTTTATGCTGAAAAGCATAAGAATACGTATTTCTTTAGTAGCAATAATTTTGGAACTTGCCCTTGGGCAAGCGAGACTATTTCTTACTATATACTAAGGAGAAAAGAGCCAAATTCTTAAAGCAATATTTAAGAAAAAAGGAATTTATAACAAATTCTCATCTACATATGACACTTTCTAGCCAGTTGTGTTGAGAAGTGCAAAGTGACGGTTTAAACATGTGTTGGGATTTATTGAACTAATTTTAAAATTTACTATTCAAACTTTATTTTGCTCTGATGCACATTCTCTATGAAAAATAAAAGTGTGTCACTGGTGAGTGACAGCTGTTATGAGCTAGAAGCGCATGACTTATTGTGACGATGTCTTGCCTTTCTGTGGTCCAAGTTGGAGTACATGGCAATGCCCTCCTGCTGATGTGCATTAAGGAAAATCTAAGTCTAATATTTGGAATTAAGATATATTTTAGGGGGAGGGGACAGAAGCAATGTAAAATAGTTGATTTATGATAAAGCTCAGAATGTCCTCTTCATTTATTTTCTTGTTTTATTTTCCTTTCTAAACAGAAACTGCATTTAATTCCAAAAAGTAGTATTCTTATTTATTATTTAACCCTTTGCTGCTGCTAAAATGTGCACATATTCAGGCTTTAGTTTTTCCAAAAGGCATTTTTTTTTTGGCTGAAAAATATTAAACATTTGACCACAGGGAAGAATCAAGTTTCTAGGATGTCATAGGTATACTATGTAGCACTGAAAAAATTGATTTTAGGTGACAGCCAAAAGTAGTCTTAAAGTAGCATGAGACCTTAGATAATCGACCTAAAAGAAAGAAAATTGTGAAAAAGACAAAAATCTTCATGCATTCCTATAAAACGCTACTTTAAGGTCTACTTTTGGAGTTAATTTTGTTTGGTACTTTTTTTTTTTTTAAGACGAGCAAATTGTTATATGCTTTTGGCAATTGATACAATAAACTGTAATGGTCTGTAAATAAATAAATATTGACTCATGCGATTTATGTAAATAGTGGAACTGGGAGAGTGGATGGCTCAGGGTTTCGGTGTGGGCATTGTCTCTTGGGCAGTAGAGTGAGTCATCCCCAGCTCATGGGTTTGCATCCAGTTCTTGTCTTAAGAGACCCAAAGCCCAGTGAATGGCAGCCCTGAGCCACTGTGGAATGGGGGTTCTGGTTTCACAAACAGATGCTTAGATAGCCAAACCACTGTCTTGTTGGTGCCAACACTTGCACTGTGGTCAAAGACTTACCGAGCATGGGCTGAACAACCTTCCCATCTGTCATGTGAATGTCCCCAAGCAGTGGTGAAGGACATGCTAGGTCAGTGTTGGGGAACCTGCCCTGCCAGGTCCTGTTTTGTAGATAAACAAATGGCTGCCTTCTGGTGTTTTTATTCTATTTCATCTCATTAACACTACAACCTTGTGTTATTTACTTGATAATCTGTAATTGTATGTAAATACATACAGGATTATGTAATTTGTGTAAATACATAATTACAGAGTTTTGAAAACTGGTATTTTTTACTTGATGTCCATTTTGGAGCTGCTTCACATTCTGTGCCTACATGAGCCAATGGAATTTAAAAAGCATGTTCTCCTTGCTCTTACAGCTGTGCTATGTGTTGAGGGGTTGAGGGTTATGGGGGATGGAGGGGAAGGAACAAACATATCCAGATGTGTTCTCTCTGTAAGTGTTCGATGAAGAAGCAAGTCATGTTCTGGGATGAAGATTTATGAACTTGGAGCAAGCGAGGCTAAGTGTGTGTGCACATTTACGTGGACGGGTGAATGGACAAAGTCATATTGTTTGACGTCAGATTCTGTTTGCTGCATCACTTGACCTTGAAATGTGCCAAATTTAGATCCACTGTTTGTGGTCACTTGCACGAAAAAGCAATGAAATGGTGGGGGTCGGGGAGTATGCCAGATGAATAGAAAGAAATATTAGCCACCAAGGCCCTCTCAAGTGTACGTGTGTATACATGTGGCCTACGTGCTCTATGATACCCACATGCATCCAGAGACATTTCACATTTTAAAACTTATATTTTATTCTTAAAAGTGGAATGGGGAGGAATTATAACAATAAACTGCGTTTACTTCCTTAGGACACGGTCCAAAATTCAGGGCTTCAGGTTTGTAGGATGGACCCTGGCCACAGAATGTTTGGTCACAAATGTGTGAATAAACGGCTCAAAGTGTGATTTGTACCTTTTACTTGCAGCACGCTTCTATCATTGCCCTGAGGTCTTTAGAAAAAACTTTTTGAAGTACCCTTCATTAGAGAGGAACATGCAGAAATAAGAAATAGACACTTCTGTAATTTTCTTTTGGAAGAAATTGAAAATGAATATTCTTAATGTGTATTCTCCACCAGCTTAGTCACCAGGTTGCTAGACAGACATCTGGCTCTTAGGTCAGCCAGTTATGAGGCCTCTTTGCTGTTTGGGTTCATAGGAAAAGAAAATTCTTACTTAAAATTCTCATTATTCTCCAGCCATATTCCAGCTTATATATTGGAAAATTTTTTTAATTTAATTTTAATTTAAAAATTTGGGCCAGGTTGCGGTGGCTCACGCCTGTAATCCCAGCACTTTGGGAGGCTGAGGCGGGTGGATCATGAGGTCAGGAGATCGAGACCATCCTGGCTAACATGGTGAAACCCCGTCTCTACTAAAAATACAAAAAAAAATTAGCCGGGCATGCTGGCAGGTGCCTGTAGTCCAAGCTATTTGGGAGGCCGAGGCAGGAGAATGGCATGAACCTGGGAGGCGGATCTTGCAGTGAGCCAAGATTACGCCACTGCACTCCAGCTTGGGCGACTGAGCAAGACTCCGTTTCAAAAAAAAAAAAAAAAATAGGCATAATTGGATATCTGAATAGCCTTTGGCAAGCTGCGCTCTTGCTATTTTTTTTTTCTGTCCCTTTCTGAAGGTCCTTCTAGCTATGCTGTTTTGGTTATGATTCCCATTGTATTATTATTATTGTAATGATCCTATTAGTAGACTCAGGAAAATCTGGAATTAAAAGGAGTTAAAAGAAAAAGTTGTGTTTGAGAGCATTCAGAGCTGAACAACCAGTGCTGCCCTCCTCACACTGGGGAAGGGCAAGCATTATTGACAATGTTCATGGTCCAGCTTGGAGAAACTTATTTTTGGAAACACTCATGCAGGCTTTTTCCTTACCATTTTGTGGGATGTTGCAAAACATTCTCTAAGTTCCTCCTGGCTGTTGCCTCTAGCTCCTGGTGTATGCACAGGCACAGGGTTGCAGCCTGGTGAGATTTCTGTTTCTTACCACTTACTAATAAGAGGGCTCTTCCTAGTCTGTGAAGATGTTAGAATTACAACTCCTGTTTCAGAGGGAAGCAATACTCCAGATGTCCCCTTACTCTGTGGTTGACCACACTCGTCCTCCCTCTTTCCTGCCTATTTTTCTTCTCAGTCCCCTCCCTCCTTCCTTAATTTCATTATGTGGAGCTGGAGTCAGGATGAAGAAGACAGACACGTCACTGGTGGCACACACACAGTTTAGACAAATAGACATCATGGTGCATCGTGATGAATACTGGGATAAGGAAGGTACTGGGAGCTGTAGAAAGTAAGTTGCACGCAATCCGGACTTACAAGGGCCCAGGGATGTGATGTTTACGGTGAAACGCAAAGAATGAGAAGGGTTACGGAAAAGACAGCTATAGATTCTCTGGCGTTCTATATGTGTCAAGAAAGTGCTTTCTCCCTTGTGAACTTGGGCTTATTCTATCTCTGATGTTTCCCAGATAACCGTGGCTGAGCCTGACATAAAAGTGACGTAAAAAGCCTGAGGTAAAAAGTGCTGGCTGATGGGCCAGCTTTGGTCTTGCAGGGTTTCCTAAGCCTTGTGTGGGGGTGTTGGTTCGTGGAGACAATCAGAACACAGTCTTTGCGTCAGATCAGCTTTGTTGCCCTGGGCTCACCTGTGGCCTCTTTCAGAATGCTCTTCTGTTGTTCTTGGTTTCTTTCCAGAGAGAGGTTATCCTACTCATTTGTGTTTTAATTTAATTTAATTTAATTTTTTAAGGCAGGGTCTCACTCTGTTACCCAGGCTGGAGTGCAGTGGCACGATCTCCCCTCGCTGCAGTTTCCATCTCCCAGGCTTAAGCGATTCTCCCGCCTCAGCATCATGAATAGCTAGGATTACAGGCACGTACCACAACATCCCACTAATTTTTTGTGTTTTTAGTAGAGATGGGGTTTCACCATGTTGGCTAGGCTGGTCTTGAACTCCTGGGCTCAAGCAATCTGGCTGCCTTAGCCTTCCAAAGTGCTGGGATCGCAGATATGTGCCACTGCGCCCCTACATGTTTTTATTAACGTTACTTATTTTAATTATCCCTCTCACATTTGCCTCATGTCACAGGCAATATCTGCAGTGTAAAAATAATTAAAATACAGGAAAATAAAAGAGGCAAAAACATAATCTTTAAAATATCCAGTTCATTCTTTCAATGAATTTGTATTGAGCAACTGCTATATGATATGAAACAGGGCTGGGGATATAGTAGTAAAAAATAAGACAACATTCTGATCTTGTTACTTAAATACCAAGCTGAGTTCTATGTCAATGAATCTATAGACACATGGTACCTGCTCAAGAAACTGTAGGACTGGGATGCCCACATCCAAAGAAATTAGGACACCTCGGCAATTCTTCATGAACTTTGCTCTTCTTCAACTATGTATTTAATTTACCTTAATATGTAAGAACTCAGTTCAAAGCAGCGCTATTCAAGTTCTGTTGGTTTAAGTAGGATGGCATGGAAAGAATGTCCTCAAATTTGATGATACAGATTGTTTCGGTAGATGAGCAACTGCTTGGCAGAAAATGAGTTTCTTTTGAAATAAACAGTTCCCTGACCTCCTCTCCTTGGGAAAATTCAAAGGAAAAGGCAATGGCATTCCAAGTTTTTCAGTTGTAGATTTGTGATGTCTTTTAAGGGTATGAGAGCTCAGTGAAGACATCACTTAGTGGGCTAAAAGGACTGATGGAGCTTGGAAAATGCCTCCTCTTCTCCCATTAAACCCTTCTCATTGGAATGTCAATGGGCATCTAATATATAGTCATAGGTTTAATGCCAGAGAGATGAAATTGTACATCTTGGTTAGAGAGATGAAACCTTTCATTTTGCTCATCTTCACCAAATGACAAATCCGTAATTAATCTGTCTCTGGATTCCTTGTGGCTTGCTTTGATTTCCTTTCCTAGTTGAGAGGGTGGACCATGGATTCCTACTCTCTTGGGTCTCCCTTTCCCTATCCCATGTTTAAAGAGTAGAAATGTTTAGGTTCATATTACAGAATAAGTAGAACGGACAGAGTGTGATGGATGGTCTTTAGAATTTTCTCAGAAGAGTCTTATGATCTTAAATTTGGCTTAGGAAATAAGAGTGAATTGAATCAGAGCAGTATTCAAAGCAGGGCATCTTGGCAAACAAAGAAACTCTCCATTCTTCAGGAGATACTTCATGACTGACACTGGTTGAGTAAAGCCTAAACATTTCCACGATGCTGCCATTCACCTAGCATCTGAAGTGCCATCTGGAGATAGATGAGGGTTATGAATGACTCTTGGTAAGTGGGCACAAAATTAGAAATCAGGCCATTTCTTCTGATTATTTGCTTCAAAGAAGGGACTTACAATTTGTAGTGACTCTAATGTGCCTAATGTATGCTTCCTCTTTCTTCCTCTTGGCATATTTCCTGTGCAAGCAGGCTGAATTCTACTATTTTCATCTCAGAGCATTCATTTTGTTCCAGATGCAAAATGCTTATTTCTTTTAAAATATAGATTATTGGGTGGAAGAGTTGTATTGAATTAACAATGCTTTTTGTTGAAGTGGATAAATTCACCTGACTGAAAATATAGTCTAGTCACCTCTAATCCATATCCATGAGCCCAAAAGCAGATTTCTGTGTTTTGGCCCCATTCTGTATTCCATGTGGTCCTAAATGTGTTTCAAAAGTATCAGTACCTTGAAATGGCCAAATTACATCTCAGATGAGTTGTTTTATGTCCTAATGAACTGATTTTAATAGACACTTGGGTTGTATATATTTTTTCAAATATCAAAATGTCAGCTTATAGGAGAATTAAAATACAAATAGCAAATATTATAGTATGAATAATAAAGGTTATTTTTGTAGTCATGAATCATATTTGATGCCTTTTTAAAACAACAACAACAACAACAACAAACCTTTAAAAACTGGCCAACAGTTGAAGTTTAGTCTTAGGTAAACCCACGATTTTTCACCATGTCTATAATTCCCATATAGCTTAGAACCTGACCAAAATTCAAGTGAAGGGAACTTTTCATTGAAACTTACTAATATATTCAGCAAGCAATTATTGATAAATACTATGTTCTAAGATTAAAGTAAAAACAATTATTAAAATCTGTTTTCATGTACAATATAAATATATATTGATCCGTATGGTTTTTGCATGCCTCTTGTAGAAGTGAGGTGAACTAATTTTCATGAGCTCTTTTTTCTTGTCTTCCTTATGGAAAATACCACTCCTTGGTGGGGAAAGGGACTGGGATATGACTTAAAATAGAGACTATCTCTTTAAAGTAAGTACTTTAAATAACAGACCTAGGCCATTTGGAAATATTTTGTTTCTCATTCAGCTGGGTGCTTAAAATTGTTCCCAAAAGAATTCCTCTTGGTTTGATTTTGAATTGTGCTTCTGAAAAATAAAACATACATAAAGTCAATATGTGGTGATTTAGCATACCTTTTTGGCATGTTTTATAATGATTAGTTCTATATTTTTAGTTCAGGACAGTAGTTAAGATTCAAAATTCCTATGTGACTGTTTTTATCTCAGAAACATGTGACAGCTTGTCATGAGGCTATCTTATTTGGGAACCACACCCAGTAGTTCTGAGCACGCTCAAGGAACTATATTAAGGAGCATGTGGCAAATGTATGAACAATTTATAAATATATTTGATTAGCTACTACTCTCTAGAAAGGGGCTGTGAACTGATTAGTGCATGAGTTTCAGGAACCTTCTTAAGGACAGGGAAAGAACCACCCTAAAACATGAGAGGTAACAGTGCTTGGCACTTACAAAGGGCCAGGAAGAGTGCTTGTTCCTACAGCCAGACTAGAAAACGTCAAGATTCACAGAGACCTGGGTAGAGTACAGAGAAGGGTTTTGCCTCGGTTATGGAGAACAATTAGTCCTAAACACTTTTCCAGCCCCACCTAACATATTTTAAAAGCAACACCAAAAAGGATAAAACTATATTCAAGAGGCTCATCCCAGAGCAAAGCTCAATAATATGTATAGAATTAAAAAAATCCACCACCCAAGAAGATAAACAATGCCTGGCATCCAACCAAAAGCCACCAGACATGCAAAGAGGCAGGAAAATGTAACTCATACTAAGGAGAAAAAGATCAGTCAATTCAACCTGACTGTGTTAGGTCATTCTTGTATGGCTATAAAGAAATACCTAAGACTGGGTAACTTATGAAGAAAAGAGGCTTATTTGGCTCGCAGTTCTGCAGGCTGTACAGGAAGCATGGTGCTGGCATCTGCTTGGCTTCCGGTGAGGGCCTCAGGAAGCTGACAGTCATGGCAGAAGGTGAAGCGGGAGTGGGCGTCTCACATGGTGAGAGCGGGAGCAAGAGAGAGAAAGTGGGGAGGGGAGGTGCTACACACTTTTAAACAACCAGATCTCATGAGAACTCACTATCACGAGGACAGCACCAAGTCATGAGGGATCCACCCCCATGACCCAAACACCTTCCACCAGGCCCCATCTCCAACACTGGGGATTACATTTCAACATCAGATTTGCGGGGACAAACCAAATTATATCACTGACCTAGAAATAGAAAGATGTTAGAATGAGTAGAAAAATACATGGAAACAGTTTTTATAACTGTGTTCTACATTTTCAAAAAGAGACATGGAAGATACAAGAACAGATTAAAATTTGACTTCTAGAGACGAAAACTACAATGTGTGAGATGAAAAATACACTAGAATGAAGGTATTTTAAAAATGGCAATTTAAAGCAAAAGAAAAGATAAATTCTCTTGAAATTACAGCAATAGAGACTAAAATGAAAAGCAGAGGAAAGAGAATTTAAAAATATTGAACTGTGGGACAACTTCAAGTAGCTCAATATGTATGTAATTGGAGTCTCCAAAAGAGATGAGAGGGAGAAGAGGAGGAAAAAAAATTTGGATAAATAATGGTCAGAAAATTTCTAAATTTGATAAAAAACTGTAGACATACAGATCTGGGATGCTCAATAAACCTCATGTATAAGGAAAACAAAAAAATCCAACTATACCAATGCACATGATAATCAAATTGCTGACAACCATTGATAAGAGAAAATCTGAAAAGCAGCCCTTTAAAAAACACACTGCTTACAGAGGAACAAAGTTAAGGATTAGAGATGATTTATTATCAGAGACAATATAAGAAAGAAAACAGTAATATCTTTAATATCTTTATTAAAGGAGTAATATCTTTTTTTTTTTTTTTTTTTTTTTTGAGCTGGAGTCTCGCTCTGTCACCCAGGCTGGAGTGCAGTGGCGTGATCTCGGCTCACTGCAAGCTCTGCCTTCCGGGTTCACGCCAGTCTCCTGCCTCAGCCTCCCGAGTGGCTGGGACTACAAGCGCCCACCACCACATCGGTCTAATTTTTTTGTATTTTTAGTAGAGACGGGGTTTCACTGTGTTAGCCAGGAGTAATATCTTAAAAGTACTGAAAGAACAAAGCTGTGAAACTAGAATTATATACCTAGCAACAATATATTTCAAAAACAAAGGTGAAGATTTTTTTCTGACCTACAAAAACTGAAAGAATTCATCAGCTGACCCTGACATGCTGTAAGAAATGTTAAAATTGTAAATGTTGGCCGGGCGTGGTGGCTCACACCTGTAATCCCAGCAATTTGGGAGGCCGAGGTGGGCGGATCACGAGGTCAGGAGATCGAGACCATCCTGCCTAACATGGTGAAACCCCGTCTCTACTAAAAATACAAACAATTAGCCAGGCGTGGTGGTGGGCACCTGTGGTCCCAGCTACTCAGGAGGCTGAGGCAGGAGAATGGTATGAACCCAGAAGGCAGAGCTTGCAATGAGCCGAGATCGTGCCACTGCACTCCAGCCTGGGTGACAGAGTGAGACTCTGTCTCAAAAAAAAAAATTTTTTTAATGTTAATTGTTGATGTTAAAAATGTTAAAATCCTTCAGGAAGAAGGACAAAGATACCACATGAAAATATGGATCTATACAAAGGACTGAAGAACACCAGAAATGATAACTATGTGAATAAATGTATAATATTTTTTCTTTTTATTCAAATCATTTAAAAAGATAATTGACTTTAAAAATAATAACAATGTGGTGTGAAATTTATTGCCTATGTAAAAGTAAAATAGATGACAGCAATAGTACGAACCTGGGAGGGTGTTAATGAAAACTTATTATTGTAAGGTTCTCATATTACACCTGAAGTGGTATATTACAACAAGTTAAAAGATGTGTGGTATCAATCCTAAATCAATCACTAAAATAATAAAGAGCTATAACAAGATGATATAGTTAAACCTACCCATACTAATAATCACATTAAATGTAAATAGCCTAAACACCCAGAGGCAGAGATTGTCAGATTTTCAAAAGCAAGACCCAACTATATGCTGCCTATAAGACAGACATGTTAAATATAAAGACACAGATAGGATAAAAGTAAAAGAATGAAAAAATGTACACCATGCTAACAATAATTAAAAGAAAGCAGGAATGGCTATGTTAATGCCAGACAAGATGATCTCACAGAAGAGAATATTATCAGGGATAAAGAAGATCATGTCAAAATAATAAAGGGGTCGATTCATCAATAAAACATAAAAATCCAAAATGTTTGCATACCTAATAAACAGAGCTTTAATGTGCATGAAGCAACATGTGATAAAACCTCAAGGAGAAATACACAAATTCACAATTATAATTTCAGATTTCAATAACCTTCTTCCAATAATTGATAGAACAAGTAAACAGCACATTATTACCAGTACAGAATGTTTATACAGTACTATCAAACAATATGATCTAATTGATATTTATAGAAGACTCCATCCAACAATAGAGTATTACATAGTCTTTTCAAGCACACAAGGAATATTTACCAAGGTATTCTGAGCCATAAAACATATCTCTTGTAAATTTGTTTAAGTTCTTTGTAGATTCAGGATATTAGCCCTTTGTCAGATGGGTAGATTGTAAAAATTTTCTCCCATTCAGTAGGTTGCCTGTTCACTCTGATGGTAGTTTCTTTTGCTGTGCAGAAGCTCTTTAGTTTAATTAGATCCCATTTGTCAATTTTGGCTTTTGTTGCCACTGCTTTTGGTGTTTTAGTCATGAAGTCCTTGCCCATGCCTATGTCCTGAATGGATGAGTTCATGTCCTTTGTAGGGATATGGATGAAGCTGGAAACCATCATTCTGATCAAACTATCACAAGGACAGAAAACCAAACACCACATATTCTCACTCATAGGTGGGAATTGAACAATGAGAACACTTGGACACAGGGTGAGGAACATCACTCACCGGGGCCTGTCATGGGGTCGGGGGAGGGGGGAGGGATAGCATTAGGAGATACACTCAATGTAAATGATGAGTTAATGGGTGCAGCACACCAACGTGGCATATGTATACATATGTAACAAACCTGCACGTTGTGCACATGTACCCTAGAACTTAAAGTATAATTAAACAACAACAACAAAAAACATATCTCAATACATTTAGAAGCATTCACAAAAGTATGTTCTCTGGCAATGGAATTCAATTACTGGAGAGATCTGTGGATAATCCCCAAATACTGGAAACTAAATGATATCCTTTTACCCAAGGCTCAAAGAAGAAATCAACAGTGAAATTATAAAGTCACTTGAATTGAATAAAAATTGAAATACAATATATCAAAAATTCTAGACCACTGCTAAAGTACAGACCAATATCCCTCATGAATATGGATACAAACTTTCCAGTAAAAGAAAGTTTCTTTCTATTACTAATTTATTATGGGCATGGTGGCTCAGTCCTGTAATCCCAGCACTTTGGGAGACCGAGGCGAGAGGATCACTTGAGGTCAGGAGATTGAGATCAGCCTGGCCAATATGGTGAAACCCCATCTCTACTAGAAATACAAAAATTAGCTGGGCGTGGTGGCGGGTGCCTGTAATCCCAGCTACTTGGGAGGCTGAAGCAGAGAATCGTTTGAACCCAGGAGGCAGAGGTTGCCGTGAGCTGAGATCGTACCACTGTGCTCCAGTCTGGGTGACAGAGTGAGACCCTGTCTCAAAAAAGAAGAAGAAAAAAAAGAAACTTTCTCAACCTGATAAAAGGGGTCTATGAGAAACCTATGGTGAACATCATACTTATGAAAGAATGAGTGCTTTACTGCAAAACTCAGGGAGATGACAGACATGTATACTTTTATCACTCCTACTCAGCATTGTACTGAAGATCTAGACAGTGTGATAAAGCAAGAGAATGAAATAAAAGACATCCAGATGAGAAACTAAGAAGAAAAACTGTCTTGTTTTTTTTGCAGATTGCATGATCATGTATGTAGAAAATTTGATAGAATCTACAGAGTTGCTACTGGAATTAAAAAGTGAGTTTAGCAAGGCTTCTGGATGCAAGAACAATCGATTGTACAAAAAACAACTGCATTTCTACATATTATCAATAAACAATTGGATGTTGAAATAAAAGTACCATTTAATAGGATAAGAATGAAATAGAGATGAGAAATGACAGGAGATGTTCAAGACCAATATACTGCAAACTACAAAACATGGCTCAGATAAATTTAAAAAAGTCTAATAAGTGGAGCGATATATCATGTTTATATGTTGGTATCATGTCAATTTCCTGAAAATTGATCTATATCTTTAAGGCAATTCCAATCAAAATTTCACAGGCATTTATACTTTTTTAGTTTAAGAAATTAACAAGCTGATTCTAAAATTCATATAGAAGTGTGGAGGTTCTAGAATAGATGAAACAGCTCTGAAAAGGAACAAAGTTGGAGGACTGACACTACATAAATTCAACATTGTATATAAAGCTGCAGTAATTAAGACAGTACGATATTTGTAAATTATGAATCTGATAAGAACTTATATCCAGAATGTAGAAAGAACTCTCGAAACTCAAGAAAATAAACAACTAAGGTGAAAAAAAATGGCCAAATATTTGAACAGTTCACCAAAAAATATATGAATGGCAAACAAGCACATGGAAAGATGCTTAACATCATTGCTCATTAGGGAAATGCAAAATAAAACCACAGTCATACAACACATATTAAAAGGCCTAAAATTTAAAAAAAATGGAATTTACTATGTGTCAGTAAGGATTTGGAGGAACTGGAACTCTCATACACATCTGGTAGGAATGTAAAATTCTACAATCTTTTTGGAAAACATTTTGCCAGTTTCTTAAAAAGTTGAACATATGCCTACCATACGATCCAGCCATTCAGCTCCTATGTTTGTACCCAATAGAACTAAAAGCATATGTTCGTACAAAAACTTGCAGCTTTATTTGTAACAGCCAAAAACTGGGCAAAACACTACAGGTGAATGAATAAATAAACTACAGTATATCTATACTGTGCAATACTGCTCAGCAGTAATAGAGAATTAATTACTGCATCACACCACAGCATTGATGATTCTCAAAATAGTTGTACTGAAGGAGAAATGCTAGAGAAAAAAATGGTACATATTGTACATTTCTATGCGCATAAAATTCTAGAAAGTTAAAGCTAGTATAGAGTTCTAGAAAGATCATTGATTGCCTGGGGATGACAAGGAGAGGCAGGGGTGGGAGAAGGGATCACCAAGAGGCATGGGAAAACTTTTGGGGGTGATGGATATGTTAACAATCTTGATTTACAAGGTGTATGAATATGTCAAACTTGTCAAAGTATATACTTGTGTGCAGATTTATTGTATGCCAATTGTACCATGATGACACATTTTAAACATATAATATGAAATGCTCACAAACCATAATGACCTTCCAGAGCTGTCATGCAGTTAAAATGAGGGATGCTGTTGTGATCCTGGCATGTCAGGGAGTCCAAATCTAAGTCAGCCCCCTTTCCTTGCAACTATAGACTGATGTTTTCCCATCAAGGACATTCTCCTCAAATTGCTAAATAGCAAAGATAGAAAAAATTCAGAGGAAGAGAAATAATATCGGGATATTTGCTCCTGACTGCCATTTTCTAAAATTCAGCTCTAAGAGGTGGAGTGATCTGCCAGAGACAGGTGGATGAATCTGGGGACAAGGGAGAGCATTACAGAGGGTGAAGGTTCAAATAGACCTCCACCTGGGTTCTACCAAACCTGCGTACGGGAAACTCTAGCCTTCCGTTACAAAGTGACTTGACTTACAATATACAGTAAAGGAGATGTGGAAGCAAATCAAAAAAGAACATCAAGTCATATATGTAATGTCATACGGAATATCTTTTTGATGCGCCTTGGAATGATTAGCTCTATATTTTTAGTTCAGAACAGCAGTTAAGTTGCAAAATTCCTGTTTAGCTGTTTTTATCACAGAAACACGTGACTGTCAGGAGGCTAAATTAGGAACCACGCCCGATGGTTCTGAGCACATTCAAGAAACTATATTAAGGGCCATGTGACAAATGTATGAACACATTACAAATTCACTTGATCAGTTACTGCTCTCTATCAGAGGCTGAGCATTTGAAGCAAATGCCAGAGTTCAGACATATGCTGTGAAGTTCACGAGAGATGAGGGAAAAATTAATACGACGATGACTGAATTACCCATCTTTAGGGCTGTAGGACTTTATATTTAAAATATGACACAAAGAAAGGTCAAGACTGTAGGATGACGGATGAATGGTCTGAAAACAAGTTATGTGTAAAAGAGAGGAGATCCAATCAAAGCCTTATTTTTGCTTTCTACAACTGGACATGAAACCTTTTTATTAGCAGGGCAGTAAATAAGTCAGCTGTGGTTTGTCTCATTGGAAATGGGGACTTTTTAAAAATTTTTTTAATTTTTTATTTTTTTGCTTTTCATTATGTAGCATTGTGCCCAACACTAAAGGGGAATCTTCTGGACTTAAAAATTACACATTCTGACTGTGATGCTGAACTATTAATAGTTAAAAAGGAGACTCGAGCCCATTAAAATATTAATCATTTGTGCTGGTACGAATTCACACTTGGGTAATAATAGTTTATAAATAATATTTATTTGAATTTTCGTGGGATGCTGACTGAGGGAGATCAGTGAGACATCAATATTTTAAGGATAGTGGAGGTAACATTATAGTGTCATTCTTCAACATCTGTTAAACACCCTCCACCAGGCGGCTGAGCAGTGTTTAAAAGCATGGACACTGTAATCAGGTCACTTAGATTTGAATCTCATCTTCACCATTTCTTCTAACTTTGTGACCTGGAACAAAATTACTTACCTCTTTGTGCCTTAGCTTAGTCCTCTATCCCTGCCTCTGCAGGGACTGTCAGGATTAAGTAAAGGTCTGTGAAGCATTTTGAATAGCGTCTGGAACGTAGTAAGCACTCATCAGATATTGGCTGTCCTTACATATCTCACACTGGAATCCTTAAAGTAACATAAGAAGGAGCTGTGATTATCCCTGTTTTATGAATAACAAACTAGGTAGTTCATATCATGTCTGTGATTGGACCTAGGCTTTCTGACTTGGTCTTAGCTTTCTTCTCTATACTATATTATAGCACCTGAGGGGTGCTGCCCACTAAGATTTCTACTTTCCAGAAAGTTCCACCTAGCATTTTTCTTGCACTGTAATGGCCTTCGGGGTGCCCCTCCTGCCTCTGCTCTGGCAGTTCAAATGTGGCGTCCATGAGGTTAGGTTCTTTGCAAGCCGTGGTGCCTCTTGGAATGCAAAGCAGTGGGCAGGCACAATCTCACTTACCTTCACCACATTCCAGAGAGGTGATGCAATGGCCCTGGGCGAGCCTCCTTTATTTCCAAATTGAAAACAAATGGAAATTCAAGAAATGATGTGACTTGATTTGGTTTGGTTGCCACTGGGAGTGAGATGCAGTCCACCTTTGAAGCCTGATTGTCCAGTTCTCACATATGTCTCCCAATAACATGCTGTCTCCCTTCTGTTGCATCTTCTAAATCCCTCTATTCCCTCCTCCATGCTGAGGAGATTGGGCTACATAGGTAGTCAGGGGATCCAGAGGCAGCACTGGCTTGGGCCAAACTTATCACTGGGCACGAGGGCAGAAGACCTCAGACTGTACAATAAGGTGGGGTCTTTTCTTTCCAACTGGTGGGTAGCCAGGCCCATGAAACACATCTGACCTTGAGACTCAGCTTTGACCTTGCAGCCTCGTGGCTGGTGGCATGATGGAGGTACAAGAGAGAAAAGACCTTAGTTCCCTAAATGTCCTCATGGAAGAGAGAAATTCACAAGGACATATTTGAAATCATAGAAGCAGAGTAGAAAGGGGCTGGGGTGGGAGGCTTGGGAAGATATTGATTAAAGGACACAACAGTTGGGGTCGATAGGAGAAACAAGTTCAAGATATCTATTATACATCATGATGACAATAGTTAAAAATAATGTATTGTACACTTAAATATTGCTAAGAGAGTAGATAGTAAGTGTTCTCACCACAAAATAAATGTGAGGTAATACCTATGTTCATTAGCTTGATTTAGTCATTTGCAATATTAGTATATACATTTATAATATACACATTTTTCTTTTTTCTTTTTTTGAGACAGAGTCTCGCTTTGTCACCCAGGCTGGAGTGCAGTGGCGCGATGTCAGCTCACCGCTACCTCCGCCTCCCGGGTTCAAGTGATTCTCCTGCCTCAGCCTCCCAAGTAGCTGGGATTAGAGACACGTGCCACTGCACCAGGCTAATTTTTGTGTTTTTAGTAGAGGCGGGGTTTCACCATGTTGGCCAGGGTAGTCTTGAGCTCCTGACCTCAAGTGATCCACCTGCCTCAGTCTCCCAAAGTGCTGGGATTACAGGCATGAGCCACTGTGCCCAGCCTATGTATACATTTTTCAAAACATCATGTTTTACAACATATATGCAATTTTATTCATCAATTAAAAAATAAATAAAGGAAAAAACCCACAAGGACATATTATTTGAGACTATAATATTGCTTCTCTTTGTTTTATCTTAGCCTTAACCTTGGCTTTATGCTGGGTCTTTCACAATGGAGTTTTACCCACTTTAAGTGAGTAACAAACCCCAAAGACAAAAACAAAAAATGGCTCATAAACGGTGCTGCTCATCTACATTCACTGAGTGAGAATAATTTGTTTCATAGAAAATGACTTTGCAGGCTTGGGTAAATCATTGTTTGTTTTTCTCTCTAGAACTGCACATTTGAATAAAACCACCTCGTTAGTGACCCTTTGCTGGGTATACTGTTAACGCATTGCCTCCTGTTTGGAATTTGGGTGTTTGTTCTAAGGATCATGCCTGCATTTTATAAATGACTTTTAAAAACACTTCAGAGACATCTAGAGAAGAGTACACAAATCTGTATACATGGAACCGAGCACTAGGAGAAGTGCAGGTGGGAGGAGACAGGAATGTTGAGTCATTCACTCTACCTACACTTAATAAAAAGCCGGCACAGGAGGTCGCGTAACTCCTTATTCCACCAATTTTAAAACATACCCAAATCCACATTCTTCCACCTCCATAACTCAAAACAAATAAGCGAAACTAAAAAAAAAAATACCAACAAGGTGTTTTTATTTAGTTATATAATGGAGCTTGAATTAGTACCATGTTGCTCACCTGACAACTTGTCTCTGGAATTAATGAAAGAGGCCCTTTGGGGTGACAATCCTTGGGACGCAGTGGAGGCTGTCTAGTCCAAGGAGAGGTGTTCGGGTGCCGACCTGGGCTGACGGGAGTCAGCAGCTTTGTATGCGACCAAGCCAGCACAGGGCAGGCAGGAGGAACAGAAAGTTGGGGCAATTCAAGAGCTTCTTCTCTGACTTCCAGCACCTGCCTCAGCATAGATGGCTGATCATCTTTAGGAAGTTGCTGGAGAGCCTGGCTGGAGTTTCTCTGCCTTCTGTTCTTGGTAGGTGGAAAAGAATTCTCTGAATTGCCTCTTCTCTCTTCTCTCTTTTCTTGCTCAGTATCAATTTATGAAATTTTAATTTACCACCACGCATTGCCAAACATCCCCCCTGAGCTAGCTTATGACTTGTATATCCAGCTCCTTGTTGGATAGCTCTATCTGGATGTCTCCTTGGTGCCTCCAACTCAGTGTATCCCAAACGGAACATATGATGTTACTCCCTAACCTACTTCTGGGGGAAGCATCTCAACAATGTACCACCATCTACCCTGGCAGTCAGGGAGAAACTTGAGAGTCCTTGTCCCCAACCCTCCAACCTTACATGTCACAATAATCAAATCCTGTAGATTTATCATCAAATTATTTTTCAAAATCATTTCCTTTCCTCTATCTCTCTTGCCATGTCACAGTTAGGCTCCCCCAAGTCATCTGAGCTGGACTCCCCGCCTAGGCTCATGGCCCCCATCCATCCTTCACAGAGATGCCAGGAGAGTACAGAGCTGCAACTTCATACCTCTGGGGCCTGCTGTGTTTTGGAATGGTCCAGATTTCAGAATGGTGATGTAGCATACACACCATATATTATGTAACACCCAGCAGGGTCTGAGGTAGCACCTTATGTTCCAACACATTAATGTTTCTGCATGGAAAAATTGACCACATTAAGTGGATAAAATAAAGTCTATACATAGCTTCAGACCAAGGCACGTCAGGTTTTGCCTATGTCCTAAGCTTAGATTGGGTCTGATTTTTTCATCCAATATGTTAGGAATTGATTCTTCACGTTCTGAACTTTTCGGATTCCAAGTTGTCTACCCTCAGTTAAATTTCACTGTGCCTGTGCCACCCTATTTGCATTAGGAACTTCCCGTTAGCCTGCGGGACAAATTCTAATAGAGCATCCCATCTGCCATCACCTGGGCTCCCTGGACTCCTTTAGGGTCAACATTTGCTCCTCTTTCTCTCTGTCCCAGCGTCCCTGAAATGCTTGCATCCCCCCTGCACACCCCAGCGATTCTTGACTTTATGCTTTTGCTCACCTTTGCTCATGCAGCCCCTTTCCCTAGGACCTCTCCTGCTCCCTTGCTGGGCTCCCACAAGATCACAGCTTTCCCCTCACTCGCCTGGCAGCACAGTGGTACAGCGCGGTTTGTTTTTGTCCCCAGGTTGGTGGAGGGAAAGGCTCAGTCTCCTTTACCTTTGTCTTCCCAGTGCCTTCAAAGGGCCAAAGGCTGGAGGGGCGCTAGGCAGGGGTACTGAGCAAACTGAAGAAAGGGCTCTCTCTCCTAGCTTTCTGCCTGGGATATATTTGCCATTTTCTTGTGGGTGTTAATGGGGGAGCTGGAGTTCCATAGATGGACTTTAGGCTTTAAAGTGAGCTTTTGCAGAAACAAATGTTTGCATCAAGGGATGCCTGGGCTTTGCCTCCAAATTTTGTAACTGTTTGGACAGACTGACAAAGAAAATTGTTCACCAGCAATCTCAATGAGCCTGCGCTTGGTAGCTTTGTTTGATGACCTGGTGCAGAGGAATCTGCGGAGTGGGTGAGGCTGTGTAAGGAAGCACGGCAGGGCATTGGGCAGGTGGGCTCCGCAGGTGCTCAAGCCAGCCTTCACCGCTCGCTCTAGGCAACTCTTGAACTTGTTAAACCTCAGTCTCCTCATTGGTAAATAACAACAGCATACTAAGAACCGTGCTGGTAAACTCAGTCAGTCTGAGGGATCACTATAGTTTTGAATGTGCTGTGAATTGGGTTGTCTGGGGAGCCATGCCACCTAATCTGAAAAGGAAGATGTTGAGCTAGAATGGTGGTCTCCAGCCCTCTGTTTACCCCAAAACACAAGTCACAGTCACATGGCTAATGGAACAAATACTGTTGTTATTCAAAACTCAAAACAAAACAAAAAAATATTCTCAGGCACCTAGGAATGTGCTGGACCCTGCTTCAGGGCTGAGGACATGCAAAGAACCAGGCAGCCCTTGTCTGCAGCGATGTTAAAGCCCAGGAGGGGACACAGATTGTAAGTAAGCAATGCTCAGGGGCAGTCAAGGAGGACTAATACAAACAGCCCATGAATTATTTACTTATTTGTTTTTAACAGATAAGAGTGCCGTCAAGGTTATTCATGTAGTAATGCCACTCTCATCTGGCTGTGTTCTGAGGTGTTTTTTTTTTGCATTTTCCTTTTATTTCACACTGTAGAAAAATTGTTTTAACAACTTTATTGGGCTATCATTGACAAATAAAACTTGTATCTATTTAAGGCTTACAACTTGCTGTTTTGATATATGATACCCTGTGAAATGATCCCCTCAATCAAGGTAATTAACATATCCATCACCTCACATAGTTACCATTTTCTTCTTTTTTGTAGTGAGAACACTTAAGATCTACGCTCTCAGCAAATTTCAAGAAAACGATCCAATGTTGTTAGCTACAGGCACCGTACAACAGCAGAGCTGCAGAACTGAGGCACCTCGCAAACTCAAACTTTGCACCCTTTGACCGACATCTCCTCATTTTCCTCTCCCCACAACCTCTGTTAACCACAGATTCTACTCTCTGCTTCTATGAGTTTGACTATTTTAGATTCCACACATACGTGGATCATGCGGTGTTTGTCTTTCTGTGTCTGGCTTATTTCACTTAGCATCATGTCGTCTAGCTTCATCCAAGTTGTCACGAAGGACAGGATTCCCTTCTTTTTTTAAAGGCTGAATAGTACTCCATTGTATGTATATACCACATTTTCTTTATCCATTCATCCATTGACTGATACACATTTCCAGAGGTGGAAAGAAAGAAACAGAAATGTATTAATGTCCTGAAAACTGTGCATTAATATAGGTATGTACATGTAATGCTTTTGGAAGAAAAGTTGAGAATCATTGAAATATGACTTTTAATGGCCCCTCTCACTCCCAAATTTTATATCTTACAATCCATGGCAACGATCTTGTGAGATCTTTGGTGCTTTAAAATGATCAATACTACATATCATTTTTGGTAATCAATTATTTCATTCTATTTCTTTGAAAACTGTTCATTCAGTTTCCCTTTCAGCCAATATTTATGGAATAATGGCTATGAGCTGAGTACTGCATTAGGGGCTATGGAGTCAACGGTGAGCAAAACGGATGCATTTCCCCTGTTGCCGGGTTGACAATCTATTGGGAAGGAATGGCAATAGAGTGTTATATAAGTTGGGGTAGTAGATTTGCAGAGACCGGAAACCAGTATGATATAGAAAAAAAAGATTTTCGGCCGGGCATGGTGGCTCATGCCTGTAATCCCAGCACTTTGGGAGGCCAAGGCAGGTGGATCACCTGAGGTCAGGAGTTCGAGACCAGCCTGACCAACATGGTGGAATCCCCTCTCTATTAAAAATACAAAAAAATTAGCCATGTGTGGTGGCAGGTGCCTGTAATCCCAGCTACTCGGGAAGCTGAGGCAGGAGAATCGCTTGAACCCAGGGGGCGGAGGTTTCAGTGAGCCGAGACCACATCATTGCACTCCAGCCTGGGCGACAAGAGGGAAACTCCATCTTAAAAAAAAAAAAAAAAAAAAGGGGGATTTTTTTTTCTTCTGCTGAGTTGGAACATTACTCCTTGGTGTCTTTAATTTCTCTGCCTTTCTTGCTGTCTTAAAACCAAACCAAACCAAACAAAACATCAAAACCCAAAACCCAGCGACACAACTTTCCCAGCGTTCTTCATACATTGTCCTTTCCCATCGTCTCCTCCTCCCCGGGGGCTGTGCCTCCTTGCACCGGGTAGATAGTTCTGCCCCGGTGTTTACATGGCCCCATTATTTATAGGCTGCGAGCTTTCCCCCCGCTGCTCCCAAGCATCACCACCCAGACGTGCTGTACATAGTTAGTTATTTTAATCTTTCCTAGTAAATCAAGTCTCCCAACCTCCCCATCATTTTTATTACTCTTCTCTGAACTCCCTTCAGCTTTTCTACATCTTTATGGTATTGAAGTGCCCGGAATTTAATGTAATTTTCCAGGTGGGGTTGGAGAAAGGCTATTAGAAAGGCCTCTCACCCCTGTTCTCCGCTGATGAAACCGTTGGGAACAAAGCCCACAACTGCATTAGCCCTTCTGCTGCTGTATCGGCTTGACTAACTCATATCTCATTTTCTTTTCTCCATCACCCTGGCAGCTCTTCCACACAGCCAGAGCGGCTGCTTGATGCGTAGTGCTGGCTTTGGTGCTTCTACAGTGGTTTTGCTAGCTTTTAGCTGTTAGGGATCAGCAGCGAGAATCTGAGGAAGAAAAAATCGAGAACAGAGACCCAGGGAGCAGGTCTAGCTGTATAATTAATTACGGTAATAGTCGCCGCTTGTGTCCAGTGCTGCCTACTTGCTAGGCTATGTGCTGAGGCTTATTTATGGATTCCCCTATTTAACACTCCTAAGAATTCCATCTAGCCGACTGAGGAAACTGAGGCTCAGGGACATTTAGGTAAGTGTCCAGATGTCACTCAGCTGAAGGTGGCTCGGCTGGGTTGGAATCTAAGCCGGCTTGACTCCACAGCCTCTGCTTTTCTCCAGAGGGGACGTGAGAGGCAGGCGGCCATGACGGACGCGGCAGTGAGGTTCAGCTTCGGCGTTTGCTCACCGAGGAGCCCCAGCAAGCACTGTCTGGGCCTCATTCCTTCATCCTGAGAAAACGTAGATCCTCAGAGGACCACTGAGCTCCTTAAATAAGCGAGTGGAGGTTCAATTTTTCCTAGATGCTCCGTAAATATTAGCACTCTCCTGCCTCCCTCAACGCCAATTGTCCAGAAAGTAGCTTCAAGAGTCACCCAAATTCTCAGTATTGTAAAATTGGGCGAGTCATTACATTAATTTTATTCTAATTTCTCTCACTTGCTCAGTGAAACAGACCCCGACAGAGCAGCTCTTTCCATCATTTGAATTCTGAGGGACAGAATTCGCTGATGATGTATCTGAGGAGGTTTCTCAATGGAGCTTCACTCGACGTGCGTCCTGATGGCGGCTTCCCAGCCCGCAGCCTCAGCGCTTCTTGACACCTCACTGTCGTGTTTCCTCTTCTTTTTACATCAAAGTTGAAATTGAGTATTCAATTTTATTACCGCTAACACTTAAACCCTGATCAGTTGTCGATGGAAAATGCAGTTTGACGGGGAGATCAGGATACAATAGATACAGTTAGTATGCATAAAGGTGGCCCCTTCAGAGAAAAACTATGAAGTTTATACTTTGAAACCATCATGGTCTTGAAAAAACATTGCTGGGCTTCTCTTCTTCCTGGCCATTAATTACCCAGAGGCTTACTTGTGCAATAGCATGGGGTAGTGGGAAAGGTGCTGTTACCAGAGTCATCAGATCTCAAACACAGCCACTGTTATTTCTTAGTATTGTAAAATTTGGCCCGTAATTACATTTATTTTATTCTAACTTCTCTCATCTTTAAATTTGAATTTCTGCCAATCAGTTTTTGTGAGGTATAGATGAGATAATATATCCTGCACAGAGCTTGATATTCAAGCAGTTGGTTCACAAATTTGGTTTTCATTTCCAGTTATCTCTACTTCTTATCTCCTTTATAACTCATGTAGCGTATAGTTTGCCAGACAACCCACATATCAAGAAATATTCCCAAATTATCTACTATATATTCAGAAGTATATGATGCATATACTAACAACATCACCACCACAACCACTACCACCACCACCACCACCACCACCATCACCACCACCACCACCACCAACCATCACCATCACCATCACCACCATCACCATCACCACCATCAGCACCATCAGCACCATCACCATCACCACCATCACCACCACCACCACCACCATCACCACCACCACCACCACCATCACCACCATCACCACTACCATCACCATCACCATCACCATCACCACCACCATCACCACCACCATCACTAGCACCATCACTACCACCGCCACCATCATCACAACCACTACCACTACCAATACTACCACTACCATCACTATCACCAGCAGCACTTATTGAGCACCTATTGTATGGCATGCAGTAAGTCAATTGCTTAATAGATGTGTTCTCATTTATTCTTCAAGATTAGCCTGTTAAGTACTAGGTACTATTGTTATTCCGATTTTGAAAATGAGAAAACTGATGCTTGGAGAGGTTAAATACCTTATTTAAGGTCATTATGCGATGAGAAATAAAGAAACACGAACTGTGAACCCTACCCTAAGGAAGTATATAATCTGTTGGGAAGCAAAATTAAAGCATATGCAATGTCAGAGACTTTTAGAAGATGTTACAAACAAGTGCCAGATTGCGTGGGCTCAGGCTGGAAATGCTGTAGACATTCAGAGAACAGGGACCAGTGAAGGTCAGTGTGTGCATCAGGTTTGTTTGTTTTATGGAATTAATACATTCTGTTTCCCTTAGGTATTGTATGGATATGCATGGGAAACAGGAACCTCAGTCATCAGGCTTCACAAGATCCCAGAAAAGGTCCTTCAGACAGGGTTCTTAGGGAAAATGAAAACAGTGTTATACCTGGCCCCATGGAAACTGGACTTGGGGGGCTGTACCAGATGCAAAAGCATTCTAGTAACAAGGCAGTCTTGTGGCCTGGCGCAGCAGGTCCCGACTCACCTCTCAGGCTCTACTGTGAGTGTTGACTGCTCGCTGGTGTTTCCACTCCTGCTCCTGGAAGGACTCCTGCTCTCTGTGTCTTCTGCAGAGGTTTCCAAGAGAGGGGATCCCATCGGTCTGGGCAACTTCACCGTTCTTTTCTAAGCAGATCTTTCACATCTGGCAAACTCATGGGACCCTGGCCAGCCTCTTGACTATCGACCTAGGTTAGGAGCCTACCCTTATTCAATCAGCTCTGGCCAAAGTATCTCGGTCATATGGAGCATGATCACCTATGCAGAAGGAGCCCCTTGGAACTGCTGTGGCTCCAGGGCTGGGTTATAAAAGTGTGTGTCACAGGGAGCTCTGGGTACTGCGACCATCCTGACTGACCTGTTGACTGCGTTGGGGGAAGATTCTGAAAGAGTGGACCTTGATGGGCAGGAGTTTTAAAGGGGGTATATCAGTTTGGGAGAAAAACATCTTAGAAAAGGTACAGATGATAGACTGAGATTAGCTGTTGGTAGTGGAGGCCACAAGGAAAGAAAGAGTGGGAATTTGGGTCAGCTACGTAGACCAGATCAGGGGCCTTACAAGTCAGGCAGAAATGTTTAGATGGTAATTGTGAGGCACTAGAAAGCTGTTAAGGGTTTCGGAGTACAACAGCGATGTGAAAATGGTATCTAAGAAGAATTAGGGTGGTAGAGGCATGAGGCATAGATTGGATCAGATAAGACCAGAGTCAGGGATTCCAAACGGGAGGCGGTTATATTCATCTACATGTGCGGCCAAGAAGCAGGAAAGCAGAATTCTTTTTCAGGGAGACTTTAGTTTCTTATCCTTAGGCACCTTTTAGGATTTCTAGCCCTATTCCGGATTTAGGCAATTAACATGCTCACATGACACTTTGTTTATTAGATACTCACGCGGTCCAGTTTGAACAACAACAAAAGACCCATTTGAATGAACTCAAATCATACATTAGGTTGATAATGAGTCACAAGTTATTTTAAAAATAGCTATTTGTTTACCAAATTCACTTGCTTGATATATTCCTGAACTAAATTCCCATAATAACTCTTGTGTCGTAATTTACTCCTATACTTTCTGTTGCATTTCTTACCTTCTCTTTTTAAGAACTCCATTTTCGTTTTTTTATTTATTATTATTTATTTTTTTAGAATCCACGTCAGTTTTTATTGTTTAATTTTTATGTGTTCTTACATGTCGTTGACTGAACACCACCAAGGTAACTACCTGACCCTCTGTAGTCTCTCCTGAACCCATAAGTGAGTTTGATTAGCTTTTCTTCAGGGAAGCACTTCATAGTCTCTGCAAGCTTTAAAATACAAGATTTAAAATATCTGCTGTTTAAAACACAAGATTTAAAATATGATTAGCAAACAATACACATCAGTGATGGCTCTGCTCCCTCTGGCCTAATGTGAATCATTTGATTTTTCTATTGTGTTTTGAACACATTCACTATATTTCATAAAATCCAAGATGCCATCGATTTGAAGATCCACAATGGTTAATTGTGCTGCTATCACTAGGAGATAAAATATACTGTCAATTAAACTAAGACACAAAGAATGTTCGAACATACCTCTTATAATTAGAGATATTAAAATGGGAAAAAGAATGTGTTTTAGAAGGGGCGAATATGACAGGTTATGAGAATCTTTTGAATCATGTTTTCAAATGGGGAGTAAACCAGTGTTAACCTTAATTCTAGCCCAAACCCTTCTCTAATCCTAACCCAAATACTACCTAACCCCGCTCTCCTCTCTCCTACTGCTCGTATTCAGCAGATCACTTAATTCTCTCAGTATTATAGTAGAAACTGTTCATGTGTGAGATGACATCCCAGCTGTGTTACCACTGCCTTCATTGGATCTTTATCCTCGCTTGCCTGGGCTCTCGTAACAGCCTATTGTTTTGTCTCCTTGCCTCTGGTCCTGCCCAACTCTTTCCTTGCAAACTGAAGCCATTTACCTTCCTAAAATTAAAATCTGATCATGTCAGTTTTCTATTTAGTCATTTTTTCCCCTCTCCCTGAAATGTACTTTTTTCTTCTCTGCCCGGTAAAGACTCAGCTCATATGCTGCCTTCTCTGTGGTGCCTTTCATAAAACCGTGGATACATTTTTTTCCCCTCTTTTGCAGTCTCTCTGTGTCACTCAGGCTGGAGTGCAGTGTTGCAATTAGCTTACTATAACCTCAAACTCCTGTGCTCAAGGGATCCTCCTGCCTAAGCCTCCCGAGTAGCTGGGACTCAGGTGTGCACCAATATGCCTGGCTAATTTTTAATTTTTTTTGCAGAGACGGGGCCTTGCTATATCACCCGGGATGGTGTTGAACTCCAGGGCTCAAGTGATCCTCCCGAAATGCTGGGATTACAGGCATGAGCCACCTCACCTGACTCATGGATACATTTTGGATGCCCTATGCTCTCTTTAGCATTTTGTCTGGAAAGAAGTCTCATAATCTGATGTTAGGTGGAGATGAAAACTAGACTATATATAGGATCAGTGCCAGTAATGAGTGAGAATGAGAAAGGTTCAGTCCACAGTCTGACTAGCAGGGCTTCTGGGTGATTATTGAAGACCAAAAAATACGGTTACTAAGAGACTCAGACGTGAGCAAAGAGGCCCCATGATCCTAGCACCAGGAACTGGAAGCTTGGGAATAGGAGTGGGTGCCTGGTTGAAAGGACAGTGAGA
Source organism: Homo sapiens (assembly GCF_000001405.40). Lineage (NCBI taxonomy): Eukaryota > Metazoa > Chordata > Mammalia > Primates > Hominidae > Homo > Homo sapiens. The sequence continues at coordinate 21,729,512 of NC_000013.11, forward strand.
TTTGTTCACTCACTTGGCTCTTTCTGAAGCTGTTTTTCTTGGGTTCTTCGTATCTTCTCTGGTTCTGGATCTAAGGCAGGGGTTGACGAATTACAGCCTCCAGGCCAAACCTGCTTGCTGCCTGTTTTTGTAAATAAAGTTTTATGGGAACACAGGCACGCTTATTTGTTTACGTCTTGTCTATAGCTGCTTTCCTACAGCAACAGTAGAGTAACTGCGACAGACACCATAAACCCTGCAAAGCCTAAACATATTTACTATGTGGCCCTCTCCAGAAAAAATTTGCTGACCCCAGATCTAAGACATCTTAGAGGCACCATACGATGGTGCTGGACACTTTAAAAATATACAGGTAAATGATGAAATGTTAAGTTAATAAAAACAGAGAATAAGTTAAAAGTAGTGCACGAAAAGAAGGATAGAAAAAATAGTAAAAGCAAAGGATAAAAAAAAAAAACCAACAGTAAACTTAAGGTCCAACCCAAGGTCTTTGTCTAAATTAATCTCTTTGAATGTGCCTGGGTAAATGCTGTCTGCGTCTGTGATGATGGTGGGATCGATGGCTCGGAACAAAGGCTTCAAGAAGTGAGAAGAAGCCTTCGGCAGGCCACACTCAGTGTCTTACGGGGAGGCCAGCTCCTCCCCATTCTCCCCTTCCCATCTCCTTCCTCTTCTGCCGTGTTCTTCCTGTCCTCACCATGCACCCAGCCTGTGACACGGATGCTCTCTCCTTTCTTCCTATCTGTGGTTACCCTCAGCACGAACCTAGGTTTAGAAATCTAAAGACGTGCATTTGGGAGGACAGAGGCAGGAGCAAGCAGCTATGTTTTCAGAGATGGTGCGAGCCTCCTGCCCAGACTGCTGAAGAGCCCACAGTTCCTGAGAGAACATATGTCACCCAGGAGAGATATTGGGGCGATCATCTGACTGCTTGGCAGGCTCAGCCCCAGAGTAACCTGGAGCCTGGAAAGGATATTTCTGTCTTCTTTCCCACTCCATTCTTTGGTATTTATATTCAAATGTCATCTTTTGTCAAAGTTCTCTGGTGAGAAGAGGTAAAAGGGGTTCTTAGGTAAGTAGCTCATGGGCACCAAGACCAGTCCCCTGGATAATCTAAGAAGTGTGGCTTGCATCCAACAGGGCCATATGTCATGTAATCCTAACCTGGACCCTCTGCCAAGCCAAGCTATTCTTATTGTCATTCAGAGCAGTTTCCAAAAGAAAAATCTGGAAGGGTGTGTGGATCTTAGGGCGCAGCGGAGATTTGCCCAAGTGAATAGTTGTAAAATGTGTGCCTGATCAAATACAAAATCAAAATGGTCTGATGATCAAGTGGTTAATGCCAAGGCTATCCTTGCCCCGGGTTTACTGGGAAGGAGCAAGGCCAAGGGAGAGCAGCGGCAAGGCGGGATTCCATGCTGTTGCTCTAAGAAGGGATGTAGACATGGCTCTGTCAGCGGGTGCATCCAACAGCTCCAGCTCACAGACGTACAGAAAGCCTATTCACAACCTGCCCTTGTCCCCAGACATTCTAAGACCTGCAGGGACTTCCTCTGTACCCATTCCTCAGCTGCTTGCTATTCCCTTGTGGGTGATTTTTCTCTATTCAGTTCTACAGATTGTATCATGGACCCATTCTGTTCAACATACACAGGCCGGCAATGTTGGGGCATCATGCTGGCTGTGTGTGTATGAGCATGTGTTAGGATACATATGTGCAAGGAGAAGAAAGAGAAACAGACAAAATGCCTCTCAGGGAGAGGGAGAGGGATTGAGAAAGAGAGAGAGAGAGTTAATGAGAGAGATCATGTGCTATTAGAGGGAAGAAAAAAGTTTTTATGAAAGTGAAAAATGAGATTTGAGATGGATATTGAGAGAGGGATAGAATTTCAATGAGAGAAAAGCAATCCAGATGTAGTATGAGAAAAGACAGAGAGGCAGAAAAAGAGGTGCATATTGGGGAACAGTTTGAATAATGGATACGATAAGGTTAGGGGAGTGGGAAGAGGTAGGTTAGGGGGAATCTATATTAGTGAGAATAAGGTTTGGCTAAGAGTGGCAGAAAACCAAAAGCACCCATGACTTAAGATATAAATATGTGAAGCCCAGCAGGTCCAGTCTGGAATGGTGCTCCTTGTGTCAGGGACCTAGGTTTCTTCTACCTTGTTGCTCTACAGTGTGGGTCTTTAATTGACAGTCCAAGATTGTGATGGTTAATTTTAGGCATCAACTTGACTGAGCTAAGGAATGCCCAGATAGCTGGTAAAGCATCATCTCTGGGTGTGTCTCTGGAAGACACTAGCATTTGAATCATGGACTGAAGAGAGAAGATCTGCTTCACCAGTGTGGTTGGGCATGGTCTGTTCTGTTAAGGCCCAAATAGAACAGAAAGGTGGAGTTGAGACATCCCTCTTCTTCCACCATTGGGCAATCGAGCTCCTGGTTCTTGGGCCATTGGACCCTAAGACTTACACCAAGGCCTGTACCCTCCTTCTCAGCCCCTCTGCCTTGGATTGGGACTCACACCATTGGCTCCCTGGTTCTCAGGCCTTTGGACTTGGGCTGAATTACACAACCAGCTTTCTTGGGTCTCTACAGCTTGCAGACAGCAGATTTTGGGACTTCTTAGCCTCCAGAATGGCGTGAGCCAATTCCTATAATAAATATCCTTTTATATATATCTATATTTAACTGGTTCTGCTTCCCTGAAGGACCCTGACTAATATAATCATATTTTAGACATCAGAATGGAGAAAGGGACAAAGAAGGAGGAGAGGAAGTGGCATGTATGTCTTATCTATTACAGAAGGTTTACAGAAACAGCCATATAAAACTTTATGTCCATTCCATTGACTAGAATATGGTCACACAGCCATGCCTAGCTGCAAGAGAGGCTGGGAAACAGACTGTGTTTTACGTGTCTATGTTCCCAGCAGATCACTGGGAGTTCTATTACCACAGAAGGAGAGAATGTACATTAAAGAACAACTGGTAGTATCTGAGTTTGCAGGATCTTGAATGCCAGGTTGACAAGGATCTACACTAAACTTCATGATTATGGGTTGATAGGAAGCTGTAAAGCTCCTGAGCAGAGGAGTTACATGAAAGGGAGTATTTTAGGAAGGTGGTCAGTAGTACATAGATGGGTTAAGAAGGGGAGAAAGAGAAAATGGGGAGACCAGGAAGCCTACTGTAACATCACAGTGGAGAATTAATGGTGTCAGTGAGCATGTAATGGAGCTTTTAGACTCAAGACTCATTGCAAAGTTGATGTAGCGGAGCTGGTCAGTGGAGAGTAGAAGTGAATAAGTCAAAGGTGATGTAGAAGTTTCAAACCTGTGTGCTGGGGGGAATGGGTTTGGCAATATCTGAATTATAGGCATGAGTAAGAAGAGCTGGCCTAGGGAAGATTATGGTGGGTTTGAATAATGTGAAATTTGAAGTTCTAGCAAGACTTTGCAATAAGGCATAAAATGGGCAGTTAAACTTGTGAGACTAGAAAGATAAGGTAAATTAGGTGCTCATGGGCCACATTTGGCTTTTAGGTGCAATTTGCCCTGCATGGGGTTGATCTGCACATCTAAAAACTGAATTTGTTTAAAGTTAATTGCTTATTATAGCTGCATTTATGATTTATCTTGAAAAATGTTAAGCTTTGGAAATACTGGGCACTCATTCCTACAAAACTACAAGGGTGGAATTGTGAGTGAACTACAGGCTCTCCACTTTGCTGCAGTCCCCACTGCTCCCTATAATCCTCTCTGGTCCAGGCTGTTCTTGTTACTTATATTACCATATTACCTGCCTGGCCCCTGTAGGTATTTGAGTGCTCAACCACCTGTTGTAGGATTAGGAAAAGATGTCAGGACCACAGATAAAGATTTGGTTTTAGAAAGAGAGATGTGAAGAGAGAGTTGAAGCCATGGAAATGAATAAAATAGATGGAAGGAAAGAATCTAGAGGGAGAAGAAGAGGTCTAGAAATGTTGGGGTTGTGTATATTTATGAATCAGAGTGACAAGTGGAGCCTATAATGAGGAGTTTGAAGGAAAGTATTAGAGAGATAGAAGGAAACTTCGAACAGCGTCATATCATAGAAACCAAAAGAGAAAATGATTTCAAGATGAAAATCAGCCAGTGTCAAATGCTGCAAAAAGAGGGAGGAAAATGAATCCTGGCCAAAGGTCATTAGCTTCAGAGATTAGAAGGTCTTGCCGAGTTTCAGTAGAGTGGTGAGGGCAGAAGGAAAATTCAAACCCTGCTTTGATGTTCCTAGCAATCTAAGTCCATCTATGTAGAGACATTGGGGTATACAGGAGGGTAGGGGCCGCCTGTGACTGGCCTTGCTCGAAACTTCTCACTCTCCTGTTGAGAGCCCTAGGTAGAGACTGGATGGGGGAGGGGTATTCCCCAGGGATAGGAGGGTCTCTACTTCCTGTGTCCCACATCATTAAGCACCAGCTTCCCTCAGTTAAGCTTCACAAAACCCTTGGAGTTAGGTGTCATTATTTGCATTTTTTACAGATGAAGAAATGAAAGCCTGCAGAGGTGAAGTGATTTGTTCGGAGTGACTCACACCCTGATGAAGCTGAAGAATTGGGAGCCCGTTCCATTGTCTTCGGGGAGTGTGGAGGCACCCCTTTGTTCTCTGTTATTTAGATCTTAGCACATTAGGTTACAGTAATACTTACGTCAGCAAAAGATCCTTTCTCACCACTTTTTAGCACTGTTCCATTCAATAGTGACATCTTGCTCCAAGTGGTTAAAAGACACTGGAGTTTTAAGGGAAAAATAATTTATTTCCAGTCTGTCTATATTGCTTAATACATGAAAGGTCTTTGCTTTGTCCAATTACGTTAACGTTTCTCAGGCTCAGTTTATTTCTGAAAATTGTGTGCCGTGAATGATATTCACATTATCACCATGAAAAAGGAAAATGATCTGTGTGAATGTAATCAGCCAATTAGTGGACTGGATTTATGGAATTATGATCTTTGAACATAGATACCTAATTCTACTTCATACAAGGGAAGACAAAGGCACAGACATGATGCCCACTCATAGAATACTTACTGCACAGTAGGGACTCAATTCATATTTGAATGAATGAATGGCACTCCCAGTGGCAAACTGGCAGGATAGCCCTGACCTCACCTGTCTACCCTGCATCCTCTCTGGCTTGGGGGAGATGCAGGCAGAGTTTGAGGAATCGTCAACATCTGTCAAAATAATGGCTAATATTCCTTGAGCACTCACTATGTGCCAGGTACTGCAATAAGTGCTTTACAACTTGCATTTTCTCATTTTATTTTTGCAGTAGCTCCTCCTGGTGGGGTCTCTTCTTACGCCTATTTTGCAGATGAGGAAGCAGAGGCTGGGAGAATTGGAGGATTTTGCCCAAGATCATGGAGTCAGTAAGTGATGGAGCTGATACTAGATTTATTCTTAGCCATGACACTGTGTGCCCACCGTGAAATCAGCTGTCCCACCAGGAGCCAGAATCAATGAGGTAATGATCCAATTTCCTGTCCAGGGGGCATGCTGCCCTTGGTGCCATGTCTTGATGCAAGACCCAACACTGCCTCTCATGTGGCCCAGCTTGCTCTTCTGTGGGGGAGGTGTCCTTTCACTTGCATTTTCAAAATGGGGAGTTCAAAGCCGCGAGGGCTCCTCATCTTTGACCCCAGAACCAGGGAACACAGTCCAACAAATGATTGCTCCCTGACAACACTTTTTTTTTTTTTTTGAGACAGAGTCTCGTTCTGTCGCCCAGGCTGGATTCCAGTGGCACGATCTCAGCTCACTGCAACCTCTGTCTCCCGGGTTCAAGCAATTCTCCTGTCTCAGCCTCCCTAGTAGCTGGGACTACAGGCGCACACCACCACACCCAGCTAATTTTTCTATTTTTTAGTACAGACCGGGTTTTACCATGTTGGTCAGGCTGGTCTTGAACTCCTGACCTCAGGTGATCCACCCGCCTCGGCCTCCCAAAGTGCTGGGGTTATAGGTGTGAGCCACCGCGCCCAGCCAGGATTGCTCCCTGACAATTCTTTACATAAAAAATCGTGTCAAGGAACAAACATGAAAACCTCTTTGCTTCTGTATTTAATGATTTTGCGACTGAAAAGAACAAAATTACCAAAAAAAAAAAAAAAAAAAGATTTTGCCATTGAAAAGAACAAATGATCGCCCTGAAAAATCCAGGGAGGGAGCGTGCTTGTTTAGCGGGCTCTTCCATCTCTTTAATTCTAAGAATGGCTTTGCCAGGTTGGATTGGGCCCAGATTGCTGCACAGCTCCTCAATGCAGATGGCTTCTCCTTTGGGAAGTAGCAGCGCTCAGTAATGGACCCCTCGTGTTAACAGGAAGCATAAGGTGGGGATGGGCAGGGGGCTTAACAAGGTATTTATCACAGTGATTGTGCCCAGGGGTTTCTCCCGTGATTGCTTCATAAATTTGAGTAATCTTTCCTCCTCTGATTTATGTGGCTCTTCTAGAGGGCATTGTTCGGCAGGCAGTACATTAATGTGGATGCTAAATATAGCTGGAAAGAGCCCAGTCCCGGAGGCTCCAGTGCCCACTGGCAGGCAGGCTTCTGCCAGTCAATAACCTACTTTTGTTCCAGTCTTTCTTGCTAGAATATATCATGCCATAGCGGCTATTTATATCTGGAAACCATTCTGAAAGTTGTTAGAAATCCTTCCTGCGGCAGCGTGCTGCCCTCCCAGGAGCTGCTGAAGTGTAAATATGCAGCGAGGCATTCTTCCCAGCAGCGCCTGGCTGCACTGAGTGACCTTGATGGGCTCCATCCTTCCTTTGAAAACAAAAACACCAACTTGGAATTTTAATTAAAAGGCAGGCAGTGGGCTATCGAGCTTGGTGCGTTGGCTGCACTGCTGTCCATCGCAATGTGGATTTGAGGTCACCATTGTGAAGCCTGTAACACTAACTTATCGGGAAAAACACATCAGCTGAACTTATCTCCAGGTTTGCCAGGAGCCAGAGGCTCAGATGAAGAACTTTTTTTTTTTTCCTTTTGGTGCATGAAACAGGCACAGTCAAGAACACTGGGAATTCTATTAGGGCAGTGCCCGCCACTGAGGGAGTGAAGGGAGCCCCGCAAATAGTACTCTTTCTGGCCTGCACCTATGTGGAATCTATTGGTTTAATGTCACAGAGCAAGTTGCCTGTGTGGTGGTGACATGAAATGGCTCCGTTTGGTTCAGTGATGATCTCGGAACACTAGTGGTTCAGCTTTAGAACTGGCCATAAAATGAACTAAGTCTGGTTAAGTGGGTTGTTTTGCATCGGAAAAGTTATTTAAAGCCTTTTAAAAATAGCGTTATTGGAGCCTGTTATTGGTTTACATTACTTTGCAAGGAGGCACGCACATTGTTTATTGCAAAGATCTCCTGATTTCAAGATTTTAAAAACCCCCTCTAAATAAAGGGATTATCCCTATCTGAGATCTCCAGACACCGACCACCTTGAGTGTCCTGGTGACTTGCACCTGGAGCCTGCACGCTGTGGGGCGGGGGCTTCCCCACTCCAGGTCAGCAGCAATTTCCCAGGGAGCTTTAAAAATGCACATTCCTGGGCCCCGCCAAGGTATTCTTATCTGGTGAGCCTGAATCTGTGTTCTGAGGAGTTTCCAGAGGATTCCAATGACTGATCAGGTTTGGGAACTCCTGGCTGAGAGCTTTTGGAAGCCCAATCTAGTCATGGGATAAAAATGACTGGGATTTTCAGAGAAGAGGAAAAGGAGGAGACGACTCAGATGAGTCCCTGCTCCTTTCTCCTGCTTCTTTTGTGAGGATGTTGGGAACGTCAAGTGACAAAATGGATGGGCAGTGACTGCGGCAGGAACCCACTCTGTCATAATGTTCCTCGCATTACAGCCTTAGTCCTGACAATCTGTGAGCCGCTATTAGGATCCTCATTTTATAAACTAGGAAACCAAAGCATGGAGCTATCCCATTCCATGTCTAAGATGTGTAGCTGTGTGCTGGAAGCCAGTGGACACCTGGGCTCCAGGCACTCCTTCCTGCCTTGCCTCAGTTTCCTCTTGGGCTGTCATGTCCCGGCCATGTCTTTTATTTTATTTTTTTTGAGACGGAGTTTTGCTTTTGTCACCCAGGCTGGAGTGCAGTGGTGCGATCTTGGTTCACTGCAACCTCCACCTCCTGGGTTCAAGTGATTCTTCTGCCTCAGCCTCCTCAGTAGCTGGGATTACAGGCACCTGCCACCGTGCCCAGCTAATGTTTGTATTTTTAGTAGAGATGGGGTTTCACCACGTTGGCCAGGCTGGTCTCAGACTACTGACCTCAGGTGATCCACCCACCTCAGCCTACAGTGTTGGGATTACAGGCATGAGCCACCGCACCCGGCCCCAGCCATGTCTTATTCACCATCTGTAGCTATAGAGCTGACCTTCCCCCATACCTGTATGGCTGATAGTAGGTGAGCAGGAAGCTAGGACCCCCATATTCCAATCCCTCTGCTGTTCACAGCATCAAGCTCCAAATCTAACCCAAGATTTAGCACAGCATTTACCCAAGTCCATGATAATGTGGGCTGGTGTCCTATATTCTCCACAAGGGGTCCCAGAAATAGGAGGAGAAGGGGTGAGGACAGTTGAGTCTCAACTGCAGCTGTCCAGGAGGTGGAAATGATGGGATGGGAGAGGGCTGATGTGTAAGATTTGCTCATTTCCATAGTGTAAATGCTGTCATCATGACTGATGTCAAACTACCCCTGGCTTAACCATGGGCTTCAAAATTTCCTGAAAATTTGAACACTGAAAATTGCATGTGAGCAATGAGAAGTGTGCTTCACGTTGTGAGCCAGTGTCTATGCCACACGCTGGTCTTGCATTTCTCGCCCCTGTCTAGTCGTTGCCTCTCTCCTGCCTTGTTTTGTACGCTCGTGCTTCAGTGTGTCCTGTATGTATTGTGCCAGTGTGAGGAGTTGAGCGTGGTGGGCTTTCAGTAAATGGTGACCAATCGGAGCAGACCATCAGGACTCATTCCCACTGCTCTACTGGCTGAGGCTCTGCCCCGCAGCAAAGCACAGGGACCCCATGAGCCTGTCTGCACAGGGAATCATCATCTGAATTCCTATGGACTGGGGCACAAGTCCTTCCATGCAGGGCAGGGCTGGGACTGGAACGAGGGATGAAAAGCCAGGCAGGGAGAGGACAAGCCCTCAGACCACCTGAAGCCCAGTTGGTGATGTGGCCCTAGAGAGGCCTGAAGCAAGCAGAGGTGGAGGGTGGCCCTGGGAGCCAGCCTGCAAGAGCGAGTTTGGGGCAGGGTGACAAACAGAGCCAGGTGCTGGAAGGAGCAGCTGCAGCTGCACATCAGGGAACAATATTTATATGTGCACCATGTGGGAAGCGCTGTGAGTTGTACACTCAAATTTTAAAGCCGTTTCTCCCTCCCTCTCACACACCATGCTCAGGAGCTTCTTAGAACAGGCAGTGATGTGGATGCGGTCATCTCTTGCTTACATACTGCCTAGTAATCTTTCAACCAGCAAAACACTCCACATCCAAACTATCCCCAAAAGCCCATCTGCGCGTCTCCAGGATTTAGCCCGCCTCCCCACCCTTGCCGCCCCTCAGTCCAGGGTTTTGTGATGTCTCCTTGGGATCAGGCTGACAGCTCGTCCTGGGGTCCTTTTACTTCTGTTCTTGCTCTCCTCTGGTTTGCCATTCACCCTCCAGGGAATTTTCTTTAGTGAAAACTTGATTATTGCCTTGAGTAAAATCTCTTCAGTGGATTTGCTCTAACGAATTATTCACCTTTTGCATGTTTGCATGAATCATGGCAAACTGCTACCTGGCTTCAACAGCTCTCCTTAGGGATCATTGAATTGAAGCAAGGGTGGCGGGCAGGGGCGTACACAAGGAGCAGTGGATGCATACACGTGACAATAGTAGAATGAAAAGACAAAGAATGCACGTAACACCCATGTCCCCATTTTATCCCTAGGGCCACATGCCTGGCAGCTGACTGTGTATGTGAGTATATGCAGCATTCTATTATAAGCCCCTAAAGTGCAGAGGACACATAGACCCCGTTTGCTTTGCCTGGTGCCCAGCACAGTGCCATGGACAAGAAGAACTTCACAAACACCCTGACAATTCCAGGGGCTCACATGTGTGCTGGCTGAGAGCTGAGATCTCTGGTTGTAGAGCATTGGCATCTATAGGCAGCCTCGTTTCCATAAGGGTGCATTATTTTGAGCTTACATCAACAAGGGAAATAAACATCTGTGGCGTTGTGTAACCTGGCTTTCATCTCGCCCCCAACAGAAAGTGGGTCATTGAAATGTGGGTAGAAAACAGAGTAGGTGATTCCTCTGTTTGCAAAAAGATGATTTAGGTCCTCTCGTGTTGTTCTGATAGCAGAGGCCACGTTGCTGTGACGTGGACTGCAATGTTAAAAGGACCGAGATGCAGGCCTTCTGGGAGACCTTGGCCCTTTGTCTGACGTGTCAGTTTTGATTTTTATGATTGATGATGCAGCGAGTCAACAGAATAATAACACCCACAGCAGCCCATGTGGAAATGGTGCTGAGGGGCCCTTCTGCTTTCATTCTATATAAATTTCACAAATGTCTGACCCATGTGATTTTAAATAAGCAAACAAACAAACCCCAAGCCTTTGCAACCTGATGTTGCAATTTGATCATAATGGCAATTTTCTCTTTCAACCCGGCTTCTATTTTTTTGACCTGGGAATGTGCTGATTGGATTATTTTGGGTTTGGGGAGAAGAGAGAATTCCCTAGGAGTCATCTCTTTTTAAAAAGCAACACAGTTATTTAAAAAATACGTGTGAGTAAATCATATTACTTATTACATTTCATGGGGCATTTAATAAAACTTCTCAATAAATAACAATGTTAAGTAGGCTACTGAGAGTAAAACGGACATTTCTGCCAAGGCCGGGCCATTTCTCTGTAGTTCCCAAGGGAACATCTGGTGCTTTGGTTTAGGAAGAAGTCTTTTCTAAAAAAACACACTGCATTGCCTCGTTTGTTTTTACTTGATTCATCAATATCAGAGGAAACTTTTGGTTTATCAGTTCATCAGATTGCAAGTTACATAGTCCTATGGGGGAATGAGGCTTCACATAGGAGCCCCAAAAGTCAAGTTCCATCAGCTGTAAGTGTGTCAGCAACAATGCCAGTGGTGAGGGTTATATACAGAATGGCTCACATGTATTAAACGCTGATTATGTGGCAAGAGCCCTCCTTGTGTCATCTCATTTAACTCTCCCAGGTAGTTGCAATTATTAGGCCCATTTTAGAGATAAAGAAACTGAGGCTTATGTACATTGTCTAAGATTGCTCAGTACGTGGCAGAGCCAGGGTTTGAATCAGGCTGCCTGACCCCAGAAGGTGCAAGAACAGCTACTCCCTGAAAATGTCATCATGACCGCTTATGCTGGAGTCCACTTAAATCAGGCAGAACTGTAGAGGAAGGTTCATAGTACAGGCAGCCTGCATCATGATGAAAAAGATCTCCACCTCTGGTTTCAAGCTTCAGGTAAAAATTTTATGTTTGTTGTTTGTTATGTGGATTGTGATGCTGCCTCCGGAAAAGCGAGCTGTGCATCCCGCTGAAAAGCTGGGTGGCCTGAGCTGAGATGTGGGGTCCAGGGCCCTTGCCTGTGTCCCGCAGAGTGCATCCTAGAGTGTTCCTCCTGCCCACAGCCCGTTCTTCCCCAGATCAGAACAGGAGGCAGGACCCCAGCCTACTGGGATGCTATGTGACTGTGTGAACTCCTGCCTTCGTGGGCCATAAATGGGATCTCATCCAAGTTCCCAGAACAGTGACAACGTTGTAAACTTCAAGTGCCATGAAACTCACTCGAGAACTGCTGTGGGTTGAATTGTGTCTTCCCAAAGACATGTTGAACTCCTAACTCCACCACCTATGAATGTGACCTTATTTGGAGATAGGGTCTTCACAGATCTAACCAAGATGAGGTCAAAGTGGATTATAGCGGGCCCTAATCCAATGCCTGGTGTCCTTACAAGAAGAGGAAGATATGGACACAGAGACTTGCAGGGAGAGCACCCCGTGAAGGCAGAGGCAGAGACTGAAGTGAGTTGTCTACAAGCCAAGCAATGCCAAGGATCTGTGGCCACCACCAGAAGGTAGGAGAGAGGCAAGAAGACATCCCTCCCCTAGAGCCTCCAGAGGAGCAGGGTCCTGTTGACACCTTGATTTCAGACCTTCGAGCTCTAGAACGGAGACACAATAAATTTCTGTCATGTTAAGTCACTCAGTTAGTGGTGATTGTTACAGCAGTCCTGGGAAATGACTAGAAGAAGGTTGTTTAAAATGCAGATTTCTGGACCCCACACTCATAGATTCTGACTCTTGGGCAGGGCTTACAAAAAGCCAGGTGATGCTTATATGGGACTCAGGGAGTGGAATAAATCCAAGGTCATCACATCCATTGCCCTCAGCATCAAGACTGTGGAATGTTTTGTAAACTGATTTCATATATCAAAATATGCTTAGTTGTCCCTGTAAATGATAAATTAAAAAATAAGAAAGAAATCCATGCTACTGATTTATAAGAGAGGGTGTACAAGGAAAGCGGGTTAAGCCAGTGTCTTAGATAAGCGTTCTTGTATCTTGCACACCTGTCTGGGCTCCGAGGCCTGCATTCAGGTTCACACCCCGTCTTATCTTTATTACCTTCTTTATCTTTAACATTCTAATGTTGACCCAGTGGGGGAAGGGGGACATTGTTTTGAACTTAAGGCTATAACTCAATGGAGTTAGGAATGTTTTTATCAACTTACATCTTGTCTCCTGCGTTTCCTCCGCTGCAGTCCACTCTGTAGCCAGAAGGATGTCTCTATGCACGAGTCTGACTCCACTCTGCTTAACCCTCTTCCATAAAGTCCAAAATTGCTGCATGGCAAGAAGCTCTTTGTAATGGGCCCTATTCACCTCTCCAGCCTTATGTCCCCAGCCGCTCACTAGCTGTTCCCCATGTGCCCTCCACCTCCAGCCAGTTTATTGGCCGACTCTCTTGCTTGGTCTCTTAGTTTAGAGGTCACTTCGTTGGGGAAAGTTTCTTAACTATGTGCACCTCAGAACCCCTGTTTACCCTCATTGCAGCCTGTGTCACACTGGAGGGATGATTACCTCTGTCACCTCTCCCCAGTCTGTGTGTTCTCCAAGGACGAGGAAAATGTTTTACTTGGTGTTGTATCCTTAGTACCTGACACATTGTAGGACACACAAAAGATGCTCAGTAGATATGTTTTGAGTTGATCGTTCTGAAAGAAATGTTCTCAGCTCCACCACTTAGTCTTCAGTTCTGGCCCCTGGGTAAGCCTCAGAGGTTAACTTCTTTTCTCTCAGCTCTTGTGCTTAGGTTTCTGAGCAATACGAGGAAAAAGAAATACCATACAACCGTGATGACTGAACTCATCCCAGCCTCACCATCCTAACCTCTGCGCTTCCCAAATTGCTCTCATTCATGCTTCATGGTACCAATGTGCTCCTCACTGTAGCAGTGCTGACATTCCATCTCAACCACTTCTCATAGAGACGCTGGCCATCTGAGAAGGCTTCCACTGCCTCTCCTAGTTCCTCCTTGTCGTCTAAGTACTACCTCTCTTCCATTCCTTTGATTGCATCTTCTGTGGTCCCCTCTGTCACTTTGTTTTAGCTATAATTTCTTTTAACTTTGAGCTTTTTCTCTTCAAAGTCTCCTTCTCCTAACTGGTACTATGCTTCTCTCTGACCCTTCTTAAAACTTCTATTTCCACATAATGCTTTCTCCTCAAATTCCCACAAAAATCCATCCATCCATCCCATCCATCCATCCCATTCATCCATCCATCCATCCATTCATCCATTCCATCCATCCATCCATCCATCCATCCATCCATCCATCCATCCCATTCATCCATCCATCCATCCATTCATCCATCCATCCACCCATCCACTCACCCATTCATCCCATCCATCCATCCTATCCATCCATCCATCCATCCACCCATTCATTCTTTCAACTCTCTACATAGCATTCAATATGGTATTTTAAAAATACAAATTAAAATTAGTTCATTTCATTGCTTAAAATTATCCAGGAGCTTTGCAAGGCACTTAAGAGAAAATCTAAACTCCTTCTTCACTATTACCTTCAAGATCATGTCAGCATCCCATGATCTGGCTCTTGCTCACTTCCCTGACTTCATCTCCTCCATATGTGCCCTTGTCCATATGCTTCAGCCACACTGGCCTTCTTTCTGTTTCTTGAGCATCTTCTCTTTAGAAAAATGTACGCTATCTGTTCCTTTGCCTGGACAACTGCTTCTGCACTCTGCATGGCTGCCTTCTTCTCATTCATGCCTTTGTTCAAACACCACTTACTCAGTGAGTCCTCCCTTGACAACACAACCTAAATTTGCACCTAGCCTCTGTCCCAGCACACTCCATAACACCAGCCAGTGCTCTTTCCTTCACAGCACTTATTACAAAATAAAATAAAATTTTCTTTGTCACTAATTTGTTTGCTTTTTATCTGTTTCCTATCCCTATCCTCAATGCTAGAATATAAGCTTTCCAAGAGTGGTGTCCTTGTCTGTCTTCTTCATCATTGCATCCCTAGGACCTGTAAAGTGTCTAGCACATATAGTAGCACATGCTAAATATTTGTTTAATGCACGCATGAAGGGAAGGACATTCTAGACAGATGGGAGAGCATGAGATAAAAGTACAGAGTGTGTATTGGCAGAGATAAGTGATCTTAGATGGATAGGTCATAAAACGTCAGACTGCACTGGGGCCAGGAGGCTCCTGTGTGTGCACGCTGACAGAGGTGGAATGCATGCATGCATTCAACAAATATTATTGGAATCCTCCTATGTGTTGGGCAAGTCAAGGAGCTCACAGTCTAGTAGGGAAAGACACACATACACATTACATTATAATATAAACATAAACATTATAATAATGTTATAAGTGCCACAATAAAGGTGTGTACAATGTGTAATAGGAGCCCAAGGGAGTCAGGGATTCGGTCTATGTGAGGGAGTCAAGGAGAGCATCACAGAAGGTGATGCTTTAGTTGGTCCTTAGTGGAGAAAGGTGCTTACCTGGCAGACATGGCAGGGAATGGTAACAATGCTCAGAGCCTGGATCCTACTTTCTTCCTTGACTCATGGAAAATGGTGACTTTCCAGCTCCCCTCCGACTTCTGATAACTTCTGATCCCTTTCTGGGTCCTAGCCCTCACTTTGAATACAGACATTCATGATGTCCTTTGCTATGAGATGGCCACATACTTCTGTCTAGGGCTATTGCAGACACTTGGGATTCAGTCATTAGCCCTATGCAAGTAATTCCAAATCTCAATCTTTAACCCTGACATTTCCCTCAGATAATTAGTTCAGTATCTCAACAACTTGTGAATTCCTTCCACTTGGACATTATCTTAAACTCGGTATTTCCAAAAACAAATCAGTGTTCTTCTCCTCTTCAAATCTACTCTTTCTCTTTTGTTGCCTCCATTTCTTCTTCAAACTCCCAGGTTAGTGTCTTTAGGGTAAACCTGATTCTTCCCTAATTCTCATATCCTACATTCTATTAATTAAGATGTCCTTAGATTCTACCTCTGAGATATTCTCATATACATTCCTACCTTTCTATTTTTTATGTTGGGCTTCCTCAACCACTCCTTGTGATTGCTTTATTAACTTCTGAATCTATTTTTTGGCCTTCCCTCCTTCTCTTCTTTGATCTATCCTTCACATTTGATAAAAGTTATTTTCCTAAAGCAGATTGAAACATAAAATATCTCAGCTCAAAAGACTTCAGCAGCTCCCCACTTCCCATAGAAAGACCAAGCTCTTGCACAAAGCATCATGGCTCTGATGACCAAGGTCTTATCTATGTTTCCAGCTCTGTCTATTCACACACACTGGAGCCTCCTGGCTCCAGTGCAGTCTGGCATTTTATGACCTATTCATCTAAGATCACTTATCTTTGCCAATACACACTCTGTACTTTTATCTCATGCTCTTCCATCTGTCTAGTATGTCCTTCCCTTCATTTCCCATGTTGAAACCCTACCTGTCTTTCAAAACTCCATTCAAATATCATTTCCTGGCTAAATCTTCACTGATTTTCACTCAATATTCTTATTGGTTAAAATTAGTCATTCTCTTGTGTGTGTGTCCTAGAACATTTGTTTACTCATTACTTTTAGCATTTATCATATTGTGCTCACATTACATTTATTTGTACACATTTTAAAATTCTTACTTTATTACTTTCTTTTATATTTAAATGTTCTTCTTTTCTTTGTGTACATTTATATTTCTATCTTGTATCATTTTCTTCCTGCTTGAAGAATTTCCTTTAATATTTCTTGTAGTTTGAGTACGCTGGTGATGAATTATTTAGCATTTTGTATGTCTGAAAATGTCTTTATTTTCTCTCATTTTTGTTGGATATACAAATTCTGAGTTGGCAGTCTTCTTTTCTCTAAAGATTTTGCTCCACTGTCTTCTGGTTTGCATTGTTTCCAATGAGAAAGCTACTGACATTCTTATCTTTGTGCCTCTGCATATATATATTTGTGTGTGTGTGTGTGAAGCTGTTTTAAATATTTTTTTCTTTGTCACTTGTTCTGAGAAATTTGTTGCTCAAATTGATTGCCTTGGTGTAGTTTTCCTCATTTTTTTTTTTTTTTGTGGGTGGGACTTGTTGAGCATCTTGAATGTGTGAGTTTATAGTTTTCATTGAACTATGGCTTTGGCTGTCATTTCTTCAAATCCTTTTTTCTGTCTCCTTTCCTCTCTCTATTTCTTTGGAAAGTCAAATAAACATATATTAAGCCTGTGAAATTGCCCTACAGCTCACTCATGATATTTTTCTGTAATTATTTTTTGGCTTTTTTCCTTTTGTGTTTCTTTCATATTAGGTAATTTATATTGCCATGTCTTCCAGTTCATTAATCTTTTTATTTTGCAGTGTAAAATTTGCTGCTAATCCAGTCCAGTGTGTTTTTCATCTCACACATTATATTTTCAACTGTAGAAGTTTGATTTGGATCTTTTATTTTTAATAGCTCTCATGTTGCTATTTAACATGCTTATTTTCTTCTAGCTTCCTAAACATATAGAATACAATTAAGTTACTGTTTAGATGTCTTTGTCTGGTAATTCTATCACTTTCAAGTTTGTTTCTATTGATTGTTTCTTCTCCTCAGTATGAATTCTTTGCATGCCTGATTTTATATATATATATATATATATATATATTACAGTTCAGTAGTGTTAAGTATATTTACATTGTTGTGCAACAGATCTCCACAGCCTTTTCATCTTGCAAAATTGAAACTCTATATCCATTAATAACATCTCTCCATTATATCTTTTTACTCGCAACCCTGGGCAGCTATCATTCTACTTTCTGTTGTTATGAATTTGACTACTTTAGATACTTCAGATAAGTGAACTAATATAGTATTTGCCTTTTTGTGACTGTCTTATTTCACTTAGCATAATATCCTCAAGGCTCATCCACATTGTAGCATGACAAGATTTACTTCCTTTTAAGGCTAAATGCTATTCCATTGTATGTATGTACCACATTTTGCTTTTCCATTTGTCCATTAATGGACACTTATATTGCTTCTGCCTTTTGGCTATTGTGAATACTGCTGCTATGAAGTGGGTATGCAACACGCCTGGTAATTTTTGATTAGATATCAGACATTATATATTTTATTTATTTGGATGATTGCTATATTTGTATTCTTATAAATAGTCTTGAGGCTTGTTCTGAGATGTAGAATATGTAGAAATGCTTTGATGATTTTAAGGTTTGCTTTTAAGTTTTTTTTTTGTTTGTTTGTTTTTTTTTTTTTTTGGTGTTACCAGTACAACCTTTAGTCTAATTTTTCCTTGCTGCTGGGTTACTATGCTAAGGTACCTTGTTAAGTACTTTTCCTGATACTCCGTGAATTATGTGGCTTTCCACTCTGGCTGATGGGAATACGAACTACTTATGAGTCTGTGTAAGCTGCAGGGATTATTTCCTCTGCTCCTTCTATGTGGTCTTTCCCAAGCTTTGGGTAGTTTTCTCACATGCATGTCCTTATCAGTACTTAGCTAACGACAAGTACTTTGTGCTGCAAACTGTAAACTGTCTTGGCTTCTGCAGACTTACAGCTCCATTTCTTCAGCTGAGAGAGAGTGGACTGCATCACCTACATTCCCCTTTGTTGCACCCAGGCCTGGAAACTCTCTCTCGGCAGTAAGCTAGGACAATTGTAAAGCCCACCTCACATAGTTCATCTCTCTTAGAAATCGCTGTCCTGTGTTGCCTGAAATCTGATTTGTGAAAGCTCTTTTTTATTTTTACTTCTTCTTCTGGTTTTTAGTGTTTCTTGTGGGAGGGTTAATCTGGTCCCTTTTAGTCTACGTTAGCCAGTAGTGGGAGTCTCATTAGCATTAATTATTAATAATTACTCTCCTCACACATAGTAATATGGCATTCTATCAGCAAAGTGCTTGATCCTGTTTAAGACAGTGAGGAAGACTTTCCTCAATCCATAAGGTTCACAGTGAGGGTTTTAAGTACCTCATTAAGTACTTAGAATTCTGCCATCCAGGAAACACATGAAAACAGAGTATAATCTCTCTCTTATGATGTTTAAAATATTAGGCTCATAAAGACATCACAGTTTCCTGGTGAATACTTACTGAATAAACAAGGGACTAGTTCCAAAGCTGTAGGGGAAGGGAGTGACTAGATTCCTGACAGCACATAGGATGCCACATTTGCAGATTCCCTCAGGGGCAGCAGTGAACTCCATCTCTGAAAATAGATGATTACAAATTTTCTTTGTGTGCTACTGAAGCACATAAATCTCTGTGAGGTTGATACTGACTGATTTTTTCCAGCTGAGCTCCAGAGGCTATTTGCCAAATACCATGGAGGAGGCATCTCCCTGGAATACCTGAGCGCCCTTGTTCACTGGGATGGTCACAGCAAGAGACTGATGCCTCTGCACACCTGCACATCTGAGAGGCAGAGTTGCCATTGACCCTTCCTTGAAATGCCTTGAGGTACTGGATTTGCTTCCTAATTTCTCTGCTTGAAATTCCTTCTCCACAGGCCTATAATTTAATCAGAATATTCATTTTTTCATGTCTTTTTATATATATATATTTTTAGAGGCAGGACCTTGCTCTGTCACCCAGGCTGGAATGCAGTGGCACAATCATAGCTCACTGCAGTCTTGAACTCCTGGGCTCAAGCTATCCTTCTGCCTCAGCCTCCTGAGTAGCTAGGACTATAAGCACATGCCACCATGCCTGGCTAATTAAATTTTTTTTTTTCTTTTTGTAGAGACAAGATCTCACCGCCCAGGCTGATATCAAATTACTGGCCTCTAGCAAGCCTCCTGCCTGGGCCTCCCAAAGTGCTGGGATTACAGGCATGAGCCACCACACCTGGCCTGTTTGTTTGTGTGGATAATGGCTTGTTGTATCTTCACACAATATATTAAGTCATCTTAAACCAAGAGGGAAGCATCTTAGGCCACGGCTACTAAGTTTCATGTGGCTGTTCAAAGGCAGCCTGAAGCTCCTAATTTCTGTTTGGGAGGCAGTGAAGCATGGCAGAAAAAACACAGGAATACGAGTTGGGAGAGCTGGAATCTAATCCTGGTTCTATTGCTAGTACACCAGAGCAGTTACTTAGCTTCTCTGGGCTTCTATTTTCTCATCCTAAGTGAAAGTTAATGAAAAGAAGTAATGATAGTTCCCATTTGTTGAATCTCATTCTGTGCCAGACTCTATATTAAGCGTTCTACATGCATTTTTCTTTTGATTTTCACAGAAACCTTTATTAGAGATTAATTGTTTTTATTCCCATTTTATGGTTGAAGAAACTAGAGCTTAGAGAGTTTAAGCAATATTTTTGCCTAATAAGTGATAGAGCTAGGATGAAAACTCAGCTTTGTTCATCAGGTTACATCATTAGTTTACCTTAAAAATTCTTTCCATGCATAAAATGCCATGACTATACCACAATGTAGAAGGCCTACGGTAATCACAGAGCTCTCATGGTTAATGGTGTTTGAACTTCAGAGTGACATGAATATAACCAATAGAAACAAACTTATTAGGCATCTTATATGACTCATTTCTAGACAATGTCTCTTTTAATACCAGTCTGTTTATTCCTTCTGGAATTCCAGTTAGATATTTGCTGGATACTTCCATTTTATCCTCCACCTATTTCAATCTCTTTCTCTTTCTTTGCTAGATTCTGTGTAGTACTCTCAGGTTTATCTTCAGTTTGCTAATTCTTTCTTCAGTTTTGTCTAATTATCTGTCCAACGCATGCACTGAGATGCTTTTAAGACATTAACCCTAATGTTATTTTTATAAGTTCTATATTTTTAAGTCTGCCTATTCATTTTTCATCTTATTATTATATTTTTATCATCATTCATCTTGTTTCTTACATATTTGATTATCCTTTTCTTAAATCATTAATAATTGTATTATTTTAGTCTTATACAAGAGTTCTATTCTCAGAAGTTCTTACTGAGTCCTGCTTGTTTTGTCTGCTGGCTCTCACTCATGGTAGTTTCTTTCTTTGTGTGCTGTGTGTGAACTCATGTTTGAGAGTCACGCATTGGTTTTCTATTCAAGGTTACCACAGTCCATGGATACATTTTTGTATTACTTTTGCATCATCTTGGGTAGCAAGTTTGATATCTAAATGTGTGTGAGATCTAACTTAAAGTTTTGAATTTCCAGAGGGAACTTTAAAAATGCCCACTCAGTCAGAGACAGAAAGGCTTTCTCTTTCTCTGCCTGTGCTGGTGGGTTCACTGTTCTCCTGAGTTATCTTCAAGAGTCTTGTCTGTATATTGGAGTTTCAGTTCCATCTCCTAGCTCCTCTGGGTAACTGAGATAAATCCCTGCCACACCCTCTCAACCAACTTCATGCTGCCACAATGTGGGCTCACATCATCTTCACTTTTTTTTTTTTTTTTGAGTCAGAGTCTTGCCTTGTTGCCCAGGCTGGTGTGCAGTGGTGCGATCATGGCTTACTGCAGCCTTGACCTCCTGGGCTCAAGTGATCCTCCCACCTCAGCCTCCCAAGTAGCTGTGCCAGCCAATTTTTTGTTTTTTTGTATTTTTTGTAGAGACTGGGGTGGGCGGGCGGGGGGTCGGGGGGGTCTCACCGTGTTGCCCAGGCTGGTCTCTAATTTCTGAGATCTAATCCCGAAGTGTTGGGATTACAGGTGCGAGCCACTGCACTCGACCACCATCCTCACTGTGGTTTTTGGTTTCCTCTTTATTTATGGGCTTTGGGGAGTTCCTTCCGGTCACCTAGCTATGCATTTGAAATAAATCCCATATTTAATTTGGCATATCTAATTGTACTGTAGTGGGAAAGTTTCCAGTTATTAAATCCATAATTTTGCTGAAAATGGAAGTTATTTATTAACCTACATATCACCACAGTTCTTCAAGGCAAGCATGGTTATCTCCAGTTTGTAAATAAAAAAGGGCTTCAGAGAGGCTCAGTAACTTGCCCGGCATCACACAGCCAGAGCGTCAAATCTTGCCTGCAGAGGTTTCTTGGGGCCAGGAGAGTGTGTTTTAGTGCCTTGGGCCAGGCTCCCCAACTTCTCCACAACTGCCCCTGTCTCTCCTCTCCCTTATCCTGCTCAGCTTCACACAGTTACTTACTTTTCTGGTCCCCAAAGGCCTTTGAGCAGGTGATACCAATTCCAAATCCTTCTGCAAGAGCCACTGCAGATTTGTCCGATGTTGACTCCTCTGTGTCACTGGTGCTAGCTTCCCAGCCTGTTCATTTTATTCCACTGCCAATGTAGCCCAAAGCAAATGCACACGATTTCCTATTTTTCTGTTATTTTTCATGGTCTATCAAAAAATATATGCTCCCACTTTCCAAAATCAGAACATCCACTAGTGTCTGCATGAAGTAAGTCATGAGAAAGGTGAGAGTGCCTCCCTGTCACTAATGCTTATCCTAGCAGTGCGCCAGTATGGAATGCTCTAGTGCAGCTTGGTCCATTCAGCGGAGGGCTACCCCTGCTTTACAGCCCTGTGGTATGGATTATAATTCCTTACTTACCACTAAATTTTCTTCAAAGGCTGTCTGTAGCTCCATGTTATGCATACCTCTACCAGAAAATTCACCTTTTTAAGACTCAGTTTAAGGCTTGTCTCCATAGTGAAGGCTCACCCTCCTGGGCACTTCCATATGCGTGATCCTGATAGGATTTTATGGTTGTCTCAGAAGCATCAGTGTGCTTTGTCTCTCCAATGAGATGGTAAAGTCCTCTAGAACAGGCATTTTTTCCCCCAATCTCTTTTTTATTCATTGTGGGATAAGGTCATGTTTTAGCCACACAGGAAGAATGGATACTTTAAAATAGACTTCCATTTTTATTAAAATATTGAAGGGAGGGTGGTTGATGGGTACAACAAATAGAGATGAATCAGATCTACTATTTGATAGCACAATAGGATGATCAATTACAATTTAGTTATACATTTAAAAGTAACTAAGAGTGTAATTAGATCGTTGTAACAGAAAGGATAAATACTTGAGGTGGTGGATACCCCATTCATCCTGATGTGATTATTATTGTATCCTGTACCAAAATATCTCATGTACCCCATAAGTATATACACCTACTATATGCCCACAAAAAGCAAAAATAAATTTTTTTTTTAAAGTTAGAAAAATAAATAAGCTAATGACTTTTTTTATGTTGAATCTCCAAATTTGACACTTACTTAAATGTTCAAGGTGAGAAAATTTTTATGTATTATCCTCATCACTGTTTAGCATTTTTAATGATGTTGTAACATACATTGGAATTTGTTTCTTTCAGGCCAGAAACACTGAGGGCATCTTATTTACACTTAACTCCATCTTGTGAAAAAAATGGAGCAGCAAAACTAATAGCCCAGATTTGGACCCCAGGATGACAAGCTCCAAGATGGTGGATAATTTTCCTTCTTGACCATAGCGTTAAACCTAGCCATTGTGATAAATAAAGTGACTTTTGGCTTTATGACTTTCAGTGTAAATATTGGATTACCTTATCTATTCAAAGGACTTCAGAAGTGTTGTCTGTTTTTAGGCAAATATTCTGGTCACTGAACACCCAGAGCCACTATCAAAAGCCAGTAATGGTTTAATAGTTGTTTTATGTCTCTTTGTACTGCTGTTTACCTTTGTTTCATGTTCCTAACTAGTTGTTGATTTCCTTAAAGGCTGGAGCTGGCTCTTGCCCAGTGGTGGGATTTAGTGTTTTCTTTTTTATTTATCAAATATTTTAAAATATTAACATTTTATGAATGTTAAATCATTGAATCCTCATAGCTTCTTATGGGTTAGGTATCCTGTAATATTTCCATTTTGCAGATGAGGAAAGTGAGGTGTGGAGACATTAAGTAATTTGCATAAGGTCACACAATTTGTTATATGGCCAGTATTCTGACCTAGGAGATCTGGCTCAGAATCTGTGCTCTTAACCAAAAATGCTGTTAGATTTCAACAATTTCTGTTTTAATGCTTTAAATTGAACAAAATTTTAATGTCATGGAGGGAGGGGAAGGAAGAACATTTTCTGCTCTTTCCTACTCTCAAATCAGGGCTGGAATATATGTGTAGACTTATATAATGTTTAATTAGAACACTCATGGAGTTCAGCTTACAGTAAACATGTATTTGATTTCCAGCTCTTTGCAAAATGCAAACAAACTTTGTACTTGTTTGTCTTAGTCTTATGTCTTGGCATACTTTCCCAGATGGCTAAATGAGAACGTAGAAGTTGCAGAAATAATCGTTTAGTTGAACGGCTATAAAATTAATAGAGTCTTTCTTCAGTGCCTTCTATCTCTCTTTCCATCTCTCTCTGGTTGAGTGGGGATTAGAAATTGGACTAATATGAGAAAACCAGGAGTCTGTAAAGTGTCGTATCTGATACTGGCAGCATCCTGCTCTGAATGAGGTTACACAGATTGCATAACTCACAGAGATAGGGTTCAGGATCGGAAAAGGAGGATTACAACAAATGCTAAATTAAGTTTGTATGTGGAGCATAGAGTTCATTTTAAATCGAGAAATATTCATGGAGAACTGTAATATTTTTCATCTAACATCTAAGAACTAGAATCATAGTATCAAAACTTAAGTGAAACAACTCTGATTTTTTTTTTTAGTAAAGTGAACCTGAAAAGTATATGCAATTTTCCCTGCATATGTCTGGAAATTTAGTTGTGGAGATACACAGTACATGTGATAAAATATTAAACAGAGGGGGACATTGTTTAAAATTACTAATTATTAACATGTCAGTTAATGATGTGGATTAAATACTTAAAATAGAGAAAAAACTATGCACATTGTTAAACTTTGGATATTCCTCTTTATTACAGTTGTGCAAGCCACTGATTATTATTCCATTTGGTTAGGGCATTAGAACTGGAGAACTAGCACACAATTTTAGGGTGGAACTAATCAAATCAACCCTTTAGTACAAAATCTAGATGTACTTTCGTTAGGGCTTTTGAATGTGGGACCAGAAGCGAAAGAGTCAGATTCTAATCACCTGGGTTAGGACTTGGCCCAAGCATCTGGCCCATGTGTATCCGCCAAAGCAAGAAGGGCCAGGAGCAGTGAGATTTTCATTTAGATCCCATTTAAGAGCAGGGTTTTTAAAATTAGCTTGGACTTCCCTTTAGGTTGGGTGCTTGGGAAATGCCACTGCTGTGACTGTCAGAGGCTCACTCTTCACGTTGTATGAATTTGTAGAGGACTTTAGAGCTCGTCCATATGTCACTCGATCCCAGGTGGTCCGGAGACGTAGCAATGTGACCAGGGTGAAGTAGAGAACTGATGAATTCCCTTGGGAGAGGAATTTTCCAGCACCTAATAGTGATGGATGCTCCTTACAGCTCCAGCAAGAGGCATACAGTCTTCATTTAGGAAAGCTATGATGCCGTAATGTTACATTCACCATTTACCTAATATTCTTCATGATCTCTGAGGTTTTTCTGGGTCTTATCCATTCTCCTGGGCCAGTCTATACATTTTGGTCTTGAGGAAAGCTTCAGTTAAATAAAAAAGCATGGGGTTTGGAATCAGGGTGACCTTGTCACCATCACCATCTGCTCTGTGATTTGGGGCAAATGGTCCTTCTTGGGCATCAGTGTCTTCATCTGTAAAATGCACTGAGAAGGTGGACACCCAGGGTAGTTTAGAGGATGAAGTAGCTGGGGTGTGCGTGGTGCCCGTGCTCAGTGGTGTTTAATAAGCACGCAGGCTTCTCCACCACTTGCCCAGCAGCGGCCCCAGTGCTCTCTTGTGACCTGAGAGCTCTGGCACAGGCCTCCAGGGGGAGGCCAGGGAGGAGAAGCTGATCTCCTTCCTTTGAGGCCTTTTTCTCAGCCACAGAGAAAAAGAGTGGCTGAGGAGAGGTGCCCAGTGACCACAGTCCAGGAATGAGAGCATTCCTTTCCTTCCCAAATGCTGCCTCTTTCCCCTCATTAGTTCACTGACCTTTTAACCCAGCCCCCTTTCCTTTAAAAAATAGTTGCATTAAAGATGAAAAACATATTTTAAAACGTAGTCATTGTGCAAACCAAAAATAAAATCCTAAGCACCCCCATGGAACGGACCCTCTCTTGACCAAGGGGATCCCAGAGAAACCCAAAAAACTGAATTCCAGGCCATAAGGGAAGGCAGGTTGGATGTGCCTCCTCATACCTCCTCCTTTTTGGAGTTTAGGCACAACTGACCAGCATTAACATTAAAATGGAAATCATAAGACAGAAAAAACAGAGTCTTTTTGGCAAGAAGATACCAAATTCCTACCTGACTCTGGTGTAGTGTCATATGACAGATGGCAGACCCTGAAGGATATAAAAATATTTTTCCCAAGATATATTTCTTTGATGTATTTTAAAATGGTACTGCAAAGTTGTCTTTTGAGGAGGAAATTTGCATCTGTAGAGAATCTCTATGAATGAAACCAGGCCTTTCCCAGATCTAGGAGAGATTAACTGAGTCTGACGCCTTTTAAAGCCTGAAAAGAAACCTTTTCCATTTATTCTCTCTGAAGGCTGCTACCTGGAGGCTTCCTCTACATAACAAGAATCTTGGCTTCCACTCTCCCTTATCTTAATTAAACCATTTCTTTCTACTGACTTCAAGTCTTTATACAAAGCTTAACTCTTTCAACCAATGGCCCAACAGAAAATCTTTGAATCCACCTCCACCTGCAAGCCCCCACTTTGAGATGTCCTGTCTCTTCAGGCTGAACCAATGTATATCTTACATGTATTGATTTATGTCTTTGCTTATAACCTCTATCTCCCTAAAATGTATAAAACCATACTCTAACCCAACTACCTCAGGCACACTTTCTCAGGACTTCTTGAGACTGTTCCCTGGGCCATGGTCACTCATATTGGCTCTGAATAAACCTCTTTAGATATTTTACAGAGTTTACTTTCCTTCACCAACAATAGACAGACATAAAAACATGGGAAGATCCAGAGCTTCCTCCCACCTCCGAGCCACGGCATGCAGGGCACTGTATTTCATGTGTGTCAAGGATCGCAGTTGGAGCACGTCGTTCACTCAGGGACTCAGGTGTGGCTGGGCTGGCCTGCGGGGGCTGTGGTGGGTCTGTTGGGAGCTGTTTTCCAGAGGACATGTGGAAAGCATGTGTGCTGCTGTGAAAGGGAAGCTGACTTCACATCCATGCAGGGGTGTGTTATTCCTAGTGTGCACCAGGTGTCTGGGGTGGGGGGGCAGGGAGCAGAGTATGCCTTTATTCCCTGCCAGCAGGTCTGGTGGCTTCTCCTGACATAAGAGATGATGGATCCCAGCAGCTCGGTAGCCTTGGAGGGTGACCCCTTGAAGGGGACTTCACTGCCCTCACAAGGGACAGCTTTTGTACACACAGCAGGCCCATCTCCCCCATGGTGAGGTCTGTGGTGCTGAAACCACCTCTGCAGGGTTGACAGGAACTGCATGCTGGGTTCTGTCTGGGTGGAAATAGAGTTATAATTCAGCATGAGCCAGGCTGCACCGTGGCCCACTTCCTTGTGTCCACAAGTCTGAGCGTTTGTGTTCCCATTGTTCCTTCAGACAGCAGCTCTGACGTTGGAATCATAAGGCTTTTGTTTAAGGATCGCTTAAGAGGTTTTTCAGACCTCAAATTCCAGAAACCAATTTGAGGACCTCCACGGAGGAATAGGATCAGCATGAGGATAAAACGCCTTCCTCTCTCCCTGCCCCCTGACTTCACCCTGCACTCTTCCACCAGTCAAGAATCTCCACACTTTGGCCCCATTCAAAACCCATAAAAACCCTAACCCCAAATTCCTCAGGGAGAAGGATTTGAGGTTCCTTCTCATCACCTTGTTCATTGACCCTACGATTAAACCTGTTTTTTGCTGCGAACTGGTGTCTTGGCACACTGACTTGCTGTGTGCATCAGGCAGCTAATCTATTATGCTTGCAGTGCCCCAGCAGGGCAGTGTCTTCCTAGCTCCCATGGCACCGGCTGCTCTGTGGGCTCCACAGCCCTCAGCAGATGTCATGGAAAGGACAGATACCGCGGGGTCATGAGGAGGAATTGACACTTTTTGAAAGGGGACAGATTGGAAGAGAAATTGGGGGTCCTGGGATGGTGAGTGTGGGCAAAGTTTGAGAATGTCTGTGTCTGACCATCCAGAGACCCAAGACTTGCCTGTGGGCTGGGCTGGGCTGGCCTGGGAAGCCCAGGTTGTATTTATGAGTGCATTGTGCATTTATGTACCCATTTATATTGAGGAAGCCACAGAGGGGACACTGATGGACAGGAAGTTGACGAAAATTGTAGATGTGACTATGTAACCCAAAAACTCAGAAAAAAAGAGACAAGAATGATATATTTGATAGAAAAATGCAAGCCAGGCTTTAGCACTGGAAATCAACTTAGACCTGTGGCCCAAGGCAGAAGGCACTGTCTTGAGCCAGGGTGAGTGCAGCTGGGAATGACACAGTGGATTGGGACCTTGGAAACCATAGGAGTCAGTGCCAGCCTGAGTGTGCTGGTGAATATCCCTGGACAGAGAAGCTTAGAGAAACTTGGGGGCTGCTGAGCCTGGAAGTTGAAGTGTGTGTGTGTCCTTCATATAGAAGACTGGCTGGTTGAATTTTCAAAATAAATTCCACAAATATGTCTTCTTCATATTCTCAAATATCGTAGTTTCTACTCAGATCACACTGGAGAGAAGGAGGAGAAGTGGGAGAAGGAGGAGAGAGAGGATGATGACACACATAAGGAAGTGACCTAGGTAATAGGTGCTTAGCAGTCTTAGCAATCAGATCAGCAGAGCTGGGTTGTACATTGACATCACAATTCTTTCTTCATCTGGCTTTTTATGGATTTATGAATTCTTATCCATAGCACATTGATAATATTCTAGGTTGGAGTGGGGGACTTTCCCAGACTTCACACCAAGTTGCTAAAACTCCCTTTAAAAACTTCCTTCTTTTTACAAACGTGGAAACAAAGAAACACACCTAGATAAACAGAGGAATACAAATGCTGTAACAGAGGCCCATAAGCAGGTTGATGGAGCGGTTTTCTCAATGAATATGTTATGTATTAAGGTCTAGCACTTAATGTAGAGAAAATAGATCGAGAGATGATGGTGACATTTTAAGAGTTCACAACCCCCTCTGATAACATACAGATTTTAAAAAGCAATTTTAAACCTAGGAGGAAAGAAAAATATACAAGGAGTATTTGAAACAGAGTCCAGCTTGCAATGCTGCAGGCCAAGAACAGTTCATAGCCCCCTGAAGACAGACCCCCCCCCCAAAGCATGCCAACTTAGTGCCAGCAAGCGCCAGGGAACACATTTTGCACAATTGGCCATTGGCTTTGTTTCTTAAAATGTATTCTTGGCATTTTCCACAGGATGTACTTGGTAGTGAGTGGATGTGTAGACCTTTGAGAGGTGTGGTTATAACCATCTATCTCGCTGTCTATTGCTCTTTCGGGTATTATGTCACCTGACATCATAGTACCTAAAGTTCAAACCTCCAAAGTAGCTTAGAAGAAAAATGCCAGGAAACTGTTTCCTTGTACATCCCCAGAGGGAAACTTTAAAGAGAATGTCCTTGCACTGAGTTCCCCGGTTTCTCATAGGAAGAACAAATAAAGGTTGGAACAGCCAGAGTGGGCCTTCCTCCCCCCATCTTCCTTTGGTAGCAGGTCGTGCCTCGGTTTATTGTGAATTTCTCTGTAGACCTCCACGTGCAACAGTGGGGAGTGCCAAGGCAAGAGCAGAGCCGGACAGCAGTTAACGGGGTAAACACAGTTTATTCAGCATTGCTGCAATACAGAAAAAGAGACCTCTGTGTAAAACTGGGCTCCACTCTGAATACCGCATGGGCAAGTGGGGATTCATAGCTAAGGAGCAGGGTGGGTTTGGTGGATGGAAAATCACGAAGAGGAACCTTCAGGAGTGAGGGGTATCTGGCTAAACTGACCTCACAGGATTATTGCTGAAGACAGGCCAGGTGACCAGACATCACCTGGGAGATGGTGAGGGTTGAGGAACCTGATTAGGTATTGAGGGCAAGAGGTTTTGGCTAAACTGCCTTAGTAGGGTTCTTGCTAAAACTGCCTTCTGCAAGGAAGTGCACAGATGGACTTTGCTGGTCTGGGTTCGGGAGCCTGGCTTAAGTTTGGTCAAGCAGCAGTTGTTAATGCAGAAAAAGAAGGCGGCCTTTCGGTGTGCTGAGCACAGTGAGGGAATTATTGCTGGTTTACTCTGGGTTTTCACATGCTCTTTCATTCCAACAACTGAACTGGTTTTACTTGAGTCGATCTGCAGCCCATCCTGAAATTATTTCAGTAAGTTTTCCTCTGTCTTTGTGTTTAAAACACAGCAAGCTGCTGACATGGGGTGAGTATCAGGTGAATACTACCTTCTAGAACCTTTGTCGAATCAGTCTGGCCCATCTCCATGCTTTTCATAAGTTAATTGCTAACTCCCAAAGAAAAAAAATACCATTTCTTACTTTCTGGTCTCTTATCAAACATGCTGAGCACGGCTTGGTTAAGCAGTAACTCTCGCTATGCAAGTAAACAGAATTCTCCACCGCACCTCCCTCTTTGTACATGAGAACTTGGGAGAAAATCATCAACAGCTATTAATAATGCACTGAACTGGAAGTGGTTCAGTTTCTTTAAGACACCTTGAGAATATTTACACGTGTGGAGGACAGAGTGTTTACAAGGGTCCCCGTGAGAACACGGTTATGGGAGGGTGGCTGTCGGGTCTGGGGGCATTCTCCTGCCAACACCAGGACTTCAGCAACAGGGGGCTGTTCCTTGAGTACAAATCTTAAATTTACATGGAAATTGGCCAACTTTGAGGTTTCGGAAGTTTTATAAATGGCTGGAATCTCAAGAGCCAGACGTGGTTTTGGGACTCAGTGGTGGGGTGAGGTTTGAACACCATCCGGGCCTTGGCTGTAGAGAGAGCTGAGAAGCGATGAGCACCCCAGGGCTGTTTCCACACGAGCAGGCGGAGGAGCTGGGCCACCTAAGTAGTGTGATTCAGAAGTTGCCAGAAAGGCAGCCCCCTGACAGAGAAATAGGCCTCTCTCCTCAAAGATTTACCTCTGAATCTGAATTTTAGATGGAGAGATTTCTACACTTCAGTTTGGGTTTGGACTCCAAGGCCTCTCCTTTAAAATGCAAAAAGTCAACTTAAAAGAGGAATGTATTAACATATTAGCACACAGGCCACATACCATGAATTAATGAGTTCACCAAATAGACATCACCTGCAGGATCCTGAAGGCCAGGGTGAGGGGCCCTTCTTAACCCTCCCTGTACCACAGCCTGTCTCTGACCTGAGATCCCAGCACTGCACCCCCACAAGCTCACCTCATCTGAAGGTTTGAGCCCATGGTGATATTTACATCAGGATTGGACTGGGACCTCCAGGAGCCTTAACTGTGGACAGCATTAGCTGCTCTTCTCCTTCCTCGGCCATAAGAAAATAAAATTCAACTTAGTTCTAAAATGAACATAATGATGGCTTAACCATGTGCAGGCTTTCCCCACAAGGGAAAATCACTTCTTGTATTTTTTGAAATAGAAAACATGAAATTCTTTCCCAAGCTTTTCTTTTTGTTCCTGTTTTGATAATGTCCCAGGTGCACACTTAAGATGGAACCCAACCATCTTTTCATTAACACACCACAGACCCTGGCTGGGGCCCTCTCCTCACTTCTTGTGCCTTCCCTGTGCCCTTCTTCATGCCACGAGCCTGGTACTAGCGATGCGCTAGCACACCAAACGTAATCCTTCACCCAGGCCTGGCTTCCAAGTGCTAGACTGACCCTCTCAGAGATCTAGCACTTATGTACACTCGAGCGTCCTACCGGCACCTCCGCATCACCAGGTCCAAAACAGAACTTGTGAACTTTTCCACCAAATTCGCTCTTTTTCTTGTTATCTCCATCTAAAAAAATTCATCCAGTTTCTCAAGTCAGAAATCTGGGAGTTATCCTTAACATCTTCTTATATGCAAAAACCCACGATTTTTCCTCCTTAGTATCTGTCATTTCCATCTATGGCCACTCTCCCTCCCACTGCCACTATGCCTTGGAGCCGCCCTTTGCTCCTGCCTGGCTCATTGCGGTAGCCATCTAATCCTCCTGCCCTGCTCTGCTCATCTCAAACACCCATTCTCCGCTTGTGGCCCGAGGGATGGTTCCGATCTGATCGTGTTCCTCATGCCCCTGTTTCACCACCCTGAATGGTAGGTATCCCCAGGCTCAAACACCTTCATGAAATTTACAAGACTGCTTACCATATGGCTGTGCTTTCTGCTCCCTTCCCTCTCTAGCCACTTTCCATCATGTATTCCACATGTCTATGAATTCCCACACACAGTCATCTGCCTATGCTTTGGGCCTTTGCATATGCTATTCCATCTTCTGGGAGTAGACTTTCCACTTTGTAACTGTCTGATTCCCACCCATCCTTTGGCACCTATAGCTCTTCCTCCAGGTCCTTTCCTGGGCCCTCCAACAACAGCCTCTTACTGCACTCTTCACACTGCAGGGTCTTTTGTCCTGTGAAAGTTGCAGATACCAAAATGAAATCGCTTTTGCCATACCCGGACAGAAGAGGGCCAGAAAGGCCCATAGGAGAGGAGGCTCGGGCTGACATGTCTGAGATGAGAACTGCTTCCGAGGACTTTCTAAAATCCTTTCATGTCCTTTATGCATCCCCTGTTCTGATAAGGTTTATCACGAGATATTGTTTAGGACTACAGTAATTCAGATAAGATGTTCTTGGAAGAACACTTGCCCACTGATGGCATCTCCACCAATGAACTGAAAGCAACTCTGACTTTGAACCTCTGGAATCAACAAACTCTGTTTCTAAGAAGTTCATGTCAATCTCGGTTTGCTAATAAAAGCCCCCCTCACCCTTTCCTCACTGAATGCACTGGTAGCTTGCCATTCCATGCATTCCGGATTATAATCCTTACTTCCATTCCTGAGTAAATTCAACATACCTACAGATAATTTTCTCTAGTGTCTTTTTTAAGGTTGACAGTCTGTAACCTTTTCTAGCCTAGGAGCTCCAGAGGCTCTTGGGTTCCTGGGCTCTGAGGCTTGGGCAGAGCCACAGCAGGCACTGTGTGGATCTCATTAGCATTGTTTGCTCAGCGCCTAGCACAGTGCCTGCCACACAGTAAGTGCTCAGTAAGTGTTTGTTGATCTGATGAATATATTTTAATACATCGAGTTGACGGGCACTCTGGCAAAAGGGCTTGGTCGGAGTTACGTTTAAGGACTTTAAGTAGATGGAAGCTTCATCTGGGTTCTGATTATGGGATATGTGGGAGTAGGTCACAAAAGTTGAGACTGAAAATGTAACAAAAGTCATCACTTAATGATGTGTTCACCATGGCCAGGTGCTTTATCTGTAGGAGCTCAGGTTATCCCAAGTATCTCAGGTTAAACTGGGGCATAATTTCTTCATCTGTCAATCTAAAATGAAATGATGAGTAACTTAGGCCAGGTCACTTGGCAGGTGTGGAGGGGAGCGGTGAAGGCAGAAGCCAATTGATACTAAGAATAGGCTTTGTGTTCTCAGCGTTGCCTGGGCCTGTGCTAAATGCATGGAGCGCATCTACCACTATGACAGTCGCTGCCGAAACGATCACCCAGTCGCAGTCACTTTGCTCTGATACACATTTTAAAAATGTTATTGGTGTCAGTGGTAAGGTTGGGAGTGTGTGTATATCGTGTGTTTAGGAGGGTAGAGAAAGTGAGGTAGTTTGACCTCAAGAGATAGTGGGATGATTAATGGAGATATTAGCACTTGCTATTTTGAATTACTTGGCCTAGCTTTCCAAATGATTACCTCAAAAATCAATTAATTAGTTCATTAGTTAACCAAATTTTTATTAAGGTGAAGTTCTAGACTCTGTATGAAAAAAAAAGAAAGGTACCAGATGCTCATAATCTAGCAAGGAGAGAAGAGGCAGACCACTCTTCATTGTCATGCAAAGCAGGAAAAGGTCAGTGCCACATACGTGTTGGGTGAAAGTGCGGGGTGTCCCAAGGGGGAAGTCATTACTTGCCGTGGTAATTGGAGAAGGTGGCATGTCCCCTGGCCACTAGCAATGAGTGCTGTATAAAAGTGTTGTTCAACATTAACATGCCAATGAACCTACCACCTTATACAGGGTTTATAAGGCTACAGATAGCAGGCACTCCATAAATATTTGCTGACGTGCATGTACAGCATGCAACCATTCCATCTGAGTGGAGGAATTGTGTTCATTACTGAATCTAGTAGAGGGTATCTGATTAGTTTAGTACAATTATGATTAAAGTCAACTCCTATTAATTGCCTCACTTCTCAAATGCTTAGTGTATCTTTATTACAAGGTCATGATTATGAGATCATGAAAATAATCTCATCCTTCAGTGAATAAAAACTACTAACATACTGGTAGAATTTTTTTTTTTTTTTTTTTTTTTTTTGAGACAGGGTCTTGTTCTTTCGCCTAGGCTGGAGTGCAGTGGCACTATCTCGGCTCACTGCAAGCTCCGACTCCCGGGTTCACGCCATTCTCCCGCCTCAGCCTCCCAAGTAGCTGGGACTGCAGGCGCCCACCACTACACCCTGCTAATTTTTTTTTTTTTTTTTTTTTTTTTAGACGGAGTCTTGCTCTGTCACCCAGGCTGGAGTGCAGTGGCGCGATCTCGCTCACTGCAAGCTCCGTCTCCCGGGTTCACGCCATTCTCCTGCCTCAGCCTCCCCAGTAGCTGGGACTACAGGCGCCCACCACCACGCCTGGCTAATTTTTTGTATTTTAATAGAGACGGGGTTTCACTATGTTAGCCGGGATGGTCTCGATCTCCTGACCTCGTGATCCACCTGCCTCGGCCTCCCAAAGTGCTAGGATTACAGGCGTGAGCCACTGCGCCCGGCCCCGGCTAATTTTTTTGTATTTTTAGTAGAGACGGGGTTTCACCTCCTGACCTCGTGATCCGCCCGCCTCGGCCTCCCAAAGTGCTGGGATTACAGGCATGAGCCACTGCGCCCGGCCAGAAAATATTTTTATGTATATAATAAAGATAATGTCTTATATTAAGTTGAAAATATTTGTTTTAGTTTCTATTTAATTAATTTCTACTTAATTAGGATATCTGAGAAGGGATCTTATTGAAACCATTTCCCATTGAATCCTCTCTGAAGCTCCATTTACTGCCTTAAATTAGGAGATTAAAAATTAAAGTGAAAGGAGATAAATAAGCATAACTTTTACAATGCTTGGCAAAATTACTGTTAGAATAAATATTTTTTTAAATCCATGCCCCCTAGCTGTTGAAATGTAGATTAATCCTAACACTTCCAACTTTGAAGCTGGCCTGAAACGGTGGTAGCTCCTCTCAGGAGGTTTTGCTTATTTTATTTTCCCCGAATTATTTTTGCTGTAGTATGTTAAAATAACATCTCACTGAACATTTAGGTTTGTGTGGCGCAGTCCAGCCAGTGAAAGCATGAAGTGGAATTCAGCTGTATTTGAAGGTTGACATCAAAAAGATTGAAAAGCATCTGTGAATAGTTTGAAATCAGTTTTTAGAGGACATGAATTAGACCATTGGTTCAAATAGCAGGCTTGTTGATGTGCTGAGGAAGTGCTTTTTAGCCTCCTGAGTTACCCGGCTGCTGGTGGATTCTATGATTACATGAATACTTGCTAGAGGACAGGTGTAGCTGCCTTTGTTTACTGATGATATTCTTGCTAAAAGGTAGAAGTACAGGAGGAGCTAATTTGGCTTAGTTTCTACCTATTGACAAATGTAGACACTAAATGACTGGTCAGAGAAGTGGCCAACTGCAGCTAGAGAGTTGCAGCATTATTCTGCAGACAACGCCAGGATGTTAGGACAGCAACCACTGTAACCTCAACCACAACGATCACAACAAGGTTTATTTGAAAATAAAAATAGGGACAACATGGATAACATTTTCTCTGGATTTTCTAAATACCATACGACTGAATAGAAACTCTTTCTGCAAGGCTCCAAAAAATAAAAATAAAATAAAACATTTCTAGACTGACCTTGAATGCTTCCTGGTAGGAAATTGCCTGTAGCACACTCTGTGCTTAGATCTTGATATCCAGATATTATGCTCCATTAAAACGAACCAACACTTCTTGGAGAAGTGGCTGATTCAGAAAGTGCAAGATGAGTCTGGGACATCTTGTTATGTCAGAAAGTAAGAAAGTGCTCACAGAATGGTGGGGACACCACCAAGGACAAAAGGAAAGGCTTGAGGGAGCTCCCACAGGCCATGAGGGACAATCTGAGGATTCAAATGAAGAAATTCAGTAACGGATTGCAACTCGCGGGACTGTGTAGGAACACCTGAGTCCACAGTGATGATAAACAAATATACAGAGAGGAAGGGAAAGAGCTCTAAAGTTAAATACCATATGATAAAAGAAGCAGCTAATAGAATCTCTAAAAGAATAGTACAGTAAAAAATGCCCCATTTTGCAACCATCAGAGTCAAGAAGGATTCAGGCGAGCATCAGTGAGTGCTTAAACTATTGGATCAAAGTTTGGAGAGAAACAGAATATTTACAGTGTCTCAAAGTCTTCCCCACAGATTCCTTAGTAATTACAAAGGTAAAAATGGTAACTTTATGATGAAGAACCTGTGGGAACACATATTAGCCAAGCAATCAAGGTTTGCATCACCAGTTAGGATGCTGCAAACTAACATCATGTAACCCGTTTGTGATGAACTTAAAGCATCTCTTTTGCAGCATTTCTGCCTGAAATGCATAGCCTGAATCTAATTCAAATTGAGAGATAACTGGCCTGAAATATTCAAAAGTATCAGTGTCATGAAAAATGAGGAAAATTGGAGCAATCGTTCCAGAATAAAGAAAACTAAAGAGACATGACAACTAACTACAATGCATATCCTAGATGGAATTCTGACTCACAGGGAAAACAGGGAAAACAGGAATACAAGACATTATTGGAACAAATTGTGGAATCTGAATGGAGGCTGTACATTAGATAATCCTATTTAATCGAAGTTAACTTTTCTGAATTTTTAATGTTATAATGGAAGAGAATGTTCTTGTCTTTGGAAAATGCATGCTGAAGGATTTTCTGGTGAAGAGGCAGGAGATGATCAGCTAATTCTCAAAGAGTTTAGAAAAAATAGAATTATATATTACATAAAATGTAACATAAAATATGTAGAATATATAAAATGTGTTATATATAGACGAGGAATATGAAAACAAATGTGGCAAAGTGTTAAAATTGAGAATCTGAATAAAGAATATATGAGTTCTTTGTACTATTATTGCAACTCCTAAGAAATTATAGCCATATGTCACTTAATGACAGAGATCTGTTCTGAGAAATTCATCATTCGGCAATATTGTAGTTGTGCAAACATCACAGAGTATACTTACACAAACCTAGATGGTACAGCCTGCTGTACCCTTCTGCTGTGTGGTCTAGCCTACTGCTCCTAGGCTATAAGCTGATATAGCACATTGCTGTACTGAATCCTGTAGGCAATTGTAACATGATGGTCAGTATTGGTGTATTTAAATATAGGAAAGGTACAGTAAAAATACGGCACTATAATCTTACGGGATCAGTTACATACATGGTCTGGGGTTGACCAAATCATGGTTATGCGGTGATGGCTGTATTCAATAACGAAAAGTTAAAAGAAAAAGAAGTTATTAATATTGTCACAGTTGATAAAAGAAGTTGCAAAGATGGGGGTTGAGGTAAGCAAGGAAGTCATATTTCCATCTGAATTCATTTCTTCTATTCTCCCATGTCCCATGCTTTCCTTCTAGAGTCGGCTGGCTGAAACTATTTACGTGTCTATAATGATCGTGTTTGCCTCAATGCTCCTGAGGCAGGGCTCCCAGACTCCCTTCTCCAGGCAGTCATCATGCACTGCTACCTTTGCTGACCAGCCATGTACTCTCCTGCTACGTCCTGCCACGTCTTCCTGTATTTTGGTTCTTCCTTTATTTTGGTGGCGCCTTCCTACTGCCTGGCCAACAGCTCCCCCTTCTTTCAGCTCCAGGGGAGAGAATCAGTGCCTGCATCTCTTCCAACTTGCTTTGTGCCATATTGTTTCCTACTACACGGCTTGTTTTCTTCCTCCCAGTGCTGTGGGCATCTGTCGTCAGGCTGTGTGGTGCCACTTAGGTGGTCGATCTCTTAGGTTAGGGTCCATCTCCTCTTGAGATGCTGCCTGAGAAGACAGGCCCTTTATTTTTCCCCAGGAAACACTGTCATTTAGGTGGGATGGGATGGACTTCTTCAGGGATCAATAGACAATCTCTCACCATGGGCTTTCCTCAAACCTATGTCCTCAAAAAAAAAAAAAATACCCTTTACACTGAAGAATGTGGCAGGACTTCAAAATTTCAAAGGCCATAAAAGTCTGGCCAAGCATTTGCTTTAGAATTTTCACTTTTTTATATCCCCTGTTCATGAAGAATGTCTCAATTGTAGACCTTCACAATGTTCTATCACTCTATCATTATTTGGATATGAGATCAGGTAGATTAAAATAACACTGAAAGATTATCATGTGATTGGTAATGATAATTCTTTCACATCAAGGGAATTTGAGTGTGTTGGCATTAAGAAAGTTTATTAAAATATTGCCACTAAGTCAGATCTGGAAAAAGAGAAGTTTCGATTTATGCACCTAAAGGGCTATGGTTGTCATGCTATGATTTCTTTGTTCTTTCTTAAAACTTTAGCTGGGGAGGAGGATTTGATGGAAACTGTACAGCTTTTTAAGACTTGGTTAAATTGTGTAATTATTTTATTTAGCAGGGGTATAGGTATTGCCTCAGTTACTCTTTCCTGTAAGGCAAAAGTGTCTAAGACTAAATGATTGTGCAGTACTCACTACCACTTCTGTTCATGACATGAGATATTGGTAGCATTACCAGAGCTCATCTTCCAAACACGTTGCTTTCATGCACCGTGTCTACATCAGCAAACTGACGGTTGTAACCTACTTGCTGACGATCATTCCTCAGTCTTGCCGAAAATGAGTTACTCTTGTGTCTGCATTAGGCAGTGGAAAAAATCCATGGAAGGCAGTGGATTGGTCAGAGTCCCAGTTGATTTCCTTAAACCTCCTACTGATCCCTTGTTACTTAGAATGACTGGTATGTAAGTAGTCCTCATTTTTCAGGAGATAAGAGCTCTACTTCTTTTGCCCTTTACCAGACTAAGGACCAGTTGCTGAAAAGTGTACTGGTATCTGCAAATGTCTAGCATTTGAAAACAATGTTTTGTTCAAAAATGAGACAAACAACCCTTTCAAGCAAACATGACCACTGTTAAGCGTCTCAGCTTTGATAATTTCTTCTTTCTCCATTTAGCCTTGACCTTGGCAGAGACAACATGATTTATAAAATGAGTAAATGTCTAGAGGGCAGAAATTATGTCATACATGTTCTGTGCTTGTCACTTTCTGTTTTAAGATATCAATCATATGACATTTGTATTAAGTAAATTTGAACATTTATGTATATTATTTGTTGCTTTGTAGAATTATTTTATAGAATATGTTTATGGTATATCTTTGCTATGTTATGATTTTTTTGTTATCCTTTTAAAGTTAATTTTTAAAATGAAGGTAATATATGTACAAGGTTAAAATAATAAAACAAAGTGTATTAGGATGTATGATAAGAAGCAGTGGTCCCTGGGTTCATCCTTCCCCATTTCAAGTCTCGTTCCTCAGGGACAACTACTTTGATCTCTTTTAACCGTTTCTTCTGTTAGTTATTGTCAACCTCTAAATATTGTGTTTATACTGTTATTTCTTTATTCTGATTGGATAAATGAGGATTTAATTAGTCTACACATCCTCATCACTGTTTCTTTCAATATTTCAATATTGTCATACCACATTCCACGTACCTTTATTGTTGGATTGCTTTGTAACTTTAATAAGTATAAGTAGACTTTTATTTCTTGTTACATTAACTACTGAGAGTATGTCAGCTTCTAACTTTGCACCCAGCCCCAGAACCAGCTACAGAATTTTTAGTGCTCAGTGGAAAATGAAAATGTAGGATCCCTTGTTCAAAAATTATTATGAATTTCAAGATGGAGACAAAAACAGTTAAGCTAAGCATGGGGACCTTCTAAGTAAGCATGGGGCCCTGTGTGAATACACTCGTTGCACACCCCAAAACTGGACCTGTTTGTACCCTATCTTACCCTTCAGCTCTCTTTCTTCCCTTCTACCTCCTAATTTCTATCATCACTTTTATTTATAATAAGATGAATAACATTTTTATTTTGTTCTATAACCCTAAATATTGCATCCATACATCCTCTATAGGTTGGGTATCCAAGATGAATATTAATGTATCATTTTGTTATTGTTGCTATGTAAATATTAATTGTAGAAACAAATAAAATTCTGTATTTCTTTCCTGGTACATCTTTTTGTTTTTCCTGGAGTTTATAATTGCTTTTCTTTTTGTCTTGACTTTGTGTATTTATCACATTTTCAGTTTTTACCAACTTTTCCCAATCTATCAAATCATTTTTTTGATCTAATTTCCTCCAGAGATACTTCCCAATATAAATGAAGAGTCCTTCCCTCTCCTTTTTCGATCTGGATCTATTTCTCTGTAGATGTGCTGCATGCCTGTTTTCCTGGAGCTTTTCTTTATTACTTTCCTGGTCTGGTCTCACCGCTTCCTTGATTCTGAGTCTTTCTTCCTCTTGGTTGATTCTTTGTATGCTCTAGCACCTCCCGAAATAACTTCTTAATACAGTGAGTGTGGGAAGAAACTTTCAAAGTCTTTCAATTTCTGAAGATGTTTGTATTTCACTTTCACCCTTGATTGATAGGTAGAAATAGAATTTTAGGTTGAAAGTAATTTTTGGTCAGAGTTTTGAAGGTATTACTCACTGTCTCTGGCATCCACTATTATTGATGAGAAGGTCACCCTGATGTTTTTTTATTTTATACTGCCCTTGATTTTTAGAGTTTCCTCTTCATTCTTGGTATTCAAAATTTCACAATGTTGTACACAGGTAAGGCACAGGTATGGGTCCTTTTTCATTGTAGTCATCTAGAAGCACTTTAAATCTGGAGATTTCTTTTATTTCTGGAAAATTCTTTTGAATGCATTGTTTGATAATTTCCTTCTCTCTGTTTCCTCCTATCTCTTTTATAAACTCCTATCAATTGGATCTTGACCTCTTGGACTGATTTGCTATGATCCTTTTTTTTTTTTTTTTTGACAAGGTCTTGCTTTGTAGTTTAGGCTGGAGTGCAGTGGTGTCCCTATGGTTTATTGAAACTGTCTCTTTTATAGTTCTCATTTTGAGGTTTTAGGTAGTTTTTCCAATTTATTTTCCAATCTTCTATTAATTTATTATGTTTTTTGATCTCATAAAGTTTAATTTTTTTTACCTTCTCTAATTTAACATTTATAACATTCTGTTCTGGCATTATGGATACAATAATCTTTCTAATCAGTCTATAAATAGGAGCCATAGAGTTGTTTAAGAATATGCTTTAGCTTTATTTATTTATTCATTCATTTATTTACTTTGGTCTTTGCTTTCAGGATGGAAACTTAAATGCTGGTGATTTTTAGCCTTCCCTTTAATTTGAAGGCGAGGCACTAAAACTTGACAGTAAGCTCTGTGAATGTGAATGGAGTTTGTGAACTCGTGGGATTTACTTCAGGATTATAGGTGGTGATAGAGCATTTTTACTGGGGGACTTCTTCCTACTGGAATGTGTAGTTCTTCCTTCTACAGTGGTGAGATGTCTTAGGATAAAGTTCTGGTTTTTTTTCTTTCCCCTGTGGAATTTTCCTCTTTGGATATTGAAGTATGTGCAATTGACTATCTCTCTCCTGCCACATCCATTTCATCTTCTGTCCTATCATTCACTGAAATCTCTCCTCCATCTCCTTTTCTATATCAGTGCTGCTTTATAATGCCTTCATTTCTTTGCTGTCATTTAAATGAGGTCTCGAAGGTGGATGCCATCTACTATGTTTATGAAGAAGTTCATCATTCTTTAAGCTGCCTATGGCATCTGAAAATGGCAAACATGCTATTGCACAATAGGTATCAACTGCTTTCATGAAAATAGAATTTCATTCCCATCACACCTCTCACTCTGTATAGTTGGAGAGAAACCAGTGTAAATTTATATAGGAAAACCATAGTATTAAGCCTCCCATTTCTGCTAGATATAAGCAGAGAAATGGGTCAAATGGGCAGAGCCTGTTAATGGAGTTTCAGAGAGAAGATAAATGTAGCCACCTGTGGTATCAACATCCATTGATGGAAGGGTAGTTGTTGTTGCTGTTATTTTTAATTAGCACTTAAAGAATTTTTAAACAATTTAAAAATGTACAAAAGAGCTTTGGGCTGCTGGATATCCTCCATGTTATCAGGTCCCATGTCATTTTATTATCTTAAAACATATTTATGGGCTAATTGAGACAGAACTGTCTTCAAGCATGTAAATAGACAGTTTAGTAAAGTGCATATCTTTTCATGCAGGTTTGGTGCAAATCCTGCAGAAGCCAGGTGTCAATGAGGGAATGAGTTGCACTGGCCACACCTGCTAACAGCACTTGTTACTTCTTCCTGCAGCCATGAAGTTGGCGATGTACACCTGCTTAACCATAGTGCCTTCTTCTTACAGGACAGTCTTTCTAGTGTAAGTTTGGGCATTAGCCTAGGAGACATCTCTAATATTTTAGAGACTTTATTAACACCCACATAAACTTCTGTCTATGGCATTTCAGTAATTTTTGTGGAGAGATTTTTACTTCCACAAAAAGCAAAGTGGCTAGCAGCTTCTGATTATGTTCTTTTTCTAATTGCCCAGCACAAACTAGGGATATTTAGCAAATATTTTTGAGCACTTAGTGCATACGTTGGCACATTAGTACACTAGACTTACAGTGAGGCTGAGGGAAATTGCTGTGAAATTTGGAAAATTGTGAACTGTAATCATGTCGATGAGCATGTTGTCTGAATACTGCAAATGGAGAGTAAATAGGTCCATTGAATAATGAACAGGAGAAATGAAATGAAGTTAGAGGAATTTAATTTTCCTAGTTAGAAAAATTTCGTTAGATAGTAGCATGGCTTATTCATTTTTATTAACTTTATAAGCAAACATTTATATAACACTAAGTGTAAAGCAATCTGCAAACACCTCATTGAATCATCACCATTTGTCAGGTATAATCTGCATTTTACAATTGAGGAAACAAAGGTTCTGAGAGGGTATAGAAGAACCCCTCATAGCATGGGCTGCATTGGAGTCTGTTTGACTTGAGAGCCTGGAATCGCCTCACACCATCTTGCCTGCCTCGCTCTCTGTCTCTGTGCAATCTTTGATGGATTCGGTTTTTTGCCTGGAACACCTTCTGTTTTGAAATTCAATTTCTTGGCTGGGCGCGGTGGCTCACGCCTGTAATCCCAGCACTTTGGGAGGCTGAGGCGGGCGGATCACGAGGTCAGGAGATCGAGACCATCCTGGCTAACAAGGTGAAACCCCTTCTCTAACAAAAGTACAAAAAATTAGCCGGGCGTGGTGGCAGGCACCTGTAGTCCCAGCTACTAGGGAGGCTGAGGCAGGAGAATGGCGTGAACCCGGGAGGCGGAGCTTGCAGTGAGCCGAGATCACGCCACTGCACTCCAGCCTGGGCAACAGAGCAAGACTCCGTCTCAAAAAAAAAAAAAGAAAGAAATTCAATTTCTCTTTTAAGTCCTGACATCAATGCCAGGCAGCATGATGTCTGCATACCTAGTAGGATCTCAGTCAGGGTTAGTTTGCTGGTATTTTTTAAATTTTTTATTTTCCAGAAGAGCTTCTCTAGCTCCCAATTTTGCGTGAATTGCTCTCTTTTCCGTTTCTTTCCCACTTTGTTTTGCTTTGCTATTTACATT
Source organism: Homo sapiens (assembly GCF_000001405.40). Lineage (NCBI taxonomy): Eukaryota > Metazoa > Chordata > Mammalia > Primates > Hominidae > Homo > Homo sapiens. Next base: position 21,773,136 of record NC_000013.11, read on the forward strand.
GTTTATGTGCATGTCTGTTTCCTCCACTAGAATGTAAGCTCTCTGAGGTCAACATGTGTTCAACTTTCTTTTTATTTAACCCTCATGGGCTGATACAGTGTCTTCTACACGTCTGACACTGTGACTTTGAGGTGGATTGAATAGGCTCATATTAAGGTAGGAATGGACAATCTTTAGTGATGGGTTTGGTTTCTCTTTTTTTTTTTTTTTATTTTGAGGTGGAGTGTCACTCTGTTGCCCAGGCTGAAGTGCAGTGGCACGATCTCAGCTCACTGCAACCTCCACCTCCTGTGTTCAAGCGATTGTCTCGCCTCAGCCTCCAAAGTAGCTGGGACTACAGGCACGTGCCACCACGCCTGGTTAATTTTTGTATTTTTAGTAGAGACGGGGTTTCACCCTGTTGGCTGGTCTCAAACTTTTGGCCTCAAGTTATCTGCCCACCTTGGCCTTCCAAAGTGCTGAGATTACAGGCATGAGCCACCGCACCTGGCCTTGGGGTTGGTCTTTATAATGCAACAGGATTAGTAATGGTCTAGTAAAGACATTTCTTCCTATTTTTTTTTCTTTTTTCTTTTCTTAAGCACTTAGTTTTCTGGGCAAGAAAGAAGAGTCCATAAAAGCTACAAGACTGCTCAGATTAAAAATATAAATGAATGTTTACTAGATTCTAAGATATTTGAAGGCCAGGAGTCTCCGTTGTTCATCTTAGTGGCCCACTCCGCAGCTACACCTTGCTTCACACATCCAGTTTGGGTTATTTTAGTGTTGCCTGGAAAGCCAAGGACAAAAATGTGCTCTAAAATATGAGTGAACCATGTAGGATGGGGTATCCCTTAAAGTTAATTTCACCCTATTGACACCACCTCATGATTGCCTAGGATTCCTAAGGGACTTTAACTAGAATTCTTCTTTTTTTTTTCTTTTTTGCAATGTTTGTATGAATTCTCTCCAGTCTTCCATTCTTGTTTCCTGCAGCATTTTTTCTTCTTATTCTTTGCTGTAATTGCTAGATATTAAAAGCCTGTATGAATGGTTATGAAACAAAATTGTATTGTGTGAATATTCTTATCCTGGGGTTTTCTTCTCTGTGATGCTGTGAGAAATCTCTTTTGTACCTCCTGTCAAGTCTTGAAAGGGATTTTTGCAACTAATTTGGGATAATAAAGGCATTCTTGCTATAATGCAGCTATTCTTTTTAGGAATATATATATATATATTTCAGTAGCTTCTATTTAAGTTTGCCAAAACTGAATGAAATTTCTAGCACAATATTTTTTAAAGCATATATGTATTTGCATATCTCCCCACCATTCTGCCCACCACCCACTCACTTTCCAAGCATCTCAGCCTGGGCGTCTGTCACACAAAACAGCTCCTCAAGTGTGCTCTGTTGTGTTCCCCATATTACAAACTAAAGGGACTGAGAAACTAGAGGTCCCTCTTAACAAACATTGCCATGGGAAGTACAAAGGTTATGATATAGTTGCTTGGTTTGAAGGTCATCTTCTTTTTGACTTAAAGTGAAACAGGCAATGGGGTATGGCAGATGAATCAATGCTTCAGGCTGACAATGCTTTGCATGGCCATTGGAAAGAAATATCCATTAAATGCCCCAAACACGCCTGTTGATCTAGATACTGAGGAATAGCTCTACACCATTGACTTCCTACCTTTGTGTTCTTTATTAAAGAAGCACATGCACTTGCTGGAAAGTCTCTTTTCCTTTCCTCTCTTCTCCAGCAAAAGCTGACCTCAGGCACACTCCCACCTTGGGATCTCCCTATCCCACTTCCTCAGGCCACATCCTTTTTAAACAAAATGGTTCTTCCCTTATGTGATGGTTAAATTTTGTGTGCCCACTTGGCTAGGCTATGGCACCCAGTTGTTTGGTCAGAGACTAGTCTAGAAGTTGCTGTGAAGGTATTTCATAGATGTGATTGACATCTACAGCCATTGACGGTAAGTAAAGATTATCCTCAATAATGTAGGTGGGCTTCATCCAGTCAGTTGGTCTTTAATTTATTTTATTTTATAGAGACAGGGTCTTGCTCTGTTGCCTGGAGTGTAACAGTGTAATCATGGCTTGAGGCAGCCTTGAGCTCCTGGGGTCAAGTGGTCCTCCGGCCTTAGCCTCCTGAGTAGCTAGGACTACAGGCATGCACCACCACACCTGGCTAATGTTTTAAAATTTTATTTGTTTATTTAGTAGAGATGGGGGTCTTACTGTGTTGTCCAGGCTGGTCTCGACAGTGATCCTCCTGGTCTCAAGTGATCCTCCCACTTCAACCTCCCAAAGTGTTGGGATTACAGGTGTAAACCACTATGCCCAGCCCAGTTGAAGGTCTTGAGGGCAAAAACTGAGGTTTCCTGAAGGAGAATGAATTCTGCCTCAAGACTGGAACATCAACTCCAGCCTGAGTTTCCAGCCTGCTGGTTTCCCCCATGGTTTTCAGACTTGCCAGCTCCCACAATTGCATAACAACATGAACCGATTCCTTAAACTGAATCTCTATGTATCTATTTACCTATCAATCAATCAATCTATCTGCCATTTGTTCTGTTGCTCTCGCAAACTCTAACTGATACATCATATTTCAAATGCCTACACACACAGCCACACCGATCATGTAGCAGGAACGTGCCCTTCGTTTGTTTTGGTTATACAGATAATTGAAGGATAATTTTAAAGACTCTTAATCACCAGTGTGTTCACTGGCCAAGCTGACCAGGGAACTCCTTCTGCAGGCGGCTTCTCTGTGTACCCAGCCATGCCTTGCGCACTCCTGCCTCGGCAGTTACGCTTTGAGGGCCCGCACACCCATGGCACTGTCTTTTTACCCATTGCTCACTTTTTCTTGGCCCTGTTTTGGAGACCAGAAATGAGCTTACAATTCAGGGGAGGAGCAAGGGGAATTGTGAGAACCATTGCTGTTTTCTTGTTGCATCTACTTTTCGTCTGAAGGTTGTTTATAACTCAATGGTTTTTCAGAGTGACGGTTTGAAGATGTTCTCCAGGTGTCCTTCCCTTGCAATGGATATATTGTAGTAAAACATGGACCTTGCGGAATTTATAAGAATTCCACAAATACACATATTCTAGTTTACCAGAGTGGAATTCTTGAGTGGAATATGTCATGACAGGTGACTATTCCCATTAGTAAGGGCTGTGGTGCAGCTCACCGCCATGAGGGACTTCCCTTTTTTTTTTGGATGGAATCTCACTCTGTCGCCAGGCCGGAGTGCAGCGGCACAACCTCGGCTCGCTGCAAACTCTGCCTCCCAGGTTCAAGCGATTCTCCTGCCTCAGCCTCCCGAGTAGCTGGGACTACAGGCGTGCGCCACCACGCCCAGCTAATTTTTGTATTTTTAGTAGAGACGGGGTTTCACCATGTTGGCCAGGATGGTCTCAATCTCTTGACCTCGTGATCCGCCTGCCTCGGCCTCCCAAAGAGCTGGGATTACAGCTGTGAGCCACCGTGCCCGGCCAAGGGACTTCCTTGCACAACCAGAGAGAGAGGATTAGAGGGGAACGAAACAACTGGAACTGTAAGGGTCGCCTTGGGTTAAGAGGTGATGATGGAAGTGAGGGCCCCACGGAGCCTTGTGGATTGAAAAGGGATTTCCTGGAGGGAGCCTGCTCCTAGGCTCTGGCCCTCTGCTCTGTGACAGGTGAAGGCAGAACCTGCATGGGTTTCCTCCCGCAGGTGAGTCAACCCCCTTTCCATGTGGGAACACTGAGTGTCATCAGCCTTTCCACTGAACATCGAAGGGAATTTGCTGTAAAATAGCCGTAAGTTTGAAAAAAGTTAATGAAAAAATAGGATTTTACTTTAAGAAACTTGTCTTCAGCTTCTCTGGTATATACTAGTCTATAAGGTGAGAGAGACTTTCAGCACAGGCTAAGAATTTTCGGCTTTTACTGCTTACACTTTACTGTCACGTCACCTTCTAGTTATCTTTTTGGCCTTCTGTGCATACTTTTGAGGTTTCAACTTTCTTAATCATTTTTTTTTTCTCTAAACCTTCTCTCATTTGCTTACATTTCCCTGGTAATTGTGTGGCTAATGGAGCCTTTGTGAGTTCCTGTCCAGGGAATGGGAGGAGAAAAGACTAATACAAATTCAGGTCTTACTTCACTTCATCCTGAAACCCTTCCAATTTTTATGAAGCTGGATGAGCATTGACTTGGCTGATACCATTTAATAAGCGAAATATCTTCCTAAGCCTGGTAGGAGTTGTGGCATTAGATAGGCTTGTCTCTGAAGCCCAGCTCCACCCTTTACTAGCTATGTGGCCTCAAACTAATTAATCACTCAGTGTCTCAGTTTTCTTATCATAAAACATGACAAATAATGTCTATTATGCAGATTACATAACACAACAAATATAAAAGAGTGGGTGTTTCATATTTATAATTATTGGACACCATTATTATTAATGATCAAGGACTATTTGTCACTCAAGAAAAAACTAATCCACATTGTATCTGCTCTGAAGATTTTTTACCTATTTCTTTTTATCTTTCCTATCTTTTTCTTTTGCTTTCATAAGAATAAAAAGTAATAGCAAGTTAAAATTGTTTTAGTCCCATAATATGAATTAGTCTGAGGAGAAGAAACCTTTTGGAACTTCCAAGAAAATGAAATTTAAGGGTCTTTATCAGCTGTGTCACCATGGAGACCAAAATGCGTGGTCACCGTGGTGACCTTCATCAACTCTCTCCACTGAAATTATTACCATATAAAATTAGATATGGCTGCTGTTATGAAAAGACAGAGTATAAATAAGTTGAACTATCTGGATGATAATGCTGGCTGAACTCGGTATCCTGGTGCAGTTCTAAAAGTGTTATTGAATGGTAAGCTGACACCCTGCTAGATTCTTCACATAACCAACTCTGGCTCTGCCCTTTAACTGCTGGGCTGGTGGAACATACTTGGATGGGGCTGTTCCTTGTTTCCTCTTTAGTCTCCTGCCTCATTCAAGGCAACCTTCCTGTGTCTTTGCTTTTTTAGGGCTGCCTTTGGTGTTACCTATTGCTTCTCTGAAGGTTACTCCATGAATTCTGATATGTCTGTAAAAAAAAAAAAAATCCAAATGACTTTATAAAAATTGCCGTCAATAGGTAATGTAGTAATAGTAGTAGTTTTGTTTTGGATAATTGTTTTTGAAAAAGAGATAATCAGGTGGGGTGCAGTGGGTCACATCTGTAATCCTAGCACTTTGGGAGGCCGAGGCAGGTGGATCACTTGAGGTCAAAAGCTCGAGACCATCCTGGCCAACATGGTGAAACCCCGTCTCTGCTAAAAACACAAAAAATTGGCCGGGTGTGATGGTGCGCTCCTGTAATCCCAGCTACTTGGGAGCCTGAGGCAGGAGAATTGCTTGAACCTGGGAGGCAGAGGTTGCAGTGAGTCAAGATCGCACCACTGCACTCCAGCCTGGGTGACATAGTGAGACTCTGTCTCAAAAAGAAAAATAAAAAAAGAAAAGAAAAGAAAGAAAAAGAGATAATCAACTCAGTTCTTATGTAATATGCTAAGGTGCATCTCATAATATGCCACAAATTATGTACATGAACACCTTGTTTCATTGCACTTTATATTGCGCCTAATAGATACTGAGTTTTTTTTTTTTTTTTTTTTTTACAAATGGAAGGTTTGTGGCAGTTCTGTGTTCAGCAAGTTTATCGGGGCCATTTCTCCTTTATTTATTTATTTATTTATTTATTTTTTTAACTCCATTCTCTTGCCTCAGCCTCCCGAGTAACTGGGACTACAGGCGCCCGCCATCATGCCCGGCTAATTTTTTTGTGTGTGTTTAGTAGAGATGGGGTTTCACCGTGTTAGCCAGGATGGTCTCGATCTCCTGACCTCGTGATCCGCCCTCCTTGGCCTCCCAAAGTGCTGGGATTACAGGCATGGGCCACCGCACCCGGCCTATTGGGGCCATTTTTCGTTTTCTTTCTTTTTTTTTTTTTGAGACGGAGTCTCGCTCTGTCACCCAGGCTGGAGTGCAGTGGCGCTATCTCGGCTCACTGCAAGCTCTGCCTCCCCAGTTCACGCCATTCTCCTGCCTCAGCCTCCCAAGTATATCGGGGCCATTTTTCTAACATCATGGGCTCATTTTGTGTCTCTGTGTCACATTTTGGTAATTCTTACAATATTGGAAATTTTTCATTATTATATCTGTTACGGTGATCTGTGATCAGTGATCTTTGATGTTACTATTGTAATTGTTTTGGGGTGCCACAAACTGTACCCCATATACAACGGTGAATTTAACTGACCAACATGTGTGTTCTGACTGCTCCACTGGCAGGCTGTTACCCAATCTCTCTCCTTCTTCTCAGGCCTCCGTATTACCTGAGATACAACAATATTGAAATGAGGCCAATTAATTACCCTACAATGGGCGTAAGTGTTCAAGTGAAAGGGTCGCACATCTCTCCTTTTAAATAAATGAAAAGCTAGGAATGATTAAGCTTAGTGACAAAGGCATGTTGAAAGCCAAGACAGGTCCAAAGTTTGGTCTCTTGTGCCAAACAGGCAGCCAAGTTGCAGATGCAAATGAAGAGTTCTTGAAGAAAATTAAAAGTGCTACTCCAGTGAACATGTGAATGATAAGAAAGTGAAACAGGCTTATTGCTGACATGTAAAATGTTTCAGTGGCCTGGATAGAAGATTGAACCAGCCAATAACATAGCCTTAAGCCAAAACCCAATCCAGAGCAAGGCTCTCTCTTCGATTCTTTGAAGGCTGAGAGCAGTGAGGAAGCTGCAGAAGAAAAGTCTGAAGCTAGCAGAGGTGAATTTATGAGGTTTAAGGAAAGAAGTTGTCTCCATAAACTAAGTGCAAAGTGAAGTAGCGAGTGCTGATATAGAAGCTACAGCAAGTTCTCTAGAAGATCTAGCTAAGATCATGGATGAAGGTGGCTTCACTAAACAATGGATGTTCAGTGTAGATGAAACAGCCTTCTCTTGGAGGAAGATGCATCTAGGATTTTCATAGCTAGAGAGGAGAAGTCAATGCTCACTTCAAAGGACAGGCTGACTATCTTGTTAAGTGCTAATGAAACTGGTGACATGAAGTTGAAGCCAGTGTTCACTGACCTTGAAAATCCTAGGGCCCTGAAGAATTATGCTAAATCAACTTTGTGTGTTCTAGAAATGGAACAACAAAGGCTGGATGACAGCACATCTGTTTACAACATGGTTTACTGAAGGTTTTAAGCCCAGTGTTGAGACCTATGTCTCAGAAAAAAAGAATATTCCTTTAAAAATATTATGGTTCATTGACAATGCACCTGGTCTCTGAAGGGCTCTGATGAAGATGTACAAGGAGATTAATGTTGTGTTTATGCCTGCTGACACAATATTCATCCGGAAACCTATGAATTAAGGAGTAATTTTGACTTTCACATCTTATTATTTAAGAAATACATTTCATAAGGCTATGGCTGCCACAGATAGTGATTCTTCTGATGGATCTGGGAAAAGTACATCAAAAACTTTCTGGAAAGGATTTACCATCCTAGATGTCATTAAGAACTCTTGTGATTCATGAGAGGAGGTCAAAATTCTAACATTAACAGGCCTTTGCAAGAAGTTGATTCTCTCATGGATGACTTTGAAGGGTTCAAGACTTTAGTGGAAAGAATAACTGCAGAGGTGATGAAAGCAAGAGAAGTAAAATTAGACGTGGAGCCTGAAGATGTGACTGGATTGCTGCAATCTCATGATCAAACTTGACTGAATGAGGAGATGCTTCCTATGGATGAGCAAAGAAAGTGGTTTCTTGAGATGGAACCTACTCCTGGTGAAGAGGCTTTGAATGAACATTGTTGAAATGACAACAAAGTATTTAGAATATTCCATGGACTTAGGTGACAAAGCAGTGACAAGGTTTGAGAGGATTGACTCCAATTTTGAAAGAAGTTCGACTGTGGGTGAAATGCTGTCAAACAGCATCACATGCTACAGAGAAATCTTTGATGAAAGGAAGAGTCAAATGAAGCATCAAATGTCACTGTCTTATTTTAACAAATCGCCACAGTCACCCAAACCTTTAGCTACTACCACACTGATCAGCCAGCAGCCATCAACATTGAGTCAAGGCCCTCTACCAGCAAAAGCGTTATGACTCACTGAAGGCTCAGAGAACTGTTAGCATTTTTTTAGTAATAAAGTATTTTTAAATTAAGGTATGTACATTGGTTTTTTAAAGACATAATGCTATTGTATACATACTTAGTTTACTATAGTATAGTGTAAATGTAACTTTTATATGCACTGGGAAACCAAAAACTGCATGTGACTGACTTCATTGAGATATTCACTGTATTGCAGTACTCTGGAACTGAACTTACAATATCTCTGAGGTATGCCTGCATGTGAAATGAATCTCTCTGTGTTTAGAAATCAGTCACGTCCAAGTGTGTGATAGGCTATTAGTTTATGTGGGAGGTATAAACAATATTCACAGTGTGGATTAAAGAGGAAGTGCCCACGTTCGCCAACAATTAGGTTCCCTGGTGCAGGGTGGTCCCCTGGGCCTGGTGATGACCTCTGTCAGACTCAGTGAGAGTTGGTTGTGTTGATGGAGGTGGGGTCAGGGTGGGGAGTGAGTGACAACCAGAGTTCAACAAGACAGGGAGGCCATAGAGAGCAAGGGCCATGCAGGCATGCAGACACTGTTGGACAGCTCTGAGGAGGAAATCTTGCCTAAAAATTGTCCCTGGATTCAGGATACTCCAATTTTGAGTTAGGGATCTCAAAACATTCTTTTTTAAAAAATAATTTATCCATCCTACACAACTGAAACTTTGTACCCTTTTACCAACATCTCCCAAGAACACTCTTAAGTGAGAACATTTTGTAGTCAGTTTAAAATTTCAAAGCAGAGCAGGCATCTCTTCAAGTACATCTTTTCATACATTGCCTGGAAATGCTCAAAAGATGCTGCATTTTAATGGAAAAATGAACTCGGGATTATTGGTCTTGTGAGCAAAATGACTTCTAAAACCCAGACTTCCCAAAGGAATGAACTTAAGTTTTTTGTGGCCCACCCCAAAGGTCATGGCAGACTTCCCCACAAGGCACACTGACCAGATTGCTGGGATTCTTCTGGTGGAAGTGACATTGAGTTTGTGAATTGAATGCCTCCTGCAAACTCAGATATTTACGATCTTAAGCCAAACTTAGTCCTTTGGGTCTGGGGATTGATTTCCCTGGGCAAAATGTTGAACTCTAGTCCTAAGAAAAAAGTCTTTGAAAAACTCTTTGGACATGGAATTAGCTCTACAAAGTAACATTTTGGTGCTTTAAAGTATAAACTAACCAAAAACACATGATTTCAGCTTCCCATAAATCACAGAGGGTTTTGCCTAAGAGAAAAATGCATGGCAAAACACATCACGAATAAACAATTTAAGGCAATAATCAGGTTGCACAAGTAGGTCAAGGATTGGGGAAGGTGACATACAAATTTGCATTCAGGTGGAGCATGGAGGGACGTGTTAGCATTAGCCCACGTCTGGTGAGAGACAGGATACCAGGAGTGCTGTTCTAAGGTGAGAGAGTGATTTTTGGTCTCTTGGTTCACTTGAAGCCTGAGCTATCTAATATAAACTTTTATTTGGAATAATTTAGAGAAAATAAGACCAAGTTATTACAAATCTCAAATACAGAATTTATTGAGGAAATGAACTTTTACTAGTCTTCAAATAATATGACTTCCCTGTTAACATTGCTCACTCATCATCACCTGTACTAATGGATTGATAAGAGAGATTTACAATCAGCACATGTGAGCAGAACTTTTGAACTGTGTAAAGGTCTTGAGTGGGAAACATTGCCAGGATTTTAAAATATCCTGCATTTGATATTCTTGGCATTGTAATTTGCCTTGTTCGTGAAGCAATTCTTCTCGAAGGAAGGTCTTTGATGAAATGATCACAGCACTTGGCAATAGTTGAGTCAGGACAAATGTGGCTTTATGTATAAAAACACTCATTTGACTTGCATTTAGGTTGTGAGGTTTGTTGGGAATTTCCTGGACTCTTCATGACTCCTAGGCAAGAGTTCTTTTGAGAAGCTGGGGGTAAGGGAGTGAGGGGTAAAGTATTGAGTATCTTCTGTGTGTCAGGATATTGTGCTTTTCAAGATGTCCTTTTGTAGAATACTTAAAGAAGTTCTTTAAGAAGGCTTATTATCTTAATTTTACAGGCAAGGAAACTAAAGCTGGGGAGATAACGATCATTTAAACAAGATCCACAGTGACCATCATTTCTCCACCTGATGTCGAGCAACATTGTCCAGGATTGGAAAATGCTTGAGTTGGATCAACTTACAGTTTATCAGATTTGCAAAATCTCCTAAAGATGGCCTTGCTCTCTTCTCCAAGGCTGACGACTGGAATGGGAACTGAGGACGCATAAATTAAAAGACTAAAAAGACCAATCCTCTTTTTAATTAAAACAAAGTCCTTTATTACATGAGCACTGGCATTGGTCAAAGCGTGAAGAGCATCAGGATGCCTGGCTTTGAATCCCGAGGTACCACGTGGCAGCACAAAACTCATCAGAGCTTGTTTGTGACGGAGCTGAGTCCAGATGATTGGAGATGAGTCCACATTAGGTCCCTTGCAGTAACAACAAAATAAGTAGCACAAGAACAAATAGTAACAAAATAAGTAACAATAAAATAAGTAAAATAACACAAGTAAATAAAATAAGAATTTAAGTAAAGGACCCAACTTTGTGCAAATTTTGACACTTAGCGGTAAGTACTTACGAGGATAGTCTGTTACTTTGTAGTCAATTTCTGTTAGTGCACAGATGATATCCTAAGTTCACAGAACTTTTCAAGCATCCTAATTGTCAGAGGAAGCTAATCCAGTTGTCCTTCTGGTGCCCGAGTGGTGACCATGCTGTGTTGTTAGAGTCTGGCAGGAATAATATTCCATGTGGGATCTGTGTTCAGTGATGGAAATTTCTCCAAGTGTTGCCTCTAAGAGTCGAGGTGAATTCACCTACTTGGTATGTGGCTGTTTAGGCAACAAGTAATGTCTTTCCTCACTACGATGAAAGCTAGAACATTCGTTGGTTAATATTACAGCCCCTTTTTAACCAAAATAGGATTTGATAAATGGGGTTTAAAAACTCAGGAAAAATTTCTAGTCAAAATTATTATCTCCATCTATGTTAAGAATCACTTGGGACTGGTCTGGCAACAGGAGAAAAGGTGAGGTTAGAGGGGCACCAACAGCTGCTTTCATGTTCCATGATGATACGTCCTATACCCTGTGCTGAAAAGGATGCTTCAGGATGATCATCTTTTATTAACCTCAAAAAGTTTGAGTTTTAATATGTTTGTAGATGGGTAAGTTGGGTTCTGAAGGTTAACCTTGTCTATTTTTTTTTCCAGAGTAGACAGTGTTGTTGAATTGTATGAAAAAAGAAAATCATTCGGAAGGCGCTCTTTTCACTACTCAGATTACTTTTCAAAGCCTAACTCAAACCTGGGCCTTTATACGGGTTCCAATCAGCAACAGCAGGAGGCAGCCAAAAGAGTGGTTCCTGGAAAGTGATCACATCTTTTGTTTATTTGGCAGCCTTTCTCGCATGGTCTATTAGACTGTGACTAATTTTTTTGACCTCGTAGTTTAGAGGACCTTTACGCCCTGAAGGGGAGAAAAATGGTGGAGAGGACTTGACCTTGTTTGCCTATCGAATTTTCCAAGAAGGAGTCCTGCCATCATGTCCTAAATGTCAGAGCTCTTGTCGCTGTACTTATTCTCCCAGTGAAGAAGACTCTGAGTCTCTCTCTCTCCAAGCAAGCCACCTTTGGAGCTGTTTTAACTCTGTCCAATCACAAGGAGCTTAATGAATCCTTTTCCACGGCCTCTCAGCTGAACTCATCTTGCCTTTCCATCTCCTTTGCTGATTTGGACAACTTGTTTGCAGTTGGGACAGCCTGCCTTGAGATAGTGTAAGAGACTTCATTCAGGAGATGTGAATGGAACATTTGCCGTGTGCTGGGCACAGGACTTGGCAGGTTGGGCCCTGGGGTTGGAGAGCTGAGCAAAACAGAGGCATGACTGTTAGGAAAGGTGGACGCTGAATGCAGGAATATGGGGACAGAGGCAGGGTATGGAAAGAGACGGTCACGGGGGATCCAGGGCCAGCTTTCTGAAGGTGAGATGGTTGATTGTCTGTGACCAAAGCAGCCTTCAGGTGAGAGCAGGCCAGAGAGCAGTGGCGGTTTGGGCACTCTGGGGCTGGAGAGAGCCGAATGTGGCTGTCTAAGTGAGAGAGGTCAGACTTCTGGGGCAGAGAGAGGACAAGGGAGAGAGCCCAGAACGGGGCATACAAGCTGGGGCACGGGGCTTGACCTGGGCCTGTTCGCTCATTGGTTCTCTCTCCTGTTAGAGGGTCAGCTCCTGGGAGCAGCAGTGTCCAGTATATGCCTGTGAACAAATGAGCTTTATTCAGGAGGTTTAATCAGTTGTTGATGAATAGCCGCCAAAGACAATTCCAGTCAAGCCGCAGAAGATTCCATCTTTTTTCTGTGTAATGGTGATTATCCCTGCATTGGCAGCCCCTTTGAATCAGACTATCCCGAGTTTGAGAAGGATGGCTGAGTGTGTAGATTTGAAGTCTCAGGGTTCGAAAAGAAAACCTCAAAAGTCATTCTGGCCCCCTCTCCACTTGATTATGGTATTATAATTCAGCATGTTGAGGGTGACGTTGAAAGGAAATTGTGAACGAAGGCAAACTTAGGGAAAACTTGATCAGACAGAAAGTCTTAGGGAAAATTCCTGGCTTTCTCCTTTTCCCTCCAATCTCTTTCATATCCCACGCTTTACCCCTGAAATCCAAAATCTTATAAGTTTTTAGGAGAGAAAGCCACACGTCAGAGAGAACTTTATGGAATAGTTTATTCTATCTATCTATCTATCTATCTATCTATCTATCTATCTATCATCTATCTATCAATCATCTATCAATCATATCTATCACAATCTATCAATCTATCCTATCTATAATCTATCAATTAATCAATCATATCTATCATCATCTATCAATCTATCCTATCTATCATCTATCTATATCTATCATCTATCTATCATATCTATTCTATCATATCTATCTACCATCTATCTATCTATAATATCTATCTATCTAATCTATCTATCTAACAGGAATCAAATAACAATTTGGGAGATTTTAGGTACACCTAATATGAATCTAGAAAAATCCTCTCTTGAAAATCACTAAGAAGCAAAGCAGTTCGAGTCTTACAAGTTACTCTGTAAAAGTGCTTACAAACTTTAAAAAAAACTAATATTTTTTTCCTCCACAATCATCCTCATGTTGCTTAGATTCACATTCTGGGTGGCATACTAGGTTTTTAATGAATATAAGATAAATTATATTAATCAAAACAACAAGAATAGTTTTATCAATTAAATTTGATTATAAAATCTTTAAAGCACGTAGAAGCATACAGGCAGAAATATAATGTTTTGCCATATATCTTTTAAAGAAAATAAAATTAGAGGGACAGTTGAAGTCTTGCCACAGTCCTCCATCCCACACTGAGCCATTTAGTTTCTCATCCTTCCCACCAAGAGGCAATCCTTATATTGAAGTAGGTATGTAGTATTTACATCAGTGTTTTAATACCTTCATTACAAAACTAATACCACATTCTTCTTTCATCTCTACTATAGAGTTATGTATAAAATTAAAATAACATATAGTATTGGTTTGGGTATTTAAAAAATTGCAAACACAGTATGCTACTGTACAGTTTCTATGTTTTCACACTATCACTCTCTCTCATCATGTTTTGGAGACCTAGCCATGTAAATATACATAGATGTCGTCAATCCATTTTAAATGTTCTTTATTATGCCACTGTATAAATATGCCAGAATGTATCTATTCCCAATTGATTTTCAAATATATCAAGGTATATTTGTTTCCAACATTTTCCCTATTAAAGTGTTACAAAGAACTTTCTTACCCATATCTCCATGTGCACCTGTGTTTGGAACTTCTTTAGGGTATATAACTAGAGGTGGAGTTATTGGGTCTTGGGCAATGGTGTCTTTAGCTTTATTAGATCTATCTTGCCAAATGGCTCCCGGATGTGATGGTACCAATCAATTCTCCCAGGAACCTATAAACAGAGTGTGGAGTTCTTACCACTCCATGTTCTGGCCCTCATTTGGTATTTCTAAACTTAAGAAATTGCATTTCAACTTATTTTTTACTTTCCTGATTACCAGTTGGGTGGATCCTCTTTTTATATATTTTTTGGGAATTTTAGATTTTCTCTTCTGTGCATTGTCTGCTGATGTCCTTTTCCTGTGTTCATTTTCTCTTTTGACTTTTTCTTATTTGCTCATGGGAGATATTTATATATTCTGGATACTCAATTTTTCTTTGCAATTTGTATTCTTATGTATTTTCTCACAGTGTAATTTTCTAATAGAGGACAGACAAACAGACTATGCAGAAAGAAAACTTTTCACCTCATTAGGAGATCTGAGTTTCTGTTCCAGTTTTGCTACCAACTTGCTATTTGACCTTGGACAAGTTGTTTCATTTTCCTGGAATGTAGCTACCATAGCTTTAAAGTCATAGAATTTCATCCCAGAGTCTCAGTCTCTTCTATCAGATATACAATACTATCAGAGTTAGATAAGATTAATTGAAGACAGGGTTATGCCCAAATTAGGGAAAATCCTGGATGCTAGAGTATTGAAAACCAGACTGATAATACCTAATCTTTATAAATCATAGAATTTAAAAAACACTGTTTTCATAGTCAAATATGTCTATCATATCTATCCTATCTATCATCAATCAATCATATCTATCATCATCTATCAATCTATCATATCCTATCTATCTATCTATCATCTATCATCTATCAATTAATAGATGCCTGAGGGCAGGCACCATGTATGCTTGCCTGCTGGGGGATATCCTGTGCCTTAAATAATGGCTGCATGATCTTTTTTAAAAGGAAATAAAAATAGGGGGACAGTTGAATGCTCACCACAATCCTGGCCCAATCCATCTCAAGATGAATGGTTTGTTGAATGACAAAAAATCAGTGATCAGCTTATTAGGTATATAATCAATAACTTGGTACTTACCTATCAGGGGTAGTACTTAAGAATGTTTTACCTTCTCCCTCTGAGGTGCGTTAACATTCCCCTGCAATCTTACTTTATTAGTAGAAGAATAACTTTTTTTTTAATGATTATAACTTTGTACCAGTGGAGTCTGACTTAATAAATTTTTATTGTGATTCAAAATGAGAGTTATTTTAACTTGTTGGTGCTTCTATATTTTCTTTTCCTGGTTTTTTTTTTTTTTTTTTTTTTGACAGAGTCTTGCTCTGTTGACAGGCTGGATTGCAGTGGTGCAATCTCAGCTCACTGAAACCTCCACCACCGGGGTTCAAGTGATTCTCCTGCTTCAGCCTCCCGAGTAGCTGGGACTACAGGCTCATGCCACCACACCCAGCTAATTTTTCTATTTTTAGTAGAGTTGGGGTTTCACCATGTTGGCCAGGATGGTCTTGATCTCCTGACCTCGTGATCCGCCTGCCTTGGCCTCCCAAAGTTCTAGGATTACAGGCGTGAGCCACCGTACCCGGCCAGTACTTCTATATTTTCTAGAAAGAATAAAAATGATCATAATAATTAACAAAACCACTTATTACTTTCTTCCCATTGGCCCAAAAAAGCAACTAGAGACACACTCTAAATTTTAAATGAGAATATCCAATCTGTCTCATGGCTGATTGGTTTCAGGAAAATGAATTTGGGTTTGTTTTATCTCTTCATGGTGACTCTCGTTTCTGAATTGAAGTAGGAGTTGATCATCAACTTTCTCATTGTGTAGCTGCATTTGCAAAACTATTTAGCATCCCCTAAGACTAGGATTGGTTAAACGGTGTTCTACTTTCCATTTCTCTGTAGTAGAACCTAGAATCTTCCCTTGGTGGGTCCCTATATTAGTCTATTTTCACACTGCTGATAAAGACATACCCGAGACCCGGAAGAAAAAGAGATTTTTTTTTTTTTTTTGAGACGGAGGCTCGCTCTGTGGCCCAGGCTGGAGTGCAGTGGCGCATCTCTGCTCACTGCAAGCTCCGCCTCCCGGGTTCACGCCATTCTCCTGCCTCAGCCTCCTGAGTAGCTGGGAATACAGGCACCCACCACCATGCCCGGCAAATTTTTTTCTATTTTTTAGTAGAGACGGGGTTTCACCGTGTTAGCCAGGATGGTCTCGATCTCCTGACCTCGTGATCCACCCGCCTTGGCCTCCCAAAGTGCTGGGATTACAGGTGTGAGCTACCAAGCCCGGCCAAGAAAAAGATATTTAATTGGACTTACAGTTCCACATGGCTGGGGAGGCCTGAGAATCATGGCGTGGGGTGAAAAGCACTTCTTAATGGCAGCTGCAAGACATAAGTGAGGAAGAAGCAAAAGCAGAAACCCCTGGTAAACCTATCAGATCTTGTGAGACTCATTCACTATCACTGGAATAGCAGGGGAAAGACCGGCCCTTATGATTCGATTACCTCCCCCCAGGTGCCTCCCAAAACACGTGGGAATTCTGCAAGATACAATTCAAGTTGAGATTTGGGTGGGGACAAAGCCAAACCATATCAGTCCCACTGCTAATAAGTTCTATTGTTTCTTTACGAAATATTTGAGTCAAGTGACTGACAGAGAGCTTCCCATCTTGTTGCTAAGTGACCTGCTGTTCACATGGCTGTGTTTTGCCCATCTTGCTTAGATCTGCCTTGTCCATGAGAAGTCCTGCCTGGGATGCAGAGCAGTTTCCCTCCCAGGTGCCTCCCGCAATTCCCCTTACAGGGTGGCGCTCATTACTCACTAGATGGACTTCTCCGCTGCTGTGTGGGAGAACTCATGTTTCCCCAGAGGGGAGGGAGAGATACTTTCCCCCAACTACTTCTAGATTCTTTTTCCACTGTGCTTTTTTTTCATGAGAGAAGACTGTTCCAGTAGTGTCAAGGAGATATGCTGCTGGCATTAGGAGCTGGAACTGCCATTACTGGGTTAATTGGAGTCAGGGTCAAGTCCTGGTTAAGAATGCCAAGAGACACTAACAAACTGAAGGGGCGATTGGGATATGAATCAAGACACTCACTTAGAAGACAGAGATGGAGATTTTATTCTGAGGTCAATCTTTATAACAAGAAACAGAATCAGGCTGGGCAGGGTGGCTCATGTCTGTAATCCCAACGCTTTGGGAGGCTGAGGCAGGAGGATTGCTTGAGCCCAGGAGTTCATGACAAGCCTAGGTAACACAATGAGATCCTGTCTGTACAAACAATAAAAATAAAAAATTATCCAGGTGTGGTGGTGTGTGCCTCTAGTCCCAGCTACTCAGGGGGCTGAGGCAGGAGGATTTCTTGGGCTCAGTGGTTCTGGGCTGTAGGGTGCTATGCCAATGGATGGGGTGTCTGTGATAAGTTCCACATCAAGATAGTGACCTTCTGGAATCAGGAGACCACTAGATTGCCTAAGGAGGGGTGAGCCAGCCCAGGTCAGGAAGGGAACAGGTCAGAACTCCCACACTGGTCAGCAGATCAGTAGAGGGATCTGTGTATAGCCACTGCCCTCCTCCAGCCTGGGCAAAATAGGAAGACTCTGTCTCTATCATAAAAAATAAATAAAAGACCAAAGGGGGGTGGTAGAGGAAGTCCTCCATTTGGTCTCTTAGGCCAGGATGGGGTAGGGCTGGAGGGAAAGACCATCTGAGTCTCTGACTGTACCTGATGTGGCTCACAGAGGACTTTCCTACCTCTTTGGTTCTTTAGGGAGTTCTGACT
The DNA here is from genome assembly GCF_000001405.40 of Homo sapiens. NCBI lineage: Eukaryota > Metazoa > Chordata > Mammalia > Primates > Hominidae > Homo > Homo sapiens. The sequence goes on from NC_000013.11 coordinate 21,791,020, forward strand.
CAGGATTTCTTAGCAATGGCCAATTCTTCTACATACAAATCTGTTTCTTTCTTTTCCTTTCCATGCCCCATCTTTGGACATCCAGTCATGAAAGGGAGGCCAGTAGATTTATCAGTTTATAGATAGGAAAAGAAAACATGTGGCTTTGGGTATAAGTGCACTTAAGAAGTCGTATTTGGCCGGGCGCGGTGGCTCACGCCTGTAATCCCAGCACTCTGGGAGGTCGAGGCGGGTGGATCATGAGGTCAGGAGATCAAGACCATACTGGCTAACATGGTGAAACCCCGTCTCTACTAAAAATACAAAAAATTATCCGGGCGTGGTGGCGGGCGCCTGTAGTCCCGGCTACTCGGGAGGCTGAGGCAGGAGAATGGCATGAACCTGGGAGGCGGAGCTTGCAGTGAGCCAAGATCGCGCCACTGCACTCCAGCCTGGGCGACAGAGTGAGACTCCATCTCAAAAAAAAAAAAAAAAAAAAAAAAAGAAAGAAAGAAAGAAAAAAAAAAGAAGTCGTGTTCTAGCACGGCCACTTTCTTATAATTTTAAGTATATTTCAGAAAGCCATCTGTATAGAAAATATTCTCCTATAAACATATAATTGCTAAGGTAATCTTTGATATTGGTTAGAAATCCCTAGAGCTTTACCCTGAAAGGGCCATTTCTAAGATTTATAAAAAGGTAAACTGAATGGGGACAATGACCATGAGGTTCTATGCAGATCACTGGCCTGGAGGATTTTCATAACTTTTCTCCTGTTTTATATTTGTGCTAGTAATATAATACACTGGTTGAAATCAGGGAACTTGGAGGAATAAACAGCTCTGTTTTCTATGAACTGTAGGTAGCTAGCTAGCTGCTTCTGCTAGAGAGAGGAGCAAGGACTAGAATGACACACTTGCAAGTGTCCTTACACAAAGCTGTCCACGTGTCCAGAGCCATGACAAGCTAGGGGACTGTGACAATAAAAGACAACGGTTCCGGCCGAGTTGGTCCCATCCAAGGCTGGGCAGAGGGTGAGGGCTGCATGAACGGTGACTCACAACCTTTCCATGGATTCCATTTCCCTCCCTACCTTGGCCCTGTCTGAGATCCCGTGACTTCACGTCCACGCGAGAACTCTCCAAGTGCCCCGGGCTCCTCAACCACCTCTATCTTTTTTTTTTTTTTTTTTTTTTTTTTTTTTTTTTTTGAGACAGAGTGTCGCTCTGTCGCCCAGGCTGGACTGCAGTGGCGGCAATCTTGACTCACTGCAAGCTCCGCCTCCCGGGTTCACTCCATTCTCCTGCCTCAGCCTCCCGAGTAGCTGGGACTACAGGCGCCGGCCGCCATGCCCAGCTAATTTTTGTATTTTTAGTAGAGACAGGGTTTCACCGTGTTAGCCAGGATGGTCTCGATCTTCTGACCTCGTGATCTGCCCGCCTCGGCCTCCCAAAGTGCTGGGATTACAGGCGTGAGCCACCGCGCCCGGCCCCATCCACCTCTGTTTTGTCTTCACTCCATTCCATGCTGTGCAGCCTGCGGCAGCTCCTTCATTCAACTCGACACAGCATCAATAGCAGAATTCACAATCTCCGCGCTGAGTCAGCTCCTTCTCATGACACCATCTGTCACTTGTGACTCCAGGTTCGTCCGTCTCCTTCCTCTGCTGTGCCTCTCCCTGTTGCTCAGTTGCTAAATCCTGGAAGCTGATTCGTTGATGCTGCCTTCATTGGTGCTGTAGCGGCTTCACTGATGTTGACACCCAGCTCCTCCTTCCCTCCGTCTCTCTCCACACCTCTCTCAGCTCCTTTAGCAATACTCCTCTGGCTCACAGCAATGTTTTCTTTACTCATCTGTCTGTCTTCTGGCCTTGCCCTTCTCTTTTTCCTGCACACAACTCCCTGCCTCGTCACCCTGAGCTTGGCTTTGATCATGAGAGTCCTCTGGTCAAAAATCTTCATTGGCTTCTCTTGGTTGCCCACTGAGTGAAGCCACCTCTCCCTATGAGACCTACTCATAGACTTCATGACTTGGCCCAAATTATCTTTCCAGCCCCAGACTCCAGCCAACTGTACTGTCCCAGGCACCTGAACATCGTGCGGTCCCTGCTGAACAGCCCTTTCTCCTTGACCCGGTTCATCTGTTGCAATCCCATCTTCTAGGGCTTAGATAAAGGAGCAATTCACAGAAGCTGCATTCACCCCCCTGAAACTCTGAAAATGACTCCACACCTCCTGATTTCTACAAAACTTTGTATCTTCTTACAAACTTTATTACACCGGTGTAGGATTATATTTATGTGGGATTATGCCTTATTTACCACGAGATTATAATTTCCTGAGGTTACGCACCATTATTTTCTCAATGTCGTTTCTACTGCACTGGGCCATCAAGCATGCTTTTAAGGGATTGAAGGCCTGAGTGAATGAATGAATGAATGTCCCCCTTAAAGAGTAATTTTTCTAAACATTAGAACATAGACATATTTAAATACAATAATTATATCAGTACTAGTTAATGTTTATGTTCAGACATTTAAACAGTTTCACTGATAAAGAAAAAAACAGAAAATAATTTTTTGCACTTAATACTAGCTACACCTAGGAAACACTGGGCATATTGGATCATAAGGCTGCTATTTTCCAAAACCTTCTTATAAATGCCTCCAGAGCTACTGTATTAGTCAGGGTTCTCTAGAGGGACAGAATAGGATACATAGATATGTATATTTGTAATATATGTTATATTTATATTATAAATATACAATATGTGCATTATATATTTATAATAAATATATTTATAAAAACATATTTAATATATATTTACATATATAATATATATATTATATATGTGTGTATATATATATGTATATATATATAAAGGGGAGCTTATTAAGTATTAACTCACATGATCACAAGGTCCCACAATAGGCCGTCTGCAAGCTGAGGAGCAAGGAGAGCCAGTCCGAGTCCCAAAACTGAAGAACTTGGAGTGTGACGTTCGAGGGCAGGAAGCGTCCAGCACAGAGAAAGATGTAGGCTGGGAGGCTACGCCAGTCTCACCTTTTCATCTTTTTCTGCCTGCTTTATATTCGCTGGCAGCTGATTAGATGGTGCCCACCGGGTTAAGGGTGGGTCTGCCTTCCCCAGCCCACTGACTCAAATGTTAATCTCTTTTGGCAACACCCTCACAAACACACCCAGGATCAATACTTTGAATCCTTCAATCCAATCAAGATGGTGCTCAGTATTAACCATCACAGCGACGTTATGAACCATACAAGAAAGTTTAATTACTTTTTAACTCAATTCCATTTTATAATAAAAAAGGAGTCCCTTATCTTGATTACACATCTTGTCACTGAGAATTGCATCGGAATGCCTTTTATTTATTTATTTATTTTGAGATGGGGTCTTATTCTGTCACTCAGGCTGGAGTGCAGTGGTATGATCTCGGCTCACTGTAGCCTCAGCCTCCCAGGCTCAAGTGATCCTCCTGCCTCAGCCTCCCGAGTAGCTGGGACCACAGATGCACACCACCATGCCTGGCTAATTTTTGGATTTTTGGTAGAGACTGGGTCTCCCTGTGTTACCCAGGCTGGTTTCCAACTCCTGAGCTCAAGTGATCTGCCTACCTCGGCCTCCCAAAGTGTTGGGATTACAGGCGTGAGCCACCGCGCCCGGCCTTAAATGACTTTTGGATGTTTCTCAAATAAGATTTGCTTCTATTGAGGCTGTAGAATTCTGTGCTGCAGGTCGCGAAAGCGAACCCGAGGGGGAAATGGGACAGCAGCACCGTTGGAAGAGATGCTCAGTGTCGGGGGGGGGGTGCCTCTGGCCTCACAAGTTAGGATCTGGTGGGTTTGATTCTCTACTTACTACTTACCAGCAAGGATGATCCTGAAACGAAAAGGCCAACAGAAACAGGATTCCTGCATTTGTGTTTCAGGGAACTCTTTGAGGAATGAACACACGCGTGTGGGCAGAGGCCAGGTTACGCTGCAGGCATAAACAAGCCACAGCAAAGTTTATTCCTCACTTCCCCAGTGTCTGTGGAGGTCAAGGCTGCTCTCCAGAACAGCTGCCCTTGAAGGGGACAGTGGCACAGCCTGGCCTGATCCTGTGGCTCCATCATCTCGACCTTCAACAGCAGCCTCTACTGTCCCCATACCAGCAGAGAGAAGGCCTGAGGCCCCACCAGTGCCCCACCAACGCCACAGGGCTGGCCATGGAGTGTGTAGGAGCCAAGAAGAAGAGGACAAGGGAATGTTGGTGAGTACTGATGACTTCCACCACTCGTGAGAGACAGGCACAAGGAGTCACTTACATCTTTCAGTTAAATGAGTACTCACTGAGCCAATACTTTATGTTTAGCACTTTTCTTAGCCTAGGCAGTTGATGAGGGTGGAGAGGGGATGATACATAAAATAGAGTCCTCATCCTCTAAGTGTTGAGAGCTTTCTGCAAAAGCAAGAGACTTGAAATAATTTAAGAGCAATGAAAGGCCTCCTGTGACAACTTTCCTAATTTTACTTTTCAGACAATGTTTTGGGAGAAGAGTCAGGAGGAGAGATGGGCGGTCCAGGCAGAAGAATAGCCTGAGCAAATGTGGAAGGGAGGATGGGGGTCCTCACTGAGGAGCAGGGGCCAGTGGAGAGGCAGGGGGAGAGACGGAGGAAGAGGTGGGGGACAGAAAGAGAGGTCAGATTTTCTAGAGAAGCTGCGGTCTTGGGAGGAAAGGCATTGGAGTTAGGATGCATGGGTTTGAATTCTCACTCTGGTTTTCCCACTTGCTGCTCTGGGACACTGCTTAAATCGATTCACCCCTTTGGGCCTCAGTCCACTTCTTTGTAAAATGGGTGGTAAGCATTGCACTCATCCCAAGGCTTGTTCGGAGGCCTAAATAACATAATACATTCCAAGCATTAGAACGGTGCCTGACGAAGTACAAAACTCTCAGCAAATGTGAGTCTTGTCATTCTGGAAAGGGTGAGTTAGGCGGGGCAAGTGTGAAAACTGCAAAGTGCAGGAGAGTTTGAGCTTTATTCAAGATAGAAGGGAGACCTTGACCTAAAGGATATTTCCCAGCATCTGCATAAAATCTGTATTATAAGGTAAACCTCCATCTTCTCTTCCATTTGCTAGCTTTACAGTTCAGCCCTATCAATCTCATCCCCAATAATGAATGCAAGTTGCGCAGACAGAAATTGCATAGCAACATCCCTCTTGTGAGCAATTCATTCCCTCCTGCCCGGGTCGGTTTTTGCTTCTCAGCCAGCCGGCTATTGCCTGCTGGCTCCTTCCTCCATTCGACAGTTTCCTAATACCTTTTTCTGCTCACATTGCCCAGGGGTGGACATAAGGAAATATAATATATAACTCCTGCTCTCAAGGAACTTACCAAATAGTCACATCAAAACTTGGCTTTTCCAAGTCCATTTTTAGAAACTTTTGTTTCAATGGAATGAGAAAAAGTAAAAATAGCTCAAGCAGACATTTCAAAGCCATCTTAAATTGTGCTTCACTCATTTTTTCTTCTTATGTTGGGAGTATCTTTAGCTTCTATAGAAGGACAAATAAAAGTAAATTCCTCGCAGCCATTAATGCTATTTATGCTCAACAGTGCATTATGTTTCTAAAGAAATAGCTTGGGAAGCTGAAAGAGCCCTTTTTTGTGTGGAAATCCAACTCTTTTTTTGTGGTTATTGCTGTCTTTCTGTACATTCCAACATCAGTTCGCTGAGCATGTAAGAAGGACCTGCACCCTCACGGGGCCTCCTCTGGAAGCAGGTGCTCGGCCCCTGCATCAAATCCCAGACCTGGCCCTGCCATCCTGCCTTCTTCTCCTCTCCCTGGTAGTTTTCTCAGAAAAATGAGAGGGCTTAGGCCTCTGACAGATGATTTGCCTGGGAAGCCCAGCAAGTCAGCAGGCAAAGACGCACACATCTCTGTTGATGCAGCTTTGATAAATGACATTCCCCTGTAACCCCAAGTCTGCACGACAAAGGTGGCGCCCTCCCCTCCTAACAGCACCGCCTACCATTCGCTGTGTGCGCTTGACAGGGGTTTAAAGGATCATCGCTCTGCTTTCTCATGAAAAAGAGTTTTTGTTTTTTTTTTTTACTGCTTATTCAATGATCATAATTTGAGACAGCAAAATATAAAATATCAAGTCACCCTATTGAATAAACACATTTCTAATTAAAATGGTGGAGAGAGGCTATGCTGGCTGGAGGAGGGGATCAAGGATACGAGACCCATCTGTTATTGTTTGGACCTCACTTTGAGGGAGTCATAAAAGGCAAGCTGTGCAGACAGAAACTCCACTTGGCCACTCCTTCCATGACAATTAGTGTTTTGTGTCCATGTTAGTTTCCATGGATCTCTGTCCTCTTTAGGGCACAGTGGAGAACACAGGGTGGTTGAATTACAGGGTCTTTTCTCTGTTATACATCAGAGCAGGAGAGACGAAGACAGTCAGGTGCAGTCTCTTGCTCGTGGTTGTAGTTCTTTGGTTGGTAGAGCTACCATCTTGGGACTTTCCCTCCCAACACCTCCTTTTGTAGAGATGGTATCCTACAAGGGGCTGGGGCATCTTAAGTTCCTTCTCATTCATTCACGCCTTTATATTTACAACCACATATTCCATATGAGAGCTGCCTCCCATGGCTATTCAATGCCTACCATGTGCCATGGACGTGGCATTTCTCACTTACTTCCCATCCCAGTCCTAAGAGATAGGCGTGAAAGCCAACATGGAGTAGGTGTAGTGAGTGCTTTGGAAGATCTTGCTTGATGTTTGAAATAACCACAAGAGGTAAAACTGTCATTCCCATAGTGTCTTATAGTGGAGGACACAGAGGCTCAGCAAGATTAAGCAACTTGACCAAAGTCCCATAGGTAGTAAATTAGAAAACTGGAATTTCAACCCGTACTCGAGGGACCCCAAGGTCCATGATCCTCCCACTGCTCCTGTGGCCGTTCATCTCTGACACCAGTGATCATGTCATTGTTTTCTCCTGGAGTGCAGAGAGATTCTGCAAGTGTTCAGCATGACTCACAGTTCCATATAAGAAGGTAAGCATTAGGCCAGGCCATGGTGGCTCATGCCTATAATCTGAGTGCTTTGGGAGGCTGAGGGGGGAGGATCACTTGAGGCCAGGAGTTTGAGACCAGCTTGGGGAACAAAGGGAGATCTCATCTCTACAAAAAAAAAGTTTAAAAATAATTAGCTGGGTGAAGTTGTGCACGTCTGTGTTCTCAGATGCTCACAAGGCTGAGGCCAGAGGGTTACTTGAGCCCAGGAGTTTGAGACCAGCTTGGGGAACAAAGGGAGATCTCATCTCTGAAAAAAAAAAAGTTTAAAAATAATTAGCTGGGCGAAGTTGTGCACATCTGTGTTCTCAGATGCTCACAAGGCTGAGCCCAGGGGAGTCAAGAGTGCAGTGAGCTGTGATCGTTCTACTGCACTCCAGCCTGGGCAACAGAGCAAGACCTTGTCTCAAAAAAAAAAAAAAAGAATGTAAGTTTTAGAAGTTTTTCTATACCTTTGTTTACCTCACTTATTCTTTTATTACCAATTTTATGCCAGTTGATTGCTTTATCTTCATAATTTTACAATTATTCTGTATTTTCAGTGTATACTGTCATTTGCTGAAATGATTGTCTCAATTAAGCAAAGAAACAACATGCTTAAAGGAGATGACATATCAAAGATTTTGCAATTCGTATCCAAAGTGTTTATAATTTAGATTATACTTTTTTTTTTTTTTTGAGATGATGTCTCACTATGTCACCAGGATGGAGTGCAGTGGCGCGATCTCGGCTCACTGCAACCTCCGCCTCCCAGGTTCAAGTGATTCTCCCTGCGTCAGCCTCCCGAGTAGCTGCGACTACAGGTATGTGCCACCACACTCAGCTAATTTTTGTATTTTTGGTAGAGACAGGGCTTCACCATGTTGGCCAGGAAGGTCTCGATCTCCTGACCTCGTGATCTGCCCACCTCAGCCCCACAAAGTGCTGGGATTACAGCCACCGTGCCCAGCTTATATTTTAGATTATACTTTTTTATTGATTAAAAATACTCAGAAAAAAAAATTCTGAAAAGGCCAGGCGCGGTGGCTCACGCCTGTGATCCCAGCACTTTGGGAGGCTGAGGCAGGCGGATCATGAGGTCAGGAGATGGAGACCATCCTGGCCAACATGGTGAAACCCCTTCTCTACTAAAAATACAAAAATTAGCTGGGCGTGGTGGCATGTGCCTGTAATCCCAGCTACTTGGGAGAATCGCTTGAACCCAGGAGGTGGAGGTTGCAGCGAGCCAAGATCGCACCACTGCACTCCAGCCTGGGCAACAGAGCAAGACCTTGTCTCAAAAAAAAAGAAAAGAAAAAAGAAACAAAAAAGAAACTTGAATGTAATGAACAACATTCAACATTTCCTTTTTTTTGCTGAATGACAATTGGTTCAATCATTGTTAAGACAAACTCGGTAGGTAGCTATCTCCCTGTGTTGAACTCCCACAGCGTCTGTTTCACTGCCTTGCTCCCGTGTCTGTGACATAATGGGATGGCCGTGGCAAGGGAGGGGAGAGCAAGGAGATAGACCTTACCTATCTCTGCAGCACCTCTTGCTTGCGGAATCCCGCCCTTATTGTCCAACCTAAAAGGGGGTTGTGGCCTCCATCAGAGGCTGCCTCCTGAGCTCACATGCTCCTGCCTGCCCTCTTCATTTTTCTGTTTCTCTTTTGTCCCATCCTTCCACTATCCACTGCAAGGAGCTCCCACGCAGATGTGTGCAAATATCTGAGCCCAGGACCTCTGGGGAGGGGGTTGGGGGTTCAGGCTGCCCCAGTGAGAGCAAGCATCCTCTCATTTCCCTAAAAGGTGCCTGAAGGCCAGCAGAGGCTTGCCAGAGCTCACATGCACCTCTACTTCATCTTTGCCAGCAAGCCAGCAGGCAGAGATGCACCTGTCTTTGTTGATGCGGCTTTGACGAATGAACAGATACCCCCTCCTACTGGGGTCCTAGTAAGAGGCCACTTACTGGCTAGAAATGGTCCAACCCAGTATCTCAGTTTCAGATTTTGTGAGTAACCAGGCTCCTTTCAATACCTGGTTTAATGAAAGTATGCAGGGCCATTTTCCCCATCACAGCAGCAGACGGCTCTGGCTGAGTCCAGCAAGGGGCATTGGCCTGCCCAGGGTGCAAATGCTGTTCCCCCAACCCTGGCTTCTCTCTGGCCAGTGGCAAAGGCTCCCTTTCTCTGCCCCTCGAATCCTAGCATGTTAAGTTCCCTCTCATACCACCACACTCTTGTCTCTCATTGTCTTATTTTCTATTTAAAAAATCCATTTATTTTTCTTAGTTTCCCCTTTTGATGCTTGCAGTACTCACACAGTTTCCAACCTGCCCAGGAAGGAGCTCATTCTCTTCCAGCCTCAGTTTTCTTTCTTTTTGTGGATTCTGCATTTTCTCCCTGCTTTGCATCTATGTGCACAAGGGCGTCCCCATTTAACTTTATCACTGCCTTATGACGCCTGGATTTTCACAACAACACTTGCGAATATTGCTTATTCTTTTAAGAATTACTAAAATTTACCCTCTGGTAGAAAGATTGACAAGGACTGAATATCAAAAATATTACAGCGGTTTGGAGACTGGGAGGTTTACCAGTCACTTTGCTGTGAGCCCATGGGGTAACTTCTGCCATGGACTGGGAAGTAGAAAATAACCTGTCAGAGGGCCTGGCTTTTGGAACGTCGGGCTGGAAGAGTGCCAAGAGAGATGAACTAGTGTCAGTAAACTTCTCCTGTGAAAGGCCAGAGAGTGACTATTCTGCAACTGCAAAACTCTGTTACTGTTGCATGAAAGCAGCCATATACATTATCTAGAAAAGTGGGCATGGCTCTGTTCCAATAAAACTTTTGTTAAATTAACTTAAATGTGGCCTGAGGCTCCCCGGGCACCTTGAGTCCTTAGGTAGTGAACTTTGACCTTAGCGTATAAACAAGCCTAATTTAGGAGCATAACAAACAGCTGAGTTTCAGCCAATCACAAACAGCCACCTTATCACACCATGCCCATATAAGGCAGATGCCTGACTGTAGCCAATCAGGTGATTTCTCTACTTTGCCTCTGTGTCCAGCCTACAAAAGCCCCCGGCTCATATGGATGGCCGCAGATCTCAGGACCCCCACTGGTTTAGGATGCTTCCTGATTCATAAAGCATTCTTTGCTCAAATAAACTCGTTAAATTCAATGTGACTAAAGTTTTTCTTTTAATGCCTTATTTGCAAAAACAGGTAATGGACTGAAATTGACCCATGAGTCAGTTTCCAGACTCCTGATCTAGACTAAAGGCCTGTTCTTACACAATAGAAACCAAGGTCCAGAGATGGGAAATGAATCATTTAGAGTCAGAGAGTTTATATTTGAAAGAGGTAAAACTGAGTCTCCCTGGAGCAGGAGATAATGTAAGATGAAGTGTGGCTGTGAGGGCTCATGCTTGAGGTAAGAGACAGTGGGTGAATATTTCAAGTCTGACTGATGGTACTGCCAAAGGCTGCAATTGCACCACGTAATGGGAGACTTGTCTAACTCGTGGGGCTGAGAGCACTTATGAAGAGCAAAACACATGCTACTTGGTATCAGAGAGTCTAGAAGGAATCAAAAACAGAATAAAGGTGTTTTAAGCATGGAGTTGCTGTTTTCAGTAGAATACAAACAGTAGGCTTATAATTATGTATGCAGCTTCAACTAAGACTTGGTTTTAGCATCTCAGCTATTTGCCAGTGCCATAAAACACATGACATTCCAAAAAGGAAAGAGAAAGGAGCTGCACTACTTTAGTTGAAGGGTTTATGGGAACAAAATTAATAGTGACATTAGCATGAAGGTTCACACATTGCACAGAAAGGAGTAGAAATAAAATAAATCAACGCCTAAGGGAAGAGGAGAGAAGTCCCTCCTATATTCATTAAGTTATTCAACAAATGTTATTGAAAGGTTTCTAGCTGCAGGCACCATTCTAGGTCCTGGACATGCAGCGGTGACTAAGATGTACAAGACCTCCCTTACCCTCCAATGGATCCAACCTAGGTCATTGAGAATGTGTGCGCAGCTGCTGTTACATCTTCAGTGTGAGACCATCCATGGTTCTCTTGCATATTAACTCACTCTTCTCGTATTTGAGCCACAACAGGGCCAGGAAACTTGGTCTATAGCTGGTGATAGAACCTGCAGGATTTCCAAGCGAATGAGTGGAGTGCAGATGGATGGCAGTAGGTTATTTTGCAGGTGAGACTAGGCCTTGTGGGTAAAGAGAGAGTGAGAGATAAACTCAGTGAAAACGTTTTCCCCATGGGAGATGAGAGGTCCAGCACCCAGAGTTGGAACTTGATTTGAGTGAAGACTTGGCATTAAGTGCAGATGTTTAGAGCTATGAGATTGTATTAACACCTGCAGTTAAGGTGGTGGATAACTTGGGGAAGAATGAATAAGACCAGGTTGTTGCACTGAGACAGAACCTCTTTAATTCTTCATTTAAAAAATTTTTGGGGTGGGGGACACCGTGGTGGTTAGTGGTTAGATATAGAGGAAGGGAAGATTTAGAAGAGATTTAGGAGCTGCTGGAATGTAGTGAGAAAGAGAATGATAGTGAGAGTTGTGGTCAGAGATATAGGCAGATCCAATAGTTCATGAGAGGACTTGTAGGCCGTGGAGAGGACCCCTCTAATACCTGCTTGTAATTGCAAATTGAGCAACCCAGGACAATTAATTGGTTAAAAAAGTACCCACTCTCAAGAGATTTGAAAATATTTATTTATACCAAAACTTGCTATGAATGTTCACAGCAGTATGATTATTCATAATATTCCCAATGTGAAAAAAACCCAAATGTCTGTCAGCTGAGGCATGAATACACAAAATATGGTATATTCATACAATGGAATATCACTTATCCATAAAAAAGAATGAAATTCTGACACATGCTACAACATAGATGAACTTTTGAAACATTATACTGAGTGAAAGAAGCCAGACACAAGGTTTATACAGGTTTAGTGTCCCTTATCTGAAATTCTTGGGATAAGAAATATTTCGGATTTCAAATCTTTTGGATTTTGGTACATTTACAAATATATAATGAGATATATTGGAGATGGGACCCAAGTCTAAACATGAAATTCATTCAAGTTTCATATGCACTTTATACAGAGAGCCCGAAGGTAATTTTAAACAATATATATATTTTTAAACTTAAATAATTCTTTACTAATTGTTTTGCAGTTCTTTTTATAGTTAGGGTATATCCCATTGGGAATGCCTGACAAATTCCTGTGTTTTTAAGTCACTTGGAATGGTTCCTTTTTGGTAGTTATGCCACCAACTGGATACATATGTTCATTTGTTTCCTTTGATTTGATTTGATTTCATAGTTCTGATTTTATTATTTTTATTTCAATAGCTTTAGTGGGTACAAGTGGTTTCTGGTTACATGGATGAATTGTATAGTGGTGAAGCCTGGGCTTTTAGTGTACTTGTCACCTGAATAGTGTACAATGCACCCAACTGGTAATTTTTCATCCTTCACTTCCCTTCCACCCTCCCCACTTCTGAGTCTCCAGTGTCCATTATATCACTCTGTATGCCTCTGCGTACCCATAGCTTAGCTCTTACTTATAAGAATGTGCAGTATTTGATTTTCCATTCCTGAGTTACTTCACTTAGGATAATGGTCTCCAGTTCCATCTAAGTTGCTGCAAAAGACATTACTTCAGTCTTTTTTATGGCTGAGTAATATTTCACAATATCTATCTATCTATCTATATCTATATATGTATATACTACATTTTCTTCATTCATCAGTTGATGGATACTTAGGTTGATTCCTTATCTTTGCAATTGTGAACTGTGCTGCAATAAACATACAAGTGCAGGTGTCTTTTTGATATAATGACTCCTTTTTCTTTGGGTATCTACCCAATGGTGGAATTGCCAGATTGAAGAGTAGTTCTATTTTTAGTTCTTTGATAAATCTCCATACTATTTTCCATAGGGGTTGTAGTAATTTACATTTCCACCAGCAGTGTACAAGCATTTCCTTTTCACCACATCCATGCCAATATCTATTATTTTTGACTTTTTAATAATGGCCATTCTGACGGGGGTAATTTTGTATCTCATTGTGGTTTTAATTTGTATTTCCCTGATGATTAGTGATGTTGAGCATTTTTTTCATATGTTTGTTGGCCATTTCTGTGTGTGTGTCTTCTTTTGGAAAATATCTTTTCATGTAATTTGCCCACTTTTTAATGGGTTTATTTGTTTTTTCTTGATGATTTGTTTGAGTCCCTTGTAGATTCTTGATGTTAGGTTTTTATTGGGTGTATAGTTTGTGAATATTTTCTCTCATCTATAAATTGTCTATTTACTCTGTTATTTCTTTTGCTATGCAGAAGCTTCTCAGTTTAATTAAGTTCCATTTATTTATTTTTGTTCTTGTTGCATTTGCTTTTGGGGTCTTAGTCATATTCTTAATAATTCTGTGCATGAAACAATGTTTGTGTACATGAGGTCAAGTGTGAAATTTTCCCTTGTGGCATCATGTTGACATTTATAAGTTTTGGATTTTGGAGTATTTTGGATTTCAGATTAGGGATGCTCAACTTGTATATTGTGTGATTCCATTTACATGAGATGTCCACAATAAACAAATCCATAGACACAGAAAGTAGAGCAGTGGTTGCCAGAGGCTGCAGAGAGGAAGAAAGGGGGAATGACTACTAGGAAGTATAGCATTTCTTTTTGGGCTGAAGAAAGTGGTTTGAAATAAAATAGTGATGTTGGTTGAATTAATACAATCTCAAGAATATGTTAAAAACCCCTAAATTATACTCTTTAAGATGGTGAGTTTCATGGTGTGTAAATTATATCTCAACAAAACTGTGTCTTCTTTAAAAGCAAAAGAGTTCTAATAAATATTCCAGTTTTTCAAATTACTTTTGTTACCTTTGTATAAAAAAAGGTAACTAAATGCATCCCGGAGTGACTCCAGGGATGGATCAGCAGCTTGTAAACACAGTAAGTGTCAGTTTGTGTTCCTCATTGTCTGGTTTGTGCTTTCATTTTTATATGAAGACTTGTGACCCAAACTGATAATAGGGAATTATGTTAAAAATAGTCCCACTGGCATTTAGTTTTTTTTTTTTTTAATAAAAGCAGAGTTTTGGTGAGTTTATTTGACCTATTTTTAAAATGGCTGTATCCTTGTTGGTCCATCAGAGCAAAGGATGCTTTGATTCCCCAAAGCACTCACCATAATGCAACAACTCAGACTTGTAGAGTACATTTGTAGACTTCCTGGTAGACTAAAGCATTTTCATAAAGCCCATGAAAGCCGAAGGATGATCTAGACCAGGCAGTTGATCTCCTTTGGTCAGGGGGAAGGAGGAAGCTTACATAAGTCACAGTGGTTCATTCTATGGACAAAGGAAGCACTTAGAACTTCAGTTGTGTGATACTAGAAGGTTTTCATTTTTATTTTTTTTAACAGTACTACTTTCTAAAAAGAAGTAAGGGTAATATTTGGGACCAAAGAGAGAGAAAGGGAGTGAAAAACCACACAAAATTTATTTTGTGCTTCCTTTGGATCTGCTTTTTGACATAGGTTCAAGATGAATTATTAGTTTCTAGGTCGTCCTAAATATCATTTGAATATGTTTTGAAACCGATTACATAAAAAAAGAACAAAGTTTAGGAAAAAAAATCATTGTGGTCCTGACATCATCACCAGACGTTAACATCTGTTGTCTTGTTTGTGCCTCTAACCACATCAAAATATTTGATGTCCCTTTTTAAAAAAAGGCCCGTTCTATGTGTTTGCTGAGGACTTTAATGACAAATACATTTCACCTTTAACCTTGAAGTAAATGCAAGTCATGCTGTTCCTTCCTCGCAGATGTCAAGTATTCTCCATAGTGGGTTAGAGAAGACAGAGAGTTGGCAGGCAAGAGACTGAAATGTCTGCTTGTACTTGAAATGGATTTGGAATAAACATGTGCATTTTTCTACTGGAAAACATTTTCAAAGAGAGACTACAGCATGATGCTCTCTTTTTGCTATCTTTTTTTCATTCAACTCACTTCATTGCTCTCTGTTCTAGCATCTTACCAAAGAAAACGTGTGCCTAGCGTTTGAACAAAGAATATTTTGTATTTTTAGCTGTAATTGAACTTTACAAGTTTATTTGCAAGAGTTCGTTGTCAAGTGCTTTTTGTGCATCTATTGAGATAATCATCCAGTCATGTGGTTTTTATCTTTCATTTTGTTAAATGTGGTGTAACACATTGACTGATTTGTGTTATGTTGAACCAACCTTGCATCCCAGGGATATATCCCACCTGGTCAGGGTGTTTAATCTTTCTGATGTGCTGTTGAATTTGGTTTGCTGATATTTAATTGAGGATTTTCACATCTATGTTCATTACAGGTATTGGTCTGTAGTTTTCTGTGGTGTCTTTGTCTGGCTTTGGTATTGGGGTGATGTTGCCTCATAAAATGAGTTTGGAAGTGTTTTCTCTTTTATTTTTTGGAAGCATTTAAGAAGGATTGGTATTAATTATTCTTTGAATGTTTGGTAGAGTTCATCCATTAAGCCATTTGGTCCTGGACATTTCCGTGTTGGGAGGGTTTTGATTACGAATTCAATCTCCTTATTTGTTGGTGTGTTCAAACTTTGTTTCTTCTTGATTAGGTCTTGGCAGATTGTATGTTTCTAGGGATTTATCCATGACAAAATTTTTTTAACAAAATAGATGTGGAAAGAACTTACTTCAACATAATGAAGGCCACTTATGATTAACATCGTAATCAATGGGGAAAAACTGAAAGCTTTTCCTCTAAGACCAGGAACAAGATAAGGATTGCCATTCTTGCCACTCCTATTCAACACGGTACTGGAAGTCCTAGCTGAGCAACTAGGCAAAAAGATAAATAAAAGGCATCTGAATTGGAAAGAAAGAAATAAAATTACCTCTGTTTGCAGATGACATGAGCTTATATGTATACAACTCTAAAAACACCACAAACATGTTAAAACTAATAAATGAATTCAGAAGAGTTGTAGGACACAAAATCAACATACAAAAATCAGTTATGTTCTTTATACCTACAATGAACTATCTGAAAAGAAAATCAAACACAATCCAACTCACAATAGCATCAAAAAGAAAAACATGGGTGTGAAAGATCTGTACCCTGAAAGCTACAAAATATTAATGAAAAAATTGAAGAAGACACAAATAAATGGAAAAGTATTTCCTATCACAAGTTGGAAGAATTAATATTATGTACATATAACACAAAGCAATCTATAGATTCAACACAATCCCTGTGAAAATTCCAGTGGCATTTTTCACAGAAATAGAAAAAACAATTCTAAAATTCATATGGAACAACGAAAGACCCCAAATAGCCAAAGCAATCTCGAGAAAGAAGAACAAGTTGGAGGTATCACACTTTCTGACTTCAAATTACACTTCAAAGCTATAATAATTTAAATAGTATGGTACTGGCATAAAAATAGACATATAGACCAATGGAACGAAATAGAGAGCCCAGAAATAAACTCATGTGTATTCAGTCAACTAATGTTCAACAAGGGTGCCAAGAATATACAAGAGGGAAAGGATAGTCTCTCCAGTTCACAGTGTGGAGAAAACTGAATATCTACATGCAAAGAAATGAGATTGGACCCTTATCTTACACTATACACAAAAACCAACTCAAAAGAAAGACATAGACCTGAAACTGTGAAAGTACTAGGAAAAAACATAGGGAAAAACCTCTTTGATATTGGTCTTGGCAATGATTTTTTGGATATGACATTGAAAGCGGAGGCAAAAAAAGCAAAAATAAATGTGTGAGACAACTTCGAAATAAAAAGCTTATGCACAGCAAAGAAAAATAATTTAAAAAATGGAAAGGCAGCCTACAGATTGAGAGGAAATATTTGCAACCATATCTCTGATAAGGGTTAATATCCAAAATATAGAAAGAATTCATACAACTCAATGCCAAAAAAACCCAAATAATCTGATTAAAAAATGGAGAAAGGACCTAAATAGACATTTCTCCAAAGAAGGCCAACAAGTATATGAAAAGGTGCTGACCTATCATCAGGGAAATGCAAATGAAAACCACGAGACATCACTTCACACCTGTTAGGGTGGCCATTATCAAAAAATAAAAATTGACAAGTGTTGGCAAGGCTGTGGAGAAAAGGGAACCCTTGTACACTGTTGGTAGGATTGTAAATTTGTATAGCTATTATGGTAAACAGCATGGAGTTTTCTTAAATAATCAAAAACAGAACTACCTTATGATCTGATAATTCTACTTTTGAATATATACCCAAAGGAATTGAAATCAATATCTCAAAGAGATGTATGCATTTCCATGGTCATTCCAGCAGTATTCACAGTAGTCAAGATATGAAATCAACCTAAGCATCTATTGACAAATGAATGAATAAAGAAAATGTGGTATATATACACGCACACACATATTGGAATACTATTCAGCCTTAAAAAAGAAGGAAATCCTACTATTCGTAACAACATGGATGAACTTGAAAAGCATGCCAAGTGAAATAAGCCAGACACAGAAAAAAGAATACTACATGATCTCAGTTATATGTAGAATCTAAAAAAGTAAAATTCATAGAAGCAGAAAATAGAATGGTGGCTACCATTGGCAGGGGTGGAATTGGGGTTGGGAGAAATTGTGGTAGATACTGGTCAAAGGATACAGGTTTCAGTTTCATAGGATGAATATGTTTTAGAGACCTAATGTACAGCATGATGACTATAGTTAATACTACTGAACTCTTGAAATTTGTAAAGAGAGTGGGTCTTGTGTTCTCACCACACACACACACACACACACACACACACACACACAAAGGTCCCTGTGTGAGGTGATGGATATTTTAATTAGCTTGACTATAGTAATTAATCATTTCACAATGTATATGTATATCAAACTTCCAATTATATTTTAGTAAAGCTGTTATTTAAAAATAAAAAAGATATTTTTACACATTAAACTTCTTTCTCCACTCAGACTATTTGAAAGTATTATTTTGAAAATATTAAAGAATAATCAGGCCAGGTGCGGTGGCTCATGCCTGTAATCCCAGCCCTTTGGGAGGCCAAGGTGAGAGGATTGCTTGAGGCCAGGAGTTCAAGGCCAGACTGGGCAACATAGCAAGATCTCATCTCTACAAAAAATAGAAAAAAATAGCCAGGTGTGGTGGCACACACTTGTAGTCCCAGCTCCTCAGGAGGCTGAGGCAGGAGGATTGTTTGAGCCTGGGAGGCTGAGGCTGCAGTGAGCTGTAATCATGCCACTGCACTCTAGCCTGGGTAACAGAGTGAGACCCTGTCTCAAAAAAACAAAAAATCACTTTCAGCCTTTTAAATAAATATCAAAATTCCCTTAAAAAAGTTTTTTCCTTTAATTCCATTTATGGGTTTAACTTCCATGTGAACCAGGCTTAGATGATTGTTATCAATTAGCCTGAAAGAATTCCTACAATTCTGACTGTGAGATTGTTCCCAAGGAGTGGCTGATTTCTGCTCTTCCCATATTTCCTCAACACCTCCTTGTCCCTAGAATAGAAAGTATCAATTATGCCACTGTTCAGTGGGCAAAGGCCCGATTGTTTTTCAGGATGATCTCAATTTTGGTGACTATTTGGGTCTATGATATTTCCCAACTTGTATTTTGTAGGATATTAAAATTGCGCCTATGACAGCCTCCATGACGTGGAGCTGCTTTGATTGTGTTCATGACATGCGCTCCAAAGGATGATTTCCATTTGGTTCTTCTTGCATGAGCAATGGGACTACAGATCTGGGTCCACATCAGCCTGTGTTCCGGGAGAGGGGGTTACGGGGGTTTACCCTTTTTTTTCTTTTTTTTGAGATGGAGCTTCATTCTGGTTGCCCAGGCTGGAGTGCAATGGCGCTATCTCGGCTCACTGCAACCTCTGCCTCCTGGATTCAAGAGATTCTCCTGCCTCAGCCTCCTGAGTAGCTGGGATTACAGGCGCCCACCACAACGCCTGGCTAATTTTTTTTTTTTGAATTTTTAGTAGAGACGGGGTTTCACCATGTTGGCCAGGCTGGTCTCGAATTCCTGACGTGAGGTGATCCACCTGCCTTGGCCTCCCAAAGTGCTGAAATTACAGCCGTGAGCCACCGTTCCCGGCCAGGTTTACCCAGTTTAAGCTCTCTTAGGGTACTTAGCTTGTCCATCATTCCTGCCATCAAGAGAGTTACTTGTTTTCATTTGACAGTTGTCCTAACCTGCTTCTTTCTTCCAGATCCCAGGATCATTCCAGGGGTGGAATGTGGGCCAAAATGACACTGGGGACCTTATCATCAGCTTCTGGGTTATTAAATAAACAGTAGGGCTATAGAAAGCAGTTCAGTTTAACTATTTCTTGTTCAGAACATACTGATGGAATCCATAAAGGGTAAAAAATAACAAGTAGGGCAGTCTGCAATATTAAGTAGGACAAATAACTGTAACGAAGGGAGAGTTATGCTTGTGTCTCAAGAGAAGTCTAGAAAAGGGCTGGAGGAGCTCAGAAGAAGGAGAGACAGCCAGGAGTAGAGGGGGATCAAAGTGGACTACATGGAGAAGTGGTACCTGAGGTGAGTTTCAGCTGTGGCTGAGAAAGGGGAGAGGGATGTTGGGGAGGAATTATTCCAGGAAAAAGAGGCAAAATGAGCAAAGTATGGAGACAGGAAAAAATGACTATGTTCAGTGACTGGACTGATATCAAGTGGAGAGAGTCTTGATTGCAATATTTGAGTGACATCATCAGCAGTGATGTCTGGGACAGAGGAGAGCACTCCTTCAAAACCCGAGGAGCCTTGGCAAGCCCACTTCCCAGGCTTCAGTTCTTATCCTCATCTGGAAGCATAAGGGGGCTTACAAAATCTTTTCTAAGGCCCAGTTCTGCTCTAGAGTTTGATGATTCATAAAGACAGGCATCAGTTAGGTGTTTGCCCAGCATCTAGGCAGGTGACATAGGGTGTGTTGGGATGGCACAGAGTGGAGAGAAAGAAAGGGGAGAGTATGAGAGGGAGAGTGGCTATTCCTTGGAAACTACTGGAGGTTGGAATTGAGAGAGATCAGGATGAGCAGATTACTGGATTCCAAACCCAGTTTTCTGGACCAGTGTTAATGTCATTAAGAGACAGAAGGAAAGTAGAGGAAGGGGCTAGTTTTGTGGAGAGGATGAACTTGGTCTTAGACACGATGAGTTTAAGGCATTGTCTTCAAATCCAGGTGGATACGTCCCACAAGTCGAAACAAGGTGCTTTGAGAGGATGTGCAACTGGAGGTGAATTTGGGGATAGTGGTGCTGTGAGGGCATAGAAGGATGAGGCAGAAAGGAAAATGCTAGAACCTAGGATGGGAGCAGGAAGAATCTGGGGAGATAAGACTGTTGGGAGAAGGAGGAAAAGTCAGGGCAGGAGGAGGAGGAGGGTATTCGACAGTGTCCTCACCTTGAAGATGAGGGGAGCCTGGTGGTCTGGGGGAGTTGCAGAAAAGTTACTTTTAAAGGGGGGTGGGGGTACCAGCTGGGTCTCTTCCTTTTAGACCTGGTTCAATGAAATTCAAGGAGAGCCAAGTGATAGAGAGGGGAGATCAGTGTTGTGAGCCATAGGAAAAGGTACCTTTTGGAAGCCTTCCATGAGAATTACTTGTTCTCATTTTATAGTTTTCTTAACATCTTCCCCTTCTTTTTTTTTTCTTGATGTAAAGCTCATGGGCTCTCCAGGTATCCCCAGGAGTGAAGAGGGTCTCTCTTATGATATATTACACCAATACCAGACTAGAGGAGATTTCAAAGTAACAGAAACTTACTTCCCTGCCAACAGCCAGCATTACCTAGAGTTGGGGGTCAGGTCTCGAGACAATTGTCAATGGGAGAGAAAAAGCCTCAAACCGACCAAGCCCAAATGCAAATGATCACAGTGTTCCAGCAGTGTTTTCGTTTCTTTTCAGTCAGTCCTCAAGATTGGGGACACCACCAAAGCAGGTCAAAAGGCGAAGGTGGCAGAGCCACCCAGCATAGGCCCCTGGGCAGGTCCCTGGGACCCGCCCCTGGGGGCCACTGGGGTGCAATGCCGGATGCAGTGGCCTTTGCTGTCCTCTGTCACTGTGGGTCAGTCCATGTCCCGAGGGAGGGTGTCTCCCCATGCCCCGCAGTGCAGTGCATGATCAGGCAGGGCTCCTGGGCTAATGGTCCCCAGGTTTGGATTTCAGGGGGAAGAAGCTTTCAGGCGGGGTGGCGTTGGCAGGCAGCCCAGATTTCTGGAATGTGTTGCTCTGCCCGGTGGGCTAGCGGTTTGGCGGATCAGGTTCCGGCTGGCGAATACAGGAGAACAATAGGCATGTGGTTCCTGGACTAATTAGCTGTGTGGCTCTTCTCCCGGCTGTGCCCTTGGCTGGGCCTCCAGTCCTGCTGTCACTGCCTCTGGGGTCCGGCTTGAACACTTGCTGGCTGGGGGAGCCCTGCAGGGAAGATGAGGCATCAGGGGACTGAAGTCTGCCAGCAGGGATCGGGCTTGTGATTACATCCCATGGGTGGCCCCCTGGTGACATTAGATCAGGGGCTGCCCTGTGTAGAGAGCTGGTGTTTCTTGGGACACAGTGGTGGCTTGCGAATGGCTGTGGGCGCAGAGGCTGCAGTGAGCATGTTTCATTTTGCCACACGGGGGAATGCTCTTCCTACACCAGGTGCCTTCCGTGGGCCTAAATATTTCAGTGGCAGGCAGGTAAGCTGAACTGAGGGCCAGGGTGGGGAAGGCTTCAAGGTTCATGGAACATCAGCCAAATTTTTGGGAGAATGTCATGTCTGGACTTTGTGGAATCTTACCTTTGGGAGAGTCAAAAAAAGTCTTAAATATTTGACAGGAAAAAAAGGGGGTTTTTCATTCAGGATCATCTAATTCAGCTCAGGACAATTCAGATTTCTATAAAGTTAAGTTACGAAAACAGTTACAAAATCTTTAAATGAGAGGGCTTTCCCCATGGCTGTGAAACATAACGAGAGGTTTCACTGATGTCTTCTGGGGTATTCACATAGTTTGAAAAATGAGGGGCATCCTTATTCTCATCTTCAAAAACTTTTCTCAGATTGGGAAAGCCTGAGAAGGTGCCAATAGAAGGGAGTTTCTTAGTTGCTCCTGAACCCAGAACCTGACCCCTTCCTAGGTGGCGCTCTCCCACCTGTTCCCAAGGCAGTTTTTTCACCCTCTCTCATAAAGGGGCTCCCTCAAGATTTGAGACTTAGACCCTACTTTAGACAAACTCAATAAGGCCATAGTTGAGGAAAGATGTTTAAAATACTTCCCCCAAAGTTCTTCGAAAGAAGAAATGAAGTTGTCTGTTATCTTTTAAGAGGACGCATGAATCCATGTTCTTAATGAACTCGGAAGGTTTTGCTTGTTCAAAGTGTCATCCTTCCATCCACAGCACAGCGTCACCTGAGAGGCTGCTAGAGATGCAGAGAGCCAGATCCGACCTGGGCCCGCTGAATCAAAATCTGCATCTTATCAAGATCCCCAGGGGATTTGTAAAAAATAGAGCATGGGAAGAAACAGGTACTACTATGTCCTGAATCTGAAATTCTCTTTTCTTTGTTCTCTTATGAACTGTGGTCTCTCTCTCACTCTCTCTCTCTCTCTCTCTCTCTCTCTCTCTCTCTCTATCCCAGCCTCAATGTCTTTGCTGGAAAATTTTCTTTCTATTTAGCCTGCTAATCCACAGAGATGCCCTGGATCACCCTTGGGACACCTAGATTTTCTCCACATGAAGCCTGTTAGGTGATTTGACAGTTGGAGACCTTCCTGTTAACAGCCATTATAATAAAACATTCCCCCAAACCAAATTCGGCAATTATTAACAAGTTGAAACAGAAAACGATGTTTACTAAGGCATTCTTCCTGAGGCTTAATATATCCTGTGAAGAGGGTGGGGTGGGTGTAGGAAATCTTAGCTCTACCTGGAGTTCAAGGTAATGTCAGAACCAGAGGTTGAAGTACAGGGAAAGCACCTCTTCCTTAGGAGTCGGACATGGAGATCTTTTTACATGCGCAGTTGGCCAGTGATGACCTTGTCATTGAACTGACTCCCTTTCAGTGATTAGAGGGTGTGCTTAGTAGCTTAATTTCTTTCCATCGCTGGCTTCTGCATAGAGTGGACCTGTGCAGAGTAGCCTTCAGTCAAGACAGTGAGGTCACTTGGATGAAAGGAACCTGGACTGCATTTGGGCACACGTCTGTGTGTACTCCATGGGTGCCCAGCGAGGGCAGTGCCCACAAGAATTTGCTTGTCACTGTATCCTCAATACCTGGTACAAAACAGATGCTCTATTACTATTTTCTCAATTACAGCAGTAATTTCAACTTGTATCTGGGGGTAAAAATTCCAGAATCTGCTAAAGACATGAACGTTCATTTGCCATGGATCAGGCATGCTGTATTTTGCTATCAAACATGTATGGCAGAGGTAAGCACAGGCCCTGCAAACGGTGTGCTTTCTTTGCTTTTCTAAAGCAAATATGCAAAGACGATGTGCCAGTATTTAGTGGGAACATGCAGAGATCTTGGACTCCAGGGCTTGGAGTTTCCTAGGTTTCAGGGGCACCTAATCCAGTCTTGCACTCCAGCAGGAATTCCCTCTACAACATGGACTCATTTATTCAACAGAGTTCGGCTGATGGCTTATAAAATGTAGCACCTGCCAGACTCTCTGAGGCTCTGTAGGGAGGCGATAAATTACAATTTCTGATCTCTACGAGCTCACAGTTCACTGGAGGAGTCACACATTTAAACAGATAACAACACTGCTTCTTTAAAAGAAATACAAGTATATAAAAGGTACTACGTAGGAATGCAGAGAAGGAGTACCCAGCGCTTCCTGAGACGAGGGTGGGAGAACAGGGATGGCTCCCAACATATGATCCCATCACAGACATTGCTTCATAAGAATCAGGAGATGGCCGGGCGGGGTGGCTCACGCTGTAATCCCAGCATTTTGGGAGGCCGAGGCAGACAGATCACGAGGTCAGGAGATCGAGACCATCCTGGCTAACATGGTGAAACCCCGTCTCTACTAAAAATACAAAAAATTAGCCAGGGGCGGTGGCGGGCGCCTGTAGTCCCAGCTACTCAAGAGGCTGAGGCAGGAGAATGGCGTGAACCCGGGAGGCAGAGCTTGCAGTGAGCCGAGATCGCGCCACTGCACTCCAGCCTGGGCGACAGAGGACACTCTGTCTAAAAAAAAAAAAAAAGAATCAGGAGACATTCTCACATGACTGACAAATGACAACTTATTAGGCATTTAGTGAGTTCCAAGCACAATCTGAAGTGTTTTACATGTGCTAGTTCACTTAATCACTACAATAACTACTAGTTTATTATTCCCATTTTACAGATTAGGAAACTAAGAATTGCAAGGTCGGGTAATAACTCGTGCAACCAGTAAGTGGCTGAGCAGGGAGTGAAAGCTAGGCAGTGTGATTCTGAGTCCTGGCTCTTCAGCACTAGGTTAGACTGTCTCCTGCACAGGAAGAAAGACACTTGGCGGAGAGGCAAGGTCTGTGAACAGCTACGAGAGAGTCAGGGAATCAGGAATTAAGGGTGACTTGTTCACGGAGCTTGGAGGAGTAGGTCGGGCTGGATCCTGATTTTAGATGTCATTTTAAGGAATTTATCTCTAGGTGATAGTTATGGGAGGATTTTTCTTAATTGTGGTAAAACAATGTAACATAAAATTTATCATTTTAACCATTTTAAGCATACAGGTCAGTGGCATTAAGCACATCACGTTGCTTTGCAACCAGCGTCACCAGCCAGCTCTAGAACTTTTTCATCTTCCCGAATGAATCTCTTCACCCGTTAGGCAATAACTCTCCATTCCCTCATCTCCAAAGCTCCTGGCAACCACCATTTCCCTAGCCCCTGGTAACCAGTACTTTTTGTCTCATGAATTTGACTACTCTGGGCACCTCATATGAGTCAAAGCTTACATTATTTACCCCTTTGTAACTGGCTTTTCACTTAGCACAATGTCCTCAAGGTTCATCCACGCTGTAGCATCTGTCAGAATTTCAATCCTTTTTTAAGGCTGAATAATATTCTATTGTATAGATGGGCCACATTCTGTTTATTCATCTATCGATGAGTATTTGGATTGCTCCTGCCTTTAGGTTATTGTGAATTGAGGGATTCTAATCTGGGGAATGGTACAGTTACATTTATATCTTACAGATGCAGGGAAAAAAAACCAGAACACTGGTTGCCAGTGTGCAGGTTGGAGGGGAGAATAGAGACAAGTTTTAGCCTGTTATAGTAATCTAGGTGACAGATAACGAGAGTTTGCACTAAGGTAGTGTTGTGGATAGATTAGAGGAGACACAGATTACAGACACGTAGGAGGAAGAGGCACACGATTTGGTTACCACTTGGAAGGGGTTGGGGCAAATGTGGAAGAGTTACCTAGGACTTTGCTGTTTGACCTTGTAACTAGGTAGATGGTGGTAAAATGGTACCTACCAGGTGGAACAGAGAATCTCAGGAGGTCCGTGCTGCAGGGGCTTTCACTTACCTCCTGAAATTTCATGCAACTATGTATGTTCCATGTCTTTTCCTGGTAAGAGGGTCTACAGCTTTCCTTGGATTGTTATAAAATCTATCTCCAGGATTGGTGCTGTGGCTCACTGCTGTAATCCCAGCATTTTGGGAGGCTGAGGTGGATGGGTCACTTGAGGTCAGGAGTTCGAGACCAGCCTGGCCAACATGGGGAAACCACGTCTCTACTAAAATTACAAAAATTAGCCAGGTGTGGTTGCAGGCGCCGGTAACCCCAGCTACTTGGGAGGCTGAGGCAAGAGAATCTCTTGAACCCTGGAGGCCTCACAGATTGCAGTCCGTGGAGACCACGCCATTGCACTCCAGCCTGGGCAACAAGAGCAAAATTCCGTCTCAAAAAACAAAGTACTAGTGATTCGGGCCGGGTGCGGTGGCTCACACCTGTAATCCCAGCACTTTGGGAAGCCGAGGCGGGCAGACCACGAGGTCAGATCATCAAGACCATCCTTGCTAACCTCGTCTCCACTAAAAGATACAAAAAAATTAGCTGGGCATGCTGGTGGGCGCCTGTAGTCCCAGCTACTCGGGAGGCTGAGGCAGGAGAATGGCGTGAACCCAGGAGGCTGAGCTGGCAGCGAGCCCAGATCGTGCCACTGCACTCCAGCCTGGGCGACACAGCAAGACTCCATCTCAAAAAAAAAAAAAAAAAAAAAAAAGATAGTCATGCTTTGCCTGTGCAGGGTGTTGCTGGTGCAGGTAAGCTGAGGAGGTTCTCATCTAATGTTCTTTTGCATGTCTTTGTGGAGGAGGAGACCAAATGTGCTGACCCTGTTGAGTGAGCCGGTGGCTTCAGAAGCGGTGGAAAGACAGTGGTGAAACGTTAAGGTCATCACTTCAGGAGTGCAAGTGAATGCTCACTGGAATTAACCAACGGAACAGTAGAGGGACACGTGTGAGCGACAAACCACACCCCAAGGGCTTGCTCGCCACATGCGCCTCCCTGCGGGCTGGGAAGCACTTGCTGTTGGAAAGGACTCTGTTATTTAGAGTCAAAACAGATTTTCTCTTGTCTCACGTCCTTCCTTTTTTAAGCTAACCGTTCCCATTTTCTTTCATCAGCTCTATAGTGAGAGGAGACACCGTGCTAGCAGCCCTCACTCGCTCTGGCCGCGCTTGAGGAGCCCTTTAACCCACCGCTGCAGTGTGGAAGCCCCTCTCTGGACTGCCGGAGACCGTAGCCGGCTCCCTCTGCTTGCGGGAAAGTGTGGAGGGAGAGACACGGGTGGGAACCGGGGCTGTGCAGGGCACTCATGGGCCAGCGTGAGTTCTGGGTGAGCACGGACTCGGCAGGCCCTGCACTCCGAACGGCCGGCGCCACTGGCCCCAGGCAGTGAAAAGCTTAACACCCAGGCCAGCAGCTGCGGAGGATGTGCCGGGTCCCCCAGCACTGCCTGCCGGCCGGCCCGCCCGCCCCGCACTTGAATTCTGGCCGGACCTCAAGCCGCCTCCCTGCGGGGCAGGGGCTGGGGACCTGCAGCCCACCATGCTCGAGCACTGCCCCCTGCCCTGTGGGCTCCTGATTAGCCGGAGCCTCCCTGAGGGGCGCTCCCAGCTGCTCCGCAGCACCAGGTCCCATCGACCATCCAAGGCCTGCGTAGTGCGAGCGTGCTGGCGCAGGACTGACAGGCAGCTCCGCTCTCAACGGCATCCACTAGCAGAACCAGCTGGGCTCTTATGTTGGATGGGGACTTGGAAAACTTTTGTGTCTAGCTAAAGGATTGTAAATGCACCAATCAGCAATCTGTGTCTAACTCAAGGTTTGTAAATGCACCAATCAGCACTCTGTCAAAATGGACCAATCAGCTCTCTGTAAAATGGACCAATCAGCAGGATGTGGGTGGGGTCAGATAAGGGAATAAAAGCAGGGTGCCGGCCCTTGCGCCAAGAACCTGCTCGGGGGTCGTATCCCAAGATGTGGAGCGTTTGTTCTTTGGCTGTTTGCTATAAATCTAGTTGTTGCTGACTTTGGGTTCACTGCGTTGTGAATTGTAACACTTACCGCGAAGGTCTGCCGCTTCGCTCCTGAAGCCGGCGAGACCACGAACCCACTGGGAGTAACAAAAGGGCGGGAGGAACAAACAAACTCTGGACACATGATTTCTAAGTATTGTAACACTCACCGTGAGGGTCCGCGGCTTCATTCTTTTAAGTCAGTGAGCCCAAGCAACCACCAATTCCGGACACAATAGGAGGTAATTTTCTGAGCCCGCCTGGACTCACAGCCTCATCTCAAAATGTGGAGTTCGTTGCTCGACGTAAGGCTCTAAATCTGGTCTGATTGCTGAGATGCTGCTTCCTCCAAGACGGAACCATCATGAATCCAAACTGGGGGGTTCTTGTTTGGCAGAGCCGAAGGCCATGTCTGTCCTGCATTTCCAGTTCCAAGCAGGGGGCCTGTACTGTTAAATAAGTGCTCATTGATTGAATTTGCAGAAATCTCTAACACAAGGTGGAAAGTAATCTTTACAACTTAGAATGGAAGTAAAGGAGATTAAATGAAGAAATAAAATGCTGTACCTGAAAATATATATAAGCCGTAAAGCACTGTACACAGGAAAGTTATTATCCTCATGATCTTCTTAATCTGGACGAATTATTTCTGAATTCAGAATCCAGCCTGTACACAGCTTCATCACAATGTTGTTCTGTCTTTGCAACTCAACGCAATGCAGATTATTCAGCTATCTCAATTACTCGAGTGGGATCATATTAAATCTCTAAGGTTCAATTTGCATAGATGATGCTGCTTTCTCCAGCTTAAAATATCTGTGTGTCTCCGATGGCTCTGTGTCCTAGTTTACCTTAGTATTTTACTTTGCAGAGATTAGGAAACCTGATCACATATTTTATTGTGAAAAATTTCTAATGCACAAAATTGGGAATAAAGAGTATGGTGGACACTTACATATTCATCACCCATATTTGGTGGTAGTTGATATGTTGCTGCTCCCCTTAAGCTACCCATTTATACAATTTTTGTTGAAAGCATTAAAAAATGTCTTGTACTACCGTTTTATTTTATTCCTACATCCTTCAGGAATACATAATTATTTTATTCCTACGTATTCCTGCATCTTTAAAAACTGAACATTTTCTTTTATAATCTCGATGCCGTTTGCACACCTAAAAATTAATATTACTTGCATAATAGAAATTTCTGTGTTGTTTAAAAATGTTTTCTGGCTTGTTCAATTGAGATGCCGTGTCTTGGCCACTTCACGCGGTGATGATAAAGTACCATAGACTGGGTGGCTTACATAACAAGCATTGATTTCTCACAGCTCTGGAGCCTGGGATGTCCAGGATCAAGATGCCAGGAGACTCGGTGTCAGGCTGCCTTACTGCTGTGTGGTCACTTGCAGAGCAAGAGCAAGCTCTGGTCTGTTCCTTTTCTCATAAGGGCACTGATCCCATCATGGAGACCCCACTCTCATGACCTTATCCAAACTTAACTACCTCTCAAGGTCCTACATACAAATGCCATCACACTGGGGATTAGGTTAGAGCTTCAACATAGAAATTTTGGGATGACACAACATTCACTCCTTAAACACACCACACGTTACATTGGTTTGTAATGTGTCTTGATTGTCTTTTAATACAGAGCAGGCCCCCGTTCCCGCTTCATGTCCTTGTTGCAGAAACTGGGTCGGTTGTCCTGGAGAATGCCCCACATTCTGGATCTGTTTATTGGCTCTCTTGTGCTATCATTTAACTTACTCCTGTACCCACCGTGTTTCCTGGAAATGGAAGTTAGTTCCAGAGGATGTATCAGGTTCAGCCACATTGTTTTGCAAGAATATTCCACAGATGGTTCTTTTTGCTTCCTTTTTCCTGAGCCGGGACGGCCACAACTGCTGGTCATCCCACCTTCAGGGATGCTAAGAGTCATCATGGATTTGGCACAGAGTAATCTCAAAGTATTGAACATGATTTTTCTTCTGATTCTCAAAGTCGCACATATTTATTGTAGAAAATTTACAATATATAGATAAGCATAAAACCATCTTAAATATTATCCCTAGATAACTGCTATTAAAATTTTGGTGTAGATCCTTCTAGTATTTCTTCATAATTATTTTATAATGGCCTCTTTCCACTTGCAATAGACAGGAAATATTTTTTGATGCCTTTAAATATTCTTTTCCAATGTCATTGGCTATCTAGTAGTCGTTGTATGGCTCTGTAAGAATTTATTTGATTGACAACTTTTCTATGAGTCATGAAAATTGCAAACTCATTGACCAAAATGCTTATTTGATTTGGCCCCAAACCACTCTGACAGCAAATGACAACCGCATGTCCCTCTGTGTCCTGGGATGGCAGCTCTTCTTCTCCCAGAGAGGAAGGGGTAGGGGAGAGGGTGGTAGATTGGTGATGTTTGAATGTTTTCCTGAAGTGTTGAAATATGTTTTCTGTGTCTTACTGAATAATCTACCTTGCTCCAGTGCTCGAGATCCCACTCCATAGTCTACTAACTGGTTTCATGAGCTCCCAAAATCCTTGTGCCTCAAGTATTCAGGGATCAGCAGCATCAGTGCTGTCTGGGGAGCTTCTTAGAAATGCAGAATCCCAGGCCCCTCCTGAGGCCCTCTGCATCCGAATCTGCATTTTAAACAGATCCCCAGGAGTGAAGTGTGAGACACTGTTCTAAGATACTTGTACTTAATGAATGCCTGGAAAGGCTGGCTTATCTTGTGATGCATGTGGAACAAACATGCTAAATTCAGCCATGGAACAGATCTTCCCTGCAGGCCAACTGGGCATGCTTGCTTTCTAAGGATGGAGGGAAAAGCCAGCAACGCAGCTCAGACATAAGCCTGGCAGTGGCTGGGAGCCTGGGGCGCAGGGTGCATCTTCATAGCTGTGTGATCTCAGGTAAGTTATAAATGGTTTAGTCTGCCCTTTCTCCTCGGTATAATGGAGACCATATTCCTTATTTCATAGGGATGATCTGAGGTTTAAATAATCTCATGTTTATAAAGCACTGAGCAGTGCCCAGCATGTCGTAACTGCTCAGTGAATGTCAGCGATTGTTATTAACTATCAAAAAATGCTAAGTTTTATGAAGCAGCGTTGGGAGCAAGGGTTAATTTGGGACAGCTAATACTTTTAATACTAATACTTAACATTTAAAACTAATATTAAAAGTCATATAGAACTTTTTCCTCCTAACTTCAGCTACAAAATAAGTAACCAATTTCAGCTGCTGGTTCCAAGTACAGAAAGTGATAAGACATTTTAGGTTGACCACCTCTATGTTATGCTTAGAGCAACCACACACCATGCACCGCACATTGCTATCTTATTCTTTTACCCAAATGAAGAAAAAGAAGTAACCAAAAGCCCAACAGCCCCAAACTTCCTACTGCTCTTTTAAAAAAAATATTTCTCTTTAATACAGGCTGAGGCTTCAATATGCTTTGTTTGCAAAGAGACTATATAAACAAAGAGCTTTCACCTTTAAAATGATTTGTCCAGTTCAGTTTTACAGCGTTCTACAGACAGCAACACAACAAAGAGTTATGCACTTTACTGTACTATTTGAAGGAAATGAAATAAAACTACTACCAAACATAGCGTGGACCTTTTTCAACTCCTTGAATAAATATTTGTAAAGCAAGCCTTGGTGGCATGAAGACCATGGGTGATAGAGGATTAATCCGTGATAACACGTTTCTTAAAGATGGATCTCCTGACAATTAGAGGTCAAATTCTTATTCTGGGACTGAGCCAGAATGAGTAAAACACCTTTGGTCGTTAAATACTCTCTCATGCAAGGAAATACATTCTCTTGGGGCATTATTTAACACCAGTGAAAGGAAACAACTCCGTTGCCATTCATAAAAATATTATGTTTACCTTGTATGAATAACCTCTAAAATCTTTGACTTCTCTAAAGCAGGTGAAGAATCATCCTAAATTATCTTAACCTCAGAAAGCATGAGAATCCTCATCACGCCGGTGGCCATTCTCCTTCTTAGATATTTTCCTGCTTCAAGTGGTCATGAGAATCTGACGTTTTCATTGTGAAGCGAATCCCAGGACACTACCGAGTAGACCTGCTAAGTATGGTATGATGAGTAGACTCCCCTGACGTTCGATGCTGTCCAGTCTACAGCTTTCCTGGGGTCAGTGAGTGAACGAGGGCAGGTCTGTTACTGTGTAGATGTGATTCAGAAACTGTATTCCAGGTTAATGAGCCTGGTCCTGTAATTCACCTGTGTGGAACGTGTGACTGGCAGAATTGATAAATGCACACACTTCTAGAAACACTTAGGTGTAGTTTATGTGCATAAAATCTGTTGCAGAATTTGTTGCAGTTAGAAAGCTTATTATCAAGCTGATTAATAACATAACTAATTATACTCAGCTCCTAATTATTTGTACTTTTATTTGTAACTTTTAACTTGTTAGTAGGCCTACACAAATTCATGAATGGGCACTTTCCCTTTATTAATTTTCTGTGATCATTACTTCCTGATTATTTCTAATCTTTTTAGTTTCCTGTGCTTCCAGGCTAATAATTCAAACTCACCTGCATAGAGCAACATTCCAGTTCCTTCAAATCCTATGACTCACTTGCACCCCCCACCACCCCAAAAGATGGCTTACATCCAATTTCTTCTAAACCCATAGCTTGATTTTCATTAGTGTTGTACAAATTTCTCCTAACTTGCAGACCCAAGAGCCAATGTTTAATTCCTGAGGAAGGCATCTGCTATTCCTTCATCCCTCTTCCCTTGGAGTGACTATTTTCAAAATCAGTTTGTGATCTTCATTGTCACAAGCTTAGAAATATTTAGAAATAACTTTCTAAAACATTTGCTCAAGCTTCATGAAAACAAGCGAGGGAAGCCTGCAGCACGCAGGCTGTCTTTTCTCACAGCCAAGCCCAACACGGAACGGTGCTGATAGCTCCTGCGTTTCTTCAGGACGTTTGCCCTGCTGGAAGGTCCTGATTGTTGTCTAACTGGCAACTTGGTCTGAAGAACCTGGAAGAATGGATGTTTTGTGACTATCACTCACCTGCAAAAATTTTGGCTTTGGGGATTTATAATGAAGGCCATGACTTGGGGAAAGTGGCTATTTTATTTTTAGACTACCTAGTTACAAAACAGAACAACATCGGTTACTTTGATGGTTCAGTTGCCATCTCAGTAATAATGCTGTGCGAATATAATTCTCCCAGAGTTTCTCTAGCACGGCAGGCCTCTTGCTTTTTTTTTTCATTGTGGTAAAAATATGTAACATCAAATTTATCATTTTAACTATTTTAAGTATGCAGTTCAGTGGCATTAAGTATATTCACATTGTGGTGCAACCATCACCACCATCTACCCACAGAACTCTTTTTAACGTTGCAAAACTGAAACCTGTTCCATTAAACACAGTGCCCTTTCTTCCTCTTCTCCAGCCCCTGCTGACCACCATTTTACTTTCTGTTTCTACAATTTTTGACTACCCTGAGTACTTCATAGGAGTGGAATCATGCAGTATCTGTCTTTTTTGTGTCTGGCTGATTTGACTTAGTATGTTCTCAAGGTTCATGCATGTAATACCATGTGTCAGAATTTCCTTCCTTTTTAAGGCTGAATAATGTTCCACTGCATGGATATGCCACATTTTATTTATCCACTCATCAGCCAATGGGCACTTGAGTTACTTTTAGGTTTATGTGAATAATGCTGTTATGCACATACATGGGTATAGAAATATCTGTTCAAGTTCCTGCTTTCACTTGTTTTGGGTATATACCCAGAGGTGCAATTGTTGGATCATATGGTAATTCTGTGTTTAGTTTTCTGAGGAATCATTATACTTTTTCCACAGAGGCCTCACCATTTTATATTCTCACCAGCAATGCACAAGGGTTCCAGTTTCTTCATGGCCTCACCAACACTTGTTATTTTCTGCTTTTTTTTTTTAAAAAAAAGAATAACTGTCCTAATGAGTGTGAAGTGGCATCTCATTGTGATTTTGACTTGCATCTCCCTAATGACCAGTGACATTGAACATCCTTTTATGTGTTATCAGCCAGTTGTATATCTTCTTTGGAAAAATGTCCTTTGCCCATTTCGTAATTGAGATGTTAGATTTTTTTGTTAGTTGTTAGGCCCTTTGCTTTTGTAAACGTGAGTGAAGCAATTCCATCAGTCAGTCAAGCAACACTTTCAGACTTTTAGGTGTGAGGCATTGTGCTAAGCTTGTGCCAAATTCTGCTCAGATGGCAGCCTCCAGGTAACGGGACTTGATATTTTCTTGTAGAGTAACTCTCTGGGATTACCCAAAGGATTTTAAAGGGTCTGAAAACCAGACTGTGGGAAGCAAAAGAGTAAATGTGTCCCCAGGCTAATCAGCAGGGAAGACTGATCAGAAAACCCCCTCCTCCCCGGGAGCCACGGCCCACTAAGGTCCTAACTTCTGTCTTTAGATAGAATCTCATTACTAGTAGGAAAGTAGCACCCCTGGAACAAAACATACTTTGGCACTTATGGCTCTTCCAGATGAAAGCTTACAAGTTTTTTAAAACATTTCTTTGAAACTGGGAACTCAACATGATTTAGGCTCGTGAAAAGCCATCGTTAACGTGCACTCTTCTTCCACCACTACATGGACCTTTACTCCACACGCTCTCTAAACACAGATAATTACCATGGTAACCGCAGTGTTTCATGACTCTCATGCATACACTTGCACCTTTCTTAAAGAAACACAGAACACAAAACCTAGAATTAAAACAGTAAATCATTGGAATGTTTTTTATTTGTTGTTGCATAGTTGTCAGAATTTAGAGAAGAGCTGGACCTTGTCATCCGCTATCAATTGTACTTGAAAAAAGTAGACATTTGGCCAGGCCCTTTGACATCCTGCCAGAAAATAGGGTCTTGTTTGTAACATCGTGTAAGGAATGACCGATGGGTTTCTAGATTGTTAGGGTCAGAAGATGCTCGAAGCAGAAAATGTCATTAAGAACACGCAGTACTGAATAGTATAGATTTTCACATGACACATTCCCTGGGCCATCTATCTGCAGTGAAGTTACAGTTATGATTACCCTAATGTTGATAAAAATTTGGGCAAACATGCTTTTTTGGGTAGCATCTAATTTTATCTTTGGTTGTATTTGGAAACATGCACAACAATTTTGTTGGGTCTTCAAAAGTCTTTCATTTTTTTGGCTATGCAAACAAGCCTTTTATTGCCCTGTGAATACTTGATGAGTGGTCAGCAGAATGAAACCCACATGGTGCTTTCACCAAGAGTCATCTTCAGGCTGCTTTTGACTAACAGCAGCATCTGGGCCCTTGGAGACACAGCAGAGCCAAAGATCCACAGGCTGAAGATAAAGCATTTTTAAATGCTCTTAGCAAGCCACCTTTCCTCGGTTTTGAATATTTCACTGCGTTTTGTGCATGTGTGAAAAGAAATATCTTTCTGTAATTCCACATGCAGCAAGGATGAGCCCTTTCTGCCAATGGAATGTAGCTCTGATTTCTCTATCATTAGCCGCTCTGTCTCTGAGATACTAATGTTTTGATGAGACAGAAGAAAGGACTCTCTTCTGCTTGATTGTTTTCTTTTAAATTAAATGTAGTAATAAATCTAACTCAACCAAAATAACTGCTGACCATTTCATATTAACATAGCAGTGAAGATGAACTTGGGCAGTGCATGATGAATGTCTCTCTGTGCTTAGATTGGAATGCCTCCAAACCCTTAAACTCCCACACCAATTTGGAAAAGCCTACCTGAGGTTTTTATATCCTTAGCCTGAAAATTCATTTCTCATGTATAAGATAGAGCCCTAAGTTTCAAGGACGACTGTGCTATACTGCAGAAAGTACACAGAGATAATGTTGGAATGAGAAACTATTTTTTTTTAACCCAGTGAATATATTTTTGCCTTCCACATCTACCATGTGTGTGCCTTTCTATGTTTTCTATAATTTAATTAGAATTCTGTAAGACTCAAGTCTATGAAGTAAATAAATCAACTGGCAATCTACTTATTTACCACGGACCTCCTGTGTGGGGGATTAAGAACAGCTATGACATCATTCTCACCCTTCTCCTGCTGTCTTGTCAACAAAGCTGGTGCATGACATGACAAAATAAGGCAGCCTTCTTCTGAGCCTGGACTGCCAACTGAATACTCTGCTTTCCTGTGCACAAGCTGGAGTAGTCCTGGAATGCTGGGGGGAGGAGGTGAGACCTGAACAGGTGCATGAGAAATGGATAGAATTTGGAAGAAGACCAAGTGATGACATGATGAGAATTCAATGTGTTGATCAGCCTCTGTTTGAAAGAATCATTACTTGTTTCATTTCTGTGTTTGAAAAGCCCCAAATGGTGTATGATGTAGAGATCCTGTACTCACAGAACAAATAGTTTAGTCAGGAGTAAAGAGGGATGTCCAGGTCTTGACAAAGGCCTGATCCCATACCCCTTCAAACTTGGGGGGTGGGGTCAGGTCTTCTTTAAGTCTTACATTTGCCATGAACTCATCTGCCACAGGGAGCTTTCCTGTGCTCTGTCCCTAGCCTGGAGAACCTGTTCCTGTTTACTAGGTCATTCCTTCCCGTCCTTCGGATCTCAGCGCAAACACTGCTTCCTTAGGGGCACCTTCCCTGGTGTCTCTGGAAAGGTAAAAATCAACTACCCTCTTATAGGCAATTATAATCCTTGGTACTATCCTTTGTAGCCACAGTCCACAACTTTATTTATGGGATTATTTAATTATCTATGCATCCCCTATTAGACTGTGAACTTTAAAAGGGCAGAAACTATTGTCTGGCTTTGTTTAACCCTATATCTCTAGTCCCTAGCATCTGGTACCTAGTGCTTGGCATACAGTAGGAGCTCAACAAATGCCTAATGAGTGATATTGCTGAAGAAATCACCTGACTCCTGGTGGATGCTCTTCCTGGGGGTTTAATGATTCTTGTACAGATTCCCTTCCCACACCTCCTTGGGATTACCTTTATTCAATCCTTATCGTCTTGTCCTAGCCTTTTGCTATGGACTCCTAAACGATTTTGTTATCTGCAGTTTTGCCCTTTTTATGTTCCTCTAGGCTAGAATGCCTTTGCCTCTGTATTTTATCTGAAAAAAATCATACTCATTCTTCAAGACCAACCCAAATAGTTCCCCCGATTAGGTCTTCTCCAGTCAACTCCTTCTATACTATTGATAACGGAAGTGCTGAGTAGAGAAAGGCATGGTCCCTTTAAATGATACGGAAGGGGGGAAGGGAAGTGCTGGGTAGAGGAGGGCATGGTCCCTGGCTAGGGCTCCACCTCCTCGGACCTAGGAGAGGACAGGCATTTCCTGCTCAAATGTTGCATTTCCCAAGACCACCATGGCCTGTCACACTCCTATCCCATGCCTATAAAAATCCCCAAGACTCTCGCAGGCAGACACACAGGCAGCTGGATGTGGAGAGAAGCACATCAGCAGAGGAACACATGGGTGGCTGGACGTTGACACTGACAAGCACCTGCACGCCAGCAGGCCACCAACTGGCAGAGTGATGGTTTGGTTTTGGTCGGAGAAGAGCCCAGGCCGTCGAGCAGCCCGACTCCAGGGGAAAACCATCTCCCTTTTGGCTCCCTCATCTGCTGAGAGCTACTTCCTCTCAATAAAACCTTGGGCTCATTCTCCAAGCCCACGTGTGATCCAATTCTTCTGGTATACCAAGGCAAGAACCCTGGGATACAGAAAGCCCTCTGTTCTTGGGATAAGGAAGGGGCTAATTGAGCTGGTAAACACAAGCTGCCTATGGATGGCTAAACCTAAAGAGCACCCCGTAACACACGCCCACTGGGGGTCAGAAGCTGTAAACATTCACCCCTAGACACTGCTGTGGGGTCAAAGCCCCACAGCTTGCCCATCTCCCCTAGAGGTTTGAGCAGTGGGGCACTGAAGAAGAGAACCACACCCCCATCACATGTCCTGTGAGGAGGACAAAGGAACTTTGCTGTTTCACCATCAATTGCCAGGTAGATAGCTCTACCTTTTGCTCTTCTAACAATGTACTGTAACTACATGTTTACATGTCTATTTGCCTTAATGGACTGAATTCCTGGAGGACATGGGTCATGCTATTTATGTAATTATTTCCATCTTGTCTATATCTGACCAGTGCAGAACGCAGTCCACATACAGTGCTTCAATCCATGGGGTGGAGAATGCATTCCCTTTTTAGCCTGACATGTCATGTTGCTCTTTCAGTAAAACAAAAACATACACGGGAGAAACCACACTATGTTGCCTTTACATGAGCTGCAGTTGCTGTTATGAGGGCTTCCTCCTCCTGGTAGAGTTTGTTTTTTGAACCTGATGGAAGCACTTTATGATGATCCCTTAGTGTGTTTGATACTGTTTTTGGTTTGTTTGCTCCAGTCTATTGAGATCTTCTAAATCTTGATCTTGTTATAAAACATATTATATGGGATTATCCATTGACTTGTGTGTTTTCATTTTAAAGAGAAATGTCAGGCCCATGAATTAAAACTCTAGCATATCATTGGAAACTCCAGTTGATCTTACTTTCGTAATTAAAACTCTTTGGCAGTTCAATCAGTAAGAAATCTACAAAGCTGAATTATTAACTTTTTAATTTTTTAATTCACACCCAGAAGTAAAATACTCGAGGAGACTTTGTTGAAAAGCTGATTGAAATTAAGGTGTCAGTATTTGTAGCATTCTGCTACTCCACACCTTATTCCTCCAACCAAAGGTCACAGTGGGTTAATTTCTCCAGCCTGCTGGTGGTGACCCCATGCTGGCTCCCAGGCCTTGCTGCTTCCTTTTGAAGGTGTTTACCACCCTACATTTAATAATTTATTAGAGAATTTTTTCTAGAGATTGACATAAACTCTTTAATATTACTCTTTTCCCTGTTTTCAATCTTTCATTACCTCTCCTGTTCTCTCCAAAATTGAAATACAATGATTGTGATCATATTTGCGAATCCTTTTAGTACTTTGAATGTTGTTCAGTGGGCCCTGGAGACTTGACTTTTTAAGATCAGCAGGTAATATTTCTTACTATTGTTATTTATTTTGACTTTCAATCCATTGAAGCATTTTGTCTTTTCAATTTTACGACCCACCGCAAATGTTCAGAAACATATCTGTCTTACTCATCATTTCTATAGTACTGACACATAATGAGCTCTTAACAAACATTTATTTGTTCATGTAATTATTATTTCACTTAATCCAGTAAGTGAAATAGACACGTAAACAAGTAATTGCAGTACACTGTGATAGGAGCGAAAAGTAGAGCTGTCTACCTGGCACAGTTGATGGTACAGGAGGAGCTGACTGGAGAAGTCTTAATGGAGGGAACTCTTTGGGTTGGATTTTGAAGAATGAGTATCATTTTTTCAAAATAAAATGCAGGTAGCAAAGGCGCTTCATTGCTGGATGCTATAACCTTCGGTGTACAGTGACAAGATTGGATTCGCATTGTTGAGGCTTACTCCGGCTGCATGAGCAGCTGTTTTCACGAAAAAGGGCAAAACTGCAGACAGCAATGAGATGAATGAAAGTTCAATCAAACGTGGACTCTGCCTACCAGATTTGTAACCCAGTGAAAACTGTTTCAGCTGTGGGTCACCTTCTAATTTTGTAGATATTCCCATTGCCTTAAACATGCTCTATTTTATTTTATTCTGTATTTTTTCATTTTTACTTGTTTTCAAGTAAATTGGTTCACATAAAAATCTTTTTTTTTCAACTTTTATTTTAGATTCGGGGGTGCATGTGCAGGTCTGTTACCTGGGTATATTGTGTGATACTGAGGTTTGAGGTACGAATGATCCTGTCACCTAGGTACTGAGCACTGTACCCAACAGTAAGTTTTTCAACCTTTCCCCTTCTCCCTCCCCCTCCTCTCTAGTAGTCCCCAGTTTCTGTTGTGCCATCCTTATGTCCATGAGTACCAATGTTTAGCTCTCACCTGTAAGTGAGAACATTGGGCATTTGGTTTCTGTCTAGCTCCATCCATGTTGCTGCAAAGGACATTATTTCATTATTTTTTATGGCTGTGTGGTATTCCATGATGTATATTTACCACATTTTCTTTTTCCAATCCACTGTTGATGGGCACCTAGTTGAGTCCATGTTTTTGCTATTGTGAATAGTGCTGCAATGAACATGTAAGTGCATGTGTCTTTTTGGTAGAATAATTAATTTATTTTCTTTTGGAAATGTACCCAGTAATGAGATTCCTGAGTCAAACGGTAGTTCTAAGTTCTTTGAGAAATCTGCAAACTGCTTTCTGCAGTGCCTGGCCTAATTTACATTCCCACTAACGGTGTGTAAGTGTTCCCTTTTCTCCACAGCCTCACCAGCATCCACATAAAAAAATCTCAAAAATATCTCAGAATGCATATTTTACTTCTAAACCCAGTTTATTTTCATTAACAATATCAAATGCTTATTTCGAGTAACAATATCCTCATTAAATATACTTTCAAGATTTAAATCATGTTTTCCCTTACTTGACCTGTGATGAAAAACTTACCAAATGGATTATAATATGCTTCTCGTGATATGCCTCTAAGCCACTGGCAGTCAAGAGAAAAGTGTTTCATATCATCATAAAATCAGATGCTCAAATTAACAGTCTCATCCCTCCCTTAAATGAATGGTAAAAGGATTGGTTTTCATAGATCAAGAATGTCACTTCAATTCAAAGTAATTTATAATGATAATTTAAAAAAATTAGTACCTGCATTCTCAAACCACCGGCAAAATGGAAAACACAGGCATTACAGGTTGACATTCAGGAGAACCTATACTTAGACGACCTAAAGATTTGCATCTGGAAGAAAATGACTGGAATAATCAGATGAAATAAAAGGGAACTATAGATGTTTATTGTCATATTAAAGTTACACCTGTTGAGGATGTCTTTTGGTGGGGTGAGGTGAGGACTCACCCATGATGTGTCCTATAAAATATTGATAGGGGAATATGTTTACTGTCTTTTCTTCCCTTAGTACCTTAAAAATAATTACTTTGCTTTCAACATGAACACTTTTCAAAAGACGACATGCAAGCTGCCAGCAAACATGAAAAAATGCTCAGTATCACTAATCGACAGAAAAATGCAAATCAAAACCACAGTGAGATACCAACTTACACCTGTCAGAATGCCTATTATTAAAAAGACAAAAAAAACACAGATATTGGTGAAGATGCAGAGAAAAGGGAATGCTTGTACACTGTGGGAATGTAAATTAGTACAGCCTTCGTGAAAAACATGGAGATTTTTCAAAGAACTAAAAATAGAACTGTGTCGTGAATTGGTTCCTTCTAGTGGGTTCTTGGATTAGCTGACTTCAAGCATGAAGCCGCAGACACTCGTGGTGTTACAGTTTTGTTTTGTTTTTGTTTTGAGACAGAGTCTCACTCTTTCACCCAGGCTGGAGTGCAGTGGCGCTACGTCATTTCACTGCAAGCTCCATGTCCCAGGTTCACGCCATTCTCCTACCTCAGCCTCCCCAGTAGCGGGGACTACAAGCGCCGACCACCAGGCTAATTTTTTGTATTTTCAGTAGAGACGGGATTTCACCCTGTTAGCCATGATGGTCTCGATCTTCTGACCTCGTGATCCACCCGTCTCGGCCTCCCAAAGTGCTGGGATTACAGGCGTTAGAAGTTTTACAACTCTTACAGATAGTGTGTCTGGAGTTTCTTCCTCCTGGTGGGTTTGTGGTCTTGCTGATTTTAAGAGGAAAGCCGCAGACCTTCACGGTGAGCGTTGCACCTCATAAAAGTAGGCACTGCCGACCCAAACAGTGAGCAGCAGCAAGATTTATTGTGAAAAAAGAACAATGGTTCCACAGCCCGTAAAGGGACCCCAGCAAGTTGCTGACTGTTGGCTCCGGTGGCCAGCCTTTATTCCCTTATTTGGCCCCACCCACATCCTGCTGATTGGTCCATTTTACAGAGCACTGATTGGTCCATTTTATAGAGTGCTGATTGGTCCGTTTTTACAGAGTGCTGATTGGTTCATTTACAAACCTTTAGCTAGACAGAGAGCACTGATTGGTGCATTTACAATCCTTTAGCTAGACAGAAAAGTTCTCCAGGTCCCCACCTGATTAGCTAGACACAGAGTGCTCATTGGTGTGTTTACAATCCTTTAGCTAGACAGAAAAGTTCTCCAAGTCCCCACCTGTTTCAGAAGCCTAGCTGGCTTCACCTCTCAGAACTACCATTCAGTCCAGCAGTCTCACAACTGGGTATCTACCCAAAGGAAAATAAACCATTATATCAAAAAGATACCTGTACATGTATGTTTATTGCAGTAAAATTCACAATTGAAAAGATGTTGAATCAGTGTAAGTGTCCATCAGTGGATGATTGGATAAAGAAAATGGGGTACTTATACCCATGGACTACTACTTAGCTATAAAAAAGAAAGAAATCATGTTGCTGCTACAGAACTGGAGACATTATCCTAAGTGAGATAACCCAGAAACAGAAAGTCAAATACTATATGTTCTCACTTATAAGTGAGAACTAAATGATGAGCACACATACACAGTGGAAAAATAGACATGGGAGACTTCAGAAGTGGGGAGGTTGAGAGGAGGGAAAGGGTTGAAAAATTATCTATGGGGTACGATGTTCACTATTCGGGTGACGGGTATGCTAAAGGCCCAGACTTCACCACTATGTAATATACCCATATAAGTAAACTGCACCTGTACCCCAAAAATCTATATAAAAAAATAGTGTTGCAAATAAACAAACACAAGAAAAAATAATCCCTTTGCTTACAAAGTATTGACTCTATTGCCCTGGCGAATGGGTGAAGAGCTGTGCAACAGACAAAGTGAGTGATGATGCTGGCGCCATATTGAAACGGGACTGGAGAGAGTCAGGTTGTGGGGATGGAAAGAATAAAGGGAGAATACACTGCAGATAGTCTGAATTTTACATCAAAATAAGAGAGTGGGAGGGAAAGGAAGTCAGGAAGAAGAAAGAAAAAAAATTAGGAGGAATGGCCCACGTTAAAGGCGGCTCTAGGCACTAGTGGCTGAGTAAGTCAGTGGTTGACCATTTGCATAGAAGACATGTCACCTTGTCTTGCAGCCACTCCCAGAGATCAACTTTCATTTATGACACGTCAGAAGTGGGGAGGCCAGGGAGTAACTCGAAGGGTCAGGGAAAGCAGCCAATGTTCCTAGTTGACGTGGAGGTTTAGCTGGGCAGAAGCTAAACTAAGGGGGTGTTGGAGAGGACGGCTTCCTTTAGCCCAAGCCGGACAGGACCCATAGATAAACTGGCTTCTAAATGGCAGGGGTAAAGGGCTTGGTTGGGATTGACATGACACAGCTGCACCGAATCCTCCGGTCCCCAGCACGTGTGGTTTCTGAGGTCTTGCTTTTCCCAGAGGGCCTGGCCTGGTGGTAGCATTCTTTCTACTTCAGCACCTCAACCTTCTACAATGGCAGGAGGCCGTGGGCCCACCTCCCACTCGCCTGGAGCTGGCATGGGCTAGGAATCCGGAATCTAAAACTGCCACTAGTCTGTTTACAATTCAGTCCTTTTAGGTTCAAATCCATTTCTGAACCTTGAAGAACTGGCTCTTTTAGAAGCATTCCTTCTGGTGCAGGAAGGAAAAAAACATAAACGCAATTAAAAAGATATTAATCTACTATTTATTCCTCTTTTTGTATTGTAA
Source organism: Homo sapiens (assembly GCF_000001405.40). NCBI lineage: Eukaryota > Metazoa > Chordata > Mammalia > Primates > Hominidae > Homo > Homo sapiens. The sequence continues at coordinate 21,834,446 of NC_000013.11, forward strand.
TATTAATGTAATTTTTATCAATTATTACTTTTTACTGCTTTGATCAGAAGACTGTGTCCACTGTCTGCATATTATCTGGGGACAGTGTTATTGTGTGTTTCCTGTTTTGGCACGTGGAGGATAGAAATATTAAAAAATGACCTGCTCTGCCTGTTAAACACGCTTGGTTCTCTCCTGGCTCTGGTGGAGATAACATCTTGAGCAAAGGCTTAGGGTGAGGACTGTTCCGAGGGTCTGACTGATTGATTTGTTAATCATTTCTTCCTTTTGTGAATTGTCAACAGTGTTAGTGCTGGAGACAGAATGGCACACAAGGTGAAAAATCTGGTTTTGGTCGCAGTAAATTCCAGAAGCCGGGGGCAGAAAATGCAGCAGAGTTGTGGTTAGCCTACTGGTCTCCTCTCTGCTTTGGTGGAAATCAAAGCACAGTAGGCCTAGAAGGTTGACAATCCTGCCCAGGCGATCCCTTCCCAGCCTTTATCTCTAACCATTTCCCAGCCTGCTTTTTGCTTTTCCCAGCTCCCCACAGGGCAGACTTTCAGGATTAGTGTGAAACCCCTGAGAAGGAGCAATTGAATTGGAGCAAATAAAACTAAAGTGGAAGAAGTTGTGGCACATGCGAAAATCTGGAGAGGGCAAAGGAAGTTACAAATTGTTGATTTAATAAGCCCAAGAAAAGTTACACATCCTAAAAACATATAAATTGCAATAACATAAAATGGAGTTTCCTTGCATGCAATTTCAGGTAATTCAGGAAAACAAAGAGATTTCAATTACTGTATGAGCAATTCAGCTTGCTTATTTAACAAGAAGAAGCTCTTACATTATTTTCTCTCCTGCAGACTCATCCACTTCTAAAAACAATCACGTGCTGTTTTTCTATTCAGCTCAAATGACTTGATTAATTAGAAATATATATCAAGAAAAGGAAATCACTTTGGTATCATTCATACTATGTAGTGAGCCCAATTAACTGATTCGTCAAAATAGCATCTTTTGTGTATGGAGCATAATTGTAGAAATCATCAGCTTAAATTTTTAAGATGACTGACAATAGTACTAACATAGCAAATCTCTACTACAATAAAAAGCATTTTATGTTGTCACATTTTATACAGCATAGAGATTTATACTGTGATCAATAGCAGAACAAATGGATCTTGGGGCTGTAGCAGGCAAAAAACCGATATTCATTCAGACACCACTCACAATATTCCGCCAGAATTTCCTTGATGCCCGTGTCAGGGGATCCTAGAGAAGTGTACCATTTGGTCTGAATAGTTTGAATGGACTCAGAGATATTTAAGTCCTATTATCCAACCTATGTGCATGTCAAATGTAATTGACAAAATCTTTATATGTGGAATAGTGGTAAAATATCGAGAAGACACCAAAATGCTCTCTAGTGTGAAGACTCAGCCCTGTGACAGGAAGACTTCTGGACCCGACTCTGGACTCCAAGTCAGAAGTGGATTTGAGACTCAGACCCAAATCATTTTGCCTTTTTTTTTTTTTTTTTTTTGAGACAGAGTCTTGCTCTGTCATCCAGACTGGAGTGCAGTGGTGCAATCTCGGCTCACTGCAAGCTCCGCCTCCCGGGTTCACGCCATTCTCCTGCCTCAGCCTCCCTAGTAGCTGGGACTACAGGCACCCACCACCACACCCCGCTAATGTTTGTATTTTTAGTAGAGACGGGGTTTCACCATGTTAGCCAGGATGGTCTCGATCTCTTAACCTCATGATCCACCCTCCTTGGCCTCTCAAAGTGCTGGGATTACAGGAGTGAGCCACTGCACCCGGCCCACTTTGTCTTTTTAGGTCTTATTTTCCACATCTGGATGAGAGCCCTAAGGTATCCTCAGGCTCTGAATTTCATGAGTCTATGAATTCTTGGCTTAATCAGGGTTTATGAGATGTTGCTGCCCACAGACTTCTCTCTTCCAGATTAGCAGAGCTGTGGAGGGAAGAATGTCTGTTTGATGTCTTTTTCCTTCACTAAACTGTAAACCACTGGAGGGCAGGGACAATGACAAACACACAGGTTATCACACACAGGGCCTCAATCAGCAACTGGCTTTTCTTCTTTTCTTTTTAGTTGATATGCAATAATTCTATATATTTATGGGATACAGAGTGGTGTTTCCATACGGGTATACAATGTGGAATGATCAAATCAGGGTAATTGGCACATCCATCGCCTCAAACACTTATTATTTCTTTGTGTTGTGAACATTCAAAATCCTCTGTCCCAGATTTTGAAAATTTATGACAAAGTCAATCAGCAGCCATTGAATGAATGAATGAATGGCCTGCTGGGAACTGAGGGCAGAAGCACTGGCGGGAAGAGCCTCACATGACAATGAGGGTGTGCTGCTTTTTTTTCTGGCTAGAAAATGTTCTTGCTTGTTCTTTTAAAGATGGACTTTAACTGGCCAAAGACTTAGATCCAAAGAGAATATTAATCTGAAAGTAACAAAGTGTGAGTTTTATAGGCTCTGGACAACTCAGGCCCAGCTGTTTCTTTTTAGTGGGGATGGCCTTTCTCTCACTCGCCATTCTTTGCCAGGGGGGTTCATGCTCTCTGACATTCCCTTGCAAGAAGAAGGCCTTTCTCTGTTGTTCTCTCCTCATTTTAGAATAGGTTGAGTTTTCTTTGAAAAACTAAGTCTCCCTTAAGGTTTTAATGGTGGCCCGAATGGAGACCTTATCAGTCTTTGTTGAAATCTCCAACCTCTTTAGAAGTCTGGTTAAAATGTCTCTCTCTGCTCCCTGGCCTCTCTGGTTCTCCAAAATCATAATACCATCCTCTTCCGAATTTCTGTCACACCTGTGGTTATAGTACCTCTCCTCTGTGACTAATCACAGACTGATCTGGGGTAGGCCCCATGCCTTCTGCCGAACCCCACTCTGCTCCAGGGCAGACACTGGCTGTATTAATTTCGTATGCTTTCTAGCCCTTCCCCCTGCCCCTTTCTCTCACTGGCTGCTAGTAGGCATTTGTTGAACGTGTGACTGAATGATTTCTAGGGAAGTTGAGAAATGGACTCAGTCATATTCTATTATGCCAGGTAAGTCATAGACTTTTAGGGATAGCAGAGATCTGAGGGATGATAGCATCCAAGTTAATCATTTTATATTTGGCTTCCTTTCTTAACACATCCCTGTGAGGTGGAATTCTGGGATTTCAACAAGACTGCAAAGACAAGAGATTTTCAACAGCACCAAGAGCTGCAGTTGCAAACACCTTGTTCAGAAAGCAGTGTTGGAGCCTGTCTATTTCCACAGCACAGACATTAGCAAAAGAGACTGAGTCGATGTGGATCGTTTAAATTCGGGGAGATTTGTACATCAATTTTATAGCTGGTGTAGCCTCTTTCTTCCTCTCCCACAACTCCTACACTTAACATTTTACTTTACTATTGTTTGGTCTCCTGTGTCAAATAAAGCACCTTTTATATTTAATACAATAGGCCCAGTGTCGAGTTTGTCTAGTCCAAAGTGCTGTGCAAACATTAACCCATGCGACTCCCCTTGACCCCACGTTGCCCACCCTGTTTAAACACTACAGTTTTTCTAGATAACCACTTGGGGCAGTAGCTATAAAAATTATAGAAAGCACAGGAGAGTTTAAATATCTGCTAGGGTGTGTTGCATACTGATGTTTCCCCTGATGTTAAAGGTCTTAAATCCTGATTGTTTACAGTTCAAAAGTCTTCCGGAGAGATGATTAAGGGCAAGATGCATGAAACAGGAAGTGGCTGGATGCCCTGTAGGAGACGAGGGCTTTTGATGATAGACTGTTCAAAATATTTCAAAATAGCGATATCCAAAGATTTTATGACCCAAGTAGAATTAAGCAACAAATTCTTGAGACTCTCCGTAAATCAAAAATCACCTCCCCCCAAAAATAAAAATATCTGGCCGAGTTTTGGGGAGTGAAGATGTTAGTTTATCTAGATGGCATGTTGACTATCCCTCGTTCTTGGGAGCCTGTGTTTTCCTCTTCCATCTGAGAGGCGGAGCTCATCCCTCCTTTCTGCCTTTGGAATTTGTAATACATTGTAAAAAGTCCATTCCAATTCTATGACGAGGAATGGAATTTGAGGAGTTCACAGTTACTTTAGCTCTCTAACTTAAAAAAATTTTTACAAAAGAACTGTATTCCATTATCAGAAGAATTTTTTAAAAATTCAAAAATAGCAATTACAATGAAAATTTAACAGTTCCCCCAAATTCTTGTTTCCAATTTATGTAAAACTTTAAGCCAGTCGCTTCAGTTCTGTGGGCTTTTTCCTCATCTTGACTACTCATGTTTCTTTATTTTGACTATTTGTTCAATATCTCAGTTACTGTAAAATTGGCTTAAAAATAATAACTGAAGGAAATAAAATTAGTAGTACTGGCCCCCAAACTTTGAAATTTTGTATGTTATCAGTATTTTCATCTCTGATGCTTTGCGGAGAGCTTATGGCAGCATATTCAGACCTGTGTTGCTGTCTCTTTGCCCTGTGTGCATGTAAGTGTATGTGTGTGTGTGATTGCATGTATGAATCTTCCGCCTCGTGGAAAACAGACACCTTCAACACACCTAATGGCTTAAATGTCTCTTATTTACTGTTTAAATGACAGTTTAATAGGAAACACTTTTTACGAAATGTCTCAGAGTTAATGGTATTTTGAAAACAAATGAATTTTATCATTTTAGTCCTATTTTTGTCCAGTAAGTAAAATGTAAATGTGTGACTATCAGCCAAGATAAATGGGAATTGCTCTCCACATCTTTTGAGCAGTCTCTTGCGGATTCAATGTATATTGTAGCTCCCTGCATGAAGGCTGATGGAGTCTCCGTGTTGAGGGACAAGGATGACACTAGCATCTTGAGCTCTTCCTGTTATGGTGAGAAATGGGCCTTGTGAGTTAAAGGCCCCAAGAAGTGAAGAGCCCATAGCTGTGTCCAGATTTCCATGCATTCTCCATTGGCAGAAATGTGTGAATCAAAATAAAATGCTTCTAAATTCTAAAATGACAAAGTTCTGATTTTCCTCCATTATTTCTCCAGTGCTTTTATTTTATTTTTTAAATTCCAATATCAAGTTATTTCAAACTGATGTCTTGGTGCCACTGCCTTGCTTTTTCATATGTGCTCAGAGTGCAATTGACACGAAGAGGAGAGCATGACAAAACCTACGGCAAAGGCTGACATCAGATGAGATTTGCCGAATTAGGGACTACCCATCAGATTACTTCTGTATGTATGCAGGTCTTGTAAACTCTCAGGCAGATGCAGAGCCCAGCATAGTTCCTGGCACATACTGAGTTTCACGTTTACATAACATTTTTCTACCTAAGAATGTTGATAAGTCAAGGAACAATGCCAATACTTATGAAATGCACGTACAATAATATTTATATACAGAAATGTCCATGAATGTTAATAAATCTTCAAATAGGGATTACACAAATGTGGAAAAACAGGTCTTTTGCCTGAGAATCTCTTTTCACCATGGAATAGCAGATGGTTTGTTCTGCTTTTCCCCTTGTGAGGCAAGTAGGTTTTTCCCAAGTTCTGTTTGTTAAAATTTTCATGCCTTTTCACTCTTTCAGAATAGGTTCTCTTATCATTTTTTTGCATAAAATCATAAAGTTATAAAACTGTAATTACCAAAATAGGGTTATAGCTTGAAACATGTTGAAACACCTTATCATGGATGACTAAACTGGTGGAAAATCTGGAAAAACATTGTATTAAATTTCTAGTTTTAAAAATTATTGCTTAATGTTGTGCAGTGCAGCTATACCACACAAATCTAAATCTACTATGGGTCAAATCATGTTTTCTGAAAGGAGTTACATTAAAAGCCTGTTATAAAACTATTATGAGGAGTGACCTTAAATGAATGCCTTGCTTGTTAATTGAAAAATAATCTAATTTCAGAATGGAAGTTAGTATGAATTCCACCGTATATGGCAAGGTGAGTGTTTCCAAACTCTAAATTTAGTACTATCTGAGTGAGGCTAATGGAAAAGTATCTTCCAAAATAACATGAAACATATTAGAACAGATTTTAGTGTGTTAAATCACAATAGAGCTTTTAAACATATTTATGGAATTACATGCTACATAGTAAGGTCAGCATTTTCAGAGACCCAATGTTTAAGTTTGTCTTGAATTTTAAAAAGAAATTTCACGTTATTCAAAAATAGGTTTCAGCGGCTTAGTAGAGTTTGAGAAGAAAAAGCTAATTCAGTTACAAAGTTATACCAAGATGGAAAACATACTTTAATTCAATATGAAAAATTGCCAGAATTCTTTTTAGTGTGTTTGCATAACAAAAATAGCCAGTGCTATGAATTTCATTTTTGCCAAAATTATGACATTCATCAAGGAAGAAAATGGCACATGAACCATTTATGTGTGTGAATTTATGCTCCAAACTGTGAGGTAGTTTGGTGAGGAAAACTACTTTAGAGATTTGTCTTTCTCCAGCTGAGATTTTTGAATTCCCCATGATACTGTGTTATATAAAATAACTTTTTGAGTTGATGTCTTAAATTTGGAGAAAGCAAAATCTTTTTGTTTCTAATGTTACTTTTTTCTCTTTTTAGCTGTGTTGTATTTGTTTAGATGATGTATTTGTTGTGTTGATTTTAGAGTTTTTCCCTGCATCTTTTGTGGAGTAAAGATACTCTCCTGCTCTTCTTTTCTATTTGTTTTTTCATGACTTCCGAGGAAGGTGAGATGGCTGTTGCCATTGCGATGTAATGTTCAGTGTATGAAATGACAGTAGCAAACCTTTCCAGGGATGCTTATCTGGGGTGCTGTGACTTTCTCTGCCCTTCGGGCTCCTGGCTTTTGATGGCAATGTTCAATATTGTCTTTCAAGGATCTGTCTTAATAAGGCCTGAACGCATTCTTTAACTCAGGACTTTCTAATGATGACAGAACCACACTCTGACCTAGAAGCATGCACTGTTTACAAACATTTATCTCCAGCCTACGGACAAGCATAACAACGACAGCAGCAAGCAGTGGCCACAATGGCCAACATTCAGTCTATTCCTTTTAAGGAATTTGGGAACCATTAGTCAAGAAACTGTTCCTGTCCTGAGCTTTTCTGGAGGCCTTCTTCTTTCCACATCTGTTAAACTCATCTCCGTCCCCTACCCTTTCTAGCCTATGCTGTTTGCGTTGGAATGGTCAGCTCCTTGTATGGGGGCACTTCTGCATTCATAAACACATACGAAGTGCCTGGTTGGTTTGGGTGCCACGTGAGGCTGGAAGTAGCAGACGAAACATGGTTCCTATTCTCCAAAGCTTACAGAGGGTGGGAGGAGATACCCAGGGGACCCTCTGACTGCACAGCAGTGACACCCTCTGCAGGAACTGTGAGAGCACTAAGGAGGGCCAATTGAAAAAGCTGGGGTGTCAGAGGGATGATTGCAACAGTCAAACTGACCTCTTAACCAGAGACAATATAATGCTAGCTGTCAACTTTGCATTGTATTGTTGCAGAATACAACAATGCATGGGTGATAGGAAAACAATTATTACCTGTTTAGGGCATTTTGTCTTGAAGGTCGCATTCTGGTTTTGTAAAAATATTGCTTCTGTGGTATCTTAAGAAGGCTATTTCACGGCTGCTTGTTTCTAAAAGGAAGTTTTTTTTTTATTAAAGTATTTACACCCCAAGGATGAAATTAAAAATAAGGAAATTGGTTTCTGCTCAGGTCACTTAGCAATTGCTCAAAGAAAGCCTGAAGGAAGTGAAATCAGCGTGTCAAAGACATATCTCCACTCCCAGGTTCCTTGCAGCACTGTTCACAATAGCCAAGAGACGGAATCAACATAAGTGTCTGCCAGTCAGTGGATAAATGGATAAAGAAAATGTAGTATATGTACACAATGGAATAGTGTTCTGCCTTAAAAAAGAATGAAATCCTGTCATTTGCGGCCACATGGAGGAGCCTGGAGGACATTCTCTTAGGTAGAAAAAGCCAGTCACAGAAAAATAAATATCACATGTTCTCACAGGTATGTGGAAACTAAAAAAGTTGATCTCATAGACAGAGAGAGTAAAATGATGCTTACCAGAGACTGGGGTGGTTAGGGGGAAGGGGGATGGGGAGATGTTAATCAAATAATATATAATTACAGTTAGGAAAATAAAAAATGTCCAGAATAGGCAAATATATGGAGACAGAAAGTAGACAAGTGACTGCCTGGGGTGGGGGATTGGGGAAAGGAAGAGGATAAGTGGTTGGGGTAGAGAAATGGGGACTGACTAGTCATGGGTATGGGGTTTTTTTTTTTGAGTAATGAAAATGTTCTAAAATTGATTGTGGTGATGGTTGCATAACTGTGAACATACTAAAAACCACTGGATCGTACACTTTATTTATTTAATTTTATTTTTAAAATTAATTAAATTCTACAGTATTTATCTCCAGAATTAATTTTTTTCCCATGAAGGTTGCAATACATAAGCTTAAGAAAGCCAAAGTTATTTTTTACCTTTGCCCATCTTTAATAACTAATGGTGAAACATATATGAGATACGAATTAATTTTTTGAAAGCACTGACTTCAATAAAAAGATAATGTTTATTTGGTCGGATTGTTGCCAACTCTGAAGGAGGCAAACCCAAAGTTTGGTCATTTAAAAAATTCTAGGCTGGGCGCGGTGGCTCACGCCTGTAATCCCAGCACTTGGGAGGCCGAGGCGGGCGGATCACGAGGTCAAGAGATCGAGACCATCCTGGCTAACATGGTGAAGCCCCGTCTCTACTAAAAAAAATACAGAAAATTAGCCGGGCATGGTGGCGGGCGCTTGTAGTCCCAGCTACTCGGGAGGCTGAGGCAGGAGAATGGCGTGAACCTGGGAGGCAGAGCTTGCAGTGAGCCGAGATGGTGCCACTGCACTCCATCCAGCCTGGGCGAAAGAGAGAGACTCCGTCACAAAAGAAAAAAAAAATTCCAAAAGGAAAACAGAAGCAAATGAAACTGACCGGATGCCTAGAAGCAAACAGATTTTATTCGAATATCCGGTTGGATACACAAGTCTGGAGTGATGTGGTGAGATTCGGGGAATGAGCCTGACCTGGGCACTGCTGGCAGGGATGGTGTTGCAGCCAAGGAACTGCTGGGCGGCGTCGGACTCAGCCCTCCTTGTCCACTGCCTCAGTGACCTGGCTACATCACCATCAGTGTCCTTAGCTATCAAATTAGAAAAACAGTCCCCAGTGTGAGGACTGGATGAGGTGGTGTTCGTACAATGCTGAGCAGAAATCCTGGCAAATGGAATCTCCTCCACAAAAATCCTATGAGCCTAAATTGTTCCTCTCTTTTGGGTACTTACTGCTTCCTACCTTACGGTTTAACTATTTCATGTTCTATGTCAGCTTTTTTTTAAATTTTTTTTTTTTTTTTTTTGAGACGAAGTCTCGCTCTGTCGCCCAGGCTGGAGTGCAGTGGAGTGATCTTGGCTCACTGCAAGCTCCGCCTCCCGGGGATTCACGCCATTCTCCTGCCTCAACCTCCGAAGTAGCTGGGATTACAGGCGCCCGTCACCACGCCCTCTTATTTTTTTTTTTTCCAGTAAAGACGTGGTTTCACCGTGTTAGCCAGGATGGTTTCAATCTCCTGACCTCGTGATCCGCCCTCCTCGGCCTCCCAAAGTGCTGGGATTATAGGCGTGAGCCACCGCGCCCAGTCTCTGTGTCAGCTTTTTGAAGACAGGGCCTGTGTCAGATTCATTTTTCTGCCATCTACATCTCCTAGTAGATTAAATATTCTAGGAATATTTGTTGAATGAATATATGAAGGGTTGATTACAGATAAGCGCTGTTTAAATATTTTTACTATGTTTGGTAGGGACTTTTTAGGATGTGGTGTCTGGTACTGGCTGACACAGATGTATAAACTGAACATAGAATCTGAACATCATGAATATACTTGGAACAGCTTTGGGTGGTCGCAGATGTAAGTTTTACATTGTCTCAAATTAGAATCTGGGCAAATGTTGAAATAATCAATAAGTGTTGTGTCCCAAATGATAAATTCCTAACTTCTGTGGAATGGATCCCTCAACCTTGAGTCTTTTTTTTAATTTTTTATTTATTTTTTATTTTTTTTTTGGAGATGGAGTCTGGCTCAGTCGCCCAAGCTAGAGTGCAGTGGCGCAATCTCGGCTCACTGCAAGCTCCGCCTCCCAGGTTCACGCCATTCTCCTGCCTCAGCCTCGCGAGTAGCTGGGACTACAGGCGCCCGCCACCACACCTGGCTAATTTTTTGTATTTTTAGTAGAGACGGGGTTTCACTGTGTTAGCCAGGATGGTCTCGATCTGCTGACCTCGTGATCTGCCCATCTCAGCCTCCCAAAGTGCTGGGATTACAGGCGTGAGCTACCGTGGCCTGCCAACCTTGAGTCTTCATAAAAACAGATTCAGGAAAGTATATGTTTATCCACTAGTGATGGATAAAGGAGGTCCATTTCTTTTTCATGAGAATAATTGTTATATATTGAACTGCTTTAAAATTTTGTTTCTTCTCATTGAAATTCCTAAGCTAGGCTACTGGCAGGGTATCCACATGTGGCCTTGTCCAGAGGTTTAAAGAACTATATTTTGCCGGGCTTTCGCCTAAAAGGAGATCCATGTAGACATTATGAATTTGTAGGCTACACTTAGGAAGAACATGTGCACCCATTTTGTTTGTTTGTTTTTTTGAGATGGGATCTTGCTCTGTAGTCCAGGCTGGAGTGCGGTGGAGCCATCATAGCTCACTGCAGCCTTGAACTCCTTGGCTCTAGCACTCTTCCATCCTGAACCTCCGGAATACCTGGGACTACAGGCTCGCACCACCAGACCTGCATAATGAAAAGAATTGTAGAGACTGGGTCTCACTATGTTACCAAGGCTAGTCTTGAGCTCCTGGGCTCCAGTGATCCTCTCACCCTGGCCTCCCAAAGTGCTGGGATTACAAGCATGAGCCCCCACACTTGGCCTTCTTTATTTTTTTAATTTTTTTTTATTTTTGAGATGGAAGTCTCCCTCTGCCGCCCAGGCTGGAGTGCAGTGGCACGATTTAGGCTCACTACAAGCTCCGACTCCCTGGGGTTCATGCCATTCTCCTGCCTCAGCCTCCCGAGTAGCTGGGACTACAGGCACTCACCACCACGCCCGGCTAATTTTTTGTATTTTTAGTAGAGACGGGGTTTCACCATGTTAGCCAGGATGGTCTCCATCTCCTGACCTCGTGATCTGCCCTCCTCGGCCTCCCAAAGTGCTGGGATTACAGCCGTGAGCCACAGCGCCCAGCCCTTTATTTTTTTAAGTAACAAATTTACTGAGATATAATTCACATACCCATACCATTTACCCATTTAAAATGTACAATTCAATGGTTTTTAGTATTTTTAAAGACTCGTGCAGCCATTACACTCAATTCTAGAAAATTCTTCTTCTTTTTCGGATATTAAGTCATTTATTGGCAAGCTCATTAAAAATGCAGTAAATGAAGGGCCCTGGGCATGTCAATCCTCAGGGCCATATTTTTCCTGAATGTGGGAGAAATCAGAGAGGTATACACAGGATTTGGGAAGGTTATTTGATCTTGCTTGATAGCTTCCTAATATTTTATTTAATAGTTTATAGAAGTATAATTGATGCACATAAAAACCTGTGCATATGTTTAATGCACATAATTTGATGAGTTTTTTAATATGCACACACCTGTAATCCTTTTATTATTATTTTGTGTTATTATGGACTCAAGGTAATAAACATTATCAACCACTTCCAAAAGCTTCCTCGTTGCCCCTCCCTTGCTTTTGACAGTAGAATGCATAACATGAAATCCACCATTTTAGCACATTTTTAAGTGCACAGTGCCGTATTGTTAACTATGGGCACTAGGATGTACAGCAGATCTCTAGAACTTACTCATCTTGCATAACTACAACTTTACAGCCATTGAACAACAGCTTCCCATTTCCTCCCCCCTCTAGCCCCTGGCAACCACCATTCTATTCTCTGCTTCTGTCAGTTTGACTATTTTAGACACCCCATATAAGTGGAATCATGCAAGATTTGTCTTTCTGATACTGGCTTATTTCACTTAGCTTAATGTCTTCCAGGTTCATTCATGTTGTTGCAAATGGTAGGATTACTTTCTTTTTTTAAGGCTGGATAATATTCCATTGTAAATACTTGTGAAATAATAAGAAATAGACATTTGGTCTCTGTCCCCGTTTCCTGGAGCACAGCTCCTAAAACCTTTGAAATCTCTGAGGTGGTGTCTTTTCCTATGCTAATGAGATGACTGGGTGGCTGAATAGCCTTGTGTTGGGGGTGCTGGTAGGCAGGGGAACCCACCACGAGATTAGAGGGGTGGGACTTTTAGCCCAGTGCCTGCCTGCTGCTCTGGGGAGGGGAGGGGGCTGAAGTTTGGGCTGAGCACTAATGGCCAATGATGTAATCAATTGTTGTATGCAATGAAGCTTCCATAAACCCCCCAAAGGACAGGTTTGGAGAGCTTCAGGGTTGCTGAACACACGGAGGCGCTGGGAGGGGCGTGGAAATTCCCCGCCCCTTCCCCGCACCTCGCGCTCTCCCATTTGGCCGTTTCCAAGTTGTATCCTTTATAATTAATGGGTAAATGTAATCAAGAGTTTTCCTGAGTTCTGTGAGTCACTCTAGTAAATGACGGAATCTGAGAAGGGGGTCACGAGAACACGTGCTTTACAGCTGGCGGGTCAGAAGCTCAAGTGACCTGACTGGACTCTGAAGTGGGGATAGTGTTGCGGAACCCAGCTCTCAACCTGTGGGTGCTGCACTGTCTCCATGTAGATAGTGTACGTAGACGGCGTCAGACGCGAGTTAAATTGTAGGAGCTGCTGGTGTCAGAGAATTGCTTGGTGAGGAAAAACACCCCACACATCTGGTCACAGGCGTGATCCGTGTTGAGTGTGGTGTCAGAAGGGAGGTGTTCTGGAAGTATTGAGAGTGGTGTGAGGACAGTAGGAGGAAACTGTTTTCTATTCGGTACGATGTTTTCTGCATCTGTTTATCCATCCATGGGCATTTGTGTGGTGTCTACCTCTTGACTATATGAATAGAGCTGTGGCTCATGTAGGAGCGAGTGTAGTCATTTTGATGGCTCATGGTCCCTGGGACACATTACATATTTAAATATCTGTCAATTGACCACATTTTTTTTTGTTGTTTTTGTTTCTGAGACGGAGTCTCGCTCTTTTTCCCAGGCTGGAGTGCAGTGGCGCGATCTTGGCTCACTGCAAGCTCCGCCTCCCGGATTCATGCCATTCTCCTGCCTCAGCCTCCCGAGTAGCTGGGACTTTAGGCGCCCACCACCGCGCCCGGCTAATTTTTTGTATTTTTAGTAGAGACGGGGTTTCACCGTGTTAGCCAGGATGGTCTCGATCTCCTGACCTCGTCATCCACCCGCCTCGGCCTCCCAAAGTGCTGGGATTACAAGGCTTGAGCCACTGCGCCCGGGCGACCACATCTTTATCTTAGTATTTCCAACCACAGCTTTTCCTCCAATACTGACATTTATATTTTATTGACTGAAATGTTAATTACATGTAGTTTCTTACAGTGCCTTTTATCAACCCAAAGGAGAAACTCAGATTGAAGTAAATTCAAGCCTTACTTAAATGTCAACCAGATTGCATTTTCTTTAATGGAAGTAGCTGCTATGATATCATCCCAGATAGTTTTCTCCATGCAGCTCAAAGTTGTCTTGGAGGTGTGTGCCACGGTGCAGCATCGCAGCCTTCCCGTTCACAATCACCTTGTATATGGTTAGAATCATCAAGTCCATCTTCTCATTATTTCCCTGAGCTTATGTTAAGAGCTACAAGTTACTATGTAAAATAAAGATAAAGAATTTTTTTTATATTAGTAAGAGTGTAAATAGCATGTCTCAAGTGATGCAGAGAAGGTATTTCTGAACTCAGAAAGAAATGAATTCACTGCAACTCCTTTGAGGGAAGGAAAGATGAGCATCTTACCCGTTTTGGTCAGATCCCACCTTTGCCAAACCGTGACAGCGAGCATCTGGCCTGTGGTGCAGGAGACCGGTCAGGGCCATCCTGGAATGCCGTCTCAGATGCCGATTCACTCTTTCTTTCTTTTTCTTTCTCTCTTTCTTTCTTTCTTTCTTTCTTTCTTTCTTTCTTTCTTTCTTTCTTTCTTCTTCTTTCTTTCTTTCTTTCTTTTTGCGTCAGCGTCTCACTCTGTCACCCAGGCTGGAGTGCAGTGGCACGATCTCTGCTCACTGCAAACTCCGTCTCTTGGGCTTAAACAATTCTCGTGCCTCAGCCTCCCAAGTAGCTGGGATTACAGGCACCCACCATCACACCAGGCTAATTTTTGTATTTTTAGTGGGGACAAGGTTTCACCATCTCGGCCACGCTGGTCTTGAACTCCTGACTTCAAATGATCCACCGGTCTTGGCTTCCCAAGGTGCTGGGATTATAGGTGTGAGCCACTAGACCTGGCCCTGATTATTTCAATACTGGAGTGATTTTGGCTGTGACAAGCCCCCCGCAGTGCTATAGCTGGCACTCCTACCTTTTGGGAGAAGACACTGTATTTTAAATACAGGTCCTTGAAACATCTTCCTTGAAAACCTTTAGTCTGAATCCATCTGATTCCTGGGTAAGTTGCAAGGGGGCTATGTTTGCTGCATGTCTGATGTGGAATAAAACATTTAAAATTATATTGAGGCTTAACTGAATTTAAGTGTATCCACTAAGAAGGTGAGAACAACTTCTAAAAATAATAAATGAGAAGGAATTGGGGTGTGTGGGGGGGAGGGGAAAGTCATATGGTTGGTGGGTACATTGTGTGTCTACTTGAACTCATGTTTTGTTTCCATTTTCAAACCAAGAAAATAAATTAAGAGAGATTGGTAATGGGAACTAATCTTAAATCCCCAGAAATGAACCACATTTTGAGTATTATTGCGTGCCCTCTCTCTTTTCCTCTCTCCCTTTCTCTCTCTCTCTAGGTCCCAAACCTGTTCTTTAATGTGATACATGGAAATGAGTGGTGCAGTTCATTAGCTCAGCCAGTAGAGGGAATGGCTCATTACCACGTGCAAGGCTTCCCCCAAATCTCCTCCTATGCTCCAGTGTCCTGTTAGTACAACTTTGCAAATAGATGCTGTCAAGGGAGTTCAGGGCCAGTGAGGTGTGATGAGTTGACCTTCATCTTTTGAACTGTGTTCCTATAACTTTCTTTTTTTTTATGGCTGTCTCTGATTTCTGTCTCTATTTCTGTGTTTCTGTCACTGCCTTCTTGACCTCCTTTCTGGGCATCTCCTGGTACATTCTTAGAGTGTCTAGTGTGCTCTCTCTGTGCCCACCAAAGCTAGAAACCCCTTAGGCACCTCTTGTTTTTCTAGAACACTAATTTTTCATAAAGTTTCTGTTCACAGAGGGAAAATACTGGAACATTCTCATTTATTGGATCCCTTATTCACCCTAGATGTGTAAGCCAAAACTTGTATTCATGGCTGAGACAAGTCTGCAAACAATTTTCTGGACTTTGAAGACCAGGCTGCCTCAAGTTTGGAGGTTTTATCTATTACCCATATAGGCATCACTGTCTTAATTTTAAAGTTCAACATGTGAGGGAGAAAAGTCCCTATATCTTACTTTTCATGCTCTGACTTTGCCTCTACTTTTCGTTACTGTGTGTGCTTGAATGAATGTGCTGATTTTAACTCTATCTACGGGAAACCTTTTTCTATTATTAGACCGTTGTAATGTTCAAGAAGCACTCACCAGGCTGAGCGTTTGCTCAAAGTCAGATTTTCCCCAAGTCAGATGTAGGAGAATTTGTGAAATATAGTCCCCAGTAAAAGTTGGCACTGGATTGCATCTCTAATTAACAATCCTGCTTATGAATTTGGATTAATATTTGATAAAAATTCATTTGGCGTGATCTAGCGCCTCCCTCCATCACGCTAGTTTGTTGAGACCATAGGCATGCAGATTTCATTCCATTGGTAGATAACAGCATAAAACATTTTCTATTTTTAAATGAGTCACCAAGAATCCTGCATTTCTGTAGATGATTTATCATATTATCTAGCCACTCGTGTGGAAATGCATGGAGGTTTGGTTTTATGGCAAATGTTGTTTAAAATATCAGGACATGTTCTTGTACCACGTTTAGGGTCGTGGTATGGGAAGGCTGTCTGCAAAAGATGAGGAAGTTTGAGCACACTGGGTTATTGTGGCCTAAACCACTTGAGGGTAATGAAAGCCACTCCTGTAGGGCTGCTTCTAGCCGTGCCAGCACCCTGCTAGAAGTGCCATGTGTGTTCTAGCACACTCCATGTGCTACATGCTGGCATGGGATTCTGACAAGAATGTTGGGGTAGGCACTGCTACCACTGTTGCACAAATGAGAAAACTGAGGCTGGGAGAGGCTGGGTCACTTTGATCTCCTTATGCTGCTAGTAAGTGACAGAGCCAAGATGCACACCCACCTTGGCCTGAAACCTGAGCCATTCACTTTCTTCTCCACCCCAGGCTGCCTCCCGAACTCCATCATTGGAGTCCCTGGGTAATGACTGTCATCTCTTCATGGCTGTTTGGATGGCATCACTCACCTTTTCTTACATTTCTCTCTGAGCAACTTTCTTTTCTTTTCTTGTAGGTCTTAAATCCCTCTGTTCTAGTTTACAGACTCAGAGATGGAAAATATTGAGTATGAATTGCTAGTAAAATTGGTTTGTTTCATTTTTGGCTTTGGAAAACAAGGTGGATTCTTTCACCACAAGATCATATCCAGTGCATTCAGGGGTGAGACGGGGCCAGGGTTCTTTCAGGTGCAGCAGGCTTTGGTCTGTACCAGGGATCGAAGCACGCCGGGAGTTACAGGGTGCTGCAGAGGAGCAAATGAAAGGGCTACCGGCAGACACCTTTGCTCCCCAAATCAGGTAGAAGAGACCTCCTACGACTATTGGGGTGCTTCCAGCATTGAGGACTCCTGCTTGGCAAGGTAGAGTAAAAAATGTGTTTATTAAAGAACTAGCGGTGGAACATAAATGGATGTTGAAATAGAACAGAACCAGGCGAAACAGCCCACCAGCAGATAGCCATAAAAATTAAGGTTACAAAACAGAACACATACTTTGCCCTGCTCCTCCATCTCTGAACTCAGGGTCAGGCCCTCGGCCTGAACTGTGCTTCCCAGCTGGTGTTTGCTTCACTCCAAACAGTCTTTCTAGGTTTCTCAGCCTAGGCTAAACCAAGGTGTCATTTCTCACCATCTCTTTTATAAGATTTATTTCATATTATTTGTGTTTGGGATGGCTGCCTTTGAGTTTTTCTAGACAAGATACAGGCTCCTTTTTGACACCCTAGACTTCCTGGGAGGAGGACACAGGAGAGGAGTTGGGAGGTCAGGACAGAGTGGAGAAAGTGATTGCCTACATTTTCTGTGGAATTCTTAGCCAAGAGACCTCAGAAGATTTTGCCCCTATTATATACAACACACCTCTTTCTTCTTCCCGTCATTAATTAACCTCTTTGAAGAGTGTCTTGGGCCCAAGACTCTGGCTCCATCTGAACCTTCTTCCAAAAAGAATGTAAATTTCCTTGTTCTCTGCATTGAGAGACTTCACTAAGTACAGACACAAGAAGAAAGGGCTGGGAATGCGATGATATAGAGTACCCAGATTTCACATTCTAGATGCAATGCAAATGTTCCTGGCAGAACAGGGGTCATTTTGCAGAGGCAGTTCATAACTTGCTTTGCCAGGATTAGTCATGGCTCCTACAAGTTTCCAGTTTCTGCAGGATCTTTGTGTGGGGATGCCAAGAGGGTAGATAGAATTTTAAGAATTTTGCTTTCATGTCAAGATAATTCAAGTAAGTTTTCTGTTTCCTTTCATTTTTTTTGTAGCACATAGAATGTCTTGGGATTTTTAATGCACCTCTCCTTAACACCTATAGAGTCTTCAATATAAAAATACTAGGAAGTCCTTAGATTTTATAAGATAGAAATAATTGTGAAGAAAATAACTGCTAATGAAAGAAGTAAGTTCATCAGGCTTTCCTCATAACAATAGAAAGCATTTAAGGTCTTCAATATACTATAAAGATAATACCTGCTTGCAGTCTTTTAAAATCAGCAGTATTAATTTATGAGCATGAAATTAAGCACAGAGCCTCCCCGAATACAACAATTCATTATTATTATTGGTCCTTTGAAAGACTCTCTATAAATTCAAAGTCAGAGTCAGCCTTGGGGAAACATATTAGAATTGCAGCAGAAATATAGGGAAAAAATACAACTTTGTTTTTTGTACATCTGGGAAGATCTGGGCAAGGTAAATATACCAGGATGTGCAATTCAGATGCAATTTATTGTTCTACCTCTTTAGCAGAAAAAAGTGAAAAGGGGAAGAAGAATAATCATTTTCCTATATTTTTATGGTGGCTATAAATGTCTTCATAAATAGGGCACCTGTTCAAAGGAATTCTTTTTTCTTGTATGCAGTGCTAGAGTGATTAAGCCAATGGAAAAACCAAGGAAGAATAAAATTCCAAGATTCGATACTTTCTGGGGAGGAGGTTGGAAAGTCAGTGGCCTTTCAAATGTTAATCCCTTGTGATTTTGCCACTTACTGAAAATCCTTTTCTACTAATGAAGAATACATTAGGAAAAAGCCGTGATGTTTAGTCTTCTTGCTGATATTTGGTACCAAGCTATGCAGCCCTCACAGAACCTCTAATGAAATATCTGCCATGGCTGATCGTGTGTATGTGTCTCAGTGAGCATACAACATTGATCAGGGCCTCGGGTTTCTTTGGAGTGAAGTTCAGTGGGATAGAAAATTGGAGTTTCTGCTCATGCCTGTAATCCCAGCACTTTGGGAGGCCGAGGCGGGCGGATCACGAGGTCAGGAAATCGAGACCATCCTGGCTAACACGGTGAAATCCCGTCTCTACTAAAAATACAAAAAATTAGCCAGGAGGCTGAGGCAGGAGAATGGCATGATCCCGGGAGGCGGAGTTTGCCGTGAGCCGAGATGGCGCCACTGCACTCCAGCCTGGGCGAAAGAGCAAGACCCCGTCTCAAAAAAAAAAATAAATAAATAAATAAAAAATAAAAAAATAAAGAAAACTGGAGTTTCTGATTACATTGTGCCAGATATCTATTTTATGGATTCAGGTCCACTATTTATAGAACCAAGTAAAAACTGTTTTAGAATTCAGAACTTGGAAAAATATGTAGCTACCTTCAAACTAGTAAAGAATTTCTTTCCCTCTCTCATTTTCTCCTTCCCATCTCTCTCCTTCCTGTCCATCCATCCCTTTGTTCATCCATGCATCCTAAGTAGTGGGATCTGTGTAACTACTTGAGTTACCTTTTTGCTTAGTCTAGCTTGTAGAAAGCTTAGAGTTAAGGTTTATACTCAACTTCTTTAATAAAAATAGTAATTATAACAGCTAACATTTATTGAGTAATTACTAGGCCTCTTTCAATGTGCTAAGTAAGCACTTTACATACTTCCATTATTTAATCCTTAAAGCTGCCCCACTAAGTAGCAGCCAATGTGATCCTTATTTTCCAGATGAGAAAGCTGGGGTTTATGGAGGCACTTGGCTTGTGCAGGTGGCAGCTGGTTAGCAGTGGAGCCTGGGTTCAAATCCAGGTAGTCTCTCTTAGATCCTGTGCTTTTAACATGACTCGGAGCTGCCACTCTGTGCCTCTTCCAGCCTGGATCTTCTGTTACAGGTGTCTTCACTCTGTAGTGCTGATCTTTTATTCTTATTTAATAGGTCAATTGTAAAAGGGCCATCTGTTTTAAAGTGCTTCCAACTTGTTTTAAAATCAGATGTAATGTAAAAAAGAGAAATGGAAGAACTCTTGTTACTACATAAATTCAGTGAGTGTTTCACCTGACTGGTATGTCCCCCCTCCTCTGTAATCTTTCAAGGACTAACTCCTCTCCTTGGTATGAATTTTACGTGAAGCACCTCCTTCCTACTTCTCTATAATTATTTAGTTTTTACAAAATTATTATTGTTATTATTATTTTTTATCTTTTGAGACAGAGTTTCGCTCGTGTTGCCCAGGCTGCAGTGCAGTGGAGCAATCTTTGCTCACTGCAACCTCTGCCTCCCATGTTCAGGTTCAAACAATTCTCCTGCCTCAGTCTCCTGAGTAGCTGGGATTACAGGCGCCTGCTACCGCGCCCGGCTAATTTTTTTGTATTTTTAATAGAGATGGGGTTTCACCATGTTGGCCAGGCTGGTCTTGAGCTCCTGACCTCAGGTGATACACCCGCCTTGGCCTCCCAAAGTGCTGGGATTACAGGCATGAGCCACTGTGCCCAGCCTAAATAATTACTTTGAACAATCTCATTAAAAATAAGCTTTAAAGTATATTTAAAGCTTCCTTCTTCCTTCTCTTCCTCCTTCCTTCAACCTTTTGCAGAGGAAATCACCATCCTGAAGTGGGAGTGCATCCCACCGATGCATTTTTGTGTGTGTTTTCTCCACAGAAGGATATATCCACAAGCAATACATACTATTTGCATGTTTAAAAATGTACATAAATGATGCCATATTATTCTGCAACTTATTTTTTCACTTAATATATTTTTGAGATATATCTATGTAAATCTAATTCATTTATTTAACCTGCTATATAATATTTCATCATACAAATAAGTAACATTTTTTAAAGGTTATTTTTAAAAATTTCAGTAGGGTTTTGGGGGACAGGTAGTGTTTGGTAACATGCATAAAGTTCTTTCATGGTGATTTCTGAGATTTTGGTGCACCCATCACCCCCACAGTGTCCACTGTTCCCAATGTGTAGCCTTTTACCCCTCATCCCCCCTCCCACCCTTCCCCCCGAGTCCCCAAAGTCCATTGTAACATTCTTTTGCCTTTGCAGCCTCATAGCATAGTTCTCACTTGTAAGTGAAAATATACGATGTTTGGTTTTCCATTCTTGAGTTACTTCACTTAGAATAATGGTCTCCAACTCCATCCGGGTTGCTGTGATGCCATTATTTTATTCTTTTCTTTGGCTGAGTAGTGTTCCGTGGTGTATATATTTACATATATATCAATTCACATATATATATCTCACATATATATCACATATATGTACATATATGTGTAAATATATATGATATATATATATATATATATATATATATATATATATATATATATATAACAATTTATCCCCTAGATTGATGGGCATTTGGGCTGGTTCCATTTTTTATTTTATTTTATTATTATTATACTTTAAGTTTTAGGGTACATGTGCACAATGTGCAGGTTAGTTACATATGTATACATGTGCCATGCTGGTTTGCTGCACCCATTAACTCGTCATTTAGCATTAGGTATATCTCCTAATGCTATCCCTCCCCCCTCCCCCCACCCCACAACAGTCCCCAGAGTGTGATGTTCCCCTTCCTGTGTCCATGTGTTCTCATTGTTCAATTCCCACCTATAATATGTGGTGTTTGGTTTTTTGTTCTTGCGATAGTTTACTGAGAATGATGATTTCCAATTTCATCCATGTCCCTACAAAGGACATGAATGCATCATTTTTTATGGCTGCATAGTATTCCATGGTGTGTATGTGCCACATTTTCTTAATCCAGTCTATCATTGCTGGACATTTGGGTTGGTTCCAAGTCTTTGCTATTGTGAATAGTGCCACAATAAACATACGTGTGCATATGTCTTTATAGCAGCATGATTTATAGTCCTTTGGGTATATAACCAGTAATGGGATGGCTGGGTCAAATGGTATTTCTAGTTCTAGATCCCTGAGGAATCGCCACACTGACTTCCACAAGGGTTGAACTAGTTTACAGTCCCACCAACAGTGTAAAAGTGTTCGTATTTCTCCACATCCTCTCCAGCACCTGTTGTTTCCTGACTTTTTAATGATTGCCATTCTAACTGGTGTGAGATGGTATCTCATTGTGGTTTTGATTTGCATTTCTCTGATGGCCGGTGATGGTGAGCATTTTTTCATGTGTTTTTTGGCTGCATAAATGTCTTCTTTTGAGAAGTGTCTGTTCATGTCCTTTGCCCACTTTTTGATGGGGTTGTTTGTTTTTTTCTTGTAAATTTGTTTGAGTTCATTGTAGATTCTGGATATTAGCCCTTTGTCAGATGAGTAGGTTGCGAAAATTTTCTCCCATTTTGTAGGTTGCCTGTTCACTCTGATGATAGTTTCTTTTGCTGTGCAGAAGCTCTTTAGTTTAATTAGATCCCATTTGTCAATTTTGGCTTTTGTTGCCATTGCTTTTGGTGTTTTAGACATGAAGTCCTTGCACATGCCTATGTCCTGAATAGTAATGGCTGGGTTTTCTTCTAGGGTTTTTATGGTTTTAGGTCTAACGTTTAAGTCTTTAATCCATCTTGAATTAATTTTTGTATAAGGTGTAAGGAAGGGATCCAGTTTCAGCTTTCTACATATGGCTAGCCAGTTTTCCCAGCACCGTTTATTAAATAGGGAATCCTTTCCCCATTGCTTATTTTTCTCAGGTTTGTCAAAGATCAGATAATTGTAGATATGTGGCATTATTTCTGAGGGCTCTGTTCTGTTCCATTGATCTATATCTCTGTTTTGGTACCAGTACCATGCTGTTTTGGTTACTGTAGCCTTGTAGTATAGTTTGAAGTCAGGTAGCATGATGCGTCCAGCTTTGTTCTTTTGGCTTAGGATTGCCTTGGCGATGCAGGCTCTTTTTTGGTTCCATATGAACTTTAAAGTAGTTTTTTCCAATTCTGTGAAGAAAGTCATTGGTAGCTTGATGGGGATGGCATTGAATCTATAAATTACCTTGGGCAGTATGGCCATTTTCACGATACTGATTCTTCCTACCCCTGAGCATGGAATGTTCTTCCATTTGTTTGTATCCTCTTTTATTTCATTGAGCAGTGGTTTGTAGTTCTCCTTGAAGAGGTCCTTCACGTCCCTTGTAAGTTGGATTCCTAGGTATTTTATTCTCTTTGAAGCAATTGTGAATGGGAGTTCACTCATGATTTGGCTCTCCGTTTGTCTGTTATTGGTGTATAAGAATGCTTGTGATTTTTGTACATTGATTTTGTATCCTGAGACTTTGCTGAAGTTGCTATTCAGCTTAAGGAGATTTTGGGCTGAGACAATGGGGTTTTCTAGAAATACAATCATGTCATCTGCAAACAGGGACAATTTGACTTCCTCTTTTCCTAATTGAATACCCTTTATTTCCTTCTCCTACCTAATTGCCCTGGCCAGAACTTCCAACGCTATGTTGAATAGGAGTGGTGAGAGAGGGCATCCCTGTCTTGTGCCAGTTTTCAAAGGGAATGCTTCCAGTTTTTGCCCATTCAGTATGATATTGGCTGTGGGTTTGTCATAGATAGCTCTTATTATTTTGAAATACGTCCCATCAATACCTAATTTATTGAGAGTTTTTAGCATGAAGGTTATTGGATTTTGTCAAAGGCCTTTTCTGCATCTATTGAGATAATCATGTGGTTTTTGTCGTTGGTTCTGTTTATATGCTGGATTACATTTATTGATTTGCATATATTGAACCAGGCTTGCATCCCAGGGATGAAGCCCACTTGATCGTGGTGGATAAGCTTTTTGATGTGCTGCTGGATTCAGTTTGCCAGTATTTTATTGAGGATTTTTGCATCAATGTTCATCAAGGATATTGGTCTAAAATTCTCTTTTTTGGTTGTGTCTCTGCCCAGCTTTGGTATCAGGATGATGCTGGCCTCATAAAATGAGTTAGGGAGGATTCCCTCTTTTTCTATTGATTGGAATAGTTTCAGAAGGAATGGTACCAATTCCTCCTTGTACCTCTGGTAGAATTCGGCTGTGAATCCATCTGGTCCTGGACTTTTTTTGGTTGGTAAGCTATTGATTATTGCCACAATTTCAGCGCCTGTTTTTGGTCTATTCAGAGATTCAACTTCTTCCTGCTTTAGTCTTGGGAGGGTGTATGTGTCGAGGAATTTATCCATTTCTTCTAGATTTTCTAGTTTATTTGCATAGAGCTGTTTGTAGTATTCTCTGATGGTAGTTTGTATTTCTGTGGGATTGGTGGTGATATCCCCTTTATCATTTTTTATTGCGTCTATTTAATTCTTCTCTCTTTTCTTCTTTATTAGTCTTGCTAGCGGTCTATCAATTTTGTTGATCCTTTCAAAAAGCCAGCTCCTGGATTCATTAATTTTTTTGAAGGGTTTTTTGTGTCTCTATTTCCTTCAGTTCTGCTCTGATCTTAGTTATTTCTTGCCTTCTGCTAGCTTTTGAATGTGTTTGCTCTTGTTTTTCTAGTTCTTTTAATTGTGATGTTAGGTTGTCAATTTTGGATCGTTCCTGCTTTCTCTTGTGGGCATTTAGTGCTATAAATTTCCCTCTACACACTGCTTTGAATGTGTCCCAGAGATTCTGGTATGTTGTATCTTTGTTCTCCTTGGTTTCAAAGAACATCTTTATTTCTGCCTTCATTTCGTTATGTACCCAGTAGTCATTAAGGAGCAGGTTGTTCAGTTTCCATGTAGTTGAGCGGTTTTGAGTGAGTTTCTTAATCCTGAGTTCTAGTTTGATTGCACTGTGGTCTGAGAGATAGTTTGTTATAATTTCTGTTCTTTTACATTTGCTGAGGAGAGCTTTACTTCCAACTATGTGGTCAATTTTGGAATAGGTGTGGTGTGGTGCTGAAAAAAATGTATATTCTGTTGATTTGGGGTGGAGAGTCCTGTAGATGTCTATCAGGTCCGCTTGGTGCAGAGCCGAGTTCAATTCCTGGATATCCTTGTTAACTTTCTGTCTCATTGATCTGTCTAATGTTGACAGTGGGGTGTTAAAGTCTCCCATTATTATTGTGTGGGAGTCTAAGTCTCTTTGTAGGTCACTCAGGACTTGCTTTATGAAACTGGGTGCTCCTGTATTGG
The DNA here is from genome assembly GCF_000001405.40 of Homo sapiens. Lineage (NCBI taxonomy): Eukaryota > Metazoa > Chordata > Mammalia > Primates > Hominidae > Homo > Homo sapiens. The sequence continues at coordinate 21,859,419 of NC_000013.11, forward strand.
GTGCATATATATTTAGGATAGTTAGCTCTTCTTGTTGAATTGATCCCTTTATCATTATGTAATGGCCTTCTTTGTCTCTTTTGATCTTTGTTGTTTTAAAGTCTGTTTTATCAGAGACTAGGATTGCAACCCCTGCCTTTTTTTGTTTTCCATTTGCTTGGTAGATCTTCCTCCATCCTTTTATTTTGAGCCTATGTGTGTCTCTGCACGTGAGATGGGTTTCCTGAATACAGCGCACTGATGGGTCTTGACTCTTTATCCAATTTGCCAGTCTGTGTCTTTTAATTGGAGCATTTAGTCCATTTACATTTAAATTTAATATTGTTATGTGTGAATTTGATCCTGTCATTATGATGTTAGCTGGTTATTTTGCTCGTTAGTTGATGCAGTTCCTCCTAGTCTCGATGGTCTTTACATTTTGGCATGATTTTGCAGCGGCTGGTACTGGTTGTTCCTTTCCATGTTTAGTGCTTCCTTCAGGAGCTCTTTTAGGGCAGGCCTGGTGGTGACAAAATCTCTCAGCATTTGCTTGTCTGTAAAGGATTTTATTTCTCCTTCACTTATGAAGCTTAGTTTGGCTGAATATGAAATTCTGGGTTCAAAATTCTTTTCTTTAAGAATGTTGAATATTGGCCCCCACTCTCTTCTGGCTTGTAGAGTTTCTGCCGAGAGATCCGCTGTTAGTCTCATGGGTTTCCCTTTGAGGGTAACCCGACCTTTCTCTCTGGCTGCCCTTAACATTTTTTCCTTCATTTCAACTTTGGTGAATCTGACAATTATGTGTCTTGGAGTTGCTCTTCTCGAGGAGTATCTTTGTGGCGTTCTCTGTATTTCCTGAATGTGAATGTTGGCCTGCCTTGCTAGATTGGGGAAGTTCTCCTGGGTAATATCCTGCAGAGTTCCAACTTGGTTGGAAGTTCCAAGTTCCAAGTTTCCAACTTGGTTCCATTCTCCCTGTCACTTTCAGGTACACCAGTCAGATGTAGATTTGGTCTTTTCACATAGTCCCATATTTCTTGAAGGCTTTGTTCGTTTCTTTTTATTCTTTTTTCTCTAAACTTCCCTTCTTGCTTCATTTCATTCATTTCATCTTCCATCACTGATACCCTTTCTTCCAGTTGATCACGTCAGCTCCTAAGGCTTCTGCATTCTTCACGTAGTTCTCGAGCCTTGGCTTTCAGCTCCATCAGCTCCTTTAAGCACTTCTCTGTTTGGTTATTCTAGTTATACATTCGTCTAAATTTTTTTCAAAGTTTTCAACTTCTTTGCCTTTGGTTTGAATTTCCTCCTGTAGCCCAGAATAGTTTGATCATCTGGAGCCTTTTTCTCTCAACTCATCAAAGTCATTCTCCATCCAGCTTTGTTCCGTTGCTGGTGAGGAACTGTGTTCCTTTGGAGGAGGAGAGGTGCTCTTCTTTTTAGAGTTTCCCGTTTGTCTGCTCTGTTTTTTCCCCATCTTTGTGCTTTTATCTCCTTTGGTCTTTGATGATGGTGATGTACAGATGGGTTTTTGGTGTGGATGTCCTTTCTGTTTGTTAGTTTTTCTTCTAACAGACAGGATCCTCAGCTGCAGGTCTGTTGGAGTTTGCTAGAGGTCCACTCCAGATCCTGTTTGCCTGGGTAGCAGCAGCGGTGGCTGCAGAACAGCAGATTTTTGTGAACCGCAAATGCTGCTGTCTGATGGTTCCTCTGGAAGTTTTGTCTCAGAGGAGTACCCGGCCGTGTGAGGTGTCAGTCTGCCGCTACTGGGGGGTGCCTCCCAGTTAGGCTGCTTGGGGGTCAGGGGTCAGGGACCCACTTGAGGAGGCAGTCTGTCCGTTCTCAGATCTCCAGCTGTGTGCTGGGAGAACCACTGCTCTCTTCAAAGCTGTTAGACAGGGACATTTAAGTCTGCAGAGGTTACTGCTGTCTTTTTGTTTGTCTGTGCCCTGCCCCCAGAGGTGGAGCCTACAGAGGCAGGCAGGCCTCCTTGAGCTGTGGTGGGCTCCACCCAGTTCGAGCTTCCCGGCTGCTTTGTTTACCTAAGCAAGCCTGGGCAATGGCGGGCGCCCCTCTCCCAGCCTCACTGCCGCCTTGCAGTTTGATCTCAGACTGCTGTGCTAGCAATCAGCGAGACTCCGTGGGTGTAGGACCCTTCGAGCCATGTGTGGGATATAATCTCCTGGTGCACTGTTTTTTAAGCCCGTCGGAAAAGCACAGTATTAGGGCAGGAGTGACCCAATTTTCCAGGTACCATCTGTCATCCCTTTCTTTGACTAGGAAAGGGAACTCCCTGACCCCTTGCACTTCCCGAGTGAGGCAATGCCTCGCCCTGCTTCGGCTCACACACGGTGCACTGCACCCACTGTCCTGTGCCCACTGTCTGGCACTCCCTAGTGAGATGAACCCGGTACCTCAGATGGAAATGCAGAAATCAACTGTCTTCTGCATCACTCACGCTGGGAGCTGTAGACCGGAGCTGTTCGTATTTGGCCATCTTGGCTGCTTCTTCCTGGTTCTGTATTTTTGCAATTGTGAATTGTCCCACTGTAAACGTGTGTGCAAGTATCTTTTTCATATAATGACTTCTTTTCCTCTGAATAGATACCCAGTAGTGGGATTGCTGGATTATATGGTAGATCTACTTTTAGTTCTTTAAGGAGCTCCATACTGTTTTCCATAGTGGTTGTACTAGTTTATACTAGCAGTGTGAAAGTGTTCTTTTTTCACCACATCCATGCCAACATCTATTATTTTTTTTTTTTAGTTATGGCCATTTTTGCAGGAGTAAGAGGGTATTGCATTGTGGTTTTGATTTGCATTTCCCCGATAATCAGTGATGTTGAGCATTTTTTCATGTTTGTTGGACATTTGTATACCTTCTTTTGAGAATTGTCTATTCATGTCCTTAGCCCACTTTTTGATGGGATTATTTGTTTCTTTCTTGCTGATTTGTTTGAGTTCCTTGTAGATTTTGGATATTAGTCCTTTGTTGGAAGCATAGTTTGTGAAGATTTTCTCCCAGTCTGTAGATAGTCTGTTTGCTAATTATTTGTTTTGCTGTGCAGAAGCTTTGTAGTATAAGTCCTATCTACTTATCTTTGTTTTTATTACATTTGCTTTTGGGTTCTTCGTCATGAAGTCTTTGCCTAAGCCAATGTCTAGAAGGATGTTTCCAACTTTATCTTCTAGAATTTTTATGGTTTCAGGTATTAGATTTAAGTCTTTTATCCATCTTGAGTTGATTTTTGTATAAGGTAAGAGATGAGGATCCAGTTTCATTCTTCTACATGTGACTTGCCAATTATCCCAGGTCCATTTGTTGATTAGGGTGTCCTTTCCCCACTTTATGTTTTGGTTTGCTTTGTCAAAGATCAGTTGGCTGCAAGTATTTGGTTTTATTTCTGGGTTCTCTATTCTGTTCCATTGATCTATGTGCCTATTTTTATGCCAGTACCATGCTGCTTTGGTGACTATAGTCTTATAGTATAGTTTGAAGTCAGGTAATGAGATACCTCCAGATTTGTTCTTTTTGCTTAGTCTTGCTTTGGCTATGTGGGCTCTTTTTTGGTTTCATGTGAATTTTAGGATTATTTTTCCTAGTTCTGTGAAGAATGATGATGGTATTTTGATGCGAATTGCATTGAATTTGTAGATCGCTTTTGGCAGTATGGTCATTTTCACAATATTGATTCTACCCATCCATGAGCATGGGTTGTGTTCCCATTTGTGTAGTCTATGATTTCTTTCAGCAGTGTTTTGTAGTTTTCCTTGTAGAGGTCTTTCACCTTCTTGGTTAGGTATATTCCTAAGTTGTTTTTTTTTTTTTTTTTTTTTTTGCAGCTATTGTAAAAGGGGTTGAGTTCTTGATTTGATTCTCAGCTTGGTGGCTGTTGGTGTACAGTAGTGCTACTGATTTGTGTACATTTTGTGTCCTGAAACTGTACTGAATTCATTTATCAGATTTAGGAACTTTTTGGATGAGTCTTTAGGGTTTTCTAGGCATACAATCATATCATTGGCAAACAGCGACAGTTTGACTTCCTCTTTACCGATTTGGATGCCCTTTATTTCTTTCTCTTGTCTGATTGCTCTGGCTAGTACTTCCAGTACTATGTTGAATAGAAGTCATGAAAGTGGGCATCCTTGTCTTGTTCCAGTTCTCAGGGGGAATGCTTTCAACTTTTCTGCATTCAGTATAATGTGGGCTATGGGTTTGTCATAGATGGCTTTTATTATCTTAGTTATGTTCCTTGTATGCTGTTTTACTTAAGGTTTTAATCGTAAAAGGATGCTGGATTTTTTCAAATACTTTTTCTGCATCTATTGAGATCATGCAATTTTTGTTTTTAATTCTGTATATGTGGTGAATCACATTTATTGACTTGCAAATGTTAAATCATCCCTGCATCCCTGGTATGAAACCCACTTGATCATGGAGGATTATCTTTTTGATATGCTGTTGGATTTGGTTAGCTAGTATTTTGTGGAGGATTTTTGCATCTATGTTCATCAGGGATATTGGTCTGTAGTTTTCTTTTTTTGCTGTGTCCTTTCTGGTTTTGGTATTAGAGTGATACTGGCTTCATAGAATGATTTAGGGAGGATTCCCTCTTTCTCTATTTTTTGGAATAGTTTCAATAGGATTGGTACCAATTCTTTGAATGTCTGATAGAATTCAGTTGTGAATTTATCTGGTCCTGGACTTTTTTGTTGTTGGCAATTTTTAAATTAGTATTGTTGCTTGTTATTGGTCTGTTAAGAGTTTCTATTTCTTTCTGGTTTAACCTAGGAGGATTGTATATTTCCAGGAGTTTATCCATCTCCTGTAGGTTTTCTAGTTCATGCACATAAACGTTTTCATAGTAGCCTTGAACGATCTTTTGTATTTCTGTGGTATTGATTATAATATCTCCTGTTTCATTTCCAGTTGAACTTATTTGGATCTTCTCTCTTCTTTTCTTGGTTAATCTTGCTAATGGTCTATCAATTTTGTTTATTTTTTCAAAGAACCAGCTTTTTTGGTTCATTTATCTTTTGTAATTTTTGTTGTTTCAATTTCATTTAGTTCTGCTCTGATATTTGTTATGTCTTTTCTTCTGCTGAGGTTGGGGTTTTTTTTTTTGTTCTTGTTTCTCCAGTTCCTTGAGATGTGACCTTAGATTGCCTATCTGTGTTCTTCCAGACTTTTTGATGTAGGCTTATAATGCTATGAGCTTTCCTCTTAGCACTACTTTTGCTGTATCCCAGAAGTTTTGATAGGTTGTGTCACTATTATTATTCAGTTCAAAGAATTTTTTAATTTCTGTCTTGATTTCATTGTTGACCCAACGATCATTCAGAAATGGGTTATTTAATTTCCATATATTTGCATGGTTTTGAGGGTTCCTTTTGGAGTTAATTTCCAATTTTATTCCACTGTGGTCTGAGAGAGTACTTGATATAATTTTGATTTTCTTAAATTTACCAAGACTTGTTTTGTGGCCTATCATATGGTCTATCTTAGAGAATGTTCCATGTACTGACAAATAGAATTATATTCTGTAGTTGTTGGGCAGAATGTTCTGTAAATATCTGTTAGGTCCATTTGTTCTAGGTTATAGTTTAAGTCCATTGTTTCTTTGTTGACTTTCTGTCTTGATGACCTGTCTAGGGCTGTCAGTGGAGTATTAAAGTCCTCCACTATTTTTGCGTTGATGTCTATCTCATTTCTTAGGTCTAGTGGTAATTGTTTTATAAATTTGGGAGCTCCAGAGTTAGGTGCATATATATTTAGAATTGTGATATTTCCCTGTTGGACTAGTCCTTTTATCATTATATCATGTCCCTCTTTGTCTTTTTCAACTACTGTTGTTTTAAAGTTTGTTTTGTCTGATGTAAGAATAGCTCTTCCTGCTTGTTTGGTGTCCATTTGTATGGAATAGCTTTTTCCTCCACTTTACCTTAAGTTTATGTGAGTCCTTATGTGTTAGGTGAGTCTCTTGAAGACAGAAGATACTTGGTTGATGAATTCTTATCCAGTCTGCCATTCTGTATCTTTTAAGTGGAGCATTTAGGCCATTTACATTCATTACAATGTTAGTATTGAGATATGAGGTACTATTCTATTCATTGTGCTATTTGTTGCCTGAATATCTTGTTTTTTTTTTTTTCATTGTGTTACTGTTATATAGCTCCTGTGAGATTTATGCTTTAAGGAGGTTCTATTTTGGTGTATTTTGAGGATTTGTTTCAAGACAGAGCTCCTTTTAGCCTTTCTTATAGTACTGGCTTGAGTGACGAGTTCTCTCAGCATCTGTTTGTCTGGAAAAGACTGTATCTTTCTTTCATTTGTGAAGCTTAGTTTCATGTGTACAGAATTCTTAGCTGATAATTGTCTTGTTTAAGGAGGCTAAAAATAGGACCCCAATCCCTTCTAGACTGTAGGGTTTCTGCTAAGAAATCTGCTGTTACTCTGATAACTTTTTCATTATAGGTTACCTGATGCTTTTGCCTCATAGCTCTTAAGATTCTTTCCTTCATCTCGAGTTTAGTGACTACGTGCCTAGGCAATGACCTTGGTGCAATGAATTTCCCAGGTGTTATTTGAGCTTCTTGTATTTGGATGTCTAGATCTCTAGTAAGGCTGGGGAAGTTTTTCTCGATTATTCCCTCGAATATGTTTTCCAGACATTTAGATTTCTTCCTCAAGAACACCAATTATTCTTAGGTTTGGACACTTAACATGGTCCCAAACTTCTTGGAGGCTTTGTTCATTTTTCAAAATTCTTTTTTCTTTGTGTTTGACAGATTGGGTTAATTCAAAACCCCTGTCTTCAAGCTCTGAAGTTCTTTCTTCTGCTTGTTTGATTCTATTGCTGAGATTTTCCAGCACATCTTGCATTTCTCTAAGTGTATCCTTGATTTCCAAAAGTTATGGTTGTTTGCTATTTATGCTATCTGTTTCACTGAAGAATTTTCCTTTCATATCCCATGTCATGTTTTTGATTTCTTTGGAGTTTACATTTCTCTGGTGCCTCCTTGAGTAGCTTAGTAATTGACCTTCTGAATTCTTCTTCTGGCAAATCAGAGATTTTGTTTTGTGTCCATTGCTGGTGAGCTAGTGTGGTCTTTTGGGGGGTGTTAAAGAACCTTGGTTTGTCATATTACCACAATTGTTTTTCTAGTTTCTTCTCATCTGGATAGACTATGTCAGAGGAAAGATCTGGGACTCTGGGACTCGAGCGCTGCTGTTCAGATTTTTTTTGTCCCATGTGGTGCTCTCCTCCTTCCCCTAGGGATGGAGCTTCCTGAGACCTGCACTGTGGTGATTGTTATTGCCCTTCTGGGTCTAGCCACCCAGTGGAGCTAACAGGCTCTGGGCTGTTACTGGGGAGTATCTGCAAAGGGTCCTGTCATGGGATCCGTCTTCAGGTCTGTCAGCCATGGATACCAGCACCTGCTCTAGTGGAGGTAGCAGGGGAGTGAGGTGAACTCTGTGAGAGTCCTTGGTTGTAGTTTTGTTTAGTGCATTGGTTTTCTTGAATGCTGATTGTGCTAGCAGTGAAGTTGTCATGTGGACGGACTCAGAACCTCTGGTTAGCCAGGATGTTACAAGCGGTGGAATTAGCTGTTGTTTTCTACTCTCTTGGAGTGGGGCTGCTCTTTTATGAGTTGCTGTAATGGTTTGAGTTGGTTGGCCTCCAGCCAGGAGGTGGTACTTTCAAGAGAGCATCAGCTGTGGTGATAAATAAATAACCTTTTAAAAAAATTATTATTTTTTAGAGACAAGGTCTCACTCTGTCACCCAGGCTGGAGTGCAGTGGCGCAATCATAACTCACTGTAACCTCAAACTCCTGGGCTCAAGCAATCTTCCAGCCTCAGGCTCCTGAGTAGCTGGGACTACAGGCAGGCACCACCAGGCCTGGCTAATAATTTTTTTTTAAATAGAGATAGGGTCTTACTATATTGCCCAGGCTGGTCTCAAACTCCTGGCCTCTCAAAAATTTGAGATTACAAGCATGAGTCAGTGCCCAGCTTAAATAGCATTTTATTTAACCATTTCCATTCTGAGCAACAGTTAGATTGTTTCAGTATTACTATAGCACTGCAACAAACATTCTTGTGCCTTTCTGATAAAATGCATGTGTGAGGGCATTTAGGGTACATTAACTAGAGTGAAATTGCATCTTGCAATATATGGCTATCTTTTTTTTATTTTTGAGTTGGAGTCTTGCTCTGCTGCCCAGGCTGGAGTGCAGTGGCACTATCTTGGCTCACTGCAAGCTCCGCCTCCCGGGTTCATGCTATTCTCCTGCTTCAGCCTCCTGAGTAGCTGGGACTACAGGTGCCTGTCACTACACCTGGCTAATTTTTTTGTATTTTTAGTGGAGACAGGGTTTCACCGTGTTAGCCAGGATAGTCTTGATCTCCTGACCTTGTGATCCGCCCGTCTGGGCCTCCCAAAGTGCTGGGATTACAGGCATGAGCCACTGTGCCCGGATATATGGCTATCTTTAACTTTAACCTGGCTGAACTGCTCTCTAAGAAATGGAAACAATTTTATACTCTGAGTGACAGATGCATTCCTGTTTTCCTCCACACTGCATGTTATCAGACTTACTAATATTTATCAATCAGACAGATGTTTGATGTTTCTCTTATTTGAATGCACATTTCCTTTATTACTAGAGAGAGCTTGAAAATAATTTAAAAATGTTTGTTGGGCATTTGGGATTCCCCTCTCTGAAAAGCAGTTGTTCTATAACTGCTTTTGTGTGATGTCCTGGGGCTGGCCTGAGGACAAATTATTTATATCATTTGCTTATTGCTGAGTTATCTTCATATTCATTAGTCACTTTTTTACAGATTCTGGATAAAAATATTTTGTTGGTTACATGGTTGGGTTGTAAATATCTCCTCTTTATTGTGGACTGGCTTTTCACTTTGATTATAGTATCTTGTGTCATATTGGAGTTTTAATTTTAATGCTATCGAATTTATACATCTTTTCCTTTTTTGTGTGTTTTATTATTCTTCCATGCTGCAGTAACATAAAGAGTATCTCCTATGCATTTTTATAAGTTTGCTTTTCACATTTAGGACTTTAATCCGTTTCAGGTTCTTCTTGGAACTTAGATCCTTGCTCAAAGGACAGATGCAAGAAGTACTTTGGAATGAAGGATAGTGAATCCAGAGAAAAGAAGAGAAATATAAGAAGTTATTTTGAACAAAAAACTGGCAAAAGTGAATAAATCTAAATGAGTGTTCACTAGAAGACTATTAATCATTATGACTAATTTGGGGAATAAAAACAAAGTGAAATTTAAATGCCAGGCAGTAATAAAACGGGGGAAATGATTCACATTAAAGGGTCTGAAACTTCTAATGTAAATTGGATGTATCCATTTTATTCTCTGTGTTGATTAATCCTTCTTTCACGTTTTCCATCTTTTATATCTGTGTCTACAAATCACATTGGTAATTTCCTCAGATCTTCTCATTTAATAATTTTTTAATTAACCTGTGCATAATCTGTAGTTGGACCTATTGAATTATATATATGTATATATAGTATGTATATATAATTACAGATTATGTATTTATATATAACAAATAAATAAATATTAAATTATATATTATTTTTATATATTTACATATTAAATAAAATATATTATTTATTTATTATTTTTATTTTTTTAGAAACAGGGTCTCACTCTGTTGCCCAGGCTGGAATGCAGTGATGTGATCATAGCTCACTGTAGCCTTGAACTCCCAGCCTCAAGCCATCCTTCCACCTTGGCCTCCCAAGGTGCTTCTGGAAGGCCTAGTTGGTTTCTGTAAGTATTGCCCATTCTTTTATAATGGTTATAAGACATTCTGCTATGTTTTAAATCTATTTAATATGCCCGTATTATCAATTTTTATTGCCCATTTTGTTATCAATAGAAATTGTTGTGTTCTCTGTAGTTCCTGAGCTTCTATGCTCCGATTTGCTGATTGTGCTGCCTCTTGCTATTGTCGGATTATTTCTTCTTGGGTTTCATAGTTTGGGCTTGTGAACTCATCAGCAGAGCTTTGGCCTTTGGAATCCTGTTGGGAGTGAGGTTGAAGGTTCGTCCCCACAACATTGTTCTATGACTGCTTTTGTGTGGTGTCCTGGGGCTGGCCTGGGACTAATCTGTATGCTTATCAGCTTGTGGGATTCTTAGCCCATGTTGGTAGATTAATTCCAACTCCAAGCACAAGTTATTTGTAGTCTGGGGTTTTATAATCTTGGGTTTTTGTTTTATTTTTCCTCCTAGAGCCCCGGCCTAGGCAGGCGAGAACCCCAGTCTCAGTGAGAGAATCCTGAAGCTGCTGTCCTTTGAGGGATCTGGCTCTCTGGAGCCATTTTGGTTTGGACTCCCCACCGAGAATAGGACCATGGCCTTATTGCCTATTGCTATGTGTGAGTATGGAAACCCCAGCCGAGGGGCCACCAACCTGACATCCCCTTCTGGCAACCTCTCAGGGCACACATGAATCGGCACATGCAATTTCATTTGTCTCTTATGTTTGTTTTTTGAATTTTCTCTTTCTTTCTTGCAAGCTCACCTGTCATATAACGGCTTTTTTAGTTACTTTTAAACTTACCATCTGTAGGTACTTATAGCGAAATAATTTTCAGGTTACAGGTTATCTGGATCCTTCTGGAACATGAAGTGTGAAGCCCTTTTACACTGTTTTCAGGGGGTGGAGCCCCCTGCAGACTCCTAGCTCATCTATGGTTTTAAGATGGCATTCCCAGGAGTTTCTGGGACCCTGGCTCTACTGGGGAAACCATCCAGGATGCTTACTGAGAGCCTGTCTCATCTTGTTCATTGAATGTTTTTGGGCCCCATTTATCCTTTTGAACTGTAACAACTAAAATCCTGCCCTCTCTTCCAATAACCTCTTTTCAAACAATGAACCCCAAGTATGTCTTTTTTTCCGTTTGTGAGCTGCCATTAAGATGTCATTTCCACTTCATATTTCTTTAGTCTCTAATCAGCTTCTGAAATCTCTCATCTCTTTTAAAGGTACCTCTCTTGTCTTCCTTTATTTTGATTTCATTACAAAAAGAAACACTCCCAATCTGATAATAAGATTGAAGCCTGCTTTTCAAGCCAAACTAGTTTCTCTTTGATTGTCCAAGCAAATTGAATTCCTAGATACAGAGTATTCTAGGCACAGACCTTTAAAAATGCATTCTTGGCCAGGTGCGGTGGCTCACGCCTGTAATCCCAGCACTTTGGGAGGCCAAGGCGGGTGGATCACCTGAGGTCAGGAGTTCAAGACCAGCCTGACCAACATGGTGAAACCCTGTCTCTACTTAAAAAAAAAAAATAGCTGGGCGTGGTGGTGCATGCCTGTAATCCCAGGTACTCGGGAGGCTGAGGCAGAAGAATCACTTGAATCCGGGAGGCAGAGGTTGTGGTGAGCCGAGATCCTGCCATTGTACTCCACCCTGGGCAACAAGTGCTAAACTCCATCTCCAAAAAAGATCAAAACAACAACAACAAAAAAATGCATTCTTAGCTTTTGGACTTGCAGTCATTTTACTGAGTTGTTTCTTTACTTTAACTGAAGATTGTGGCCTTTTTTTTAAAAAAATAAATGCCCTGATCAGGCATTTGTTAAATGAGAGTACCTACTGAAGATAAGACACTTTTCTACACACTTGGAATATACCAGTGAACAAGGCAATTCTTTTTGTCTGTCGTTATTAATAAAATATACTAATCTTGTGAAATCACAGTTCACATGTCTGAAGCGTAAAGTCAGAATATAATAGAACTCATCAAAGCTGTGCAATTGAGATCTCATGGTTCATGGACGTGACTTTTAATATTCATTGGTTGAGCAGCACAGTAATAAGGGCCCAGTCCCTCTCAGAGTCCTTGTTTGGTCTTGAATTCAGGTAATGGGATTTGGGAAGCACATTTGTCGAAAATAAGTTAAAGGCAAACATCACCTAGAGCTCTGTGGCACACAAGGGCTCAAATGTGTGCAGTGTAAAGTCCCTGTGTCCCAGTCTCCCACCCTTTCAGCGTGGTTGAGAAACAGCACAGGCAGTGAACCACACCCTTACTTCAGCTGACCTGTCTTGCTAAGGCCTGTGCCAACACTCCCGAGCAGCCAGCCTGCTTTCTAAGACTCCGATTTGTCCTCCTGCTTGTTAATACCCCAAATGGCCAGCATTTGCTGAATTCCAGCCTGTTATGAAATACCAGGAGCTACAGAGACCTGCAAAAGTCAGAATCCCACGTGATCGATAGTCACCATGGCTTAAGCCAGAGAGCTGCCTGCCTTCGTGGTTGCTGTCTCCTTCCTCTACATGTTATTTCATTCTCCAAGTGCCAGTCCCGTCTATTTCTTAAGGTTCCCAGTCTGTGCACCAGGTATTGAAAATTTAGGGAGTCAATAAATATACTTCTCTTCCTCGCCTGTGTTTGGATCAATTGAGAGAGAAAAAAAACAAAAAAGAAAAAACAAAAAATGTCAGAGTAGAAGATGTAATATAGCTCTGTGGATAAGTAGGTTTGTTAATATTTTACCCCAAATTACACATACCCCGCTCCTTCCCAGTGTAGCCAAAACCAGAGCAGAGCCTTGTTCCAGCTTGGGGACCAGGCAGGGCTTGAGCTCTGTGCAAGAGGTGAGTCCAGGCAGGAGAGGGCAGGAACAGGCCAGGTGCTTGCTCCTGTGGGACAAGTGTGACTCCTTCTCTCCAGGGGAGGAAGAGGGGTGGAGAAAGGAGGGAGTGTTAGTCTAATGGAAGTTCCTCCCCGTGGAGACTGCAGAAAGGCACGTGTATGTGTGTTGGAGCAGATGTTTCTCCTAGCAATTGATACTCCTCATATTGCTCTTCGAATTTTGAGTTTCAACATTTGCTTGTCCGTCTCTTCTACTCTCTGAATGAGGCCCTGTGCAATTCCTGTTTTCCTCAGTGTCCTGCATGTAGTAGAATGACAAAAGTATGTTGATGGACCAAAGTAAAGCCAGCCTGCACTAGTGAAACGGAGAGGACAGATACACATCTGCCCCTGGTAAAATGATCATGAAGACCACTGTTACAACACAGAAACAGTCTACCTGCTGTCTGCTTCCAGGTTTTTCCTATCCTCCCGTTGTTGAAGGAATTTGAAAATAAATTTTATAAAGACAGTTGCATTCATGCCCAGTGTTCTTACTTCTCCCATAGATGAGTAAGACTGTGGCTTTAGAAAATGCACAGAGGCCCGTTTTATAATAAAATATTCTATTCAATTCAGAACAAATATTCAGTGCCTTAAATGTATTTTTAAAGCTTATTTTTCCCTCCTATTTCATCTTGTAATGATGTGTGCAGCAATAATCGAAGGCTTTTTTGTATTCGTTTAGTACACCTAGATGTGTTGCAAGAATAATCACTTTTATTTTGAGATTTTGAAACACAGGCACTGGTACAGGATTGGGCAAGGCAGATGGCACAGATCTTACTCCAGACCTCCCAGCATGGTGACTCCCATCCACAGCCTCCGGAGGATGCAGTGGCTGCCCACGTGATAGCAGGGCCAGGATTCACCCGGGTTGCAGCCTCATCCAAAGCTGCAGGGTGCTGCAAGTAAAATGTGTCCCTGCCTCAGAACCGGGGTGTGGGCCCTGAGTCACTTCACCTGAGGTTTGAGAGTCAGCTGACTTCATCTTGACTTCAGTTTCAACAAAACATTTGCTCTCAGTCTTGTGGAATTTTCAAACTTGGGAAGCCTCAGTGACTGCTCACTCATTTTTCAGGGTGATGTCGTGATGGGTTGGAAACAGTTTTTAGGTTCTATTGTAGAACTGAAACAAGGGCATAAGAAGGAGTTGAGGGCAAATCTCTCCAGAGAAAATACAACACAGAGAAAATAATTTAACTTTGCAATGATGTCATAGTGATTATTAAAATATTTCCTAGTTGATACAATGTCTTTTGTATATTTTGTTTGTAAGTACTCTATGTTCTAGTTTAGATTTATCAAAGTTAGAGTCTCCTCTCTTGAAAAGTCTCTGCTTGGAGAAACTTGCACTTTAGGAGAATTTTAAAAAAATGTTCATTTTGTACTTTTCCAAGTGTTTCTGGAATTCTCCAGGCTTTGACACATGCTGCTGACAACAGAGATTTGCATGTGTTCTTCCAAGCGTATTAATTTATTTTAAAAGTCACTATTGTCCAGGTCCATCTTCCTCAGTTGTGTAATATACACAATGTTATTTTTATAATTTTAATATTGTCAAATTCAAGATAACTCTTAATTTTGCTTAAGTTTCATATTCATTTGGATCTACATGTCTCCTGATTATGAATTAAAGAGCAAGTTTTTACTTTTCTATTTATTTTGTTAACTAGATAACTTATTGAAGTAGAATTTTAACATGAGCTAAGACAAGCAGCTAAAACCCTCCTAGATAAAGCTCTATTTCAATCAAACACCACTCTCCGCCTGGGCCTGTGTTATAACATTAGCAGTACAAAATCATAACTGGTGAAAATTGTAGCAAATTATTAGTGATGGGAAAATTGAAGAAAGTAAATACCTCTGAAAACTCAGCTGATAAGACTTCAAAAGTATTGGAAGCCTTTTCTGCCTCACTTAAGAATAATAATAAAAATGATGATTCCAGAAAGTTTGTAAGTTTGCAATAACCTGCTTAAAAATGAGAGTTGACTGGCTGTGTTATCATTACTGTTTCCTGAGAGACAGTTTATGGAAGGTGGTTTTATGATACATTCCTGAAAAACCTCCAGATTTCAAGTATGCAATATAAACCTCCTTATGAAAACTGCAAGTCTTACCCATTTTATAAATTGTACCACACCTACTTCAGATTAAATAGGATCTCCACATTTTAGTGTGGTCAGTGAACAATAAAAGGTGGGCACTGAGAAACTGCTAACAAATCTCTCGATTAGGGTCTGATCCAGTTGATTTAAATGGGCTGTTCTCACACTTTCTGGTCTCAGGATTTCTTTATGCTTTTAAATATTACTGAAGAAAAAAATCACTGAGGATCCAAATGAGCCTTTGTTTATCTGAGTTATATCTGTCACCACTGACCATTTTAGAAATTGAAGTTGAGAAAAATTTAAACCACAAGAATATCTACAAGCACATATGTCATGACCATCGGAAGGAAGATGGCAGCACATGCCGCGTGGCCTCTGGGAAATGCCACTGTACGTTCGTGACAGAATAAGAGCGGGAGAGGCACGCGAGGATAGTTTTGACCGCCTAGATGCCCTGACAGGGTTTCAAGGACTTGAAGGGCTACCAGATCACACTTTGAGAACTGCCAGTTTACATTATTTGATGTCATTATTGAACATTTACCAATACCTTGCAGAAACTCAAGCAATTGGTGATGAGTTGTCTGCAAACATAGTTTTGAGTGTGGGCTGTAGGATCAGCCAAACTCGATTTGATCCCCCATTCTACTGCTTGCTAGCTGTAAGGTTTTGGGCAAGCCTCTCAGGCACTCACTGCTTGGTTTTCTAAGTCAAATTGGGGCTTGTGGGGTTATTGAAGGATATGCACACAACTAGCGTTGCACCTGGCCTGTGATAGGTATTCAGCAAATGATAGCTATAATAGAAGAAGAAACAGAACAGAGACCACTTTTATGCAGCCGGCCTCCCCCATTCCTCCCTCCCAAGAAGGACTTTTACTGATTACTGTGGTATGAAACACAAGAATTCTCCTCAGGAAGGACGACTGGAAGAAACAAATAGAACAAAGAAAGTTTCAGCCTCCCCTTCATCCCGTGACCGAATCTTTCCCTATAGTGTGTTTATCTTTAACAGCTTTGATCTAAAATGAGTGATTCCTCGCACTTCCAAAGTCCAAGCTTATTTTGTTCATTTGTGCTCACTTTGTTGTTTTGCTAGATGAAATTTTGCTTCTAATAGAGTAGTAAAATGTCCCCTTTTTCTTCCCCTGACACCTACCGATATTCTGAGTTCCTGGTTTTAGCCGTTTTAGCAACATTCCTTGCTCAAACTCCCCCTTGAACGCAGTGCCAGGATTTAAGATGATTCTTTACAAGTTGCAATTTATACTTGGTCATTTCCTGTCAGTTTCTACGTTTCGTATTCTGGAGTCTGAACTGGACAATGACTCCTTAAACTGGCAGTCGATTCCCTCCAGGGCTGCAGATGGGAAGAGAGTGCAGGTTGAGCCCAGGTTGAAGCCCGCCGTAAGGACAGTGGGCAAGGGCTGGCCACGCCCTTCTGCTAAGGAAGAGCACAGGCCCACTGTACATGAGCTTGGCCTGCAGGAGCCCCTCTGAGGCTGCTGGGTTTTCCTATGCGATGATTTGACAATGATTCTTCTGCAGTGGTGTCCCCTGACCCTTGCTGGGCTTTTCTGAACCTCACAGGATATCCCATTTCTTCTAGTCCCTTAGATGATGAATTTTTGCCCATCTTCTGATTTGTTTTTTGGGTCACTCATCACTCATTAAGCACGTGCTTTGTGGTCAGCACTCTGTTGCCCCTGGGTTGAGTGAGAATGGGACGTGTCTGATGACCATGATCTGACTCTGGTAAAGGAGAGCCAGCTCCGGACTCTGGGGATAGAGAAAAATGGGCCAGAAATAGAAATATTTCCCCTCTGCATGTCTTTTTTTGAAATAGTGGTATAATAATTCAATGAAAAATGTGTAGTAACCTTCCTAGAAAGTAGCCATTGAGATCATGGACAGCAGCAAAGCACAGCGCTCCAGTCCACTTTATTTATTTATTCAAAGACGGAGTCTCACTCTGTCGCCCAGGCTGGAGTGCAATGATGCGACCTCAGCTCACTGCAACCTCTGGCGCTCAGGTTCAAGTGATTCTCCTGCCTCAGCCTCCCCTGTAGTTGAGATTACAGGTCCCCGTCCCTATGCCTGGCTAACTTTTACATTTTTAGTGGAGACGGGGTTTCACTATCTTAGTCAGGCCAGTCTCAAACTCCTGACCTCAGGTGATCCAACTGCCTCAGCCTACCAAAGTGCTGGTGTGTCTGGGGTTGGTTCCTACCAGTACTCTGGCTGACTTCATGATTCTCACTGACTTCATCAATGAAGCCACGGACCTTCACGGTGAGTGTTACAGCTCTTAAAGATGGCACAGACCCAAAAAGTAAGAGGCAGCAAGGTTTTTTGGGAAGAGCAAAAGGACGAAGACTCCACATTGCGAAAAAGGACCCAAACCGGTTACCACTGCTGGCTGGGGTGGCCAGCTTTTATTCCCTTATTTGTCCCTGCCCATGTTCCCTTTCTGTCCTATCATAATGCCCTTTTTCCAATTCTCCCTGTGATTGGCTACTTTTAGGATCCTGCTGATTGGTGCATTTTACAGAGCACTGATTGGTGCGTTTTACAATCCTGGCTACAGAGTGTTGATTGGTGTGTTTTACAATCCTCTTGTAAGACAGAAAGGTTCTCCAAGTCCCCACTTGACCCAGAAAGTCCCCCTGGCTTCACCTCTCACTGGGATTACAGGCATGAACCACTGTGCCTGGCCTACTATTATTTTTTGAGACAGGGTGTCACTCTGTTGCCCAGGCTGGAGTGCAATGGCACAATCATAGCTCACTGCAGCCTGGAACTCCTGGTCAAGTGATCCTCCCACCTCAGCCTCCTGAGTAGCTGGGACTACAAGCTTGCACCACCACCCTTAGCTTTTTTTTTTCTTTTTCTTTTTTTTTTACTTTTGGTAGAGATGCTATGGAGTCTTGCTATGTTGCCCTAGCTGGTCTCGAATTCCTGGCCTCAAGGGATCCTCACACCTTGTCCTCCCAAATAAACCACTGTGCCCGGCAAAGTCAACTTTTGAGTCTCAGACTTGGGTTTCATTCCATGTCCACCACTTACAAGCTGAGCAGCACTGGGTACAATTTTTAACATATTCATGTTTCAATGTCCTCAATAAAATCAGGGATCTTAACTAATAAGCCAAAATGGTAGCTCTGATTTGTGATAGCATTCAGTAGTGATGCTACGAGAGCAAAGATGAGAACCTTGCTTGTTGGTTAAATATTTCAGTTAGGGGAGCAGTGATGAACATTCTCCACACACACAAATGCTTTAACTGGACAAGTAGGGGCATCTGGTAGTGATAGCAAATGTGAGTCTTAGTTGGAATTAAGTAGCAATGTGATACAGAAAAAGGGAAGTTATTTGTTTAAGGATAAACAGGAGCCAGGGGCAGAGTGGAGGATGGAATCCAGGTTCTGTGACGCCAGGTTAATGTTTTGAATTCAGACGGGCTGGGATCCGAATCCCCACCTTCACCCCTTACTGCTTGTGTGAGCTTGACCAAGTTACTGAAATTCTCTGTGCCTCGATTTTATCATCCATAAAAGTGAGGATAATAATATTATCTTCCTTGTGTGTTGATGTGGGAATTAAATGAGATAATAAATGTTAAGTACGTAGCCGACTGTCTGGCAAATATTAAGTGCTCAATAAATGACAACTATTATTATCCCTTAGACCTCATTGCCTCTTCAACGCTTAAAAGCTCAGCAAGTCCCTTTAAAATGAAATTCTCAAAGCAGTCATTTCCCAGTCCAGAAAGAGAACCTGTCATGTGCAGGGAGTGTGTGCACTTCATGCGGCTGTTCCTTAGGATGAAAACGATTTCTTCCTGACACACAGGATCATCACTGGGCTTAGAGAGAGAAACTACTATGTATAGAAAAGAATGAGATGCTCTTAAAATTGTGCAAACCACCTCAGATCTAGTAATCACGGACTTGGCTCTCTCATCTCTCAACCCTGAAGGAGCTCCTTGGCAGCACTGACGCAGAGCAGCGAGCTCTTGTGAGGTGCACTGGCAAGCCCCTCCTGCTGTCTAAAGGCAACAGACACGGCCTCATCACAATGTTTCAGGTGCTTGGAATCTTTTATAAAGCACCTTTTTTGGGGGAGGATAAGGTTTGCAAGAAGCTAACCCCACGGTGTTAGCACTGTTTTTTACCCTTTGAGCCGCTAGTAGTGCAGTGAGTGTCTTCCTGAGCTGTCTGGCATGGCGGCTGGTGCGTATGACAATGTCTAAGTCCCCATGCACTTGTTACCTGCACAGGTGGCCACACCCTCCTCTCCCTATGCCCCTCAGTCACACTGCGCAATGGACCCTCCTTTACTCCTGAACCCAGCTGGCTCACAAGGGGTGAAGTGGGACCCTGATGGGGAGAAAAAAATAAATTTGGAATTTGATACATGATCTCTTATATAAATGAAAAATGATGCAATTAGGGGCAAAAGTTCCAGAAAGTCGAGCGCTCTTTCCCTCCTGGAAAAGCATGTGGACAAGGTCAGCTGGCCATCTGCAGCCCTGTGCCGGGGTCAGCATCCAGTGGCAGGCCCTCTGACATTGACCTGCCGCTAGGAGGTGCCTGCTGTTTGTGCCCCAGCTTCAGATGCGCTCTGGTGAATACTGCGGTTCAACACAGAGCGATCCCTGTGTTCGTGGGCTCATGTTGTCCCTGCCTGTCCCATCCGCACAGGGGCCAGGCACTGGAACATCTGGTGTTGGTCCTGAACATTTGTGATATTTGCCCCAGTGCTGAGAGCTGAGCTCCTTCTGGTGGCCATGGCATTAGAAACAGGTCAAGGCATCTTGTTTCTTTTCCTTGCAGTCACCACAGTGGCCCTACTGTTTGTCATGGCCACCAAAACACTTTCTTTCATTTGTCTGCGTGTGAATGATAAACCATATTATCATACATGTATAATGACTGGTGTCATACAAACTTCATACACAGAAGACTGTTATCAGAAAACATAGCCCACACAGAATCAAGCTTGTTCAGTTAGGGAATTCGCTTCCTGCATGGAACCCGCAAATCCTGGATGGGGCTGCCAGCCTCATTCACATTCCTGGTCTTGGCTCCTGTAAGGCAAAATGCTCCCCACTTGAACTCCCTTCTCCCCCAGTGTCTGGGGTTCCTGGAGATTCTTATCTCTTTGGAAGGAGCTGCTGCAGCGTCTTGTGGTTTTCAAGATGGCAGCTGAGCTGCAGTGATTGGCTGGTGTGACTTCAGGGAGGCTGTGCTTGTGACCATGTGCCTCTTCCTTCAAGCTTGGGAGGTGCAGCCAACGACGTGTGAACGGGCGTGGCTCCTGATGCTGAGGATGTGCAAGTGTGTGGGGATCCTCATTACTGGCTCTGGTAACCTAGATCCTTTGAGCAACCTTGATCTTTACTGCTTTACAGTTCTCACGATTTGTTTGTAATGCTCTGTGTTTTAAAGGAAACCGATATTGCTCCTCTGCTTGTCACATATTGCTCCTTCTCCCTGCAAGTATATTGAGTACCACACCAGCACCAGGCGAGAAGAAGTGACCAAATACCCAGAGAAGACTGGAGATCAGAGATCAAAGCATCCACCTACCTGGGTCCATCCACCACCCTCTTGTTTATTTCATCTTTTTCCTGCTCCCAGGGTGTCTGAAATGAACTCTGCCCATCAGGTAAAGGCCAATATCTTCATGTGGTCTAAAAGGGAATTTCATTTCTCAGGTGTGCTCTCTAAAGAGCCCTTCATAAATATGTTCTGTTTATTTTTTGGAGCAGTTTTCCCTATCCCAGGCCCCCAGCTATGTCTCAGTTAATCACGGTGCACCACAATTGAGCTGACTTATTCTGAATATTGCTTATTGCCATGAATTCGAATGGATTTTAGGAACCAACTCCCAAGTCTCATCAATTTAAAGGAAATCTAATGAGGGAAAATCCTCATCTGAAAATCCGTTATCACTGATGCATAGGCAGCCTTGGAAACATATCCTAATTATGGAAATCTTAGGTTTCTGAAGATAACTTTCCCTACTTTGATACACATGTTGGTGTCTCTTTAACTAAACTTTGTTAGGCTACATGACTTGAAACCGTATGAATGTTGTACCCCGTGTGACTCATGAGAGGCTGAGCATGTGAAGGATCTGCCAAGAGGTGTTCTAGGCAGTTCTATTGCCTGCTAGATTTTCTAGCCAGTCTTTTTCTTTTCCATCAAAACCCTTGTGTGAAGGAAACAAAGGCAAGTCTGAGCAGTAGCTCTGTGCTGGGCTGATTCCAGGGGGATGGTCAGTCCTTTGCAAGGGAATTTAATATCCAATCTTTCTGTCTCATGACAATGAAGTAATGTGAAGTGATACGTCTTAACAAAAGGATGCTGATGATACCACACTCACCACCTATTGATGAACAAAGCTGAATTTTAGATCCTACAGTTAAGTGATTATGCATGAAAGGATGGATTGTAGTTCTGGAGGGGACACAACCTGTCTGAATCTGAGCCACTTCAGTGCACATGCCTGGGGAGTGTGAGAGCACCATTGTCTCAGGGGCACTGTGAAAGGGCACCCAAGTTTGTGTCTGTGCAAAAAAGATCATTGGATATACGAGGACTACAGACCCAGGTAAGTTTCTGTGCTGTACTGTACACGGTTGCATGCTCCATGATAGCGAGCTCTCAATTTGTTTTATGATGTGTTCGTTTTTCCTTGAGATGTAGTGTGTGGGCCACTTTTGCCAAAGTAGTGGTGTCATGTTGTAGTTGTAAAATGAGGAAGATTTATGAAGAAGCTGGCAGAAGGACTTAAACAACTTCCCTAGATGTAGTAGGACTTTTATCTCTATTGGGGAAAATGGAATGCCAGGGAGACAGATAAAGCAATTGGAATAGAGGTAAAGGGTGGGTGAGTGGAGCCCCAGGCTGCTCAGACATTGGTCAGGAGAAGAATATGGAAGGAGTAAGTACACTTCTGCATACATGAATGATGAGAACTTGCTAAATGCCAACCAGGGCATTTTAAGAAGGAATTTGGGAAACATCTGATCTATGGTTTAGTTGATGCGGTACTGCTCTGTCTTCTCCGGGACTTTAAATACTGGACTAAACTTCCTACACAGACAGACTTGAGGTTGAGGCCTGGCTTACTAAGGTTTAATTGTGGATCAATTTTCAAGTCAGTTTCCCCTTCTATAAGAGGAGGATGGTAATAGTACCCACCTGCAGGGTAGGCATTAGGGTTAAATGAGATAACCCAGGTGGAGTGCTCAACATTTATTAGCCATGCTTCCATAAAAGTAGCTGGTGTATCAATTCCCAGTAGGGTTGGGTGATTCTATGTAGGAGGAGCATGAAAGGGAGCAAAGGTAAATTGCAGGTCATCTTAGGGATTGGAAGGTGGTGGCTCCCCCACTGGGGAACACCATGGAGTTGTGGCTTTGGAAGGAGTAATGGGTTCAATTCTGTTCACGTTGAATTTGGGACATCCAGGTAGATGCTTCTTGGGGCACAGAAATCAAAGGTTAAGACAAAGAACAAGGTATTTGAAATGGGACTTGTAGTTTCTGTAAATAAAAGACTCCCATGTATGCCAATGTAATGCTGCCTGAGAGCTACAGCTCACACATGCCTGCCTCCTCTCCCTCAGTCATGCTGCAGCCTTGCTCACATGATTTATTTCCTTCCTTCCTTCCTTCCTTCCTTCCTTCCTTCCTTCCTTCCTTCCTTCTCTCTCTGTCTCTCTCTCTCTCTCTTTCTTTCTTTCTTTCACGGAGTCTTGCTCTGTCTCCCAGACTGGAGTGCAGTGGTGCAATCTCAGCTCATTGCAAGCTCTGCCTCCCAGGTTCATGCCATTCTCCTGCCTCAGCCTCCCGAGTAGCTGGGACTACAGGCGCCCGCCACCACACCCGGCTAATTTTTGTATTTTTAGTAGAGACGGGGTTTCACCTTGTTAGCCAGGATGGTCTCTATCTCCTGACCTTGTGATCCGCCTGCCTCGGCCTCCCAAAGTGCTGGAATTACAAGTGTGAGCCACCGCACCCAGCCTGCTCACATGATTTCAAGACTGCAGTCCCGACCCTCATTTTGCATGACTCTGTCCAGGTATGATACAGATGGAGAGTATTAAAGATGTGTTAACTAATGAATTCTGCTGTTATAAATGTGTTGACTTCAAGCAAAGGTGTGAGAAAAATAATCGAGGTTCTGTTCCACACCACTGATCTGTGCTTCTTGGGGTGCCTCATTTAACATCTGTGGACCTTGGCCTGTTCCTTTACAAGATGAAGGCTTTGACTCTCTTTAGTTTCTTAAAATCCTCTCAGGACTTACCATTTCATTCTAGATTTCACAGTGGTTCATTTGAGCATGCGTTCTTTCTTCAATTCATTCATTCACTCAAGACATGTTTTTGAGTGCCTACTATGTGCACTATATAGGCTAGCTACTCTATATACAGGAATGGGTAAGCCTATTTTTGCTTAACTGGGATATTAGAAAGTGAATAAACAACTTTCCTGCCATGTACTACTCTATAGTAGAAGTCTAAGCAAATTGTTAGAGGAACACAAAAAAGGGCACTCAACTCTGCCCTTGTCTTCTCGCCTTTCAATGGGCTCTCTGTCTCACCTGGGACAGAGCAGACCTACTTAGGAGGTGTTTACTACATTGACCTGTGAATATCAGATACCGTCACCTGCAACTGTGCTCATCTTACACCTGCGAGCCACATCTACCGACATCTAGAATCAATCATCAGGATGACGCAGGCACTGCTGAGGTCACTCAGTGAGGTCTTCTCACATTAACCGATTGTTCATAGCTCAGTCTAATACACACAACAATGCATCTGTCGGAGCTGCTTCATTTTCCTGGACAACTGAAGGGCCATACGCACGTCCTGCTTTGATGGAAATATGGTATTGCATTTACCTGTCCCTATGGTGTAGTGTGACTGTGTTTATGCAATGTTAATACAAAAGCACTAAGCGGGAAGTAGGCTCAGTTCTGGGATCCCTTTCAGTCAGTGAATAGAGGACAGAGTTTGGTTCAGACACTTTTAATATGGTACCATTGCAGGGTTGGAACATTATTTCTCCTATTCTAATTTGTTCATAGTAATATGTAAAAGCAATACAAATGCTTCAGATTTTCAGGTTTATGAATAAAAGAGAGCAGATATTCCACCTGAGAACATGCCCAGTATTCTTTTATGGGATGGAAGGGGGTCCCTATGCCCACATATATTAAAGAGCGCACCTGCCTTCAATAAGCCTAGATCAGCATATATAAGAGAACTGCATGCCAAATTTGCCTTGTAAATCAGGAATAAAAAGAGCAGACGTGTTTCTCGGCAAGGGAAAAAGTGAAGAGGTGCAGTTGAGATTTGTGAGCTGAAAACGATCAGTCGAGCCAATGAAATCCTTGAAACATTCTGTACAATCGCAGCCACTTTCAGATTTTAATATTTCAGAAAAATAATCATTGCTATTGTGTAAAGTAAAATATGCTAAATGCTCACAGCCTGTATAGAGCTATAATGCCTTATGTATTGTACTATTAAGAAATAAAACCTGCCTCTTCTATCCTCATGGAAAACAGAGGACATATGTAACTAATCAACACATCCCAGTGAGATAATCCATTTACAGCTTGGTAAGAAAACTGATCATATTCTGTGGGCGACTCCCCATCACCCATTTCCTCCAGCCTGACTCAAAGTCCTGTTGGAGATTGTGATTACACTTTTCTTATCCCTCAGTGAAGAGTCAGTTTCTGATGCTGTGTCTGCCATTGTGTGTGTGTGTGTGTGTGTGTGTGTGTGGTGTGTTGACTTATTTATTTAGCTCTGTTAGGCTCAGAATCAGAACAGCACAGATTTGTAGGACAATTTGTCATTTTCTGGGACTGAGAAAAGATGAAGAATTCATCCATAGGGGCTACTTTTGGTGGCTTGGAATCAGAAAGGTTTACCTAGCCCAGTCTGTGCAGATGGAATTTCTAGAAGTCTTTTGGAGAGACCAGAAAGCGAATGAAAAAATGGTACATTTTTGATAGGAACAGAAGAAAATGATGTGTGAATTCACCTAGTTATGTGGGACTTGATGAATCCAGATGGACTCTAAATCATTCTTTTATTTGCTGATTAGTGCCAGGGGTTTTGAGCCTTGTAGAGGGGCACAACACTGAAGCTCTGACATTAAACAAACTGGTTTCAGTCCTTGGTTCTCAGTCAGGGCAGCTGTAAAATCAGATATGAGGACCTGAGACTGAGGAGCAGATGTAGTGTTTGCACTGGGCCTTTATGGTAAACAAGCTGCTCCTGGGCACAGCCCTTCACTCCTGCCCCCTCCCAGCCCGAGTTCATGTTCCTTATTGATGCTACTGAAAGAAGCTTCCTGGGGAGCCCAAAATGCATTCTTCGTCGGGCCATGTTAATTATTGTTTATAATCACCGAATACAGTTTATATCCAGATCTGACTTGGAAAGTAAGCTCAGGCAGGGGAGAGGATCTGAGAGTGGATTGCATACTTGGAATTCTAAATCATCGTTCCTTGTTTTAATTTTCCCTTCAGGAGGATGTTCTTGGCCCTTCATGGGCTGGGTCACCTCCAGCTTGCACATTAATTCACAATGGAATTTCTACAGGACAAACAGGAGGGGGGTGGTTTAGGACACTATTGAAAACTATTTAACTCTCTTTGGTCTCAAACTGGAGTCGACAGGCATTAAATGCACATGGGCAAACATATTGACACATGATTGGCTGTTTCAGTAAGCAGGGCCTTTACAACAATTCCAAGCTGTTGACACTTTAAGAGAGCACTCCTTCCTCCCAAGTTACACTGGAGGATGCCTTGAATCTGTCTACACACTCAGTGGCTGCTCCTAAGTCTCTGTGTGGTGACCGACGTCGACCAGGGTTAGCAGAAGCTGTTGAGAACACAAGGAAGGAAGCTTCAGGGAGCTGACAGCCTGGGCGGCCAGTACACCTCACCTGAAAGATGGGGCATGGGCCAGAGCTTGGACACCAGAGTAAGCCCTGGCTTTGAATCCTAGTTCTGTGACCTTGGTCAAGGAGATTAATGTTTAGTAGCTTTGGTTTCTTTATCTGTAAAACAGGAATCAGAGTGGTAGCGACACTGCAAGGCCCTTACAAGAGGAAGTCAGCAGCTTTAGAGTCCTTCCAGCTTTTGTTCTGAATTTGCCTGGTAACTGGCTTTCTAGAAGAGCTCATTGCTGGATGGTTTGACTCCATAGCACGCGAGGAGTTTCGGCACCTGCTACCATCCTCATTATTCGTTCACATGCTGGATAGTCCATGGAGTGGACAGGCAGCAAGAAGGATAGCAGCATGGAAGTAAATTGTGGATTTGTCAGCACCAGTGCTTTATTTGGACAGTTTTGCTGGAACTCAGCTCCTTGTGACTGCACCATTCATGAGTGAGTTCACTCAACAAATACTGACTGAGCACCTGGCAGGTGGCAGGCATTGTTCTGTGAGCCAAGCAAAGTCCTTGCCGTTGCGGATTTACCTTCTAGCATGGAGAGAGAGAACAAACAGATAAATATGCAATATGGCAGAGGGCAGTCCTCACTGGAGGGAGAGATTAAGAAGGGTAGAGGGTAAGGAGTATTGCAAAAGGGGTGTGCAGTGCTTCTGTCCATGGGGTAGTCGGGGCAGGCATTTCTGGTTAGGCACGGAGGCAGGAAGCTGGGCCGGGCTCTGAGGAGGACATTCCAAGCAGGGATGTAGCAAGTCCGAGGACCCCGAGGTGGGAGCTGACTTGGTCCTTTTGAAAAGCTTCAAGGACTGTGATACCTGGGAAGCAGGGAGAGCTGGTGAGAAGTGAGTTCAGAGGCGGCAGGAGGTGGGCAGACCACCGTAAGCATCCTGGCTTATTTCTCTGGGTGGGAGGGGAAGCCATCGGAGGGTCTGAAGAAGGCAAAACTGAGATCTCTGCAAGGAAGCTGCCATGATTGTCTGGGGAGAGAGGATGATGGCCGGGTTGGGTGGCGGAAGTGGAGATGGTGAGAAGTGATCCCATTCAGGACATATTTAGGATGTAATGTGAAGACAGAAACTGTGGGTGGGTTGGTCCTAATTGTGAGGAAAAGAGAATGGATACGGGTGACTCCAGGGCTTCTGGCCTGGGCGCTGAAATACGTGTGTGGACATTTCTGAGGCAGAGACAGTGACAGGAAGCGAGGGATGGTGTGTATGTTCAGTTTGGGACACACTAGGATTAAGACGCCTGTTACCGAAGTGGCCTGTCCAGGCGGCAGTTAGCTGTCTGAGTGTTGAGAGACGCTGGCAAGTATACTTACATCTTACTGTGAATTTGAGGAAGGAATTGGGGCTTAGGGTAGAAATAAGGAGCTGAATAAATTTTGCCAACATTCCCTAATTGTCATAGACTTTGTCACCCGGATATCTCTCTAGATTCTAGAAAGTTTCCTCCGTGGGCATCCACCATTTGGGCCACTCAGAGGTAACCTGGAGGGTAGGTGAAGTGAGTGTAGAGAAAGACCTAGGGCCCCTGGGAACTGTTCGCAATGCATTTGGGTGCACAGGTTGTCATGAGGGGAATTCACTGTTAAAGCGACCATGAGGAAAAAGAGCACTGTTCTCTGTCATTCTCAGCAGCTTCAAGCGTTAGAAAGAAGAGAAGAAAGGAGCCAATTGTTTTAGTGCCATAAAGTGAGAGCCAGAATGTCTTCTCATAATGTTTATTTCAAGGAAGGTGTGTTATTTTGGAATTGGGGATGTTTCTAAACTTTTCTCCTAATTGATTTTTAGCTGGCCATTAGTAAAAAGAAAAATGATGAACAAAGTGATAACAGGTGGAAGGTTGATTCACCAAAGCAGGATTGCTGCTGCATAGAACGTTGAACACAGTACTGAAAAGAGCTCAACTCGGAAAGGTCAATTTGCAAACAGCATGTAGTTTTCAAGATGGCATCTCCAGTCTTAACCCAAGGGATTGTGCTAGCTGGCAGGACGTGTGGGCAAGAGTCTTTGCTTGTTGGTCTTCTCAGTTGCATCTTCCTATGAAGCTATCAGTAACACCATTTTTTGGAGATGAAGGCTGAAATCTTAACAGTAAGTATTGCACTGGCTTAACAGGAGTATTTTGAAAACGAACACATTTATATACACAAAAGCTTAGAATCTACTTCCGGTGATGGGTGTTGGTGGTGGTGGTTTAGTCTGCAAAAGAGGAAAACCTAGGAATATTACATTACACCTGTGGATGATGGAGAGTAAGATTAAATTGGAAAGCAAGGTTAAAATGGAGTAATTAAAATGACTCAATTGGAGAGTAAGATTAAAATGTTGAGAGACATTAGCAGAAATGTATAAAGTCTGCCTATAGTGCCGGCTTCCTGAATCAAGGCTGCACAAAGCACATTGGGAAACTAACTTTTCGAAACAGGAATCCAGATGATTTTCTCTATCATTAAAACCCCAACTGTGATTCCACTACACTGATGATAGATTGCTTTTTGCACTTAAAGTTGGAAAAGTCTTAGTGTAATATGAAAGAATAAAGTCAGTAAGAGTTAGCTTGGAATCAGTACACTTTTTTTTTGTTGTCTAAAGAAAGACTTCATTGTACAAAGTTGAGACTTGGGAGGACAGTTACAAATATATGGGAGAATTTCCTTTTTCACACACACACACACACACACACACACACACACACACACACACACCCTTACATCTGATGATGTATGGCATTCAAAGCCCTGTAGACTTCTCACCTCTCTGGGAAGCACTTTCTCCAACACAGCCAGTGTTTCCAGTGTGTTACTGGTTGTTTATGGGCGAATGGTGTGGGTTGATGGAGGGTCCCCTGGGGCTGCCATCCACTTTCTTGATGCTCTTTGCCATCTGAGTCTGTGTGTGTGTGTGTGTGTGTGTGTGTGTGTGTGTGTGTGTGTGTGCATGTCTGTTTTGATGAGGCTTCATGGTGAAGAAAAGAAGAGCTTTCATATTTCACAGGCAATCCGAGGCAGAATTATTTTTATTTGCAATAACATTAAACTCCTGATGTATCTCTGAGTCTGAATAATATGGAAACAGTGAGTAACAAAGGCAAAAGAATTCTACCAGTGAAGTGGAGAGTATTGGATTTGGAGGAAAGAGACCTCATAAGATTTTCCTATTTGCCTTTAAAGGAAGAATCTGTCTATAAATGCAGAAAGGTATAGCTCTCCAGATGTTTTGAAACAATTGGTCATGTATTAAAAAATGTAAGCTACTGTTTTGGTCTTTGAAATGGGAAATAAAAAGACTCCTGATTGTTTCTGAAGCCTCAACAGGATCGACATATGTTTTCAATGACCATGGTCTAGCAGGCATTAACTTCTAACTATAAATTATTTGTTGCAAATGGAAAATGAGTTGTCTGAAACAGGCAAAAATAAATCTGTTGCTGTGTATCGCTGTGCTCGTGAAATTTCAGGCTTGGGTTTGCACACCGATGGCCTTAGGTTTTCTTACTAAAATTTCTAGTTTTGTCCAAAAGGCTCAAAAAAGTCCCAGGAGCTAGGAGCATGCTGTAGAAGGAGTTGGATCAAGGAAAATAGTGGACCACCTAGAGCGTGACACAGCTTTGGATGAAAGGGGCGTTAAATTGTGGGAATTGTCCACCACAGCCTCCGGTTTTAAACCAAGCGTCGTGCCTCACGTTAAAAATGAAAAAACAATGAGTGCAATTTAGTTCTGCTTCAGTAAATTTGGAACCTACATCATTTATTTTATTTGATTCAGCTTTTGTGCTCAAATATTATTCATTAGTATATAACCACACTTTGTGGCTCAAAAATGACTGGAAGATCTAACCATGGTAGTGATGTCTTAAAGTCAGATTTACTTTCTTCTATGTTTTAGCAAGGATTAAAGAGTTATTTCATTCTTTTCTTTCCTGTGTTAAAGACCCATTCTTTTCTTTTGCTCATATATATGAATCCGTAGCAGTAGCTGTCACGTTAAGTGGGTTTGCCTTCAGGAAAGCATTTTCCTTCTTCTTAATTTTTGGCTTTTACAGCTCTCGAAATGGACCAAAAAATCCCTCATGTTCTAGACAAATGAAAGCAAAAAATTGTAATTACTTTTTTAATCACTTCATAAATTTCCAGATCATTTTCCAGTATGTTTTAGACAGCCAGTTAAATAGCTTCTATTTCTTCTCCTTCCTATTTGATAAAAAGTACATAAATAAATTTAAGTAGCAGCAATCCCTGAAAATACTAATATCTGTCAATCATCTTTATTCACAAATAAAGGAGATATAGATATATGTGTGTGTGTGTGTGTGTGTGTGTGTGTGTGTGTGTATATTGCCCAGATTTAAGGGAAGAATGAAATAAGTGGTATCTTGGTCGATTAGCTCCAAAATCCATAAAAGGTGAGGGCAAATTAGAATCAAATTTTAAAGAATTTATTTCATTTTTCCAATTACATAAAAATTCAAAACAGACACATCTACTTTGTGGATTTGATTTTCATATGGTTGCGATGCAGTTAGTATTTTGGAGTGAAGGCTGAGGAAATCTTGAAGCAATCTGATGAGATTTCCTGACTAGGACACACCCCAGGCTGCCCAACTCAAAGCACTTTTGGCATTTCTATTAAAGACACAGGCTGTCTGGAACAGATGACTTTACCATAAATACTTGTCTCTGAGCCGTATGGCTTGGCTAGTGGCTTGGCAAGTGCTGCGTCCCTTGCAGGTGCCTGTGGGCTTTGGTAAGGACCATACTGGAACATGTAAGTGTGTGTGTGTGTGTGTGTGTGTGTGCGCGTGTGTAGGAAGGAACATTTACTCTATGTATACAGAAGGCACACATACACACCCACATCTACACATGCACACACCAACATACACATACACACTGCATACAGAACACACATGCATAATACATACCTACACAGCTACACACACTTAAACACAATCCTTCCACTCATACATACACACATTTGCACCCACACATATACACATATGCATACGTGGCAAACATGCACACATTCACATATACACATGCATACAGAAGACACATCCATGCACATCCACATATACACTGAACACAGAACACACATGCATACATACACACATGCATACACATGCATACAGAACACACATGCATACAGAACACACATGCATACATACACACATGTACACAGAACACAGGCATACAGAACACACATGCATACATACACACATGTACACAGAACACAGGCATACAGAACACACATGCATACAGAACACACATGCATACATACACACATGTACACAGAACACAGGCATACAGAACACAAATGCATACAGAACACACATGCATACATACACATACATGCACACAGAACACACACAGATATGCATACAGAATACATGCATACATACACACATGCACACAGAACACACAGGCATACAGAACACACATGCATACGTACACATACACATATGCACACACCCACCCACATACACACATGCACACACAGATACACACATGCATACAGAACATAAATGCATGCATTACACATGCACATATACACAACCCCCCACACATACACACTTGCACATCTACACATATAGACACGTCAACAGATGCACACATAAACACATACACACACAGCTGCACATACAGAGCACACACGTATACATATACCCACACCCCCATACACATACACACATGCACAACCCCCTACATGCACACACACATGCACACATATGTACAAAACTCACGTGCACACAGCTGCACACACATACACAAGTGCAAACAGTACACATATGCATACATATGGACGCCCACACACACATGCATATACATACACTCACATCAACACATGCACATGTATGCACACATATACACATAACACACATTCACAATACACAGATATAACCACAGGCACATACACATAGACACACACATACAGATACACATGCCCACGCCCTTGCCTTATTGTCATATAACCTACTGTCTGTAGCACTAGCCTCTTTTTTAGCGATATTGTTTGCAAAATGTCGTGGAACATTCTGGTTCCTGTTCATGATAACAACTTCAGGCCTATCCTGGCCCAGGGCAGGGTGGGGAGCCTGTAGGGTGCTATGGACTGTCTTGTGATTTTTGATAGAGAAACTTCTGGTGGTGGTAAAACCCAAATGTTTGCCATCATGGAAGGTGCAGGAAGGGGGGCAACCCCTGTACACACTCCTGTGTCCAATTAAAGGCATGACCTCCTAGAATCAGGCCGCGTCCTCGGCTAGCAGCTGCTGCCCTCTCCCCTTTTCTGTTTCATTTGCTTTTTAAGCCCGGCATGATACTAGCTCTAGCTAGTATCGTTTATCATTGTTTCTTTCTTCTTGAAGTCCTGTCTTCTCTTTTCTAGGTTTGGATGATATTATTTCCCCATTGTTAAGAGTTCCTAGAAAACGGCTTGTCATGGAAACCTTTTCCTGACTTTTCTGTCTCCCCCTAGTCTCACAGTGGGCCCCTCCATCACCCTTCCATCCTCGGGGCCTGCCAGTAGGATGAGGAGCAGGCGCTGACTTGACCTGCCTCTTGCCGCAGGCTCCGGGAGCCGGGGAGTCCAGATCCTCTACAGGCGACTGGCTCCAGAGGAGATCCAGAGGAGATCAGGAACCACAGGGCAACTGCTCTTGCATAGGCCTGAAGGGAAGAGGGAGCTGGGTTAGAGAGAGGGTGAGAGAGCAAGGGAAGGATGAGCAGAAGGAGGGACTATGGGCAGGAGAGCCCAGACAAAGCTCATGTTTCTGTCTTTTAGCCACTGGCTACGTTCCCACCCTTGGGCTGACGGTGACAACATTTCATCCTCACTAACATTTGTCCCTTGCTGTATGATTCAGCCCAAGCATGTTTTGGGTATTTGCATCCATGTGAAGCCTTACTTCCCAATTGGTGGTGTTGTGCAGGCTGTCTGCCTTCTTGTGGTCTAACCTCCTCGGGCTTTAGGTCCAGGACCATCTAAAAACAGGAGAATCAGGAAATCAGCAGAAGCAGCCACCTTCAGGCTTCTGGAAGCAGCTGGGCTCCGGTGTGGCTGGGCTAGAGCCAGAGGTGCCCTGCTCCCCCTCACTCCTTCCTCATCAGGCTCCCTGGTGCTGAGTGTCCTCTCTTCTTCGACAGCCATTGGCCATGTGACTGGGCAAAGCAAAGGTAACATGGAACGAGCGAGGGAACAGAATATTAAATGAGGGGAGGAGGTGGCTGCCTTTCACAGGAATCCAGGAAAAAAATCCCTCTCTCTAGAGGATTCATTGATTGCAGAACATCTTAAAATAGTGGATTTTAAAATGCAAAAGGCCAGGAATTCCCAAATGTTTTGTGATGAGGGGATGTGGAGCATCTGGACTTGTGCAGGCAGAAGGCTAATGGAGAGATCTTGGTTGGGCCGGTGGTGGTGGGGCCTTGCGGGGTGTGGCAGGTGACAGGAGAGATGGGAGCTTCTGGGGAAACGCCCATTGGAAGGAAGCAATTGAGATGCAGATTCCCGGATATGGATGCTGTTAGGGCTCAGGAGTTGTGGAGTTGGGACTGTTTCACTGCCAAGAGGACTGGGGACTGGAGAGTGACCTGTGACTCAGCTGTGGCAGGCCTGGAACTCAGCACTGCTGCTGCCGCATCTGTGTGGGGCCCTCAGCTCCACTGCACTGTGTTGCAACAAGAATTGGGGGCCGGGCACGGTGGCTCACGCCTGTAATCCCAGCACTTCGGGAGGCCGAGGCGGGCTGGTCATGAGGTCAGGAGATCGAGACCATCCTGGCTAACACGGTGAAACCCCGTCTCTACTAAAAAATAGAAAAAAAATTAGCTGGGCATGGTGGTAGGTGCCTATAGTCCGAGCTACTCAGGAGGCTGAGGCAGGAGAATGGCGTGAACCTGGGAGGCAGAGCTTGCAGTGAGCCGAGATCGTGCCACTGCACTCCAGCCTGGGTGACAGAGCGAGACTCTGTCCCCCCCCCACCAAAAAAAAAAAGAATTGGACAATGACCTTGACAAAAGGGAAAATCAAGTGATGGTGGGCATTCAGCTGCTTCTTTTTTTTGAGATGGAGTCTGGCTCTGTCACTCAGGCTGGAGTGCAGTGGCGCAATCTTGGCTCACTGCAACCTCCACCTCCCGGGTTGAAGCGATTCTCCTGCCTCAACCTCTCAAGTAGCTGGGATTACAGGTGCACGCCACCACTCCCGGCTAATTTTGTATTTTGAGTAGAGACAGGGTTTCGCCTTGTTGGCCAGGCTGGTCTTGAATTTCTGACCTCAGGTGATCCACCTGCCTGGGATTACAGGCATGAACCACTACGGCCCAGATTCTTTCCTTATGCCCTGGTCTCTCCCCTTGGACTTAACAGCGTGGGCTGTGGGGATGCAGGGGATTTAGGGCCTGACGTATACCCAGCAGCAAACTCAGTGTGTGGGGAGCCCCGGGCGTTAAGTACAAAACAGAAAGTGCTCCTTATCCATGGCTGGAGCTCAAATGCCCAGACCTTCCTCATTACAAAACTGTTTCTGCTCTCGTCCTCTGCTCTTCTCATACCCCCAGAGCACTCTTTTTCCTTTCTCTTCTTTTTTTCTAAATTTTATTTTTTCTTTGTAATCATCAAACCCTCCAGGGTCACTGTGGCCCGACATATTCCACCAAATCAGAACAAGAGAAATATCCTGTATTGCTGGTGACAGTGCTTGGAGTTCCTTTGTCCTGAGGGGTCTATTTCTCCCCCAGTATTGCAGTCGATATTAATTCTGGAATTCTGGGAATGTTTCTGGAGGGCTCCAGAAATGAAGACAGTTTGCTCACTGTTTCATCTAGCTTGAGAGAAACATTGGTTTAAGCTGAGGGGACCTGAACAGCTGCCTGTATTTTCCTATGTATGTGGGTTTCCATGAAGTCCAAACATTAACAAAGAAGGGAGAGGCGCCATATAATAAGCATCTCATTGACGCACTTGACTTTCATTAGGTCTGTGACACCTAGCCAGGTGCTCGTTTATGGGGCTGTTTGAGACTAATTGCTGAGGCTTTGTGCCAGTGCATGCGATTATGAGGAAGTTTCAGAACTACGTGCAGTGTGGAGGTGACGGGCTGTGGCGCTCCAGGAGGGGGATGCATGGAGCTGCACTCTGAGCAGACATAATGGAGTGCCCGCAACGTAAAATGGTGTCTTTAATTGGATACTTTGCTGTTAAAAGCAGCTTGGAATCATGGTCACAGATGCCACTTATCTGTTTTCACGGGACAGAGAGTGAAGACAGAATGAAAGTAAGCTGGAATTGGTAAGGGGGCCATTAGGAATTTCTCTCCAGTATCCACCGTGTATCCTTTGGGTGGTCACAGCGTGGCTGTGCTGGGGGCCACACTGAAGCCCCAGGTGATGCTGGCCACAAAGTCCAGGGGCTTTCTGAGAAGTTGAAACTTGAAGGAGAATCAAAACCCCAAATTGGGTTTTCTCATGAAATCATCGGGTCATTTCTGGGGCTGCAGATTAGCAGGGCCTGATGTTGAACAAATGATGATTTTTTCAGGTAGCAAGTTTCTATCCTTCGAAGTTTCTAGAATGAAAATCTGAAGAATTTATGGAACTCATTGAGGCTTGGGTTTATGTGCTCAGATTGGAATCTGGTAATACGTAAGGATCAGCAGTTCTGTCTCAGAGAGGCCTGATAATAAGAGGGAGTGGCAAAGCTTGGAAGGACAGGCAGAACACTGCCGCTAACCCTCTATAACTGAAGACATGGGAAAACTTAGCTAGTCCCTGCGACTTACTGGGCAAAGAGAGGAGTCAGTAATTTGTTGGGTGTTCCGAATGAAGTCTGTTTTGTGTTTTCCTGTTAACAAATTCTTCCCAGGTGGAAGGGAAGATTCAATAAACATCTGTCCCGATAGAGCTGTAAAGTGAAGGAGGGAAATGGGGAGAAAGAGAAAGCAACTGCTTCATTATCACGTTTGCTGATGAGCAGAAGGAGGGTAGAAATGCCAATCAGAGTTTGTGATTGTGCAAGTTTTTCGAGAAGCTTGCGTCACAAAGCAATAAGAAGAAATGAGTTCCAGGAAGCAATGGGGGTGACGGGGGGTGCGGGGGGAGGGGCGGGGTAGGGGAGTGGAGAAAGTCTTTTGAAGATCTCGTGGGAAGGCAACCTGCAAGGATCCATGCCTGTGTGCCGAGGACAGCCACCAGGCGAGCTCCAAATGAACCCCAGGATTATTTTTAGCTATCATGATAGAAATGAGGTGCTATTTTAAGCACTGATGGCACGTGTACCTATAACATTATGTACAGGTGAGGCACTGTAGATAAAAATAACTTTAGAGAAGAATAGCCACGTGAAAGGCACGATCTAAATAGGGACATCTTTTCAGCGCACACTAGAACAGTGTTCTCGAAGCCAGGGCCTCCCCTGTCACCAATCCACAGCCACGCCGGCCCCTCTACTCCAATCTGTAGGAGGGAAAAGACATTTCCTGTCTTGCTTCTGCCTTCTCTGGATTAAATTCTCCCTAGCACACTCTGTTCACAAGCTATTCTTTAAGCTGCAGAATATTGTTTCAAAGAGGGGACCAGCCTTTCCTTTACTTTCACTGACATTTTATTTTCTTGATTCTGAAGGTCTCCACCCCCATTCATGTTATTTTTAAAAACATTAAAAATGTTATTTTTAAAAACCACCATGCCACTTTTCTCCCCCACATCTTTATCCAAAGCCTGGAGTGGACGGGCCTGGTGAGTCCAGAGTCTGTCTGCACTTTGATGAGGGGTGGGGCGCGTGAGTCAAGAACATTTGTGGAGGCAGCAGGCAAGGCCAAAGGTCCAGGACACCAAGACGAAAAATCAAGGATTTTGCTATATCTACCATCAAGAATTATTATTGCCACACAGATGTGCAGGAATGATAGTGGCATATGTGATAGCTTTCATCCTATCAAGGCTGCTGAGGAAAAGTGGAAAGAAATAAATGTGCTTACTTTTCTACCCAAAGAACTCTAGCACTGTCCAAAATCACACCTACACATTTCAACACAACTTACTTCAAACTTTAAAATTGTTACGAAACAACTAACTTCTTGCCTTCTAAGTTTTAAGAAACTTCAAGAAATTCAATCAGTTCTTTTTTTTAAGAGAACAAAATTTTCTTTTTGTCTTTGATAGTCTTAAATTTTATGATGATGTGAAAAGGTGTAAGTCTGTTTTTATTCAATGCGGCACACACAGAATCTGGGGATGGGGACCAGGGATCTGTTTTATACACACACCCTCCTTGTAAGGCTGATACAGCTCAGATGTGAGGATGGTGAGGGCTTCGGATTAATTTTGCAACTTCAGCCACCGCATGAAGTCAGGCATTGTGGTGTCCTAGGGGGTTGTCTAGATGTTTGGATCAGTAGTTCCCAAAGTGTGGGCCCTGGAAACTTGCGAGATGTTGCCAGCTCTTGGGCCTTATTCCAGACCCCCCCAAAGCAGAAATGCTGGAGTGGGACCCCCACACCCTGGTTTTAACCATCCCTCCCTCTGATGCACGCTCCTGTTTGAGAACCACGATTCTAGACCATCGTTTCCAATTCTATGCATATAAGGATCACCTGGGGATCTTGTTAAAATGCAGTTTTCATTCTGTAGGTCTGGGTTAGGGCTTGAATTTCTGCTTTGCTAACAAGTTTCCAGGTGCTGCCAACACTGTGGATTCGTGGACCACCCTTAGAGTAGCCAGGTTCTGAAATATTATGGTCACTGCAAATATATATTTTCTATTGTAAATGGATAACGTGGCATTCTGATTTACATGTCATTCTCCTGTGGGGCAGCTGGAGTGAGAGTCAAGATCTAAAATAAATCATCTCCTTGAGTGAACCTGATAACATTGTGAGTTCCTGAACAGAAATGCCTGAGGCTCTAACTGTGGCTGTGGTTTCATTTCTCTTTGACATCTAGTAGGCACTTCATAAACGCTTATGGAAAGAATTAATGGGGACCCCAAGGTACTCCAAGGGGCCTTTGCCTGAGCAGTGGGCAGCATCGTTCTGTTGACTCTTTTTTTTTTAATCTGCCAGGATAAGGGACTGAAGCAGGAGAGAGGCACACGCACAGCCAGATGACCCCAGGGCTCCAAGGGAAGAGCCAGAGAGGCCTCAGCACTTGAGCCTCTGAGGATGCTTTTCCGCTGTCAACACTTGGCTCGGTTTTTTTCCCTGGCTCAGATTCACCCTTTTAATCAAATTTCATTTATTCAGTGCCTCGGTGCACTCAGCACTAGTCATTTTTGCTAAATCCCATCTCTTCCTCTAGCACTTTATTTAACTGCAACTGAGGCAGAAATACTTGGATGAGGGCTTAGCAGGAACCCACAGGGGTTAGCTGCTGGCAGCCTTTGTTTGCAGGGGGGAATCCAAGGACACGCTCTCCTTGTCCCTGCCCGTTGATGGCGTCCTTCCCCCATTCCACCTTTCATCCTGGCCTCTTTGCATTTCTGGGGTTTCATCCTTTATTTTAGACAAATTGATTGTTTTCTCTGCAAAAGGTCTCCCTGCCAACCCACTTGCACCTTCCTTCATTCTTTTGCACCTTCAACATGCCCTTGTTGGTAAGTAGTGGATGTGAATCCTTGTGCATGGGAGGCTTACAGCCTAGTGGTTCTTTCTAGTAGGACTCCCTTTTGGTTGAGAAGATCCAGGCTGTTGGTTCTCGACCTTTTGCAAATCTCAGGAAAGAAGGAAATGTGTGTGCCAGCCTAGTTGCTGGAATGTCTGGGACTCTCTGCTGTTTGTTGGGGAGTCCACCATACAGGAGGTTTACAAGTGCCACCATTCCCTTTGTAAGGATTCTGAGAGGCTTGCAAAAATCAGCTGTGATTCAAATTAAGTCCTAGTTCTCTGGCTCATCTGGATCCCCCAGGGAGCATCTAGAACCCTCCCCTGGTCAGGCCTAGCCTTTGCAGAGTTGATTGCCAGAAGAAGCTGCTGGAGCTTCTGTCCACCCTCCTTGCAATGACCTCCTGTCTTTGTGCTGATTCAGGCTGTGCAAACAGCCTAATGAAATGGCGTTACAAGCTTCCAGAATTTTTGTCAAAGCAGTTTGTTTTCCCATATATATATAGCCCTGTACTGTAAGCATCTACTAATACCTTACAAAAAATATAAAAGGAGCTTGAAAAGTGTTCATCCTTCTACTTTTTAGGGCAACAAAATATTTGATTCCACAAAGGGACAAGTAAATAATATCTATGGGAAGACATTAAGAAGATAGATTTTGTTCCTTCCCCTGCCACAAAAAAGTGAAGCTGGCATTGCATTTTTTGAGCTCAGCAGACTAGAATCAGGCCTTCTAGAGTGAACCCTGAGTGTCCTGCCTTGAGTGCATTTTAGTCTGGTGTGGAGTTCCAGGCCTCCTTCCACCGTGTAATATTAGTAGTGCTCTCCACTGTGACAGAATGCAGCAGGCACGATTCGTCAGCCCATTCAACTCACAGAAAATGTGACCTCATCAAAGACAATGGCATCAGGTCCCTCCCACACTTCCTCACCTGTTCCACATATTTTCTATAATGCATCCATAAAATGCCTCCACATCAATGCTCCAGTGAGGATAAGAATTTGATTTCACAAGTAGAAAAACATTCGGAGGAATGTCCAGCAGTCAAATCAACCTACTTTCAGATTTGTGGGATTATTTCTGAAAACATGATATGTAGACTTTCATTACTTTGTAAATACATGCTATTAAATTTACGGCTTAATTCTGGCATGTAATGTGGCTAAATTATGGTTGCTTTGTGGATCATAACTTCCCTGCATGGATTCTAAATCTTTATCTTGCATGAATATACACGTTTTTTTCTCCTTTTGCCCTGAGTCATTCTAATTTTTTACAAAGTGAACTTCAGACTCAGAAAAGTGCTGGCGTCTCCAGGCACACCCCCAGCTCCAGAGCTCTTTGCAGAGAGTACAGAATTGATCCTCTGGCTGAAGCATCCTCTGCAGTGCAGACTGACAGTGCAGAACACGGCCCTGGGAAAGAAGCATTTCAATCTGCTTGTAGGAGGGAGCTTCAAGGACAGGCCTGCGACACACCCGGTGACTGAGCGTGGTGGTTGCTACGGAAGCTGCTCTGATTCCCAGTCTCAAAATACCTTTGGCCAGGGGTCTGTTGGGACTGCAGGGAGCTCACCCAAGAAGCACCCAAGGCTCAGGTAGGGCTCAGTGCTTTCTGTTGGATGGTCCCAACCACTGCCATCCTTCCTACAAATGCTGGACCTTCCTCCAAGGCCCGCTTCTGTTTTTCTGCTCTGAACTGTATCCCACCCACTAGCCTGGAGTTTGAAAAAAAAGCAAACAGGCCAGACAAATTTTACACCCTCTCAGAACGTTTAATGGAGTTGAGATCAGCCTCCTTCCCCACGTCCCCAGGAACTCCCATCATCCCTCTCCTGCCAAACTCAGGGACCTTAGCTCAAACAGAGGATGCTCGAGTGACTTCATCAATTAAATATAGGACGTCCAGAAAGGAAAGTGACCATGTTCTCTGCATGCGATTCTCCATCCTAGCTGAACGAGGATAATCATAACTCGTGAGTGGCTCTATTTTAGCTGGCTTCTTCAGCGTGCCAAGGTCTTGACACAAGATGCACCCCGAAGCTGTGGCAAGTGCCCCAACTGGCCTCTGTGTCCACCCAAAGGACTTTTGAGGTTATCTGTCCCCTTTGCCCTGTGCCCAAACCATTCCCTGTGGACCTGTTATTGGTCCACCTCTCATTTCTGAAATGTGTGTACCGGCCTAGTTGCTGGGATGTCTGGGACCACTCTGCCATCTTTTTAATGCAGCAGAACTTTGAGACAGGAAGCTGGCTGCTCTTTCGGGTTTAGAGCAGTTTGCACAGGGTCACATGAAGTTAGTGCCTTTCATATTTTCTGAAGATGCCCTCATTTGCAGTGATCACCTGGTTTTATTTTTTCTATAAAGAATCTTAAGGGACACGGCATTTCTACATTTGCTCATGCATGATGACAATTCTTTGGTCATGTTTTGGCTTAAACTGAGCTTAAGTAAGTGGCTAAGAAACATCTATCACAACTGAAAAATCTTTCATGCCACTCTTCTTGCCACAGTGATTCCCTTTCCTCCAGTTAATAAACAGTGCTTGGGGAGGCGTTCCCTGGAAATAGTCGCCCAGAGTTCATCTGCTGCCTCTGCCCAGGGCTCCCTCCCTTGGCTCCTCTGGGGGTGCGGTGTGTGGTTGTTCATGGGCGAGAGGACTGCCCGGCTCCAAACAGAGATTAGGTGACAGGCCACAGCAGCAGAAGCACCAGCCTGGCTTTCTCTTAAGGAAGCAGGGTCTTGTGAATGTCATAACAAACAACCCCATCAAAAAGTGGGCAAAGGATATGAACAGACACTTCTCAAAAGAAGACATTTATGCAGCCAAAAGACACATGAAAAAATGCTCATCATCACTGGCCAT
The DNA here is from genome assembly GCF_000001405.40 of Homo sapiens. NCBI lineage: Eukaryota > Metazoa > Chordata > Mammalia > Primates > Hominidae > Homo > Homo sapiens. Next base: position 21,900,670 of record NC_000013.11, read on the forward strand.
CAGAGAAATGCAAATCAAAACCACAATGAGATACCATCTCACACCAGTTAGAATGGCGATCATTAAAAAGTCAGGAAACAACAGGTGCTGGAGAGGATGTGGAGAAATAGGAACACTTTTACATTGTTGGTGGGACTGTAAACTAGTTCAACCCTTGTGGAAGTCAGTGTGGCGATTCCTCAGGGATCTAGAACTAGAAATACCATTTGACCCAGCCATCCCATTACTGGTTATATACCCAAAGGACTATAAATCATGCTGCTATAAAGACACACGCACACGTATGTTTATTGCGGCACTATTCACAATAGCAAAGACTTGGAACCAACCCAAATGTCCAGCAATGATAGACTGGATTAAGAAAATGTGGCACATACACACCATGGAATACTGTGCAGCCATAAAAAATGATGAGTTCATGTCCTTTGTAGGGACATGGATGAAATTGGAAATCATCATTCTCAGTAAACTATCACAAGGACAAAAAACCAAACACTGCATGTTCTCACTCACAGGTGGGAATTGAACAATGAGAACACATGGACACAGGAAGGGGAACATCACACACCGGGGCCTGTTGTGGGGTGGGTGGAGGGGGGAAGGATAGCATTAGGAGATATACTTAATGCTAAATGACGAGTTAATGGGTGCAACACACCAGCATGGCACATGTATACATATGTAACTAACTGGCACATTGTGCACAAGTACCCTAAAACTTAAAGTATAATAATAATTTTAAAAAAATGCTCTGCTGGTAAGAAAACAGCAGGGAAGCAAATCTCCCCACTGTGGCCTGAGTTGGAGAGAGTGCTGGGGTGTTGGTTGGAAGCCACATGCTGCTTTCAGTCTCTTTCCATGTGTTTGCTGGAGGAGGTCCCGCCTGCTGCCAGCCTCGCTTCATCCCTGCTCTGTTATTCTTCCTATTGGAGATTTGTTCCCCAGCCCCTGCTTCTCATGAGTAGATTGGGGCATGGCTGGAAAAGACACCTCTTTATTCCAGAGCATTGATCATTTTCAGAACACAAGGTTGACATTTCTTAAACCTGGCCATTATGGCACAAGGAAATAGGCTGGCATCGGATGGCAAGGCAGAGTTGGCCCGGCCTCGTGGGACTGGCACCCCTAGTTGTACCTGCCCTGTCCTCTCCCCTCTTGGCTGTGCCTTTCAGAGGGCACTCCTGGCCACACAGGCAGGGCGCACCCCAGCTGCGGGTCTCCGATACCAGATGCTGGAATGTGTTTTTCCAGCAGCAGCTGTGGCAGCGGTGGCAGGAGCAGCATGGGGCATGTGGAACTCACTCCCTTCCTGGCTCCTTCTCAAGCTTCTCCGCTGGCTCTCCTGCAGAACTTTTGCTTAAGAGGACAGGCTGACAATCTGCTGGCTGCTTTGCTGGATGCCATTGTGTTTTGACTTGCTTTTGATGGCACAGACTTTATTGGCTCTGGGTGTAAAGTTTCTGTGCAAACCTTTGCTACAGTGCGTGCCGAGTCAGTGAGTTCAATGTCCATCAGAAGGCCTTGCCATGTCTCTTAATCCTCTGGGTCTTTCAGGGAGATGGATGAGCCAGCTAGAAATAATTTGGAGCTGGCAGGAGAAGACGAGCCGAATTCTCCTCCTGGGCATGGAGAGAGGGCCAATCTAAAGGCATAGAGGGGAACCTTGTATATCCTTGGATGTCCTCGTGCACGGGATGGGTTTCTTTCTCTCCTCCTCACATTACCCGTGCAAGCAGTATCATGTGTTTCCTGGGTTCCAGAGTCCTACAAAGTGGGTGGAGTGAGAGGCAGAAATTCCATTCACTGCTCAGCAATTCAGAGGCATCGACTGCCAAGTCAAGAGTTTCCTCTCAGACATCTTTTGGAAGCTTTGCAGCCGGAGAATTTGGGTTCCATAAAGCTGATGGCAGATGGGAGGAGGGGAGGGAGATAAGACTGTCTCTCTGGAATGGGAGAACACCATGATACTGCAGGACCCAGCCCCTGCTCTGTGTAAGCTAGCTTTGAGGCAAGTTACTGAATGATTAGGCACAGATGTTGGGAGAGCTAACAGATCTTTTTGTCTTCTGTGCCCAGCAGGACTTCATTTCAAATGACTCCTTGTGGACAAAGAGAAGAAATTGACCTTGAGAAGTTTCACTTGCTGTGATAGGAAGACGATCTAGGCGTGCTTTGGGTGTGGCTAGATTTCCTTTTACGGCTGCAGCCCCGTTTCTCATCACCTGCCCCTCACATTCTTTTCTCTGGCCTGTTCCACAGTGGGCAGGTCTATGCAAACCTACTCACAAAGTCCGAGGAAGCCAACAGGCTGAAGAAAGAGGCTGATGTATCCAGTTTCTCAGAAAGAAACATTTAATAGGGACTTACGAACAGGAGCCCCGTCAGCATCTCAGGTGGCGGTGAGACAGGATGGTGGGTCCCCTGCTCCATGACCCCCAGACCCAGGGCTTATAGATCACAGGGAGGGTTGGTTCAGAAGGGAGGTGCAGGACGATTGAAGTATGATAACATCAAGGTTGGCTGACCTAAGGGCAGGATTTACAGTAAGTACTTGCTCTTATACAGGGAACAATAGACAGACTGGAAATCTTAGAGGTGTGCCTGGAACAGAGGTTAATCAGAAGCCAGTATGATGGATCATCCTCCAGATGGAGTCACTGTAGCCTCCAAATGGCCACTGCAGTTCTCTGCATGCACCGTCCCTCCTTCCCCCCCGGCCTCTGCACATACTGTTCCCCCTCTTTGAGCTCGTCCTCCCCTCTTCATACCAGACTGTCTCAAGTCATCTGACAGATCTCAGCTGCCACATCACCTCCTCCAGAGAGCCTTCACAGATGCCCAAGGATTCACATAACAACCTGGGCTTCTCTCCACTAGAGGCCACCTCCACTAGGCTCTACTTTATGCCTCTGACTCCTCTTCTAGCTTGTTCAGCTTTGCTCAGGAAAGGACTCCTAGATAGTGATTGTTAGACTTTCAGATAAATATTTGCTGATGTTGAATGCAGGTCTAGGGCTATCGTCCCTTCCTATCTAGACTCATATTATGTCCCAAACATCTTGTAAGTAAAAATTAATGTAATAACTGCTACCACTTCCTGAGCATTCACTATGTTCAGGAGACCACAGAAGAATCCATAGGAACCATCCATACATTATTCTGACAACAGCGCTGCAATCTAAGTGCCCAAGTTTCTGATTTGCACACTGCACCATGCTGATGATGGAGCCCCTCTCCCAGGAAGCAGAGAGGGAGCGGCTTGGTGGCACTGGGACTTAGCCTTCCTTTGGCCCTATCCACTTCTTTCGCTCTGCTAGCAACCTAGCATATCAGGCAGGGTCAGGTGGATTACGCTGCAATAACAAACACCAAAGAGCCTCCAATTTCAGCAGCTTTACAAAATCTCTGTATTTCTCATCCACACTGTGTACTTGTCTCACATATGTGTGATGCTCTGCTCACTGTCGTTTCTCAGGGACCCTGGATGATGACACTGCTGCCAAGTCAAGTGTTGAGGTCCCACGAAAAGGAAACTGAGCAATGGAGCATCTTCCATCATCGATGAAGCACTTCAGTCACTATTCATCACAACTCGTTGGCTATATGGAGCCTCTCGGTCCTACCTATAAAAGAAGGGCTAAACAATTTAATTCTCCCTGTCTTCAAAATGAGAAGACAATAGTTAGGCATGAGCTAGCTACCATTAATTACTGTTCCATTGGGTACTATATACTCGCAGATATGGATACAAAGGATGGTTCCGGGTGGTGCAGGAATCCAGCTGTCCTTCCTTCAGGACTCTGTTTCTCCATCATCACTGAAGGTTTACAAATGAATAGCTTCACGTACAGTAAGTCCTCACTTAAGGTCACCAATAGATTCTTGGAAACCGTGACTTTAAGCAAAATAACATACAATAAATCTAACCTTAAATAAAATCAGTTAATCTGATATAAACGAGTGAAATTCCTAGGACACATTTCTGTTCACAAAAACATCACCAAACTTCTAAATAAAGACCCAAAACACTGCAAGTATTAAACGTTGAAATAAATGTGAGCTATACATTTAAGAAAAATTAATAAAGACAAATAAGAGAATATACCCGAGTTTTGCTGCAACAGTGAGTGACGGTGGTCATAGTGGTAGTTGGTTAAACTAAGGAAGAAATATTTGCAAAGCAAAACTTGTAAGGAGCACCTCTTTGCAGCGCAAAAACAAGCCATCATGAATACGAGGGGCTTGTTGAGCTCTTTCAGACCTCATTGTTTATTGTTGTGCATCATCTGTGTGGTTATTGTAGACTTGATGCATTTTTATTTTACAAGAATTTGTGAAATTTTTTTCATTCATTCATTCACTTATTCATTTTCTAACACACTTATTCCAGCTCAGAGTCAAGGTGCAAGGGGGGAATGAGTCCTGGCCAGGATGCCATCCCATTGCAGGGTACACACACTCTCACACACCCACACTCACTCAGACTGGGACCAATGAACCTAATGTGCACAGCTTTGGGATGTGGGAGGAAATGGGAGTACTCAGAGAAAACCCACACAGACATGGGGAGAACTGCACACACCACACTGACAGTGACCCCAGCTGGAATCAGTTTTTTTTTTCTCACCAATATTATAATGAAATGACATTGAATGACACGATGTTATTTGAGGACCTGCAGTATATTACTTTTTACCTTGGATCAATGTAGTATCTTAAAGGGGTCTCAGTCCAGGGTGTAGTTACGAATACAGATTAAAGGTAAAGACAACCTGTAACATCTGCCAATTCATTTCCATTCCTTTCAGCCACGTTGAAGTGAACTTATAATAGCAAATCTCTTGGCTGTAAAAATTAGCAGCCTAAAAAACACATCAGAAGCGCAGTCATTCATATTTCCAACTGGCCTGCAGCTCTGCCATGCAGCCCCCGCCTGGGGCTTGCATGTGAGTGCCAGTATGTATGGCTTGTGTTGTCATCATTCACGTTATTTATTTCAAAAATTCAGAGTGTTCATGAAATGCAGGGATTCCTAGAATTCCTGTATTTCAGTGCCAGGGTGAGCAGTTTTCCCAGTGTTGGAAGCTCTTCTTTCCCATGGCACATCTCTCTCAGGGGCGGGGCTGCGGATAGGGAAGGCTGATTTATTTCTTTGGAGCATCCTACCTCTTATTCTGATATTTTGAATGCTGAACATTTTTAGAAGCTTGTGTCCTGGTATCTCATGAAAATCTCGATATTGGTTTATTTAGTAAGTCGGTCAGGTTGTCAGCAGCGAGTGCCTGCCAGGTGCCAGGAGCTGGAGCTGCAGAAGCCACTGGGCCTGAGTTTCTGCCCTCAAGGGTTTCACACTCCAGTGAAGAGTTAAAAAACAAATAGACAAGAAGGGAAGGATTTAGAGGCCATTGTTATTACTTTTTTTTCTGAGCAAACAGTATAAACTTAGGGGGTTATGTTCAAAGTAAAAAATACTTGGACTTTTCTACTGATCTTTAACCCTTCTTTAATATCCATAATCCCTTATGAATTCATTTGTAAGATCAAAATATTCAATTTGGTAGATGGAATATTCCTTGAGAAGGCTGTCTTGGTACCCATATGCTTTGTAGATTGTCTAGAACACAAGAGGTGCCCAGTAGATATGTCGGAATGAATAAATTCAGAAATCAAGGATAATATAACTGGAGCCAAATATGCTGGTAACTTTTAACTAAATACTCACTTCTAGGAATTTAAAGATGAGAAAGACAACCTCCTTGGCCTCTAGGGGGGAATAGTTTTGCAACATATATACTGTATGTAGGCATAGTTTAAATATAACTTGTATAAGTAAATATAATAATCATTTTGTGTTTGTGTGTGTGTGTGTTGTGTGTGTGTGTTTGTGAGTGTGTTTTTGTGTGTGTTTGTGTGTTTTTGTGTGTGTGTGTGTTTTTGTGTGTCAGTGTGTGTGTGTGTGTGTGTGTGTCATGGACGCCTATGCCTAGGCTGCTATGAAACTGCAGTTCAACACCATTCACTTAATGAGAATGTCTTTCTAAAGAACCCAGCACCCCTTAATGACCTCAGAGTACTCAGGCAGGGAAATGAGTGCACGCGCAGCCACACCAAATTGCTGGTTTGTCTTGGTATCTGGTCTCCGGTGGAACTCTTGGGCAGGCGGCAGAGCGCAAATCCTTGCCGCTCCATGGACGGTTTATGTAGACGGCCAGCTTTAATTTTAGCTTGAACAAACAAACAAATAATCTGTGGTTATATATAAAAATTGTGCTATAAATTCAATTTAAGAGCAACTTAAATGTTCTGTTCATGAAGTATGCAAAACCCACCTGGATATTACGCCTTACAAAAGAAATAGCTTCAAGAAATAAACTGGGGATGTCTGTTTCTTTTTCTTAAGAGCTTCTCACCCAAGAAGAGCCAAATGAAGGGAAGGACGGCCGCCTTCCCCTCTGCTCTTAGGGTTATACTGGGAGCATAATTAAAGTGGGAAGTTGGTTGTAACCCACATGCATTTAGAAGCCTGGGCTCTAAATGTTTTTGTTTATGTTTATGTAAATGTTTTTCAGATTTCCCTTCTACAGAGGCAAATGCAATCCTGACAATTAGTTATTGACAGAGGACAAATACTTCCTGCAGGCAAAGGCAACGTGGAGTTATCATTTTGGACAGGGCCAAACTGATAAGGGGGCTCTCTTCTCAGAAGAATGTCTCTCTGTTTGGAAGTTCACAATCCACTCTATGGGATTAAACAGAAGAATAAATTATCCTTGCTTTATCCTTTGAGTATCTGCTGAAAAGATCAGCGTTGAGTGGATATTGGATCCTCTTTACTTAGTTTAGACAGGTGAGGAAAAGCAACCCTGTGTCAGGGAACATGTCACCCAAGACAGGAGCTTAGAGATGATTTCTTTCTGCTCAGGGCAGGGCTTAATGGAAGAAAACAATTCCCTGCTTCTTGCTGCATTCTCAGGAACCCAGGGCATGTGCTTGCACTTCGAGGACCTTTCTGCTCTGTTTCTTGCAGAGGAGTATGGAGAATGTCTGGGGAGACACAGAAAAAAACAAAGACTCAGGAAAACAGATGTTCAAGACTCCCTGGAACGGCAGCCGATATATCCCAAGTGTCCGCAAACCTGAGGCCAGTGAATCGCCCCCTCTCCCATGGCTGATCACCCTGGTGAAATTGAGGCCCCAGAACCGCGGTCCCACCACTGTGAGACCCCAGGCCAAGCCCTTGCCTGGAAACCAGCTGTCTTCCCCCAGGACATAAAGACACGTCCTTTATGTTAGATGCTGTCCGTCCTACATCACAACATGGTTGTGGTGATACCCGAATGGAATGGTGCACGTGAAATCACGCTGTAAGCGTGTTCAGCCTTGCGCTGGCACAAACACGTATCTTTCTCTTACTGCCTCGACCCTGGGGCCAGTGTCCCTGTTTGCATCCTCCACAATCACTCAACACACCTTCCTACTCTATTCCCTAACCCTTTCCAAAGAAGGCAACAGAGTCTGGTATTTCAGTTTTGGGGAAATTATTAAAAACACTTGGCTGGGCAAGGTGGCTCATGCCTGTAATCCCAGCACTTTGGGAGGCTGAGGCCAGAAGATCACTTGAGGCCAGGAGTTTGAGACCAGCCTTGATAGTATAGGGAGACCCTGTCTCTATAAAATAAATAAAAAATAAATTAGCTGGGCACTGTGGCTCATGCCTGTAGTCCCAGCTACTTGGGAGGCTCAGGCGGGAGGATCACTTAAGCCCAGGCAGTTGAGGCAACAGTGAGCCGAGATCGTGCCACTGGACTCCAGCCTGTGTGACAGACGAAGACCCTGTCTCTAAAAACAAACAAAACAAAACAGTAGGAGTTTGATCCCAAAAGCAGGAATTTCCACAGCAAATAGAGTGGAGCTGGGCAAAGCCACGTCGATGAGCTGAAAAGTATGAAAAGCCAGATTCTGGCAGAACAGCCTACCCACGTTTGATACTGTGCCTTTGTCTACTGTTTGGAATCTAATTGGTGGTCTCATAGTCTTTGAATGCGAAGGCTTCTCATTACAGTGCCTTCAATGAGCCCCAGGTTTGTCCTGGGATTGTTAATGTTAAAATGCTACAATAGATCATTCTATACGCCTGACACAATTCATGATGCCCTTTCACAAAATGTAGCTCGGGTCTCTTGAAATGGCACACGCAGGTAGCTGGCTGGGTCCTGCCTCACGCTCTCCTCCTCCGAGGGACCCCACATGCTGTAGTAAAGGAGAAAGCAGTCCAGGGCCTGTGGGCAGTGCCTGAGCACGGTGGTGCTCTGATCTGCGGCCGGCCAGTGCAGTTCAAAGCTCTTGAACGCTTTCCACTTCAAAGCATGTAGGCAGAAATACAAATGGGTAAGCTCACATTATACTTTAGGGAGACATATCCATGATACCAAACTTTAGTATGTGCTAAAAAATAGGACTCAGTAAATATGGAGATTCCTGGGCCTGGTGCCTAGTGATGCTGGGTCAAAAAGGCTGAAGGCAACCCAGGAATCTACATCTCTGCAAGCCCTCACGTGATTCCAGTGATGACAGACCCAGGATTATGCTTTGAGGATTAATGGTTGATATTTTGGGTGCAAAAAGGAGCAAATTATTTATTACAGTACAAGGCAAATTTTCATGGGACAAACACTCAGTGGAGTCACTGTTTGGCAAACTTGCTTCTGATTAAGGAATGGAAGAACCACCCAGGGTGGTCGAGGTGATTGGTACATGTTATTGGGTGGTTTCTCCTCCTAGCAGACCCAATAGGATGGCTCAGCCTGTGTGAGACAGCGGCTGTCTTAATGAACAGGAACGGTGAATGACTCACACACCTGCAGGGCATCTGAGCCAAATGCACTGCCTGGTGCAATGCACAGCCTTACAAGTCCCGTTTCTCACCACAGTGAAGCATCGACTTTTCAGGGCAGGCAATGCGGTGCCCCCAGAGAGCTGTGGAGGAAGGAGAGACCAGGCAGATTTGTCCTGTGCAGGGACCACGCTGGCTGCAGTGTGGGTGGCAGGATTTTGAGAGATGTTAGAGACCAGAGCCAGGGAGAGGGTAGGAAGTGCCTGTGGGATTCTAGGGGATGAAGCAGGGCAGTGGTAAGAAGAGTGGGATGGAGGGTTGCGGGATATGGAAAAGGGAAGCTCAGACATGCCTGCCTGATGTGGGCGAAGAAGGGCAGGAGCCCAGGAGCTCCCTGGTGGCTGGTGGGCCGGAGAGAAATGAGTGCAGGAAGGTAAGGACACAGGGGAGCTTGTCTTGGATCTGGAGCTCATTGGGCTGTGGGGCAGTATGGAGAGCCAACCCTGCCCTTCCCGCTACCCCGGAGGCTTCCATTGCCACCACGTGCACCACCTAAGCTTCCTCACCTGAGCTTTTAGAAGGCAGGTCGCCGTGTCACCTGCTTTGCTGTGGCTGCCCCAGGTCATGTTCATGTGGCACGTGAGCCATGGTGTGTTTCCACCTCACTCCAGGGCTGCTCTGGGGCCTGTGGCATCATGGGGTGCCTCCTCCTGAGGGAGAGCAAAGGCCTCCATTTCCCATCTTCCCTGTCCTCAGAGAATACAGTGTTTTTGGCTTCCCAGCAGAATTCCCCTCTGTGTACCTATGTTCCTGCTCTCATAAGTCCCTGGAGGCGTCCATCTCATCAACTCGAGTCAGTTTCTCGTCACTAACTTACCATACAGGCATGCCAGTCCATGAGACCTAGTGGTCAGCCTGAGGCATGTCCCTCCAAATCATCGGGCCGTGGTCAGTCTTGGCTCTGGCCTTTTGAAGATCACTTGACAAAATCTTGTCAAGATTTACAGTAACAAAGACCTAGAAGCAGAGATGTTATTGATTCTGAGGAAATATCAGATTGTGCATTAGCATCAGTGTGTTTGCTTCTGAGGGAGACATTTGATGGGCACATTTTATTTTGATTCAAAATATGATAATGGCATGCACAGTCCCCATGCTTTCTTGCTGGCACCTTTGCATGAATTGCTGCCAACAGAACTCTTCGAAGCAGTGCCTTCCCTGGCTCTGGGACTCCTCCGCCTGCCCCGGCAGACTCAGGAGGATCCCACTTGGTGACTGTTGAGTGCTGACATGTCTCGATAGAAGGTGTGACTGACTGCTGAGCGGGATTTGCTCTCAGTAGTTTAGTTATGAAGTTCTTGTGTGTGAGTCTGTGTGGTGGTTTTAGCTAACAAATACGTACAGCACAGCCAGGTACAGTGGCTCACACCTATAATCCCAGCACTTTGGGAGGCCGAGGCGGGCGGATCACTTGAGGTCAGGAGTTCGAGACCACCCTGGCCAACATGGTGAAACCCCTCTCTACTAAAAATACAAAAAATTAGCCAGGTGTGGTGGTGCACGCCTGTAATCCCAGCTACTCAGGAGGTTGACGCAGGAGAATTGCTTGAACCAGGGAAGTGGAGGTTGCAGTGAGCCAAAATCACGCCTCTGTACTCCAACCTGGGCGACAGAGTGAGACTTCGTCTCAACAAACCAACAAACAAGACAAAACAAAAACCGTACGGCAAACCAAGAGATGTTTTTCTGTTCTTGAATCTCAGGGTCACTTTTAGCTAAAGGTGGTTATTTTCACTGACTGAAAATATAAATATATGAGTAGGATTTAAGGGTTATTTTCCCCAAGGGTACGAGGAAAGCTCGGTTGCTTAAGATACTTAAAATGCATGACTTATTAAGGTATCTGCTCTCTTGGACTCATGCCCCTGGTTTGGGGGCTTTTAAGGTAGGTCCAGACTCCAACTGCAAGCCTGTAGCAACCCCAGATGCAGTTCACCCTCCACTCCGCCTCCACCTGTGTAAACTGTGCCATCTTTTAAGACTCAGCTCAGATTCATCTCTCCCTTAGACCATCCTGGAGTGCTCTAGCTGGAAGTGACCTCTCCCCTCCCCCAGCCAGTTCTTTCACAGGCCTTTCCTCCTTCTCTTGTTCTTTCTCTTATTCCTTCTCATTTTTCTAGCACATTTCTCTTACTTAGTTTGTTAGTTAACTTTTATTCTTCCACTTGGGTGAAAGCCCCTTGAAATCAGGAACCAGGATTATTCTTTATGTATTTACTAAGCACTAAGCTTAATGCTGGCCTTATGGTAATCGACAAATGGAAATTGTTGGGTGACTCATCAGCGAATTCTCACTGATCTATTAACTCAGCTTTTACTTACTGAGAGGGTCAGGACTCAGGGACCCAGTTGCCCAATTAGCCATTGGGTGTCCCTCTGGGGCCCAGTCCGCCCACCCTCCTGTGCCCCCTTCCCCCCCACCCCCCCTACCCCACCGTGTGGTTCTGAGTGCTGCCTGCATGGGGAGAAGGTGCTGGCTGTGTGGATGCTTCTGACTCAGCCTCCTTTGTTTTCTATTCACATTGTAAAGCATTGGTTCTGGATAACTCTGAGGTTTCCCAGCCTTGGGTGGCCCGAATAAGCATAATTCATAGTGAGTATGTGGAGCTATTTCCGAGGTAGCTTAGATATCTGCCTTGTGTGTAGGAACTACAGGTTGTCATTCAGGGTGATGGGGATTACTGACAAGCACCAAGCTGCATAATGCTGTAAATGCTCAGAAGCCATGGGAAGCTACTGCTGAAACATCAAAGCCTATGCTTGATATTGGGGCCAGGGCAGGTGAGGTAGTGTAGGGCTGGCCAGTGTCAGTCATTTGTATAACTTCTTGATGTTTTTCTTAAATGTAAAGAAAAATTAAATAAAGGCTTCTTTTTAAAGAAAAACTTATATCATACTGCAAATGGAAAAGTAATCTCATTTGCCATAATGAGTTAAAGCATAAACATATAATAAATGTTTACTCATATGACACTCCAAGTTGTGCTGGTCCACGTGTCCCCGGCACCACTGTGAGCCACGGTGCATGTCCGTCTGGGAGTTCCTGGGGAGACAGAGGCCCTTGTGTGCATCCACACCCTGCTATTGACAAGTTGTGTTGTTTGGAAAAAGTTACTTAATGCCTTTGAATTTCCATTTCCTCATCAAAAGAAAGGGAATAATGTTGCACCAGAACAACATAATATATGTGAAGTAATATTTAGCCCAATGTTTGGCAAACAAAGGGGTAGGAAAATAAATAATTTGGAGCCTTCTTTATTTTTTATCTATGAGCAAATATCATGAGAGTTTTTGCCAGAGCAGGCAAATGGCAAATGCTGGAAATGTTGTTATACATTAGCTATCACTGAACGTGGATGACACTTCGTTGCACTTGAACCATTTCACATGTGAGTGTGTTTGGTGGAAATGGCTTAGGAACGTTCATGTGTTCCTCCCTAGAGCCCAGATCATGGTAGCAGAAGTGTGAGAATAAAGTCTTCGCACTCACACGATCTCGCTTCTTTACCATCCCTTTCTCCGTGACCTGTTTACTCCTGGAGTGGCTTCCTCTGTCCTCAGTCTCCAACAAAGTCCTTTTATTTCACTTCCTCTGGGAGGCGCTGTTGTTTGCTTCCACGGGTCAGGGTGAGAGAGAGTAGAGTGAGGCGAGGTAAGTGGGAAGAAGAGCTCAGGACAGCTGCTGCCCAGCCAGGCCCCAGCCAGGAGGGAGAGGCTCTGCTGGCTCCTGCTGTGTGCCTGGGGCTTCCCAGGACCAGGCACCTATGAGCCCTTCCGTCAGCCCCACTTCCCACTCCAGTCTTGTGGGGAGCCATTCCTCCTGCCCCAGAATAACCTTGAGCCAGCTGGGCTGCAGCTCCCAAGGCCCCTGCCCTGAGCCCACCCTCGCCAGCCCTTCTGTGGGCTGTGATGTGCTAGCACCCGGGAACTCTGAGGGTCTCACTCTTGTCAGGGGACAGTAAGATCTACGGGAGTCAGGTGGCTTCATGATGAGGGGTTATAAAAATGGAAGCGGGCTGGGTGCGGTGGCTTATACGTCTGTAATCCCAGTGCTTTGGGAGGCTGAGGTGAGCAGATTACTTAAGTCCAGGAGCTCGAGACCACCTTGAGCAACATGCAAAATCCCGTCTCTACAAAAAATACAAAAATTAGCCGGGCGTGGTGATGTGTGCCTGTGGTTCCAGCTACTCAGGAGGCTGAGGTGGGAAGATCACTTGAGCCTAGGAGGTGGAATGAGCTGTAATCATGGCTCTACACTCCAGCCTGGGCAACAGAGAGAGACCTTGTTGCAATAAATAAATAAATAAACAAAATGAAATAAAATAAAAATAAAAAATGGAAGCAGAAACATCAGTGAGCAACTCAGCTTCCCAAAGCCCTTCCAATGGTGAGTCTTCACTCCTTTTGCTCTGTGGATGGGTGAGTGAAGTCACAGGAAATGGAGGGACTTCTCCAAGGCCAGCGACTGTGCTGCTCCTAATTCACCTGCTTGGAGTAAATTTGTAAGTCTGCTAATGGGAACTCAGGACTCATTTGTTTTATAATTCTTTATAATTATTATATATTTATGATTTTTACCATGATTTAGTAATTGTCACCATGAAGGTCAGATGCCTAGATGAGGCTACAAAAACCCTTTAACTCATATTTTGACTCATATTGCAATGGAAAATAATGATACAATTTTATAGTGCTTGCAATTACATTATAAAAAGCAACGCATGAAAAATAGTTAAAAATTTTTAAAATTGGCTTCTAGTGATTGAGGACGTAAGGTTTGCCGTTAGTGGGGATGGGGTCCAGGTGAGGCCTCAACTTGGATTCAGGAGAGGACTGCTGTTCTCTCTGCTAAGTCATTTTCTCTTTCCTTCCCCTGTTTCCATCCTCTGTCCCTGCCATCTTTCTCAAATATGTATTGAAAACATAGCATGTTACACACTTTAGGCACAAGCAGGAAAAACTATAGTTCCTGTCCAACTGTAAAAACTCAGCATGACAAAAATTTGGTGCAATGAGTTTATCAAGAGAAGTGGGCTCAGAGGCATGTCCATATGTGCACAGATGCACGTGTGTGTGCATGTGCCTGTGTGTGTCTGTGAGGGCTGGGCTTGTCAGTGAGATCTTTTCATAGAAAGCCACATTTTAGTTTCTTGAGCTGAAATTTAAATGAGAAGAGGGCACTGACATGAAAAGCAGGTGGTGACATTTGAGGCTAAGGGAACATGTGCAGAGACACGGAGAACTAAGAAAGCCAGGCATGTCAGGACCAGCCATGAGAGCACAGTGTGCTTGGCAGTGGCAGCAGGAAATGGAGCGGCCAGGGGAATCGGAGGTCCCATGGGCCTCGGTGCTATGCTAAAGCCTCAGACTTTCTATGAAGGTGATGATGACCTTCTGAAGAATTGCAAACAAGGCCTAACTATGGTAGGATGGCCGTGGGAGGACTGGAAATCAATGCATTGGAGGTGGGAGCCATTGGGAGACAGTAGCATGTGGTGAAGGGGACAGGCAGGTGGGGAGATACAGGGCCTCCATTTCATATTCTAATGATCTCTGTCTGCTCTTTCCTCCTCCATGGCTGCCCATGCAAGCAGGCTTGTCTCCGTTTGGGCTCACCTCAGTGCTCTCTCGACAGCCTTCGTATGTCCACTTTGGCATCCCTTCCTTCTGTTCTCTGATATTTTTATCTCATTCAAATATCATATCACTCACCTCAGTCTCAAAACTCCCACTGGACTAGAAGGGCTGCAAGGACTACCTGCCTGTCTGACGCTCCCCATCCTGGCCATCCCTCCCCTGCTGGATTTCAGGTCTGGCTGTGACACTCATTGGTCCTGGGACTTGGAGCAGAACCCTCCAGACGCCGGTTTTCCTTACATGAGAAAATAGGATTTATAGGCTGATTTTCAGGGTCATCATGAAGATTAAATGAGATGGCTCAAGAATAAATGCCTGACAGAAGTGGAATTTCATAAAGATTAATTTCCTTCTAGTTGTCAGTTTTCTTTGCTATTTGATAAATTTGGAAGTAATGCAAATGTTTTACTACAGACAGAAACCCAGAAAGAATTTGTGTTAAGTTGGCTGATAAAAATTCTGATGACAAAGGTGGTAGCTACTACACTAACCTGTTTACCTATCTATCCAACATCCATCCATCCACCCATCATCCATCCATCCAGCCATCCATCCATCCATCCATCCACTCCGCCCTCACACAGACACAAACACATGTAAATATAAATACAAATAATTAAACTTGGGATAGCAGCCTTTCGTCCAGCTGAAAGGGCCTGTTTTAAATTTAAAGAGTTTCCATGTAAGTAGTTAAAAACAGACGACGATGTGGACCCCTGGCACCCAGATTTGTCTTTCTAATTGCTTCCTGTCCATCTCCATGTGGATGTCTCAAAATCCTGTTCTAAGATTGACCTTGATATTTGCTCCTCTTCTTAACATTTTTCATCTTGGTTAATGGAATCATTATTTGTCCACACAGTCAGCTAAGCCAGAAACTAAAGCCATCCCTTGTTTAATTTTCTTCTTCCTCATGTAGTGTCCCCTGATCCGTGCTTCCTAAACATTCTGGGTCCTGTCCCCTTCTTGCCCTCCCCGCTCTCATAGCCACATCACTGTGGCTAGGGTCTGCAGAAGTGGAAGGGAAGATGATCATCCCTTGGAAGACAAAGTGGATTCTCCATTTCTTGAGAAAACTTTTTTTTTTTTTTGAGATGGAGTCTCGTTCTGTCACCCAGGCCAGACTGCAGTGGCATGATCTCGGCTCACTGCAAGCTCCACCTCCTGGGTTCACGCTGTTCTCTTGCCTCAGCCTCCTGAGTAGCTGGGACCACAGGCGCCCGCCACCGCGCCCGGCTAATTTTTTGTAATTTTAGTAGAGACGGAGTTTCACCGTGTTAGCCAAGATGGTCTCGATCTCCTGACCTCGTGATCCGCCCACCTTGGCCTCCCCAAATGCTGGGATTACAGGTGTGAGCCACCGCGCCCGGCCGAGACAATTTTTTATAAAAATTTCCAAAGTAAAATTGATCATTAAAGGCTTGGAAGGGAACTCTGAACACAGGAGTGGGTCTTCCTGTGGAGAGTGTAAATCCTGGTCACATATCCTTCCTGCTTCCTGCCCTCAGACCCTGGGCCTCACCTGCCCCTTTGAAGTTATGAAACTATGGCTTAAAATAGATTATCTAGTTGCTATCACATATTTTGGGTTCCTTTCATTTAGTATACCTTTATATTTCCAGTTCCCATTTTTTTCTAAATCCCTATCTTTAAAAAAAATCAATGTTTTAAGGTCTTGCCTTTTTGTTTCTTTCATGCAGTCCTTAAAAATCTCATAATTTTAATTGTAATTATTTTTTATGGATTACAATATAATATTCCTAGAGAATTTTAATTTTCTTCTCTTATGTTTGGCTAAAGAGTACTCTATGTATTTAAATACACTTTTTTTTTCTAGATTAAAGAAGTTCTTAATGTTTCTACTATGTCCTTAGTTTCTTGAGCCCCCCAACTACTACTAACTTCCAGTCGACTATTGTTGTATAAGAAATGATTTGGCTGGTCGTTTTCTCCGGTTTCTTGGAGGAAGCCTCTAAACCTTTGTAATTTCCTCAGTGATGGGAGTGTCCTTGTTATTCGTGGTGGGGCCCTTAGACCATGCTTGAGTTTATGCCAACAAGCTGACTCATGGAGCATCACTGGACAGTTTCAAGACGGGGACTGGCATGCTCTAAAGACCAACAATGTGATTAGAGGGCTGGGGTTTTGAGCCATGTGGTATCAGTGACCCCTTGACCTCTGGGGAGGGAGAGAGGCTGGAGATTGAGTTCAATCACATGGCCAGTGCTTCAATCAATCCTTCATTCAATGAGGCCCCAGTAAAAACTCTGGACATCTGAAGCTCAAGTGAGCTTTCCTGGTTGATGATTCATATTGACATGCCAGAAGAGCAATGCATCCTGAGATTTGTGACACTCGCAGACCTCCCTGTGTGTCTCTTCATTGGGCTGCCTCCTGAGTTGCATCCTTTCTAATGACTGTTGTCATAAGAACAGCACTTTCTTGAATTATTTGAGTCATTCTGGTCAATTATCAAACCTGAGGGGGTCAAGGGCAGCCCTGAATTTGTAGCTAGTTGGTCAGACGTGCAGGTGGCCTGGGCACCCCAGAGCCTGCAGCTGGCATGTGAAGTGAGGGCAGCCTTGTGCAGGGCTATGAAGTTTGGCCTAACTCCAGGCAGTTAGCAGGAGAATTGCATTGCAACTGCAAATGGCCTTCGATACATTCCCTCCTTCCCGCAGGGCTTCTGTTTCACAGGGCTGACTTGCTCTCTGCTCAGCTCGAGTGCTGTGCTCCTTCAGCCCTTGATGGGGATGCCTTTCCTTTCCTCTTCCACAATTCTTTTCACCCATCAAGGTTTGATTTCTGTGCCATTTCCTTTGGGGAATTTTTCTTTATTACTCCCTTTCCGGCTGCCCTCTCCCTTTATTGACCTCCTACAACACTGGAAATTACTGTTTTTTTTGTTTTTTTTTGTTTTTTTGAGAACATATTATTTTCCCAACAGGATAGTAAGAGACACTGAGGCTCTTATCTTAAAAATTCTCCTGCTCGACTTAGCACAGTAGTCAGCACTCGCAGCTCACTATGTACCAAAGAACTGAACAACAATTTATTAAAGTGATACTTGTGTGGCATTGGTATAGACTCTAGACTATCCCAACTCACAGAAGAGGTTCACAGAGCTTTAGGTTTGAAAGAGACTTTGAGGGTCATCTGGTAAGACCTCTTTGTTTTGTTTAGTAAGCACTCCATACATATTTGTCGAATGTGTAAAATAAGGAAAAATGAGCCCCTGAGATACTTGACTTGTCCCAAGTCCCAAAGCTATTATATGCATTGAACTGATGAATCTAGGCCAACCCAAGATTGTAATAGGATCCCAGTCTCTCCCTTCTGTGTGATCTCACTCAGTGGACACATTCTCTGCACTCACTCGGTTTTTGGAAACAGAGTAAAAGTCCCCTTTCTAAAACTAATACAATTCAAATGATCTTAAATTAAATATCTTAGAGGGTAAGTGGTTTTTTTATTCCTTCTTTCTGAAATAGAAAGGCGTGGCCTCAGATCAAGCAGGTGAACAGTAGGAAAGCATATGAAGGCATTTAAATCCTTAATGAATATTTCCTGTTGCAAGGCTTATTTTAGGTATAATAAATTAAATCTATAATCCTAGTATCTATGATGAAAAGGAAGTAGGAAAAAAGCAATACCCAAATGTGAGGTCTAGTTACTACCTATGTGTAAATCTTATTTCTATCAAACTGCCTGTTTATTTACTTCTCAATAACAGCACAAAGACACTTACTTTCTAAGTAGTGATATTTTATTGCTTAGAAAGACATTTTAAGTATTTTAAAGTACATTTACAGCAATTTTGCTGATTTTCCAGAAGAGCAGTGAGCTGGTGATGAACTTGATAACTCACTAAGGGAAGACTGTGGAGAGTCCCCTCTTCCCTTTAGGACTTTGGTAACATTATTCACTTGGTATCTTGTCACTCCCATTCACCAAGGTTGGCTTGGAAGAGCTCTGGAAGGCAGACTCTAACAAGTAGTCTTGGGTTATACAATCTTATTTTCCTCTAAAACAAGACAAAAGGTAGGTATGTTGAGCATATGGGAGGCAGGGGAAGAAGAAAATACACTGTGATAGGGCTTTTGCCCGTGTTTGCTGGGAGTGAAGTAGAAACTGGGAGCTGCCTCAGCGTGCCTGTGGCCCAGGCACCACGTGCAGCACGCATCCTCCCGGTCCTTGGAGGCAGCTATCCTCTCATGCAGGTGAAAACGAGCCTCAGCCTCCATCCAGCCAGCGCTAGTGGATGCTTTTCACACGATGAGGAGCTCAGAAACATGCCGAAGCAGCTTCTTCCCAAGGGAGGGCAGGACTGGCCCTGAAGGTAGATGGGGGTTCTTAGGAGAGAAGGAGAGCCTTGCTTTCCATGCGGGGACTCCTCGTAACGAAACCGGGACGGTAGCAGCACTGGACTGAATTGTGCGACTCTAGCAGGTTGTTTATCCTCCACAAGTCTTCGTTTTTCATGTGTAAAATAGCAATGACCATCCCCACCCAGTCACACAGAAATTCTGTAAGTGTGTTCGGAATTGGTGTGTTCTTGGTCTCACTGACTTAATGAAGCCGCCGACCCTCACGGTGAGTGTTACAATTCTTAAAGGTGGCATGTCTGGACTTTGTTCCTTCTAATGTTCAGCTGTGTTCGGAGTTTCCTCCTCCTGGTGGGTTTGTGGTCTCACTAACTTCAGGAGTGACTCTACAGACCTTCCCGGTGAGTGTGACAGCTCTTAAGGCAGCGCGTCTGGGGTTGTTCCTTCCTCCCGGTGGGTTCGTAGTCTTGCTGGCTTCAGGAGTCAAACTGCAGACCTTTGCAGTGAATGTTACAGCTCATAAAGGCAGTGTGGATCCAAAGAGTGAGCAGTAGCAAGATTTATAGCAAAGAGCAAAAAAACAAAGCTTCCACAATGTTGAAGGGGACCCAGCGGGTTGCCACTGCTGGCTCCCGCAGTGTGCTTGTATTCTCTTATCTGGCCCCACCCACATCCTGCTGATTGGTCCATTTTACAGAGAGCCGATTGGCCTGTTTTACAGAGAGCTGATTGGTCCGTTTTGACAGGGTGCTGATTGGTGCGTTTACAATCCCTGAGCTAGCCACAAAAGTTATCCACCTCCCCACTAGATTAGCTAGATATGGAGTGTAGACACAAAGTTTCTCCAAGTCCCCATCAGAGCAGCTAGATACAGAGTGCCGACTGGTGTATTTGCAATCCCTAGACATAAAGTTTCCCCAAGTCCCCACCAGAGTAGCTAGATACAGAGTGTCGATTGGTGCATTCACAAACCCTGAGCTAGACAGAGGGTGCTGATTGGTGTGTTTACAAACCTTGAGCTAGATATAGAGTGCCAATTGGTGTATTTATAATCCCTTAGCTAGACATAAAGGTTCTCCAAGTCCCCACCAGACTCAGGAACCCAGCTGGCTTCACCCAGTGGATACCGCACTGGGGCAGCAGGTGGAACTGCCTGCCAGTCCCGCACTGTGCGCCCGCACTTCTCAGCCCTTGGGCGATCCATGGGACCGGGGGCTGTGGAGCAGGGGGCTGCACTCGTCCGGGAGGCTCAGGCATGGCAGGCTGCAGGTCCGGAGCCCTGCCCTGCGGGGAGGCAGCTAAGGCCCGGCGAGAAATCGAGCGCAGCGCCGCTGGGCCGGCACTGCTGGGGGACCCGGCGCACCCTCTGCAGCTGCTGGTCCAGGTGCTAAGCCCCTCACTGCCTGGGGCCGGCGGGGCAGCCGGCTGCCCGGGGCTGCCAAACCCACTCCCACCCGGAACTCTAGCTGGCCCACAAGCGCGGCGCGCAGCCGCAGTTGCTGCCTGTGCCTCTCCCGCCACACCTCCGTGCAGGCTGAGGGAGCCGGCTCCAGCCTCGGCCATCCCAGGAAGGGGCTCCCACAGTGCAGGGGCGGGCTGAAGGGCTCCTCAAGCGTGGCCAGAATGGGTGCCGACGCCGAGGAGGCATCGAGAGCAAGCGAGGGCTGCCAGCATGCTGTCACCTCTCATAAGGACCGAAGGTGATAACTTGGGCAGGGACTCAGAGCAGTGCCCGACACGGAGAATATGTGCAATAGCTGTTGTGGGTGAACTTACGGAAAATAACAACTACTGACCATCTTGTCTATCCAGATGTGACTCGTGAAGGAAGGAAGGAAACTAAAGGCAGCCTGATGGTGGGGGGTAAGGTCCAGTACTCAAGGGGTGTCCTCTCTAGGGGGTTACCTTGGTTCTCCAGCTGGGACTGACTCAGGTAAGTTGTCCTTACCTCATCTTTGCGGCCCTGGAGAGGAAGCCTTAGGCAGTGAAAATGAAGGAGGAGGAAAACCAGAATTTCTTTCTCTCTGTTTGGAAGGCCTGTTTCTGGAGCCTCCCGTGGGAGAGAAAAATTTCTCCCAGAAGTTTTCTGTGGAAGGGGAAAACTGAGCTTTTACTGTTGGGTGGAGATTCCCAGGCCCTGCTCTTGACTCCAATGCTGGGTTGTTTATTTAGGTTAAAATGTATTCATTGTTCCTTTTAGTGCATTCCTTACCTTAAGTGCTTATTAACTTTCTAGGGACATCTTATGGATTTGTTTAAAGATGATTTCAAAGTATTTTGAGTTCTTTTAAAGTATGCTTTTTGTTGTGTTTTAGAGGACAATAAGATCTCGTAACCCAAGGCTACTTGTTAGAGTTTAGTGAATATTCATGGGATAATACAAAAGTGAAGATCAAAGCCACCCAGTTTATAGTTTAGTTAGTGACTAGTCCATCTATGCGGACATTCTGCGGTTATCTGAGAAGAGGGAAAAGTCGCTGCTCAGAACCCAGGAACTGCAAAGGAAGCTGACTTCATCCGTCCTCTGCGGCCTAGGTCATAAGGACAGGGTCCCCAGTCTGGGGCGTCTAGCTCCCACTGCCTGTTAGGTGGCTGATCAGCATTGTCTTCCAGCTCTATCTCTGCGACTATTCTGTGAAATTTTACTATTGTATTTAAAATCAAAGCATATGGTGTCTCCCCTGCTCTGCTGTAGGGTCTTTCCGTTGGCCTGGAATAGATAATATCCATTTGCATAGTCTGTGATGAAAGGGTTTGTTAAGCAAAATACCAATGTAAACAAGGCTTCAGAGAGGATGTTTCCAGTGCAAACACTTGGAAGCACTCATGAGTCAAGTGCAAATGGCTTACAAACTACAGATGTCTTAGCTGGGGAGTGTGTGCTTACAGATGTCTACGTGCTTGCATTTCTATTTTTGCAATCCTTCCAGGTAGGTCCTATTATGATCCTCATTTAACAGAAGAAGAAACTAGGGGTCAGAGTGATTGAGTAGATCTTCTAAGGTCACATAGCCAGAAAACAGCAAAGCCACACCATGTTTTTAACAGCGAAGACAGAGTCTCAAGAAACAGGTATCTGACACGTAAACAGTGAGAGCATGTCTGACGCCGCAGGTAAGAGCATATCCAACTGAAGTGACTGACACACCTGGGGATGATTTTGCTCCCTTAAGGAGAAGTCCACAGAGGAGTGTTGTCCAGGGTTTGTTCTGTTGTTCGACAATGTCTAGGTGGCTGTCCTTATGATCCTAGGGGTAGTTTCGAACATCGTTCCCTCACAGGACAATGTTGAAAGGCAGGAAGGAAGGCTGGCTACAAGCACCCTCCTTGTGTGTCTCTCATGTTTTAATCAGAGAGAAAAATCTCTCCCAGAAGTTTTCCTTGGAAGGTTTTTTTCCCAAACCAGGCTGGTCACAGGCCCTTGCCCAGCTGCAGTGGAGATGGACAAGTGTCGGGGACTTGTGGGCTCAGCAATGGGAGGAGACGCTGCTGTCAGAGCAAGTGTGGAAGGATGGTTTTCCTAATCCAGCAGCCTTAACTCCCCGAGAACAGGGAGCTGTGAGGTCTCCTTCTGGGAAGGTGTCTAAACCCTCAGCTTTGAGAACCTCTACAGTAAAGACTACAGGCCTAGAATAAAGCTGTAACACTGGGCAGGATGCCTTTGTACTCTTTTGGTGACTACTAATTATAACTCATTTTTAAACAAAGAAATGATGAACTATTGGAACACTGAACCAAATTGGTAAAAAAGCTTAAAAAACACCTTCTATCCGGCAAGAAGGTAAGTGTAAATAATAGCTTGTGGTAACAAAAGCTAGCATGGACCACTAGTTGTACTAAGAGCTTTGCCTACGTTACTTTCATTAATCTTCATCACAATGAGGAGAATCCCCATTTTATTTTATTTTTTTGAGACAAGGGTCTCACTCTCTCACCTAGACTGGAGTGCAGTGACGCAATCTCAGCTCACCGCAACCTCTGCCTCCCAGGCTCAAGCGAAAATCTCCATTTTATAGCTGAGAAGACAGAGGCTTCAAGAGGGCATTTTGCCCATGACCCCGCGGCTAATACATCACACAGCCAGCCCTGAAGCCCAGCACCTTGTGACTCCCCTCCTGCGCTGCCTCTGGGTTGGTGGGTTAGGTTCCTTTCCCTGTTTGCTCTGATGAGAGAGGCCCTTTATCTGAGTACAACAAAGCAATCACTACTCCCCAGTCCCCTCAATAGTCCCTGGGACTCTGTCCTTCTGGTCTCTTTCCTACCCACCTCCTGGGTCCTGGGGATTCCATCCTCTTTTGAGCTCTGCTTTATTCCCTGCTGGTCACCTCTCTACTTCCTTGTCCCCTGAAGGGCCACCCGCAGTACCACCCTGCACAGCATGTTCTGAAGGTCTGTGGTGATGGAGGACCATGGTCTCAACTGAATCCTCTGTTTGAACCTCCTTCAGACCGTCAGCGTTGGTTTTCCACTCCTTTGCAAGATAAAGTATACGTGGAAGTTTTGGAATCGCAATTCCTCCTGGTGGAATCACATTCTCAGATATTTTCTTCCCTAACCAGCCTTTATAACCAGAAATGCAACAGTGGGAAGATTCTTCTGTTGTCCAAAGCCAGTCTCTAGGGTTGTGGGCTGGTCTTTTTGTTCCTGTTGTCTCTTGCACGTCATGGAGGAAATGAACAGCCCAGAAACCTGGGCACAAAGATACCATTCAACCTTGAAATTCTTCTCCACTCTGTACTGCCTGGGACGTCTTCTCCACTGGTGTGAAGACCTAGTATTTATTGTTTATCTCATTATGTAACATTTCACATGTAGTGGAGGCTCCAGACTGAGCAGAAGCTGGGCTTACAGACGTGTCTGGGCATCTGATGAACTCACTGAGGCAAGCTCAGAGTCAGTGTAGATTTGCATGGTCTTTATTTAGGAAAAGAGGACTACAGGAACATGAAGTAGTGAGCTCAGCCAGTGATGTTTGTCCTGGAGACAGGTCCCCTGGCCCTGCACCAGGAATGTGAGTCTGAGCCTCTCACTGGAGAGTGAGCCTTCAGGCACAAGTGAAGGAGCAAGAGTCTGAGAGTCTTGAAGGCACGAGAAGTCCTCTGGGGTAGCCAAACATGACCCAAAGTGAGGGAAAGGACCATTCTTGTTTCTGCATGGGGCACAGCATGGCTTTAGTGGATGCAATGTGCACAGTAGATAGTCAATGACTAAGCACTCATTAGGAAGAAGAGAGGGAGGAAAGGAAAGAAGGAAGGACACTTGAGGAATATAGAGGTCTGAGCATCACCTCAAGGACATGCAGCTTTGAGAGTCCCAAGACAGTCTATCCAAGTCACATCCTCCTCAATTATCATGCAGATCCAGGCCATGAAGGCCCTTGAGAAGTCCCGTGACAGCATTCATGAGCAAAGCGGTCTAAGAAGAATGTGAAGAATACCAGGTAGTGAAGACTGTAATTTCACGGAAACACCCCCCAGCCTCGCAGGAAGAACCAGGTGAGGCTTTGTCCAGGGTGGGTGGAAGTAGGCTGTAGGACATGATTGTTTAGCTGTGAAGAGCACAAGGTATCTGGCTGTGGGGCGATGGGTTCAAAATCCACCCTGCTATCTGCTTGTGAAGCTTCAGCTGGGCACGGCTGCAGTCACTGAAGAGGTTGGCTTATTCTAAGTGC
The DNA here is from genome assembly GCF_000001405.40 of Homo sapiens. Lineage (NCBI taxonomy): Eukaryota > Metazoa > Chordata > Mammalia > Primates > Hominidae > Homo > Homo sapiens. The sequence continues at coordinate 21,925,196 of NC_000013.11, forward strand.
ACGTGGGTGCCACATGGACTAGCAGTGGCCTCCACAGGAGCAGTGATTTTGATTCTGTCTGTACCTGGAGCCTGAGAAGCCCCCGAGGAGACTTCAACTACATGCTGTGCAGGGACAATTGTCTTCCTTGTGGCAACTTTTCAGTAATCATTGATTGATCAATTCATCGTTATTGCTTACTTTGGTCTTACGAAACTGATAGAGATACAGTTGTATTTCTACCTGTATAATTGGTTGTAAACTTTCAACCTTGATTGTAAACCGAAGGCATAGAGGTGTGGGGCTAAGAGGCAGGAACACATGGCCTGGGTTGGAATCATACCTCTGTCTTTGGAAAATGGATTGAACCTCTCTGTGCCTCTGCTTCTTACTTTGCAGGATTCTCCTGAGGATTAAATGGGCTGGCATTCATAAAGCTCCTAAGACCTGCTTGGTGCTTGAGCAGAAGTCAGATGTGCCAATTCGTGGTTTACATGGAATACCTCCATTCCTGCCTATCCTCCTGTTTCTACCTGCTGCCACTGGAAGGGTTGCTTGGAGCTTTGCGATAATCTTTACTTTCAGCCAGGGAGAAAGGAGAAAGCTGCCCAAGGCAGGGAGTGCTTGGGGGAGCATCCTGTAGGAATGCACTCTGTGGACCTTGCTCAGTTCAGACCAACAGGTGTTCATTGCATTCCAGGCCTGTTTGCTTCCAGGAATGCACAGGTGAGTATTTCATGGTCCTTTCTTCATTTCCTCCTATGTAGATTCATGCGCATTTTCAGATATCTTTGACAATGGAAATACTTCTGAGTAGTTTGCAGGCATATCACGAGGTGGGCTCGGTTCAGTCAGACTCCTTTCCTTATAACAGGACAGCATGGAGGTGTGGGGATTATAACAGGGCGGCATGGAGGCGTGGGGATTATAATGGTGACATGGAGGTGTGGGGATTATAACAGGGCTGCATGGAGGCGTGGAGATTATAACAGTGGCATGGAGGCGTGGGGATTATAACAGGGTGGCATGGGGCTGTGGGAATTATAACAGGGTGGGATGGAGGTATGGGGGATTTTGACTGCGAAGACAGCAGACATACTCATTTTGAAAGTGGGGACATTTGAGGGTCTCAACAAAAATGAGCAACACCAGGAGAAAGGGCTTTAGAAAAGGGCACAGAAGACTGGCAAAGTCAAATCACCTCTTTTCCAAAGCTCACAAAGGGTCCACCCTGAGCAGTGCATGGAAGGAGAAGACACTCTTTCTCCTCTTGGTCTCACTTTCTAATGGTGAATCCATGTTCTTGGGACCCAGAACTCTTAATAAAACAATCTACCTACTTTATGGATTCAATAATTTTTTGCTGTGTAGCCTAAGAAAATGACTCTCAGTCATTCACTCCAGCCTCTTGAGGGAGCTCCAGCCCCCAGTGTCCTTCCCCTACCTGGTAGCTCCCTGCCCTATCTCTCTCCAAAATGTCCTGTGTCAAGACCAAGGAGTCTCCTGGCTGGGGGTGCTGGTGAGAAGATGCAAGTGGTTAGGGGCTCTTGGGCCCTCACGGCTATGCTAGTTGATATCACCTTCTTTCAGGGAGCTGGAGGTGGGAGAAGGGTTTGTGCTTTTTTTAGCTCTTGGCCCTTTTATCGTGCATTAGTCCATTCTGCATTGCTATAAAGGAACACCTGAGGCTGGGTAATATATAAAGAAAAGAGGTTTATTTGTCTCATGGTCTGCACCAGCATCTGCTTCTGGGGAGGCCTCAGGAAGCTTTCACTCATGGTAGAAGGTAAAGGAGGAGCAGGTGTGTCACACGGTGAGAGAGGGAGCAAGAGAGCGCTCAGGCTCTTTTAAACAACCAACGCTTGTGGGAGTGAATAGAGTGAGAACTCACTCACTCCCGTGGGGAGGGCACCAAGCCACTCATGAGGTACCCGCCCCTGTGACCCAAACACTTTCCAGCAGGGCCCACCTCCAACGTTGGGATCATATTACAACATGAGATTTGGAGGGGACAAGCATCCAAACTATATTATGTAGATATATTTTTTCCCACATAGTGTGAAAGGATGGGTTAGTGTGAGTGAGTGGGCCTGGGCCACCTTCGATGTGAGGGAGCTCCCTCCAGCTCTGCTGCAGATCTTGGGAACAAATAAATGTGTATCTTCCCTTTGCTCCTCTATTCCGAAGAGAAATGAGCTCTGTTAGGGGCTGAATTGCATTGCCTCACGTCTCCCATCCAAATTCGTATCCTACAGTCCCAATCCCCAGTACCTCAAAGTGTGGCCTTATTTGGAGATAGGACCTTTAAAGAGGCAATTAGGTTAAAATTGGGGCAGTATGTTGGGTCCTATTCCAATCTGACTGGCGTCTTCATAAGAAAAGGAAATTTGGACACACACAGAGATACCAGGGATGCTCACACAGAGGAAAGGCCATGTGGAGACCCAGCAAGAAGGATGAGGGAGGCCCCAGGAGCACCGACACCTCCTGACACCTTGATCCTAGACTTCTTGACTACAGAACTGTGGGACTATACATGTCTGTTTAAGCACCCCAGGCCATGGGACATCGTCATGATGGGCCTGAGCAGACAAATACAAGTACCGTCCACCCTCCCCACTCCACCAAAGATGAGGATCAAGCACATGGGGTGAGAGGAAACGGACAGAAGTAAATCAGCTCCCAGTCCAGGCTCTGGCTCATTAGGTAGAGCCCCTGTGGCCCACGTATTGTCCCCATCTAAATCAGCCGGCTTAGGGGCTGGACCCGTGAGTAACAGACAGGGTGCATCTCTCCTTGCTGTCTTCCTTGCCTTCTACCCCAGAGAGGGAGAACCTGCGGCTGATCCGGGTGGGTATCTGGTCCATGACCAGGATTTGGCTAAATATCTTTCCATGTGATCCGGGTGAGTGTCTGGTCAAGGACCAGGATTTGGCCAAATAGCTTTCCATCTCATCACACAGTTAACACTAATTGTTACTTATAACCTCACTGTCATGGGAAAATATGTTCTAAACTACCAACAAGAATTTACACATGTTATTTTTGGATTGCAATGGGACTAGCAATATTTGTAGATGTCTTATCAACATTCAAATTGTATACACTTTTTTTTTAACCAGCATGTTGTTTAGTTCAATCTTTGCCCTAATGTAGGCCAATCTTTCCGTAATTAGTTCTAATTGCTGTACTCGTCAGGTTGAGTAAATGGCTTCAGAGGATTTTTCATAGATAAGATATAGGCTGGGCCAGGTGCGGTGGCTCATGCCTGTAATCCCAGCACTTTGGGAGGCCAAGGCGGGTGGATCACGAGGTCAGGAGATGGAGACCATCCTGGCTAACACAGTTAAACCTCATCTGTACTAAAAATGCAAAAGAAAATTAGCCGGGCGTGGTGGTGGGCGCCTGTAGTCCCAGCGCTCGGGAGGCTGCGGGAGAATGGTGTGAACCCGGGAGGCGGAGCTTGCAGTGAGCCTAGATAGTGCCACTGCACTCCAGGCTGGGCGACAGAGCGAGACTCCGTCTAAAAAAAAAAATATATATATATATATATATATATATGTGTGTAGATCTTATTCATAGTCACTAAAGAAATTCCCTTTAATGCTCATTATTTCTAGAAACGAAAGGAGATAATCATATAATAAAGTGCTAGGCCAAATGCTAGGCCTATAATCTAATGTTTCATAAATGTTAGCTATTATTGTCATTATTATAAAAAAGAGTCAAAGAAATACAATGGTATACTTTTTTGTCTTTTGTCTTGTTTTATCTGTTAGTCACCTTCAGGGCAATGCCTGTAAAAGTAATGTTAATGATGACAGAAGTCTATAATGCTTTCCCAAGTGTTGGGTGACTACAGTATCACCTTTTCTACAGAGGGATAAAAATAAACACTTCCCGTGGGTAACAACATGCTGATCTTCAAGCATTTTGCAATTCAGATGTTCCGTTTCACTCTCTTTAACAGCTCAGAGAATATTTCCATCTTATCTGGTTGTAGGACCCAGGTTTGAAGGTTTTACATGCCCCTTTACCCCCGTCTTCTTGCCAGCATTAGCTAAGTTGTCCACTGAATTTTTTTTTTTTTTTTTTTTTTTTTTACAGGAGTGAGGCCTCAGGATTCAAGACTTCTGGATGTTGTTTCACTTATATATTTTTCACTTTAGGATAATGCATTTACTGGGAAAAATAAACAATTGTAGCTCAAGGCTGAGGCCCAGATGAAGTGCGGGATCCCTGGCAAGAGTGTAGCCCCGCGTGCACGTGCCCTCCCTGTGCTGTTTTGGTGGGGAGGGCAGCTCACAGGGCTCACGGGAAAGGAAGCAAGCATGTTAGAGGTGGCTGCATTGTAAGAGTAAATTCCATCTGATTTACAAAGTCCTCAGAGCAGCTCCCTGTGGCTCTGGCAGCTAACTGATCCAGTTAATGGAAAGGGCGTGGCCTTGTGCCTGGCTTCTGATGTGCCCTCGCTGTAATCCCACCCGCGCCATGGTCTAGCCACACTGGGCGGCCTCTCCCTGCTCGCTCCTCTCCTCTGCTTTCGTCTGCTGGGACTTCTCCCACGGCTGCACCACGTTAGGGCCTGCTGGGTGGCCGCATGGGATGCATTTTCTACCACAGATGGCCATGGCTGAGGGCAGATGGGCCTCCTGAAGGTAGGTCCATCCCGGCTGCAGTGGACGCAGGGCTCCCGAGAAACTCAGTTGCTGAGAAGTGTCGTTTTCCAATCAGCTAGCCTAGGTAAGCCCTGTCATGGAGTCAAAGATGCTGCTTGCCTTTTTCTTTAGCATAGAAACTCCTTAATTAAATATGTAAATATGGCCTTTAAAAAAATTCTGTAGGAGTAGGGATGTTTTTTATCTTTTTTTTTTTTTGAGACAGTCTTGCTATGTTGCCCAGGCTGGAGTGCAGTGGCTTGATCTTGGCTCACTGCAACTTCTGCCTCTCAGGTTCAAGCGATTCTCCTGCCTCAGCCTCCTGAGTAGTGAGTAGCTAGGATTACAGGCGCCCAACACCACGACTGGCTAATTTTTGTATTTCTAATAGAGACGGGGTTTCACCATGTTGGCCAGGCTGGTCTGGAACACCTGATCTCAGGTGATCCACCCACCTCAGCTTCCCAAACTGTTGGGATTACAGGCATGAGCTACCATGCCCGGCCTTTTACCTTTTATACAGGAGAAGGATCCATTTATTTAACAAGGGACACAGACCAAATCTCATCATGTGGCTCACAGGGAGGTGAAGAGAGACACGTGGAAGGACAGAATTTCACAGGAAGGATCTTTCAAAAAACCTCAACCAGATAGAAGGACAAATCTGGAGGTGTTCAGGCCTCATCCCTACATGGGCAGGCAGAGCTGGCTGTGGGTACAGTGGGGAGCAGAAAAATGGACTTGCAGTAGGAAATCCCCGTGGGCTGGGGGCAGGAGGCCTGGTCCTGGTCTAAGGACTGCGGAGTTAGGAGTAGCCTGGGTAAAATAGAGAGGGTGGGCTGACCTCCAGGGCCTCCAGCTTGTCATTTCCTCAGGAAGCCCCAGCTGCTGGTGCCTGGGCTGTCTCCTCTTGCGGCTCCACACACGTGTCCTTCTCGAAGTCATTGTGGGTGGTCACTGTGACAGTCTGCTGGGGCTTCCCCTGTGCCTCCTGGGTCTCGTTACCAAAAAGTAACCTAGCTCTGGCACAAAGTGGACACTCAGCAAATATTCATGAGGGTGATGGAGGGGAGCAGAGGAAAAAGGGGGAAAGATGGAAAAAGGAGGAGGGGAGAGAAAGGAGTGAAAAACAATTGAAGGAAGGAGAGATGTGAGAGAGGATGTGAGGACAGGATGGAGGGATGGGGGAGGAAGGAAGCGGGAAGGGACGGAGTAGGAGGGAGGGAAGTAAGCGGGCTCACTATTGCACCCTGCAAAACTCTTCTCTATTGTAAAACAAATGTCAGAATTGGAGAAAGTCAATCATTTGCAAAATAATACATTTGTAAAATGGTGAGAAAATGATGCAGTCTGAAAGGATGGTTTTTGGATCAAGTAATCAATCCCACAGTGAGTATAGTCACTTCATTACCCACATATTATTCCATACTTAGATAAAAATTACATGTATGTGTGTTCTAATGTCACCTTTATCCTATTTATACTTGTGGATCTACAGAAAGTTGGCTGTTGAGGGTCATACTACGAGAATGGATTAGGGCAAATCTTAATTTAAGCAGTCCCAATTTTGAGTTGGTGTACAAGATAGAAAACAAGCTATCTGAATAGTGCTGTCTTTAGAGTGTTACAGTTAAGCACTGACTCCGGTGGCACGGTTTGCCTGCCATCAGCCCACTTCCAGTGCTGGCCCCAGAGTCCTGGGGCTGCCCCTCTGTTGTTCTTTGTTGTTAGCAGTACGGTGCTAGGAGTATTTGAGAAGCTCGGAATCTTAAGAGGGTCTCCGATATCCCCACTCCGATTTTTATCAGGGCCAGTATTTGTCTCTGTACTATGTAGAACTTTAAGAGGAGAAAGGTGATATTTTACAAATTCTATAGGTTGCTTTTTAAGAGCTCTTCACATGCCTACTGAATGTTTAAAAATAAATGGTCTTTGTCACAGATGTCGCAAAATGATCATTGTAATTGGTCAAATGTATTACAAGGTCTGCGGAAAAGGTCAATTTCTTGGGCATAAAGCTGCTGTTTGTATGTGGACTGATTTAAGCCATAGGAAGTCTATTTTCAGAAGCAGTTTTCTATGAGTAGCTTTGAGGAGGAAAGGGTTTGAGGTCTGGACAGTGCAAATGAGGAATTACTGAAGGGTAAGTCATTTTCCTGGGAAGCCCTTTTTACCCAGTCCAAGGAAACCAACATCTTTGCTGAGGATGTGTGTTTTGTTCCCTGTTATTCCAATTCCCGGCCCTCCGGGAATCTCTTTGGCAGAACCCCCCCGGGGACCCAGTGGTGGGGGTGGAGTGAGGACTGGGGGGTGTCTGGTTCCATTTTATCCCCTGAATTCAGGCCCTTGGGCTGTTGAATAATATTACTAATACTTTGTGTTTATGTAACAGTGAACAGCTTACAAGGTACTTTAATATATATTAGAATCAGAATTTTAGACCTGAAAGGAATATCAGGAATCCTCTAATCTTAGGGATATAAGAATATCAAGGATCCTCATTGCCTTCATTTTGGTCCTTCCAATGACCCCTCAAGGTAGGAAGAGCCGGCTCTTCAGGTAATTCAGGGTATGCTTAAATTACAGATGAAGAAACGGAGACTTGGACAACAGGAGCATCTTGTCCGAGCCACATGACTTGTAAGCAACAAAACCAGCCCTCGAAGGTAGTTGCTCTGGCCCCAAAATCTTGCTGCCCAGAGGCCACCTCCCTGCCCAGGAATATTGCCACAGTCCTGGCTGTCCACAGCCTCCTGCCCACCCTTAGGGCAGCTGCAGAAGTTCCCTGCAAATTAAGGAAAATTTAACCAAAGACGACTGGATGGAGGATTTTAACAAGAATTAATTACTGGAACCTATTATTCATAACACAGAAGGGCTATTTTCCCTGCATGGTTGAGGCAAGGATAGTGGATTTTGCAATAGGCTTTGGAGAAGGAAATTGCAGGTTTCATCACTTGTCACCTTTGGCCCACTCTCTTGCCACCTGCTGACTTCAAGAAAAATTTGCCTGAAGATGAGGATTAATGTAATGGCCGATTCCATTTCTTCTGTACTTTTTGGATGAAATTTGATCATTCTGCTTCACATTCTTTCTCCTCACCTGCTGGGGAAAGCAAATTGAATTCTTTGAAAGAAAATTCAGTCCAGACCAGAACACACACAGAACCAGCCCCTCTTAAAACGTAAGGGGCTCATCTTAGTCACAAATACTTACCTTCTGGTTTGTTTACATTGCACGGTTTATTCCATTAAGGTCCAATTTCAGGTGCTCAGTGAAACCCAGATGGCTCGAGGCTGGCTGCCCTGAAGAATCTAACCACCCATAAGTAAACAATTTCTTAGACTAACTTCCTTAAGGATTCGCTTGGAGTTCCCTGGGAACTTGGCTGGCAGAGGGCTTACTAACCTCCAGAGCTGCGGGCTGTTCTTTCCTGAGTCAGCCATTCTGAGCTGGGCATCCATTTGCTAACCCAGCTTCTCAGCTGACGATGGGCTCTGTGCAGCCCAGGAAGGAGGCTCATCCCTCCTTTAGGGCCTCCTTGAACCACTTCTTCCTGCTCCCAAGCACCTGGTGCAGGCTGCAGCTGCTTGGTAGCTGAGCAAATAAAATATCATCCAAATCACGGTATCCCCTACCCCCACATTTTAAAAATAGCTATTTGTCCCAGTTTTTTTTCCCCTTAGGGATTTTTAATATGTATACAGTGCATAATTGACACTCTTTGCTGAATCAGGATTTGTAGCTAGAAGGGACTAATATATTTCATTTTGTAATTGAGCAAACTGAGGTGCAGAGAGGTTAAGTCACATGCCTGAAGCCCCCAAACCAGTGAATGCTGGAGCTGAGAGGGCAATCCCAATGTGACCTAGAGTTCAGGACCACTTATGCCCTCCGGATATGGCCTCAGGCCCTCCTTCCTTTGAGGTCAAACTCCAGTTTCTCTCCTCCATGACTCTAGCCTACTGGAATCTTTCCCCATTTTGAACTGTTTTTGCACTTAAAGTTCAGGCCATACAAATGAACACTGAGGAGTTGTTGTGTTGTTTGAGGACACTGGTTTTCTCCTCCCAATGAATCTGTAAGGTCTATAGGGATTACATCGTTCACTTCTTCTGTGTTCAGGGAACAGCAGAGTAAAGCTATATACACATCTAGTAAATGTGGATTGATTGATAGTTGATGTATGACCACCTGTCTTGGCTGCCACTCCCAGTTTAACTCCAGAGGGATAATGGTGTGTTCTGTTGAGCCTGGTGGATGTGGTATATTCTGTGATCTGCTTGTTGGCAATCCCAATCTGTCTCTTCTGGATTACTCTCCACATTCAGCTGCCATCCCTTTCTCCACCGCTTTCCATAATCAAGTGCTCCAGGTCCTCTTGACTGGCTTCTTGCTTCCTTGCTCTGTTCATTCTGTCTGAAGAGCTCTTCCCTTCATACTTGTCCTTTACCAGATGGCTCAGTGTCACTGCCTATGTAGGAAAATAGCATCGTTTCCTCTCTGCCCTACAGCGTTGTGCATCTCCTGGGTCTAGAGCTTGCCTGCTTGTGTTCGGGTTATTTGTTTGCAAATCTCCCTCTCCACCAAGCCTGGGTGCCCCTAGAGAGCCAGGACCTGTCTGCTGTGTCTTTGCACCTGCCTTGCCTCAGGGCCTGGCACGGAGCTCTGAACTGAAGTGCTTCAGAATATTTGTTGAAGGGAATGACTGACTTGGCATGCGTTGTCAGACGAGGTAGCGGAAAGACAATGCACAGAGGGGTTGGCTAAGAATTCCTAACTGCGCCATAGCATGCTCTAAGCACTCATTGTCTGCAGACCATAGAACCTTGAGGAGCGTGAGAAGTTTTCTTTTTTTTTAATTTTTGTTTTTTGAGACAGAGTCTCGCTGTGTCACCCAGGCTGGAGTGCCGTGGTGCAATCTCAGCTCACTGCAACCTCCGCCTCCTGAGTTCAAGCAATTCTCCTGCCTCAACCTCCTGAGTTGCTGGGTTTACATGCGTGCGCCACCACGCCCAACTAGTTTTTGTATTTTTAGTAGGGACGGGGTTTCACCATGTTGGTCAGGTTGGTCTCCAGCTCCTGACCTCGTGATCCGCCCGCCTCGGCCTCCCACAGTGCTGGGATTACAGGCGTGAGCCACCTTGCCTGGCCGAGAAGTTTTCTAAACTTCTAGAAGGCCCAGGCTCCATCCTTAGTAAAACTTTTCATCTATTGGGAAAACCTGAGTGTAGAGGTGAATTTATCCTGACGCTAATGGAACTTACACTTTAGGAACTCACTTGCCCAGATCCCTTCTAACATCTTATACTAAATTTTGGACTTGCAATTTTGTTTTCTTTTCCTTAAAAGAAAGCTTATAAAATGTAGACCTTCAGACCTGTACACTGGCATCTGCACCTGGCCTCGGGATGCCTTTTGGATCTTCCTCGGCAGAGGCACGGGAACACACGAGTCACTCTTCAGAGCTGAAGTCATGGGCTGGACAGTTTGAGAGCAGTTAATTCGGAGGTCTTACTGAGGACCCCAGGATTCTTTAGTGGATGAGATCCATTGTCCTTCTAGCCCATTATTCTCTCTTTCATAGTTACACCAAGGAATGCTTTAGGAGGAAGTAAAGCACTTACCCTCAATGATATCTGCCTTAAAGACATAATTACATATGAGAGGTGTCTTTAATTAAATAAATACACCATGCCCAGTGCTGTGGTTTGAATGTGTTCCCCAAAGTTCATGTGTTTGAAACTTAACTCCTAATGCAACAGGGTTGGGAGGTGGAACGTAATGGGAGGTGTTTAGGTTAGGAGGGCTGTGCCCTCATGAATAGACTAATGTTGTGATTGAGGGAGTGGGTTCATTATTGCAGGAGTGGGTTTGTTATAAGTGAGTTTCAGCCCCCTTTGCACTCTCTTGCTCTTGCCTTCTCTTGCCCAACCACCTCCCACTATAGGATGACACAGTAGAAAGCTCCTTGCCAGCAGATGCTGGTGCCATGCTCTTGAACTTCTCAGCCTCCTGAACTGTGAGTCAATAAATTCCTGTTCTGTAGCAATTGCCCAGCCTTAGGTATTCTGTTACTGCAGCACCCATGAACTAAGATACATAGTGTGTTTAAATTGTGTTATATGCTTTTGAAAAATTATTTATGTTTGTTACACCATTCTTTCTTTCCATGTGTCCTAGAAGGAGGATTGAGATAAGGGTCACCATCTGTATTAGCAGATGAAGAAGCTGAATCTAATGTCAATCAGTCATGGAAGGCCACAGAGCAACCCAAGTCAGAGTTGAGGTAGAACTTGAATCTTATCTAACTTACAGTTTGTCTTCTTCATGAGCTTCAGAGAGAACAAGCATTATAAACCATGTATTGAGAAAAGCGCAGACTTTCTTTTCGCCAAAAAAGTGTTCCATTTTCAGAAGCATAGGGGCTGGAGGAAGTGATCAGAGTAGAAGGGGTCAAGACAGGGAAGAATGTGTGTGTGTGTGTGTGCAGGAAAGTGTAGGTGGAGGTGTGTGTATGTGGGGAAGAGTGGGTGGTGTGTGAGTAGGTATGGGGAAGAGTGTGTGTGTAGGGAAAAGTGTATGTGTATGTAGGGAAGAGTCTGTGTGTGTAGGGAAGAGTGTGTGTGTGTGTGTGTAGGGAAGAGTGTGTGTGTCGGGAAGAAAGTGTGTGTGGGGGGGTGGAAGAGTGTGTGTGTGTAGGGAAGAGTGTGTGTGTGTAGGGAAGAGTGTGAGTGTGTAGGGAAGAGTGTGTGAGTGTGTAGGGAAGAGTGTGTATAGGGAAGAGTGTGTGAGTGTGTAGGGGAGAGTGTGTGTGCAGGGAAGAGTGTGTGTGTCGGGAAGAGTGTGTGTGTGTCGGGAAGAGAGTGTGTGTGTGAGGAGGAAGAGTGTGTTTGTGTGTGTGTAGGGAAGAGTGTGTGTGTAGGGAAGAGTGTGTGTGTGTAGGGGATGTAGGTGGTGGGTGTGTATGTAGGGAAGAATGGGTGGTGTGTGTGTAGGGAAGAGCGTGTGTGTAGGGAAGAGTGTGTAGGGAAGAGTGGGTGTTTGTGTGTATAGTGAAGAGTGTGTGTGTGTGTAGAGAAGGTGGGTGGTGTGTGTGGGTGTGCATGCAGGTATGGAAGAGTGTGTGCTACCTAAGAAGATATTCAAGCCAGAAGTCCATGGACCAGCATATATCAAGCCTACAAATGAAACGATGAGGGGAGGATGGATCCACAGTCATCTGACGGCAATGGTGATTTGATTCATTGACACATTTGGTGTATTATTGTGAACACAGTCAATAGCATGGATTGAAAGAGGCAGCTGTAGCTTAGACATTTTTAGAATGTAACACCTATTTAATATTTTGTTTCCTAATTTAGTGCCCCCTCTCCAAAGAAACTAAAACGCTTCCCCTAACTTCATGCCAAGGTTGCTATGTGAAACAAAAGTAGTGCAAAGCTGCTCTTCCCCGGGGCCCCCATGTGACTATATCTGAGGCTATTCAAAAGCCCATGCCTACCTTTTCCTAGTGAATTCCAAGCATGTCAGAAACATTTCCTAATTAATCTTCACAATCTACTCATGAAATAAATGGCAGTGCTCGGTATGAGTGAGTGTCACACATGGGATCAAGCAATGGCAATACTGGACCTTTTAGTTTTCCACTGCATATATGTACCCTGCCAAGGCATAAGACAGAACTAGGTCTCCTGTCTGCAGACAGACGATTATCAGCAGCTTCTTTCCTATGGTCATTTTACATTTTGAACATCATGCAACAGTCGCTTGTGGTAATTATTTCTTCAGCCTAGGTCTATTTAATTTAACGTTGCTTGGGAAAAAAATGATAATAAAATCCCAAAAGATACCGATAAGTTCTGCATCCCGATATGTCTTTATGATGACGTAGGGTGACAAATGAGGCAAGTTACGTCATTGGCTAGAACCACAATCGGAACCCCAGCCACAGAGCTTTCTGAGCACTTTGCTTGGTTTATAGCCATTGGTCTACATTATTCTGTAACGGTCAAGTGTCTGGTTTCATACATAGCTATGTGATCCTCACATTTTCATAAATAGATGGACATCTTTGCATTCCAATACCAGACAAAAACTAGTGCCGTGAACCCTCTGTGGGAGCTGTGGCTGACACAGCCTGAGAGTCTAAGATGGGGAGGAAGGGAGAGAATGTGGCCCTGCCATTCTGGGTGAACGCGATGGTGCCATTTTTAGGTACAAGGGGGTCTGAGGGTGGAACAAAAAGCCTGGAGCCACAGAAGGTGAGCGTGGAGATAGCAATTGAACCAGATGGATTAGGGAGATGAAAAAGGGAGAAAGATGAGAGGTAGAGGATTAGCAGGAAAGAAGTGTCAACTCCAGAAGAGAAGCCTTGGGTTTTGTGGAATGCGCTCCATGTAAAAAAATAACTGCATTTTGATGTCTCTCCCAGGCTTTTCATAGTTAAGACAGCTGCAGAGGAAGAGAAAAATCCAGGGCCCTAAACAGGAGAAGTGTTTTCAGAAGATGTGTGACTCACATGAAAAGTCCCTGGAGGGTGATCTGCACACTGTCCTTTTTATGATATCACGCACAACTCCACTAACCTGGCCAGGCCACCAACCAGATTTTGTCTCTCTTGTGGCACTTTCTGGGAAGCATTAAACTCCTTGCAGAGGCACTGTTATGAGCCAGCGTACAGCAAACACACGGGCTGGCACTGTAAGGTGTCACGTTCCTCTTTTGAACGTGTAGTTAGTCCAGGTTATGCCTCTTGATATTGGAGCACAGCTAAGTGTGTGGGTGCACATGTGGGCACACCACACACACACACACACACACACACAATGCACACTCCTGAGATAGGTTAGAAAATGTGAAAGTTTAGCTTTGTCCCCGGGTGTTGTTAAAGTATTTAATCTGAGGCAATGCACGTTTACAAACAAAAGGACTGTCACTTTGATGCCTGAATACAGAAAGCTGTGCTTGTCGGCCACCAAATAGCTCCATTTCCGTACAGTTAATCTTCAGAGCGTCTGTTCACGTTAACTCTGGTTTGTACTTTGTAGAGACTTGCTTTTGCTGTTTGGACAGGTGAAAGCATCCACTGCACAATTCTGTTAAAATAATAACTTGTCTGTTGTCTGTGTGAGGAGAGAAGCATTGAAGCCTGTATCGGTTATCTTTAATGTCTATTTTGATGGCTTTTTATTTATGGAATATCGGTGCGTTTTGATCTACAAGCCCTCTGAGTTGTTTTTGGAGGAGAGGGCTTTAGACACAAATGAGTGATGGGCACAGCCACGGACAGCCCATCCTAAATTAAATATTCCCTGCTTGATCTTGCCACTTTATTTTTAAAAAAGCGAAATTAGCATGAGTTCATTTAATATCTTGCACTGTCCAAGCCAGAAATAATACCATAATCCTAAGGGGTCGCCCTTATTTTATGCTCCTGTTTAAGCCTTCAAACAGCTCTTTAAATACATGTGTCTTTATCTTTGCTTTTTACTTTCTTTCATGTTTCTCTAGGCATTTGACTTTGGAGTCTGTCTAAGTCACACTGCTGTTTTTCTAAATTATCCTTAAAGCTGACCTCTTTTGGGAAGTCCTTGCAGGGCTAATGGTCAAACAGCATTCCTATATTTATCCTGGGCACTGAGGGAATTCATTTTCCTTTTTTTATTCTGGGCGAGGGGGACCAGATGAAAGTGGGCATCTGGTCTGTCTTTTATCTAAAATGTAAAATATGCTTTTTAAAACACCATATTGAAACCAGCCACACAATGTTGAGGGGACAGCTGGGTGTCCAGATCATTTGCCTATCATGGTTCTCTGTTTATTAGGAAGCATTGCAGCTCCTGGAGCAGCCCTACTCACTTGGGCATCCAGCAGTTGAAGCCGAGTTTTGATATACTTTACATAATGAAGCCCATGGAAGGTGCTCTGAGCATAAAATCTTATGAAAAGAATTTCTCTGAGATCTTTTCCCTATTTCCTATTTCTAGGGATGTAGTTAGATGTATTTACAACTTCAGAGCCTGTTGCAATTTTAGTGTTGGTTACACCTAAGGGAGGCTCCAGTCAAAATTATAACATTGGCAAAGAGTCTCCTTGGAGACTTTTCTCCAGGTGCTCCGATCTTGTTTAGATATACTTTGGACCCCACCACCCTCCCCACTGGGCCAGACATTGTCCTAGACCCTGTAATTCCCATCTGCTTCCCATCCTTCAGTAGGGATCTTGTCTGTTCATTCACTCATCCTTTCATTGAACAAATGTTGAGAGGCTGCTGAGAACCAGGCCTTCCAATCAGCCTTGGGGATACAGAGGGGGCATGGAGTGGCTGCTCTCAGGGATCTTACAATGTGTGTGCAAGTTACAGAAGCAATGAATTAATGATGCTGCATTAGGTCAGGTGAGGGATGTAGGAGGAGGGGGAGGGAACCACCTAATGGGGAGGCGTCTCTGGGAAATGAGGAGCCTGCCTGCAAGAATCCAGAAGGAAACCAGTGTGGCTAGGGAAGAGGATGGACTCCACGGCTCTTGGCCACGTTCTGAAGATATCTCAGCAGTTGCACTTGACTCTTTTTGTTTCATCTTCTGGGTACCATTTTAAGGAATACTTAATTTACTGATGGCTAAGAGTCATAAGGTAACTTAGACTTCTTACGAATATATTCAGTGTTCAGAAAAGTCTATTTTTATTATCAGCAACCACAGCTTCAACATTTCATCTGACCTTTTTCAGTATATAACAATTTCCTTTGACTTTATGTTGATGTCATTTCTTAGCTTGCCAAAGTTTTGGAATTTTTAGGATTTTTTTTCAGTTTCTCAAGTAGCACATCAAGTTTCCTTTATTTCCAAGACTTGATAGCAAAATTCATTTGGATGTGGTATTTATTGTTGCTGTTATTGTTTCTTTCTAGGTCATTCCTTAGTTTACTCATCTTCAGCATTCCATAAGTTGGTCATTTCAATGATTTTCAGTGAATTGGCCTGATCTCACATCTCTCTTCTAAACTTACTTTCATTATGTTTTTATTTAAATTGTTCTTTTTACATATGTTTAGTTCTTACAAAACTTCCATTATACTTTGGAGTTTGGATGAATGTAAATTCCAAATAAATGTACTGATTTCTCCTCTTCCCTTATTGATCTCCAGCATCCTTCTCTAATTAAATATTTATTGAAGGTCCGTTCTGTGCCTTGCATAATGATAGGCTCTGGGAATAGAAATAAAAAACAAAATCTTTGTCCTATAAATATATGGACACTAAGTAATGGAGCTTATCTGCATTCTCTTATTCTGTTAGGCAATATTTTACTTCAGTGAATTTAGTTTCTTACGCCATAGAAATGCATGATGCGCCTACCATTTCTTAGGATCAGCCCAGCTGTAGGAAGTGATATTAGCTTTTTATTTTCTCACAAAGACATACAAGGCTTTGGCTTAACTTTCTTTTCTTTTATTTTTACTAACTAGCTTTTAAGTCTGGCATTGATAGCACTTGACTGTGTTATTCTGATTTTTGAAAACCTAAAACTTGCCTTCTTAAAATTTGCTAGCTTATTCCCTACTTCTTTTTTCTTCTCCAAAAAAAAAAAAAAAAAAAGGAAAAAGATAAAAAGAGTCCTCACAACATGGCTACTACCTGGTGTGCATTTTCCAAGATGGATCCTGGGACTTCAGTGTTTGGCAAACCATGGCATGGTCACTAAAAACTTGTCTATTTGAACAGTTTGCAATTGTTCCACAGTGAGCAGGTCTATGCAAACCTACCTCCAAAGTCCGAGGAAGCCGAGAGGCTGAAGGAAGAGGTTAACACATCCATTTTCTCAGAAAGAAACATTTAATGGCGACTTAGGAACAGAAGGCAGGGTCTTGGGTGGTGGCCAGACAGGATGATGGATCCCTGTGCCATCACCCCCACAAGACCCAGGGCTTATACACCAGAGCGACCCCTCAGGGAAAGGCGAGAGTGCTGTATGAATCTGCCTGATGGCAGGATTTATGGTCAAGGTTTTTTTGTTTGTTGGTTTTTTGTTTTTGTTTTTGTTTTGTTTTAGATGGAGTCTCGCTCTTGTCACCCAGGCTGGAGTGCAGTGGTGTGATATGGGCTCACTGCACCCTCCGCCTCCCAGGTTCAAGTCATTCTCCTGCCTCAGCCGCCTGAATAGCTGGGCCATCACATGCCCACCATCACGCCCAGCTAATTTTGTATTTTTAGTAGAGATGGGGTTTCACCATGTTGGCCAGACTGGTCTTGAGCTCCTGACCTCAGGTGATCCCCTTGCCTTGGCCTCCCAAACTGCTGGGATTACAGGCGTGAGCCACCGCGCCTGGCCGGTCAACGTTCTTTTTTTGACCTAAGAGCAGGATTGATGGTGACAGTAGATAAAGTAGAAATCTTGGAGGCGTTCCTGGAACAGGGATTAATCAGAAGCCAACATGGTGGATCAGATCCAAGAGGGGGCTTTAGGCTCCACAGTGATGCTTTGCATATTCAAGCTTGGTGCTGCACAAACTGACCAAGAAGACAGCCAATAAAACATTACAGATGTGGAATTTGTTTTATTTCCTGTGCCAGTCAAGTTTCAGGGTAGAACGCAGAATCTACTTGAGGTATCTTAAGCAGAAATGACTGTATTTTAATGAATTAAGTCAAGTGCTCACACAATTGTTGGAAAGGCTGGAGAAGCAAGTTCCAGTCTAGAACTCTGAAAATAATGCCCAGGTGCCAGGGAGTCTGGCAGTGACCCCTGGGCCTGTAAGATTCAGGAACACACCCTTAAGTCTGAGATCCACAGATAGATTGGGAAGGCCCTATTGCTGGGGCTACAGTGGCCTCTCTACACCCACGAATCTGGAGATGGACTTTCAGAAGCAGAATGAGGTCCCTGTCTCACCTGTAACTGCCTCTCATTGCCCTGGAAGCTGGAGATGGGGCGGTGGAGCACAGCCACAGGAAGAAACCTCATATTCCTAAGACCTTGTTATCAGCAGATAAGAAGCCGAAGGGCACCAATCTCTCCTCTACCTGGCTTTCCCCTTTAAAATGTCAGTGACTTTTAATATCCGCAGGATCTTTAGCAGAAAAGAAGTCTAGGAAATGTAGTTTTTAGCCTCTCAGGGTCTACAGTGCAGGAAAGCACCCTGGAAAGGGTTGAGAATGAATGCTGAGGGCCAATTAATTACATGCAACACGATTACAGAAGGGCAAATAGTGGGATGTGCCAGTGAATACTACTCAATGGGCAGCTAGGTGAAATATCTAATATAAGGAGAAGGCCTCCTGGAGTTTATTTTACTGGAATCTCCTGCCATTAAGGCAACCAACCCTCCCTGCCTGTGTCATACTTGAAATAAGAACTTTCAGGGAAATTCCAGTTAAGGCTAGTCCTGTGTAGAGAAGAGAGGGAAAGTAAGGTGTGCAGGAAGTCCCAGGAGATTTAAGATAGCTGAAGTTTACACTAATTCTCCCCATGTCAAAGTGAGTGGAGTCCATACTGGTGATACAAGCAGTAAGTATGAATCTGGACTCAAATTTTTACTCACATATAATTCACATGGCATTATGTAAGTTGGGGAGCACGAGTAAACTAGATACTTGAGAACACGGTGATGTTAGATGTCATATATCATTAATGAAATCAGCACAGATTCCTTAGGCCACACTGTCTATGTGAAAGCCTTTGGAGCGAGGCCGCCATCAGGTGACATTGTTCTAGGTTCAATGGGAAGGAGTGTATCAGTCTGTTCTCATGCCTCAGTGAAGAAATACCCAAAACTGGGTAATTTATAAAGAAAAAGGTTTAATTGACTCACAGTTCTGCATGGCTGGGGAGGCCTCAGCAAACTTACAATCATGGTGTAGGCATCTCTCTTCACAGGACAGCAGGAGAGAGAATGGGTGCAAGAAGGGGAAATGCTGGATGCTTATAAAACCATCAGATCTTGTGAGACTCACTCACTATCATGAGAACAGCATGGGGAAACTGCCCCCATGACCCCATTGCCTCCACCTGGTCCCATCATTGACATGTGGGGATTATGTGGATTATAGTTCAAGGTGAGATTTGGGTGGGGACACAGAGCCAAACTATATCATTCTGCCCCTGACCCCTCCCAAATTTCACGTCCTCACATTTCAAAACACAATCATGCCTTTCCAACCAACTGTCCTCAAAGTGTTAGTCTTAACTCATTCCAGCATTAACCGAAAAGTCCAAGTCCAAAGTCTCATCTGAGACAAGGTAAGTCTCTTCTGTCTAGGAGCCTGTAAAATCAAAAGCAAGTTAGTTACTTCCTAGATACAATGGGGGTAAAGACATTGGGTAAATACAGCCATTCCAAATGGGAGAAATTGGCCAAAATAAAGGCCCCAGGCAAGTTTGAAATCCAATAGGGCAGTCATTAAACCTTGAGGTTCCAAAATGATCTCCTTTGACTTCATGTCTCACAGCCAGCTCATGCTGATGCAAGAAGTGGGCTTCCACGGCCTTGGGCAGTTCCACCTCTGTGGCTTTGCAGGGTACAGCTCCCCTTCCAAGCTGCTTTCATGGGCTGGCTTTGAGTGTCTGCTGCTTTTCCAGGTACACAGTGCAAACTGTCAGTGAATCTACCATTCTTGGGTCTGGAAAATGGTGGCCTTCTTCTCCTAGTTCCACTAGGCAGCTCCCCCATGGGTACTCTGTGTGGGGGCTCCAACAGCACTGCCCTAGCAGAAGTTTTCCATGAGGGAGAAAACTTCTACCTGGACATCCAGGCATTTCCATACATCCTCTGAAATCTAGGTGGAAGCTCCCAAACCTCAGTTTTTGACTTCTGTGCACCCACAGGCTCAACACCATGTGGAAGCCACCAAGGTTTGGGGCTTGCACTCTGAAGCAATGGCCTGAGCTATACCTTGGCCACTTTTAGCCACACTGGAGCTGAAGTAGCTGGGATGCAGGGCACTATGTCCTGAAGCTGCATAGATCAGGAGGGCCCTGGGCCCTGGGCCCCTCAAAACCATTTTTTCCTCCTAGGCCTCCAGGCCTGTGATGGTAGGGGCTGCCTTGGAAGTGTCTGACATACTCTGGAGACATTTTCCTCATTGTATTGGTGATTAACATTCAGCTCCTCATTACTTATACAAACTTCTGTAGCAGGCTTGAATTTTTCCCTAGAAAATGGGTTTTTCTTTTTCAGTGCATTGTCAAGCTGCAAATTTTCCAAACTTTGAAGCTCTGCTTCCTGTTGAACTCTTTGCCACTTAGAAATTTCTTCTGCCGGATACCCTAAATCATCTCTGTCAAGTTCAAAGTTCCACAGATCTCTAAGGCAGGGGCAAAATGTCACCAGTCTCTTTGCTAAAACATAGCAAGAGTGACCTTTACTCCAGTTACCAACAAGTTCCTCATCTTCATCTGAGATGACCTCAGCCTGATCTTCATTTTCTGGATCACTATCAAAGCTATTCAAGTCTCTAGGAAGTTCCAAACTTTCCCACATTTTCCTATTTTCTTTTGAGCCCTCCAAAATGTTCCCACTTCTGCGTGTTACCCAGTTCAAAAGTCATTTCCACACTTTCGGTTATCTTTACAGCAGAACCCCACTCTTGGTACCAATTTACTGTATTAGTCTATTTTCACGCTGCTAGGAATACCCAAGACTGAGTATTTCAGTTTCAATTTATAAAGAAAAGAGGTTTAATTGACTCCCAGTCCCACATGTTGGGGATGCCTCAGGAAACTTACAATCATGGCTGAAGTAACCTCTTCACAGGGTGGCAGGAGAGAGAATGAGTGCAAGCAGGGGAAATGTCAGATGCTTATAAAACCCATCAGATCTCATGAGACTTACTCAGTATCATGAGAACAGCATGGGGAAACCACCCCCATGATCCAATTACCTCCACCTGGTCCTGCCCTTAACATGTGAGGATTATGGGGATTACAATTCAAGTTGAGATTTGGGTGGGGACACAGAGTCAAACCATATCAAGGAGGTACCAACTGTGTGAGGGGCCACAGTGAGCCAGGGTTTGAAGAGACCCAGGACCTCATGAGGATCAAGTGTTCACTGCAGGCTGGGAGACCAGGATGGGCCTTGTTGATTCAGAACACTAGACAAGTAATGCATTTTCTTCTTGCTGTTTTGGCATTGGGTAGAGACTGGCTGCAATTTATCATTCACCAGAACAATTTTTGGATAGAGATTTGTAAGAGAACCCTCACTTTTGTTTCGATGAGGCCTTCTGGCCTCAAGAATCTGAAGAGATTTTGCGGTTTGGTTTTATTTTCATAGAAAGACCAAAAAAACCCTCTGGAACACAAACTAATTCTGTATTTTAGGTTTTTCATATAGCTTCTGACAACCACGAAGTGCTCAAGCGTTTAAACTTATGTTAACTAAATGAGCAAGGATTCCTTCCAATTCAAAGAAACCTATGAGCGTGGCAGGGATTCTGTGCGGTGTTGCTTGCCTACTGTTGGCCACATGCTTCTTTTTAGCTATAAGGATTGAGAGTATGAGTCACCTATAATTTTATGCTTCTTGAAAGCTTTCCTGAGAAGTTATCTTCAGAAATCTCCTTTCGAATTCTGTATCAGACTTTTATTGCGTTTATATATTTATGTTAAAAGTGCCTTGTACATGGCTGCGCCAACTGGGATGGAGTCTTTTTCCAAAAGGGCTTAAATATCTGATGAAAATTGTATTTTCTTGGGAAAGAAAGAAAAAATGAGGGCTTGGTACTTCCTCAGAACTTTGTTTGGGTGTGAATTTTTGTTTTTAACTCCCTGTACTCTCATTCCCAATGGGCAGGACTTTTTTTTTTTTTGAGGATTTTTTTAAGGTTTTAATTACTGTTTTCTCACATGACTCTGCTCCCTACCTCATATAATTATACTATTTGTTGGAACCTAAAGACATTGAAACATTACAGGGGATGTAAACCCACTTTGCTGGTCTATAGCTTTGGAGTGCTTCCTCCTGCTACTCAAAAACCTGTCGAGCTCCTGGTGGCTGTACTGGAGTCAGCCTCCTGTCTTGGTTGTCAACATCTGTGGCTGTCAGCCCACAATGACCTTTGAGGAATGCCTTGGTGGCCCCTCAGGCACTTCTTGATCAGGTTCAGAGTGACCCAGAACCGGGATTATTCCAACCCACACTGGTGCAGCCATGCAAATTCTGAGTGGAATCCTCAGGGCGTTGACCCAGTGGCTGTGGTCAGAATCTGTACAAGACTTTCTGCAAAGACATATTTCTTGGCTTCAGTTCTATAGACTCCAGTCAGCCAGGGGAGAGGGGACTCATGAGCTCTGCAGTGATGACAGCGTGAGGAACGTTTATTTCAATCTGCAGCTTGCAGCTCGCTTCAGATTTATGCACTGTAGGATGTACGGATACATCCTACTCTGGCTGTATACTCATTTACTCTTAGCTAAATGCCAGACATGACAGGAGATGGTAGCATTTTCTCACATGCGCCACTTCACATTCAGTGGGGCTAGTGGGGCCAGTGGGGCCAGTGGATCCTGGCCCTGGTATGTATTATATTTAAGCTCCTTGGATGACTCTGGGCAGCTGGGTTTGGAACATCTGACCTACAGGATTTTAAAATTTGAGCATTCCAAGTAAACTGTGGTATCCCCTACCCCTCAGACTGGGCCAGTGATGACCAGGGTCATTTGGAGGACTCACAGGCCTTCCAGTGCTTGATGGTCTTCCTGAGGCATGCCGGAGGCATCCAGCCAGCATAATGCAAATGCTGAGCTCTGAGAAGTGACATTGCATGTGGTGTAGGTAGGGGAAAGCCTGCCCAGTAGAGGTGAACCACCATTACTGATGTTACTGATGCCTATAGACCGCTCTCCTCCACCCCCAGGGGTGGTGCTGGGCACTGGGTGGATTTGGCCTTACAGAGATCCCAGAATGAATGGAAAACAGAGGGAGGAAAGAAAGACTTGTGTGCATTGTAATTTCCTTCTTGAAAGCAAAATTCTGCACCTTAAATTATTTGCACACACACACTGAGTATACCTGTGTGTAACAGCAGACTTGGAAGGACATTCTAATTCAACTTGGCTCTGCCCGGTGGAGGGCAGAAGAGAACGGGAGTGTAGGGATCCTCGGCTGTCCACCCTCCTCTGCTAGCAAGCATCGCAGCCAACGGTCACTCCTTGGATGACAAGGAAGGTGACTACTGACGGGGACAGCCACGGTCTTAGACTTGCAAGTCGATACTTCTGGTGCAAAAGGAATCCTGGGCCCGCTGAGCCCGCGGCATGCACTGTACTATTCCAGAACATGGTTTTGAACTGAAAGCAGTTTTATGGGTTGCAATCAATGAGTAGGACAGAAACTTCCTATTACTCAGAGGAATATGATCACATAAGTGGTCCCAAGTCAGCAGACGGAGGGGCAGATGGGTACTCAGAGAACAGGGAGGACAGAGGTTGGCTGAAAAGTCAAGTCCTTTGGAGCCCTTTCTATATTGTAAAAAACAACAACCTTTCCCTGACCACATCATAAATGTTCACAGGAAAAACAGAAGAGTTTTTTTTTTTTAACAATGTTTAAAAAGTATGCTACTTTAAGATAAAAAGTTCAGCTCTAGGCAGAATAGTAAACTATGGTTGCTCTGATTTTATTCAGTAAATGGATTACTGTGAAAACATCATTGCTGTGTCAAAATAGATGTTTAAAAAATATGCAGTTGATTTTACAAACCTCTCTCATGGATTCTTCCCCTTTCCCTGCTGTGGCTCACCTCCGCCCCATGAGGCTGCATGCCTGCCCCGAGCCTGAGAAGACAGCCTTGGCCTCCACCATCCCCATCTGACCATCTCTGGCACATCCTCCAGGCTGACTCTCATGACACTTGCTAGGGGACACCTTCACCTTCTCCCTCTGTCAAAATCAGGTGCACAGATCTCAGTAGTTTCCACCTGCAGCACGTTTCTCATGCCTCTGCTGTAAGGGAGGATTGCATTGCATGGTAATTCATTTTGTTGTTTACTGCGCTGGAGAATCTAGCAACCAGACATTTGTCTCATGGGTCTTTGTGCTTCTAGGGCCCTGCAAAGCCTCTAAAGCACGCAGGCACTTTGCAAAGACTTCCTGCTGAATGAGAGGAGGAGCTCCCGCGAGTCACACTGCACAGACAGCGGGGAGCAGCATCACCTTCCTCCTCGGATATGTGGAGGGTTTCAGGTGTGAGAGGATGGTACCTGGAAGGGAGTGTGTTGGATGGCTTCCCCAGTGAGAACACATGGCCCTACCGTCACTCAGCTCCCAGTAAATAGTAAGTGCTCACAGATGTTTTTTGAGCATGAAAACCTTAAAATGTGCATTGTAGGAACTACTGACTATTTTTGGAGGAGGAGACCAGGTCCCAAAGGGAGATGAGACTTACCAGGTGTCACCCAGCAGTTCTGGGACTGCGTGAGGCTCCTGTTCTGGTTCCCAGCCATGAGCTCAGCTTTTACCTCCCCTGGGAGGTTCTGTGGTTGAGGACAGACTGCGGAAACCCTGAAGGCAGTTGATACATAGCCACAGGCTTCTATGTTTCTGGGTTTACTTCTTTTTATTTTATTTTATTTTATTTTATTTTTGAGACGGAGTCTCGCTCTGTCGCCCAGGCCGGACTGCGGACTGCAGTGGCGCAATCTCGGCTCACTGCAAGCTCCGCTTCCCGGGTTCACGCCATTCTCCTGCCTCAGCCTCCCGAGTAGCTGGGACTACAGGCGCCCGCCACTGCGCCCGGCTAATTTTTTGTATTTTTAGTAGAGACGGGGTTTCACCTTGTTAGCCAGGATGGTCTCGATCTCCTGACCTCATGATCCACCCGCCTCGGCCTCCCAAAGTGCTGGGATTACAGGCGTGAGCCACCGCGCCCGGCCCTGGGTTTACTTCTTAAAGAAAGTCAATCTTGATGCCCATTGCAAATGAGCCGAGTGCTGCAGTCCTGTGGGTGGGAGCTGGAGGGGAGCTGCTGCCTGGGCACACTGCCTTCCGAGTCACCTGTCTCACAAATAACACACAGAATTCCCAAGGACCTCAAGTCCTGCGAAGCAGCGAGCACATCTGCATAAGGGCCTCCATCTGTCACTGTCAAGTCCAGAATTCACATCGATTTTGCTGTTTCTAACATAAACTGTGACTGTTGCTGTGGTTTGAGGGTTTGTGACAAGCAATAAAATACAAGTGGACGTTCCATTTACTTAAAGCTTATACATGTCAGCACCTAACCAAATAAAAAATAGGAGGAAAAATAAACTGACAATGATTAATATCACTAATGATTTGTTTTGCTTATTTTCTAAAGTAGAAACTTGATCCCTTCTGTTTAAAATAGGCAGAGACATGATACCAGGAAGCACGAAAGCAATTTAGCTTCTGTCCTTACTTGTTCTTCTGCCATAGTTGGGAATTTTTTTATTTTCTGTGGAATTAAATGTGCAAATACTAATTTTCACTAAATAAGAAAAATGTAAATGAGGTTGTGAATATGTCAGTAAGAGATGAACATGTCTAATTTAATAATGATTTTTTTTTGTTTGTTTGTTTTTTGAGACAGAGTCTCTCTCACTGTGTTGCCCAGGCTGGAGTGCAGTGGCATGATCTCAGCTCACTGCAACCTCTGCCTCCCATGTTCAAGGGGTTCTCCTGCCTCAGCTTCCTGAATAGCTGGGATTACAGGCATGTGCCACCATACCCGGCTAATTTTTGTATTTTTAGTAGAGATGGGGATTCACCATATTGGCCAGGCTGTTTTTGAACTCCTGACCTCAAGTGATCCACCCACCTCAGCCTCCCAAAGTGCTGCAATTACAGGTGTGAGCCACCCCACCTGGCTTAATGATGATTCTTTATCTAAAGTAACCACACTAACAATGCAGTGGGTGGTGAAATTTGGATTTTCTAGCATCTAGAGACATAAGCTGGGAAGTCCTTCAATAGCTCACTCTATTCCCTGTGAAAGAAGTCATTAAAACATGTTTAATGTTGGCAAATTTTGCTTCCTCTTGTTTGGGCAAATCAAGAATGATAACAGATTTGGAGACCAACAGGGCCTTTGAGAATTGGTCGTGAGACAATCAAGCCCTTGCTTTTAGATGGGCGCTTTTTTGGTTAATATTTAGCACTGGCAGGTTCTTCTAAGATCTCAGCATGCTATCCTCCATGTTATTTCTTTTCTTCTCACATCGTGTTTGAGACCAAAGTGATTTCAGGCATCATTTGCCCTTTTTGGAGCTTCTCCGGATGGATGACTTGGACACCTGTGGGACATGTTGTAATTTGCCCCAGGAACTCCAGCTGCCGCACAAAAGCAGGCTAGATACTGCCGATTAAATGGTGCGACAATGTTACAAATGCAACTTTGAGTGGCAGATTTGGGCTGCAAAGGAATTAGTAATCAAGATGTAAAGAGAGGCAGAGTGGATTGTGTCAAAATGGTACTAGCTCGTGAACCACACCAGCAGGCACTGGCTGGAAAGGGGAACTCAGTGGTAAAGAGGGTAAAGAGTGCCTGTGTTCTGTTGTGGTAGGGGACAATGGTCAGTTCGTTGCTTCCATGGGGAGCTTGAAATGAACAAGGTGAGAAGGCAAACCAGGTTCCTCCGTGACACACAGGGCTAAGGGGCCTTTATCTCTGCCTGTGAGGCCCTGGCAGTTGGCTTCTTCCTTATCCAAAGGAATCAGTAAGATCTCATTCTGTATTATTACTGGCTCATGAAAACTGTTGAGTAAACACAGGTTGTTGAAAAATAACATGTTAATTTTAAAATGCTTGCTATGTTCTCAAGTGGGGTATTAGCAAATTGTGGACCATGGCTGAATGCAGCCTGACACCTGCTTTTCACATAAAGCTGTACTGGAGTACAACCCTGCTCGTCTGTTTACATGTTGTGTGGCTTCCTTTCCTGTAACAGTGGAGTGATGGGGATGGTATAGCTTCCAAAGACTAAACTATTTACTATCTGGCCCTGTTCTGGAAAAGTTGCTTATATTGGCTCTAGAGTAGCCTTGTCCAGTAGAAATACAATGTGGGTAACCTGGTAGGTCTTGTCTGATTTGTTTCGATGGAGGAGGTAGACATCTGTCATTTGCTGTATGGGAGTAGAGACTCTGGGCTCACCCTGAACCTCAGAGAGGTCACATGGTAGCTAACATCTGAGTCTTACATCCTTCAGTTGTAAGATTGGAATCTTAGTTATATTCTACCTACATCAGAGATAGTTGTGGGAATCAGTAAAATTAGTATGATAATACACTGTAAGCCAGAGCCCCAGGGAAAAAGGTATCACAGTAACTTTCGAGAATGAGGATCCATCTGGTGCACAAAAGATTGATGGGCTTTTGTCTTCTGTCCACATTTGGGTCCAAAGTGTTCCATAAAAAGTATCCCCTAAAGGTGACCCCAGTGATATGAAAGTGAGTAGCTTTCACTGCAAAAACACACCAAAATATAAAGACCAATGACACTATGAAGAAACTACATCAACTAATGTGTAAAATAACCAGCTAGCATCATGATGACAGAATCAAATTCACACATAACAATATTAACCTTAAATGTAAATAAGCTAAATAGCCTCAATTAAAAGACACAGACTGTCGAATTGGATAACGAGTCAAGACCCATCAGTGTGCTGTATTCAGGAGACCCATCTCATGTGCAAAGACACATAAAGGCTCAAAATAAAGGGATGGAGGATATACCCAAAGGATTATAAATTATACTACTATAAAGACACATGCACATGTATGTTTATTGCAGCACCATTTACAATAGCAAAGACTTGGAACCAACCCAGATGCCCATCAGTGATAGACTGGATAAAGAAAATGTGGCACATATACACCATGGAATACTCTGTAGCCATAAAAAAGAATGAGTTCATGTCCTTTGCAGGGACATGGATGAAGCTGGAAGCAACATTCTCAGCAAACTAACACAGGAACAGAAAATCAAACACTGCATGTTCTCACTCATAAGCGGGAGTTGAACAATGAGAACACATGGACACCGGGAGGGGAACATCACACACCCGGGCTGGCTAGGGGTCAGGGGCAAGGGGAGAGAGAGCATTAGGACAAATACCTAATGCATGCAGGGCTTAAAACCTAGATGATGGGTTGATAGGTGCAGCAAACCACCATGGCACATGTATACCTATGTAACAAAGCTGCACGTTCTGCACAAGTATCCCAGAACTTAAAGTAAAATAAATAAAAAAAGAGAAAGTGAGTGGCTTTCCCAGTGGGTTACAATATAATATTTAGGAATTTCTCTTAACAGTAAAGAGAAAAAAGTATAACAAGAGATAATTTTAATAAAGAAGGGCTAAGAAGGCATAGTTTAAGAAAATGATTTTATTCTGAATTTTTTAAACTTTGAGCTGCTTGATGGTCTGTCCCAGAAAAACAAGCCTCTGCATTACAGAAGGATGGGTTCAGAGAGTGCACCTTGCCTCTAGTGTCAGAATGTTGCAACCTGGGCTCCTGTGAAAAGCCTGTGTGTTTTGTCATGAAGGCAGGAGGCCTTATACAATTCTACCAGTACTCTTGTTAGCTTTGGAAGATGCAGACAATCTGTATTTAGTGTGAAGTCTGATTACCTATTGAACAAAGAAAAAAATTGGAAACAATTGCTTTGGAAAGCACAGAAAATACCTATTTTCTTGCCAGAGTTTTTATCTGAAAGTGGAAAAAACAAGGTTTAGAATGTCTATTTTGGAATCAAGGATGCTTTTAGCTCTGTTATCTTCTATTTAACAGGAGATTCTGATTTTTAAACATTTGTTCTGCTGGGTCTCAGAGATCTTTTGGTGCTGGACTGATCTTAGCCATAAAAACATTTTAACAGGTCCTGTTATTTAGTAATGAAATAGTAGAGGTCGTACACAGCATTCGCTTAGAAATATTTTTTTAACTAGATCATGGGGAGACAACTCAATGATTCATTTTAAGTCTGGAAGTTTGAAATTTAGGAAACTCCTTGAGGAAGGTTGTTGACGCCACTAGTGTTGTGGCCATGAAGATACATAACGAGGTTCTTATTTGTCAGAGACCATGGAAATATGGATTTACCTGAAGGAGGGATAGGAACTAGATGATTCTCAAGAACCTTTTGATACTTAAATATTAGAATGTTCAAGAAAATAGAAGAAATTCTATTTGTTGCATTTATTGGGATGATGATTTGTCTCTTTTCCTCCTTCCTGCTCCTTCTTTTCAGGCTGTGGTTGGGGTCTTTTCATTTTAAATATACCTATTGTATTAGTCCATTTTCATGCCTCTGATAAAGACATACTTGAGACTGGGCAATTTATAAAAGAAAGAGGTTTAATTGGACTCACAGTTTTATGTGGCTGGGGAGGTCTCACAATCATGGCAGAAGGCAAGGAGGAGCAAGTGACATCTTACATGGATGGTGGCAGACAAAAAGAGCTTGTGCATGGAAACTCCAGTTTTTAAAAACCATCAGATCCCGGTGAGACACATTCACTATCATAAGAACAGCAAGGGAAAGATGATCTCCCCCCAGGTCCCTCCCACAACACATGGGAATTATGGGAGCTACAAGATGAGATTAGGGTGGGGACACAAAGCCAAGCCGTATCATTCCACCCCAGGCCCCTCCCAAATCTCATATCTTCACATTTCAAAACCAATCATGCCTTTCCAACAGTCCCCTAAAGTCTCAACTCATTTCAGCATTAACTCAAAAGTTCACAGTCCAAAGTCTAGTCAGAGACAAGGCAATTCCCTTCCACCTATGAGCCTGTAAAACCAAAAGCAATGTTAGTTACCTCCTGGATACAATGGGGGTACAGACATTGGGTAAATACAGCCATTCCAAATGGGAGAAATTGGCCAAAACAAAGGGGCTATTGGCCCCATAGAAGTCCAAAATCCAGCGGGCAGTCAAATCTTAAAGCTCCAAAATGATCTCCTTTGACTCCATGTTGCATATCCAGGTCACACTGATGCAAGAGGTAGGTTCCCATAGTCTTGGGCAGCTTTGCCCTGTGGCTTTGCTGGGTATGGTCTCCCTCCTGGCTGCCTTCACAGGCTGGCATTGAGTGTCTGCAGCTTTTCCAGGTTCATAGTGCAAGCTGTCAGTGGAGCTACCATTCTGGGATCTGGAGGATGGTGGCCATCTTCTCACAGCTCCACTAGGTGGTTCCCCCACAGGAACTCTATGTGGGGTTTCCCATCCCGCATTTCCTTTCTACACTGCCCTAGCAGAGGTTCTCCATGAGGACCCCGCCCCTACAGCAAACTTCTGCTGGGCATCCAGGCGTTTCCATACATCTTCTGAAATCTAGGTGCAGGTTCCCAAACCAATACTTGACTTCTGTTCACTAGCAGGCTCAATACCATGTGGAAACTGTGAAGGCTTGAGGCTCACACTCTCTAAAGCCATGGGCTGAGCTCTGTGTTGGCCCCTTTTAGACATGGCTGAAGTGGCTGGGACGCAGGGCATCAAGTCCCTAAACTGCATACAGCAGAGGGACCCTGGGCCCGGCCCATGAAACCATTTTTTCCTCCTAAACCTCCAGGCTCGTGATGGGGCGGGCTGCTGCAAAGGTCTCTGCCATGCCCTGAAGACATTTTCCCCATTATCTTGGTGAATCACTTCGGCTCCTTGTTCCTTATGCAAATTTATGCAGCCAGCTTGAATTTCTCCTCAGAAAAAGGGATTTTTTTTTTCTGTCACATTGTCAGGCTGTAAATTTTTCAAACTTTTATGCTGTTTCCATTTTAAAACCAAATGCCTTTAACAGCACCCAAGTCACCTCTTGAATGCTTAGCTGCTTAGAACTTTCTTCTGCCAGATACCCTAAATCATTTCTCTCAAGTTCAAAGTTCCACAAATATCTAGGGTGGGGGCAAAATGCTGCCAGTCTCTTTGCTAAAACATTACAAGAGCTGCCTTTGCTCCAGTTCCCGGCAAATGCCTCATCTCCATTTGAGACCACCTCAGCCTGGATTTCATTGTCCATATCATTATCAGCATTTTGTCAAAGCCATTCAATAAGTATCTAGGACTTTCCTAACTTTTCCACATTTTCCTGTCTTCTTCTGATCCCTCCAAACTGTTCCAACCTCTGCCTGCTACCCAATTCCAAAGTCACTTCCACATTTTCGGGTATCTTTTCAACAGTGCCCCATTCTACTGGTACCAATTTACTGTATTCGTCTGTTTTCATGCTGCTAATAAAGACATGCCCAAGACTGGGACATTTACAAAAGAAAGAAGTTTAACTGGACTCACAGTTTTACATGGCTGGGGAGGCCTCACAATTACGGTGACTTGCAAGAAGGAGCAAGTCGCATCTTACGTGGATGGCAGCAGGCAAAGAGAGCTTGTGCATGGAAATTTCCATTTTAAAAAACCATCAGATCTTGTGAGACCCATTCACTATCACCAGAACAGCATGAGAAAGACCCATCCATGATTCAATCATCTGCCACCGGGTCCCTCTCACAACACGTGAAAATTATGGGAGCTACAAGATAAGATTTGGTGGGGACACAGAGCCAAACCATATCACCTATATATATTCCTCATAACATTCACCTTATGAGTGTCCATTTTCGTCCATTGATAGCATCTTTTAGCGTTGGGGCACACTTCACCCTTCAGAGACAGTTTGGCTTTTTTTTTTTTTTTTTTTTTTTTTTTTAAGACAAGGTCTTGCTCTGTTGCCCAGGCTGGAGTGCAGTGGTGTGCTCCTGGCTCATTGCAGCCTTGACCTCTCCAGGTTCAGGTGATCCTCCCATCTCAGCCTCCTGAGTAGCTGGGACTACAGGAGCATGCCACCACGCCCAGCTAATTTTTCTATTTTTAATAGAGATGGAGATTCACCATGTTTCCCAGACTGGTCTCCCACTCCTGGGCTCAAGTTGTCTGCCCATCTCAGACTCCCAAAGTGCTGGGATTACAGCTGTGTGCCACCACGCCAGTCCAGTTTGGCTTCTTAATTCTCTGCAATCACTTCCTTGAGTATTCACCTTTCAGTCCCTTTCAGGACTAGCTCCCTTTGCCCTTTGCTACTTTTCCCTTCTTATCTTTTATTTTCTTGAAGGTAGGTTGTATGGTAGAGGCAGTATATAAATTACCTGTTACTTATTAGCTGTGTAATTTAGAAAATGTTACCTAATTGAACTTCAGTTTTATTCTTTGCAAAATGTGAATAATCACCTTCACTTTACAGAGATTTAAGAAATAAAATGATTTAAAGGTAGTCAGCACCTGGTACATTTACTGAAAACATTTAAAAACGGATGTATGGGTGACATGGTAAGCATTTGACAACTTTCTTTAGATGATTGAATGGGTTGCTAAGTCACACTTTTTTTTTTTCGACAAAGTCTTGCTCTGTCGCCCAGGCTGGAGTGCAGTGGCATGATCTTGGCTTACTGCAGCCTCTGCCTCCTGGGTTCATGCAATTCTCCTGCCTCAGCCTCCCGAGTAGC
Source organism: Homo sapiens (assembly GCF_000001405.40). Taxonomy (NCBI): domain Eukaryota; kingdom Metazoa; phylum Chordata; class Mammalia; order Primates; family Hominidae; genus Homo; species Homo sapiens. Next base: position 21,957,301 of record NC_000013.11, read on the forward strand.
TGGGATTACAGGTGCCCATCACCACACCCAGCTAATTTTTGTAATTTTAGTAGAGAGGAGGTTTTTCCATGTTGGCCAGGCTGGTCTCGAACTCCTGACCTCAAGCCATCCACCTGCCTTGGCCTCCCAAAGTGCTGGGATTACAGGCATAAGCCACCACACCCAGCTGGTACTTCCTATTTTTAAAAGCCCACTTTGTGGTGTCTCACGGACAGGGAATCAAACTCTCAGTTAATGTTCTGCTCTATTTTCCTCTGTAATTTCAAGTTACCACCACGTGGGTCAGCAGGTAAAGGAGTCTCTTAGTCTTAACCTTGATTCCAAAACAGGAGAAATATAGCATACGTAATTTAAACAATTTAAATCCTGAATTGCCAATATAAAGTGCTAAGTGTTAGCACCATGCTAGCTTTGACAAACTATAAAAATAGATGAAATTTCTAAGAAAAGGGGCTTTCTCCCTGACCATCCCCTGCCAGCTATGAATTTTCCCGGTCGGCATGAATTGTGCTTGAGAGGTGATATGCCTCAGAAGCTTTTCCAGCAGAAGAAGTTGTAGATTGCAACCAAAATAATGACCCTCCACAACTAATGTGTTCTAAGTGGCTGATGGCTTCAAACATTGTACTTGTTCATGTTGACTGGGATTGGAGTGCTGATGGAGGTAGGGCAGAGGGCTAGGGTTGCAAAATTCTCTGGTCTAGCTTTTAACATAAGTGAAACTGCTTAGTGAATTATTCCATTTGCATTCCATTTGCTGACTTAAGAATGACCACAGAGGCTATAGGCAAAAGAAAGGATCTGGCACCAAACTACTTACTTGGCAAATTATCTTGACACCAGTGCATGCTATACTGAATATCTTAGACTTTACAATAGAGAGAAAAATCTACAAATTTATGTATATGTGGGAAAACCTTCACTTAACAATCTTATCTTTATTTTTTTTCTTTTTCTTAAATAATTTCAACTTTTATTTTAGATTCAGGGGGCACATGTGCAGGTTTGTTACAATGGTGTATTGCATGACACTGAGGTTTGGGGTATGAATGATCCCGTCACTCAGGTAGTGAGCATGGAACTCGATAGGTATTTTTTTTGCCCTTTCCCTCTTCCCCTTCTTTCCACTCTGGTAGTCCCCGGTATCTATTATTTCCATCTTTGTGTCCATATGTACCCAATGTTTAGCTCTCATTTATAAGTAAGAATATGTGGTATTTGGTTTTCTGTTCCTGCATTAATTCCCTTAGGATAATGACCTCCAGTTCCATAATGTTGCTGCAGAGGACATGATTTCATTCTTTTTTCTGGCTGTGTAGTATTCCATGGTGTATATGGACCACATTTTCTTTATTCAACCCACTGTTGATGGACAGCTAGGTTGATCCCATGTCTTTGCTATTGTGAATAGTGCTGCAATAAACATACTGGTGCAGGCGTCTTTTTTGTAGAGTGATTTGTTTTCCTTTGGGTATATACCCAATAGTGAAATTGCTCAGTCAAATGGTAGTTCTTTTCTTAGTTCTTTGATAAATCTCCAAATTGCTTTCCAAAGTGACTGAACTAATTTACATTCCTACTAGCAGTTTATAAGCATTCCTTTTTCTCTGCAGGCTCACCAGCATTTGTTATTTTTTTGTCTTAAAAAAATCTTATCTTTAAAGTCATCAGAAAAAATAGTGGAGAAAGCCTTTATTTATTAATTTAACAAACATTTGTTGAGCTTCTATTATGTAGAAAATACTTGCAAGTGCTGGCCGGGCACAGTGGCTCATGCTTGTAATCCCAGCACTTTGGGAGGCCAAAGCAGGTGGATTACCTGAGGTCAGGAGCTCGAGACCAGCCTGGCCAATATGGTGAAACCCCGTCTCTACTAAAAACACAAAAATTAGCCAGGCGTGGTGGTGGGCGCCTGTAGTCCCAGCTACTCGGGAGGCTGAGGCAGGAGAATGGCGTGAACCCAGGAGGCGGAGCTTGCAGTGAGCCGAGATTGTGCCACTGCACTCCAGCCTGAGCGAAACTCCATCAAAAAAAAAAAGAAAAGAAAAGAAAAGAAAATATCTGCAAGTGCTAAAGATAAAAAGAAAAAATAGGCAGAGGAGTCTCTGCTCTTGAATAGTCAGCAGTCATCTGGAGAGACACAATTATGTTAATTTGATAAAGACCCCCATAGAGAAATACATAAGCTGTAATGGAAATACATAGGAGAGACTCAAGGCGAGAGGGACTGAGATCTGGGAAGTCTTTCTCATGCCTTATTCAACATCACATATTGATACTGAGAGCACATGCTGGAAGTCTAATGTCAATGAGAAAGCCTTCAGGCATACATTAGCTCTTGTTTTCCATCATAACATTCATAATGGAAAGATGCGCCATATAAAAGCAGTACCTAAAAGCTTTATGCTGTGGCACAATCCTTCCTGAACATTAAAGGAATCAAGCAGGAGAGAAATAATGAATGCGAAGAATGTTTTAGTCCAGACTTCTGTATTCAATCATTAAATAAATAACGAGTGCATCCATATGCCAGTCACTCCTCTAAGACTAGGGATACAGGCGTGAACAAGACGATGTCCCTGCCTTAAGAGAACTTTCATTTTTAACTGGGCAGGAACAGACAATACATCTATACAAAAATGTATGATGCAGTATAATTTCAGATATTGAGAAGTGCTATGGCCAACCTAATATAGGGCCATGAGCTGGGGAGTGACTTAAGAGATGAATGGTGTCTGCTGTCACTTGGGTGGTCAAGGGTGGTGACATTGAATGAGAACTAAATGATGCTCATGTCTAGAGTTCCTGAGAAGGGAATGGGCCTGGGATGTCTGAGCAATAGAAAGGATTCCAGTGTTTGCTAGAGCTGGGTGATCCAGGCCGGAGGGGAGACAGTGAGGCTAGGGAGGTAGATGGGGCGGCATCCGAAGACATGCCAGCCATCTCATAGCAGGGATGGCCATGCCAAAAATGGCTGTGGGGAAATTGCCAATGGAGGCACATCTCACACTGAATATAAGAAGATTCATTATTAAAAAAACAAACTCTATATTTAAGGAATGTGGAAAAGCCTCAGACATAACTCATACTTCTGTAATCATAAGAGAATTCAAACTAGTGAGAAATTCTCTACAGGAAAATTACATGGAAGACCTTCCCCCACAGATCATCTTCTCCTCTCTATCAGAGGCTTTGTGATTGCACCCCATGATTGCAATCCATGTGAAGCACCTTCAGGCGTAGTTTAACACCTCCCAATCCTCAGGGACTTCACACAGGAGAGTAATCCTGGGAATGTAATGGGGGTGCAGCAAGATGTTAAACGCTGAATTCTGTGGTTTTAATCTAAGCCTGAGTGGTTTTTATCGATTCCTTTTATAGTTAGCAGTTAATAGAGAAGAAGGCAGACACAGTCATCTAGGGGTAAGAAGGACCTGGGGCCAATTAATAAATGTCCCATGAATCTTTCTGGAATGTTCTTGCTGAACAGCATTTTCTTTCTAAGAAAGCAGAACTTTGGAAGACGAGGTTATCAGAGCCAATGAACTGGGTCCATAAGAAGTGGTCCACTGAGACTCAATGGTGGTTTCTCTGCCTGCCTACATCCCTCACCACATACACCAAACACTGACTAGAACCACGGCTATGTACCAAGCACAGTGCACAGTCTGCATTAACAAGACTACCATTGCGTTGTCTTCATTAACATGACGTTGCTGTTACTGGAAGCCTCACCTAGGTGAATAGCTTTATTGTTTATTACAGGAACTTCCAGAACAACCATCAGCTCTTCCCTAGAAAACGTTCCCCTCAACTCCAAACCTTTGTCTTGCTGCTTCCACCAATCATAAACTATTTGGTTATAATCCTTATCCATTCCTAATCAACCACCTGTACTGAAAGAGCAACCTTAAAACACCTTCAAAATGCCAATGAAATCTGACCTTGCTTTTCTCTTTCTGAGACAGTTCTGAAGCCCCGATGGGGTGGTGTCCTCCCCTGCAGTGGTAAGCAATGAACTAGGCCCTGTTGTATCACTAGATTGTACTGATGCTATCTGGGGATGGTACTGACATGCCAGAATTTGGGGGAGGCGGAATATACCAAGACAAATGGGACAGAGCCTGGGAGCCTTCATCCTGGTGCTTGAGATAGACTAAAAACATAACAAAATCAAGAGGATGAAAAGACAAGCCACACACTGGGAGAAAATATTTGTAAAATTCATGCCTGATAAAAGACTGGTATCAAAATATACAAGCAATTCTCAAAACTCAACAAGTAGAAAGCAAACAACTCAATTAAAAAGTGGGCAAAAGATCTGAACAAATACCTCACCAAAGAAAATACACAGATGGCAAATAAGCATAGGAAAATGTGCTCCACACCATAGATCATTAGGGAACTGCAAATTAAAATAAGGAGATGCCACTACACACCTATTAGAATGACCAACATCTAAAACACTGAGAGCACCAAATGCTGGCAACAACAGAAACTCTCATTCTTTGTTGGGGGGAATGCAAAAATTGTGTAGCCACTCTGACAGACAGTTTGGCAGTTTCTTTCAAAACTAAACACACTCTTACTGCTATAGATTGAATGTGTCCCCCCAGAATTGATATATGGAAACCTAACTCCCAAGGTGATGGTGTTGGGATGTGATTAGGTCATGAGGGTGAGACTCACTGATGAAGTCTTCATTATAAAAGGGGGTCTAAATCCTAAGCAAAAAGAACAAAGCTGGAGGCATCATGCTATCCAACTTCAAACTATATTACAAGGCTACAGTAACCAAAACAGCATGGTACTGATACCCAAATAGACACACAGACCAATGGAACAGAATAGAGATCTCAGAAATCAGACCACACATCTACAAACATTTGATCTTTGGCAAACCTCACAAAAACAAGAAATGCAGAAAGGATACCCTATTTAATAAATGGTGCTGGGAATACTGGCTAGCCATGTGCAAAAAATTGAAACTGAATCCCAGCCAGGCACGATGGCTCAGGCCTGTAATCCCAGCACTTTGGGAGGCTGAGGTGGGTGGATCACGAGGTCAGGAGATCCAGACCATCCTGGCTAACACAGTGAAACCCCGTCTGTAGTAAACATACAAAAAAAAAAAAAAATTAGACCAGTGTGGTGGTGGGTGGCTGTAGTCCCAGCTACTCGGGAGGCTGAGGCAGGAGAATGGCGTGAACCTGGGAGGTGGAGCTTGCAGTGAGCTGAGATCGTGCCACTGCACTCCAGCCTGGGCAACAGAGTGAGACTCCATCTCAAAAAAAAAAAAAATTGAAACTGAATCCCTTCCTTATACCTTATACAAAAATTAACTCAAGCTGGATTAAAGACTTAAATGTAAAACCAAAAACTATAAAAACCCTAGAAGAAAATCTGGGCAATACAATTTAAGACATAGGCATGGGAAAATATTTCATGACAAATATATCAAAGGCAATGGCAACACAAGCAAAATTGACAAATGGGACCTAATTAAATTAAAGAGCTTCTGCACAGCAAAAGAAACTGTTGTCAGAGTGAACAGATAACCTACGGAATGGGAGAAAATTTTTGCAATATATCCATCTGGCAAAGGTCTAATATCCAGAATCTACAAGGAACTTAAATAAATTTACAAGAAAAAACAAACAACCCCATCAAAAAGTGGGCAAAGGACATGAACAGACACTTCTCAAAAGAAGACATTTATGTGGCCAACAAACATCTGATAAAAAGCTCAACATCACTGATCATTAGAGAAATGCAAATCAAAACCACAATGATATACCATCTCACACCTGTCAGAATGGTGATTATTAAAGTCAAGAAACAACAGGTGCTTGTGAGGTTTGGGAGAAATAGGAACACTTTTACACTGTTGGTGAGAATGTAAATTAGTTCAACCACTGTGGAAAACAGTGTGGCGATTCCTCAAAGACCTAGAGGCAGAAATACCATCTGACCCAGCGATCCCATTACTGGGTATATACCCAAAGGAATATAAATCATTCTGTTATAAAGATACATGCATGCATATGTTCACTGCAGCACTATTCACAATAGCAAAGACATGGAATCAACCCAAATACCCATCAGTGATTGACTGGATAAAGAAAATGTGGTACATATCCACCATGGAATACTACACAGCCATAAAAAGGAACGAGATCATGTCCTTTGCAGGTACATGGATGAAGCTGGAAGCGTTTATCCTCAGCAAACTAACAAGGAACAGAAAACCAAACACTGCATGTTCTCACTCATAAGTGGAAGCTGAACAATGAGAACACGTGGACACAGGGAGGGGAACATCACAAACCGGAGCCTGTTTGGGGGCTGGAGGAGGGAGAGCATCAGGATAAATAGCTAATGCATGTGGAGCTTAAAACCTAGGTGATGGGTTGACAGGTGCAGCAAACCACCATGGCACACTTTTACCTATGTAACAAACCTGCACATCCTGCACATGTATCTTGGAACTTAAAATAAAATAAAATAAAATATATGAAAAAGAAAAAAAGCTGATAAAATAGATGATCTCAAAAATAAACAATTATTTATATTTTAAAATGATTTCAATGTAAACTAATAAACATTTCAAAGTAAACATAAAAAAGGCTCATCCTTTTGATATGAGCAGGCCCTCACCAAACACCGAATCTGCCACACCTTGGACTTTTAGCTTCTAGAACTGTAAGAAATACATTTGTGTTGTTTAGAAGCCACCCGGTCTATGGTATTCTGTTTATAGCAGCCCAAACTGACTAACGTGGGCAGTCATACTCATTGGTGTTTATCCAAATCAGTTGAAAACTTATATCTACACAAAAACCTGCAGATGGATATTTAAGGCAGCTGTATTCACAATTGCTAAAGCTTGGAAGCAACCCAATAAGTCTTTCAGTAGGTGAATAGATAAATAAACTGCGGTATATCAGGCAATGGAGTTCTACTCGGTGATAAACAGAACTGAGCTACATGAAGGAAATGTAAATGCATATTACTAAGTGAAAGAAGCCAATCTTAAAAGGCCAGAGATAAATACTGTATAATTCTAAGTACGTAACATTCTGGAAAAGCTAAAACTATGGAGCTAGTAAAAAGATCAGTGGTGTCCAGGGGTTTGGAAGAGAGAGAGATGCGTAGGTGGAGCACAGAGGATCTTCAGGGCAGTGAAACTATTCTACATGACACTATCATGATAGACACATTACATCCTTACACTAGTTGAAACCCGTAGAAGGTACTACACCAAGAGTGAACTCTAATGTAAACTATGGACTTTAGTTAATAATAATGTATCAATATTGGCTCCTCAATTATAGCGAATATATCACACTAATGCAAGATATTAATCATGGGAAGAATTGGTGCTGGTGGTGGTTGGGGGGTGATGAGTATATGGGAACTCTTTCTACTTTCCACTGAATTTTTTTGTAAAGTAGAAACCTTTCAAAAATAAAGTTTGTAATTAACCCTCCCCAAATCCCAGATGATTAAAATATGGTGAGATGAATCATTTGGTAGAGGTAGGCATCCAGTATAATGAGTCACATCTTAGCAGGCTGCTGACCCGGACGCTGGGGAGCAGAGGGATAAACTGCATAGGAGAGCCTCTGAGGAGGTTAGCAGAGCCCTGAAGAGTGAGAGTAGATTTGGCAGATGGCAAGGGGCACAAGGACATTGCAGGCGAATGAAGTCACATTTATGAATGCCTATGGTGTCCAAGTGCGGGTCTCCGGGGGTTCCAGTTCTGCTGCAGTGCAGGGTGCAAGGGAGGAAGGTGGGTGGGGCCAAGTCATAAAGGGGATCTCTGCGATGCTCAGGAGGGAAGAGACCGCCTTTAGGAGAAGGGGCGGGACGTGGTCAGTGTGCATCTAGAACCATCACTCCTATTGCGGTGGAGAGGTGGTCATAAGGGCAAAGTGAGCGGTAGCAGGGCCGGTGAGGATGCCGCTGGAGCAAGCCAAGGATGGAGATTGTGCTGGATCCACCTTGGTACCCGTGATGCTTGGCGCAGTGCTAGAGGCTCTGTGCAAACCTGCGTAGCATTCGCTGAATGCTTAGGGTGAGCAGTAGGACTGGCGTTTTCTATACTGGGACTTGAAACGTCTTCTCTCCTGACCTCCTCAACCTTCTCCTCTACTACATCTAAAATGTTACAGCAAACATCTTTTCTGAATCCTAGATAGGAATGTATGATCTGATAACTGTGTAAAATATTGGACAAGGTGGGTTGTCTCTGAAAATCTGGGCTGTCTGGTGTCTCTGTTTGAAGAGTCAGAGGAACATTTCTCTTTACTACTTTTCAGAGATGGAGATATTTCATTCTGAGCTCTTGCCTGAAAAAGTAGGAAAAATAATTTATAAAAAACAGAAAAGAAAAGGTCTAGAATGTGTTTCATTTATGTAGTAAAAGACTTCTGGGCTGTATAACAGCATGACTTTTCAAAGTGCATAATGACCCTCTTTATTAGTTTTAGCAACTTATTAGAGTATTTTGGAGGCAGAATTTTCTATGAATAGGTAGAAGACACATATAGAAAAGAGTGCTCCTAAGGCATTCTTGCTGACAGCATAATGATAGCTCTGCCCCTGGCATTACAGAACAGACGGCCACACAGCACCCTTGACTTCAAAGTCACTTTGTCTTCAGAGAAATTTACTGTAATTCCTCACAAAGGCCTTTGAAAATTACATTTAACATATTGTATCCCTATAATCCTTCATGTTTTTGCCTTCCTATAATTTGTGCTGTAGACATTATCCGTTAAAAGCAAAATTTAAAATATAAGATCAACTTTTATTCCAGGCATGAAAGAAGACAATTTAGATCAGCTCACACATCTGGCGCTCTCTCCCTCTCTCTTGCTTTTACTCATCAGTTGCTCTTTACAGGATGCCTCCTTCCTCTGAGGCTTTAGCGCAGAGCTAATAATATCATTATTGTTTCCTTAGTTCTGGTGTCAGTGCAGAGCCTTGCATTTGCACAGCCAAAGATGGCATGTGGCTTCCAAACTTTATCACTTGGACCTCCAAAGATTTCACAAAGGGCTTCCAGGAGAAGCGCTGGTATCCAAAATACCTATTGAGCTGGAGCTGCTTCACCTTGATCGCTTTCATCTTTGGGAGCCTGTCTGTATGATTTAATTTGGAGATCAGTCTCCCTGCTTAAACAGACAAACGAGAAAGGGTGAAAACACATGGTCTTGGTGAAACTTACGCACAGACAACAGGCCATGCATATATGCGTTCTTCACTACGGCTCTCTCACCAGCCCAGTTCTTACTGTCCTAACTCAGAGGACAAACAGATTTAGATACCATTTTGGATCAATTCTCTGCTGTCCAAAACTCTCACTACATGCTGTCTGAAACTCTGGAATCAGATACTTTAGATGACATTGATCTCTGGCTATCCAAACCTGGCGACTGAATACATTTGTATTAATGCATCCAGCAATAATCCTACACAGTCGTGCACACTTGTGTGAATACAACTTCAGGACTGAGAAAAATAACGGAATGAACTTTCTGCTTTCCCTTACCACAATTTTTTTTCACTGCCATAGAGCAAGTGAATGTGTGTGTGTGTATGTGTGTGTGTGTGTGTGTTTATGGGGAGAGGGTGTCTTCTTAGATTCCATTTTCAAACATAGGAAAGTTAAAGAATTAGAAAGTATTATGTCTGCATATTTCAGATTTGACAGTTAAGAAATTTTAATTTCCTGGCTGGGTGCAGTGGCTCACGTCTGTCATCCTGGCAGTTTGGGAGGCTTAGGTGGGCGATCACTTGAACTCAGGAGTTCAAGACTAGCCTGGGTGACATGGTGAAACCCCATCTCTACCAAAAATACAAAAAATTAGCCAGGTGTGGTGGTGTGCACCTGCAGTCCCATCTACTCGGGAGGCTGAGGCAGGAGGATCACTTGAGCCTGGGAGGTAGAGGTTGCAGTGAGCTGAGATCACACCATTGCACTCCAGCCTGGGTGACAGAGTAAGACTGTGTCTTGAAAAAAAAAAAGAAATTTCAATTTCCCATAGAATTTAATTTCAATTTCCCATAGAATTTTCCACAGGTTTTAATTTTTTAAAAAGTTCAGCATGGAATTTCAGCACATGGGTGGAGTTAGGAGTGGAGCGAGCCTCAGGAGAGCTGGTGTTTGGGAAGGGACTTTGTGTCCTTCACATGAGATTTAAATTCCCATTCTGATACTTTCTAGTTGGTGACCATCTCTCTATATCTCAGTTCTGTATATATAAACTCTCAAATCTCATGGCTTTTTTGGGTATTCACCTTTTTTCCTATGATGACCCTGTGCAAATAATACTAAAAACTAACAAGTTTATATGACTCTCTCCTGTTAATCTACCTGTTGTCAGTCTTCTACCTAGGAGGTTAGAAGGAAAGTCTTTTTCTTCTCTGCAAATGCTAATAACAGTAACAAAAATGTGAGATGAGATCCCATTGAGTTTTCCCGTTTGCTTGCCATTCCAACGTATTCTATGTGTATGGAAAATTGTATATAAATCTCAGTATTACTGTTGATAACGGTCTCCATACTCAACTGGACAAAACAGAGGTGTTGTGTGTTAGAACCTATTTTAATTAATCTATATTTTGGTCCTGTGAAATTGTTCCAAAAAGGAAAAAGAGCTAATAGTAGCATCATTAAAAAGTGCTTGTTAAGTGATGCCACGCATTTACAAAGCATGCCATTTGGCTCAAGGGGAGGATGAAAGCATGGAGTGTGTCTTCTTACAGTTTGTAGTGAGTCATCTTCCCCAGACAAAGGGGGAGCATATGGCCTAACAAGCAAGGCAGCAGACTGATCTGCACTTTGACAAGGAGACCCAGTGGGGTGAGCTGGCATCCCACCTTTGGGCTGGTTACTTGGTGACATCAGGTAAGTGCCAAAAATATCAAAGGCTGATACTTAATTCTGAATCCTTCTGAAATCCTTCCATTGGTTTTTATTACCTCTAATGGCTACTTCGGTAATGGTGGGAGGTTGCCTGATTCAAAGAAAGTGAAGTGAGATCACCATAAGAAGGAGTGGTATTCTCAACCAGCTGACACTTTTAGGGGTAATGTGCTAAGCCACAGTCAACAAGGGACCTCAGAAAGGCCTTTTGGATTTAGGTGGATGAGCCTCTTGGGGGACCGCCATTTGGAAAAGCTTAACCATACTTTTATTCCCAGGATACTTCTTCAACTGCTGGCCACTGACTTATACAGATAATTTTCTGTCATTACAGACTGCACCCGTGGATTTTAACGCTTTCTTTGCTGTCAGAGCCTAGGCAAAGGTTCCTGCGAAATTTCTGCCCTCAGGAAATGAAGCCGTGTTTCTAGAGGGAGCTTGAACCTCTGAGCCTCACTTCACCTCTTTTGATGTGTCTTTGTCAAACTCTGAATACTCTTGATTCAGATGTCCATAAAGTCAAGAAGATGATCACAAAATATAAAAAGCTGATGAATCTTTTGGAAAGTTAACAATTTTCTTTAGGAGTTTTTCTCTTCCCTGTGTAAAATGTTCCCCCCAGTTTGCCTCTTCATGATCCATTCAGAGCTGTGTCAGGAGGGAGATAAAGAAGCAGAAGGACCCATGTGAATTTCTCCCTGACGTTTCCATGCCCTCCCTCCCATTCAGACACGACCCCCTTTCAAGCGTTGCAAGCGGGAAGCAACCTACTGGTTATGGGTATTCTGAAAATACTGTAGAAAAACATAGTCCCAGAGGACACTCAGAGAGAAGCCGTAGAGCTAAGAGACCAGATTCTAGTTCTGATACTCTAAGTAGCTATGCAACCTGTGGTTAAAAAAAAATAAGAAAGAAACTCGACTATATTGACAAATTACCATGTGTCAGGCACTTTACATGCATTTTCTTATTTAATCCTCACAAGGTACTCCTAAGAAAGGTAATTTTCTACTTACTTTGCAGATAAACAAACTGTGATTCAGAGTCTGTGAACTATTCCAAGTTAACATCAGTAGTATGCAAATAAAACAGAAAACTCAGACATCAGTTTGGATTTCAGGATGAAAACAGACTGAATTCGAACACGCCCCAGGCAAGGGGTCCAGGGGCCACACCCCTCCATAGGGAGCTGTGGCTCCAGATCTTGGGTCACCCAAGGAGGTCTCTATGGGACAAGAATGGCTTGGAATCTGGATAGGGCATGAGGCCCCATGGAGGGTTGTGGCCCCGGGGGATATTTGACAGTGTATGGAGACATATTTGAATGTCACGAGTGGGACAGAACCTAATGCTATCTAGGGGCTGGAGGCCAGGAGTGCTGGGACACCCCCGCAATGCCCAGACTGCTCCCACATCAGAGAATCCTCTGGTCTAAAATGTCCATCTTGCCAAGGCTGGGGAGCCCTAGTGCACCCTTCTAAATTATGGAATTCAGTTGGTGGAGGATTCAAGGAATCCGAGAAAGTGAGGCTTGACCTGATGGTTTGGGTCTCTGGAGATGCCGGCTGTTCTCCCCTGGGGACAACGCCCTTCACAAGCTCAGCTCCCAGGCTCCCGCCGGGCTGCTGCTGCAGGAAGGTGCACTGGGCTTGGGGAGGGATGGGGTTTGGAGGGGAGGGCAGCAGGCTTTGGTGCCGGAGACTGCTTAGTCACAACCCGACCACTGAAGTGAAGCTGGAGAGAATGGCAAGCCTACTGATTTAGAGCATAAGATTTCAACTGGCAGCCAGGCACGATGGCTCACGCCTGTAATCCCAGCTCTTTGGAAGGCTGAGGCGAGTGGATCACGAGGTCAGGAGTTCAAGACCAGCCTAGCCAAGATGGTGAAACCCCGTCTCTATTAAAAATACAAAAAATTAGCCGGGTGTGGTGGCCGGCGCCTGTAATTCCAGCTACTGAGGAAGTTGAGGCAGAGAATTGCTTGAACCCCGGAGGCAAAGTTGCAGTGAGCTGAGTTTGCACCACTACACTCCAGCCTGGCAACAGAGTGAGACTCTGTCTTAAAAAAAAAAATCCATCTGGCCACCCTCCATTTTGGAAGCCTCAGCCTTGAGGTCTTGAGGGTTGGACTGCAGTGGGTCTGAGGTCCTCAGGGACCAGGCGGGAGATGCATTCCACACCATCTCTTGTTTTCTTGGTCTGCAGAAACGATGCAGCAACCCAAGGAGGGTTCTGCTGCTCAAACAGTGGACCAGGCCGGCTACCACCACAGGCTTAGCACGTGCTCTGCCTGGAATCCCGTTTCCTCCGGGGGTTGTTGGCTTGTTCCCTCACAATGCACAAGTTTCTGCCTGAAATCACCTTTTCAGGAAAACCATCCTGCTCTTAAGGTAGTCTCCACCCACCTCTCTCACCAGAATTTCAGTTTCATGAGAGGAGTGACATTGCTGGTCTTGGTCACTGCATCACCGTGTTCTTATCAGTATTGGATCATTTTCAATTTCACATGAAAAAAGTGTGTATGGTGTGTATGTGCATGGTGTGTGTGTGTGTGTTGTGTGTGATGTTTGTGGTATGTGTGGATGTTTGTGGTATGTGTGCAGTGTATGTATGTGTGTGTAGTGTATTTGTATAGTGTGTGGTGTGTGTAAGGGATGTGTATGTGGGGTGTGTGATGTGTGTATTTCTCTGAGGGATGTGTGTGTATATGGTGTGTGGCGTGTGGGGTTTGTGGGGTGTGTGGGGTGTCTGGAATGCATATGAGGTGTGTGTGGTATCTGTAAGGGATGTGTATGTGGGGTGTGTGATGTGTGTGTTTCTGTGAGGGATGTGTGTGTGGGTGTGTGGTGTGTGGGGTGCATGTGAGGTGTGTGTGGTGTAGTGTGGGGGTGTGTGTGGTGTAGTGTGGGGGAGTGTGTGGTGTGTATGTTATGTGTGGGGTGCATGCGTGGTACACGCTATGTGGTGTATGTGTCTGTAAGGGGTGTATATGTGGGATGTGTGATGTCTGTGTGTCTGTTAGGGATGTGTGTATGTTGTGTGGTGTAGTGTGTGGGGGGCGTGTGGTGTGTGTGTGGTATATATGAAGTGTGGGTTGTGTGTCTGTAAGACATGTGTATGAGGGGTATGTGATGTGTGTTTCTGTGAGGGATGTGTGTGTGTTGTGTGGTGTGTTGTGTGTGTGGGGTGTGATGTGTGTTTTGTGTGGGTGTGGGGTGTGTGTGGGGTGCATATGAGGTGTGTGGGGTGTGTGATGTGTGTCTGTAAGGGATGTGTATGTGGGGTGTGTAATGTGTGTTTCTGTGAGGCATGTGTGTGTGTTGTGTGTGTGGGAAGTGTGTATGTTGTGTGGGGGTATGTGCATGTGGTGTGTCTGTAAGGGATGTGTATGTGGGGTTGTTGTGTGTGGCGGGTGTGTGGTATGTGTGGGGTGTGTGGTGTGTGGGGGTGCATATGAGGTGTCTGGGTGTGTGGTGTGTGTCTGTAAGGGATGTGTTTGTGGGGTGTGTGATGTCTGTGTGTCTGTGAGGGATGTGTGTGTGTTGTGTGGTGTGTTGTGTGTGGGGTATGTGGTGTATTGGGGGTATGTGTGGTGTGTGGGGTGTGTGGTATGTGTGGGGTGCATATGAGGTGTGTGGGTGTGTGGTGTGTGTCTGTAAGAGATGTGTTTGTGGGGTGTGTGATGTGTGTTTCTGTGAGGGATGTGTGTGGGTGTGTCGTGAGGGATGTGTGTATGGAATGTGTGTGTGTGTGTGTGTGTGTGTGTGTTGTGTTGTTTGCTTGTTGGGGGTGTCTTTGACCAAGCACACTCTCGTAGGACCACTGAGTTGCACAATTCCAGGCACAGCAGATCTGAGTTAAGGTGAGCAAAATCTTGAAAGATTATTTATCACTCAAACTCATGGGCCTCTCGTAGACATGACCTGACAAGGCCACCAAGGCAACCCAGTGCAGGACTTCTTAGGGCCTGGCCAGCTGGTCTTTCGCCGACGTTGAACACTGGGCTGGGCAGCATTTATTTGGAGTTTAACAAAAACTCCACTCAGACCATCTGTTTCAGTCACTAAATAAACAGAAAATACAAATTTAAAAATAATTAGGAAAACAGCACATTGGGCAGTCACCCATTTAGGAAACAGAGTGATAGTAGTGTTAGGCTCAAAGTATCTCAGCTATTCCTAATTGATCAAAATATCCTGATGTTTATAGCAAATGAGAGAGTGACTCAGAATGAAATGAAGTCAGCGAAATGCCAGAAGTTTTTACATCCAAAACAGAGACATGGCCCATATGTTCAGAAATACTTTTGTCCTTAGGAAATGTTTATGAAAAAAAACCAAATAGGCAGTTCCTCCAAAAACAGACTCAAATAATAGTAATATGATTCAGATAACAGAAGCATTTTTTTCCATTAAGATGACTTTCCTTTTTTTTTTTTTTTTTTTGCTAATTGTTTCACCCTTGTGTTTGAGAGACCATTCAGAGAGCAAATGCAAAAGGTTCCATTCATGGCATGTTCATTTTTACATGCAAAAATTTGAGAAGGTTGAAGGGTTTTTAGAAAGCTTTTCACGGTGCCATCCATATACTGATTATGGTAAATAAACATGATAAAAGATAATGCTATTGTCTCATAATATACAAAATATCTACACAAATATTTATAAGCAACTATATAGCTAGTATTTGCCCTCTGTATAATCCCATCCATTTACACTGGGACATAGAAAACTGTGGTGCTAATCACATGATGATTTTTTTTTTTTTTTTTTTTTTTTTGAGACGGAGTCTTGCTCTGTCGCCCAGGCTGGAGTGCAGTGGCACGATCTCTGCTCACCTCAAGCTCCGCCTCCCAGGTTCCGGCCATTCTCCGGCCTCAGCCTCCCGAGTGTCTGGGACTACAGGCGCCCGCCACCACGCCCGGCTAATTTTTTGTATTTTTAGTAGAGACGGGGTTTCACCGTGTTAGCCAGGATGGTCTCGATCTCCTGACCTCGTGATCTGCCCGCCTTGGCCTCCCAAAGTGCTGGGATTACAGGCGTGAGCCACAGCGCCCGGCCACATGAAGATTTTTTTAAAGTAAGAAAATGTTTAAATAGTAGAAAATAAGGGTACTACTAAGACCAGGAAGGAAAGGCGGCTGGTGCTGGAATGGGGCATTGCCGGACCCAGGGCAGTGACTGTGCTGCCTGGGAGAGTAAGCGACAGACGCTGTGAGAAAGGGGAGTTGAGCTCCTTCCTTCGGAAAACACTGCAATGGGATCTCATCAGGCAGCTCTGAGAGTAGAGGGGTCCTCAACAGTCGTGCCAGGACAGCGTGTGCCTAGGAACTGCTCTTGGGGACTCTCACAGGCGCCCTGCACTGCCCCTGCTGTGCGTGTCTCCTGTTGCCTGGGAAGCTAAAGGGACTGTGGTCCAGGCCTGCCATTGGCTCCCAAGAACCCCGCCTCCTGGTGACACCCCCTCCTCTTGAGTGTGGGTGAGACCTGAAGACTCACTTTTACCAAATGGAATATGGAAAAGATGTGGCCTCTGAGGTTGTTATAAAACAACTGTGACTTCATGGGGCTCTCCGTCCCTCACTCTCTGCAAATCTCTCACTCTGGGGCAACAGGCTCCCCCCCCGTGAGCTGCCCCGTGGAGAAGCCCATGAGGCATGGAACCCAGAACCTAAGACCTGCCAGCGCCCCCTGTGTAAGCCTGGACGCCATCCTCCCGAGTCGGGCCTGGAGAGGGCCCCAGCCCCAGCCCCAGACCCAGCCGACGCTCTGAATGACACCCCACGAAAGGCCTTGAGTGAGAGAACGCAGGTAAGTTGTGCTCCCTGGCCGATCTGCAGAAACTGAGATAATAAATGTTTGTTTTCTAAGCCCTTAAATTTGGGGGTAATTTGTTTCATAGAAAGAGATAATAAATACAGGGACCTTAAAATGTGGCATCCTAATTTGTTTCCAGGGTTTATAGTGAATATATTTATCTGTCAGCACAGTGCAGACACCAGGTGTGGACGTGAGCCTAGAGACAGAGCAGTGAGTGGCAGCCTCGCTCTGTGGACGTCCGTCTCCCTGAGCTAAGACCCCCTATTTTTAAAGGGAGGTGTGAGATGGATCTAAGCCTGCGCTTATAAACTCATATATCTATAGGTACCAGGCAGACACCATGAAGTAATAAAGCGAGCCACTCATAAGGTCCTACGTGGCCACCGACGCTTGGCTTGGCAGTGGGGAGGCAGTGGGGGTAGAGGAAGGCACCCTGCAGACTGCAAGCTCATTCAGAGGAAGAAAGCAAGAGCCCCTTGGGCTCACCCTCTGCGGACGTGTCCGTTGCCCACACAGTGTTGGCTTGTGCAGTGGTTTAAATGTGGGCCCCTTGGGAGGGGCCACGTTAAAACCTGGAGTTCCATCTCCACCTGGGTTATTGGAAGAGGAGGTATAGGTGCCACCTGCCACTTCTGCCCACCTAGCCCCGCAGGGGGCTGCGCCCACACCAGGATCTCCCTCTGGCACTGGGTGTGACAGTGTCCACTGCTTTCTTTTCCCCCACCTCCCCACCCGTTCGTCCTCCATGTCAGCGACAGGCACTGGTTCCATTGTTTTTTCCAGGAATCCAGCCAGGGACTGGGGGCTGGATCTGTGAATGGAGCTGTCTCAGGGTAACGGTGTGGGTTGGCATTGGGGGTCAGCTGAGCCGCGTTTCCTGTTGGTGGTTCCAGCGGAGATGAGGCACATGCAGGTCCTGCAGACAGATTGAGGCCAGGAGTCCTGAGTGATCTCAAGAATGCATGGACCTTGGTTTGTTTACATTCCCATTTCACTGAAGGAAAATGGAAACCGATTTTTTTTTTTTTGGTTTTCTGTTATCTGACCATTGTCCCCTTGAATTCAATTGAATCTAAACTTTAGAACATGTGGGAACAAAGGAAAATAAAGCAAACTGCATTGAGCACCCCATCATGAACAATGTCTGGTGCTCAATGGCCTTCCAGGTGCTCAGAAATAAATGTTCTGTTTTTCCCTGATTGTTCTATAAGATACATGGAACTTGGCTCAATATTTATGGTAAAATGTCCTCAAAATTATTTGAAGTTAACACAGCAGGATAATGAATGAGGAAGAAAAAGAATGTTGTGCATTTTCTCTTTTCTTTTTCTTTCTTGTTTCCCCTCCCCGCTTCCCTTTCTTTTTCTTTCTCTCCTTCCTGCTCTCCTCACTCTTGAACCGGTGGAACTGTGGCGGTTTTGTTTTGTTTTCCCCATGAGGTGGTCTTCAGAGGGTTTTAGATGGACACATCAGGGTTCTATTATTAATATAAGTGGCCGGTTTTCCACCATGTGGAAAGATTGAAGCAGAATTTATTTTTGTATGCTTTATGCCTGAAGTGTTTAAGGTGTGTGAGGTGCCCAGGGCCTCGAGGTGAACGCATGAAATGACAACAACTAAATGAGATCCAACTGAAAAAGTAGAAGCTGAAAGAATCCAAACCAGTGCTTGGGAAGGAGGCCAACTTGACCCATCTGTCAGAACTGAGGGCTGGAGACCGGCTCCTGTTGTCAGTGCCCTGAGAGGAGTCATGGTTCCTCACTTGTACAATCGCGGGAATGCAAGACGCTGCACACGTTTCACTCCATACCCTCCTCGTGCAGGCAAGGACACAGTGTTAAGGAGCTCACATCAGACTAGAACTCAGAACTGTATCACCTCACACTCCTTGTCCGCCCTCTCTTGCAGTCCCTTGATCAGCCTCAGGCAAAGGGAGGCAGGGGTCAGGAAAAATTATGACAATGGTTGGCTTTTCTACGGAGCTTTCCCGGTTTCAAAGGCAATTTACGTGCAGGATTGCACTGATTCTCCACAGAACCCCTGATGATAAGTATTAGTATAACTTCTCTCATTTTAGATGGAAAGGCCAACGCACACAGCTTGGTATTAAGTTAACAAGCCGTCAAAACGAATCAACTGAGCGCTAATACGTACCAGGCACTGTGGTAGAAGTGGGTGGCAGAGGTTCAAGTCCCTGCACTGCCAGCGATTAACTGTGTGACCTTGGGTAAGGTAGGGAACTTCACTAAGCCTCTGCTCCTGTGCTGGTGGAAGTGAAGATGATGTTTGTACTTACCCTGTAGGGGGTTATCAAGACGAATACGCTGGGCCACAGTGAATCCTCAGCAATGCCAATGATTCTGACTGCTCGGGAATTTACCCAGGGGTTTAGCTGAAGACTGACATTAGTGAGACTTGAAACGAGCTTTTCTAACTTTGCGTCCAGTGCTGTTTCAACAATACCAGGTAAACTGGAGTATAAAAGTCAGTGATTACAGAATGTGAAGGAACACAGTCCCTGCCTTAAGAGAGGAGCTATAACCAGGACCCAAACCACAAAGAATGTGCAGGGGATGAGGGGTTGCAGGGTAGAAAAAGTCGTGTATTTCATTCTCATCTCAGGCTCATGGCTGAAGCCCCTGTAACAAAAGACAGATGAACAGGAAAAAAGCGGTTTTATGTGGCATGAGAACCTTCATAAAGAAATAAAGACCCAGAGACACAGGGAATCCTGTGTATTTTTATGCTTAGGTTTGATGGTGAGTAGAGTTGTTCAGAGGTATGATTGCACAAAGGGGGTATGATCTAATAGTAATTAAATGGGGGGAAACTCGGCAAAGCCTGATTGTTCTGATTCTTCCCTGTGTCCCTGGGTCTTCGGAGGTACGGACATTCCTGCAAGGCTGAGGTGGGAGGACTGCCTGAGGCCAGGAGTTTGAGATCAGTCTGGGCAACATAGTGACACCCGTCTCCAAAAAAATTAAATGAATGAATGAATAAATAAATAAGTAAATAAGCCAGGTGTGGTGGTACACACCTGTAGTCATAGCTACTTGGGAGGCTGAGGCAAGAGGATCGATTGCTTAAGTCCAGGATTTGAGGCTACAATGAGCCACCATCACATCACTACACTCCAGCCTGGGCAACAGAGTGAGACCTTGTCTCAAAAAAAAATACATATATAAATAAGCATGTTCCTTTCCTCTGAGTATAGGGGGGTGCACCTGTCACGCAAGGGTCTCCCTGCATCAGAGGATTCTTTCATGGCTTGTTTCAGGGGAAAGGGTTGAGAAGGTCAGAGAGACCTTCCTGCTTCAGCTGTTTTCTCAAATGCTATGGTGCCATATGTTGGGGTAACATGTCCTGAATAATATAATCTCTCCCCTAACAGGTACTATTTTAGTGATGATCAGCGACTCACTAGAGGGGCTTTGGTTTTGGCTCTGTGGCTTCCTAATGTTCTCAGGACTGTGTGACTTAATTTTAGGTGAATCTTGACAGTTCAATACTGTGGAGGGATCTGGAGAATGCCAAGTGACTGTAGTCATGGGAAGGTCATGAAAACCAGAAGCAGAATTGAGGGCATAGCGGAAAGAGGGAGGGAGACCCCAGTCCAGGACAGGTGGGGCTCTGTGTCGGGGACAGCCAGCACTGCTCGCAGGGGTGGGGACTCCCCAGAATTGATACTCTCTCAGTGTCAGCCTTAGCAATGCTTGACGAGACAGTTGCTGGCATGCCCTTTAAAGCCGGCCACACCTGGGCTGTACCTCCCGCTCCGCCACCAGGCTGTGGGAACTTGGACTGTCTATTTAGCCTGTCTGAGCCTTGCTTTTCTCCTGGGAGGCTGAGGAAGCATCAGGAGGCCCAGCAGGAGGGGTGTGGTGAGGATGGGGGGAGTAAGCCCCAAAAGCACGGCATGTAAAGCATGGTGCCTGGTGCCCGGTGAGTGCCGATAAGTGACAACTGGATGAGCATTTTTGCTTCTCTGTGTAGTTCATCGCTCATGAGGTTAGGGCAGGGCAAGGCAGGCAAGGTCTCCTTCTCACATTTGGATCAGAAAAGCCTTCCTGTCATCCACTCTGAGGCTAGTGGGTGAGCCCCATCCCAGGGGCCTGAGCCCAGCCTGTGTGGTGATGCTGGTCGTCCCCACAGCCCCCTGACCCCATTACTGAGCTAGGTTTTTCCAGCCTGATGACTTTGGCTAGCATAAAGGGCTGAGAATTAGCAGAAACGTTCTGGTTTCCTTTTTATCACATTCTGCAAGGGGTGTAGGGAGTAGGTGGTGGCATTGGGAGCAGATGGTGAGAAAAAGGGGGAGAGAGTGGCCAGCATCCAGTAACATGCATGACCCCTTTGTGCCTGACATGCAGTGGGTTTTGGACAGATGTAAAGAGAGGTTATCTGCCTCTATGTTCAGCAGCATTCATATCAGCCTGCAAAGGACACCTGGCAAATCTATATCGAGATTTACACTCATGTTGAGAAGTCAAATGTAAATGACTTACAAGATATCTGAAGTTTTAAGTGACCCACTCACACCAGGCTCCGCACCAGGACAAATGTGAGTCCTGCGCAGGCCATTTTTCTGCTTCTCCCAAGCTGATCTCTGTAACAGTTCAGTAAAGTTTGGTGGCTGCACTTGACCTACACAAATAGAGTCATCATTTAAGGTCTCTGTTAGAATTTATCTCCTGCTGCCTCCACACTCGGCTGCTTTTTACTCCTTCTTTAAAACTCATGACTGGGCGATGTCTGCAGCCCTGGAGCTCGGTTTCCTCCTGTAGGTGCTTGTCTTTATCCACACCACGGCCAGGCTTTCCCACTCACCTGCACTTTCTCCAGCCTGAGCACCCTGGGCCAGCATAGCTGTTGGGACTCAATTTATGGGAATAAATGGATATTTTAAAAATTAACGTCATTGCTCTTTGCATTTGAACCATCAGCTTAACATTCAGTTGTACAGTTGACTCTTGAATAACATGGGTATTAGGGGTGCTGACCTCTGTGCAGTCAAAAATCTACATATAAGTTTTGACTCCTCCAAGCAAACTTAACTACTAACAGCCACTGTTGACTGGAAGCCTTACAGATAACAAAAACAGTCCATTCACGCATATTGTGTATGTTGTATGTATCATATGCTGTATTCTTACAATACAGCAAGCTAGAGAAAAGAAAATGTTAATAGGAAGATCATAAGGAAGAGAAAATACATTTTATACATTTACAGTGCTATGCTGCTGTGATCTGAAGTGAACATTTGTGGTGTCTGTTTACGAGATGAGTCGCCTGCCTGACATAGCAGCACCCGGAGCTGCAGCCCTTGGTCTACTACAGTACACATCAAGCAATTCAGCTTTTTCTTGGACTGTCACAACTTTCCTCTGCTTCTTGGGAGCATTTCCAGCACCACTAGTGGCACTTCACGTGGGCCCTACGGTGTTATTCAAGGTTTACGGTATTGCACTCAGCATGATGAAAAATACAGGAGAACCTCAAGAGATCACTTTTTACTGCGAAATGCAATTTACTGGTGAGACGAACGGCTCACGTGGAGATGATGAGCATCGCGCGGTGTTTTAAGCGGATACCCACAACACTTGAGCTCACTGCAATAGCAACAGGAGGTGGCTGCGAAATGATTCCGGCACTACAGTAATTCCTACAATGAATTGCATGCAGTTACGATTTGATGCTGCGTCTTTACATTTGTTTACATTTCTCTTGACTGCCAATGACACCATGTACATCCGGTCTGTGTGTAGGTAAGTTCTGATAAATTTTAACATTTTATAACAGATTCATGTCTATTTTATGGTAGTAAATAATAAAATAGGCTAGTATCTACATATATGTTATGCATTCATAGCATAATTTTTTCTGATTTTTTTTTTTTGCTATTTCTAGGCTGCACGGTTTTTCTGCGATTTTTTCAAATTGTTGCAAATCTCCAAAAAAATTTTCGATATATTTATTGAAAAAAAAAATCTGTATAGGTGGACTTGTGCACTTCAAACCCTTCTTGTTCAAGAGTTGACTGTATTGTCTTGTATTACACTACACTATTCCTTCTGCTCGGCTGTGTCATCCAGCTAGATTATAAATGTCTGATGCTGCTTTCATGGCTGGTACTCAGTTGTACTGATCAGTATTTGATTGACCACCTCTTATCTGGGTTTGTAATGCAATAACTGACATCTGTTTATTGACATAAGCTTCTTTCAGGTGCAGGACTGCATTTGAACCTGTACGTAGGAGCAGCATTTTATGTATTTTATGGGTGTGGAAAACTGAGATGCAGAGAAGAGAGGACTTGAATTAGAGCTTGTATTTGGATAGAGAAAACAAAATAGAACTGTTGTCAAATAACTCTTCAATTCACCTCTGCTGCTTATTCGGAAAGTTGTGACTGACAGAGAAGCAGTCCCCTACTGAGTGGCTTGGTTGGGGAGTTGTAAGACTCCCTGGAACTGGGGCTGGAGCATCCACACAGGGCACCCTGAGGCCATCACACTTCCTGGTGGGTAACTAGTTAGAACTGCTGTTAACCCTTTAATAGATGCAGTTCCTGACTACAGCAGCAAGCCCCCTTTCATCTTCCTGCTCCTTTCTCATCTATTACAAATGTCTCCAGGGAAGACTTCGAGTAGATGGCACAGTGATTTTAATGGCTAATTGAAAAGCCGTGGGCTTTTAAAGCTCAGAAAGGCTTTCAGAAAGATTGATGATGGCCCATGGATGTGGAGTGTACCTTCTGCAGCTGTGTGGGACTCTCGTTTCTTTCCTGAGGATCTAAGTGGACCCATCATCCCAGCTGGCCATCTCCCTGTCTCTCTGTCTCTCTGTCTCTCTCTGTTTCTCTCTGTGTGTGTATGTGTGTGTCTTTCTTGTTCTCTTTCTCTCTCTCATTCACTCTTAAATGGCTGGAAGTCATTGCCTGTTGGTATGTGAGTATGTGTTTGGTAATTTTCCCTTCTCTTTTCACTTGTAAACTTTGGAGATAAGAAGGCCTGGGATATTTTGAGCTTTCCTCCCTCCCCTAGGTGGAACTGTGGCTGTAACGTATCCCACATCTTGGGAAATATGCCTTCTTTCCCTGAAGTGGTAGAAGAGACCCTTTTCAACAATAACGTGTCATGGCGTACACATAGATGGGGATATTATCAACACCTCATAAGTAACATAATTATATTTTACCTGTTGCAGTGTCTCCACTTCCCCAAATCCTTGCAGCTGTAGCCAAAGATAGAGCATCTGAAGGAGAGACAGTTTGGATGGGGGTTTGCATCCGTTAATGAGCGGGAATTCAGAGCTTCATTCCTAACTGTCACACCGTTTTGGAAAGCTCCCCAGGGTAGACTCAGTTTCCACACAGACGAGGTTAGTAGTTCTCACACCTCGGGATTTCATGTAGCAGTAAAATTTCTAAGAATGTTAGAGGTCCTGGTAGGTTTGTCAATTTTTAATTTTGCTAACAAAATGGAACATCAGAAATATTAAAACAAACGCACAAGAAAAAAACCAAACCTAAAGCAAAATCAGATTTAAAAACCACCCCCTAACCTATAATCATTGCATCTTTCACAAAACAAATGACATGTCAACACTAAAATATGTAAAAAGCTTAGGTCCCTAAATTGTAAACAAATAGGCCTTTCAAATATACTAAATTTTGCATTACAAACCACTTACTACGTTTTTTATTATATCATAAGCTCATCCTATTTTTGAAACCTCTGACAAAGAAGGGGCTAAAATACAAGAGAGAGTAAATACACCTCCGTAAGTAGAGAGACAATGTCTGCCAAAATGATGCCATTTCTCTCTTTGGCTACTGGAACCAAAGGGATCATTAAACGTGTTTTCCTTTTTGCTTATGTGTGTATTCTGAAATTTATAAAAAATATTTAATATTAGGAATAATAATGGAGTTACATAAACTATGTTAGATCTTCAAGTCAGACTTTCATAGCTATAAAGGGTATGTTTTGGAATATTAATACAAGGGTCAGACATCGTGCACCTTGAGTGTCTTTTTGTGCTTACAGCTGGTGGGGGTGGGTCCCCTGCCACCCCGTGACTGTCTCCGCCTCTGTTGTCCCTCTCTTGCCTCCACCAGCCCCCACCCCACTGCCTCCTCCAGTCTTGCCCTCTGCTACCCGATGGCTTCCTCTTGATACCTCCTGGCCCTATCATCTCTCGGCCTTTGTCTATGTGGATTTTAGCTTCTGTGCCTCCTGCTCACTGGCCTGCATTCTCCAGTTCCATTTTCTGTTCTCACTCCTGAGAAAGGAAGGCTTTGCTTGGGCCTGCTGTGGTGAGGCCCTATGTGAACAGGGTCCCCTGGAGGATGATCGGTGGCCAGCTGCCATCGGGGCTGGAGCCGACCCTGGGCCAGTAAGGGGCGACTTGGGGCATACTCTCCGTACTGGGCATTTCTCTCAAGTTAAAAAGATCTGCGTAAGTTAAAGAGATTCATTGCACAGCATGGTGACTACAGTTAATGACAATGTATTGTATTATTGAAAATCACTAAGAGAATAGATTTTAGGTCTTCTCACCACACACACACACACACAGGCACACACACACACAAAAGTATGTGAGGTAATGCATAGAATGTTAATTGGCTTGATTTAGCCATTCCACAATGTATACATATTTCAAAACATCATTTTGTGTACTGTAATTATATATGATTTTAATTTGTCAATTAAAAAATAAAAAGGCTTGGAGGGAGGTGACGATGTGAACTAGCCTGAGCCCTGAGCTCTGGGAAAATCTGCCATGAGAAGTTCCCCACCCTCATGTGTTCCTAGCAGTGGCTAATCACAAAAGACTACCCTCATGTCCTCAGAATAAGACCAGCCTCCACCCACGTAAGTGACTCCCATAAGACTTGAAATGGATCTTTTATTGACTCCCTTTATGAACCCCAAGTTTCTCATCAGTGGAAATTCTTCCTCTTCTAAAACCTGAATAAAATCATCCCTTAATTGTCTGGGGCATTTGGTCTTTCTTGAGAAATTTTGTCGATTCACATTCAGGGGTAAACTAAAACTTGCCCCAAACCACACAGACAAAATGTCTTGTGTTTGGTTTCAAAAGGAACCCTGGGCATTTTCCCCATGGGCTCTGTTGTCCTGTGGGCATTGCTGGAACCCCTGGCTGGCTTTCCAGGGAGCAGCTTGGAATAGCACAACTTGAGTGAGCGAGGTCTCCAAGCCTCATGACCCCCAGCCCTTTGCATTTATCCCACATTCTTTTCCTCTGCATCTCTCATGACTTTCAGAAGCAAACACTTGGGTTCTTCAGAAGCATCGATGCTCTTCAGGGTTCTTGGCATGAGTTTTAGAGTCTTGGCAGGCAGCTGGCAATAGTCAGGTGTGAAAACAGGCAGTGGGCTTGTTACTGAGAGTGAGCACTGCGTGTTTGACACTGTCTAGAGGGCTTACCACTGTGATGCCCGAATGCTCTGGTCACAGTGATGGGGCCCAATGGAAGAAGCGTCTGCTTTTTATTGTTTTTTGTTTTGTTTTGTTTTGTTTTGCTGGCTTCTCATGCCACAGCCCTGGATTGTCATGCTCAGATTTCTTGTCCAGGACACAATGCCCTAGAACTTGTGTATACTGGATGGAACAAAGCGTGTACAGCACATCTCCGGATGTGTTGCAAAGGCTGCCAACCCTGCTGGGAGGTGAGAGCTGGCACTGTGTGTCTACCTTGTCCATGACTTCTGGCAGCACTAAAAATGGGGCCTTTTTCTGCTTCCAGGGACAAGTCAGGGAAGATGCTTTGATGTGACAGAAGAGTCTTATCACAAAAGGTATTTTGGGATTCTGAGTAGAATTTAAATAAATTTGTGATATATACATATATATACACATTATGCACCATATATGTGTGTATGTATATATGTATATATGTATATGGTGCATAATGAAATCCTCCAAATTTGTTTTCTTAAATGACTTTTTTCTTTATTTTATTTGATTATTTATTTATTTATTTTTGAGAGAGAGTCTTGCTCTGTTGCCCAGGCTGGAGTGCAATGGCGTGATCTCGGCTCACTTGCAACCTCTGCCTCCCAGGTTCAAGTGATTCTCTTGCCTCAGCTTCCCGAGTAGCTGGGATTATAGGTGCTGGCTACTGTTTGCATTTTTAGTAAAGATGGGGTTTCACCATGTTGGCTAGGCTGGTCTCGAACTCCTGACCTCAAGTGATCCACTCACCTTGGCCTCCCAAATGACAAAGAATCCTTATGTCTATTAAGAACCACTTAAGACCTTCATGAATTAAGTTTTGCTGACCTCAGCGTGCAGCCTGAGGCCTGCCCACCCTCTGTGGAGACTCAAGTTGCTCTTCTGGAGAGGGAGGGAAGGAGGCCAGTGCCTGTCCCAGCATTTGGGGCCACCACTGTTGCACAGAACCCTGAGCATTAGTGTGTACTTACTCCCTGTTTAAAAACATGCATACGCTTATCTTGGAATAGATGAAAATTCTGGAAAATGCTTAGCTCTTTTCTGTCTGTGATGTGTTTCGAATTATTATTTCCATCTAAGGCCAATAGGCTTCTTATTTTTATAGAGCATAATGCTTTTATTTAATGTGCAAGTATAGTGCACTATCTTAAGTCTACTTGAACCTTACACACAAGTAGAGATAAAAGATGTTTCTGGAGTCTGAGTGTATTAAAAACAAAATTGATTCTCAACTCCTTTTTCTTCCCAAGGCCTGGGGCTTCACCTTAAAAACTAGCTCCTTTCATCAACTGCATTTAGGAAAAACAAAAATCGTAAGCCACATCCTTTATTTCAAACACCCTGAGACTTTAAAAAAATGTATTTACAGCAATAAATTCTTATTAAATGAGAAAATGGTTACCAATGGTATTGAAATGGCTTATTAAAGGATATGGTGATGAAAAGGCCACATCGCCATCTGTCCTGCAGCTACCTATTCCTTCCGCTTGGTCACAGTTTTTACAAAATACCAAGCTTCTGGAACTCAGCTGCCTGGAATCAAATCCCCATACTGGCACGTATAAAACGTGTGATGCAGGTTTTGTTACCTAACCAACATGAACTGGTTCCTTTGTTTTAAAGTGGGGATATCTACCATGTAGACTTTTTTGTGGGGGGAATAGGCGTGGGAGTGAAATTTTAATGAGAAAGTGTGTGTACATTGCTCAGGGAGGCCTAGGATTTACTAAGGTTTGTGCTACTTACGGTAGCAATGAACAATCCCTGCTAATGGTGACCAAGTCCATTTTGTTTACTCTTTTGTTTTCTTTTCTCTCTTCTTTTCTTTTCTCTTCTCTTCTGTTCTGTTCTCTTCTCTTCTCTTCTTTTCTTTTCTTTGATAGAGTCTTGCTCTGTTGCCCAGGCTGGAGTGCAGTGGCGCGATCTCGGCTCACCAAAACCTCTGCTTCCCAGGTCCAAGTGATTCTCCTGCCTCAGCCTCCTGAGTAGCTGGGATTACAGGTGTGTGCCACCATACCCAGCTAATTTTTGTATTTTTTAGTAGAGAAGGGGTTTCACCATGTTGGCCAGGCTGGTCTCGAACTCCTGGCCTCAAGAAATCCACCCACCTCAGCCTCCCGAAATGCTGGGATTACAGGCGTAAGCCACCTTGCCTGGCCTGGCCTGGCCTGTACGATTTTTTTTTTTTTTTTTTTGAGACAGAGTCTGGCTCTGTCACCCAGGTTGGAGTGCAATGGGGCAATCTCGGCTCACCACAACCTCTGCCTCCTGGGTTCAAGCGATTCTCCTGCCTCAGCCTCCCAAGTAGCTGGGATTACAGGTGTGTGCCGCCACACCCGGCTAATTTTTGCATTTTTAGTAGAGACAGAGTTTCACCATGTTGACCAGGCTGGTCTTGAACTCCTAATCTCAGGCGATCCACCCGCCTCGGCCTCCCAAAGTGCTGGGATTACAGGCGTGAGTCACTGCCCCCCACCACCACTTCCCTTTCTTATGATGAGCACAGATAGCGGCCAGCCTCTCTTTCCTATCGTGGTTGTGGCTGTGGCTTCCCACACTGGCCATCCTGCCCCAGCACGTCGCACTCCAGACTGTCTGGCACATGAACTGTGATGATGTTTTTCCTTCCTGGATATCAGCAGAATCCCGCCTTTCTATACTGAGCCTGGGGAGCAGGGAGGGAGGAGTCTGCATTCCAGAGTACGTCCTGGACCTCACTTTGATTTCTAATTCTGGTTCTGGGTAGTCACGGTTTTGTGGTCAACTGTCATGAGAATAACCCTCTTTCCCAATGATGGCATCTCTTTAATAAATAAGAAAACACTGGAAGATTAAAAGTAAAATTCAACTTTCTGGTAGCATTATCATTTGTGTTTGGCTTTCCTGAGTTTGTGGTAAGCTCCTTGAGGCCAGGGCTGCCTTTAGGCAGGTTAATGCCCCCAGCGTGGAGAACGGGAGGTCCTTGAATGAAGAATGCTTGGGGGCCGAGTCCAAGGAAGACAACTCTGACCTCCAGCATCCTCCAACAGAGACGTCTGGGCCCAGACAGAGGCGGCCAAGGCGAGGAGAGGAAAAGCTATTTTCTGAGAGTGTGAACGAGAGCCTCCAACTTAACTTCAGCCATAAGAAAGCTGTTTATCGAGGCTCAAATATCTGACAGGCACCAGAGAACACCCAGAAAAGCTCCCTGGAGGCATGGTTTGAAGGCAGCTACAGCTGCATGCTGTCAGAGAGAAACCACATTGTGCACGTGGATCGGATCCCAGGGCCTCAGTGCTAGCATCCAGCTCCGGTGCTGGCCGGTCTCAGAAGGACACTGTGAATTTCTGAGGCATTTCCAGAGGCCCCGTGATGGATAGGAGATGAGCAATTGCTCCGCAAAGGGAGGCAGGCTGAACATTTTGTGCCTAACTTGAACACCTCCCTGATGTGAGAGACAGCTTTTGAGCGCCTGGGATACTTCGGTATCTGATTTAATTGGGAAACTCACAGGCAGCTATTAGACGTTGACCACCAAGCCACTGGGGGTAGGTGTAAGGATACCTAAGATCCTTGTAGCTCATCTACATGTTCTTTTACATCCCATAACTTTCTTAACACTTTTGTCAGACATACCAATTACACTTTGTTACTATTTTCAATGAAAAAATGTACAGTCTGATAAAGCTCATCAAAATGACCCCCAGTGCGGATCTTCATGGAGATGGCAGAGCTACCTTTCGGCAGGGTAGATATCTGCACTTCACAGGAGGGTTAAGTAAGACCTAAAGAGATCAAATCACTTCAGTTCTGTGTAACAAATATGTACTGATCAGCTGTTGCATGCCCCCAAAAATCTAAAGCCATCACCTTTTAAGTAATGGGATGTGCTGACTTCTCACTGTATTTGCACAAGGACGACATATCAAAGTAAAATAGAAATACATAGATCCTGCTTTATCCTACACTTGTACAGACCCATGCCCACACGCCATAACACACACAAACACACACACTCAATACACACACGAGTAACTCTTACAGAGAAGCTGTTGAAAGATTTTAGGAAGTAGGTTGTTTGAAATTTAAAAAATGCTGTAGGAATTTTTACGTCATATGATGTAGCTACTTCTATGCCTATAGGCCTCAGAAATGTCTAGGCTGCGCTCCTGGTAACATGACCTTTTGCAGATAAAGTTAGGCATATATAAAAAAACTTTCTAAAACTAACTTTTGTTAGAGTATTGGCCCAAATCTTTTTTCCAGGCATTGTCCTCTGGCAGCTAATCCTGTTGTGAGGTCTTTATTGCTGTGCTGTGACTCACCTAGAAGCAAGTTTCTCTGAGGAAGGACAAATCCTTGTAGCTTTTCAAAGCACACCTATTAAACTCTTTAGTCGATATCATGTCAGGATGCATGTGGTCAGGGGAAATTTTATCTATGATTGTCAGGCACACTCAGAATTTCGTTTTTGTGACGGGTGCCTGCGGTCAACCCCAGATCCTCCAGAAAGGGCTTTAAATTCAGTCTAATCTCGTCATGCTGCTTGGCAATTGATTTGAGTCACTTTGACATTTCTGAGACTGCAGATTTCCCAGAAGGAGAGCAAGAGAGAACGTTTTATAAATACTGCGACCTTGAAATAAAAAAGAGACTTCACTTTCCTGCTCCAGATCTTACCATGTGCTCTCCTGAAATTCAAGTAAGAAAAGGTAATGAAGTTAGAAAACGTGAATGTATTCTTGTAAACCCTCATTGGGCAACTCAGACTTACCAATGAGATTTTGCTTCACGTCTATGGTAATTTGCTAGATGTTTGGACTCAGCTGTTAATGAGGGCCTGAGGGATTATAATGTATGGCTTTTTTTTTTTTAGTGGATTTCAAGCAAAAACATGGACCCCAGGGTGACATATGAGACTTAAGCATAGGCAACTTGAAGGTGCTTAGGGGAGTGCGTCTGTATAGTGGCAGACAGGGAAGGTGGGAGCATCTTGGAGCTAAGGTAGAAAGCTAATTACAGGTAGAAATTAAGGTAGAAAGCTAATTACAATTCTCCCTGTTGCCCAGGCTGGAGTGCAGTGGTGCGATCTTGGCTCACTCACATAGTTTTACGGGAAAAGAAACTATGAAAAAAAACCCCACAGGCTACACAAGATGGTAAAGAGTTTCCATAATCAGGCAGCAAGAAAAGCCCCGTGCTGATGTGGACATTGCGATGAGCTGGGCATTGGACTACGGGGCCCGGACAGGAGCCAACACAGAAGACCAGAAGACTGTGTGCACTAAGAGTGCCGGGAGGGTCTGCATGTACTTCGAGGGGCCCTGCCTTGTGGGCAGAAGACATAATCCTGGATAAGTAGCCAGAACCAAGTGGTCCATGGCAAGATCTCTTCCATTCATCAGTACCCAAAACATCACATCAAATCAGCATCAGCACCCAGGGATGTGTGCCATTCCTGGCTCTTCTCAGTTTGTAGACAGCTCTATAGTCCTGGGACTTGGGAGGAGTATGTAGGAGGCTCCGGGGGTGAGTGGTGTGATGGTGGTAGTGCTGGTGGTGGTGGTGACGAATCTAAATGAAAATGAAAAATTTCAAAGAGGTAAGTGGTAACTTGACATGGTTTTGTCATGAGCACTATCACCTTTAATTTTACGTTTTGAAAATAATTTTCCCTTTTAGTGTAATAGTGGCATAATTCATTGTTGACAATCTTGCATCAAGAAACAAAATTAAAATGATATGTAATTGCATTACCCAGAAATAGATAACATTTTGGTACAAATTTTCTTGCCTTTTCTCTGTATGTACACACACAGAGAAACAAACTTTTTCCAAATTGGGCATCCAGTATACATCCTACTCAATAAGCTAAAATCTTCACTTAAAATTAGTGTGGATTTTTTAAATGTGATCAAATATTTTCATAACATCTTTTGTAATAGGTGTGTATTTTTTTAATGCATGCTATATTTGGTTTCAATGATCCCTTATTCTTGGGCAATTTGGTTGCTTTCTTGAATATGATTTATAGATGGATATTTCTATGGAAAGTTGACTTGGGGGAAAGGTGTGCTTCTTCTTCTTTTAAACACAAATTTCTTCTAAAATTGTTCGATATAATTTGATGGATGTTTAAATTGAGGTGTACTTTACAAAGGGTGAAGCGCACATATCTTAAGCGTGCAGTGTGATGAGTTTGACAAACGTGTTTTCTCCGATCAAGTCAGAGATCATTTCTATTGCCACAGGAAGTTCTCACGTGCCTTTCTAAGTCGAAGCTCAAACTCTCTACACTTGTGACTACAGGTCTGATTCTATCAACATAGTTTAGTTTTGCCTTTTCTAGAGCTTCTTATAGATTGAACCATACAATATACACTTTTTTGTATCTTGGTTTTTTTCTTTCAACATCATGTTTTTGAGATTCATCCATATCGCTTCAGGTCTCAGTAGTTTATTCTTTTTTTATTGTGGAATAGTTTTCTATTACATATATAAATACACCATAATTTGTTCATTCATTTCCTTGTTGATGGACATTTCAGTTGTTTCCAATTTTGGGATATAAAGACACTATAAATGTCCTTATATAGGCTTGTGTTTGCTTGCTTATTTTTGTTTTGTTTTATTTTTTCAAACATGTTTTAGTGGGTAAATACCTAGGATTAGAAATGCTGGGTCATAGGGTGAACGTATGTTTAGCTTCATAAGAAACTTCCAAACAGTTTTCAAAAATGGTTGTACCGTTTTACTTTGTTCTCCCACCATCAATGTATGAGAGTGCTGTTTTTTTCCAATTTATTAAAACATTGGTATTGTCAGCTTTTAAAATTTTAGCCATTTTAGAAGACAATGTGACACTTCATTGTGTTCTCTCTGCATTTCTCTGACAACCATGCTGAACACTTTTTCACATGCATATTGGCTATTCATATATCTTCTGTAAAATGGCTGCTCAAGTTCTTAGCCCATTTTAAATTGGGCAGTTGTCTTTTTTTTTCAAAAAAATTAATTTTTTTATATTTGAGGTATATAATAGGATGTTTTGATATGCATATACATACTTATCTTAAAGTGATTACTACAGACAAATTTACATATTCATCACCTTCCATAGATACCTTTTTCATGTGTTAAGGGAACCTAAAATCTACTCTTTTAGCACATTTTCAGTATACAATATTAACTATAGTCCTCATGCTGTGTGTTAGATCTCTAGACTTATTCATCCCGCGTGACTGCAACTTCATATCCTTTGAACTACATCTCCTCGTTTGCCCTCCAGGCCCCTGGTAAACAGCCTTCTGTTTTTTCAACTGTTTTTTTTTTTTTTTTTTTTTTTTTTTTTGACAGAATCTCTGTCTGAGCTCACTGCAACCTCCGCCTCCTGGGTTCAAATGATTCTTGTGCCTCAGCCTTCAGAGTAACTGGGAATACAGGCATGCGCCACCATGCCCAGCGAATTTTTGTATTTTTAGTAGAGATGAGTTTTACCATGTTGTCTAGGCTGGTGGTCTTGAACTCCTGGCCTCAAGTGATCCACCCACCTTGGCCTCCCAAAGTACTGGCATTGCAGGCGTGAGTTACCGCATCTGGCCATCTATTTATTCAACTTTTGTTTTTAAGATTCTTCATAGAAGTAAGACCATACAATTTGTCAGTCTTATTTCTGGTTTATCTATGTCTGGCTTATTTCACTTAGCATGCTATTCTCCAGGCCCATCTATATTGTCACAAATGGCAGGATTTCTCTCTTTTTAAAGGCTGAATTATATTCCATTATGTATATATACTACACTTGCTTTATTCATTCATCCGTTGATGGATACTTTAGGTTGTTTGCATAGTGTGGCTGGAATGATGCCATGCACGTGCGAGTGCAGGTGTCTTTACGAGGTGCTGCTGTCATTTCCTTTGGGTACATACTCAGCAAAGGGATTGCTGGACCATCTAGCATTTTATTTTTTTCTTTTGAGATGGAGTTTCACTCTTGTTGTCGAGGCTGGCGTGCAGTGGTGTGATCTCGGCTCACTGTAACCTCCACCTCCCGCGTTCAAGTGATTCTCCTGCCTCAGCCTCCCAAGTAGCTGGGATTACAGGTGTGTGCCATCATGGCCAGCTAATTTTGTATTTTTTTTTTTTTTTAGTAGAGATGGGGTTTCACCATGTTGGTCAGGCTGGTCTTGAACTCCTGGCCTCAGGTGATCCACCCACTTCAGCCTCCCAGAGTGCTGGGATTACAGGCATGAACCACCGTGCCTGGCCAGAACCATTTAGTATTCTATTTTCAGTATTTTGAGCAACCTTCATACTGTTTTCTGAAATGGCTGTATCAATTTACATTTCCACCAACATTGTACATGGTTTCCCTTTGTTCCACATCCTCACCAACACTTGTAATTTTTTAGTAGCCCCCCTAACTGGTGTGAGGTGATATCTCGTTGGGGTTTTGCTCTGCATTTCCCTAATGATTAGTACTTTTTCCATGTGTCTGGTGTCTATTTTTTCCTTTTATTTATAGTTGGCATGTAATAGTTGTTCATATTAATGGGATACAGAGCGATATTTCAGTACATGCCTACAATATATAATGATCCAATTGGGGCAATGAGCATATCCATCCCTTCAAACGGTTATCATTTGTTGGTGTTGTGAACACTCAAAATCCTCTCTTCTAGCTTTTTGAAAATATGCAATGTTATTATTAACCATATTCACCCTACAGTGCTGTAAAGCACCAGACCCATGGCTCCTCTGTAACTGTAATTTTGTATCCTTCTACTAATTTTTCCCTACCTTCCCTCCCCACAACACTCCTCAGCCTCTAATAACCACAGTTCTACTCTCTTTCTTTTTTTTCTTTCTTTTTGTGAGACAGGGTCTTGCTCTGTCACCCAGGCTGGAGGGCAGTGGCATGATCTTGGCTCACTGCAACCTCCGCCTCCTGGGTTCAAGTGATTCTCGTGCCTCAGCCTCCCTAGTAACTGGGATTACAGGCACCTGCCACTAGACCTGTCTAATTTTTGTATTGTTAGTGGAGACAGGATTTCGCCACGTTGGCCAGGCTGGTCTCGAACTGCTGACCTCAGGTGATCTGCCCGCCTTTTCCTCTGTAAGTGCTGGGATTACAGGTGTGAGCCACGGCACCCGGCCAATTCTATTCTCTTTCTATGAACTCATTTCTTTTAAGCTCCCAAATATGAATGAGAACGTGTGGCATTTATCTTTCTGTGTCTGACTTACTTCATTTAACATAATGTCCTCCAGACTCATCCATATTTTGCTGGCTATTTTTATATCTTCCTTAGAAAAAGGATTATTCAGGTCTTTTGCCCATTTAAAAACATTTTTTTTTTTTTTTGCTGTTGAGTTACGTGAGTTTCTTATATATTTTGGATATTAACATCTTATGAGATACATGGTTTGCTAATATATTCTTCCACTCCATTGGTGCCTGTGCATTTTGTTGATTGTACCTTTTGCTGTGCAGAAGCTTTTTAGTTTGATGTAGGCCCACGTGCTCACTTTTGCTTTTGTTGCCTGAACTCTTTGGTGGCATCGAAAAAGTTATTGGTAAGGCCGATATCAAGGGGCTTTCCCCTTATGTTTTCTTCTAGGAATTTTTTGGTTTCAGGTTTATATTTAGATCTTTAATCCCTTTTGAGTTTATTTTTGTGTGTGGTGTAAGGTAAAGATCCAGTTTTTTCCTCAAGGCCGTATTGACTTGTTACCATTGCTTTATAATAAATCTCACAATCAGAAAATGTAATTCTTCCAACTTGTTTCTTTCCCCAAGTATGTTCTAGTTATTCTAATTGTTTTTTGGCATTTTATATATATAAATTTTTTTAAGAAACTGTCAACTTCTACAAGAAAAAAAAAGCTTGCTGGGGTTTTAAAGGAGATTGTGTCAAATCTGCAGATAAACAGAATTGGTATCTTAGCAATTTTGGGTGGGTGTGCAACCTAGAAATATGGTATATGTCTCTATTTAAATCACTTAGGTCTTTCTTTTTATATTTCTCTAAGATGCATTTTACAGTTTTCCGTGTGCAGGTCTTGTGCTTATTTTGTTAAATGTATCCCTGGAATTTTTGGTTATGAATGTGATTTTAACTGCTATTGTATTTTAACCATAGTTTCAAATTTTCATTGTTAGTATATAGAATTACCATTACTATTTTTTATAGTGACCTTGTATCTTGTGATATTACACTTATTCACTCTAGTAGTTTTTTTAAAATAAGGTTTTATGAATTTTCTACATAGATATTCATGTTATTTTTGAATAAAGCCATTTCTATTATTATTATTTAATCTTTATGTGTTTTACTCCTGTCTTGCTGTATGCAGTGACTAAGCCTCCAGTACAATCATGAAAAGAAGAGATAAGAGAGGACATTCTTGCCCTGTTGTTAGTCTTACAGACAGAGTTCAGTGTTTTACTGTGAAGTATGATATTAGCAGTTGGTTTTTTGTAGATGTTCTTTATCAGACTGAGGGGAATTCCTTCTATTCCTACTTTGTTGAGAGTTGTTTGTTGTTTTGTGTTGAAAATATGTTGAATTTTGTCAAATGCTTCTCCTGCACACTCAGATCATCTGATGGCTTTTTGTTTTCAGTGTGTTGAGTGTCAAACAAATGCCATGTTCCTGGCCTGAGTTTAACTGATATATTCATATCAAGTCATGATATATTATCATTTATATATACATTTTGGGTTGATTTGGTTTACTAATGATTTGTTAGGGATTTTTGAACCTATGCTTTTTAACTATACTGGTGTCTTTGGTCAGGGATGGGTCATCTTTTTGTTTGACTTTGGTATCAGGATGATGTCAATTTCATAAACCAAACCAGAATGTGTTCCCTTCTCCCCAATTTTATGAAAGAGTTTGTGAATTATTGACATGATTTATTCTTTAATTATTTGGTAGAATTTACCAACAAGTAAATCAGTGAATCCTCTTTTATCTTCTGTTTTCTCCCTTCTTGAACCAGAATGTATATGACCCTTATCCTATGCCCTTTTCATCATCACACTTTGGAAGAAGATAACTGGCTTATTAAATTTTACAGGCTCACAGTTGGAGAAGAATCATGCCTCAGATGGATT
Source organism: Homo sapiens (assembly GCF_000001405.40). NCBI lineage: Eukaryota > Metazoa > Chordata > Mammalia > Primates > Hominidae > Homo > Homo sapiens. The sequence goes on from NC_000013.11 coordinate 21,994,633, forward strand.
ATACATAATGCCTTGCCCATACCTTATTTAGATCATGAGATTCAGGACTTTTGAACAGATGAGGTTTGAATGAGATTTTGGATTTTGATTTGATGCTGTAATTGGTTGAGTCTTTTGGGGAACTCTAAGTGGGATAGATATATTTTACATTGGGACAGACATGTATTGTTGGGAACAAGAGGAAGATGCCCTGTGGTAGACAGAATAATGAACTCCTTGGAGATGTCCATGTCCTAATTCCTGGAGTCTGAATGTGTTGGTTTACTTGGCAAAAGGGAATTAAGATTGTCATTGGAATTTAGAATCCTAATCAGCTGACCTTAGGATAGGGATATTATCCTGAATTATCTGAGTGGTTCTATGTAATCACAAAATTCCTTAAAAGTGGAAAAGGGAGGCAGAAGAATGGGTGAGAGGGATGTGATGTGAGAAGAACTTCACCTATCCTGCAACCTTTCCACATACTCTTCCCTCAACCTGGAAGACTCCTCCTGTTCTTTACCTGGATAATTCTTACATAGCCTTCCATTCTCAACTCAAATGGTGTTACTTCAAAGATGCCTTTGCTCATTACCAAACGTATATTAGGCCCCTCTCTTACTTATTTATACTTCCTTTGTAAGCAGCGACATGGCTCTTTTGCTCACCCTGGTAAGCCTAGTGCCCAGTATATCATCTGACACACAATTGGTGGTCAACTGTTGATTCATGAGTGAATTTTATTGGTTACTGTTGATCGCCAGTGAAATAAGTGCTTAGAAACACTTATAGGCTGAATAGGAAGAATTAAACAAATGAATGACTAGATAATAGGTACGTGGGAGTCACAGGGATTGACATCTTATTTTATTCAGTTTTGCCTACATTGGCTCTTTTCTTACAAATGTCCTGATGCCTATTGAGTATATATCCATAAGGTTTCTTTGAGTTTTCTGGAAGAAATGGCTGTTGTTGATGTTGTTTTTAGCAGCTCTTTTGACTCGACCATCCTCACACCAGCGTTAGGTAATTTAGACAGATTAGAACATCAGCTTCTTCTCAGGAACCCACAGAAGTCTTGGAATGGAGACAGTCCAGAAATATACCCATGTCCACATTACTCAATCCCTAGAAATCGCTATATTTAAGCAGAATGAGCTAGTTTTTTCTAAGTGCAATTTCTACCTTGTTACTAGAGAATTGGATTTATATAGGTTGCCATCTCTTATACCAAGATACTTTCAGGGAAAGGAAAGTACAGGAGGTGTTTTAAGTGCAGTAGGAATTGTGAGTTAGAAAACATGCCTAACGTGTGGATTTCAAACAAAATTTGATTATTAATTTGATCCAAATCTTACTTTTCAGAAAGGAGAAAGATTTTAAAGACAGGGTAAGGAGATTCCTCCAAAATGCCCAAAGTAGACTTAAGCAATACAAAATTTATCACATCTACTTACCAAATTTTATAATTAATTCATCAGTTCAACAAAATTGCTAATCATCTCCTATGAACCACCCATTGTGCTAAGGGCTGTGAGGCCACCAAGACCGATATCATCAGAAGGCAGCTTGCACTTCCTGGGAGAAGGCATGCATCCCCATAGCTGAAGTCAAAGTGGCAAGTGTTCCCTGGCTGGTGGACCAGAGAGCTCCATGGGACCCAAAAGAGGGAGGGTGCAGGCCTGACTGGGAGGAAATCTGGTAGCAACGGGTTTCCGTTTCTCCTTGGATAAATCAAGAAGACTTTTCCTTCAAGGACATAGTAAGTTCAGTTTTACAAAAAATTTTATTTTTTCTTGATACATAATAGACATATACATTTTTGTTCAGTTTTGACAAGGTAAAGCACACACTTCCTCTTTCTTTTTTTTTTTTTTTTTTTTTTTTTGAGACAGAATCTCACTCTGTCACCCAGGCTGGAGTGCAGTGGCGCTATCTCGGCTCCCTGCAAACTCCGCCTCCCGGGTTCACGCCATTCTCCTGCCTCAGCCTCCCGAGTAGCTGGGACTACAGGTGCCCGCCACCATGCCTAATTTTTTTGTATATTTAGGAGAGATGAGGTTTCACCGTGTTAGCCAGGATGGTCTCTATCTCCTGACCTCGTGATCCGCCTGCCTTGGCCTCCCAAAGTGCTGGTATTACAGGCGTGAGCTACCGCGCCTGGCCAACAACTTCCTTTTTCTTTTTCACTCCTGTGATTCTGCAGCTAGAGAAAAAAAGGAGAAAGTTCAGTCAGAGAAGGATGTGGCTCCAGGTTGCCTCATGGGTGTGATTTTGAGTGGTGGGCAGTTCCTCCTACCTTCGCTTTCTCCCCGTAGCCTGAATACAGTGAGCCATAGTGTCGAGGCCTCAGGCCTCTTAATCCTCAGCTCTGTAGAGAAGGCATGGCCCATTGTTTCCATGGCAGTGCCCTGCAGGACAGTGACCTGCTCAAGTCTCGCCTACTAGGGACGACTTCCTATGAACTGATTTTTTTTTTTTTTTTTTGAGATGGAGTCTTGCTCTGTTGCCCAGGCTGGAGTGCAGTGGCGTGATCTCGGCTCACTGCAACGTCTGCCTCCTGGGTTCAAGGGATTCTCCTGCCTCAGCCTCCTGAGTAGCTGGGATTGCAGGTGCCTGTGACCATCTCCAGCTAATATTTTTTATAATTTTAGTAAAGACAGGGTTTCACCATGTTGGCCAGGCTGGTCTCGAACTCCCGACCTCAGGTGATCCGTCTGCCTCAGCTTCTGCCTGCCTTGGCCTCCCAAAGTGCTGGGATTACAGGCGTGAGCCACTGCGCCCAGTCTTTTTTTAATTTTTAATTTTTTTAATTTTTGATTTTTGTAGGTACATAGTAGGTGTATATATTTGTGGAGTACATGAAATATTTTGATACAGGCATGCAATGTGTAAGTGGGGTATCAATCACCTCAAGCATTCATCATTTATTTGTGTTACAAACATTCCACTTGTACTCCCTCAGTTATTCTAGACTGGACAATAAATTATTGCTGACTGTGGTCCCCCTGTCATGCTATCAAATACTAAATCTTATTCACTGTATCTAACCATATTTTTGTACCATTATCCATCCCCACTTCCCCACTGTCCTTCTCAGTCTCTGGTAACCATCATTCTACTCTCTATCATCATGAGTTCAATTGTTTTAATTTTTTAGCTCCCACAAATAAGTGAGAACATGCAAAGCTTTTCTTTCTGTACCTGTCTTATTTCACGTAATATCATGTCCTCCAATTCCATCCATGTTGTTGCACAAGGCAGGATCTCTTTCTTTTTCACAGCTGGATAGTGCCCCATGGTGTGTATGCAGCACATTTTCCTTATTCATTCATCCATCTGTTGATGGACAATTGGATTGCTTCCAAATCTTGACTGCCATGAATAGTGCTGCAATAAACATGGGAGTGTCGATATCTCTTAGACAAACTGATTTCCTTTTGGATGAAGTTTCAAAGCTCAGTGCAGTTTTGAGATTCTGGAAGTAAATGTCCCAACTCACACTAACAGCACTGGTTGATAGGGAGGTGGGCAGTCGGCCCCTCTTCTCAGTGTCCTCCATGTTTTCTGTAACGAGCATGCACTATAGTAAAACCTCAGCAGACTTGGTGGGACCTTAGAAGTCGTCTTATGCAGCATTTTCATTTTTCAAAAAGAAAAATGAAGGTGGGTTTCCCGTGGTGTCTTTCCCAAGGGCCCCTGACTGGCGTGTTCTCTGCCCATTCAACCCTTCCGGGAGCACCTCCACAGGCCTGAGCTAGGCTACAGGAGCCCTGACAAGTGAGAGACGGCATCTGTGCCTACTGGGAGCTGTCCAGTAGGGGTCCAGACACCCAGTCCATGAAGTGCAACTCGAGCCTTCCAGAGCAGAGACTTGTGTGAAGGACCTGCAGCAAGCTGGAGAGAATGGGGAATTCAGCCCCAGGCAGGAGGGATCTTCCCTTTGCTCGCTTCTGCCTCATTTGCTGTCTTTATGCCCAGCCTTCGATGGCTTCAGACTTCCTTCCTCCTGCCCTTTTCTTGCCGACCCCATTCCTCTTCAGAAGCAGGTAGTGAGAGATGAAAAGGGCTGTAAACAGCATTCTACGGTAATGGACGGGCAGGGAGCTCAGAGGGTGGAGGGACTGGGATGGGCAGAGACTGTTTCGTTTGATCTGCCTTTTACAGCTTCCCCCAGGATCCCACAAAGTCACTAACTTTGAAATAGTTAATGAGGGGAAAAAAAAGGCATGTTATTAAGGCAGTTTAATAAGCCTGAGCATTCAGAGGGCTGTGTTTCTAGCACTAGGAGGGCCCACATTATCTTGGATTTTGTGTTCAGTGCTCTGATAGCTAAGCATCATTCCTGAAATGAATGCTTTTGAAAGGAAAAAGTGCGCAAGGGAAAATACACCGTTGGGTTGCAGTGTTCTCCTGTTTGATGTGAATTGGGCTCTCCCTGTGCAGTGCCAGTCCCTTGCAGCAGACCAGTCCTTCTCACGCCACTCTTGGAGAGAATGCCAGGGCATATCAGAGACTTAATGCTCCCCTCATCTGCCTGACAGCTGGTTTGAGTGCTCAGCTGAGCCTCAAGCACACTTCTGTGCTCACCAGCACACAGGAGGGGCTGGCAGCTGGGAGGAAATGCTCTGTGCTGTGTCTGGAGCCTGGACATCAAGACATGTCAAGAGAGAGCCCAATATGTGCTGTGAGGCCTTAGGGATTTCTGATCAAGAGAACTGTTTGCTATTTGGGAGCACGCAGCTTGGACCACCATTCTCCTGCCTCTCCTGCTTCCCATGTGATCTGAGACACCTGCATTCACCTGACCAGTCGGTCCCAAAGCCTGAGCAACAACCCAGCTCCTCCCTGGCCGTCCAAAGCGTTCTTGGCTACACAGTGTCTTTTATGATGCCTGTTCCTTGAATTTTCTGTTGAAAATATTCGTAAATTTTCTGTTGAAAATATTCATACATTTTCTTGTTGTTAGTATTTGAAAAAACATCTCTTTAAAATGGTCATAATGCTTGAGCCCTTCAGTCAGGGCCAGCAGGTGAGAAGTTGGAAGAGTGTGTCTTGTTCTGAAGTAGTTTGTGGAGGAGAGATTTCAGGGAAAGAAGAGAGGTGGAGGAGGGAGAATCCAAGGGCGGGCTGGAGACAGAAGCTGTGGCTGGAACGTGGGCCACTCCAGAATCTGGGTGCAGGAAGGCAAGAGGGCTTCCTCAGCTCTCACCTCGCTGAGGCCAAGCCTGCTCTGGCCCTCACAAGCACACTTCATGCCCAGCTGGGATTTCAGGCCTGCTCCCAGTCCTTCTCAACTTGCTCCTCTGCTCCAGGAGAAGGCAGAGTGATGTCGCTGTGCTTCTGCGCTGGCCCCATTTCTGGGTAGCGCCACACTGAATGCTCACTGTGGTCTCACATGTCTTCTCTGAAATGGATAGGACCTTCTCCAGGGTTATTCTGACTTGTGCTTCTTTTTGCACCCCCTCTCCTAGTAATGATATGGAAGGGAAGTGCTGGGAAGGGAAGGGCGTGGTCCCTTTAAATAACACATAATGGGAAAGTGTTGGTTAGAGGAAGGCATGGTCCCTGGCTAGGGCTCTACCCCCTTGGACCTAGGTGAGGACAGGCATTTCCTGACCAAATGTTGCATTTCGCAAGATCACCCTGGCCTGCCATGCCCCCATCCTGTGCCCATAAAAACCCGAGAGACCCTAGCAAGCAGACACACGGGTGGCTGGATGTGGAGAGGAGCACATCAGCAGAGGAACACACGGGCCGCTGGATGGAACCGGCATGCTGGCAGGCCACTGACCGGCAGAGCGACATGAAGTTTGACTGGGGCAGTTGGAGGAGAACTCGGGCCACCGAGTAGCCTGACTCCAGGGGAAAATCTTCCCACTCCATCCCCTCTGGCTTCGCCCATCTGCTGAAAGCTACATCCACTCAATAAAACCTTGCACTCATTCTCCAAGCCCAGGTGTGATCCGATTCATCCTGTACACCAAGGCAGGGATAAAGAAAGCCCTCTGTCCCTGCCACAAGTTAGAGGGTCTAATTGAGCTGGTTAACGCAAGCCGCCTATAGACAGCAAAACTAAAAGAGCATCCTGTAACACACACCCACTGGGGCTTCAAGAGCTGTAAACATTAACTCCTAGACACTGCAGTGGGGTGGGAGCCCCACAGCCTGCCCGTCTGTATGCTCCCCTAGATGTTTGAGCAGTGGGGCACTGAGGAAGTGAGCCACATCCCATCACACACCCTGCGAGGGGGACAAGAGAACCTTTCCTGTTTCAGTAATTATGGTGATGGTAGTAGTAATGGTAATAAGAACGGAATAGGCATAGGTTACATGTGCTGGCAGCTTCTAGGCACCAATGTGGAGTGCTGGAGTGCTTATGGACTTGCTTAATCCTCATAAACACACTGCTGTGAGATGGCAGGGGAGCCTGCTCAGGATCGCACACCTAACCAGGGCCACACCAGGCTGCCTCACTTCAAAGCTCTTGTGTTGATCCAGGGGGAAATGAACAGAACCAAACGCTGGAAGTTCTGGACCTGAGACAGGAAATGGATTTTGTGAATGAGAAAGCGAGCGGTGGTCTCATTCTGGCTTCACTACTGTGACCATGATAGGATGTGGGCATTTTTAAAGACCTGACAACCCTGGACCTGCCATTCTGCCCAGATGAGTTGGAGGGACTGATCTGTTGGAGGACCGAGTCCCCGCATGGCTGGCAGCAGTCTTCTGCCATTTGTTCTGACGAGGCCGAGCTTCACAGCTGCAGTGGGTGACATTGGGAGCTAAGGAACTCAAAGCAGATAACACAAAACATGCCAGCAATCGAACTCTAGCCTCAACCACTGCCAGCTGTTTAAGGGCAAGATGGATGAGCTAAGAGTGCTCCGAGTTACTGCCCGGCAGTGGGAGCCTGCCTGCTGTGGCCCACAATGCCTCAAAGCTCTGGTAGAATAACTGCCCACAGGGATGAGTTCCTCTCTCTCTTACACCAACCCCTCCCCAGGTCCTTTCTTTTCACACCATGCTAGTGCACAGCCACAGCTATTTGGAGGCACAGAGACTGAGTGCCCACTGCATACGTTTCTCACGGACGTAGCGTCCAGAGATGTCATTTGCAGACTCTGACTGGGGTTGTCTCTCTGTGGAAGAGACACCCCGTGGGGCTGCCTCAGGTGATCCCACCATGCACCGTCTGGTCACTGTGGAGTGGCTAGTGCTGTGTGCCCTTCCTGTTGACATAATGAATTATAGGTTTTGTGTCCAGAGACCTGGTCTGGAATAACTATATCTGGCTCATTTCAAGTCACGTGGCTTCCTTCTTGAAGCAGGAAATATAATATTGACTATGTGGGTGATAGTTTCGCTAAATTAATATGGGATTAGTTTTAATAGTTACGTAGCAACACTACCAGGTCGTATCTGCGATGTGCCAGCCTGTGGGATCTCATCATGTAGTTTGAGAATGAAAAGCATTTTTCTATTATAATCACATATATAATATTAAAAAGCAACAGTAATATTCAAGATGTCCTATCTGCTCATCTCACCAGGTCTACAGAAAGTTGCTCCCATCTGCGGGGAGATGCCTTTGATGGTATTGATCGGCTGTACCTCTGCTATTGATCTGCCTTACTTCCTGCCTTTAGCCCACACAATTTATGGTTGTGTCCACTTTGTCCCCCATCACTAGGGAGGACCATGGTTTATTTCGTGAGCAATTCTAGCACAGAGTAGGTGCAGGTTAGAAGGTATCCCTGCATTCTATTAGACATTATCAGTTTCAGAATCGCCATCATTATTACATAATCTGAGGGCTGGAAGAGACCTTGGGGACCACTGTGAGACTGGTTCTATCCCAACAAATTTGACATTATTCTTTTTAGTCTTTGCTGTGCAATGGAGGGACACTGAAGCTGGTATTAACGGTGAGGCATGGACAGACAGGAGTCACACTAGAGGCAGCAGTGTGGCCAGGGCCTGCTGCCTGGCCAGAAGTTCGCACATCTGCTGTGGTCCCCGCCACAAAACCTGCCTTCGGGAGGCTGCTGAGCCTGCTGAAGGTGGAGCTGAAGTTGGGTCTAATCCGGCTAACAGGCAGCCACTAAGCCCACGTGCACTAAAATGCGGCTGGTCCAAATCAGGATGGGCTATAAAATGACAAATACACACTGGATATCAAAGCATTGGCTTGAAAAAAGAATGTAGAATATCCCATCAATGTTGTATGTTGCTTACACCTTGAAATAATAATATTTGGGATATTTGGAATTAGATAAAATAGATTACTAACATTCATTTTATCTGTTTCTTTTTACTTTTTAAAATGTGGTTCCTCAAAAATTTTAAAAATTACTTTTTAAAACGTGGACTACTTTACTTCTAACCTGCAGTCCTGATCCACAGCCCAGAAGATGGCCTTGAGTCATATCCAGAGGCCCAGTGTGTTTCGGGGTCAGAGTCAGCCCGGAGACAGCCAGGCTGGGCACCAGGGTTCTCTGTCTAACCAGGCTTGCCCTCTGAAGAGCATGGCTTATTTATCAGCTGCCTTGACATCAGCTTCTGCCTCTGTCCTGTGAGAGGTTTAGCCTAGAACTGGTTTCTGTGCATCGTCCAGCTCTAAAGGAATAGTGACAAGTTATTTCAACATGAGGGGCCAAGCTCTGTGCTGGGAATCTGCTGCCTTCAGTTCTGGTTTCTCTCCAACCAGTGAGCTGCTGTGTGTCTTGGAGCAAGTGACTATAGCAGTGGCATCTGCTCACCTCCAGTTCTATCATTTTGTTTTTCTAGAAGGGTAAAGGAAAATGAGTGCCATGAATGCCACCATGTGAACTGGGGATCGAATGGGAGACAGGTTCCGCACCACCAGAATCTTGGATGATTCACGTCGGCTCTGCTTTGAGTGGACTTGCCGTATTTGGTTGAAAAACGTAGCTGATGTGAGCAGCTGTGCAAAGATATGTGGGACTCTACACTATGAGAGCTTCTAGAACCACAAATGCTCAATGGAGACAGTCCTCCATTCTACACTCAGTCTCTATGACTGTTTGTTGGACTCCGTAACTGTGAGTGACAGTTCAAAGCCCCGTCTGGTCACGGTTGGTGAGGGCCTGGAGATAGTGGAAAGAGAGGGCATGGAGGTCCCTGGCATGGCAATGAGGAAAGCACACAGCTTTCTCTTGTTGGCAGCATCAACCAACACATTTTGATTGTGCATTAGGGCTGTTTGTGGTGGCACAGCTCAGTACAGTGTTGGCCATAAAAGGGAAACTAGACCAGAAAAACAAAGCAAAGCAAAGCAAAACAAAACAAAAAAGAAAAGAGAGAAGAAGGCATTGGGAAACTAGAGGAAGAACGACTCTCTAAAATATGATCAGGGAAGGAATATCCAGTGAAATGTGGCATTTGAAGATGGAATGCATGACCTACTAATTGAAAGCTGCATACTAGGAACATTTGATATCAATACAATTTACTCAACCAAATTACTGTTATTAGTGAGTAACAATGACAAAGAGTTATCCAACATCCACACATTTAATTTTGGTGATTATTATTTACGCGTGATTTATTACCCCCAGTGCAAAGCACAGCTGGAAGGATCACAGAGATGACTCGCAAGTTCCTAAGGCCAAATTTTTGTTTTGTTTTGCTTCGCCAAAATGATGGTTTTATCGAATCCCCGGGATGACAGCCTACACCTGATAGATATGTCGCTAACACCAAATGCATTGGAGGAAATGCAGGAGCATTGAATTATAACTTTGTTTCTAATGAGAGGTTCAACCTTCTCTTTGTTCTTAAATAAGAAGCCCTAACCAGAGATCTTGAGAAGGATACAAGCCTAATACTTTCTTTAAGACAGTAGTTGCAGACTACAAAGAGGGCACGGTAACACCATGTTATGTTCAAATCACTTGAAATGATTTAATTGCAGTATTTCTACCGTTTTTAGGAAGGCTGCCTTTCCAGGCCCACCAAAAACACTTACAGCGCATTCTTAAGCCTGCACAAAAATAATTTGCATAATTGTTATATTTAGGGAACAATGGGCCAGAGGGGAATCCCATTCTTGTCCCAGCATTTAATTCTGTGTAAGGTAACACTGTTCCCACTGCCAGAGCCCATCCCTTTCCTATTTTAGTTGCAGTTGGATAGCAGCAGGCAATGTACATTGCAACGTATGCATTTAAATCAAATTATCTTTTATTAGAAAACTTTCAGCGGGGCGCTGTGGCTCACGCCTGTAATCCCAGCACTTTGGGAGGCCGAGGCTGGCAGATCACTTGAGGCCAGGAGTTCAAGACCAGCCTGGGCAACATGGTGAAACCCTGTCTCTACTAAAAATACAAAAATTAGCTGGGAATGATGGCACATACCTGTAATCCCAGCTACTTGGGAGGCTGAGGCACAAGAATCACTTGAACCTGGGAGGTGGATGTTGCAATGAGTCCTGATCACAACGCTGCTCTCCAGCCTGGGTGATAGAGCAAGACTCTGTCTCAAAAAAAAAAAAAAAAAAAAACTTTCACAAAGGTTAATCCTACAGCATATCAGTCAGTAAACCACCGCACCAACAACTAGCAATGAAGATGGAATAGTTCAGTTAAAATGAATTAAAGGCAGTAGCTAGTCCTCCAAAGGGTCAAGTTCTCAGATTTTCCAAAATTTTCATTGACTGTGAGTGACTGCCTCACCTGTGTACTCTGGTGTCAGGAGGGGAGGCAGTGTTCTGGGTGGAGATAGGTTTGCACATCTCTCTGTTGGATAGGCCTCTGGCCAAACCACTGTGTCTGGTGGTGGGATTTTGAACAGAAAGCCTATGGAGCTTTATAACTAGAGTGAAAGCCACAGGCCACGGAGAGCCTTCTCAATCCACAGCAGGCCTGGGTACTAATCCATTGCCAGTGTTTTCTTTTGGGAACCTGTAAATTCGTGAGAATTCCCTCTCTCCTCTATCAACGGTTTTTTTAATGATTTCTATTCCCAGGCTGTCTCTGACATTCAGCATAAATGCTACCTTTGCCTAATTCTTAAACAAATAGATTTTGCCCCCAGTCAAATGATTAGGGCAAAGACACCTATCGTACAGTGCTAGCCATGGGATGGATGGAGGGGTTGGGTGTTTTAGTGCTTCTTCCCCATAATCCCCATCTATTTTACCTTCAAACCACCCCAAATAAACACTAATTCTAAGTAAATGCAGTGTACTTGCTGTGCAAATGATTTAAAATAATTCCTGCCATGTTCTTGTCACCCCAATCAAATTGTCACCAGCTTCTTTCTTTAGGAAGCCCCTCCCTGCGGGAAGTCCCAAGAGCTGGCAGTGCTTCAACAGCGGGCCCCTTCCTACCTGTGGCCTTCTCTATACTCTCATTTAGTTTCGGGGGAAGCTTGACACTATGGCTGTCCTTAGACTTCCTACCGCATTCATAACCTGGGAGATTCTCATTTGTTCTAATTCCTGAATTTTCCCAATGGGTCTTAAAAAAATAAATTACAAATATTTGAAAAGTGAAGTATTTCTTATCCGAAAGTTAGACAGCCTTGCCCTTTAGATGTTCCAGTGTGGCATGTCAAATCCTTAACTCAGTTGGTTTATCTCTGCTCCAGCTAACTGGAACATAAATTCCCCTGTTTTTTACCACTCGTCTCTATTGAAAGCAGCAATTTTCTGGCTGAGATGCTATCACAGGAACCAGCAGCCTTGGGGCCTAATCTGAGTTCCATGATAGAGTGTCTGTTGTACATGATGGGATATTTCTGAATGTATCTAGGCTTCCATTTCTCCATGGACAAAGTGAGAAGACATTGTCTCCACCCTCATCGTAAGTGGGGTGTAGAGATAAATTATGTTTTTGGAAGAATTTTGAGCTCTTAGGATGAATGTGATTTTAAAATCTGCAGAAACCCTTATTGCTGCCATTCTGTTGACCCCAAATCTTTAGTGTCCTGGATCTTTGCTTTTTGCTAATACACCAGTAATGGTTGTTTATGATGATATCTTTGAAATGCTGCAAGATTCCAAAATGTCTTCTGAGTCCCCAAAGAGACCTTCAGAATGCATCCAGTAGATTTTTACTATTTAGTAGATAGTAAAGGACATTCTAGATATTTGGACAAACAAGGGTGATATTAACTCTGTCAATCAAATATTAAATGATTAAAAACATGATAGGAGAGTCTATTCTCTATAACAATGTCTTTCTCCCCCTCTGTCACATAGACACACATCCATAGAGAGAAATAAAGAAACCCAACACAGCATGGTATAGAACAGTAGATAACCCTTGCTTCCTTCTTCTCTACTCTTATCCTAAGAGACAGATCTTCCCTGTTCATTTTAGGATGGAACTCATTTAACAAAATCTTTATTATATGAACATCAAAGACCTAATTAACACAGATTGTGTGTATATATATATATATAAGAAAATAGAATTCTTATAGTTTGTAGAATAGGACTTCCTGGTCTTGACCTGGTCTGCTGTAGCACTCAGAGGCCTTTGCTGAGAGAGTGTGTGTGTGTGTGTGTGTGTGCGTGTGTGCGTGTGTGTGAGGTGTGTGTGTGAGGTGCCACACGCCAGCAAGCTGATTGTAGATTATGACTCTTGAATGGGTAATGGCTCTTAGTTTATGCATCTCTTACAGGAATGTAATTTTTCTTCACTAAGAAAATAAGTTTTGAAAATAAGTAACTTTAAGGTAGTTCATAAGTTTTACAGCTAAATTTTAGGTAGACTATGAATTTATTCTGTAAATATATAAACAGAAAATAGTGGGACATGAGAATGGGAAATATTACTGGTACTGGCAGAATCTACCAGAGCACTAGACAGATACTATTCAATGGTCATGTCCCATGGTCCTCCTGGCTTCACAGTACTTGGTAGTCCAAGGGACATCAGCACTGTGTCGGTGGAAGAAGAGGCGGCTGGAAGAGGATAATTCAGACCTCCTAACAAGTCTGTGAATTGTTTCATATCCATTGTTTATGTGGTGAGGTCTCACAGGACCCACAGATTAGCACTGGGTGAAGGATTGTGTATGGGTATGATACGGTGTGGATGTTTGTCCCTCCAAATCTTTTGTTGAACTGTGACCTCCAATGTTGGAAGTAGGTCCTGGTGGGAGGTGTTTGGATCATGGGGGTGGCTGCCTCATAAATGGCTTGGTGTCCTCCTCACAGTAATAAATGAGTTCTCACTTGATGAGTCCTCTCAGAGAGCTGGTTGTTAAAAAGAGCCTGGCACCTTCCCTTTCTTGTCATGTGGCATATCAGCTCCTCCTTCAGCTTCTATTATGATTGGAAGCTCCCTGAGGCCTCACCAGAAGCAGATGCTGGCGCCATGCTTCTTGTACAGTCTGCAGAACCATGATCCAAGTAAACCTCTTTTCTTTATAAATTACCCAGGACCCAGTGATTCTTCACAGCAACACAAAACAAACAGAGGGTACCACTGGGCACTCTGACTAGAGACTTCCACACTCCTTCCTCTCCCTGACCTTGTATTTCCTCATCATCCACCCTGCTGCTTTGTAAAGCCCCACTCTACACAGAAACACTCATGTTCCAGGCCCAGTTCACAACCACTATAGTGTTGTCACACACAGGGTCCGCCCCTCCCTCCTCACTTCAGGATCCTCAGTGAGCTCACACCCTTAAATTTTTGTGTACATATGTGTGTCTCTCTGCTCAGGAGGCTCCTTCGACACTGAGAGCATTTCTCATGATAATGATTATCTTCACATCCCTGTCATCACACTTAAGACATCACTTTGTACACAGTAGGTACTTAATAAAGTTTAGTTGTTTTTAAATAATCACAAGTATTTGTAAGGCCGTGGTTAGTTGTCTTATGACTTTAAGGGTGAGAGTAATGATTTTTTTATTTTATTTTTTATTTTTTTGCTTTCCAGCATTCTTGATTTCTCTTTGAATGTAGGCAGTCCCCACTCTTCTGGCCTAGATCTCCATGTGTTCTTGCTCTCTCTCCACACCTGTCTTTCGTGGTGGGGGCTGCTATTGCACTTTTGACCACTATCTATTTTTTAATGATCCCCAAGTCTGAGCTTTTGTGCTCACATCTGTCCCAACCACTTGTCTTGTGTTATCCCTCCACCAGACACTGCCACCCACATCAGCACAGATCCCTCATCGTCTGCTCATCAGCCCCTACCCACTGAGCTCCAGATTTTGCTCAGTGATGTTACCAAGTGCCCAATAACCTGAGCTGGAATCCCTATCTCTTTTGAATCTGCGTCTTCTTATTCGCAGTGATTCTTTGCATGCAGAATGAGTCGTCTAATGTTCTGTGTAAGACTCCTTTGCATCTTGAAGCTGTTGTTCACATCTCTTCAGCAATATGTTTGAGGCCCCTTGTAACCAGCTCACCCGGGTTCCTGCAGGATCCCTCGGGCCCAGCACAGTCATCTTTCTTTTCTCTTTGAGAGCACCTCATTGTCTCCTGTCTCCCTGTCTTTCACCATGTGCAATGCCATTTCTGCGAACATCTGCCCAGTACCAGTCTACTCATACTTAAGACATCTGGCCCAAGGACTGTTGTACCTGTTCCCCATTCGATTTTTCTCTGGGTCTCAAAGCTCTTACTTTACACACCTGCAGTAGCAGGGGCTTCTTGTAACATAATTACCTGGTTATGCTTCATCCCTTTGCTAGACTTAGTTCTCCTAGAGGAAGGACTGTGCTTAATCATCCTGATGTCTATAGCATAGTTATCAGTTAGAAATAGAAACTTTATTCATTGAATGTATTTGGTAATCAGGTCTCTGCACCTAAAGACATTGGTAGCACGTCACTCACCTCATCGCACCGGGGACAGAGAAGCAAATGTGTTCAGCTCAGGCTGCCATGACAAATTACCATAGATTTGGTGGCTTGAACATTTATTTCTTGTGGTTCTGGAGGCTGCAGGTCTGAGGTCGGAGAGGCTGCACATCGGGTTCTGCTGACAGCGCTCTTCCGGGTGATGTCCTCAGATGACCTTTCCTTGGTGCCTACGTGCAGGGAGAGGGTTCTCATGTCTCTTCCTCTTTTTATAAGGACACCAGTCCCATCATGGAGGCTCCACCCTCATGACCTAATCTAACCCCAATTACCTTCCAAGGGCCCCACCTCCAAATGCCATCACACTGCGGATTAGGTTGTCAGCATATGCATGTTTGGGGGACACACACGTTCAGTCTACAGCAAACTGGAAGCTCTGGGCACGTGCCCTCTGTGAACTCCATGCTCTGTGGTTTGGTTAGGACTTTTCTCTGCTCTACTCTCTTTCCATTTTGGGCCGCTGAGTTCTGCATTATTCCTGTGAGCAAGAGAGGTCCTGCCTCCCGCCTTTCAGCTTCCCACACCAGGTGACTTGTGCCTCAGGTATTTCCCTGTTTGGTCCTGTCAGAAAGGAAGCAAGATGACATAGGTTAGACAAAGTGGCATTTGAGATGGTAATTGAGCAAAGACATCTTTGTTTTTAGAGGCAGAGTTCTCTCTCTGTCGCCCAGGCTGAAGTGCAATGGCGCAATCACAG
Source organism: Homo sapiens (assembly GCF_000001405.40). Classification (NCBI taxonomy): domain Eukaryota; kingdom Metazoa; phylum Chordata; class Mammalia; order Primates; family Hominidae; genus Homo; species Homo sapiens. Next base: position 22,010,157 of record NC_000013.11, read on the forward strand.
CCCACTGCAGCCTTGACCTCCTGGGCACAAGCTATCTTTTCTCCTCAGCCTCCCAAGCAGCTGGGACTACAGGTACGTGCCACCATGCATATTGTTTTTGACTGGTAGAATGTGGCTAAAGGACCTTTAGCCATGGAGAAAATCGTGCGTGAAAACATGTTGAGGTCCAGAAGAGAGGAGAACAGATAAAACCAGTAGCAGATCACTAGTAGGAGAGAATGAAAGATGAGGCTGGCCAGCTCACAGATGGCTTGACTCTGAGGAAAGAGGAGGCCTTGGAAAGATGAATCCACTGCTGATGTTGAGGTGCGGTTTTCCCAAGCTTTGTCAGATGGCACATGTAATGAGCCTCGTTCAGCTGCAGCTGGATAAGCCCGCTGCTTCACTCTCTGGAATGAAAATGCTTAATCAAGGTTTCGGCTACAGAGTTTTGATCAACAGTGCAGTCCCCTTTGTATATTTGTGGATTATCAGATACCTGAAATAAATTCTGGGCTGCATTTTATTTAGTGCCTAATTACAACATCTAACTTCCTGAGTGAGCTCTGGTGAGGGCTGCAAGAGGCACTGACTGCCCAAGCCCAGGTGGCCAATCTGCCGGTTCTCTGTGTGTTTCAGCTTCTTATGCTCACCCACTGTGCCCGACTTCATACAGAGCTCAGTGTAGTGTTTAGCATGAAGAAAATGATGACATTTAGTAATGGGACTTTGTGGCCTGCAGTTAGTGGTGGAAAGGAATGATGAACTCTCTGAAAAATGAGACATGATGTCAGATGTTCTCTGTCAATTTCAAATCTCCACAGTGCTGATTGTGTGTGCTGTGTGTTTGTATGTGTGCACATGTGTTTGTGTGTGCACATTCTGTCCTGTTTACTCACTTTGAGGCTTCGCAGGGCAGGCTATTTATGAAGCATACAACTCACAATGTCAATGTTAAGCCCTAAATGCTAAGTCCATGCCAACCTAGGTCTTGGCCTGCTACAGAAATGGAGAAATGAGTACCTCGTGGTGGGTTTACACCACGAAAGACCACGTAATGTGCTACACATGCGTGGTTCTTCCCCCGGGACGTTGTCTGTGGCATAGCAGGTACTGGCTCTGTAGAAAAGAGTTTCACTTGGACAAGCTAGTGTCAAATAAGTTTTACCTGAATGAGCAGAGTTCTCTCCTTGGGCTAAACCCAAAGTGCCGAGACGTTCCCTCTTGTAAGCCTGGCTACCCCTGCCATGTCCTGTGTTACCTGGCTCGTAAGCCTGGCTACCCCTGTGCCACGTCCAGGCTACCCCTGCCACATTTCTGTGTGCGGGGTGACCTGTTTCATGAACCTGTTTCATGGCGGAACGTGTCCTTGCTGCTTCAGCATGATGCAGTCACGGTACACTGGACCAGGGAACACTGGGACGGAAGAAGTGAACTTTGCGGTCCCCCATTCTCTGCCGGACTCTGGTCCAGAAGTGCACAGCATTTGCAGCCACAGCCACTGCCAGAGCCAGGTGCGACCCTTCATCCCCACTTCCCAGGCGAGAAAACTGAGGCCCAAAGTGGAACAACACCTAGTTATTATGCATCGTGGAGGCGTCAGGAAAGGAGTATGTGTCTGTCTGTGTATATGTGTGTGTGTGTGTCTCTGTGTGGGTGTCCATGTCTGCGTATGTTTGTCTGTGTGTGTCTCTGTATTTGTCTTTGTGTGTGTCTGTCTGTGTGTATGTCCCTGTTGTCTTTCATGTGTCTGTGTATGTCTCTGTGTGTGTCTGTATCTGTGTGTGCCTCTGTGTGTATGTGCACAGACACATGTGTGCTTAGGGGTAGTGCAGGAATAAGGACCTGAAGGACAATGTTCTTCTTTTCACCTGAAGCCTGTGGCAAACATCCTTCCTTGGCTTCAAGGGCAGTCGACTGTCAGCTGTCATGCGGTGGGGACAGCCTCGGACAGAGCGCGCCATGTGCAGCTCAGCTCAGCGATGAGTGCTCGCTCAGACTTTGGACATCTCACGTCTAATGTATTTGGACCTGCTTGTTTCTGTAATGAAAAAAACATGCTGCTTCTCATGGATAATAACTTTTGACTTCCTGGACAGCTCTTTTGTTTTGTTTACTTTAGCAGAAAGTATTCCACCCTTTAAAAATATTACTCTCTCTTTTATCTGTTTTAGAGGATTAAAAATACATCAATGTGTTTATATTTAAAAATGGGAAATGTCAAAAACATTTTTATAGTATCTTTCTTTTAATCTTCATTTAACGGACTTTGGGGGTGGGGAATAGCTTCTAGGTTGTGTTCAATTTTGTCCATTTCTGAAAGGACTTATTTCTCTGTTAAGGATTCCACACCTTTTGTGTTGGACAGATGTTCAGGAGTTTTAAAAAGGCATATCACATTTCTTTGAACCTAGTAGTTTGAAGTATACGTTAATATAATATTAGACTCATTAGGATTAAAATTTGTTTGCTCATGATATTTAAATTTGTAAAAAGCATTAAACTCTTTGAATGACACCACATTCTGTTGCACGTTTTATTTTTGTTTTTAGCTATTTGGAACATAACTTGCCATGCTCCATTATAGCACCCTGGGACAATTATGCCTCTTTATCCCTGGTTGAGCCAGAGGCACCCAGAGCATGCTCCAGAGGTGCTGAAAAGAGCCTGAGTGACTAAATCCCCTCTTCCTGTGCCAAATGGTGAGAATGCTCCAGTGTGTCCCACTTCCTGGTGACATGGAAGAGAAATGGTCTTTGCTGTTGGTAATTTCAGGCTGCTGCTAACAGGAGCAATGACCCCATAAAAGGTTTTCAGCTGTTGACAATGTAAACAGACAGAATTACTGGAAAAAAAAAATTCTACCTTTGAAACAGTCAAGAGCTTTTTCTCTTTCATTTGGAAGTAATGATTCGAGCACTTCGAGGAGCCACAAATGTACACAATTTAGTGATGTTTTGTAGTTTTTTTGTGTGTGGGGGGGGGAAGCACTGATGAGACTTTTTCTCTCCCTTCATCTTATAGTTTTATTCTCTCACAAAAGCATATTAAATAAGATAAAGACCTGTGATACTATGCAATGAACACTAAAGTGACTAAAATGAAATGAAAACATATCATTAATTTGTAAAAGTTCTACATTCAATCAAACAGAATTGCAGAGACATATCTGTAAAATAGTCTAGTTAATATAGTGGAAAGATCTAATTATCTGCGGCTAAAGTTACCTCATTAATGTTTAATGCCAATCATAAATTTGTGCATTTATTAGAAATGAAAAAAAGAAATGGAAATAACTGGGGCTTTTGGCCATTGTGCTGACTGTTGCTGGAGACTGAGAAACTGTTCAAGGGTGGAGGTTTTTTCTTCTTTATTTCCACCTCCCCATCTCCTTCCAGACTGTCAGAGCCATGGGAGAGACAGTAAGTGTTCTTCGAATGGATGCATTGGAATTCAATGGGTCTTCTTGTTCAAATCATTTTCTGCTACACAGGAAAAGTCCTCTAAGGGTCAAAAGGATGCTCAAGTATAGTCACCCAGTGTCATTTCCCCTTGCAAACCCATTTCTCCTGTGGGGCTTCCCAGGGCAGTTTCTCTCACCTGTGATGCTTGTTATACTGAGGATGATGGAGAAAGGGCTCCTGGAACCACCCATCAAATATGTCTCCTTTCGCATTTGGACTTTCTGTCTTTAAATCTGTGTTGCCTTTACAACTGCGAGGTTGCGGTAACTCTGGTTTTCCTGAATCAGACAAATAATTTCAAAGACATTATTTGCATTTACTAACTAATTTTCTCCTGAGACCAATTGCACATAATACAGTGCATTGCCCATCTCTGTAAACGATGCCCAGAGTAAATTAGAAATCAAAGTTGGGTCCAGAAATAGTTGACGTTACTCTAGCACTCACTGTTCTAACCCCAGATGGTCTTGTTAATCCTTAGAACCTTCTGCCATTTCCTCGCTATTGCTGCCGTGGAGCTGGGTGGGTGTTCACCTAGACGTCTCTTGCTGTATGCAATTTTTATGATGTCTGTGGTTTTGACATTGTGGGCTATTACTGATGTGTCGTGTAAGACAGGATCCCCTTCAAGTCTTCCCTCAGCCCAGGTAGGTCATGTTGATTGGATGTTTTATACCCCATTCATTTGCACTGCAGTTGACTAACATATCTTCAGCCTGCAGAATCCTGCCCAAATTCACACTGTTAAGCAAGTTCCCTTGGCCGCCCTTACAAGATGATTATTTGCTAATTTGAGAACTGAAAAGTAAGTAAAAAGAATTTCCCTTAGGATTCAAACCAAATACTTTCATACCAGCCAGATATCTGCACCGACATTCTCTTAAGATGTCAAAAATTGTGGAATGTTTTAAAACTATTTCAAAAGGTCTACCTTTTAAGTCTATGTCTTGCAGTGTTGAATAACCTCACAAATGCACAACAGTGGAACATCAAAGCAAATGCTGCCCATTTATCATTATAGTTTAGGCAGTCAGCACACAAACCATGCTCCTCCTTGGTGCCCGGGGTACGTGATGGATGAGTCACTGGAAAGGATGTCAGAACAGCCACCACTTAGCCAGAGGCAAGAACTTCGTAGACTAAGAATCAGATCTGGCAAACCTAGATTCTGGAACGCCTTGTTCAATTCCAATTCCCCATAACTTAGACTCAGACTTGTGACGGGAAAAATTTAGCACCAGCAGGCCTACAGAGTGCTTTAATGCTGGAGGTGTATTTAATGTTTATGAGTCCTATATAATCCAGAGACCTTGTTTGTTCCTTGGCAAGGTGGTACTGCTCATCTACTTCAAAGGCTGACTAAATTAAAAAAAAAATGACTAGAATTGCTAGCCACCCTTCATTACCACACACTTTATGGAGGCATGCGGAATAATTTCATTTGCTTTTATTTCAGGGACTGTTACGTATCTATGTCCCATTTCATCTTCACTCTTTCAAGCTGATGCCCAGATCTCCAGAATAACTCTTATGAGCGTGCTACAGTTTCCCAGGTATCTTTCTTCTTAGTCCATTGCCCTAATTTTGGGCATGGATCTGTAATTCCAATTACTATGCACACATACATGAATACCTCTCTCTCACACACACACAAACAGACACACACAAATCATACATGTCAAAAAGATTGAAGGGAAATTGATCAAAATGTTAAGAATAGCATATTGTGTGATAAGGATATGGTAATTTACTTTCTTTCTTTTTTCTTTTCTCTTTTTTTTTTTTTTTTTTGAGACATAGTCTTACTCTGTTGCGCAGGCTGGAGTGCAGTGGCACCATCTCGGCTCACTGCAAGCTTCGCTTCATGGGTTCACGCCTTTCTCCTGCCTCAGCCTCTCGAATAGCTGGGACTACAGGCGCCCACCACCACGCCCGGCTAATTTTTTGTATTTTTTAGTAGAGACAGGGTTTCGTTGTGTTAGCCAGGATGGTCTCGATCTCCTGACCTCGTGATCCACCCGCCTCGGCCTCCCAAAGTGCTGGGATTACAGGTGTGAGCCACCGCGCCTGGCCGGTAATTTTCATTTTTTATGTGTTCTCATTTTTAAAATTCTATAATAAACATAAACCAATTTATTATCAGAAAGATACTATTAAAATGTTTCTTAAGAAGTTCAAATTTATAAATTACTAAACAAGACCTGTATGTATGCACACACATCCTCCCAGGTACTTGTGTCAATCTTATTTTTTGGCCATCTGCTGCAAAACTTGAAGGATAAAAATATCTGCTAAGAGAAGAAGTTTTACTTCAATGGATAGATGTCCTAACTTAATACTATATTTCCCTGCCATTAGGGTGCCATCAGTTTTTATGGCATAACAGCATTTGGGGTATGATTAAGAAAAACCCTTTATGACACTCTATGGCATTAAGAATCATTCTAATTGCAGAGATGTTAAAATGTACATTTTAGAACTTATAAAATATGAAATAATCCCTGTCTTACACAACTTCAGAAAGCAAATTATTAGGGAGCACCACCCAGGTTATTTAGTAAGTTTAGGGCAACCCCAATATCAAACCCTGATAGATACTGCAAGATAAAGAAACTGTAGATCAATATTTGTCATGAATGTAGGTAGATCCTTCATTATGTATTACCAAACTGAAGATAGTAATATTTTAACAAGAGAATGATACATAATGAACAAGTGACATTTATCTCAGCACTGTAAGATTGGTGTAACTTCTGAAAATTAATCAATATAATTTGCCACAGAAAAATATGATCAGCTCAACAGATAAAGAAAAAGTACATGACAAGATTTTTTGTGAGTAAAAAACACACTTTTTAGCAAACTAGGGAAAAGACAACTTTCTTAATTTTATAAAGAGTTATCTACAAAAATCCCACAGCAAACATGTACTTCATGGTGAAATGTGGAGTGCTTTCTCCCTAGGATTTGGAACAAGACAAGGATGATTGATTTTATCACCCCTGCTTAACATCGTACTAGAAGTTCTAGCCAGCATAAAAAAGTGATAAAAGCAGATAAAAAGTATAAAGTTTGTTATTTGCAGATGACATGATTATGGGTTAGAAAACTCTGAGGAATTTACAAAAAGCAAATCTAATGAATTTAATAAATTTTAAGTTGTTGCGTTATACAAGGTCAACATATAAAAAACAGTTATATTTCTATATACCAGCAATGAACATTTAGATAATGAAATTTAAATATGCCTTTTATGATAGCATCAAAATAATTAAATTATTTGGAATCAAAGTAATAAAAAGTTAAGACCTCTACACTAAAAACTATAAAATACAGGCTGAGGATCCCTAATCTGAAAATTTAAAATCCAAAATGCTCCAAAATCCAAGACTTTTTGAATGCTGGCATGACAAGTGGAAAATTCCACATCTGACCTTATGTGATGGGTCACAATCAAAAAGCAGATGCAGTTTATTCAGCATCTCCAAGGGAAACAAAGACACCCCCAGGCCTGTTTAGCTGCAATGTATCTCTTCTGCACAAGCTCATATTCCCCCAGACGAGCATGCCCACAAAGGGTGACAAGACTGCGCATGTGAGGGCTGGATGTGCCAGCGACAGGTTCCTCACAAGGCCCTATATTGGCCCAAGACCTTTGTGCATCACTCACTGGTTTTTTTTTTTTTGTTTTTTTTTTTTTTTTTGCTTATTCTCTGCTCTGTGGTGTAAAGGTATTGTTAAAAATGTCAAAAAGGACGGCAGATACCCCTGCTGGCAACCGTGGTAAGAAAAAGAGGAAACATTTTTATTTCTCTGTAGTGCAGGAAGTGAAGCTGTCAGAGAAACTGGGTGGCAGTGTCATTGTGAAACATCTTACAGAAGAGTGAGGTGTTGGAATGACCACCACACAGGACCTGAATCGTTGAAGTTCTATGTTGAAAAGGATGAACAGAAGTTAATGAAAAATAGAAAAACACTACATAAAACAAAAATAGAAGAACTTGATTATGTATTAGAAGAGTGGATTTGTCAGTATTTGCAGTGAACACATGCTGCTTAATGGTATGCTGATCATGAAACAAGCAAAAATCTATTGTGATGAACTGGAAATTGAAGAGAACAGAGACTATTCAATAGGCTGATGGCAGAAATTTGAGAAAAAACACAGCATTAAATATTTAAAGGTTTTTGGTGGTAAAACATCTGCTGATCATAAAGCAGTGGAGAAATTCATTGATGAGTTTGCCAAAGTAGTTGCTGATGAAAATCTGACCCCAGAACAAGTCTATGATGCTGATGAAAAATCCCTGCTTTGGTGTTATTGCCCCAGGAAGACACTGACTACAACTGATAAGATAGAACCTAAAGAAATTAAGGATCCCAAGGACAGAACAACTGTGCTGAGAAGTGCTAATGCAGCAAGCACACATAACTGTAAACTTAAGACAGACAAAAGCTTGTGTTCTCTCTATGTTCAAGGAGTAACTTTCTAACCAATCTCTTATTCTGCTATCAAAAGGCATGGATCACGAGGGACATCTTTTTTGATTGGTTTCACAAACGCTTTCTACCCATGGTTCCTGCTCACTGCAAGAAAACTGGGCTCGATGATGACTGCAAGCTTTGTTATTCCCTGACAGCTGTTCTGTTGATCCTCCAGCTGAAACTGTCGTCAAAAAATGTTTATAGCATGTGCCTTTCCCCAAATGTGACTTAATTAATTCAACCATATGACCAGGATATGCTTAGATCAATGAAGAGTAAATATAAACACACTTTCTGGAACAGCATCCTAGCAGCAGTGAAGAGTGTGGGTGTGAAAGGAGTTCAGCATGAGGATTCTGTATATGCCATTGCCAGTGCTTGGAACACAGTCACTAAAGACACAGCCATGCATGCGTAGCACAACCCCCAGCCTGTGACTAGGCTCAGTGTTGATGAGTAATGAAACAGTGGTTTTGGATTCCGTATATCAAGTGAGAAAAAATGATGTCTGACCTTATCATATAGGCAAAAAAGAAATGCCTTCCGAGTCCGTCAGCGAACTGGAAGAAGCGGATGTCAAAGAACATTGATAACAGGCTCCAGTTGTTCACTCATTGACCCATGGCAAAATAGCTGACATTATTGTGAATCAAGGTGATCATAACAACAGCGACGATGAAGATGATGTTGAAAGTGCAGAAGACGTGCTTACAGATGACATGGTGAAAACGTGTGATGAGCTCATTGAAGGCCTAGAGCAGTGTGTGTCCATAGCAGAACAAAAAAATCCAGTCAGTTTATAAAATCAAAGAGAGATTTCTAAGACATAAAACGTTGTTAATGAGGCAGATGACTCTGGAGAAAACATTTTTAAAAAGGCACCCAGCAGAGCGCCTACTCATCCCTAGAGGATCCGCTTCTTGGTCCCTCAACTGCTTCTCATGTTTCTTCTCAACTATAAAAATAAAACACAGCGCATAATAACTGCTTAATCAAAACACAGCACTGTAGGTGGACACTTGGGGCCTGCCATTATTTGTGGTTGCTGTTGTTTAACAGCTGATACAGGTATTCTGATGATGCCACTGTGCTACTTCATTGCCCTGAACATATTATTTTTCCACTGTATTAATGATTTGTCATATATTTTACTGTTAAGTACTTATGAGTGAAGAAGTGTAAGAAACTGATGGCTTATTGGTAGCATCTAAATTCAGAGTAAGCAATGATGGTGATGCCAAACAACCACCAATCATTCACATAGGTGGTGGAGGGAGTGGCATCTTTGTTTTCTAATGGCTCAATGTGCACAACCTTTGTTTCATGCATAATATTATTAAAAATATCATATGAAATTATTTTCAGGCTATGTGTAATAGGTGTATATACATAAATAAATTTTGTGTTTAGATTCCGGTCCCATGCCAAAGGTATTTATATATATATATTATAAAAATTATTATTAATATTATAAAAATAAAAATAATTATATATTATATGTAATACTTACTGATACTAATTATAATTATAATTATAAATGTATTTTTATAAGTATATATATAATTATATATATTTATAATTATATATAATTATAATTATATAAATATGTAATTATAATTATATATATAATTATAATTATATAAATATGTAATTATAATTCTATATATAATTATAATTATATAAATATGTAATTATAATTATATATAATTATAATTATATATACTTATAATTATATAAATATGTAATTATAATTATATATATAATTATAATTACATATAAATAAGTAATTATAATTATATATAATTATAATTATATAAATATGTAATTATAATTATATATAATTATAACTATAAATATTTATAGTTATAATTATACGTATTTATAATTATATATATTATATATTATATATTATATATAATTATAAACATAATATATTATATATATAATTATAAATATATTATATATTATATATAATTATAAATATATTATATATTATATATAATTATAAATATATTATATATTATATATATAATTATATATTATATGTAATATATAATATATAATTATATATATAATATATTATATATAATATATGTAATGAATGTAATTAATTATCTATATAATTTATATATAAAAATTATATAATTATATATAATATATATTATGTATAATTATATAATATATATATTATATCTAATTATAAATATATAATTATAAATATAATATATAATGTAAATATAACATATAATGTAAACATAACATATAATATATAAATATAAATATAATATATAATATAAATGTAATATATAATATATAATATAAATATCATACATAATATATAATGTATAGTATAAATATATAAACATAATATTTATATCTAATATATTATATTTAATATAACATATATTATATATAATATATTATCTATTAATATAAAATATATTACATATAATATAGTATATATATTAATATAACATACTATATTATATATAATATAAAACATATATTACATATATAATATATAACATATAATATATTATATATGCAATATATATTTTATATTATATATAATATATACTACAAATATAATATTTATATATATTTATATCATATATTATATATTATATATACATATATTATATTATAATATATTATATTATATTATATATAATATATAATATTATATTATATTACATTATATATTATACATTATATTATTATATATAATATATAATGATGTAATATATTATATTATATTATATTTACATATTATATAATATAATATACATAATATTATGTAATATATACTTCTAATATATCAATATATAATTATAATATATTATATATTTTATATGTACATAAAATATATATAATATGTAATATATTGTATTATATATAATACAGTATATTATATATTATATATATTGCATATAATATATTATATCTTCGCGGTGGCTCACGCCTGTAATCCCAGCACTTTGGGAGGCCGAGGCGGGTGGATCATGAGGTCAGGAGATCGAGACCATCCTGGCTAACAAGGTGAAACCCCGTCTCTACTAAAAATACAAAAAATTAGCCGGGCGCGGTGGCGGGTGCCTGTAGTCCCAGCTACTCGGGAGGCTGAGGCAGGAGAATGGCGTGAACCCGGGAAGCGGAGCTTGCAGTGAGCCGAGATTGCGCCACTGCAGTCCGCAGTGTGGCCTGGGCGACAGAGCGAGACTCCGTCTCAAAAAAAAAAAAAAAATGTATATATATATATATATATATATATATATTATATCTTATATATATTAAAATATATTATATATTATATTTTATGTATGTAATATAATGCATTATATATTATATATATTTGCTATATAATATATTATATATAAATATCTTTGGCATGGGACCCAAATCTAAATATCTATATATTATTATTATAATCATTATATGTAATATATATTATATATATTTTATATATAATGTATAACATATTATACATGTATAATACATGTATATTATATGTATAATATATATTATACATATAATATATATTATACATATATTATATATAATATATATTACATACTATACATGTATAATATATGTGTATAATATATATTACATATATTATATGTAATATATATTATATATTTTATATGTATAAAAATAATATATCATATATGTGTAATATATACGTATATAATATATCACATATAATATATGCATAATATATGATATATATTATGTGTATATATTATATATTATGTATTATATATTTTCTATTATATATAAATTATATATTATATATTTCAGATTCTTTATATATACTATATATTATACATAATATATTATTTTATATATAATATAGTGTTTTATATATTATATTATGTTATTTTATATATATTATATATTATATAATATGATATATATTATATAATATATAACATGATATATATTATATAATATATAACATGATATATAATATATATTATATAACATGTATATACATATATGTATATAATAATATGTATATATATGTATATAATAATATGTATATACATATATGTATATAATAATATGTATATACATATATGTATATATGTATATACATATATGTATATAATATAATATATAATATAATTATATATATTATATAATTATATTATATATAATATGTATAATATAATATTATATTATAATATGTATGATATAAGATTATATAATATGTTATTATATAATATGTGTAATATTATATTATATTTTGTTATTATATAATATAATATTATATAGTATTATATTATTATATAAAATGATAATATTATATATTATATTATTGTACAATATGTATAATATTATATCATATTTGATTATATAATATGTATAATATTATATCATATTTTATTATATAATATGTATAATATTATATCATATTTTATTATATAATATGTATAATATTATATCATATTACATTATTATATAATATGTATAATATTATATCATATCATATTATTATATAATATGCATAATATTTATTATATATTATAATATTGTGCAATATTTATTATACAATATTGTAATATTGTATAATATGTATAATATATATTACATAATATTATAGTATTATATAATATGTATAATAGATATGTTATATATGATATATAATATATATTATATGTATAATATATAGCATATATTATATATGTATAATATATATTTGTATATATTCCAAAATCCAAAAGAATCTGAAATCTAAAGCACTTATGTTCCCCAGCATTTTGGATAAGGGATACTGAATCTGTATTGCTGAGAGAAGTTCAGAAAGACAGAAGTAAATGAAAACATATTCTATGTTTATGAATTGGAAGACAATGTCATTAAGATGTAGAAATACTTCAAATTACTTGTAGATTTGTAGATATTATATTATAATATATATTACTATATATTATATTATAATATATATTATAATATAATATATATTATAATATATATTATATTATAATATATATTATAATATATATTATATTGTAATATATATTATAATATAATATTATATATTATAATGTAGATTATATAATTACATATAATATATAATAATATATTATGTATATCTATATTATATATTATAATTTTATAATATATAATATTTAATATATAATATATAGTATTATATATAATATATTATATTATATATGATATATAATATATACAGTATATAATACATGTATTATAACATAATATATATTAATTATATTATATATTATATATATTATATTATCTTATATATTATATTACATATAATATGTATATTATATATAACATACTGTATAATGTATATTTATATGTTATACATGTATAATATATATTTATATGTTATACATGTATAATATATATTTATATGTTATACATGTATAATATATATTTATATATTATACATGTAGAATATATATAATACATGTATAATATATATTATACATGTATATTTATTTATTATATATGTATAATATATATAATAATATATGTATAATGTATATTTATATATTATATATGTATAATATATGTGTATATATTCCAAAATCCAAAAAAATCTGAAATGAAAAACACTTCTCGTCCCAAGGATTTTGGATAAGGGATACTCAATCTGTATTGCTGAGAGAAGTTCAGAAAGACAGAAGTAAATGAAAACGTATATTATGTTTATGAATTGGAAGACTTAATATCATTAAGATGTACAGATCCTTCAAATTATTTGTAGATTCAATGCAATATGTATAAAATTGCCATAATTCTACTGAAAATTTCCACAAAATAAAAAAATTCTATGTTATAGAATATTTTAATATTTTTCTATAAATATTTCTAGTAAATGTTTTATAAAATTCTTATAATTCTCCTAAAATTCCTACAGGCTTTCAATTTTTTGTAAAAATTGATAAGTGGGATTCTAAAATTTAAATGGCAATACAAAGGATTTAGACTAACCAGAACACTCTTGAAAAAGAAGAGCTAAGTTGGAAGAATTATACTTCCTAGTTTTAAGACGTACTATAAAGCCACAATTAGAAAATTAATATTTCATTACCATATAAATAGATAAAGACATGTATGAAACAGAATAGAAAGACCAGAATTAGAATGAAATAGATACGGTAAATTAATTTTTGACAACATTTTCAAAGCATTTTAATGCAGAAAAGAAAGTCTTCAGCAAATGGTGCTGAAAGAAGTGAATAGTTGCGTGGGAAAAACATTAACCCCTACTTCATACACAAAACTTAAGTCAAAATGGATCATAGAACTAATCATAAAAGCTAGAATCATCAATCTTCTAAATGAAAACATAGTTGGGAACCCAAGGTGGGCAGTGCTCGAGCCCAGGATTTTGAGACCAGCCTGGCGGCATGGTGAAACCCCATCTCTACTATAAATACAAAAATTAGCTGAGCATGGTGGCATGCATGGTGGTGTGTACCTGTAGTGCCACCTGCTAGTGAGGCTGAGGTGGTAAGATTCCTTGAGCCCAGGAGCCGGAGGTTTCAGTGAGCTGAGATCATGCCACTGCACTCCAGCCCGGGGTACAGAGCGAAACCGTGACTCAAAAACAAACAAACAAAATAAAACAAAACAAAACTAAATGAAAACGTAGGAGAATATCTTCATGACTTTGTGGTAGACAAAAATGTCTTATATAGGGCACAGAAAGCACTGACTAGAAAAAGAAACCCACTGGGCTTCATCAAAAGTATACATGTTTGCTCATAAAGGCCCTGTTAAGAGTCACAGGCTAGGAGAAAATGTTTGCAATACATACGTCTAAAAGGGCCTGTATCCAGAAGATGTAATGAATTCTTACAAATCAATGATAAAAAAGAAAAGCCAATAAAAACAAGCAAGAAATTTGAAGACAGTATATAAAAAAGGATGTCTGAATAATCATTAGGTACATGAAAATGTGCTCAATAATTATAGTCATCAAGAAAATGTAAATTAAATTGCAGTGAGATACCACTTCACACACAACTGGAAGGGCTAAAATCAAGAGACTGTTAACACCAAAGTTGACAAAAATATGGGTCAGCCAGGACTGTCAGACATTGCTTGAGGGATTGTGAAACGGTACAAACACACTAGAAAACGAATACATTCTTACAAACCTAAACATCCATCCCATGACCCAGCAGTCCCATTCTTGGATACTTACCCAAGAAAAATAGAAATATGCCCATAAAAAGTCCTTATCAAAATGTTTACAAAAGCCTTATTCATAATGCCCTCAAACTGGACACACCACAAATGTCCATCCCAATAGGAACGGGTAATCAAATTGTGGTGTACCCACACCATGAGATGCGACTCTGCGAGAAAATGGAAGACTACTGATAATGTTCAACAAAGCGAATGAATTTCAAAAATGTTACATTAAGTAAAAGGTGTTGGAAACAAAAGAGAACATACTGTGTGATTCCATTTATATGTCATGCAAGAGCAGGCAAAGTAGCTGTGGCGACAAACAGCAGAAAATTGTTCCTGGGTGCAGAGGGGCTGACAGAAGGGGAACAAGGGGCCTTCCTGGGGTGACGGAAGCATTCCATGTCTTGGTTTGGCTTGTAGTTACATGGGTGTATGCAACTCTCAAGGTTCATTGAAGTGGACACTGAGGATATGTGCATTTTATTTCATGTAAACTCTACCTCACTGTGCACATGATAAATATCTCTTTTTCCATCTATCATTATGTAACCCATTCATCTATATGTTGTATTATGTAAACCAGTTCTGATTAAAAAAAAAAAGGAATAAATGCCACCCAGTGTATTTTGAGAGATGTTTGAGTACTGCTGGTTTGTTCTCCATAGTACCACATGGTGAACAGTGGTGAGTATTTTGGCAGGAAGCAGACTTCAGCATAAATTTCACTCTAACTCCTTGTTAGCTGTTTCCTTCTGCAGATTACATCACCCTTTCAATACAGCTTTCTCACCTGTAAATGGGAGTATTCGTTTTTAATTTCCAGAGTTGCTATGCGGAGAAAGCAAGAAAATGCATGTTAGAACAGTGAGAGGCACATAGCAGTTGTTCAAGCAATGTGGTTGCGGTAGAAGTGGTGCTGACAGTGGGGTTTTAGGAGTTGCCCCTGCACATGTATTTCCTCTGCCTGGAATATCCCTATCCTCATCCCTTCTTAATTTCCTGGTGAATTTGTACTGATTGAGTTGTAACTCAAATATTCTTTTCTCTAATCTGCCTTCTTCTTATTCCCAGCTAAAGGCTGGCCTGGGTTCACCTCACCTGCATTCTCAGATTTTGCAATTTTTTTTTTTTTTTTTTTTGAGACGGAGTCTTGCTCTGTCGCCCAGGCTGGAGTCCAGTGGCGTGATCTCAGCTCACTGCAAGCTCCGCCTCCCAGGTTCACATCATTCTCCTGCCTCAGCCTCCTGAGTAGCTGGGACTACAGGTGCCCACCACCACATCTGGCTAATTTTTTTTTGTATTTTTAGTAGAGACAGGGTTTCACTGTGTTAGCCAGGATTGTCTTGATCTCCTGACCTCTTGATCCACCCGCCTCGCCCTCCCAAAGTGCTGGGATTACAGGCGTGAGCCACCACGCCCGGCCAGATTTTGCAATTTTTTAAAGAACCTGGATCACTTTGTCCATGATTATCTGTTTCAGCTGTGTTTTTCCATTAGATGTGCACATCTGCAGTTCAGATATTGTGACATCTTGCTGTACCAGTGCCCTGCTCATTTTTGTAGAAACACAATACACATTCGTGAAATTGCATTGAAAGAAGAACTGTTACATATGCTTCCTGGGATCAGCGGAGCCACTAATGGCAGTCTGGGGTTGTCTAATGTTGTCTCAGCTGCCTAATATTTTAAGTTATGGTCCCTCTTTAACTATAACTCCTCACATGTATGAGAATGAAGGTCCTGCTTAGTTAACAGAGACAATTGTCCTCTCTAAGCATTTGTATTGTTATAATATGTTATTTAATATTACATTATTTCCTTAGTCATACTCTATTTTTTTTTTCTCAGTGAGAAATAGTCAAATGCATATCAAGAGAATCTTTTAATATATGTTGTGGGAGAGAGAAAGATTCAGGTAATTTTTGATACATGCTACATTTATACTATAAAACCACAAGTTCTACAAGACCTAATGTTTTCTTCAAGAGATTGTGGGTGCCTGTCATCCTAGCTACTCGGGAGGCTGAGACAGGAGAATCGCTTGAACCCAGGAGGTGGAGGTTTCAGTGAGCTGGGATTGCGCCACCGCACTCCGTCTTGGGTGACAGAGCGAGACTCCATTTGAAAACAAAACAAAAAAAAACTCCAAAACAAACAAACAAAAAACCTCCAAAAGTGTACATTATTAACCTCCATGTAAAGCCCATATTGTCTCTCCAGATTCACACTCATGGCTTGCCCAACGTGCTCCAAATAAGAAAGTCAATCAAGACGGGGAATGATGTGGTTGACACTGACGTGACGAAAATCCTGAGGTGGCCCCACCGTTTCAGGAGCACTATTTCAAAGAGGGACTCCTAAAATTCTTCTGACCCCTCACTTTTTCTCTGAGGTGATGAAATTTCCCTTTTGCTGGGAATGGCGTAGATTGAGATGACATCGTCTCCACGGTTCCCGGCTGCAGTGCTCTGGGAATTCCTTACTGTTGACATCAGATGACCGGCATTTTCTTATTTTATTGGTCACCGTGTGGGTTGGGTTATGTGAAGATTGGCATGTCAGGGTCACCATGAGAGGCAGCTGAGAGTCTTTAGAAATAGTGATTGTGACCTAATGTGAGAATTTAACAGAAGAGGATGAAAATTTAACTGTTATTTTATAGGCACAGAGGGCCCAGGGGATCAAGCCACAGAGAATTTCTGATGCTGTGCCAAAGTCACTATGCCATATGGATTTCCTCTACACAGGGCATTTATTCCATACCTTCACTTGGTTTCCAGAGGAAGAAAAATATTACTCCTCTGAACATAGAGAAAGCACATAACTAAAGTTAGAGAATGATGAGTTCTTAGAAAAAAAAAAGAGGAAGTCAGAGTAAGTAGCCTTTAATATAAAGTTTATATTTTCTGATTAATTCCATTAGCCTCCTTGGTTTGAGCTTACCAAGAAAACATCATTTCCAAAATGAGGGAGCCACTTCCCTCCCGAGTAGGAAGGTGTGCCTGCCTGCATCCAGCCTGGGGAACCACGTCTTGCCCACCCTGATTGCTCTGCTCTTCCAATTAGATGCCAAGAGAGTTTTTATTCCCAGTCCAAAACTGGGAGAGAGCTTTCCTCCTCAGCTGTGAGGCAGCCACCTTTCACATTAGGGTGATTGCCCTAGAACCTCTCACTGCACGCATAATTGCTAATCTTAATTGGTGAAACATCTTATGTAGTTATGTTGTTTAGGATGCTTGGAAATGGTGGCAGCTCTGTTGCCCCCCAAATCCTTATTAGTCGCCTCTTAAGTGACGGCAGACCAGTCCTGGATGGAGCAATGACCGTGAACCCTGAGTAGGGCTGGTGGCCTCTTTGTGTTTGCCAAGCACTTAAGTCCCCTCTCCCCATTCCGTCTTTCCTCGTCCCTCAGCCTGTTTTCTATCTCAGCCTTATTCCTATTGTTTAACAGCCACAAGAGAGTTGGAGTGAAAGTCTTTGGGAATCAAGAAAACTTCAGAAGATCCAGAAAGGAGTGATAAGAAGTCCTAGCTAGAAGAGAATTCTGTTCTGACTTTCTTCCATGTTAATTAGTTCTCATTTTGAACGTTTGGGAGGAATGTGGGTAGACAGGCTCTGGGACCCCAGGACCATTGCTTTGCGGGAGGGAGGGTGTGGTGCGGGAGCCCCTAAGACTCCTGTGCTGCAGCCGAGAAACGATGCTCAGTACTAGAGAGAACCCTGATATATCTGTTTTCCAGGGGGAACCATCTGAGTTCTCCACCCAGGTGGGTTTCCTGGGAGGAACGGGCTTCAGAGGAGTCCTGTCAATGTGAGGAGGGAACACTGTCAGGGAAGCGGGTGGTACTTGGAGGTTTGGATCAGGCTGAAGCCAAAGCTTGGGTATGGGAGCAGATTGGTCAGATGAAAGGGCAAGTGAGTCAAATGTTCTGCAAGGAACAGAGGAGGCAAGGAGACCAATGTACTTTGGACTGTGTGGCAAAGGAGCTAAAAGGAGGAGAAGAAAATCTAGACGTAGATCTACGGTGTAATGGAAAGCCAACTACAATACGTCAAGGAAGGGGTGGCATTTTCAGAATGACGAAAGCCACTTGATTTTATAGTGATTTTGAAACAAGGAAAGTTTTAAATTAAAGAATATGTCAATCTCCAGAGCCATTTGATTTTCTTTTTGGCAGCTTATTCAGAGTTGGTCTGACCAAATATTATAGCAGCTTCTCTTTTTTGCGCCAGGGCATGATTAAATGACTTCTTAAGATGGGTTTTAGCTGTGTAAGTTGCCAACCTATCTCAGGTGAGTTTATTAAACCCTTGCTGCACTGGACTTTCCTCCGTTCATCCCCAGCAGGGCACTTGTGGGCAACTGTGATCACAGGATAGCTGTCATCGGTCAGGGGACTGTGGCTATCTGCTGTAAAAATGGCATAGGTTCTTGTGCCTCTGATAAGAACTCACAGAAGAAATAAGAACTTGGCACTGGAGTAGCTCACAATTTGATATTTTTGGTTTAAGGAACTTTTTGGCAGACTTTTTGAGATCTGTGTACCTGAGTAGTTCACCTTCCTAAGACAATTTGAAAATTTCTCCTTTGATTCTGCCACCCAAGATGTACTCAGCTTTTCCATTAGAACCAGCCAGGGAAGTCTGCTTCCCAGCTCCTTCTGGAAATTCACATCCACAGGGGCTCCCCTGCAGGTCTGTGTTGCTGCGGGCCAGCTGGTGTCTGAGCAGGTAGGGGAGGTCACACTGAAAACTGGAGTCTGCTTGAAACCCCGTGGCCGCAGTCACATGCAGTCATTAAGTCAATTCCTGCTAGGTGTAGGTCGGTGCGTAGGATGCAAAGATGTATACAACATGCTCCCTGTCCTTGATTTCTTTACGACCTCTTTGGAAAGTCAGGCCATTGATACTGAGAAGGGCAGCCAGACCAAGCAGTTATGCTGTATACCTCACGAGTGGTACCAACCAAAGCAGCTATTTAGTGTTTCAGAGGAGAGAGCAGGCATTGTGGCTGAAACGCTTAGAGAAAGACACATGGAAGAGACAGGACGGGACCTGGTTTTAAAGAACAGGCTCTACTGGAACAAGTAGAGAAGGGAGAGGGAGATGCTCCCTGTCAGGGCTGGGATGGAAATGTGGCCCACTGTGTGGGTCTCGGATAAAAAGTCAAGTGCCATGAGGAAGGAGGGAATGGTCCTTGAGACCCTGGGAATCCATGGCTCCTTCTAAGACCAAACCATGTTGGGGAATCTGCAGGGCTGCAGTTGCGAGCTGGGCTGTTTGTCCTGGAGTCTGTGAGCCCTGGGGAGCCCGTGAAGGATCTTGGGCAGGTGAGTGATTTGAGCACGGTGCGGTCCGGACAATTTGGAGTCAGGATGCCAGGAGGTTGCTGTCTAGGAGAGCTGCTAAAAGACATGTAGGGCTATAATTTCAATATCAGCCACAGTGTCACAGCCTGACTGGTCACTGGGAACTTGATAATCACAGAGTCTCTCAAGCCATTCCTGGTAAACATTTGGGATTTTCAGGTCTGAGCTCCTTCCTCCCAGTTTCTGCTCTTTCCCCTACAACTCCCTTCTAACCTTTCCCTGCCCTGGATATTAACTTCCCTGTGGGCTCCTCAGCAGCCGGCTGGGATCTGAGTTTTCTCTTTTCAGGCCTGGGAGGTCTAGAGGCTGTGCTGGTCAGTAATTTCTGGAGCTCTAACATCTTTTTCTTCTTTTGAACTCACTATAAACCAGAAGTTAAAAAGACATTTAAAAGTTTACCAAGGTGAATAATGTGATAGAAATGTGAGTACTAGTGGCAATTGGGAAAAAGAAACAAGCTTGCTGATTATAAATGATTTTATCCTTCACATTGAGCAATTTATTTTATGCTATGTATTCTTATAAAATGACCAGATTTATTACTATGTGTACTCATTTTAAAATTTTAATTTTTAAATAAAATATTTTTTTGGCTTCCATTATATTTACTTTTATAATAAGGCTCCATTTATGGCAGGAGGTTCTGTTTTCCATTTTTTGTAATGATAGAAAGTTTCCTTTTGAAATATTAATTTAAACCAAAAATTCGTCAATTTAGAATAAATTGTTAAGTAACAGTACACGATACATGGCATATGGGTTTGCCAAAATTGTGACACACTTATAGGACTGAAGTTTATAAAACGACACCCTAGAGAAAGTAGACTATGCTGTCCCCGACATCTGCTACTGAAGAGGATGAAAACTGACTTGGCTTCCATTCCACCAATAAGACTATACCAAGATCCAAGAAGATGATGGATAAGGATCTGATACCTCTCATTGGAACCATGTGTCTCATCATCTGTACACTCTGTAAGAAACTTCAGGATAGGGACCAGATCTTATTGAGTTTGTGTCTAATATGCAATCCTCTAACATGAGGCCTGCACATACTAAGTACTAAATACATTTTTGCTAGAGTAATGAATCCGTAGATTTGCATTGCAGTAAGAGCACCTCTAGACAGTTTAATTTTGTGTTTGTTTATTCTGGAACTATCAGGCTATAATTAAATAAATGTTGCCAATGAGTCTAGCTTGTCACAAGTTTCAAAAGAATAAGACAACACAGGTGCATTCAGCTGATTGGTGGGATTTGGATTCCCACAGGCTAGCTTGCTGCAGCAGGTGTGAGGAACTGTGAATAAAGGGCACAATTAGAGCTACCTCGAGGATTGAGCCTGGCCAATTCCTACATATCTAACATTTTCTTTCTTCTTGTAGAAGAAAAAGATTCTTGGAAAAGAGACATAGCTGGTTCTTAGTAACTACTGGGAAAAACATCACAGGGAGCCCTGGATGAAAGCCATTATTTCCAATGGAAATACTGACTCGTAGCACCATGGCCTATTGTAAAATCTAGTGAAACGTGCATAAAAATCTTGCATCTGGTTTGAGATTTATCTTTGCTACCAACTCTGTCTGCATTTTTTGACTGTATTCGGGGGTGGCTGTTCATGCAGGAATGAGGGGCTACCTTAAGGGAGACTCAAAGGAAACAATATGTGGAAGAAACGTAGAGAATGAGTTGCTTTTGCTATCACAATGGTGTATGAAAAAAATTCTTTACTAAACAATTGACAAAGTATAAGGTAAATATGAGCTTATTGCAGTGACTTTCAGGGACTTTTTATTGGACAACAGTGCCTTGCCCTTCTCACAGTGAAATTCATTAAATTGGGCTTTGGTATCACTTGCGTGACTTGTAAATAAACAATACTTTAAGAAACAGCTTTGCAAAGCCCATGGCATTTGGGGTTGCAACTCTATTTAAGGCATGGTTTACTATTTCTCAGTATCTTCTATGTGAAGGCCCACTTACTTTAAAGTAAATGCTGGGAACTGCTTTGTTCTTTTTGAGATACTGATTCAGTTTTGCTCTATTGAAAAATTCTTTCACAATTATGTTCTCTACATTTGCTCACAGCCCAAGTCACCATCAGTGTAGGAGATTACGGTCTGCATATAAGCAGTTTACTGTTCCACCTGGTATTGCCACTCTATTCTAATTGAATTCCCTAGTCCTGATTTTTTATTTTCAATTGTTATTTTACCACTTTATGGTGTATATTTCTAGTTCACTGCTATTTACAATTTGTGGAATGAGGAAAGACATCTGAGGTGCTTGTGTGTAGCATCCAAATGCAAGAGCATCTCCTTGTTCTTCAGATGAAAATCAGAGTCAGTTATGAAAATGGATGTAGTTCTCTGATTCGAATAATGGTTGAGGACATGTATAAACGGCTTGGCTCAGTTGCAAGGCTGATAAGAGTGTGTTTGGAATAACCAGTCTCAATGCCAAGAAAAATGCCACATAATCTCAGCTTCATCTAGCAAGTGAACTTGGTGTTGGTGTGGGGTGATCTAGCATTGGTTGGGAATGTCAGGTTTGGAAATACTTCCTGGTGGTATCAGCTTTGGAAATAGACGCTAGACGAGGCTACGTAGCTCATCAGCTATTCCCTGAAAGCAGAAAATCCAGGGGTTCAGAATTCAGGGCCTCCCGGTAGAGACAGCATTGTGAATATTCAGTAATACTCTCCCCATTGTCAAAAAGCCTTGCATCTTTTCTTCCCTTCCTCCTTTCTCTCTTTATACTCATCCTTCTCCTCTTTTTCTTCCTCCTCTTTCTTCTAATATATGTTGAATTTCTTTATTTCATACCTCAAATACTCATTTCCTGCCTTCCTTTTCTATAGCTGCTGTAGCGGTTCCCATAAACCCAAGAGCTCAACACAACCTTTATTTCATCGCACCTGCCATGGTTGACACTTAAACATCAGCTCTACAATTTACATACACCATAATGTACCCATTTTATTGTACGATTAGATGAATTTTGACCCGTGTGTACACCCATGTAACCATCATCATAATCAAGATTTGGAGCTTTTCCTTCATTTTCCTTGTGCCCCTTTGCCTTCATGTCCCTCCCACCCCGCCGCCCCTGCTCCTGGAAAGTGACTATCCTGCTTTCTGTGACTGCAGATCCATTTTGACAGTTAAAGAATTCCATGTAAATGGAATTGCATCGTGCCTACTCCTTTGTTTCTGGCTTATTTTGCTGAGCACTGTGTTTCTGGGGCTCGTCCATCTCGCGGTGTGCATCAGAAGTTCTTTTCTTGATACCGCCAAGTAGTCCATTGTGTGGATACACTAGAGTTGGTCCATTCACCTGTTTTGGACATATGGATTGTTTCCTGTTTGGGGCTAATGTGAATAAAGCTGTTAGGAACATTTGTGCACAAGTCTTTGTATAGGAAAATGTTGTACTTTTTTGGAGAAAATACTCAGGAGTAGAATTATTTCACTTTAAGAGATTGGAAAACTATTTTCCGAAGTTGCTATACCACTCACCTTCCCACCAGCAAGGTATGGTATTTCCAGTTGGTTCATATCCTCACCAATACTTGGAATTAGTATTTTTTAAAGTTTGGACATTCTAGTGGATGTGTTGCAGTATTTCATGATTTAGTTTACATATCCCTGATGATTAATGAAGTTGAAAAGTTTTTGATAAGCTTATTGCTCACTGTGTAAGTCTTCTTTTGTGAGCATGTGGTAGGACCTCTGCTCATTCTGAAAACTGAATTGTCTTTGTCTTATTAAGTTAAAAATTCTTTCCCTTATATTTTGGATACAAGCTTTTGAGTTTGCATCATTTGTTGAACAGACTCTCCTTTATCAACTGAATTTCACTGACACTGAAAATCAAATTCCTATATATATGTGGGTTGTTTCTTGACTCTCTATCTTGCTCATTGTTGAATGTGTCTATTTTTAGATCACTACCACTCTTTCCATATATACAAAATCCATATATATGTGTGATGTATGTATATGCGTAATTCCTCTTTGTTCTTCTTCACAATTGTTTTGGCTCATCTTGGATTTTTGTACTTCCAAGATCCTGCTAGGATCCTGTCTGTGATGACTTGATTTTATGTGTCATTTTGGGGTGAACGGACATCTTGACTCTAGTATGCACTTCTGCTGAGGTGTCAATCACAGTGGGGAGTGTGATACAGGTGAGTGAATGTGCCAGTGGTGACAACTGGAGCCAACTGATGGGCCATTGTGCATCTCCCAGATACTTGGAAGACTAAGTAAAAGCAGAGGTGCATACTAGAATAAAATGGCAGAAAAAAAGGCTGTTTTTTTTAAATTAGCATTTAAAAATTCATACTAGTGATGTAATTAGTAGTCATCAAACTACTAAACTGATTTTCTAATTATATGTACATTTAAAATGTAGATTATTGTTGGATTTTTAAGTGACATAAATGTATGCCTTAGATGTGTGGTTGACAGACTCTAGGTCTGAGCCCTCATGTACTCGGTGTGTATCACTGCCAACAAGCCATTAATTCCAGGCTTTAGGATCCTTGTGCTGGGACTGGTGGGCCCTACGGGTGGGAGGAAATCAGAAGTGTAGCAGTGGGTCCCTGCCACCTGGTCAAATAGGACCAGACACTTGGCTGGTGACTTGGCAGAAATATGATGGAATGTGATCATTTTTGATGAGCTAAAATGCTAAACCTGTACTTGAGGAGATCTACTGTATAATTTATGAGTAGCACTGTGTCTTTCCTCTGTCCTACTTTTCTGAAGCAATGCATTTTCTTTGATTCATTTACTATTTAGGTCTCAGTTGATGGGCCACAATATAAGGTCTTTATTCTTGATGATTTTTTACTCTTCCTTTCTCACATGCAGGTGCCACTCCACCTGCCTGCTTTATTTCCACATCAGAAAATGATCAGGATCCACCAGCCTTCTTCACTCTGATTTCCCAGCATTGGTGGAGGATTTTTCTAATTCTTCAGTGTCTGGAATGTGTAAGCTTCAGTTTGTATTTGACTTCCACCAGCTTCCTTCCCACCCAGTATTTTTCAGTGATTCATCAATTATTTATTAAGTACCCACTATATTAGATATTTGTTTTCTTTTGTAGTGCCCTGTGCTTACCTCTTTTGCTGCATCTATCACATTAAATTATGTCTTTCCCACTACTTTAGGCCCCGAGGGCAAGAGCAACGCTGGGTGTACCGTTGTATTATGGTACTTTGCAAATTCATGACACTTACTATGTACTCAATACATTTTTTTTCCTTTCTCTGAACTTAGTAGTCACACTAAACCTTTTTTGTAAATTTACGTTCTTCTGACATTATTTATTTAGTTGGTTACTTTTTTCCAGTATAAAAAATTTTAACCATGCAGAAAAGTACAGATAAATAATATAACACCTCAGTATTAATAAACACAAGGCATCTTCCGACAAACTTTGTTTAGTCTGAATACTCTTATTGAAAAAATAACTAAAAATTAGTCTGAAGTGTTTTGCTATTTTTCCTATAGAATTTTTCTTATATTTTATAATTCCTACCATTTCAGTAAGAGAAAATCTTATATAGTTGAAGGCCTTGTGTATTCTTCCCTAATCCCATATCTCCTCCTCACCCTCCCAAAGAAATAACCATCTGAACTTGTTCTTATTTTCAAGTGGGTTTTTAGGCTTCTTGTCCCTGTGTTTTTAAATGATACCTAGGATTGTTTTATCTTTTTGTAAATGATGTGTTATTCTGTATACTTCTGCAACTTGATTTTCTCAACTGATGTGATGTTTTTTGAAATTAGTCCATGTTGATAGATGTTGCTCTAGCTAGGTCATTTATTTTAATTGCAGAATGGCATTCCATTGTGTGAACAAACCCACCATGTATTAATCAGGGCTTCTGGTGACCAGCATTTAGATGGTCTCCACTACGTCTGTGCTTACAAACAATGTGGCAATTAACATTCTTGTACATGCCCCATGTGCACATATAAAGTGCAATTACTCGGTCAAAAGAGTATACGCATCTTCAATTCTATTACTTACTGCAAAAGTGTTGTTTTTAAAAAAATCAGATCTGATAATGTTTGTCTTTTGAGTGGCAAGTCCATTTGTATTTATTAAATTCCTCCTGTATTTGGTTTCATCTCTGCCATCTTATATTGCACTTTCTATTTAGCCTGCTTTTTCTGTTTCCCCATCCTTTTTTTTTTTCTGCTTCTGTCATTTTTATCATCACCTCTGCCCTCTTTCTATTTGTTTGGAGATTATATAAACACTATATTCTATTCTTCTAGTAGTTAAACTTTATAAATTTAAGAAGTGCCCTTGAAATAGTAAAGTTTAAGCTTAGCCAATTGCTTTGTTATCTTACTAAATAATGAAGGATGGTACAACACATTAACTCTTATGAACCATTTCTGGCTTTCATATCATTTTCCCCTCAATACTTTAATTCTCTGCTTGATTTTTTTGACTCTATACCAAATGTTGATAAACTAGATTTAATCACAAGTTTGACAACTTTTTTCTCACCAATTCTTCTTAAATATTAGTGCTACCTGGCCGGGCGTGGTGGCTCATGCCTGTAATATGAGCACTTTGGGAGGCCAAGGCAGGTGGATCACAGGGCCAGGAGTTTGAGAACAGCCTGGCCAACATGGTGAAACCCCATTTCTACTAAAGATACAAAAAAAAAATTAGCTGGGGGTGGTGGCGCACACCTGCAATCCCAGCTACTTGGGAGGCTGAGGCAGGAGAATTGCTTGAACCTGGGGGGTGGAGGTTGCGGTGAGCTGAGATCACGACATTGTACTCCAGCCTGGGCAACAGAGTGAGATTCCATCTCAAAAAAAAAAAAAAAATTGGTGCATCCTTCTGGTTTCACCTTTGTCATAAATACCTTCTCAAGTAGGTCTTTCTGTGGAGGTCAGCTAGTGAACTGGTTTTGGTTTTTGTCAAAGACTGTCTCATTTAGCCTTTATTCTTGAATACTTGCTTAACTGGGTATAGAATTCTAGGTTTTAGTTACTTTTCCGAGACGTCAAAGACACTTTTTCTGTCTTTTCCTTCTTCTGTTTTAAGGTTGGCTGTCAGCATGCTTGTATTTATTTGTGAATAGTCTGCTTTCTCTTTTATTACTTTTAAGATCATTGTCTTTGATGCCCTATATGTGCATTATGACAGGTCTAGGGGTGCCTTTATTTATCCTACTTTGGATCTTCCTTGATTCCTCAAACCGAGGATTTATGATTTTCTTCAATTCTGGAAACACTTTAGTCATATGTATTCTCTTTGAATTTTGCCATTCTTGTTCTGATCTCTACTTTGGGAAGTCTTATAAGCAAACGTTAGACTTCATGCTTCCAACCAACCTTGTGTCTCTTTCAGGTCGTTCTTATTAAATATTGACAGATGCAAAAAGATAAACATAGTAAGATATCAAGAATAGATGCAATGCACACCCAGGCCCCAGCAGTATCCTTGCAAGTCCTCCTGAGCCTGTCTCCATCCTGCCCCCCTGCCAGGTAACTGCTGCCCTGCAATGTGTGGAAAGCATCCTCATACTTTTCTTTTTAGTATTACCGCAAATGTTTGTAACCCTAAACAGAGTATTGCTTAGTTTTTCAAGGTTTTGAATGTCTTGTAGATGGAATCATACTCTAGGTATTTTATGGCTTGCTTTTAATGCTTGACATTAACTGTTATCCATAATGTTAATTACTTAACTGTACTTTTTTGGTATATTTTCTAAATGGTAATCATTTCATAGATAAATTTGTGTTGTTTCTTTGTCTCCAATCCTCTTACTTTTTGTTTCTTTTTCTTTTTCCACTGACTGGGAAATCCAGTAAAATAGAAGTAGCAATAACCAATTTTTCTGCCTTGTCCCTCATTTTAAATGGTACATGTGCAATGTTTCTCCATTATCTGTGATGTATTCCGTAGGTTTATAAAAAGCATGTAGACTTTGTCAGTGTATCCTTTCTACTTCTAGTTTGCTGTGTGGCTTTAAAAATTGTGTATAAAGATGTTGTATTTTATCAAATGCTATTTAAAAAATCTATCAATTGATTCTATGAAATTTCTTTAATCTGTTAATAATTGGTAAATTATCTGAATTGATTTTCTGATGTTAAAAACAACATTTGCCTCCTGGAATAACTAAATTTAGCCATGAATTATTTTGACATAAATTATTTTAAGGCACGTTTCTTAATTTCCAAACAAATGCACTATACCTAGTTATCTTTTCTGTTATTGATTTTTACCCTAATTTCATTGTGGTCAGAGAAAATGGTCTAGATAATACCAACCCTCTGAAAGTTATTGAGATTTGCTTTTTGGCCCAGTGTGTGGTCAGAATTGGAAAGAACCCATGAGTGCCTGAGAGGAGAACGTATTCTCTTCTTGTTGGATCATGCTTGTTAATTATGATGCCCAAGTCTATATACACTTACTGGTGGTTTTGTTTTTGTTTTTTGATTGCTTGATCTATTACTTTCTGGAGAGAAATGTGTTAAAATTTCTGTATATGATGGTAGATTTGTTTTATTCTTTTTATATTGGTTAATTTTATGCTTAGTATATTTTGATGTTAAGTTTTAAGATTCATGCAAGGTTGATGCTATTATATATTTCTGATGACTTATTTTTCATTGTATGTGACTCTTTATCTCTAGTAATGCTTTTACCTTAAAGTGCTATTATATATTTCTGATGACTTATTTTTCATTGTATGCGACTCTTTATCTCTAGTAATGCTTTTACCTTAAAGTCTGATAGAGCTGAAGTTTGAAAAAAAAAAAAAATCCCATCTGGTAATCTTTATCTTTTTTTTTTTTTTTTTTTTTTTGAGATGGAGTCTCGCTGTGTCGCCCAGGCTGGAGTGCAGTGGTGTGATCTCGGCTCACTGCAACCCCTGCCTCCCAGGTTCAAGCAATTCTCTTGTCTCAGCCTCCTGAGTAGCTGGGACTACAGGCGCCTGCCACCACACCCAGCTAATTTTTGTATTTTTAGTAGAGACTGGGTTTCACCATGTTAGTTAGGCTGGTCTCGAATCCCTGAGTTCGTGATCCACACCCCTTAGCCTCCCAAAGTGCTGGGATTACAGGCGTGAGCCACCGCGCCCGGCCATCTTTATCTTTTAACTGAGTAGTTTTTCTATTTGTATTTTGTAACTACCGATATGTTGGGGTTTAAATTACCATCTTATGTTTTTTATTAGTCTTGACTTTTGCACTTAATTTTCCTTTTATCGTTGTCTTCTTTGGATGGATTGGGCATTTTGTTCCATTTCATTTCTCCCTTTACTCAACAAGAAACCATATCTTCAATTTGTATTGCATAATATCTTAAAGAGTTAATGTTACTCAATAGTTTTGTCCTCCTCATGAATAGTAAAAGAATCACAGAAAATAACCTCAAACACCCTCTGAGATTATATGCTTTGAGGCTAAGAAAGGCCAAAGGAAAGAAGGGAAGAAAGGAAGGAAAGAAGAAAGAAAGAGGAAAGAAAGAAGGAAAGAGGAAAGAAAGAAAAATAATCTTTTTTTAAAGCACAAAGCTTTTAAGCTTTACTTACCACTTTCTTTGCTCAACACTTTTTTTTTTTTCCATCTGGGATTACTTTTATTCTGCCCTTAAAATTTCCTTCAGTGAGTACCCATTGATAGCAAACTCTCAGATTTTGTTTTTCTGAAAATACTTTGCCCCATTCTTAAAAGATATTTTTACTGAGTATGCAATTCTAAGTTGACAATCATATTCTTTTTTTTTTTTTTTTCAGAGATGGAGTTTCACTCTTATGCCCAGGCTGGAGTGAGTGGTGCGATCTCGGCTCACTGCAACCTTTCCGGCTCACTGCAACCTCTGTCCCCCAGGTTCAAGCGATTCTCCTGCTTCAGCCTCCCAAGTAGTTGGGATTACAGGCGCCCGCCACCACGCCTGGCTAATTTTTGTATTTTTACTAGAGACAGAGTTTTGCCATGTTGGCCAGGCTGGTGTCGAACTCCTGACCTGAAGTCATCCACCCACCTCGGCCTCCCAAAGTGCTAGGATTACAGGCATGAGCCACTGTGCCTGGCCGACAAATTCTTTGAGCACTTTTGATACGTAAGGAAAGTGCTGTGAGGGAAAGAGCCTGGTCCCTTTAAATGATATGGGAGGGGGGGAAGGGAAGTGCTGGGTAGAGTAGGGCGTGGTCCCTAGCTAGGGCTCTACCCCCATGGACCTAGGTGAGGACAGGCAATTCAGGCATTTCCTGCATTTCCCAAGACCGCCCTGGCCTGCCACGCCCCTATAATGTGCCTTTAAAAGCCCAAGACCGTCGCTAGGCACAGACGGAAGTGACTGGATGTGGAGAGGAGTGTATCCGCGAAGGAACGCACAAGTGGCCTGACCTGCAGAAGAACGCTAGCTAGGCACTAGGCATGCCGGCAAGGTCAGCTGAGAGCTGACCCCAGTGCAACGTGGAGGAGTTTGGTTGGGGCAGTCGGAGGAGCACCTGGGCCGCCAAGCGGCCAGACTTCGGGGGAAAGCCATCTCTCTTCTGGCGCCTTTATCGGCAGAGAGCTACTTGTACTCAAAACCTTGCACTCATTCTCCAAGCCCACGTGGGTAAGATTCACCCACACTGCGGAGGGCGTCGGAGCTCCACAGCCTGCCTGTCTGTATGCTCCCATAGAGGTTTGAGCAGCGGGGCACTGGAGAAGCAAGTCACACCCCCATTGCACGCCATGGGAGTAGGACAAGGTAACTTTTCCTGTTTCACTGTGACAATACGATTCACACCCCTTTTTCCTCTTCGTTCTATAGTTACTGCTGAAAAGTCAAGATAGGGTTGTTCTATTGTAAATGATCTCTCTCTTTTTTCTGACTGCTTTTAGAAATGTTCATTTAATCATTGATATTTGGTGGTTTTCCTATGTGTTTAGCCATTTATTTTCTAGGATTCTTGGGCTCCTTGATCATAAGAATTAGGTCCTTTAACAGTTTTGGTTGGAAAATTCTCAGCTATTGTTTTTTCATATTTGCTTTCTCTTATTTTCGCCTTATGAATTCCAAGTAGATAGATGTTGGAACCTCTCATACCGTCTTTCATGTGTCTTAAACTCTTTTTACCATATTTATCTTTTGGTATCTGTGCTTATGTTAAAATGTATCCACAGGATTTTAATGTGTAGAGGTGACAGAGTGAGGACATGGAGCAGTCAGTGCCACTGGGAAGAAAAGTTTATTACTCAGTTTCCTAGAAGTGAGAGGCATTGCTTGCTATGCAGAAACACATGGGGCAGCCCCAGAGCTGGTCAGGAGGCAGGGTAGGAGTGAAAGAGAAGCACAGGCCATAGCCGTTTTTGGAGTTTCTGTGGGAAAGTCAAGGCAGGGCAGAGTAAACTTGGCTAGTTTGAGTAATTCTGGCAGGATTTGGGGCATAGCGGCTGTCTGTAATTGTCTGGTCATTGGCCACATTGATTTGGGGCAGGGAAAATATTGGCTTGGATTGTGAGAGTTAAAGCAGAAAGTTGGGGGTATGAAGTTGGGATTGGTTGGTTTGTAGATAAAAGATATGTTCACAGGTGACTTGTTGATTATCTCTAGTAATTAGCCCTGGAAGCTGCAGTCTCTCTGAAGCTGGCAGGCTCCCACTCTAAGATGTCAAAACATCATAAAATAAAAAAAACGAAATACTGTGCTCTTTTCTAGAAATTGTTTCATCTCTATTTTCTAGTTCACTAATTTTGTCTTCAGTGGAATCAAAGCCTCTATTAAATCCATTTATTGAGTTTCTAATTTTAATTAGATTATTTCCACAAGTTCTTTTTGTCTAATGAAAATTTTTTGCTTTTTGCTCATTTTTCCATTTCTTATTTTATTAAGAATCTTAAATATGACTTACATTTGTTTGTGTGTGGTAATTCTAATGATTAAAGCCACTGTGGATCTGATTCTGCTATTTGTTATTTCTGTTGGCACTTGCTCATACATACTTGCCTTGTTTTTCTTAAGTATTTTGTGATGTTTCACTGTGAGTTCATATTACTTGAAATTTAACTGGAAATTATTTGAAAATGAGATGACCGTATATTTTTCCAAAGAAAATTTGCATTTACTTTTGCTAGGTTTGTGGACACTACTGACCTAGAATTACCATCTACATTTTTAAATTTGAGGTCTTTTAACTCATTCAGTTAGGGCAACAAACTTGCATTATACTTAGCTTGTGATTACAAATTGTCAGGGAAAATACTTTTTTCTCTCCATTCGGTGCTATTTTGCTACAGATATTTTTTAGTATTTCTTAAGAGGGGTGCTGGCGGTGTGTGCAACATTTATGGTTGATTTATAATCTGGGAATTTAACTGATTAGAGTTCTGTTTTTATATAGGTGGTCTTGGATTAGATTCCACCTCTGTTGTGCCCTTCTAATTTTTCTTCTGGCCCCTAAACCCATAATGAAATTGTGTTTTGTAGTTGCATTAAGTTTAATTCAGCCACCAGGACTCATACTTCTCTGTATCTCTTCTATCGCTTCAAATTTTTTGGGCTTTCTTAAGCAGGCTTACATTTTTCCATCTCCAAATCAATTAAACGTTACATACTTTAAAATTATTTTATGCAGCATTTTTCTTTATGTTCAGTGGGAGATCCTATCAAAAATGGAAATTTCTCAGTTTTCTATATTTACTTTTCCAATATGTGTTTTGGAATGTCATTTAATCTTATTTTTTCAGTTAACTAAGTCATTTCTGCTGTGTCTAATCTACTGTATCAGACTTTCTTTGAATTTTTAATTTTAATGATTATATATTTAATTTTTAGAAGTTACTTTTGATTAATTTTCAAACCTCTGAGATTTATTTTATTGTATTTTAATCTTTATGTTTAAATTTTTTCTTTAATATTTAAAAATATACTCTTCTTTCAGCCTCTATCTGAATCTTCTGGTATCTGAAGTTTTGGGAGTCTAATCACATTCTCAGATGTCTGCTGATTACAGCAAATTATTTTTATACACCTTTGCTATTTCTGATTTCAAACTTATGTACAGAGGGAATGTGCCTGGATGCCTTCTGAAAGATTTTTTTTTTCCATTTGCTTCTGCCAAATCATTTAAGAATATCACTGAATCACAATTTATGTTAATTTCTTGGTCTGGAATTTCTTACCATGCAACTGTTATAAATTCCAACCTCAAAGTCAAATGAAGTGTGAGCCCATCATACAAATTCTCAAAGGACACTGTTTTTTTCCTGTACCAAGAGATGAGCATTCTTATTTTCTTTTTCTGATCATGCATGCATTTTTCTAGTCTGTTTTTTTGTTCCCTCCCTGAGAATTCTCCTTTATGAAGCATTTTCAGTTTCAATGTCTTGCCTCCCTTAGGTTCAAGAACTCTTCTGTACCCATGTGGGCATTAAATCTTCAGCCCCAACCTCCTTTATTAGCAAGAATGATAGCCCAACCATATCTGCTGCTGTGTCTATCAGCTCACGTGTCTATCTGTTTCTAGTGTCTACTTATTATTTGTTGCCTAAACATTGATCATGTTTTGTGATCTCACTATATATTTTAAAAGAATGTTGATTTTATCTAGCATTTCTGGGTGTTTTATAATGAAGACGTTTTGGGTTAGCTATCCATGTTACAAGCTATGGAAAGGCTTTGCTTACTATTTTAGTATAGAGTGCTTTCTGATTTTTGTGCCATCATTTGGTGGGGACCATACTAATCTTTATCCTTTCAGTTTTTGTGTTAATGCTAAGGAACTGGATTGTCCTTGTGAAATCTTGAATATTTCATAGAAATGCCTTTCTGTTATGGAAAACAACTGAGTAACAGTCTCTGAAAGTCCTTTGCTCACGACTGGCTGGTGTTGCTTTGTATTGTAGCTGGAATTTTTCAGAGACAGAATGAGGAACTTTAGGAGTATAATAATGGCCAAATGGAACTTCTGTGTAATATTGTGTTGATTTGAAACATGTATATTTCCATGTTTGGTGATTCTTAAGAAAACATGCCTTGGTTGTAAGGATATGATGCATAGGGATATTTCTGAATTTGATTTTATATCATTCAATATTTTCTGGTTTTAAATCCTATTTTTCAGATATGGTCAAAACCCATTCATTCATTACTCAGAATGAGTTTGCCTACTATAGAGATAATACAGGTTCTAGGAAACAGGCTTTTTCTACCCATGTAATGTAATATAATGTTCTTTGCTTCAACACTTATGAAAGTACCAAAAATTACTGTGAATGTTTTTTGTTTTTCTGTTTTTCTTTTTTTTTCTTTTGGGGGGACAGGATGGGGTTGGTGGGTGCTTGTGGAGTGAATTCTTGTCTTATCTCACTGACTCTCCTGACTGACTCTATCCTGAAGCTCTGCTTTCTTACCAAATCCTTGACATTACAATGGCCATGTGACCTTTGGTGTGGACAGTATGATAAAGCATCAAGATTCTCTTGAGACACTTTGGAGGATATCATGCTACATTGTACAGATAAGGTAGGAGAAGGAAACAGAACAAGAAATGACAGCGTTACTGGGAACAAGGGGAAAGAAGAGAGTCAGTTATCTGGTGTGTTCCTAAATAGGCGTGTGTGTCTTATATATATATATATATTATCAGCTTAACTTCAAGTACTAGACTTACTTATTGAATGACTGATTATTGGAGGAATCAGTGAAGATCAAGAATGATCATTCCATCAAAAGCAGGAGCTTGAGTGAAATGGCTGCAATAGAGACTTTGGAGGGAGGACACAGACCAGTAGGACTCCAGTGGAAGATTAGAATATGTGGAATAAGGTGAGATCATGGAGCCCTTGAATACCAGGCAGGTGAATGTAAACTTTATTCAGGAACCAATGGGGACCAATGAGTGGAGGAAGATGGGCTGAAATTGGAGGTTTACATGACATAGGTAAGAGATCCTGATTCTGGGAAGCTTGATAGGGAGATAAATGTGTGGGGTGATTTAGAATGAACGAGGGGACATCAGTAAAAAGGAGAAAAAAACAGGTATTTGCATTTTTAAGGGAGAATAAAAATACTAACAGTATGGTTAAGAAAAAGAATGAGCACAATTACTCACAATTTGGAATTGGATGTAAGGGGATTAACCCTTGGGAAAAGAAAAAAACACCGCAGGCCTTAGATGTTCAAAAACAAATTCTCAAATTAGCTTGCTCTTGTTCAAGGCATGATGATACTTGGGGAGTCACCCTGGTTCTTGCTTTGTGGAGGTCAGTCAAGAGCTAAGCAGAAAGCCCTCCTGATTATTTAAAAAAAATCAGTAGGCAGAGGCAGAGAAGCCAGGGAGGCCAGGATGTGGCAGAGGAGCCCAAGGCAGGTGTCATGCTGGGGAGCTTGGAAGCAGCCAGGGGTCCTGGTAGGAGCTGGCAGAGGTTTGTGTCCTAGTAATTTTGTTACCAAAAGGTGAAACTCAGCTTTGGTAACCAGCTTGTGATAAAGGAATTGCGTTTCATGTTACTCTAAGTCTTTTAGTAGTACAAATGACCCTTGAGCAATGCGTGTTTAAACTTTGCGGGTCACTTACTTACACATGTATTTTCATCTACCTCTGCCACCCCTGAGAGAGCAAGGCCTACCCCTCCTCCTCCCTGTCAGCCCACTCAACACCAAGATCACAAGGATGAAGATCTTCAGGATGATCCATTTCCACTCAATGCATAGAAAATATATTTTCTCTTCCTCATGATTTTCTTAACATTTTCTTTGCTCTAGCTTACTTTATTGTAAAAATACAACATATAATACATAAAACATGGAAAATATGTCTCCATCCACTGTTTATGTTACTAGTAAGGCTTCCGTTCAACAGTAGGCTATGAGTAATTACATTTTTGGAATCAAAAGTTATACGTGGATATTCAACTGTGTTGTGGGGTTGGTGCCTCTGTCTCCCAGGATGTTGAAGGACTGACGGTATACTAAAACATTAAGATAAAACAGCTCTCCCTTCTCTCCTCACTCACACCTGTGCTGGTGTTGCTGCTGCTTCTATGTGTGCTTTCTTCGCACTGTCTCTGATCTCCAAGCCAAGCCCCAGTCATCTGACCAGCCTCTCCAAGCCCCAGGCCTACTCAGCTTCAGTCTGCTTCTGCATCCTCCTCCCTCCCACTGTATTCGTTGTTACTGATTCCTCTGCACAGCTCTTCTGTCTCTATATTCTTCTCCCACACCCAAAATAAAGGGCTACCAAAGACCTGCCTCATACATCTCATGCCCGTCCCTGAACTTTCTTCTTTAGGGTTTTCCTTCTCCCCTTGGCTTCAGATGTCATGACCATGAAGGCAAATCTCAAATTTGGGTGTATGTGTATTCTTGACCTCTTAGTGAAGTTCCAGCGCCACCTCATTACAACTAGAAGGTGTTCCAGTTTGGCCATCTTAGCTGTTTTAGATTCATACTCGGCACATCGTATTTTCAGTCTATGCCTTCCAGAGAAACAGAACCAATACTATCAATGTATCTATCTATGAGAGAGAGAGAGAGGGAGACAGGGGCAGAGAGAAGGGGAGAGGATATTTATTTTAAAGAACTGGCTCATGTGATCACGGGGGGCTGCAAGTCTGAAATCCATAGGGCAGTTCAGCAGGCTGGAAGCTCCAATAAGAGCTGATGTTGCAATCTTGAACCTGCAATCTGTGGGGTTACAGGTAGGCTCTCCACTCAGGCATGATTTCTAGGTTGTAATTTTGAGGAAGAACTCTTTCTTGCCCTGGAAACCTCAGTCTTTACTCTTAAGATCTTCAGTTGATTAGATGAAGCCCACTCACATTATGAAGGGTCATCTGCTTTTCTCAAAGTTGACTTTAAGTACATTTATGGTATTTTTGTTTGTTTTTAAGAGGGTCTTGCTCTGTCACCCAGGCTGGAGTTCAGTGGCCTGATGACAGCTCACTGCAGCCTTGACCTCCTGAGCTCAAGTGATCCTCCCACCTCTTTCTCCTCAGTAGCTGGGATTACAGGAGTGAGTCACTGCTCCTGGCAATAGTATTTTGTAAATGTTAATCACATCTAAGAAATACCTTCACAGCAATATCTAAACTAGTGCTTGACCGAACAGTTGGGCAGTGTAGCCTAGCCAGGTTGACACACAAAATTAGCCATCACCTTCTGTGTTCAGACTTGCTTTTAATGGTATCAACCACAAATTCCAGAGATATTGTTGAGTTCTTCTACTCCCTGTCTTTGAAGTCAGCTAAGCCTGGGGATTGAGTCTCAGTTCCGCCATCACTATCTATTTGATCTTAGGTGACTTGTCTGATCTTGTCAAGATTTAGTTTTCTGCCACGCATGGTGGTTTGTGCCTGTAATCCCAGTACTTTGGGAGGCCAAGGCGGGTGGATCACTTGAGCCCAGGAGTTCGAGACCATCCTGGACAACACGAAAAACCGTGTCTCTACAAAAAATACAAAAATTAGCTGGGTATGGTGGTGCCTGCATGTAGTTACAGCTGTTCAGGAAGCTGAGGTGAGAGGATTACTTAAGTCCGGGAGTTCAAGGCTACAGTGAGCTGTGATTGTGCCATTGCACTCCAGCCTGGGTGACAGAGTGAGATCCTGTCTCAAAAAAAAGACTGAGTTTTCTTATAGGTAGGTTGAGAAAAAGAGCAGTACCTGTGCATCTCACAGACTTGAAATGGGGGGAGGCATACACATTCGTGAGCTCTAGAAGCTTGGCTCACGGCATGTTCTCCCTTGAGAATGGCGGCCGGGCCACCTTACTTAGCCATCACACCTGCATTACAGCATGGCCTCACCATGTCCATTTGGCAGATGAGGAATTGAAAGGTTAGAGTTTGCCAGTAGTAATAGAGATTGCAAACGCCAGTGCTGGAATTTGAGGTGAAAGTGTTCTGAAACCAAAGCCAGACATCCTTTTCACTGCACCAAACTGGGGGTGCTCCCAAGTGCTGGAGAAGCTGAGTAGGGTGCACCTGAGGTGTGGATGCACCTGTCTGCTCTCATCCACGCACCATCCCCACCAAGCCTGGAGCACATGGTGTATGTTTCCCTGGGTTGGGGGCCACTTAAAATCTAGCTCACCAAACTTCTCACCTCACTCAAATTGCCCCTCCCTTAATGCTTAGAAGAAACAGACAAATCACACAAAACATGATGGATAACATAAGTTTCTTTTATTAACAATCGAGGTAGACAGCCTTCCCAAACATCTGCCTTTGTTTTACTGTAAAATACAATTTTATTTGTACTGTATGAGTCTCAAGCAGCCCATGAAGACTCGCTTGCATTATGTTTGTTTTACTTTAGGAAAAATTAAGTCAGGAGAGAAATCCAGTATATAGTTTTAAAACTCGAATCCAATAAAGATGGAAAGAATGCCTTTCCTGGAAAACCGAGCTTTACTCTCATGTCTCCTACACTGTAAACTTCTCATATCCAGAGAGTGGAGTCCCACGTTGTCTGTTTGTCTTTAGTGCTGCACTTCTCTGTGGTTTTGCGATTTTTCTCTGGAAGTGTCTTGTTTTCCTCACTGCAGTGTGACCTTCCTGAAGGCAAAGGCTGGGACCCTTTCACCTTTGAAATTTCCATACTTAGGCAGGTGGTAGACACTCAAAAAATATTGAAAGAATATAAGGAAAAAGCAAGGCCAAGAAGGAGGGCATAAGGAAAAAAGACTGCCACAGGGGGCAGAAAATGGAAGCAAACCAACCCACTTACCCGGTTCCTAAGCATTAACGCTAATTGAGTTTTACTACATTTTCTTCAACCCTGTTGTGCCCATCAAATGGAGACACTCAATCACTAAGTCATATTCTTCCTGGAGGGTCACTTCTCTTTCCAGTAAGACATGAGCATGGCATGTTTAGGAGAGAGAGTGCCTCGACTTGCTTATTAATTGCAGCTTCTCTCCGGCTCATGGAGCTGGTTTGTGGTCTATCAAGCATGAAGAAATGGAGCTTGAAAGTTTGCCAGCAGACAACTTAGCTTTCTAAATAAAAGCTGAGGCCCTGAGAGCACTGAGGCCCATGAGTCTATTCACAGTGTGGGAGAGGGAAAGCTCTGCTATTTCCATATGCATAATATGAAAACAAGCTATATGACATTATCAACCTTTGCTTGCTTAGTAGTAAAAAGTACCTTGACTACAAGGATCCACCCTCCTCATCTATTGATCTAATCTAGAAGCATTGGCTATAATGATAGCTATATCCATGGATGGGTATCATGTTAATTGCTTTACTTCATTGAATCACTGGGAGAGTCCTGCAATATAGGTGGTGTTGTCATCTGCTTTTTAGTCATGAGGAGTCTTGAGACCAAGAGCACTTTCCTAACTTGCCCAGGACCTTACCTCATGGGGGAAGATCCAGACCTAGTATCCTTGGTGGTCTGGCTCCGAAGAACATGTCTGACCACCGAGCCACATACCCTATTTCTTTGTAAGGAGGAAGTATTTCAAACAAGAACACGTGAATTTCCCTAGAGACAGGAAAAAAGTCATGAAAATGATCTTCGGAGCTGGAGGTCATTATGCTTAGCAAACTAATGCAGGAACAGAAAACCGAATACCGCATATGCTCACTTAAAGTGGGAGCTAAATGATGAGAACACATAGATGTATAGAGGCGAACAGCAGACACTGGGGTCTACCTGGGGGTGGAGGCTGGGAGGAGGGAGAGGAGCAGAAAAAATAACTATTGGGTAGTAGGCTTAGTTAGTACCTAGGTGACAAAATCTGTACAACAAACCCCCGTGGCACAGTTGACCTATATAACAAATGTGCACATGTACCCTTGAACCTAAAATAAAAGCTTAAAATAAAAATGAAATGATCTTTGTGTATTTAGAGTACAATATGCATTTATTTGAGGAGAGCTTTTATATAT
Source organism: Homo sapiens (assembly GCF_000001405.40). NCBI lineage: Eukaryota > Metazoa > Chordata > Mammalia > Primates > Hominidae > Homo > Homo sapiens. The sequence continues at coordinate 22,050,515 of NC_000013.11, forward strand.
ATTTTTGTTAGCTTGTAAAAACTGAGCATGAACTTGATATCACCATCAGCCACTGAGATATAGACCGAGGCCTACTTACAGCGAGGGCATGTGTCTGAAGTGGTTGCCCTCTGAACTGTGGCTCTCCTGCTGGTGTTCTGGTGAGAGCTTCTTCTGGGTTCTCTCGAGGGAGGTTCCTCGTGTAGGTTATCCCTTGTGGTGACCGTTCCTAGAGTGTATCACTTGTTCTTCCACTTGTTGGGCCAGGTTTTAACTAACTGCTTTCACCTCTTTGTCAAAAGCTTCTGTCGCACACTCCAGAATCACAGATCTCAGGACGATGTGTCTGGTGCTTTCCTTCCCTGAAATTCAATAAAGAAATAAAGATTTCAAGAAACAATGTTTTTAGATATCTCAACCATTTCTCAGTGGGTGTGACTAATTCAGTTCAACTAGCATTTGTCGAGTGTCCATTCTATCAGTAATCACAGTGCCTGCATTTTTGTTCAAGCTTTCCTCATTTTAAAGCACTTTTGTAAACAGTATAGGCAAGGCTGTGTGTTGTGAAGATCAGGGATGAGAGGATGTGGCATGAAAGGGCCACCACAGGAAAGGGCTGGTTACCTCTTCTGGCTTGGAGGCTTTGTCAGGGGTGTCCTCAGAGCCTGCGGTCATTTGATGGGCTGCTTGAGGAAGATGTACTCTGCATTGGCTCAAAGGAGTAGAAGCACCAGATTTTGCACCATTGAGAAGACCTTTCTTACAACTGTTGTGTCCAGCAACAGAACGGGCTGCATATGACACTGGCAGCTCCCCAGCTAAGAAGCTGGCTAGGCTGAGTAACCAGTGTGACCGGGGAGAGGATACCAGCAGGATTCACTGTCCTTTCATTTAGCTAGGATCATGTGATCTGGGGCCAGATGACCTGAATTCTCATCTTGGCTGCACCACTGGCTCGTAGTGTGAACTTGGGAACTCACAGTCTTTCCCTCATTTGGCTGCTGAAAGGACTAAGTGGGTTAAGGCGAAGTGCTTGGAACAGTTTTTAGTAAGTCAACAATAAATGTTAGTAGTTATTTTTGTTTTGTTTTTGTTTTTTTGTTTTGTTTTGTTTTTGAGATGTAGTCTCACCTGCAGCTGGGCTGGAGTGCAGTGGCACGATCTCGGCTCACTGCAACCTCCATCTCCCGGGTTCAAGCAATACTCCTGCCTCAGCCTCCCGAGTAGTTGGGACTATAGGCAAGTGCCACCACGCCCAGCTAGTTTTTGTATGTTTAGTAGAGACGGGGTTTCACCATGTTGGCCAGGATGGTCTTGATCTCTTGATCTCGTGGCCCACCCACCTCGACCTCCCAAAGTGCTGGGATTACAGGCGTGAGCCACCACACCCGGCTCAAATGTTAGTAGTTATAAAGGACATCTTCCAACTCCTTTTGTGTTTGATTATAATGTAATATGCTACAGTGGCTAGTCGTGAATAATCATTACAGAACATTGAAGAAATATGAGTTATTAATGAAAACTTTTAAATTATCATATATTAGAGGTAATAAGGTGGGAAGAGTAGGAGATGCAAACAAGCAGAGGACACACTTCCTGGGTTCTGGGGTTCCCAGTCCTGCTGGGAAAACATGATGCATAAGATGATAACTTACAATTGCAAACAGTGCATGATAGAATGCTTCATGAGTAGTCTGGCAGTCAGTTGAGAGAGGAGATCACCAAAGCAGGCCTTGAGTTAAACACCCAGGTTTCTGTCAAATAATGGTATGTAACATACAACCCAATGTCTCATTGGCTGAAAACAACAAGCATTGATTGCTCACAGTTGGGCCTGTGGGTCAGTGACAACTCAGCTGGGCAAGGCTGCACTCGCTGCAGGCTCCTGCTGTTGGTTCAGGGCTTCTCTGTGTGGGTCTTGTCTTGAAACTCGGGCTGAGGAAGCAGCCCTTAGACGAGGTGAGTTCTCGTGGTAGGGGTGGGTGTGGGGTAGGATCATTGGCGACAGGGGATCCTCCCATGGCTCTGGCTTGGAACTGGCCTAGCCATCCCTTTCCATTGTCCAAAAACGGCCACATGGCCAAGTTGAACATCAGTAGAGCAGGGATGCCTATTCTGGGGTGAAAGTGAAGCATGGCAGAGGTGAGAGAGAAGGGAAAATTGTGAGGAAATAGTGTACAGCCTACCACAGATAGCTTTCAAACGTGCACATTAACATTCAGTAGATGCCTTGAAGGAAAGAATCACAGCGTTATTCTGCACACGATGGGCATGCAGTAGTCAGGCATGGTGGCTCACACTTGTAATCTCAGCTCTTTAGGAGGCTGAGGCTGGAGGCTCACTTGAGGCCAGGAATTTGAGACCAGCCTGGACAACATAGCAAGACGCCATTTCTACAAAATTTGAAAAATTATCTGGGTATGGTGGCACGTGCCTGTAGTCCTAGCTACTTGGAAGACTGAGGCAGGAGGATCGCTTGAGCCCAGCAGTTCAAGGCTGCAGCGAGCTATGATTGCATCACTGCCCTCCAGCTTGGGCGACAGAATGAGGTGTCTCTAAAGATAGCTAGCTAGCTAGCTAGCTAGCTAGCTAGCTAGATAGGTTCGGGTGATTTTCATATGATATTCTAAGTGAAAACCCAAATCATAGGCAATTCAGCCACAGCAAAATACCCAACAAGTTTGTAACCACAGGCCACCTGGCCCACCTGGAGATAGACTAAGATGCTGAGGAGGACGGCCCCTCCCTCCAGGGAGGAGGAGACAAACAGAAGGGCTGTAATTAGGTCAGAGCTGAGGTCTCTACCTCTCTTTCAATACATTGGAAATAGGCTGTTGCCAAATGTGGCTCTGAAGGCCTGTGGTAAATTGGGAAATCCTGAATGCACTGTAATTTCCAGGGGCTCTCTGTGTTGACTTTATGATAACACCCCCAGGAGAGGTCGGATAATACTTTGCCTTGTAGCAAACGGATTTTCTTACTGAAGTTTCTCTCTGCACTTTGGTCGCTGGAGGACATTCTCCTCATACCCATACCTCTGAAATGAAAGGTGCTGGGAACACATCCTTGTCTTCCAATTGATGGGTCTATGGCACATCCACACGCAACAGGCCGCAGAAGCTGGTGCCAGAGCCGTGGTTGGGAGAATTGCCTCGCTGGCTTCATCTCCAGTCTGGAAAGAGGAGGATGGGTGCCTTTGGGGGTGGACTAAAGTGTATAAACATCACAGTATCTATAGAGTATCTGTCATTTGACAAGTGTTCTGTTTGTGCCTCTGCATGCATCATATACGGATGCCCACCATGTCCTCTGGGTGAGGAACTACTCCCCTGTACGAGGTCTAGAGAAACTGGATATCTAGGTCAGTCTACGACCAGAGGTTGGGCTTCTTCTACTTTTTCTTCCTTTTATTTAAATCAGACTGACCTTTTTAAGAGTCTGAGAGAGTAGAATGACAGATCCCAGGAACTGGGAAGGGTAGTGGGAGGGGGAGGGGGGTGGTTAATGGGTACAAAAATACAGTTAGGTAGAATAAAGAAGATCTAGTGTTTGATAGCACAGCAGGGTACCAGCAGTCAGCAATAATTTATCATACATTTATAAATAACTAAAAGAGTATAATTGGATTGTTTGTAACACAAAGAAAGGATAAATGCTTGAGGTGATGATACCTCATTTACCCTGATGTGGTTATTATGCATTGCATGCCTGTACCCCGTAAATAAAATAAAATATTCCTTGTACCCCATAAATAAAGACCCTGCTATGTACCCATAAAATTTTTAAAAAGGAAACTGAGGTAAACTTTTGACCCCCTCTCCTGAACAATGTGTAAATGGACAAACACACACAAATTACAGACAATGTCAAAGAGTTCACTGATCTTTTAAAAACAAGATGTAGATAGAGTTGTGTTCTGACTTAAGAGCTGAAGGGTGGAATTAACTTAAAACCCCTCCAACAGCTTTTTGGAAGAAAAGGTGAGGTGCTGTGAGAACAGACTCACCTCTTTCTTTGAAAACAGTTGTGTGACTGACATAATTCACACACGCACACACACATATGCATACACACATGCACATGCGTGCACACAGGCATAAAAACACATACACAAACATACACATGCACACACATGTATGAGCACTGTGCACACTCCAAACCCACATTTATTGGACTGGCTGATTCTTAGAGTGGTTCTCACTGATCATGAGATGCCCAGCCCAGCATAACCTTCTTTTTATTGGAAGCGACAGACCACAAAGGCAGGGTTGTAGAAATTCTTATGAGGACATCTTACTTGAGAAGTTTCCAGTTCTTTCTCACTGATGCTAAGTCAGACGTGTGAAGAAAACCCTATTCAGGCATTTTGGCCAGATTCAAATAGGTCAGAGGCCCAGAAAGAGTAATTAACTTGCAGAAACTTTTTCTCAACTGAGGGGACCACATAACCTATTATCCCTTAATAAGGCCGTTTCCTCAGTGAATCATGGGAGCTTGGACAGGCTGAGGAAAAACCAAAGGGACATTTTCACTAAAGCATCATATGATCTTCCCTAATGTCTTACTACCCCAGAAATTGTGTCATCCTCTTAAAAGGGACCAAGTTAAGGCTTGATGTGCCTTTTATGCACAGTGAATATTGTTTGGCTTCAATCTTGATGAACTAGCTGTGCAAAATATATTTCGTTTCCTTGTTTTGAGTCATGTTTGATGTGGTTCCCTATCATAATTTGTATGATGATGAACAAATCACTGTGATAAAGATGGAAAATACTCCCACCTGGGAAAAATTCAGTAGAGACAAATGAGGTGAATCAAACATCCTCAAAGACTCCCCCAGGTGCTCTGGAAAGAGACTTTTGACATTTGTGCCATTGGTCATTCATGTCAAACGGGGAATAGAAGCATTATGAAAGAGGAGAACCAGGAAGAATGTCAGGAATGCTGCACTGTGCTTGGAAGGGAGACAGAGGAATCAGTGGATAGATCCCTTCATCCAACAGTCTGCTCATGTTCACAGAGTCCCTGCTCTAGCCAGTCGCTAGGCTGGTCCTAGGGACGGAGGGGCAGATAATAGTGATGTGGAGCTTTCTGTCCTGCATGGGGTCACATTAAACATATGGCGAATGGGTCTTCCTTTGCTTTGCCAAAGTGCGTTCACAGTATGCTCCTGCACATAGACCAAGTTGGGTTGAATACATATTACTTCCTCAGGAAATAGCTCCCTGAGGAGGTTATTTGTATTCATGATCTGGAGAAAGATTGAAATTACTCAGGCAAAAACAGGGTGGTGGACAAGAGGGTGGAAGGATTTCTAGGCAAAGGAAACAACATCTATGCATCTACAATGGCCCTGAGATTGGACAAAAAAAAAAAAAAAAAAAAACATGGCAGAGGTGGCAAGAGGCCAATAGGTTGGATCACAGTGATTGAAGAGAAGATGAGGGGTAGGGCTGGGGCCAGAGAGGCACAGACCCTTGTGGCCCTGGAAAGGATTTTGAAGCTGGATTGGACACAGAAGGGTTTGAGCATGGGAATTCCATAATAAGATGGTCATATTAAAAAGATCATGGAAAAATTATTGTGGACAGGATGAGAGTGTTTGCAAGAAGACAAACCAGAGCCCCAAATGGTCATGTTTTAGCCAGAGATGCCATTGACTTAGATGACTGTGTTGACCATGGGGGTGGAGAGAAATGGGCGCATGCAAGGGATATTTAAGAAGCAGAATTGATAGGACTTGGCCATTGATTGGATGCAGGGATGAGAGCTTTTGTTGGATGGCAGAAGTATGTGTCTTTGGGGAGACAAAGGGGAGATGAAAGGCCAACCGTGTTGTAGTAGTAGCCACAACGGACATCTATTATTTTCTATGTCTTCCGTATAGTGTTTAGTTGTTTATGTGCAATAACTTATAAAACCATTCTGTAGTTCATTACTTCTAAGAAAACTTCCTCCTAATCTAGGTCAGTGTCATTTATGTCTGTTCTACTTCTAAAGAAGAGGAAGAAGTGACTTTTTCAAGGCCGATGTGTAAGTGTCCACTGCATAGAAGCCCTGGACTACTGCCATGGATACAAACCCAGGACAGATAGGGCTGCACCATTGCTTTTAGGAAGTCTGTCCTTCAGTAGGAAAGATAGAACCCACAGACCTGCACACAGTGAGGGGACCACTTAAATGCAACACAATGCCAGTGACAATAAGCTTTGCAGACTTAGTGCCTACGTGCAAGGAGGAGGCATAGGCTTCCCTGTGAGAAGTGAAGAGTGAGAAAGACTTTCTGGAGGGGTGGGATGTAAGCTTGTCCCCCATCAGATAAACTTTTAATTTCACAATAGTTTTAGGCTTACAGAAAGGTTGTAAAGATAGTGCAGAGAGTTCCCATATGCCACAGAAGTCCCTTACAGTTAACCATTTGCATTACTGGGGTACATTTGTCACCAAGTCATTTTTATCAACTCAAGTCCCTTCTTTATTGGACTGCATTAGTTTTTCCATAATGTCCTTTTTCCATTCCAGAATCCCATCCAGGAGACCACGTTAACATTTAGTCATCACGTTGCTTTAGGCTCCTCTGGGCTGTGATAGTTTCTCAAACTCTCCCTGCTTTTTTTTTTTTTTTCCGGCATAGTCTTGCTCTGTCGCCCAGGCTGGAGTGCAGTGGCATGATCTTGGCTCACTGCAAGCTCCGCCTCCTGGATTCACACCATTCTCCTGTCTCAGCCTCCCAAGTAGCTGGGACTACAGGTGCCTGCCACCACACCTGGCTAATTTTTTGTATTTTTTAGTAGAGACGGTGTTTCCCCGTGTTAGCCAGGATGGTCTCGATCTCCTGACCTTGTGATCCACCCGCCTCAGCCTCCCAAAGTGCTAGGATTACAGGCACTCCCCCTGCTTTTGATGGCCTTGACAGTTTCGAAGAGTGCTGGTTATGTGCATTGCAGAATGTCTCTCAGTTTGGATTTGTCTGAGGTTTTTCTCGTGATAGAACTGGTATGATGGGGTTTTGGAAGACCACAGAGTTGAAATGCCCCTCTCAGCACATATCAAGGGTCCATACTATCAACATGTTTTATCATTGTTGATACTGACCTTGATCACCTGGTTGAGGTAGTTTGTCAGGTTTCTCCACTGTTAAGTAACTCTAATTTCCCCGTTTTCTTTTCTGTATTCTTTAGAAGGAAGTCACTCTGCCCAGCTCACACTTAAGGGATGGGGTGTGATGCTCCACCTCCCTGAGGACAGACTATTTACATAAATTATTTGGAATTTTTCTGCACGGAAGATTCTGCTTTTCTCTCATTTATTTATTTGTTAATTCAATCATTTATTTATATCAGTATGGGCTCATGGATATATATGCTATACTTTTAGTTATGTTTCAATGCTACATCATTTATTTGGTTGCTCAAATTTTTCCAGCTTTGGACCTGGGAGCCCACTCAATGGACTCCTGCTCCCTGTGACATACGCACTCATCACTGTGTGTGTTTCTCGGCACTTCCTTACTTACAGGTACTAAGAGATGCTCCAGGCCCTTCTTGCATATTTCCTGTTCCAGCCTTAGAATCAGCCATATTTCCAAGGAGCTGCAGTTTCTTTTATTAGAGAATGGTGTGAGGAACCAAGATCTGGGCATTGAATGTGTAAGCTGGGTTTTAAAGGACAGTGGACAATAGAAAGGAACAGGAATGGCATTTGGAGTAGAAAGCTTGGCATAAGCAAGTATCCTGAGAATGAAGAAAATGAATTCTATGTGGGGAAGAGCATATACCTAGATGGAAGCATTTACACTGGTGAAATAAATCTTTCAGGCTTTAGGTCCAGACTGAAGTGTAATATTATCCCATCCCCCAACCCATTTATTCATCACCTTTCTTCACAATAGCTTCACCTTTTACCCATTAGCTAATGCAAAAGTCCTGGGAGCTATTCTTTACTTCACTCTCCCTTTCCACTCATATGCAATCAGTGAAAAATATTTCTTGATTCTGCCTCCCAATAATTTTTAAACCTGTCTTCCACTGTCCAGAGCCACATCTCCTGGCCAGGTACCTTCAATGGTGGGTAAACCAGTTCCAACATCCCTGGCAGCGTCTTCTCCCTGCAGCAGCCTTGCCACCTCTGGTGGTATTCTCTACCATGATCAAGGCCATTGGGCTTCCCATTGAGTTTAAGGTGAAGCCTTCTGAGGCTGATGGGCTGGGTGTGATCTTTTCCTCACCAACCTGTCTACCTGACTCTCTGTTTTTGTAACCTGAGATCCCACAGCAAGATCTTCCATCACTCCTCAATCAAGCATTGCAGTGGGACCTTTGGAGGATGTGGCCTTTGTCCAGATGCTTTTGCCTTATCTGGCCTGGCTACCTGGTATGACTAACTTCTTTCCATTTTTGTTTTGCTGTCACTGCCTTGGGAAGACTTGTTTGCTCCATGGTCAAGTATGATCCTCAATACAGATTCTCACACCATACTAGGAGAAAATGGGCCCATATTTTCAATTTGTTGATTCTATTTAAAATTTATTCAGTAAATACTTGCTCAGCATTTAACTGTATACTAAGAGGGTGTTCAAGGCGCTAGGCATAGAGCAATGAAATGACAGAGTAAGAACCCCCTCCTCTTGGAGCTTATAGTCCGATGAGGAAGGCAGAAAACGTGTTGAGCATTCATCTGAAAATCCAAAATCTCAAAGGCTCCAAAATCAAGCTTTTTGAGTGCCAGTGTCGCAGGTAGAAAACTCCACACAGAATTACTTAACACAAACTTTGTTTTACACACAAAATATTAAACATATTTTAATATGAAGATATATATGAAACAAATGAACTTTGTGTTTAGACTTAAGTTCCTTTCCCAAAATGTCTCATTTATGTGTATGCAAATATTCCTAAATCTGAAATCGCAAGCGCTTCTGGTCCGAGGCAGTTTGGATAAGGGATACGCAACATGTAGCAAATACATAAATATGATATTTAGTATATCTGGAGCTGATAAATACTGTGGAGGAAAAAGGCAGGGGAGGCCAACAGGTGTGCATGGAGTTGGGGGAGTCTTACATTTACGTGGGTTGATCAGAGAAAGCTTCATTCAGAAGGTCGATGCATAAGCAAAGACTTGAAGGAGGGGAAGGAAGAACCCATGCAGGTAGGAGGGGAAGAGCATTCCAGGCAGAGGCCTGAGGGAGAGGTCGTGCCTGATGAGCTCCAGAACAGCCAAGAAATTTGAGTTTGATATGCCTGTGAAGCACAGAGGTCTAGATATCCAGTAGACAATTTATGCATGACCTTGAGTTTAGGGTTGGAAACTTCAGGCTGGAAATTGGGAGTTGTCACCTACAGATGGCATCTGAAGACAGGAGACTAGAGGAAGTCTCAGGAGGCTAAATGTTCAGTGGCTGAGCTCTGGGACACCTGAGTTCTTTAGACTCAGAAGATGATAGTGGACCAGCAAAGGCACTGAAGAATAGCTCGGAGGAAAACCAGGTAGGTCTGGTGTCCTGGAAACCACAGGAAGAATGAGGAAGTGACCCACTACTATTAATTAGTACCATCATGTACATGGGCACATGTATTTACAATGTGCCCATCACTGTTCTGAGTCTTGTATGTATATTAACTCGTTACATCCTCATAATCCCTATGAGGTATTTTGTTTTATTATCTCTGCTTTGCAAATGGGAAGTCAGGCCCAGAGGTAAATAAACTTGTCCAGTCACATAGCTCACAAGCACTGGAGCTGGGGTTTGAATCTGGACCATCTAGTCTCAGGGTCATTGGTCTTCAGCACCACATCATGTGTGCCCAAACACTGCAGGTGCAGGTGGAAAAGCTCAGCGCTGAGACGAAGCACTGTGGATATCTTCGGTGAGCTTAAAAGAGAAGCTTGGAGTGAGTCCTGGAGGAGATAGAATGATTAGGGGCAGTCGATGAGGCACGGGAGGAGAGATGGTGAAGATAGCAGCCAGAGACAACTCTCATGAATAGCTTGGCTGTGAAGGGGAGTGAGAAACGTTAGGAAGACTACAGGGAGATGTGCAATCAAAGAGGAATTTTAGGAAGAATGTTAGAAATTATGGTATGTTTGTAGATGGGTGGGACTGAAAGGGTAAAAAGGAAAAGAATAATGACCTAGGAGGAGAGAAGGTGAACCTTGCATTTGTAACTGTGATCTAGAGAAGAGAGAATGTGAACCCTGCATTTGTAACTGAAAAATTATTTGCTGAGCTGCTTAATGTCAGTGATCTCTGCCAAAGTATAAACTGCTAGGGTTGGGGGATTTTAGATTTCCAGGTGCTGCTGTGGCTCCATGTGCTCCACGTCCTTGCCTGGTGAATGGGGGAAGGAATCATGCCACTGATGAAGGTCAAAGCAGGGCTCCTGGTGCCCTGAACCTCCATACCTTCCTGCCCCACCGCTGCCTGCAGACCCAGCTTTCTGCTCGCAGCCTGGGCATGCCTTCTGCCTGTATCCTCCCATGAAGGCCAACTCCAAACCCACCAGGCATTGCTGAGGAGTAAGTGGGAGGGAGAAGTCACATGGCACAGGATGCCGTGAAACTGCCCCAGAGCCCTTGGAAGTCTCCCCGGACAGCCACTTCACGCCTTTCCCTGGTTCCCAAACCTCAGTCCTGCCAGCTGCCTGGGCTCTACCTCTATGCCACTGCTCCACAGGCTGCTTGGCTCTATTCTCACTGCCCTTTGTTTCCCAGCCTTGGGTCAGGGACAGACCTCCATCCATTTCATGGGAAGACTCCCTAAGGCCCAGAACTTCTCCATCTCAGAGGGATGAATGGTGGTCAGCAGAGATGCTTTCAGGAGTGAGGGATCAGAGGCTCTGGGAAATGCCTCACCATTTCACAGAAGCCCTTTTCCTTCTGCCAACCCCCCAGGGGCATTTATAAAATTCCAGAGTGAGATTGAGAAGCTGAACTAACTCACCTGCAGGGCTGGGTCTCCCCCACCAGGCAGCCACAATAGCCTGCAAGGCATCTGCTGAGTGTGGGAGAAATGCTGCTTTTCAACGTAGGTATGAGGGCAGAACTCATGCGTGTTTGTCAAAAAGGCCTCCCACAGTTTTTGAGGCATCACACATACACCTACTCACACTCCCCCATGGAGGCATGCTCTCCTCTCTCACACACGCACATGCACGCAGGGACTCACACATATCACTCATCATGCCTCTCTCCCCTCCCCACACCGAGCTACCCTGCCGGCAGCACAGAGTGAACAGCGCCGTGCACCCATCTGGGCCTGACCTGCCTACATTGTTAGCCTAAAATACTTGTGAGTATATATACAGCATGGTAAGGAACTAATTTTTGAAGCCAGTGTGGGGGCTCCAGGGCACTCCGCCATTTCCTCTTTTCCCTAAAGCTGTTAAACTAAATTATAGGGCTGGGAGAATGAGAGGCCAGCTGTGCTTCAGCTGCAGGCCCCAGTTGTTGTGACAAAGTGAAAAGTGTGGGTACCAACAGATCATTAACTGTGCAGCCAAAAATAGGCTGATGATTGGATCTCACGCTCTGCTCTGAGGAGACCGTGGACCCAACTCTGGCAGGTGCTGGTTCTAGCCCAGGATGGCACTGACTCTCACAGCCAAAGGGGCATTGACAATTGCCCCTAACACACCACCTCACGTTCTTCTTACTTCATTACATAAGGGCAAGTTTTATTTTTTTATAAACTGTTCTTAAAATTGACAGGGGTTTTTGTCTCTGTTTTGGTTTTGTTTTTAAAATTTCCCCACAATTTCCTGTTGCCTTGCCTCTTTGGCTGAGTTCGACTTTCCTGTTGACTATAATTACTGCGAGTCTGGTGAAGAGTTGAAAAATCTAAGTTGACATTAAAGGTGCATTACACTTGAATAAACCCAGAGACAGAATATCACACGTTGGTTTGGAGTTGCCCCTGTGTTTTGTCTAGATTAACAAATTTAGACGGCTTTTGATTTGCATAGCATTAATAACTGCTGGGGCAATCTCTGGAACTTGTAAACACTGCTCATAAATAGTCGCTAAAGTGTGAGGTTGAATAAACATTACCTCGATGGTTTGTGAAGGACTGGCCAGCATGAAACCAAATTGTGCTTTGAAATAAGACCTTTGTCATTGGGAAGGAGTGGAGAGAAAACAGGACTGGGACACTAAACAGTAGCTACTTCAATTTCTTGACTGCTTAGCAATCCACAAGTGACCAGAAACGGTTGACATCATCTGTGGTGCCTCAGTTTCTCTCTCATTATTTGTAAACTGGCAATCATAGTCTAGAAGACTGATGTTTTATGCAGTCACTTATTCATTCCATGTTGGAAGAAGAACTGAGAATATTTTTTTGGCTGCAGCCTTGTCACGTGAACGTACAAATTTTGACCTTGAAGAATCCATAGACACCTTCCAGTTCTGCGTCATTTTACACAGGGGGCATCCCAGGCCCAGGGAGCTGCATGGAGCTGGTTAGGCTCTCTGCTGCAGACCAAGCAGAGGCATCATTTCTCAAGGCTTCTGTCATCTGTGGCTATCAGCTTTGCTATCATGACTCACATTTGCAACCTGGCCTATTTTCCGGGCAAATGTGGACTGGCCTGGACTTGGCAGAGGCTCGTAGAGGAGATGTTTGCAAATGAAGATGCATAAAAAGTTTAAAGCTTAATGGAAATTCAAAATTTAAACTTACTTAGGAGAAAGGGTTTTAATCATACAACTTAGAATATTCTTCTTTCCACGCTTTCTGAGATGTTGCTAAGTAAAGGAAAGCTAATAGCCAGAGAAGATGTAGGGAAGTGTTCCTGACCAGGCACTGGGGGCCCTGTCTTGTTCCTAACTAACTGTACTGGTCATGATAATGTTTGCTGAGCATTTACTATGTGCTAGGATTTTAGGTAATGTGGTTAACCATACAGTATCTCATTTAGACCTCACAAGGAATCTTTGAGGTAAGTGCTGTTATTGTCACTATTTTATATTTTTAAAAAGTTCAAAGGAGGCTAACATTCGCCCAAGGCCACATGACTGGTAGTGCAACCAGGATTTTAACCCTGAGATTCTGGCAACCCGTGCTGCCTGTGCTTATCTCTGTTTTGATTCTGTCACTGAGATGCCGGGCCTTTCAAGGTACCGTGCAGATGCTTGGGCTGCCCAGCGCTGGTGATTTCTTGTTGGGGAACACTCCGATGATTAACTGAATGTCTTCGCTTCTTGTTCGTGTGAAGCACACATGTGTTTGGGCACCGCGTGTGGAGGCTGTGGAAGGCTCCCAGATGAGGGCACGTGGCACTCAGGGTTTGCCCACTTACCATTTGAGCCATCGACAGGCACGAGGATGGGAAGTTGGGCCTCGGTGAAACGCCCTGGCTGGAAATGCCTGGTCTGCTAAGCGGGGAATACTCTGGGTTGAAGCACTTGTTTTGATGACGTGTTTCACTGGTTGCATCATCATTTAAATAATGACCAGTCTCAGGGCTTATTTCTCAACAGAATTCTAGTTTTCAGGTCTGTAACGATGGGCAGATTTTCCATGACACGACTAAAGTCCAACGCCAGTGCCACTTCTCCCATGATGCTTCCCGTTCTCTCTTGTGCCCACCGAGGCCCTGTGGCTTTTCCTTGAAACTTCCCCGTGGCCCTCATCGCGTGCCTCATCTTGTGTCACAGTTATCTGCGCAGCAGAGAAAAAGGAGCACAGACCTCACAGACAGACAGATTGGGCTCAACATGCACCTGGGCCTTGAGGAGGTTAGTGTATCTCCTGGAGCTAACTTACTATTTTGTTATTTTCATTTCATAGATAATGGAAGTGAAATATTCCTTGGAAGGTTGGTATGAAGAATTAACTATAAAGTAGATTAGGCCATAGTGTGACGTCCAACATGGAGGAGGATTCCACAAGTGGTAGCTAGTATTATTGTACTTATTAATGAGTATATTTAGGCATATCAATTAGATTTACTTGACAGGTTGCATACTTGAGAGTAGAGACCACTTGTCTAACATTATGTTATCTTCATCAGTCCTACATATTTTAGGCACTTGAAAAATGTCTCTAAAATTAAAAAATGAATACATCTATATGGGTATACATATGTGTGTATACATATATTTTTAAAAGTTCGTATATGTGTATATACATACAAATATGCATATGTGTAAATTTAAAAATGTGTGTATATGTCTGTATATATATATGTGTGTCTATATATATAAAATATGCACTAGTGCTAGAACCAAATACATATGCGTGTGTATATATTTGATACATTGCTCTGTGGAATTTAAATTTCACCTGCTCTTTTTATCATTTCCTAATCTCCCACCAGTTAATTATTTGAGGACTAATATTACTTTAGGTTTTGTGGTTTTGTTGGTGGTGGCAGATGATCTTTATGTAAATTAAGAGAAAACCAGGGCTGTGGTTGGAGTCCGGCACACTCCCGTGGTGCCAGCGTTGTAGCCCAAGTGTAAGCATGCCTCCACTCACACCAATGTACCTCGACATCGGTTATTTATGACTCACTCCCCAGCCACTTATTTGTTCCTATGTCACAGAATCTGCCTGTGCAGGGAGGCTCACATGCTGACCGCGAGCAGACGGAACAATCCTCGTTTGTTCATGGAGAAACAAGGTGGGCAATTGACCTGACCATGTGCCCCCTGGGGAAGGAGCCAGGGTGAGGGTGGGAGTGGAAGGCCTGGACCAGGAAATGTCTGACACCTTCCCACTTCAGGACACTTGGGCATGCACCTAATTTTTTTTGTTGTGCCTTTTGTTCTGGCGAGGCTTTAGCTGTAGGGGAGATTATATAGACAGCGCTAGTACCAAACATTTATTTAAAGTGAAATAGCACCAGCTGCCATTTCTATGTCAGTGAAATAGATTCTTTGGAGGCCCTTCCCCTCCTGAGTCTGACAAGGCAGACAAAGATAACAGCCTGCCAGGACTCCATCCCCTGTGCAAGGCGTCACTATTAAATCCCAGGAATGTGCTTCCAACTCCTCCTCTCTCTGCTGCTTGCCTTTGTTTTTTGAAATGAGCAGGATCTTGGGTGGGCAAGGGAACTTACTGGGGGATCGCTTAGCACTCCCTTTCTCAAAGCCCTGGGATATTTTAATTCTTAGCCTTGGTGCCCAGCACTTAAAGCACATGAAAAGTAAAGCTTTAGATTGAAGTTGAAAGAAAATACCAGAAATGGCATTTGGAAGCCATGAAATATGGCACTCGACAGATGAGACAGGCAATACTACAGTATTAGCTGTAGATTTCACGAGCAAATTTCAGGGTTGCATGGGCCATTAAAAGCAAAACAAAAACCATAATTGCTCCTAATCTCTATTCATTCTGCATGTGCAAATCCTGTTCAAAGGGAGATTTTGAGGAGGAAGATCAAGAGAAAAATAAGCATGAATCTTTGGACAGTGTCAGATGTGATCCTCCTTTGAAGACTTGTGAAGAATAGGGCTGGGTCCTGAGGTGTGAGCGCTCCTGAGCGGCTCATCTGAGGTGACAGTGCTTTAAAAGACCTGGCTTCCTGGCATTGCCCTTGTCAGCCTCATCTACATCCACAATCCCCTTTTGTGTAGGTGAAATACTTCTGCTGGGTTTTGGCTCAGAAGCTGAGCAAGATGATCTTGCCTACAGATGTGCTTTCACTTAACTTTCCTTAAAAAAAACAACCAACTCTGCTTAAATTACAGCAAAATTAGTTGTGCACCTAAGGGGTTACAGGTTGGGAGTGGAAACAAGAGGGAAGAGAATGGCCAATTTAATCTGGTTGTAGACCCAGGAAAAGTATCCTCCTAATAATTTATAATTCTTGTCCTCTCTTCCCCTGAGAATAAAGGTTCTTACCAGTTCTCAGTTGCCTTACTCATGCTAATACTATTTTTAAGATAGTAGACAATTGTATGCAATAATTTTGATCTTTAATCAAGCTAGATAATAAAAAGCAGTAGTAAAGTGGCAATATATTGAGGCTAAAAAAAAAACCAGTAGCTGTAGTCTGTGTAGACTAAAATGTGAAGTATTCCTACTATTGATATACTCAGACTTTGTGATCCCATTTAAGAATATTTTGAATAATCTATGGCGATTGAACCTTTTTTTAGTATTACATATGCCTTGAACAAGGTCTGGTATGTTATAATTTGCACCAGCATTAGTTTAGGCAAACACTATGCAACAAAATGATTATAATCCATTAAAACCGTATTTGTTTCCACATTCACAGAAAATTAACTTGAGTTACTGTATTGATGGGGTGAGTGGGATGCTTGAGAAAGTCCTCCTCACCTCCATTTTTTCTTTCTCCTTCTCTGCCTCCACGTGCCCTACATTTTTTTCCAAACAAAGCTCATTCATTTTCAGTGACTTAATTTTTCTTAATTTATATCACTGAAAGAGGAACAAGTGCACAGTTTCGTTACACGGATATATCGCATAGTTGTGAAGTCTGGGTTTTTAGTGTAGCCATCACCCTAATAGTGTACATTGTACCCATTAAGTAATTTTTCTTTCCTCACCCCCTCCCACTCTTCCAAGTTTCCAATGTCTATCATTCCACCCTCTACTTTCATGGGTACACATTGTTTAGCTCCCACGTACAGGTGCGAACATGTGGTATTTGACTTTCTGTTTCTGAGTTGTTTCACTGAAGATAATGGCGTCCAGTTCGATCCATGTTGTAGTAAAAGACATGATTTCATTCCTTTTCATGACCAAATAGTATTCGATTGTGTATATGTGTAACATTTTCTTTATTCAGTCTTCCATTGATGGATACTTAGGTTGATTCCGTATCTTTGCTATTGTGAATAGCGCTGTGATAAACATATGAGAGCGAGTATTTTCTTCTTCTTCTTTTTTTATTTTTTCAGAGACAGAGTCTCGCTCTGTTGCCCAGACTGGAGTGCAGTGTCAAAATCATAGCTCACTCATAGTAACGTCAAACTACTGGACTCAAGTGATCTTCCTGACTCAGCTTCCCAAGTAGCTAGAATTACAGGAGCGTGCCACCAAGCCCAACTAATTTTTATTTTTATTTTTGTAGAGATGAGGTCTTGCTTGAGTTCCTTTCTCTCAGTAGGTTTAAATCAATTGTTTTGATTTAAAACAACAACAGATTGGACCTTAATGTTTGGTCTCAAAGTAAATGAAAGGTTTGAATGAAGAATATTTCCATGTGTCTTTCTGTCCTTAAAATCAAAAGTTGTGAACAGGCTGGGTGAGGTGGCTCATGTCTGTAGTCCCACCTCTTTGGAAGGCCAAGGCAGGCAGATCACTTGAGCCCAGGAGTTCAAGACCAGCCTGGGCAACAAAACAAAACTCCATCTCTACAACAATGAAAAAATTAACCAGGCATGGTGGCATGTGCCTGTAGTCCCAGCTACTTGTGAGGCTGAGACTGGAGGATCGTTGAGCCCAAGAGGCAGAGGTTGCAGTGAACTGTGATTGTGCCACTGTACAACAGTGCCAGCCTGGGCAACAGAGTGAGACCCTGTCTTTAAAAAAAAATGAAAACAAAAACAAAAAAAAACAAATAAAAAGTTATAAACAAAGAGGAGGAACCTTTTCTGGTCTGATTGCTGTTGAAAGGAAACAGCTTTCTTTTAATTTGACTGAGGATCAGGTAGGCCTGAGCCTGTTTGCATGGGTGCTCAGATTCAGTGTGAAGCCTTAGTGAGTGTCTTTCTCTTTCTGATGGGTAAGTTCGAGGCAGACACTTCACTCCTGGCTTCTATCCTAACCTCCAGCTCAAAACCCTTTGCATCTTACCCTCTGTAATGGATAGGCCAGCCAGGGATTCTGACTTCTGTACATTCTGCCACTTTGATCAGCTAAACTTTAAAGGGTGATTTCTTCAAAAGATGTTGAAAGCTGCCTTAAGTTGAGTGACTTCATAGCAAAGACTAAGCTGCTATTTCTTACCAAATTTCCTCTTCAAGGAGCATATGCAACTCTTCAAAACTTTTCCTTATTCAAATTGTCACACCAAACCAGAAGATCACCCCATTACAAAAACAGAGCCCATCGCAATTACCATCTCCTTTATAAAATGAAAAATTATGCTCAGACTATTTCTCCATGAGAAATTACAATTCCTGTGCAACAGATTGCGACTTAAGCCATTACATTGGTTCTTTATGAAGTCTGCGCAGAAAGGAATTGGAACCCCTTAGAAACCCCATCAAGAGTAGCTCAGGTCTTCCATATCCTTTTTTTTAGCTCTGGAATAACCTGGCTTTTTCTTGGTGATTTTGTGATAAATAATGGGAATATTTGCAAAATATGTTGTGATAAACAACAAAAGCTTGGCTTTGCTGTAAATAATTGCTTAAAGAAATACGAGTTTAGGTAGAACTAATTTAAGATAAAATAAATAATAAGAAAACATAGGCCAATATTTATGTAATCCCTTTATGGGAAAAGACTTTCTAAAATAATAAGCAAAGAAAGGAGCCACAAAAGAGAAAACTAGCAGATTTGCTTGCATAATAAGACTTTTAAAATCTTTATATATCTTTATGCATTTAAAACTACATTGATAAAGTCAAAACAATAAAAAAAGGAAAAGGATTTTCACCAAACCTAAGGGTGTGGGGTTACTCTCAATGAAAGATGAAGAATTCGTGCAAATCAGTAATTGAGTGCACAGTCAGTAAGACTATACAAATAATGAGAGGAAATTGAAATGTCTGATAAACAACAACAAAAAATTCAGCTGTGTTGTTAGTAATCCCAAAAGTTTAAAACTTTAAAGAACTCACCTAATATCAAAGAATTGTATGAAATGCTAATTACTGGCAAGAATTTAGTAATTGGGCATTTCTATATATTGCTAGTAGAATAAACCGATATGCCCTATTAGAAAAATAATTTAGCAGGCCAGGTGCGGTGGCTCACGCCTGTAATCCCAGCACTTTGGGAGGCCAGGGTGGTTGGATCATGAGGTCAAGAGATCCGGGCCATCTTGGCCAACATGGTGAAACCCCATCTCTACTAAAAATACAAAAATTAGCTGGGTGTGGTGGCGCATGCCTGTAGTCCCAGCTACTCAGGAGGCTGAGGCAGGAGAATCACTTGAACCCAGGAGGCGGAGACTGTAGTGCGCCCAGATTGTGCCACTGCACTCTGGCTTGGAGACAGAGACTCTGTCTTGATAAAAAAAAAAAAAAAAAACAAATAATTTAGCATTATGCATTAGAACCTTACCAAACAGTTTCAAGCATTAAGTCATTCATTGCAATGTTTTTTTTTTGCCTGCAGAAAACTAGAAATAATCAATTGATCAAGAAAATTTATAATTATGTAGTTATCAAAGGATACTCACTGACAATTTTAGCAATAAAAGAAAATACTCATGTTAATTTTAAAAAGAATACAAAATTATATATCCAGTATGCCTAGATGTGTAAAATTCTATTTTAATTCAAAATTGCATAGAGATATACCAAAATGTGGTGATTGTTTCTGGATTTTATTCTTTATACTTCTTACAATTCCACTATTGTGAAGTACTTAAAGTACTATTTCTAGTAGTTTCCATTAGCATTCCCAAGCTATTTTTACATGTCAGTCTCAATTGTCTCATTTTCATCATGGGAATTAGTGTGTGGTATATAAAATTAGTCTATATATTATTACTACATATAGTTTATAAACTATAATGCACCTATACTATGTAATATAAACATTTTATTTTAATGTGTTAATATATTTGTACTTGTTAACTTGCATTTTGTTAGTATATGCATGAGTTGATATAAGCTGCATAATATCAGCAAATACATACTACATAATTTCAGCATATATCAATATGTATTTCAGTTATATAAAATTTATTTCTGCCTACAAAAAAGGATTAATTACATTTGAACTTAATTCAGGGTGGTCTTAATGGCTGCTGCATTCTCCTCCATTCATAGTGACACACCACAGCAAGTACAAGTCCTTAAACTAATGTCAAACTCACGGATTTCCGAGCCCCACTTGGGGGCTCTCATACTTCAAACAGCATGTGCCACCACAAATCTCCACTGCAGTGGGGCCTTTGGACAGGGAGGGCCCTGGCGTCCTGTGTAATGGAGTATGACTTTTATAAGGTGTTAAGAGTTGCTGTGTGAATGGACATTGTCACCCATAACTTCAGTGCTCAGATTAGCAAAATATGTTGCCTTTGAAAAAAAGAATTAAGTTGATCTCCGAGAAAGGACAAACACATGGGAGAATCAAAGGGCTCTTTCAGATTTGTAAACCTAATATCAAAGAGTTCAGAAGTCTAGCCCAGCCTTACAGGTGTCCTTTGCTTTGATCATTAATTAAAATGTGACTTCTATCCAGTGTCACTGTGGGAGGACTTGACAAAACAAAGAATATCAGGTACCTGACAATTTCTTATAATGCCCTGAAAGACAGGTGTTCATTCCTGCAAAAGCTTTGAAGCTAAAAATAAAATAAAACGAAATTTAAATTAAAGGATATTCCCAAGCACATAGTAATCATCTTAATACGTACATTTCAGGGTCTCTTTTTCTCCCTGATGATGGTAGTGGTGGTGGTGGGGGCAGGGGTGTTAAAGACAGGCAAAACCTCTGGCTGGAAAGGAATGCAGAAAATGGGGTAAAGTAAAGCCTTGTAAGTCATTTGAGATCAATCGTCAGAGAATGTGTCTCAACGGTGTCATTATCAGATTAATATTTGAGTTCCAATTTAAGCTAGAATTATTTGGATAACAAAAATCAAAAGAAAAGTTTTTACAATTTTGCCTCAGAGCAAAAGAAACGTATCGGAGGTGGGATTTTTGTGATTTTTTACCACACCTCTCAAATTCCTGCAAGCTTGTGTTGCTCTGTAGAGTCATGGATGTTGTTACCTTCACAGCCCTGTTTTGTTTTACCTTGAGTCAAAACTGGGAAAAAAAATTCTCCTAATTTATTTTGAGTTTTAGGGGTACTGTAGACTAATCATTGCAAAATGTGATTTATTTGATAAGTCACTCTACTTTGGAACAAAGAGATGCCTCCTTGGGGATAAAAACAAACTTTTGATTAATCAGTTCCTTCTTTTTATTTTCTCATTGGCATTTCCTGGGGCCAGGTCCTCTATTGTGAGTGTACTAATACAATGTTTCTGAACTTTGAAGAAACTTACAGGGTAGAATAATTGACAGTCTAAACTAAGAGCAGTCAGCAAATAAAAACATTCAGCAAAATACATAGACTAGAAAACTGTGTACAGGGGTTACAAGAAAAGTGGGGCACATTCATTATACGTAGAGTTAAATAAGTGGCATAGAGCTCCAAGAAAACATTGGGGAAGGGTACAGGCAGGGATCACATGTCTTTTAGTTAAGAAGGGATTCAAGGGCTGTGGGACTCCAGAAGTCCACAGAGAGAGAAGTTTCATGTAACAGAGTAGGCGGATGTCACAGGTGCAGGAAGCTCTCTGTAGCAAGGTGGATTGCTACCCGTGGGACTCACCTGGAACATGCTGTGGAGGGAAAAGCCATGTAGGGGCCCTGGAGGGGCTGGGGAGCGCTAGGAAGATTTAAGCAGAAGTTAAGGGCTTAGCTGAAGGAGTGCTATCATGAGATTAACATGGTCAGTAATTTTGGTGAGAAAAATTACCTTGGTCCCAGCACAGGACACCTTAGTGAAAGAACTTCCGTCAAAAGTAGAAAGTCAGAGATACAGTGGTTTGTTCAGACTTCAGCTAGGTCCGTAAAATCAGGTTGAAGATGAATATTGGCAAGGAAAAATGGTCACAATAAGCTTATACAATATTCCCATTTTTATTAAAAAATACGTTTGTGAAGAAAAAAGGGGCCATAACAGAAAACATACTGACAAGGAAAGATGTTCACAGTATACAGATGTAATATTTCCATTTGTTAAAACCTGCATTTGCAAAGGAAAAAAAAATTCAAGCTGGAGATTGCAGCAGTGACTACTCCTTTCTTTATTCTCTGAGCGTTGAAACTTTCTCAGCTTCTGTTTCATGATTGCTTACAGAAATTGGCTCTTTTGAACGTTATTTTAGAGTTAAAGCGGTGAAATCTCCCATTTATGTGGGGGCATTTTTAAAGAAATGTCGTCTCTTCTGCACCCTCCTGGGACTTCCTGCACCATCACATCCCCTTTGGTTCTACTTCCTTCCATGGCTTAGTTATCGTAGGGGACTTGGGCTTGGCAGAAGCTCTAGGGCCCACACAACACCATCCCAGACCCCCAGGCCTCCTTCCACTGGCTCACACTGACATGTTGCTGCCTCTTGACCCCAGGAGTCCACAGTCCTCACCGCTTCAGAAAGCTTTGAATCAGATATTGCTGCTGAGCAGCTGTTGGTCTTGTCTGCGCTGTTCTGTCAAGCCCACCGGCGTGCAGCAAGGGCAGCCCCAGGGACAGTGGCTAGAGAGGACAGGTCTGCATTCTGCTTATCTCACTCTCAGCATGAAGGTTTCCAGTGGGTTTTCCCATAGTTTTTCATCTTTTTCTTTGGAAAATACTAAGTCTACTTGATCGAAGAGTGAGCAACTGTCTTCTTCATAGAAACTTACAGAAGTCCTCAGAGTGTTTCTATTGGCCGACAATATCCTGACTTCATGCAGGGTCACAGCTCCATTCTTTGTCTGGAACCAGATGCAACCTAGCTGCCCTTCTGTTGATCTTTCATTATAAAAACAACCATTCTGGATAACAGCATTGCTTATGGCAATGATGATAGTACTTCTTGATATTGTTTAACACTTAATATGCATCTGTATGCACACTATACTATACTAAAGTATGCATACTTAATATGCATACTATACCAGGAATCGTATCAGTATTCCCCACTTATCTGTGGGGATACAGTCTTAAGACCCCCCAGTGATGCTTAAAACCTCAGATAGTAATAAACCATATATACACTATGTTTTTTCCTACACATACATATCTATAAAATTTATTTTATAAATTAAACTCAGTAAGAGATTAATAATAACTAATAATAGAAAATCATAACAATATGCCATCATCACTACTCTTGCACTTTGGAATCATGAGTAAGTCAAATAAAGCTTAAACCTCAGCCTTGTGATACTGCGAAAGTAGATCTGATGACCAACTGGGCACAAGTGACTGATGGGTGGGTGGGTGGTGCATGCAGTGTGGATCCCTGGGACAAAGGGATTATTCACGCCCTGGATGGAGAGCAGTGGGACAGGGCAAGATTTCATCCTGCTACTCAGAATGGGGCACAAGTTAAAACATATGACTTGTTTATTTACAGAATTTTCCATTTAATATTTTCAGACCACGGGTGACTCTGGGTAACTGAGACCTCAGGAAGTGAAACCTCAGATAAAGGTGGGTAGGGGAACTGCTGAAGCATTTACGTCACTTTGATTTTCTAGCAATCCTGCGAAACAGGTATTTAGTGGCCATTTTACTAATAAGAAAACTAAGCCTCAGTATTAAAGTTTACACAACTAGAAAGTGATAGATGTGAGGTCACGTTGCTCTGTCTTCAATTTGGTTTATAGAGAAGCACACGTCTTATGAAATGCACTTTCCTTATTTCAGTAATTTTAAGAGGTACAAGATAGTGACACATAATAAGCTTTCAATAGTATATATTGAGTGGATAATAGAAGTTTCAGAAATTTCCACCTTAATTTTACAGCAAAGTCCAAAGACTGGTCTTGCCCCTCCCATGGGGGGCTGGCATGTCCTCTAGTAGAGGTGAGTGTGGAAACTTTCTATCCTTCTGAGATTGAGATTTGTGAAAATGAGGTAGGGAAGATGGGATGGCCCGTTTACTTTCCATTCCTCATTATATTTTGACTTTTTCTTCTAGAGTTGGTTTTACTAAGTGGATACCATTTGAGCACCATATTAGCCAATATCCTGGGATGATTAAAAAGATACTGTAATTGAGAAAAAAGAAGGAATTTTTTGTATTCATTTTCTCTCATTCCTATCCTTACTATAGTTTAAATGTGGTCATCAAAGAGACACCAAAATGAAGTTCAAGAATGTACAGGAAGGCAGTGGTGTAAAATTAGTTGGAAAATAACTGTCACTAAAATGTCAGAAGTGAGTCTTAAAGTACCACTCATCCCACTGAGTCCACCAATGGGTCAAATTGAAAGAGAAACCCATCTGAGGGTGGTGGCTTTAGGAGCTCATCTTATGGGAATGAGGCTGTGTCTCAACAGTTTAGAATTATGTGATCTTGGTAATGAATTATGAAGAATTGCCTTTGCAGGATTCTGCAGGTGAAGAAACTGAGTCCCACAGAGGTGGGATGACCTGGGCAAAGGTGCACAATCATGTCAGTCTGCCTTTCCATGCACGTTATTGTGCACTAGTATTTTCTCTTTTTTCTTCTTATTTTTGTATTTTTTCTCTACTTTTTTGTTTTGTTTCTTGAAGAAAATTCAACACAGCCCAACAGGAAAGTTTTACCTGGCAGATCCCAGACCAGGCTGAGATTCCTCACATAGCAGGGATGCATTGCCATCCCCACAAACATTGAGAATTCTGCATTTTTATTGGCTCGTGAGGTGGCAGTGATAGCATGTAATGAATTGGTAAAATGTTTGAATGGCCTTATTTTCTTATAGCTGATGAACTCTGGGCAGGTACGTAGTTTAAGCATAGGGAAGGATTTTACATCATGACTTCCAGAGCTTTTACTGAATACAGAAAAATATTAGCATTCTTAGTTGTGTCACTGGTTTCTCCAGATATTGTAAAATTTCCACATGTAGACAGAAACTATTGGCTTGCTTGTCTTCCTTGCAGACCAGCTACAGTGTGTATTCAACAAGTTAAAACCTGGTGGGCTTCTTAACTAGGGAAAGTGTGTACATTTATCCAAGGTGAAATAAGGTTGCCATTAATTTTCTGATTTACAGGGTGATTAAATGAAAAAAAAAAAAAAGGATAGAAACAATTGCAAGCAGATTGGGAAAATGTTCTTTATCCTTTCCAGAATATTTCTGATTTTTATTATCATTAACATCTGAGCATTTCAATATAGGTCATATGTTTTAACAAACAGCTTAAACTGAATACATTTTTTAAAACTCTCACTTGTGAGTATTGACTAAGTAAATTTTACTCATTGTGGTAATGGTGAGAAAGCAACCTGGTTATGATCAAGTTGTCAGCATTTCATTCATTTAAAAACCCCAATATGGCCAGGAGACGTTTCCCTCCTCCCCACTCCCCGCTGCCCATCCTCACTGGATTGGATTATTCTCCCTATAGAGGGAGACTCCTCAGGCATAAGCTCACATTTAGATGCTGAAAGACAATATTCTATCTAGACTATTTCTCATCTTTACATCCAGATTTATTTTCTTCAACATTCTATATTAGTTTGAATGCCTCTGGATATATCAGCAGAACACAATCCTATAATAAATTTTGTTTTGGGAATAAAAATATCCAACAATGCCCTTATCTTTTAAAGCTTCCCAGATTCAAATTTGATTTTTTTTTTTTAAGTTTGGGTTTAGTTAAAATAAAACGAAACAAACCACACAGGCTTAAAAGAATCCCAGATAACTTTGGCTGATAGAACTTGTCATGCTAGAGCTGACTGTTTTGTTTTTGGCAGATA
The DNA here is from genome assembly GCF_000001405.40 of Homo sapiens. NCBI lineage: Eukaryota > Metazoa > Chordata > Mammalia > Primates > Hominidae > Homo > Homo sapiens. Next base: position 22,076,100 of record NC_000013.11, read on the forward strand.
ATCCTCAAGAAAAAAGCAGAGGATGGGGCACAGTGTGAGTTTACTGCTGGATGGAGTTATTTATTATTGGGGCATTTTGTTTGAAAACACAACTGTTTTTTAAGGGACAAAGGTGCATAGCTCCTTACATAATTATCTATTTTTATATCATGTTATAAATTGGAAGTATGTACCCCTTTTATTCATTTATTTCAAGAAATGCATATGAAATACTACTTGTTGGAAATTGTGTGATGTTCAGGAACAGTGAGGATGACTGAGACTTAGTCCGTACCCTGAAATAAAGAGATTGAAAGATAAGTGAGCTTGGTAATCAGTCAGCCAATACTCATTGAGCATGGTCTGTGCTGCCCACTCGACTAAGTTTGGGGGACATAGCAGCGAGCCAGCTGGGCATGGTCTCTGCTGTCATGAAGCTTGGGACAGAGAAGCCACCATTAAACACAGAAACAGGTGTGCTGAGTCCCAAGCAGGACAGGAACATGGCCCTGTAGGTTGGATATAGGGACATTTTGTTGGGGGAGCCAGAGAAGGGATTACTAAGGAAGAATTATTGACTCTGATTTCTGAAGTAAGAGTTATAGTCAGGGCTAAGATCAGGAGTTAGGGGGTGGTGAGTATTTCAGGCAGAGGGAATGGCTTGCACCAGGGAAGTGAGGTGGGAAAGAGTGGGTTTATCTAGGAAGCATGGAAAGTTGGGTGTGCCCAAAGGAGTAAGAGTGAGTGAGAGAGAGAGATGGGGGCCTCTTTAGAGCTGAGTTCCCTCCTGGAGGGACCTGCGTCTGCAGATTGCAAATGAGCATTGCAGTCAGCTGCTGCATTCGCTACCTAAGCAAACAAACCAACAGACCACAACATCAAGGCTCAGGATAGCTCAGTCTAAGTTCATCACCTCAAGGGATTTGGTATTATACCTCAAAGCTTTTTAGTTCATTTTACAAGCATGTACCAAAATAAAGCCAGTGCTAATGAAATACCAGCCTCTGATATCTGGCTCAGGGTTCCGCTGTTTTCAGATTTTTTTAGGTGGTCTACACTTTAGTCACATTTTGGCCCCTCTTTAGTTCTTTCAGCAAACCAGGTGTTTTGAGATTGCTCAAGCTTTTATAAACAGGGGTTGGAAAAAGTCCAGAAATGACGCACATCTCCTTGCAGGAGGTGGAAAAAGTGATAAACAAAAGTGATTATCAGTGTGTAAGAGTGAATTTGTGTGTGTGTGTGTGGAGGGGGGGAACCTCAAAAACCAAACCCTCAGAGACGTAGGTCATTTTGGAAGTCTTTCCCAGGTTGAGCAATAGAATCTGTATCAGAGCTCAGTGTAGTAATTAGGTTTGGGTTTATTTACAGAGGGAGATAACAATTTTGGGAGGAATCAGTGTGACTTAAGATTTTTCAGATGAAAACAGCACACCCATATATCCACATCATCTGCAGCTATCATCTTATTTTACTCTCCTCCCATTCCCTAAAGAAAAAATAAATAAAGCACATTCTCTGGATCTTTTGGATTACATGCTAGGTATAATTAATATGTCTGTTGAGTTTCCCACGTGGGTGGCACTGTATAACAGTTCAGGAAAAAATGTTTCTTTCAACACTTTGAACATCATCAGTCATTTGATTCAACTTTTTTTGCACGTCTTTTTTTTGAGTTTTAATAAAACATTTTAAGCACTACTGAACGTATTTGGGGGGTGATGTTGTTCACAGGTATCTCTCTTAATTTTTCTGAACCATACATATTAGTGAGATTTGCAATGCTTAAATGTCTATAGAGTGTAATGCTCTGTCTCCTAAGCTGCAACTCTCCAAAGTAAATACATATGCATTCTCTTGTGAAGTTTGTGCTTTCATTTGTTTGACTCATTTCATTCTTTGACTCAACCCAGAATAAGTACCCTTTACATAGTTTGGGAATTGATAGTTTCATTCATTATATTTACCTTTGCTGAGTATTTACTGGTCAGAAGTCATTGATTCTCAGGCAGTCTAGGCTATAAGATAATGCCGTTGCCACAAATTGGAAAAAAAAGGTGATGACAAACCAAATAGGCTAAAAATACAGTTCACTTGGACAGGTAAAACAAACAACCTGGAGGGTTAATGGAAAGCACGCATGCTGTGGGGCTCCAGATCCTGGCTTACTCCTTATTATCTTTTTGCCCTTAAGTGAGTCATTAACCTGTGCTGAGTGTTGTTTTTTTTTTTCAACTATAAATGGATATAATACATACTATAAAGATTGTTGAGAGGACTGGCAATATGCATATACATGACAAGGCACCTGATAAATGGCAGTTATTCTTGTCCTTAATAGTAATGATAACATACATCATGCATGGCCAAATCTCCTCCTCCTCAGAGCTCTCACCTTCAGAGAGTGAACTAATAAGAGCATGGTAGCAAAGTATTGCCCTGAGGCCCAGCTGGACTTCAAATTAAACAAGAATTGGAGTTGGAAAGCTACTAAAATAAAAGCAAGCAAAATCTGGGAGCAGTAGGTGAGTTGCACAGGAAGATACATTTAGTTGCATGTATGGATGGCTTTTCTAATGAATGGGAACATTCTAGAAAGAATGTGGCTGCCTCATGAGGCCTGTGTTCCTGGTCTAAATGATTCCCAGCAGAAGCTGATTGACATTTGGCTCACACTGATGCCAGGGAGATTTTCCCTTTGGGTGGAAATGTGGATGAATAATTTAAAATGGTTTCTCTGACTCTAAGATTCTGTGAGTCTATGGCAGGATGAATTTGTGGTGGTGGTATGGAAGGACAGGAAGACCTTTGAATCCAGCATCAGGAAGAATTACTCCCAGTGACATTTATTCTGTTCTGAAACACTCTGTTCTCATGGATTTGGAAGAAAGTAGTAGTCGAGATTCATTTATCCTGTAGTTTAGAGTCACACATTCTGTAGAGTTGGCAAGGTCCACAAAAGTCATCAGATCCAACCTTGTACTCACTTTCAGAATCTCCTGATCCATCATGAAAGGTAGCATTGAGTTGGCTCAATTGCTTCCAGGGACAGAAAACTTAGCAAGCTTGGCCTCAGAGCTCCTGAAACCAGTGCCCTGCAGATGCCAAGCACAACCGTACTCGATATTCCAGTCTTGTGTGTGTCATTTTGCATTTTTTGAAAATTTATATTTTCTAAAACCTTTCTGGTCTTCGTTTGTGGCTCTCACCTGCCTCTTACTTTGACCGTGTCTCTTGAACCTTTCGGGAAATGGCTGGCCTCATCAGGAGGGTTGACTAAACCTGTTAAGTGGCCTCTTGCCATTTCTTCACAAACTTCCTTACCCTTTCTCTCTCTTCTAATGGTTTTAGAATCAACAGTCCTAGCTTGGCCCTATGGACGTCCACAAAAGCATATCTTCATCTTGGGACTTTCATGTATCTCTTTAAGAACTTTAGAAGAGAGAATGGAAATTCCTCTCTCCCTTTCTGTCTTGTCTTCCCTCTAACTTTCAATAGTTTTGCATTATATGGAAGTATACTATTGAATTACATAGTTTTGACTGTGATGAATGAATGCATGGATGAATAAGTATTTTTTTTCAATGGGTGATACCATTTTTATTCCTCCAGGCAAATTAAAAAGAGGAGAAAAACCCCTCAATGTACATGTGTAAAAAGACTTCGAGATTATTTCTCAAAAGTTGTTGAAACCTTTTTTAGGTTTGGATTTGCTAAACAACAGGGTGCGAATTCAAACACAGGCAGGAACATTTCCCTGACTTCTTTAAAAAAAATGCTTTGAGATGTTATGTGATATGCACCAGCACTTCAGAAAAATCCTGCCAAGGAAGCCCTGATTGACTGCAGTGGTGTTAGGCCGCTCTCTGCTTGTCGGGTTGCCTGATTGAGAACTGGCCCTAGTAGACTGCTATGCACCAAAATAGTCTGTTCTAACGGAAGACCTCTGTTTGCCACTGGCACATAAACAGGAGAGAGGGTGAGATGCCAGCTTCGATTGTCAAATGTGGTGGGGCCTGTGGAAAGAATTAACTTCCTTGGAGTTCACGTTTTGCAAGATTGAGCCATCCAGCACACGAGGGAAACAAGAAGAGCCACGTGGGAGTGCAAAGGCTCCAATTGCCAGCCACGTCGCTTCTAAATGTGAACGCTCTGGTTGAGTAGGACAAGGCGGCAAGTTGAGTGAGTCTGAACATTTAGGAGAGACAGCCTGATGTGGAGGGAGAAACGGGACACCAAGGCCAAGCCAATTACCCACCCAGGCAGAGGGAAGGTGACTCGAGACCCCTGCCTGCCTTTTGGGGGGTGTTATGGGGATCAAATGAGATTATGACTACAGAATCATTTTGGGATCTTTCTTTGAATTTTAAACTAATGAAATCATATTCTTCCCCTTAGGGAGGGGATAAAATCAATAAATGAATAGTTTTCATTTTCCTAGAATGGTTCAAAATTCGGCTTGAGATTCTACCATGTTCTTTCAGTTCTCACACCTTAACTGATCTCTCACATAACTGCCCATCAAATGTATCATGCTGATCCATCCATCCTATGCCTGGATTAAGGTCCATCAAACCCTTTAATTTGAATTCCCATTAACTTTAAAAAGATAAATTCTATAAATGTTTGTAATATCTAAAAATTTCAAGGTGCTTAGGTTACTAGAGATCACTTTGGAAAATCATATTTCCCTATCTCCTCCCAAAATACCCAAAAGATTATCTTTTCAGCTGCTGATACATCTGGCCATGGCAGTGCATTTTGAGGATGCTAGAGCATCTCACAGACATCTCAATGATGTTAAGATCATAGGTACTGTTTTCAAATAGGGTAGCTGGTTTTCTCTACTCCATGATTAGAGGCCATACCTTTAAACCCCCAACCAGGCAGCTGCCTAATTTGTAAGTGAATGCCTCTGCAAAGATCAGGCCATGAGAAAGAACATGAGAACACAGTCATTCACTGAGCAGATGTATTGAGCCACTCTTAGGTGCCAGGCAGTCTGTTAGGTCCCTCCCCTCGCTTGGCTTAGAGACTAGAGGTAGAGACAGGCATTCCATAAGTAACTACTAGTGTGATGAATGTCATAAGGAGAAAATGCATGGCTCAGTATACGTCCATCAACTGTGTTTGAAAAAGAAGCCATCAATATCTGCATTCTTTTCATGTGTATTTATTATTAGTTATAATATGTTTACATATTAATAATCCATGCATATGCATTATTATATTGGTTATTCATAATACATTATTTTACTTCTGTCTTCTTATAGCCCTGAGACTATTACTGTAAAGAGCAAGAATTTTGTGCTGCTCCGGGAAAGAGAGTAATCAGATACCATTTAACTCATTGGTAATTGTTGCTTATCAGTCCTCCTTTTAAAAAAAAAAAAGAAAAAAAAACGACCCTGCTGTAGCTGGGTGCTATTTTATTTTAGTCATCTTCATCCACGGTAGACTGTGTTGAAACAATGCCAGACTGAACATTGATACCAGGTGCCTGTCCTAGCAGAATCCAATATCACACCTGCAGATAGAGTGTAAGATTACGTCATGTGTCGTGCCCGAGCACCACAAATGACTCTATACTTCATCTCAAATAACATTATAATTTACACTTGGAGCCTTCAGACTATGTAGCCTTGGCCAAATGAAAGTTTTTGCAGCCAAACACATCAAACTCAATATATTTCACTGCGCCAGTGGGATTGTTTTTTTGAGAAAGTTGAACATAATTAAATCTATCAATGGCATTTCAAATAAAAAGTACCTGTCTTGGATAGGTAGGCTTATAAACATTTGGCTGTCAGTTAGGAAGATGTCACAGAGTTTTGTGCTGGAAACCAAAGAAAAATGAAAGAACTCTAGTGTGTTATGTGAATTGAATAAGAGTTCACCAATGAAAGGAGGAACAATGAGATCTTTTGTTTTACAGAAATGTCATAGTTATAAAGGTATACATTTAAACTTGGAGAATCACTTCAGGCAAAAATGAAAACCCTCCCAACTCAAACATTTTCCCAGCTCCAGGACATAATCTACAGTAATCTCTGAACTTTTGGAAATATTGTGTGGATATTTCAACACCTACTCACCTTGTCCATTCTAATTGTCACCTTTGCACTTTGGTGCCTGATAGGCTTCTCTTAGAGAGCAGGCATCGTCACCTGCTCACACTTTGATCCACTGGCTGGAAAGCAGCTGCTCTTCTTTGTTCGGAAAACCATTGCTAATGTTTATATGAATAGAGGAAGGGAAGAATGTCCTCATTCCTGTTCTTCCCCTACCACCTTCTTCAAAGGACCAGAGGAGCTTTCCACCTGGCTATTGGGTGCCTCTGACTTTTGGGTTCATTTTATCGTTCTCATATCTATGGAATTGCCCCAGCATCTTGAATCTTTCAGACAGGCTTATTTATGTTTAAGACAGGCCAATAATCTCTGTGGTCTTGAGTCTGATTGTAGGGGAGCCAGAGATCTTTGTCACTCCAATAAAAGTAACTCCCTCTTAACTCTGCCTTTGTTTTGTAGTATTGCCATGGTAGTTGAGGACTGTCTTAGAATCCTGCATTTCCTGTGCCTTGTCGCATGGGTGCAGGATGTAGAACACAGGAAGTGAGGATGTTGATTGTAGTCTATATAGGATTGTGTAACAAGGGTTCCAGGACACTTTGAAGGGCCTGGATTATTTGGAGGAAGATTGTCCTGGGAGGAGGTTGGAAAACAACTATAGGAGAAATGTGAAAGCACAGAATAGAAACTTGATTTTTATCACTCTTCTGTGTGCTATGACCACAAGCTACTGGGGAAACCGTTTTATTGTACAGCAATGAATACATCAGATAATATGGAGACATGTATGTAGAGGAAGCAGCATGCATCTTCTCACCAGGTCTTTGTCATCAATTTTTAATTGAACAATGCTTTTCTATGAAATTATTTTCATTGATCTCATATCAGGGAACAAAATGTACTGGGCAGCTTCTCCATGGTAACAAACAACCCCCAAGTCTCTGTGGTTTCCAAGAGTGTTCATTGCTTGCCATTTCATGTTGGTGACTGCAGTTGATGGTAGGAGCCACAGTTCCGCTTGGGTCTGTTGGCTCTGCACTAAGCATCTTCTCATCCTTGCCTAGGCTAAAGACACAATATTTACTGGGGAAAAGCCATGCTGGTAGAAAAAGACAAATGTAAGAAATCTGGGAGAAACATGCAGTACCTCGGCACACAATCTCCCTTTACTCCCACTCCCTCAGTCTGATAAAGCCACACGGCCAGGCTGTACAATGGCATGGGGAGTTGTATTTTGCCGACAGGGAGGCACTGCCAGCTACACGCCAGCAGGCAGGATGTGTGACATCTTATGGGAGGGAAATGAATAGAGGGATCAATAATTCAGGTTGTCATAGCATGTCTGTTCTCATGTGGTTTCTTGCCCAACTTTAAAGAAATCCCAAGTAAATTCAGCTTTAGAGATGTTCAGAGTATTAGTGCATGGAAAGCCACACAGCCTCATACAGTTCTTGAATATGTATCCATACCTCTTTCTAGTCTACACACTGAGTGCCAATTAACATTTCCCAGGGTGCTATTTGTCATTGGTACTTTTATTTTTATTTTTTCTTATTTTTGAGACCAAGTCTCGCTCTGTCACCCAGGCTGGGGTGCAGTGGTGTGATCTCGGCTCACTGCAAGCTCTGCCTCCCGGGTTCATGCCATTCTCCTGCCTCAGCCTCCCGAGTAGCTGGGACTACAGGCGCCCGCCACGACGCCTGGCTAATTTTTTGTATTTTTAGTAGAGATGGGGTTTCACCGTGTTAGTCAGGATGGTCTCGATCTCCTGGCCTCGTGATCCACCCACCTCAGCCTCCCAAAGTGCTGGAATTACAGGCGTGAGCCACCACGCCCGGCTACTTTTATTTTTTTTTAACTGTCAGGTGAAATTCAACTAAGAGCTAAACTGAACTGAAGGAAATGTGTTTTCCTACATTTATTTTCTTTTGAGTTTAAATTTTACTTAACTATTAAATTTATGATGATGTGTTCATATTTTCTTCAAAGTGGACTCTATATAAACAGTTAAGAAATTAACTATCAAAATTATTCACACAGTTATTCGCAAGTAGTGACAGTAATTTATGTGTAGCTTTTATCCCAAAGGATGTTCTAAGGTTGCTTAGCTCCTCTGTTAATCAGTTCCCTAACACCCTAAGCCATTAGGTCATTAAAGAGCTCTTGGCACTTTACCTAAAGGCTTCAGGGTGTTAATCCTGGTTTCCTGATCAGAATCCAAGTAGGGTAATGACTTTGTGACTTTTTAAATTATTCCTGCAATTTTGGTCAAACAGGATGTTCTTCTTGCTCTCTGTCCCATGTGGTTTCACTAAGTGGCTCGCTTGTTAGAGAGATGTGCCTCTTCCATTGCAAATGAAGTGAGGATGATTTAAAAGCATTTATAACAGCTTCTGAGCTGCAGTGATGTGCTGAACTCTGTCATGAACCTAGATGTGGTTTCTCCCCTAATGGAGACCCTAAATGCCACCAAACACAGGTGTTCACCTTCTTTTCTATGATTCACTTGGATGCATTTTCCCTGGGTGAGCTCAGCTCACAGAAGATGACCGGGAGAAGGCACTTTCCGATCCTGCCTCTGAATGACGAGCACAGAGGCTCTGAGCAGCCTACCTGGGGGGTCTCCTCTCCAGCTGATCAGAGAGATTTCCTACAATCTCTCCTGGAAAGATTGGTGAAACTAAAGCTTATGGAGAAACAATTTTGGATGCTCACCAAATAGTAAACATTTTCTTGTTTTTTGAATATTTAAGGGCACATTTTATTATTTATAAGTTAAAGTATATCTCACTAATAATAGAGCCTATTTAGAAAAATGTGTATTATCTGCACACATTTTTAACAGCACAAATAACTTGAATTCTATTTTTCTCATTAATAGGCTATTTTGACTTGTACAGAAATTTAAATAAAAAACAACTGAATGGATGCTTAGTGTGTATGTATTTGATTTCATAAGAATCACGAGTTTCCAGCATTTTCACCAATAAAGTTCACTTTTGTTAGTTTTTGCTCTATTTATTCTAGATCAGAAGGATTTTTGCCTCCCAAATGGAGTGTATTAAGTAACAGTTAATTTGCTTGTTTAGTTTTCCCTTTTTAACATCAAAGGCATAAACAGCTAGTATCAGTTATTGAGCATTTCGGCTCACTATTAGACTGCTGGCTCCTTGAGGGCAGAAATAATGTCTTATTTTTCTCCTTAGTGCTGAGCACAGCAGCTAATACATTATATAGATGCTCTCTGAGCATCATGGAGGGAGGCGGGGAAGGACAGAGGAAGGAAAAAAAGAAGGAAAGGAAGGGAAGGAAGGCAAAAAAGAAAAGGAAGAAAAGAAGGAAGGACAGAAAGAAAAGAAGGACAAAGAAGTATAGCAAGGAAGGAGAGAAAGAGGAAACAGTGAATTATTGTCTTGAGTAGATACAATCCCAGCCCCAAACAGAGCAACTAGGTGTCTGACTTACCACTGGAGACTTCTGGGGGTGTGTGTGCGAGTGCGTTTCACCTGTTATAGATTGGCGGTGTCCTTAGCTGTGTTTAGTGAAACCTTTACTAGTTTTATTCATTTACTGCTGCAGTCGGAATACTGCCTTTGCTCTGTGTCTGTGTGCTTCTCCCTTCCAGCCAGATCAACTTGTTTGTGTCCATGTGAACGTCAGGAAATGGCTTTGAAAGGCTCTAGAGAGTAGCTGAAGTGCATTGTGATTAAATGTTAATAACCATAATGAACAATACTGTTAACTAATTAATTACTAACTCTCAAAAAGGGCTACAAATCAACCATTAAACAAGTAAAGTCATTATTTTTGTCAGAAGCCCTCAACATTCCACTGAGTTAGGGTCAGTGACTCCATATAGCAAATTAAGTCAGTTTCATAGGCAATCAGTTTATTCATTATCATTTTATTTATGATCAGTTTCTTTTGTAGTAGAGAGCAGCATTAAATATGCTGTTGTCACTTGACTGAGATTTTCTTTGTAAGCTAAGGAGAACACCTTATTTAGTTTTTCAGACTAAAACTATTGCAGCCACCTTCTGTGGAGGAGAGCCTGGGTAGGTGGGTGGGCAGGGGAGGTTGAGTGCTCCTTTTACCAGGCGCTGAAATGTGCTCTAACTGCACATGGAGAAGAATTGTGGTCCCACTTCCTGAACTCTCTACTAGAGATTCAGCTCCACAGCAGAAGAGGCTGGCATACAGCTCAGATGGGTGTCTTTGCCAGGCTCCTCAATGGACAGAAAGGCGGCAGTCACAGCTGCCACCTTAAGATGTTGCTTTCAGTTGAGAGCAGTTTCATCCTGTTATGACCAACAACATGAGATCCATGTGATCCAGAAGCGTATCAGTGAACAAAACCCAAATGTCCTGATCAAGACATACATATCTAGAGTTTGGTTGAGACAAATGATGAGCCTGGAGGAGGGCATAGAATATCCTTTCATTCTCCTGAGGATATTTACACTAGGCTAGATCTTCTAAACCACTTTTTCCCAAATTGCATTATGGGATATTTATAAAAAGTGGAGCCCACTATTTTCCAAATATTTGACCAAAGAACTCTTTTTTTGGCGGGGAGTGGTGGTGGTAGGAGAGCTGCATTACTTTGTCTCCTGCCAAGTTGATTGTATGGAATTCTGCTTTGGAGTGGAGCCCTTGGCACATGCTCAGAGCAGCTTAGGAGAAAGACTGATGAAACTTTTTGGTGTTTGTTGCACAAATACTAAGAATCTGGTTCATTTCTCAATTCATGTCTTTTTTATGGGGTTGATAGGAGGATTTCGCCCTTCCTCAGTGCTGGAAATAGTTGTTTTAACTTAGAAACCGTTTTAATGTTACGATCTCTCACAACTGTGCAGCTGATTGGCTCCCTATGTGAGTGGGCCGATGTGAGGCTATAGACAGAAAGTCCTTTCCCCTTGAGTGAAGCCGAGGCGGTCAGTGAAATTGCAAAGGTATAAAAAAGTGCAAGAATCTGGAATGCTGTCTGGATTGTCCAAGTGGATTCGGAGAGGGAGGTCATGACCCAAGTGGAATATCTTCAATGGAACAACTGCGGGGATGGAGATGGGGCAGCAGGAAGAAGGCCGAGAAGGGGAAACAGCTGGACAAAGTGTCTCAAAGGAAGGGTTTTTATGTGAGGCTAAAAAAGGTTGAGGAATAATTTTCTGAAACTGGTTACAAAGACTAGAGGCATCTTTCACTTCCTGTGAATCCTGTGAACTTGGAGCAGGGTGGGACCCCCTGCTGCCGCTAATGGAAGAAGGTAGCAGGATCCACCTCTCCTCTTCCGCTGACAGCCTCCCTCCCTGCTCAGTGCCTCGAGCTGGTGAACTCCCCTCCGTCCTGTGCACCTCCCGCTTTTGCTCCTCACACATCCCACCGGTCCTGTATATGTGGGGTCTCCAGCCTCCTCCTTCTGTGTGATTAGCACCTCCACCTTGGTTCAAGGCTTTATCCATCATCTCTTCACTGGATTATTGCAACAACTGCAAGAACCTCCAACCTAATCTCACTGTAGCTTCTCCCCGAATCCACCAGCCTCACACTGTTGCCATAGTGATCCTTCTGAAACGTGGACTTTGCTTTGCTGATGCCCCACGCTGAGCCTGTACTGCCCAGAAGAAAATGTTTCAGCTCCTGAGTGGGCATAGAAGGCCTCCTTGGGCCCATACCTAGTGGCTGGGATCTCACTCCCTTCTCTTGCCACTCCTCCCCCAGCCTCTACCTCAGGCACACCTCATCTCACTGTTCCTCCACTCTTGGCCTCCTGACCCAGGCCCACCCTTTCTTCCACTAATAGGAAAGCTCCTCTCTCCTTCTTCATGAAGCCTGCTCTTTCTTCCCTCTCACCTCACTCCATTCATGCTGTGAGTTTAGCCCTTGCTGTCTTCTTCCTGGGGCTGTCCCTTTCACTAAAGCAAACTCCCCAAGGGCAGGGAATGAATATGATCCATGTTCTTACTTCCTAGCCTAATCTGATATATAGCACTTCTGGTGATAAACATATAAACACTTGAAAGGAGGCATGTCCCTAGTTAATCAAGTTACTTTACATTTAAAGAAGAAATCAGTGATTGAGGTAGGACCTTAAAGGCTCACTCTTAAACTCACCCTAAGAACTCAGCCACTTCTGAATGGGACACCCATTGTATACCTGGTTCCACAGTAGACAGCACAGAGGCCCTGGAAAGGAGAATGGAAGATATTTTATGCATCAGTTTCTATGTGGTGGTGTAGCAAAAACAGTTAATTGACTTCCAGTATCTGGCCTCCTTTTCAGCTCTAGTACTAGAAGTTCTAGACCCCAGTTAAAAAGGATGTTTTCTAGCCTTTTTTATACTGAGCTGTGGCCACTGTTCTGGCCCATGGAGTGTGAGTAGATGTGACATGGGCAAATTCCCAATAAAAGGAGCATGGTTTCTCCTCCTCATCTTCCTCTTTCTGTGGGCTTCAGTGGGGTAGGTAGAGCCCATGTTTGGCCAGAATAGAAGCCTGGGAATATGCAGAGAGATACGACTGAAGTAGACTGAGTGTTCCTGTGTGGCCTACTGCAATAATCCATTGACAGATGGTGGGTAAAGACTTGGACTCAGGCAAGAGTGATGATATTAAGGACCTAGACTCTTCCTACTGTTTCCTGACAACCAGGGCACTCTCTCCCTTGCAGTGCTGACATCTGGGTTTTTACTGTCTTGTTTAAACCACTCTGTAATGTTTTGGGGTATCTTTGTTACAGCAGCTCACCATATATTCTTAATCAGTACCAATGGGCTCAGGTATTATTAAGGTTAGTCAGTAGGCATTTTTAACAAATACAGGTTGCTGTATAAAAAGATGCCAACTTACTTTATTGGCATAAGAAAAGACTCACTGTGTAGTCTAAAACTCATAATTTCAATCATTTTCTCCTGTGACCTACCTTCCCCACAGGGGGCCACTAACATTAGCCATTATTCTGGCCTCCCCTTTACTATGTTAATCTAGGCATAGACAATTTTCTAATATGCAGCTCAAACCAGGTTTTAACAGTTAACAAGGTTTTGCTAAATATTCAGGATAATAGAAAGAGTAATTTGTATAATGAGTAATATACAACTTGCCATTAGGTATGATTCTTCTCAAACCCTCAAGCAAAAACCCACCTCATAGGGTTCCCTGCAAGGAATCTTATGATGAGCTCTGAGCTCCTTATGGCAGAGGCCATCTCATCTCTCCTACCCCCTACCCAGAAGTACTCCAGAACACATCTAGATTGGGAGAAGTTGAGGCCCAAGAGGGAGTTTGAGATCAATTTCCAGCCTAAAACCACCCTGGAAGAGTCAGCTTCTGCTTTCAGCTTCTTCTCTTCCCAGGAGATGACTGGCCTTCGCTGTCACGGAGGAACAGCCCTATGTTTACAGGCCCAGAAGATAGAGCAACACCATATGGGGTCATCAGAGCAGGGTCTTCCCACTGCTAGTGGATTTAATTCTCCCACTTTCACAGATGAGTAAATGAGGATCAGAAAGTTAAAACAACTTATCCTATGTTACATGGCTTCTAAGCTTCAGGGTCAGGATTTGAACCCAGTGTGTATGGGAGGGCTTTTCAAATGCCCACCCAGTGGCTTGCACCAAGCTGGCTGCCCAGACCCTTGAGGGAGCTTGTTAAAATAGTGATCGGTTCCTGATCCTACCTTTGAAAATATCTTTTAAGTGGTTTTGGGATGAGTTTTTAAGGCTTTTTATTAATAAACTACTCTGGCAATTCCAATACACTGCAATATTTAGAGACAGTTCCTTTTTACCAAACAGGGCATGTTAGCCTCAGACATTTTTTCAGTCTTTTTCCTTTTGCCAACTCATCCTGTTTCCCCCATGTAAAACAAATGATTCAAGATGAGAGCAATATGTCTCAAAATGGAACAATTCAATATTAGTTGAGACAATGCTTTGGCGGTTATTTGTATGAATATATTACTATTACAGCTATAATCTCCCCCAAAGTTTGATGGGTGTATTTCCACCCATCCGTTACTACTTATTGAATGAAGCTTTGCAGCCAAGCCTGATGGGGAATGTCATAGATGAATAAGCCTCTCTTCAGATTGCCCGAGCTGTCTACAAGGGAGACCAAAGTACACCCATGAAACAATTCAAAAGTAATAAAAAACGTGGGTGGGGTGCCATGGTTTATGCCTACAATCCCAGCACTCTGGGAGGCTGAGGTAGGAAGATTGCTTGAGCCCAGGAGTTTGAGACCAGCCTGAGCAATCTGGCAAAACCCCATCTCTACAAGAACCAGCTAGGCATGGTGGACCACACCTGTAGTCCCAGCTATTTGAGAGGCTGAGGTGGGAAGATTGCTTGAGCCCGGGAGGCAGGAGTTGCAGTGAGCCATGACCTCACCACTGCACTCCAGCCTCGGGGACAGTGAGACCCTGTCTCAAAAAACAAAACAAAAACAAATATCCAAGTAGAAAATACATATTGAGTTGTGGCAACAGGTACTAGGTGGAGTAGAAACAGAAGTGAAGAATTACACCAAGTGAGCAGGAGAAGAACAGGTGGCTTCATAAAAAAGAAAATGCTTAAATTAAATCTGGAAGCATGATTTAGGTTAGGAAAGTCAGACGCAGGATGGAAATTCATGTAGTAGGCATGGGCTAAGCAAAGGTACACTCTGTCATAAGCAACCCAAGGTACTAAGGATACTGTTCTCTACAATAGGTGTAATTTTTCTGAGCTGTTAAAAATATAACTGGGAAGATAAACAGAAACTCCAAGAATATCTTATCTGCGTTGATCCACCAGTGTGTGTCTGTGACGGAGGCCTGAATTGTATGCTGCCATGTGGGTGGCCAGAGAGAAGGTGAGCCTACGGTGGAGAGCAGTCCTGTGGTAGGATGACAGGGAGGATGGAAGCAGCACTGGAGACCTGGGAGAACTGGGATGCCTGTTTGGAGAGAGGGTGTGGCGTTGGGCAGGTAGGTAGAGGGAAGGTCTCTGTTCAGCAGCATAGCACAGCACAGGGGACACGACCCAGAACTAGGGCCATGTGCTATGAACTGATGGGCAGCTCTAATTACTTTTCTAAATTTTGGGCCCAGTGACATTTTCTTTCCTGCCCCATGGGTCAGGTTGGTTTTAGAAGTGAGACATTTATTTTATTCTCCTTCAAAAACAAACTTTACATCATTGATCTGCCACTAAAAAATGTTTGTGTAAAATTCCTGCCTCGAAGCCAGTGCCTGTGACTCAGATGGCGTGCATTTCAAAAGTCTCTCAACATAATTTCACATAAAAAAGAAACATCTTACGTTGGGCCAACTCTGCTGAAACCAACTGCCTTGTATCACTAATATGTAGCTGGATTGATTCATGATGTACATCTTCAAAGACCTGGATAATCATCTTTGTTTGCAAATTCCTTATTAACATGGAGATAAATGCTATCATAAATTTGAACTTTTATATTATGAGCTGAATTTTTTGGTCTTTAAAATTTATTTCCAGAATATTCGATAGCATGACTCTAAGGCTGGATGGCTCTTTCCCAACTGGACACGGTTTGAGATTTTTTTGTCTCCTTTTTCTTCATGCGAGATGATAAACACTTAATAAGAAGATGGAACTTATGGAAAGTAGCCAGAAGAAAATAGCATTCTACCGATGGAATTCCACTTCAGATGCTGTGCTGGAAAGAAATCCTCATCCTGGGCTCCTTTTGCCTTTTGATGATGGCTTTAAAAACTGTGAAAACAGCGAAAGCCAAGTGTGTGGTCTTCAGCAATTTCGTAATAGTCTGTGCAGGAGACAGAGGGGGCGGTGGTTTGCTGGAAAAAATGATTAACTTTTTCTTTACGATGACAGAAAACAGTTGCAATTCAAAAATGCCGAGGTTTCTGCAGCCCTCCCTTTTGGCAAATTGTTAGGTAATCACTTCTTCCAGGTGGCACTTTCAATAAAGACCTTGGAAAGTCACGCCCCTTCCAGAGATGTCCTCAGGGCAGAGCCATTGTCAACTGGGAGAAACTTGTAGAATGAGTGAGGGCAGGGTTAGAGGAAAGGCTCTAAATTTTTCTTGTTGGGGGTAGCGGGGTAGATTTGCTGTTGATTTCCCAGAGTGGGTTCCCATGCCTCAGTCTTGGTCTAATGCGCGTTACAGTCTGCCTCTCAGCTTCTCCAGCAGAACCAAGGGAACCCTCCTCACATCCTATGATTATATTTGTTATTATTTACTTTAAGTTATCCCAGGAAGCAGCAGGCCCACCCTAATTGAGAGGTCTGTCCACATACAAGTCAGCTTAGTAAAACAGGTTCTAATTAAGTAATTACCTTGATTAAAATATACCAACCATTTTTACTTTTTAATAAACATTTCCCAAGACTGGATTTTATCCTGTTATTTTGGTAGAAATTTGTTTAACCTGGTGTGGAACTGGAACCCAGAGCTAACACTGTCCACCTGTGGATATGTGTGGTTTCCCTTATTTGTAACATGGAGTAGAAACATAGCAGATGCTCTGCAAGGTGCAGGAAAAGCCAGGTGCATCTATCAGGTCAATTCAAAGTTCCTTTTTGAGTACAGTGCTGGACTTAGGTCATGTAGAGGCATAAAAGCCAATTTAACTGTGCACAGTCCAGTAAGGGACAGACATTTGCAAAAGTATATCAATACATGATGCAAATGTTAAGCTAGAGTTACGCACAGGTGCTCTAGATAATTGTGACATTTGAAGGCATGTATTTTGACTACATTGGTCATTCCTGTGGTAAACTGACAAGGATTGAGCCCTGCTGAGGTACATGGTCCTTGCAGACACTTGAGTCCTGGATAGTATGCAAGTAGATAAAAGAGAATCCCTGTGACTCTACCCCAGTGACTCTACCCCAAGTCGTCAAGATGTGGGCATCACCTGACTCCATCTGGTCAGCCTCCTAGCAGAGGAGGCCCTTTTCTGTTGCTGAATTTACAACTGCTTCATGCCCATTGGCTCCTTGGAAATTCAATCCCAATTCATCTAAAACTCCTCAGGGTCAAAATAGTTCCTGAAAATGAATTTTGCTGAAGCTTGCTTTTGGGTGCCTGTGACTTCAAATCCTTATCCTCTGCATCTTCAAGATTCTGGTCTGGTTACTTAGGCAAATTTCTCAGTAGCTCTGGAAAATTCGCAACGATTTAAACCATTTTTTTTCTTTAGCCTCTCTGGGACCTATGACTCTTTGCATGTTGAGGTTTTGAATTCCTTTGCATGACAAATTCTCTGGTGGTTACAACAGAGAAGAAGGAAGAGAGGTGATCAGGGTCTCATGAGGAAAACCATACCTAGATAGTTTGCTCAAAGAGAGTGCTGTTAATTCAAAGAGGCTGGTCTTCCTGAGAGATTCCTTAACCCAAGGCAATTCAAAAGTTGGTGTTTGAGTGTGCGAGAGAGGCCCCATGTTATGAAGGCATGTCAGAAAAATGATTATGGCTGGGTATTAACTTGAGATCTAGGCTGTGAAAGAACAGTAGGTTTTTTTTTTTTTTTTCTTTGAGATGGAGTCTTGCTCTGTTGCCTTGGTGTGATCTGGGCTCACTGCCACCTTCACCTCCCAGGTTCAAGCAGTTCTCCTTGCCTCAGCCTCCTGAGTAGCTGGGATTACAGGCCCGCCCACCACAATGCCTGGCTAATTTTTGTATTTTTTAGTAGAGACAGGGTTTTGCCATGTTGGCCAGGCTGACCTTGAACTCCTGACCTCAGGTGATCTGTCCATCTTGGCCTCCCAAAATGTTCAGATTACAGGCCTGGCCAAGCACAGTAGATTTGTGACTTGCCTTTCATACATGGGAGGGTGACTAAGGGAAGGAGGCATGGGGGTGGAGAGAGGATGGTGCTGGAGGGAAGGTGGGCAGGTGGATAGAGTCATTTAAGACATGCAAGGAGCCCCTTGGCACTTAAGAGAAAAGGTGCCACACATCCCGAAAGCCTGGAGCAGGGGCACACTGTCTTTGGAATGTATTTTCGTTGACTAGATTAATCTGCTTTCAATTAGAGTATTTATAGACTACTTCCCCCACAAAGGCCTCCATGATTGATCCCAGCAACAGTATACTTTTGGCCTTTGAAACTTTTTTGAAGTTTTCTTGCTATACCTACCATACTGTAGCTAGTTTTATAGTAATGCACATAGTCTTTGAGCTACAGCCTCAGCTCGTTGGTGGGGCCCATGTCAGTTTTCTCCTAGGGTCTCCCATAATTCCTCAATATAGTCCTTGTAAGAAGTGCCCCATACATGTTTTTTGACTTGAGCCCTTGCCCATTCCTGGGAGTCCAGGATCCAGGCCAGACAGTGGGGTTAAAGGACTGAAACAAATCACGCTACCTCCCCCTGCACAATATTTTCATGGGATAAAAATGCCCTTAAGATGAACATCAAAGGCAACTCTAAAAGTGAAAAGTAATAACAAGGCTATTTGTTATTACTAAATTGCTTGTTTGGAATAAAGAAGGGGTACCCATTCTGCATGTGCTAGTGAGAGTGCTGGTTTATAGGTCAACTCTTAGGCACAGACTTTTCAGCACTTAAAAAATCGCCAGCTGAGCATCCCCTTCCACCTCTTCTACCCTTTGAATGTCATTGACCCACCAACACCACCACAGGGCTCTGAAGACTGCTCTTGTGATACCACAGATAATCAAACACACAACACGAGCAGTGGGGACACTCCTGACCGAGAGACAGAGTGCAGAGGACAGACACCCGGACCTGTGCCCAGTATCAAAAGCACTAACAGAGCGGCGCTTCCCGTGTTCACTGGACATGCAGTGTTCATATTAGGACTAGTTCTAGTTGGACATCTTGCTGTTTCCACATTTGTTTTAGTGGCTCTTCATCGTGTTTACATTTGTCTTATTTTTGGGCTATTTCTATAACCAAGTGACTATTTGATTAAGATTTATCCATTCCATAAATATGCCCATTTCATTCAACATGCTACCAACAAGTTTTTGGCAAGTCCTACTATGTGGCCAGTGGTCACACAGATTAAAGTCAAATTCATGCAGAATCCTGGCTTGCAGACAAAGTTTTTATCTTTTCTCTGCAATGACTCATCCTCACTTTCCAGAGGTACCTGGTGCAGCCATGGGTCTGCTCTCCCCATCTCCCATCAATATTTGCTCCTAGGGCAATCTCAGTCATACTTTTGAAATTATATGTTGCTCAAACTGTTTGTTTAAAAACATTTAAAACATTCAGTTAAGAGGCAAGTCTAAAACAGTGTCTCTGAGCATTCATTACATTAGAATAATGGAGGTGATTTGAAACAGTAGAGGTGGGGGTAAGGAATATGTCTGGCCCCTCCAGTCTGTGGATTTCTGTCTTTGCAGATGTGTAAGTGCAGATCTGCCCAGGACTGTCCAATGTTGGGGCTTCTTTCAAGAGCAAGGTTCTAGCGTCATCAGGAGATGGAAGAAAGTTATATTGATATACACTGTTACACAAAAGGTAGTATTTTGGATGCCAAGTATAAGATATTGCAGCAAATTCTGTGTCCTCTGTCTTCGGAGCCACCTACTATTTAACCGCTCGTGATCAAAGGCTTTTTTCCCTTTTTATTCTTGTGGTACTTTCTGGTGTCCATTCACCCTAGCCAGGATGAGCAGGTCTACCCAATAGCATTTTTTATTATAGACAGTTCTTCGTACATTATTGCACTTAACAGATTTACAGAGAGCACCTTTTTTGTTTTCAAGACTGAGATTATTGTTCAATCTTTTATACTTGTGTTGACTTACACTCTGTTGTAAAATTTGAAGGAGGGTAAATGCATAATCAGTTTTAATGACCTACGTTATGCAAGTTACAATCTGATTGGCAGTGAAGATAAGTTTAAATGCAAACAAATGGCAGATGTTAATCTCTGCCTCCTTAGCTTTCAGGTGGTAGGTGTAGGACACTTCTGGCTTGCAGTTCCCAGGTGATGCTTGCTTGACTTTGTTGTCAGCACCTGCATTAGTCCGTGCTTCATTGGTATAAAGAAATACCTGAGACTGGGTAATTTATAAAGGAAAGAGGTTAATTGGCTCACAGTTCTGCAGGCTGTACAGGAGGCGTAATGCTGGAATCTACTTGGCTTCTGGAGAGGCCACAGGAAACTTACAATGGTGGCAGAAAGTGAAGGGGAAGCAGGTACATCTTACAAGATGGGAGCAGCTGCAAGGGGTGGTAGGAGGTGCTACGCACTTTTAAACAAGCAGATCTCACAAGAACTCACTATCACGAGAACAGCACCAAGAGGATGGTGTGAAACTATTTATGAAGGATCCACCCCCATGATCCAATCACCTCCCAGCAGGCCCCACCTCCAACAATGGAGATTACAATTGAACATGAGATGTGGTTGGGGACACAGATCCAAACCATATCAGCGCCCCTCAGTGTGTGTGGTGGAATCTGGCTCTAGAGTGGCCCATTTCGGCAAATGAACTGGAGATATTACAGATGGAACTTACTCTGATTTCCTGCACTAAACCCAGCTCTTCATATTTTCTTCATGGGTCACTTGGACATTTTTTTCCCAACATACATTTAATTGTAGTGTGATTCCTTCTGGGCAGCAGAAACTTCAGATATCCATAGATAATTTATTCCGTCAAATCCATAGCTATGGGTTCTTGAGGCTTCTCCCTACATCAAATTATGAGGCAGTATGAGCCATCCACACAGAGCACTCAGAGCCCACTCCTGGGCAAGTCTGTGGAGTGTATTGCTTGGTGGAGAGTGCTTCGGACAGGAAAAGGGGAGCTTCCTCCATGCCTTCTCTTCTGATTGGTGGCCCAACCCCAGTGTCCTTTCCCATCCTGCCATGTTTTTTTATGGCATGCCCCACCTGGTCTCAGTTGTCATCTCTGGCTTCAGGCTTCATGAAGGCCCTTTATGCTCAAGATTAATGTGAACTGCTTCTCTGGACACTATAACAGGGAACTAACCTACAGAAACTAGGAGGGGAACAACCTGAGTTTAGCTGCTAGACACATTTAGGACACATTTTAAAATTACATGCACAAAATTATGTATTCCAGTTTCCTGAAAACTTAGCAAAAGCAATGCCTTTGGGCTATGAGTTTAAAACATGACAACCATTTTAATTTTCCTTTTGCATAGAATGAGGAAATGTGGGACCATCACTCGTGATTTGGGAGGTGGGACCGTGTAAAGACCGCAAACAGCGGAGTTTCTACATTGGTGGCTCATATGCAGTTTGTGTCTACTTGCTTTTCATCATCATTCTCATATAGGAGACCAGCTCTCTATCCTCGGCCAAACTGTGCTTTCGGTATAGGAAAAGTAAATGTTCTTTATTTGCATAGTTAAGTGTGTAATGCAAATAACATCGTTTCATCTTTGACTAAACAACTCTGCTTCTGAATTTGGGCACATCACCTAACACGTTCATGCTTTGTGAAAGAAACTCTAAAGCAGCAGTTTTCAAACATGCTTGATTTTGATTAAAAGTTAGAATTACATTTAACATCGTAATCCAATACCCATGCCAATGTGACACATGCACTACTATTATTCTATTTTCTGTTTCATTCTATTCTACTCTACTTCATTGAAGAAATGTTATCTATGAGGCACTAACTTGATTTCATAACCTGTTAATAGGCTACGGTGTACAATTCCAATCCCCTGGAAACTGTTCTCTCTGTGACTATATACTGCTTATCGATGGTGTAGGGGAAACTCTGGGTTGAAGCAGTCACCTCTAGAACCTCTGGGGGGCCGTGACCGGCAGAGATGCATGCACACCGGCTGTTTTGACTACTTCTCTGTGGGTTCCCAGTTGTGCACTGTGACAGGAAGGAAAAGCCAGGAAGGATTTTGCTGCCCCTTTACAGTTGCGAAAGTGTCTCTGTGCAACCTTTGAAAATGGACAAGGGATAGCTGCCCTCTGGTTAAGGCAACACACACCATGTGCACCTGAGATACACTTGCCTTGATTTTGCTGCATCCCTGAATGGGAAACATAATCTGCCTACCTTCGACAGTCATGACCACTTACCTAGTCTCTTCCATGGTAGCAGACCCGTTCCTGCCCCAGACACTGTTTTCACACTAATGTGGAGCCTCAGACACACTGTGCTCCACACTGTGCTGCCACCTTCCTCTGAAAATCCAAATTTTGGTTCATTTGCCTGCAGTTTCCTTTGCTCTCTACCCCTTACCCCGTGCCTTAGCTAGCTGGATTGACCACTGAAACAGTGGCCCTCTGGTTCTTGCTCTGGTTACCAGCACCTGACCGCAGGGAGTGTCATGCTTCTTCATGTGCATGCTTGTCCTGAAGGATGAGCGGGCATTGCTTTCTGCTATGATCTGGGAGGCACTGAGTGTGAATACGGGCCACGGAGGAAACCAGATAGACCAACCCTGTGGACAGCAAGCCTGGGACCATCCACAGGAGCTTTTGCATTGAAGATGGCAGGAACATTATTCATGGCAGCATGTCTGTGGAGAGTGCAGGGACATGCTGCACTTTGAGCTGCACTTGGAGCTGGGAGCACCTCCAGCTCCAAGAGTTACCCTCTAGATTACAAGGGAAATCCAGACATGTTTCAGAGGCCAATCCAGCTGCCTAAGGCACAGGATAAGGGGTAGAGAGCAAAGGAAACTGCTGGAAATTGAACCACACTTTGGGTTTTCAGATGAAGGTAGCCGCACAGGGTGGAGAGCAGGGCCTGTCTGAGGCTCCACATTAGTGTGAGGATAGTATCGGGGGCAGCCCTTGTCTGCCAACATCATTGAACTTTTGTCATTGTGCCAACATTGATTTCTTACACCTTTTTGTCCCATATTGGGATGAAATATTTTCACCTGATAGTAGCACATGACATTGTACAGGGAGCACTTCCAGCTCCAAGAGTTCCTCTCTAGATTACAAGGAAGTTGATGGAAATAACTAGATTTGTTAGAGCATGGTCTCCTGCCCATGGAAGGGAGGAGAGTAGAGTGGGGAAGCATGCTGGCCTGCCCTCTGTCACACATTGCAATCCACCAGTTCCTTGGGGGTGAAAATACAGGCCAGTCCTCTTCTCTGCACTCCCGACAGACATGCTACCATACATAATGTTCCTGCCATCTTCAATGCAAAAGCTTTTGTGGATGGTCCCAGGCTTGCTGTCCATAGGGTTGGTCTCCGTGGTTTCCTCTGTGGCCTGTATTCACATTCAGTGCCTCCCAGATTATAGCAGCCACTGGCTCTGAGTGCCAGTATTGCACAGAATGCATGAGGAGGTCATCAGAAGCCTATTTGAATTTGAAACCAACAAGACAAATCCCGTTTGCTTGAAACACTCAATGATCTCCCCAATAAGGCCTCACTGGACCCTGCTGAGCTTGAAGGCAATGAAGGTGTGCTGACTGTTGGCCATGGTCCCACTAGCTGCTTTGGCATTACCTTTGACTGCCACTACCAGCACTGAAAATGCCCCTGGCCCTACATGCTTTCAGGCAGTGGCCATCTAGCATCCATGGTGATCCCCACTCACAGCTCCCAAAGAATGAGCAGGCATTGCCACCAACATTGGGAAATCATACAGTCAATACTCATTTGTCCTATATTTCTGCCAAGAAGATAACCATGAGCAATCAGTAATACTGTATAGGCCTATCTTAGGATTTCTGTAAGAGCTGTTTCTAGCTTCATTTAAAAAAGTGTTTTCTCATAGCCAAGTATGTTTTTATATGTTTCTAATGAAGTGTGAGGTGCTCTGATAGCTGTCAACAATGGCAAGGCAGTGTACTTGTTCTTAGGGAACATTGTTTAAATTGCTGTACAGAGGAATATGCATAGCTTTGAATGTAATTAGGAGGCAATGAACAATAAAGGGGAAAATATTGGGTTAACACACTTAATTTAGAACAAAGACCATCATCATTATTGTCATCATCACAAATATCATCTGCTATGCTTTGAATATCCCCTCCAAAACTCAATGTTGAAATTTAGTTGCCCATGTTATGGTATTGGGAGGTGAGGCTTTCAAGAGGTGATTAGAGCCCTCATGAGTGGGTTAATAATGTTATTGTGCAAGTGGGTTATTGGAAAAGTGGGTCCCTGCAAAAAGGATGAGTTTGGCCCAGTTTTCTCTCTCAGCCTCATGCTTGTGCTTCCCCCTTTTGCTTTCCACCGTAGGATGACTCTTGCCAGATGCTGGCACCATGCTCTTGGACTTTCCAGCCTCCAGAACCATGGTCCAAATAAAGTTCTATTTTCTATAAAATTATCCAGTCTGTTATATTCTCTTATAGCAGCAGAACATGGACTAAGACAAAACATTGGTGCTGAGAGGTGGGCTTATTGCTGTAGCAAATACCTAAAAATGTGAAAGTGGCCTTGGCAATGGTTAATGAATAGAGGCTAGAAGAATTTGGAGGTGCAGGCTAGACAAGCCTAAATTGCTGTAAATGGAGCATTAAGGGTAATTCTGGTGAGGGCTCAGGAGAAGAGGAGACCTGTAGGGAAAGTATAAATCTTAGAGATTACTTAAGTGGTTGTGACTAGAATGTTGGTAGAAATATAAACAGTAAAGGCCATTCTGATGAGGTCTCATGGAAATGAGGAACAAAGTATTAGAAACTGGAATAAAGGCCATCCTTGTTATAAGGTGACAAATAACTTGGATGAATTCTGTCCATGCCTGTGGGTTTTATGGAAGGCAGAATGTAGGAGCAATAAAGTAGGCTATCTGGTGGAAGACATTTCTAAGCAAAATATTAAAGAAGCTGAGTGGCTATATTCAACCCATACAGTAAGATGCAAAAGGCAAGAAATGACTTAAAGAAGCAATTTATAACTTAAAAAGAAGCAGAACAGGAATATTTTGAAAATGTTCATCCTGTCATGTAAAGAATGAAAAAGCATGTTCAGAAGAGCAAACCAAGGATATGGCCAAGTGACCCTTTGCTAAGGAGATTAGTATAGATAGAAAGGATCTCAAGACAATGGGAGAGTGTTCCCAGACACATTTCAGAGCGCTTTGGGACTGCACCCCCATCACGGGCCCAGAGCTCTATAGGGGCAGAATGGTTTTGGGGAACAAGCTGGTTTTGGCATGAGCTTGTTTCCCAGAGCCCCCTAGGGTCTCTGCTCCCTGCATTCTGTCACAGTTCTCCTTGATCATCCCAGTTATGGCTCAAGTGGGTCCAGGTGCTGCTTGACCCACCAACCTGTAAGGTGTAAGCCATAAACCTTGGCAGTATCTATGTTGCTGACTCTGGAGATGGGCAGAACGCAAGGACTATGGGACCAAGGCAGCCTCCAGCTAAATTTCAGAAGATGTGGTCAACAGCTTGGAGACCCAGTCAGAGACACCACAGGGTTGGAGCCACAGCAGCGAGCTCCTGCCCCTACTTTGGCAATCCTGAGTAGTAGTTGGGGTTGGAACTACCACAGAGTTACTATTAGGGCTACCACAGAGTTACTAGTGGGGCTGTGGAAGTGGGGCTGCCCTCGAACCCCCAGAACTACAGAGCTACTAGCATGCAGCTTCAGCCTGGAAGAGCTGCCTGGCGTAAAACTAACCGTGAGAGCTACTGGGTGGACTGAGTCCAGCAAAGCCTTAGGAGAGGGACTGCCTAAGGTCTTGGGCCCAACTCCCACCCCAGCGTGCCAAGGATGTGGGAAATAAGGTCAAAAGAGCTTATTTTGGAGCTTTAAGTCTTGGGGTTGTTTTCCTTGTTGGGTTTTACACTTAATTGGAACGAGTTACCCCTTTCTTTCTGCCCTTTTCTCCCATTTGGAATGAGAATGTCTATTCTATACCCATCTCACCTTTATATTTTGGAAATAGATAACTCGTTTTGATTTTATAGGCTCATACCTAGAGAGGAGTTTGCCTCGGGATGAACCATGCCTTGAGTCTCACCCATTCCTGATTTAGATGAGGCTCTAGACTTTAGACTTTTAAAATAATACTGGAAAAAGATAAGAACTTTGAGGTTATTGGGATGGAATGAAGGTATTTTGTATATGAGAAGAACATAAGTTTTGGGGGAGCTGGGGAGGCATGCTCTGGTTTGAATGTCTTCTTGAAAACTGATGTTAAAACATAATTGTCAATGCAACAGTGTTGGGAGGTGGGGCCTTTAAGAGCTGATTAGGTCATGAGGGCTCTGTTCTCATGAATGGATTAATGCCAATTTTTTGAGAGTGGGCATCTAATAAAAGGATGAGTTTGGCTGTCTTTTTCTCTCTGTCTTGAGGATATTTCCCTCTTCTGTCTTCCACTGTGGAGTGACCCTCGCCAGATGTCAGCAACATGCTGTAGAATTTTCAGCTTCCAGAAATGTGAGCCAAGCAAACTTATAAATTAGTCAGTCTGTGCTATTTTTTTATAGCAGCAGAAAAAGGACTAAGACATCATCATCTTCAAGAACTTATATTGATCATCTCTCTGTTATAGAAATTTGGCCCATTCTAAGATGATGATTTTGAATGCTTGTGATTGTTGCCAAGAAGTCTGTCCATAAATAAAACTCACAAATTTACACTGGCTCATTTTAAGTTTTCAAGATGTCCAACTCATCACCAGTTTCTCTCTCTCTCTCTCTCTCTCTTCCTTCCTTCCTTTCTCTCTCTTTCTTTCTCTTTCTTCTTTCTGTCTCTTCCTTTCCTTTCCTTTCCTTCCAAATGCCAAACTCAAGCACAATTTTTTTTATTAATTAAAACAATAATTCACATGTTGGTTTTATGTCAGACTTGTGGCATTTTCTTCCCTGATGTATATTCGTAGTGCACCAGGATCCCCTTACGGTCAATGGGGTGATGAGCAAGGTGCCTAGGAGCACTGCCTCATTCTGCTTCTGCTCCCTTTGGGCAGCCTTCTCTTCTGGAAAACTTTGCTAACATAATGTTTGCCCAGGAGCACAGCTGCTGATGCTGCCTACACATGTAGCAAAGATAGTAGCTCAGATCTAGCCCAGGGTAAAAGGTGAAATGTTTGTCAATCAGGACAGCATCAATCTCCAACCAGTCGGTAAAAAGACACAAGTCAGAGTGCTGGGGCAAGCCTCATGAGGGCCCCCTGCTGGGGCCCTGGGATTCCTAGAAGAGTGGCTTGGCAGCAAGGGTGATAGGCGGGCACTCTGTGATTTAGGGTCAGTGGCTACTTCCCAGCCAGCACGGAAGTGCTGCAATATCTTAACACCTGGTACAGCCATCCCAGTGCCTACTGGCTGAATGGATGATACTGGATGATCGCATTGCAATCACTGCTTCACTTCTGACGTCAATTCAGGCAGGGTTATTTTTCATCCCTAGGAATGCTAAATGCTAAACACCACTGCTGCGAGGTATGCTGATTTGGGGATTAGTTTTTAGGTTTCCTCCCAAATGACGTGGACTGATATGGCTTTTATTTTTCTGAGGTTCACCCAGACTTAAGTGGGAAGAATGGACAACCAAAGAAAACATCTGAATCTCTGAAATACCATCTGACAATTGTCTCACTAATGTAATATTGATTCTAGGTAACAACAAATCCAAGTTATCCTCTATTTTTTAAAGTCTTGGTTATCTCATTATTGCAATGAGGTTATGACTGATCCTTCTGTCCAGAATGTTTTTGGTGAACTGCCATCTTATTTTACCAAAATGACTAATTCCTTTTGAAGGAGAAGTAACAAAAGATAGAGATGATTCTTTTGAGTGAGCCCTGTGTATGACTCGGTACTTAGTTGTGGAGGCTGTAGGGAGTGGCCTGGTAGTGCAGGCCTGGTGCAGGCTCAACCATGGGTGACAATAGCCCTGCTAGCTCTGCTAACTTTTCCTCGTTAGCCTTCCTGCAGCTACAGCACCAACAGGGCTCTCCGGCAGCAGTTGTGGAGACTTTCTGGCCTGACTTCTGTCTCCTGGCCGCTTGGCTTGGAGAGTAGCCATCATGGATTCTGCGTTTACTTACAACGTGCACTACAAGTTTGCGCAGCTAAACGTCTGAAGAAAATCCCCAGATAGAGCCTTTAGTGCTAGCAACTGAATTGGATCTCCAATATCAAGATAGGAGCATTTTGAGTCTAATGTGAGAGATACTTAGAGGATGTCTATGCCTTTGGTTGTTTTGTTGTTGTTTTGTTTTCCTGTGTTTTTCTTTTTTTTGACCGAGTTTCGCTCTGTCACCCAGGCTGAAGTGCAGTGGCATGATCTTGGTGGTTGTCTATACCTTTGTTGTTTTTTTGTTTGTTTGTTTGTTTGTTTGTTTGAGATGGAGTCTTGCTCTGTCACCCAGGCTGGAGTGCAGTGGCTTGATCTTGGCTCACTGCAACTTCTGCCTCCTGGGTTCAAGCAATTCTCCTGCCTCAGCCTCCCAAGTAGCTGGGATTACAGGTGTCTGCCACCACGCCTGGCTAATTTCTTTTTTGTATTTTTAGTAGAGATGGGGTTTCACCATGTTGGCCAAGTTGGTCTTGAACTTCCTGACCTCAGGTGATCCGTCTGCCTCGGCCTCCCAAAGTGTGAGGATTACATGCATGAGCCACCACGGCCAGCCACCTTTGGTTTTTTAAAACAGGTTCTTATTTCTTTGCTGAATAATTTCACTTTTAACTTCTCATGATGAAGAATTTCCAAGTGTTACAAAATGAGAGAGAATATAGACTAATGGACCTCCTGTGTACCGACACCCAGCTTTATCAATAATGTACACATGGCCCATCTCCTTGCACATAATCCCTACTCAGACAAATACCTCTAATACTGACTTTTTTTTGGAAGAGCCGATTGTGTTTAACAGTGATTTGGTAGAGTGAATCCATGGTAGTGCTAATATCAAGGTGCTTCTGTCATTGAGCGTAGTTGTTGTACAAGGGAGGCAGAGAAGGTGTGTGTCAGAGAAGCACAGAAAGGATGAATGACAGATACATCTAGATGGGAGCTGTTTTTTGTTTTTTGTTTTTTGTTTTTTTTGAGACTGAGTCTCGCGCTGTCACCCAGGCTGGAGTGCTGTGGCGCGATCTCGGCTCACTGCAAGCAATGGGAACTGTTTTAGAACAACAACTTCCAAATAGTGTCATTGAGTTGAGTAAGAACTTGAGGGAAAAAAGATGGAGGAATGCAGCTGGCTCTGGGGAAAATAAAATACTACCTGGGACAGAAAAAGAGAAAACTTGGGGAATAGCACGAACCGGAAGAGGACAGAATTACAAAGGCACACACAGTCACAAAAGTGTGCACATGTCTAAATGTAAATCCGGACAGCCCACTGCAAACCAGCAGGTAGAAATACGTTTTCTGAGAGCAATGAATGTAAGTCCCAGGGGCTAAAA
Organism: Homo sapiens; assembly: GCF_000001405.40. Lineage (NCBI taxonomy): Eukaryota > Metazoa > Chordata > Mammalia > Primates > Hominidae > Homo > Homo sapiens. The sequence continues at coordinate 22,105,435 of NC_000013.11, forward strand.
TCTGTAAAGGCCAAGCGTGCGTTTGTGTTTCCTGGAGGCCATTCCCTGTGTGAACAGGGATTAACTGTTTCCCCCAGCTACTGGTCTCTTTTCTATGTAACATCCTATCAGGTATTCTACTTGAATCTTCTATTTCAGATTTTGTTGGCATGTAATTGTCTTTCAATTTAGTTTGAGTGATGTTAATATTCTCAGAAAATCATCTATCTATATCTATATATCTTAACATAGCCTGCTGCATTCTCTTGGGCAATTTTACTATATCTTCAGGATGTGTCTTTTTTTTCCCCAAGACAGCACATCCATAATTAATTAAATGAACACTAAAGTCTCATTCATGCCTGTATTCATTCAATAAGTGGCCACTTAATGTCTATTAAGTGCAAGATACTGGTGGAGGGAAAGACGCCTGTGAGCCATGGTCATCTGAAGAGCATAGAGGCTGCTCAGGGCATAGGCGGCTGCAGGCAGGGCCATGTGGGAATGGTGGAGCCTCCATCAGTGCTCAGCATGTGCCCCGGCAGCAGGCGGGTGTGTTCAGGGGATCGAGGATGCACACCAAGGGTGCATCAGAGAAGCAGCGGGTAGCATGATCTTGCCTTCCAGGGTGCACTGAATTCACATTCCAGCTCTGTGGCTTATTGCTCCTGGAAATCTGGGATGAGTTAACTTCTTTCTACCTTACCTCCTTCATTTAGGATGCTCATAGTTGTATCTACCTCCTACAATTTGTGAGTTGTGAGTGAAAAAGTCAAGTGTTGTAAGGAAATGAGTGTGAAGTGTTGTAAGGAAATGAGTGTGAAGTGTTGTAAGGAAATGAGTGCCATGATCATTACTCTGCCTTGGCAAAGCGGGACCAGCTTCCGATATGGCCAGGAGGAGGACTGGGGCTAGGCCCTGGTAGGGGAGAGCAGGGTGCCTGGGGAGCTCAGGGAAAGGAAAGGTGGGCCCCCATTATGACACCCTGTTCAGGGTTTGGGGAGTGGCTGGACCGCCTTTTATATAGAGCACCCTTGACAGAAGTAACTCCATTTTAGGAAAAGACTCCTTACAGCTCAAAAGGCAGTCATGCCAACAGGACTGATACTCACCTAATCAGTAGAGGCGACACCCAACCAAAGGAGGGTGTAACCAGAACCTCTCTTTCCTGTCAGCTCTCACCAGAGGACTCCAGGGCTATCAGAAGAGCAGGAGCATCATGAGTTTGACGCGGCCATCCTGCTAATTCTGTTTTGCAGTCACTCGTGGTCAGCACCTGCATTTGCCCCTGAAGTCTCTGCCCAAATCAAAAACTCTTCCTTGCAAAATGTTGGTGACCATCTGGATCAGCTAGGACACTCAGCCTAGGAGAGTGTCACATCGCTTTCCTTGGACTAGTTCATTAACTCCTTTCCCTACCCTGTTTTCCTCTTAATGTTAAATTTTACTCTTTTTGATGTGAAAGCTTTAACCTATAACATTTCTATATTAAGTATACTACTATGTATGGCTTGCAGTATTAACTGACTTGTGGAGTGGCTGGAGCCTGTGTGCCACCAGGTCTGACTGCCTTGTGAATGCTTTGTGAATGGCGCTAAGGAGAATCGCCTCCTTGGGAACGCCATGTATCTCCTGGCTTTTATGATTGAAATAGCATCCATAAAAGTCTGACCTTGTGGAAAGACACGAACGTGTGTGGACCTGGTTATGTTTGACCTTGCGCCACTCATGACACATCCGGAAAAGAGAGCTAAGTCAGCTGAGTGGGGAAAGGCAATTTAAGAAGGAGAACACAGGTTGGAATGCATCTGGCAAGAGATGATGAGTGGGTCAGCCAGTGGATGGAGCCCCAAAGGAGGCAGCGGGAAGTGGCCCTGGCCTGCAGGGTTCAGGCGTCTGTTGCTTTGGGAACAGTGATGCTTTGATCCACTGCCTTTGAATCCTGGAGTTTTAGGAGAAGTCCTTGATAGTCACCAGCTTTCCCTTTAACAGCTTGAAAGTTGGAAAGGTGAGGTGCTGAGCCCAGGTCCACACAGCTGGTTCTGAGGAGCAGGCCAGTACTTGAGCTCAGTTTCGTGCATTCCTAGTCCCTTTGCCTTTCTTGCTTTTGCTGCCCGCCTTGTCAGGAGAATGAAAGAATCAATATGCGTGGAGTGCCCACCCTGTGCAAAGCAACAGCCTGTTCCCTTTAGACGAAGAAGGCAAGAATCCAGGCCAAGGGGTAAGCTGCTTCAGTGCTGTCATTCTACACGGTGACCAAGGTTGTTATTTTATATTCAACCTTCTTGTAAGGTCAGGGAATGACAACACATTATTCATCCTTTGATGTTTGCTAAGCAAATATAAAGTTTGTAAGTTGGCGTGAACCCAGTGTTGGTTTGAGAACTCTCAAATTGCAGCTTGCAGAGTTGTGGGTGAGGGTAAGAGATACAGAGATGTGATAAGGAAGGAGCATAGCAGATCTATGCAAAACTAACCATTTGTAAATTGCATGGAAAATTGTGTTTTTGCACTGTTGTGTTTTCCCTACTGCCTTTCATTGCATTTGTAAATGGGGTGCAGATTTAAGCCCCCAGTATTTGGCAGTCTTTAAAGATAGTCTGTTTTTGGTTTCGAAGAACTTCAGAACTGTGCTTCTTAACTTTATTAGGAAGACTATGCACATTTATGCTTTGAAGAAAATGAACGCGGATTAAAGATTAAGGAATTTGTGAAAATGGGAAGTCAGGGAATTTGCTCAGTTAGGACTGATGGAGAGGCTGAGTGACCTTAACATCAAAAGGAATGTCTCTATGTGATACTGTTTCCTGTCTGTTTCTGGGAGAGCATTTCAGTCACATTTTATCAAAGGCTTAATCTGCTGATTTTTGGTGAGTTTGTATGTTTTTTTCTTTCTTTTTTCTTTTTACTTCATAATAAAATTTTGAATTGACCTAAATCTGATAATTTATTCAAAATAAAGCCAAGGAGCTATTTTGCCTGAGGACACAGAGCTTGAAGGGGACAAGTGAACAGAGTGAGGAGAAAGGGCTTCTTTTCTTAGATTTGCTGTGACTCAGCCGAGATCCTGAGTGAATGACTCAATTTCTCTTTACTTTAGTTTCTCCATTTGTAAAACAATTTTAATAATACTCGGGATTGCTGCCTGTGAAATAACTTTATCCCCTCAGAAGAAATGAGCTATCAAAATACAATATGTGATTAGGCAATCTGTAGCTTTTGATTGTGTACTAAGGGGCCAAGTTTAGCAATATTTTTTTGGCCAGTGTTCTGAAGGAAATAGTTTGATTTTCACAATCAGTTGGGCTTACCAGCAAATAATGATCACAAAAGCTATGTGTCTGAGTAAAATACAAGTTATTTTCTAGCATGCTGGCTCCCACTGTTCCAGGCAGCTAAATATGTAGATGGTTGTTCAGCTTCACTGTTATTTTTTTGGTCTTGTCTCATCAGATACGCATTCCAAGAAATTAAGATTTGTTTCACCATTAAACTGACATTCTCAACTGCACTCCAATCAACTGGATAAAAGCAGAGAACCCATCAGAAGCTGTTTCTGGTTGACTATCACCTTTCAAAGAATATGTATTGGGAGAGAGCCTTCATACTTCTCAATTAGTGATTGTTAGAAATCACTAATGATGTATTGTAAGATGCTTTTCATGTCAAAGTGTTCCAAAACCCTTTGCAAGCGCACATATAAACAGGCATTACTTCACCGCCATTGAAATGCAGCCACCTCTTGGACAAAATGTGGCCGCTGTTTAATAATGCATAGCAACATTCCAAAACAATGGAGGCCTGGAAGTAAGGGGCAAACTTGCATCCAACTCAAATCACCTGGGAAGTTTTCTGGGCTGAGTTAGTTGTGCTGTAAGGGAGCTTTTGTAACTGCAGGAGGCCAGGACATTAGTTTGACGTCTGTTTAGGAAAGTAGGCTCCATTCTGCTCAGCACCCCTGGATCACGCTCACCTGTTAAATCATCCATGTCCCAGACTGTATGTAACTTGATGGACAGTCCTCTGAAATGGGGCCAGTTTTTGATACCAGCTGACAGAGGGGCTGGGCAGTATGGAGAGGTGGCCTTTCATGAGAGACAGGGTGGGCAGACCCCTGCAACAAGATTTGGAACTGGGAATGGTCCTGGGTGATAGAAAGCAGAGATTCATCCAATTCTTTCTGGTTACTGTAAAGTGTGTTCTCCAACTTTGGAAATCTTTCCCACAAATTCATTAACCTCTGGTCTATGCCATCCTTCATACTGATCTACTCTGATGGGCCACAGATCTTGAAAAAGAGCCAGAAAAAATGTCTCTTTTTGGACCAAAATTTGATTAGCAAAAATAGCTTATCCTTTAGGCAAAAGAATAACTCAATTTACAAGTAGATTAACCTGTTCTGAATAGGAAAATCAAAGCTCAATGACCACTTGTATTGCTTTACACCTTCTGTGGTCCCCAGGGTAGTGTGATTATTTTTATGGATAAAGAGGGAAGTCAACACAGCATACTAAAACTTACGGGATGCATTAGAAGAAGTGCTCACAGGGAAATTGATCGCTGTGCATGCATACATTAAAGAAAAATGAAAACCTCAATGTAATAACCTAGTCATACACCTTAAGGAACTAGGAAAAGAGGAGCAAATTAAACCTCAAACCAGCACAGGGAAGAAAATAAAGATTAGAGTGTAGAGAAGTAAAATAGAGAATAAAAAATTATAGAGAAAATCAAAACCACGAGTTGATTTTTTGGAAAGATCAAAGGGTTGACAAGCCTTTAGCTAGACTAAGAGGAGGAGAGTCCATCGTGGCAGGGTCTTTTTCTTTCATTCTGGGGGCTTGATGGGGCTGGGCTGGTCTCTTTTCTCACTCACAGAAAGATCTGGGAGTCTTTTCAGTGTTGTCTTGGATGACGGAGTGTAGTGGAGCATCCAAGACCCTTCCTGGGAGGCTGTGTGTCACAGGTCAAAGAAAACTGTGTGTCCTCCACACCCTAAATATTCTTATATGAACAAAAAAGGAAACACAAACATCCAAGGCCATCCTACAGTGGAAAAGAGCAGCCTGGAGCTGGGGCGGGGGCTGGCAGGCAGAGCCCGGGCTGAGTCAGATTAGGAGGAACATGCGGTGGTGGGGATGATGTTTGCAGAGTGATTGTCTAGCCAAGGTCTTGGCTAGAGCCATTGGCTGGTAGGGCCACTGCGGTCCCTACCCTGAATCACCCTGGAGCCCAGCAGCTGTCTTCTCAACATGCAGGAACCAGGGCTGTGGTTCCAATTCACCGTATCCTGGTGACAGTTCTGATTCTCCATGGAAAATTCCGTATTTCCCAACTAGGTCCAAATTAAATATTGACTTTACTAATTTTAAATTGTTTCACCCAGAGACATGTACTTTTATAAGGACATTCTGAAGAAATATTTTGAGTGATTGCTAAGGCACTTCTGCTAGACAAGGCTTCATGGAGGTGCAGTTGTGGGGAGCAGCAGAGATGTGCCTGCAGCAAGCATCCTGGCCTGTGGGAGGGGCAGCAAGAGCCTGGAACCCTGAAACACTGCCCCTGACCAGGCACGGGGCACAGCTGCTGGGCTCCTTTGGGGTGTTCACCGTGCATGTCTTGCGGAAGCTGTCCCCTCTGCCCTGCAGGACATCTCAGCGTCCTCTGAGTCCTGGTGATTTGTAGGCTCTTCTTCTGCCTGGCTGTGGATACACAGTGTTTCACGCCTGGGCTAGCCTTAGGGACTACCAAGGGTCCCCTTTCTCTGGGTGTCTTTCTTACCTAATCCACATTTCACTTCATCTCTACGGCGTGTCCAAAAGCAAAATTTCAACAAATGGAGTTGACAGATTGAGTTGACTGTTATTAGTCATAGCCCATCTAAAGATTTAGACGGGTGCTGCACTGGGCATGACAGTTGGTTTCTATAAGGCTGCTTGAGCAGGAGCAAGGAAATGGCATAATACAAAAAGCAGGTGGGCTAACATCTGGTGATTTCAGGTTGCTTTTCTCCAAAGGGTTAAAGCAGAGGGGATTTCCTTATCATGCTGGCTGAAAGTGGCTTCCTTAGAAATTTGGCTGTTATCTCTCCTGATTTCTCAGAAGGCCAGATAAACACTTTCATTTCTGTTTGGTGGCATGAAACTTTAGCCTGAGTGACTCCATTTTGGTGTGATCTGTTGAGGCGTAGTTTCGGAGCTCACTCCAAATCAATGGCCTCCCTTAAGTCATATTTAGCAAGTACCAGCAACGTATGTCTCCAGCACAACTGGTGGAACCAAGTTAGTTCCGTTTGACGATTGTTAGGATGTTCTCCAGTCACCTTCCCTGCCCCCTCACTTGATGTCAGGTCAATGTGTTATCTCACCCAGGAGAGCATTGTTCTTGAAAGCCATCCTCTACTCATAAAAAGCAGTGATTCTCCAGGGCATGTAAGGGAATTTGGTGTTTTTTCTGAATAGGAGGGAGAGACATCAACAGATGTATTGGAATGGATTGGGAGTTGGAGGTGATGAGACTGGAGTTTGGGATCCGTCCAGGAACCTAATAAGATGATCCTATAGAGAGACGTTGGGGTCTTATCAAAAGCGTTGGCCAGAGGAAACTGTTACCGGGAGCTACCACTCTTCCCTTCAAAAATGAAACTGACATTGACAGGATGAGGACATTTCTCCATAACGAATTCCAGGATCCTTTGTGGAATGCATGTGGCGGTGTAGGCACTGGGCTGGGAGTGGTATGCACAAGAAGGAGTGTGTCCTGGTTCTGCCCTCGGGGACCTCTCAGAAACTTGACGGAGACTTTCATGCTAACGCTGGTATAGCAAGCTCACCTGCATCGTAATTATGCGTTTCACACAGGCTTAATGAAATAGTAGACACAAAACGCAGGATAATTACTTAAAATTGAGGCAAGACATTTTCTTGTATCCTGTAAGTATTAATGTTTAGTGACCCAGACAAGCCTCTTTTAAACTTTTTTCTTTGAGCCATTTATAATATACCAAACTTTGTCTAGGAGGAAAAAAGTCACACTAGTTAGTCCTCATACTATCTTCTGTTCAATCAACCTACCTTGTCTCTTCTAGAAATTATTATTTCCACACTTAGTGCAAGCACAGTAAACACTTATTTAGTATTTTTATTCTTTAACCTTTTTAAAATTTCTATGAATATATAATAGTCATATTGTATTTTAAATATTAAAAATTATACTTATTCATTAGTATGCAAAGCAAAAGAAAACAAAACCCAGCGAAATGTTAGGCATCTTATTCTCTAGGATTTATTCATGTTGTAAAAAAATGGCTTGGCTTTTTGCTTAGATAGGAGCACTTGACCTGTGTTTGTGAATTTTGTAGGATTTCCTATGTCTTATTCTGCAGGCAGCATTGACAATCGCCGTGCATGCACCTTAGCATCTCTCTGTAGTGGATCAGCCAGGAATTGCTGACAAGGACCCCGCATGGATAAGGATGTATGTGTGGCCACAAGGAAATCTTTCCTGGCTGAGGCTGAGTTGGAGACCCTCTGTGTGCTTCCCTGTCACCTGGGCTCACCTGTCCTGACACTCCTGATTTGACCTGCTGCCTGAATGAGCCGCAGCTGATGGAGTGAGTAACAAAACGGAAAGCTTCCCTCTCTGTGCCCTCTCACAGGAGGGGATAATAGCTGTTGGTTTTCCAAGAATAGGCATTCTTAGACATGACTGGGATGACAACAATAACAGTTAATTATCAACAGAGAGGAAACTAAAAGAACTCAATGTCCTGACTTAAAGGAATGCGGGCAAAGGATAGTGGGTCAAACCCGCATTCGTAAGGGTTAGACTTTTCTATGTAAGTATTGAGTTGTGGAAGTCAGAATGTAATAATTATTAGTGATAGGGCCAGTAGGGTGTTGACTTACCTCATGGATTATATAAAACCCCTGGTCTTTGGCACCTTCCTAACATTGGACGTAGGTCACCCCTGCACAAGCAGCGAAGGAGCAAGCACTAAGATCTAACCTCCAAGTGCATGTCCAAGCTTAGCTTCTGTGACTTTTCTCCCAAAGCCTGACTCATCTACTCCCAGTCCCCGATGCATCTTACCTTTTGAGCGTGCTATGTAAGAATTTGCCCCCTCTCTGCCTGGCAGTAAATGTTGTCGGTGAAGTGGTTCCATCAACAGGAATTCACGTAGAGCAGTGGGGTTGTTGAAATATAAAACTTATTCTGATTCCTCTTTACTCAGAATTACTTCTGTTGTTCTAAGTTAGTCATGTGTAGAGACTACTGACAATGCTAAAATCATTCACTGGGCAGATTGAAATGCATTTTGTGGATGTTTTCTCTCTTAGAAAAATAATTGTTATCATTTGAATTTTTTTCTGCGTCTTAGAAATATTTTTCTCCTTGTGTTCCTGTATGATTGGTTTGGTGCACATCTTCACTTAACTCTCCACGATTCTCTCAGGTTCTGATGATATGAGAGACTGACTCCAATACCTCTGTGTCCCTAGGAGATTGTAATTGAAATGCGAGCTCTTAGCATTTTCTCTGTTTTGAGCTTAAAACTGAAGAACTAAAAAAAAAGGAATTATTAGAGACATCATTTTAAACATTCTTTCTCAATGGGTTTTCATAGATAGAGATGCTTTACTAAATGTTGAATTATTTTGGTAAGTGATTATACATCTTTACATTCAGGACAGGAGCCTTTCAATTTGTGTTTTTGTGTTGCTGAGGTCACTGTTTTTTGTTTGTTTGTTTGTTTGTTTTTCCGTTTGTGGGTGGGTATTTGGAGGTAAGAAAGGTGGTGAACTCAAGAGTAGAAGTCACAGAAGTTACATGACACTTTAAGTTTGAGAAAGGACTGAATGAGCCACGTTTAACAAAGTCAGACTTGTTACAGAAAAAGAAACAGAAAACCTTTAGAAAATGGCATATAGCTCATGCTTGTAATCCCAGCACTTTGGGTGGCTGAGGCAGGAAGACTGCTTGAGGCCAGGAGTTCAAAACCAGCCTGGGCAACATAGCGAGATTCTGTGTCTACAAAAAATAAAAATAAAAAATAAAAATAAAAAAAATTAGCTGGGCATGGTGGCAAACATTTATAGTCCCAGCTCCCTGTGGGGCTGAGGTGGGATTGTTTGAACCTGGGTAGTTGAGGCTACAGTGAGCCATGATCATGCTACTGTACTCCAGACTGGGTGACACAGTGAGGCCCTGTATCAAAAAAAAAAAAAAAAAAAAAGAAAATCGCAGAGTACAAAAACTAAGAGATGCATTCTGGAAAAATAACAAAACGTGCCGCCAGTCCTAACACCTCTATGTTTTGTATTTTAACCCCCTCCTTGGTTAAGTGAAGGGGAAGTGAAGACCACAGTGACTCGTTTCCTTTAGAAACACTGCTTATTGGCCTGACATCATGGAAAGAAATTTCCCCAGCTATTTTGGTAGTGGTGGTAATTCAACCCTGAATGTAAGAACTGAAACCTTCTCCCACATCTGAGGTCACCATAAACCATTGTGCAAGTCACTAACTCTTTGGCCATTTCAAGTCATTGTTTGTCTTTCTAACAACAGTCTCCATAAATCAGTCACTCGGGTGTTCTCAGGCATTGGAATGAAGTGTGAGTTTTCTCATCCTTGGAAATTAATTGAAATCAACCAGGAGGATCAGATGGCAAGGTGATGAAATCAGAGTCAAAGGAGGGATGGACTAAGAAGCGGAGCCTTGGCCTGCATGCTCCTCGAGGCCTCCGGTTCCCCTTTGCTGATGTGCTCTCCCCAGTGCAATTGAGTTTGTTTTCACTTCCTGTTATTCCAATAGGTCATCACTCTTGGTGTGTGAATGTTTGACCTCTCCCTGTTTCATTACCCAAACCACCGCCCCATCAAAACACCAGCAACAACTGCAGCTTTAGGAGAAGGATGCCAAGTTTGATTTGTTTTTTAGGTAAAGAGTCATCTGATTTTAGCAAGATGGTAACCTGGTGAATGTAAAAGTGAAAAGTTCAGCTCAACAAGGGCTATGTTTTTCTTGTAGATGTCAGAGGATATTTTTCAGATGGTTCTAAAGTGGTTTCTTTTCCTCAGGTGAATAGTAATACTTTGGACTATTTTCTTTGGGGTTATGGAGATAACCTGAAATTGCTCTTCCTTTATCTGAGTATGGTTTCCATGGTTGTACATAAAAGATGTGCTGTCATTACCGAAACACATAGAGGAAAATACCTATTTTCACTTGTATCCATTGCATGTGATTTTTTGGCTCTAGTTCATGAAATTGACCTGTCAGTGAAAAACATATTTCACTGGAGAAATGCCTAAGAAAGTGTTGTTATAACTAACATCCTATTCCTTCTGTTTCTACATCATGGAAAGGTGTGATGTTTTCAGTCTATGTTAAACATTTTCCCGGAGGTGTTTTGTACTAAGACGTTTATTCATTTGGAAAATGTTAGCGTAAAGTCCAAGGACTTTAGAATCAGATCCATTCCTCTGTGTATTAACTGGGCAGATTGGCTAATCTTTCTGATCATCAGATTCCAACATTCATAAAGTAGGAAGAACAATGTCTACTGTTCAAGGTCCTTACTGGGTTTAAAGGCAGTGCAGCTAAGGACACTGCCTGGCATGTTCCGGACATTCTTTCAGCCAGTGGAGGTTTTCTAGCCATGTTCTGACTCTTTTTATTTTTTTGGAGACCGAGTCTCGCTCTGTCTCCCAGGCTGGAGTAAAGTGATGCGATCTCAGCTTACTGCAACTTCCGCCTCCCAGGTTCAAACAGTTCTCCTGCCTCAGCCTCCCAAGTAGCTGGGATTACAGGTGCACACTGCCATGCCTAGCTAATTTTTGTATTTTAGTAGAGGTGGTGTTTCACCATGTTGGCCAAGGCTGGTCTCGAACTCCTGACCTCTGGTGATCCACCTGCCTCAGCCTCCCAAAGTGCTGGGGTTACAGGGGTGAGCCACGGCACCCGGCCATTCTGACTCTACACAGTGCTCCATTGAGTTTCTTACCACAGTTGTAATGCTGCTGGTGGTATGGTTACTAATTTGCTTGTCCTTTGCCAAAATTCATTTGGCTATTTTTATCAAGGAACAAAAGGGAGATACGGAGCCCCTCTGCTTTTGATGTGTAAACTCAGAGCCCTGTGATTTTTTAACATAGTTGAGGTGTTTGATATATAGAGTATTTAATGTGAAGATTCTTTTACAATTTGGTAAAATTGTTGTTTTGACTATTGGTCTGTTGCTTGACTATAAGACTGGGTGTTGAAATATCCTTATTCCAATGAATTTAAAAGCCATTTCTCCTGTGATAGAGGTAAATCATTTGAAACTGCACTTATATTGTCTCCAAAGGAATATTGCATTGTTCCTGAAGAAAAATCAGGTTATATTTCTTAGGATTTGGTAAACAATGAAGGTTACCATAGAATTTTAATGATGACAGCCTTGCAACACCCTTATCATTTTTTGTGTCTGACATTTTCTTTTTGGTGGCTTGCCCTGGTGATCTTTGTATCAGTAGTATCTGTTATCTGTGCCTTGTAGAATAAGCTTTCTGGGGTAGATGTTAATATTGAGCTCAGTACAAATTGATCCCATCAAAAAAACTTTCAAAGTCAGTTTCTTTGTTTTGATTTTCATAGTATAGTAATAAAAATGGCTTAAGTCAGGGGATCTAAGGCTGGGCTTGAGCAGATAAATTAACACACTTGTGGGAATTGGCTCTTGTCTTTAGGCGCCTCAGCTGGGAGTCATTTGTTTGGAATAGGCGACATTTGGCCTCTATCTAATAGTGGGAAATGGACGAGGATTTGAGTGGGCACAGGACCCAATGGGAGCAGATGCAGATGCCCACCAGGCTTGGAGGGCTCCAGAAAGACAGGGATGGGGGTGGGAGCAAAGACTGTAATGAGCTCACTCCAAAAGAAACGGGGCAGGCAGTTCCTGAAAGTGAATCGCCAACTGATTGGAGGGCAGTGCAGCTTATTTTAGAAATTGAACACAACTGGGCTCTTTGACAGAAAAGCGTGGCTGGGTAGGGGTGTGGAATTAAAAACTATCTTACCATTGTCCAGTAGGATGGGGAAGACTTGAGGGCAGACATTAGAGAGAAGAATATTTAATTATTTAACATCCGCTGGTATCATAGGGATCAACATGTCCCTTCTCTGTGGAATATAAGCCATGAAGCAGCATTGAGAAGAGATCATGCAGGTCAGACAGAGCTTCAATAAGTACTGTATAAAAGAACAGAGAGCCAAACAAACTGATGCCTCCCTGGATGCTTTTCAAGGGCGTATGGATCCTAGGTATAAAGGTCTCTATGGCCAATGAGTTGTGGGGGATAAAGGCTTTGGATGCCATCCTGAAAATCTTATCCCTGCTGAACCATGGGACCTCAGTGTTGCCAGATGGGATGGCTTCTCTGTGGCAGGTCGGAAATGCATTTGAGGGTATGGGGTGGGAGTGTGCTGCTGAGTTGGGCTCTTAATGGACAGATGAACATCTCACCGAAATTTCCCGGTATTTGGAAGTAATTGGTGACTTGTTTCCATCCTAATTGACAGCCTCAAAACCAAGATCATGTGCATATAGTGATTGAATTAGCCCTTCCTCCCCCAGCCCTACCCCTGCCCCACCCCCAGCATCCCAGATGTTTACTGTAGCTCAGGCGGACTCCAGGGCACTAATTGATGTAAGAGGATAGAAACTCTTGTGTGCCTGATAGGCCGTGAACATCTATGCTTTGTAATATATATGACTATAACCTTCTTAAAGGATTTATGTTCCTTATACAAGAACAAGAGGAAAAAGAAAGCCACTCCCTGATCCCTACTCCTAACTATCAGAATAGTGAATTGGAAAAGGATCTGAGACAGCCCTCGATCTGAACCTCAGTTTTGGGAAGCAGTGACATACCTCTGGGACTCAAAGCAAGTCACTTGGCCCTGCTAGACTTTGGGATGGCCCCGGCACTGTGCCAACTCTTTCAAAAACATTACCTCATTTAGTGCTGAAGCCACCCATGTCTTGCTTTCTTTTGCATAAAACTTGTTGGATGAAAAAGGACCTGGTTAAGGTTTAAAATACGATTTGTAATAATAATAGAATAATAGGCTCTGTGTTTTGAGCACATTCCACATGCCAGGCATGTGATACTTACAATGTATGTTTCCAAACACCGTCTCATTTAATCTTTAGAGTAACCCTATGAGGCAGGTACTGATTGAGGTTGGTAAATCTCAGGTCGTAAAGATAGTATGCCATGTTGTGAAGATAGGAGTAGAAATCTAAATCCCGAATTATTGTATTTAAAATCCAGAGCATCTTTTGGCAAATCTGTATTTTAGCTTCCTAGAACTATACTGAAATTTTTTCTGGAGTAATGAAGTAGTAATGAGTAATGAAAACATTAGCAATTCTAGTCATTCTTCACCACCATAACAAAGAATTCAAGATTTCTTTTTATGTGGATCTCAGAAATCTGATGACATACCTGGAGTGTTCTTCTGGAGGGAATATTTACACTTTACCTTTAGGATATCACACAACTCTCTTGTCCATTTCTAGCCAAGTCCCACAGAAGCCCTGCGGGTCACTGAGCATTGACCCCAGAAGTTAGCATTTTCTTTGTTCTCGTCTTGAAAGCTACAAGCAGATGAAAAATCTTAGATCCACGCATATGTGTGCTGTAGGGCTATGGCTTTCTTTACTAAATGAAGGCATCTTCAAACTTTGAGAAAACACTTTGCTTATGTAGCTGAAATCACATCAAATGTTTGCTTTCCTTTTCTTGTTGTTGCTGCTGATGCTATTTTTCAGGCAAACACTGAGCTTGAGACAGAGAAATCTTCAAGAGTATGTTTCATAGAGGTGTTTCAGCTTCTCTGGCAGAAAAGAACCCACAAGTTCAAAAATGAACATGGACCTCTTGAAACAGACTGTATTCTAGCCCCGATCTCAGGCAGGCTCCTGACCCACAGAAAGAACATGTTCTCCAGTATATCTGTTATCACAGAAGGAGAAAAAAGATGGAATCTGACATGGCTACAGCTTTAGGCAGACAATATTATGTATAAGCATTTTTTTTTTATAATTGACAAAGGTAGTAAAACTAAGAAAGTGATACGCTTCATTCTTTTAGTCATAAAAATGGACTTTTCTTTGGTTACTTTCACTGACTGCTTAAGTAGCTTTCCAAACTCCAAATCCTATTGAGACCTGACACAGAATTGTCTTAAGTTCTTTCTTCTCCTCTCCCTCTGGCATATCAAGGGTCAGCCTAGATGTTCCATCTCAGCGTTCTCCACATCCCTTTGCAGATGGCGGAGGAATGGGGAGGCAGGATCTTCAGTGGTAAAAGGATGTGTTAGTAGAGGAGAGCCAAGGAGAGCACACCCTTATCTGTGCTTGAAGGTGAGAGGGAAGGGGTGGTCAGTGGGTCAGCTCTGGTCCTGCTGAGGATGGCCCCGGTCTCCAGGCAGTGAGGGCTGAAGGGAGGACAGTCAAAGAGAATGGACTCAAGGCCGTCAGAGCAGGGCTGGAACCCATGACTCGCCATGAGTTTACCCGGGCATGTAGGTCCCATTTGGGACAAGGGACAGAACCTTTGAAACCAGCAGATGTCACCAGTGCATACCCAGTGAGCCATGCAAGGTCAGAGGGTCCCCCTTCCCAATGGGAGGATATGTGGGTTGTCTTCTACCCTTTACACCTGGATGCCGTCTTAGGGAGCTGAGTAGGAGAGACCCACTGGTAGAGACAAGGCGTTTCTATCTGGGAGAGACTGAAGACTGCATAAAAGAGAAGGTTCCAATGATCTGATGGAAAGGCCAGGCTGCTAACAATGCATATCACTTTTCAGCACATTTGAATTAAATGCTTTAAGTGGGCAAATGTTGCAGCTTCATCGTAGCTGCTAAACCCAAACAGTGAATCTCCAGCTGATGGATCCGCAGAGAGGAGACAATCTGAGTCCGTTTTTGATCTGTCTAAATTACACAGCAGGACCTGCTTCTTTGCCCACTGTACTCATGTAACCTGTGACCCTGTGACCTGTTTAATCTTTGATTGACCTTAAAGCATCATATGCTAAATGAATCAGTATCTCTAGTATATATTGGATAAACCAGAGGTCTAACTTGGAGACCTTTCTGAGTAAACAGTAAATACCTTTTGGTACACTAAATGTTTTTCTGCAAATCTTCCAGTCCTTTGCCACGGCCATATTTAGCTCCTTCCTTTGTTTCGCTCTCACTTGGTCCCCACTAGTAATCATCTCAGACTTTATATGGAATGCCCCTGCTTTTCCAGTGTGAAATTCTTTTTGGAGGATCTGAAACAAGGAGAATGAGTCACTGACACGAACACATCTCAAACGCTAGTATTATGGCTTTAACCACCTTCCTACAAGCTGCCAGCCCTATGCCTCCAGAAAGCTGTGCGGCTGTTCCCCTGACCTCACACACAGGTCAGCTGCTTGGAGGTCGAGGTCAGGCCAGGATGCGCAAATGAAATTGTGAGGTTCATCTTGCCCTCACGTAGCCCAGAGTAGTTGAGGGAAGAGCTGCAGGTTTGGCCTTGAACTTGGGAAGCTCTGAGTGATCAGCTGGGAAACATGGCCTGGGCACAGCCCTCTGCCTAGCTGTATTACTTAAGGTCCCCTGTGAGCTCCCGGCATCACAAAGTGTAGCAATAAACCATCACCATATGTGCCATGGTACCTCTTAATGCACATTCTGGGAAATGTCTTTCAAGGAACGCTGTTGTACAATGGAATTAATTTTCACAGGTAACTTGTAGGACCAAAAGTTTTATTTTTAAAAAAATGCTCTAAAATTTCCATGACTTCAGCACCTGGAAAAGCTGTAGAGCCTAACGGGGCATCCCATTAGACAGGCCTGAAAAAGAGCAGATGGAAATTCTGAGGGTGAAGTGAAAACAGATGGGAGCTCTGCAGGTGAAACATGAACTTGAGTATTTCAAAGTTCATATTGCTGAACGTAAAATCCCATTAAGTGCGTTCCGATAAAGAGTTAAACTGACAAGCTGCCTGGTGATCTCCCTCCTTGTGAGTTTCCAACGCATTTTGCCACGGACAGTTTCTGTGGCTGGGGTTAAAAAGTACTTCCTCCAAGGCTGCCCGCTCATTTGCAAATGGCAGGTCTTCAAGCTGCACTTTCTCCTGCCTGGGACTCCAAGGTGGCGGCCTTGTAAACAGGGAGACATGGTTCAGCCTCTTTCTTTTTCTTTTTTAGCTGGTTGCTTGTCTGTCCCCTGTAATTTCCCCATCTCCATTTAGACAGCTGTGCACCCACGGAAAGCTGTGCTGGCCAGGCAGGCCGGCTGGTGCTCTGGCCAGTCTGAAGCCTTCTGGTGTTTTGAAAAGATGTCACTTCATCCCACAAATGTCCCCTTCTGTGAAAGAGGCCAAACTGTGTGACACAGCTATCCTCCGCGCAAGAAGGGCCTGGCACTCAGCGTGGTGTTTACTAGCAGTGGGTAGTCCACCACCTGCTATTTCTTAAATGGCATAGAACTCTGCAAGTTGCAGGAGATAAATAGGTTCTAAATTTACTTGAGTCTGTGTAAGTGACCTGAACAGCCCAAAGGGAAGATTCTCTCTGATGAAGGGGCTGGCTCTTCACTTTGGTGCTTGCTTTGTGTGCGCGCGCGCGCGTGTGTGTGTGTGTGTGTGTGTGTGTGTGTGTGTGTTTTAAGAGACAGGGTCTTATGCTGTTACCCAGGCCAAGTGCAGTGGTACCATCATAGAGCTCACTGCAGCCTCAACCTCCTGTGCTCAAGCAATCCTCCTGCCTTGCCCTCCCAAGTAGCTGGGACTACAGGTGAGCACTACCACACCTGGCTAATGTTTATTTATTTTTTATAGAGACAGAGTCTCACTATGTTGCCCAGGCTGGTCTCAAACTCCTGGCCACAAGTGATCTTCCTATCTTGACCTCCTGAGTAGCTAGGAGTACAGGAGCCACTGTGTCTGGCTTGGTGCTTGCTTTATGATGTCAGACTGCAAGGGAGAACTGGAAGGGGAGTTGGGGGTTGTGTCGATCTTTTCTGTCCATTGTCCCAGCTGCTAGCTGCATAGAATCCAACACCAGACTTTCCCAGGAGGAGGAGGATGATATGCATTTATCTAACATCATCTCTCTGGGTTGACTTTCCTGTATTCATAGAGGAAAAGTTTATAGGATAGGGAGTTCTTAGTCAAGTGGTCAGGGGTGGGGAGGTTTGGAGGTGCAACCTTTCTGGTATTTTTCCCAAGAGTCCGAATTACCCTTCTTAAATCAAAAAGCACATGTGAATCCCAAAGGAGCTCAAATTGTAGATGTGGGTGTAGTTTGCTTAATTCACAGGGGCTGAAATGTAGGAGCTCTGAAAGAGTCCCATAAAGGAGTAAAACTCGTGCATTTTTCTGAGATTTTAAATATGTGAGATGTTACACATCTAGATGCTTCCAGAAGCTATGACAATAAACGTATTTAACAATCATGCCAGCAAACAAATGATGCTGGTTTTGCACAACTGGTCCAATGACACCAGGGACACCTGTGGGAGTATCAGCCTTGCTTCAATGTGCCCACAAGGCTGCAGACTGCCTAAGTACTGTATCTGAAGCTCAGTGGTTTCGATGGTATCTTTAGAGCCCAAATTGATTGAATACTCACTCTCAATAAAATAGGAATAAAAATTTGCCTTGTAAATTTGTTGTAAAAATAATGCCTGATGCGAAGTGCTTATTAAGTAGCACTTGCTATTATTATTCAGCATTCTTCAGACTAGAACATAGTAAAAAATTTTTTTTATTATACTTTAAGTTCCAGGGTACATGTTCACAATGTGCAGGTTTGTTACATATGTATACATGTGCTGCACCAGTTAACTCATCACTTGTTGGTGTGCTGCATCCATTAACTCGTCATTTACATTAGGTATTTCTCCTAATGCTTTCCCTTCCCCCGCCACCAACCCCACGACAGGCCCCAGTATATGACATTCCCCACCCTGTGTCCAAGTGTTCTCATTGTTCAATTCCCTCCTATGAGTGAGAACACGCGGTATTTGGTTTTCTGTCCTTGCGATAGTTTGCTCAGAATGATGGTTTCCAGCTTCATCCATGTCCCTACAAAGGACATGAACTCATCCTTTTTTATGGCTGCATAGTATTCCATGGTGTATATGTGCCACGTTTTCTTAATCCAGTCTATCATTGATGGACATTTGGGTTGGTTCCAAGTCTTTGCTATTGTGAATGGTGCCTCAATGAACGTACGTGTGCATGTGTCTTTATAGTAGCATGATTTATAATCCTTTGGGTATATGCCCAGTAATGGGATCACTGGAAATTTTTATTTTTTATTAGTTTTTATATGTTGATGCTGACAAGGTCTCTGTTTGAGATGCACCTAGCTTTGTTTGTTTTAAACCACTTTATTGAAGTATGATTAATGTACTAAAAGCTGTACATATTAAATGTGTACAACTCGATGAGTTCAGGGATAAGTGTGCACCTGTGGAACTGTCATGGCCATCAAGGCCATAAACGTATTCATCACCTCCATCACTGAAACTTTGTACCCTCTAACCAACACCCTGTCCTCACACCAAGCTTGTTTTGAGTATTGAATGTATCATAAACAATCTAACATGTCGAATCATTTGATGGCATTTTCATTTGTTAAGCCTGGCAACCCTAGCCAGATTAGAAGAAGCAATGGCTAGTTGTGGAGTGGCCATCATGTATCTTAGGAAGGCACGTCCCTCAATATGTAGAAGATTTGGCACCCAAAGCCTGGGTAAACCAGTGAAGGGGGCATGCGTGACTATTGGCCTGCAAGCTGAATCCCAGCAGTTTACAATTCTCTGTGCTCTGGAGACTCTCTGTGCTGTTTTGCTTCAAGCAATCTTGTTTAATTTGTACCTTAACAATCTAGAACCTTGCAGGAGGCCATAAATGTCTGGCCTCTGTGAAGTCGAGATGAAACAAACAGCCTCTTTAATGAAACTAGGGCAAGTGACAGAGTTAGAGTTAAAATTCGGCCATTTTTATTCCGGAATTCTTGCTTAAAATATCCAGGGGTAGACATCTCCGAAACCTAAAATTCAGCAGCCACATGAGATGTGGAACATGAGGCCAGTTCATGAGATGCTACTTGGTAAATGGAGAACTTACAAGTCTAGTGATGTATCTGATTATGTGGCTGTGTAAAAATTGCTTGTGACTTTAAAAAAACCTTCTAGGTTTTTTCCTACTTCTAGGTAACAATGGGAAGCCAGGGAGACATTGTTGTAATACCAAAAATGTGCAAGAAATGTTTACTAAAAGTTTTTGTTGAAAGACATTTGTAACAATGAGATTTTCCCCAAGGAGCTGATGATTCAAGTAGTGGTTGTTGTTTATGTGTGGGTACAAAAATCACTGTCACTTAGCTAAAGTTTAACACATTAGTTCAAATAACAAATAGGTCTCTGAAAAAAAAAAAAATAGCCTGGTTTCTTAAATGGGCTTATTTGGGTAGCTGCTGTAGTCTGGTAAGACAATCATAGTGACTTTAGTCACCTGGGTTGTTGCAACAAATTACCGTAGGCTGGGTGGCTTGAACAACACACTTGTTTGTCACAGTTCTGGGGGTTGAGTGGTCCAAGATCAACTTGCCAGCAGATCCGTTGTTTGCTGAGAGCCTGCACGCAGGGCTGCTTCCTGGTGGTCATCTTCTCACTGTGTCCTCATGTGGCAGAGAGCAGTCATGTCTCTTCTTTTTTTTACCTTTTATTTTTTGAGACAGGGTCTCACTCTGTTGCCCAGGCTGGCATGCAGTGGCATGATCATAGCTCACTGCAGTCTCAAACTCCTGGGCTCAAGCAGTCCTTCCACTTCAGCCTCCCAAGGTTCTGGGATTACAGGGGTGTGAGCCACCACCCTCAGCCATGTGTCTTATAAGGCCACTAATCCCATTCATGAGGGTTCTATCCTCATGAGCTAATTTCCTCCCAAAAGCTCCATCTCCGAATACCATCACATTGGGATTTAGACTTCAGCATATGAACTTTGGGAGGATAAAAACATTCAGTCCATTGCTGTGGTTAAAAACTTTTATGTGGCCAGAGGACAGTAGGGTATCCAAACATAGGAGGCAAAGGCATGGAAAAACAGAAGAAAACAGGACCTACTCAAATGGGATCTGGAACACCATCATTTGGGTCTTACAAATGGCCTCATAGGCAGGTGAAAGGAAAAACCTAGAATAAAAAATCTTTTACCAAAATTGAGGGAAGAAGGCTGACTTAAAACAAATAGTGATTTTATCTCCATGTTTTAAATATTCCATATGACAGCGCTAATATAATTGGCATTTTCACTTTATAGTTGCTGGTAAAAGGAACATACTTTCCTCGATACGTCTAGAAATCCTTGGCATAATGGGCCAGATGCTCTGTTTTTGAGGCAGAAGATGTCACATCTCCTGCAGGTCCCTTTGCTGCTCTTCACTGTGGGGTGGATTCTCATCAGCCATGCCTGGAAAAATGCAAGGGGGCTGAGACTTCTGTCCCATTCCCTGAAGCCAACCTGGCTCTGATAACTGCCCAGGCCGGAGTGGCTCTTCAAGGTGTGACAAAGAATGAGACCCTTCAATTCTTCCCTGGACACCAGTGATCAAACTCACCATTCAAACACAACTAATATATCCCACAGATAGTACCTACTGTGTAGTATGCCCAGTGAAACAAAGCGGGCATATAACCTGCCTCCATGGAGTTTAATGTTTAGAGCGGGAGACAGAGAATTAGCGGGATACAGGGAATTATTGGTAAATAACAAAGAGTAAAACACTGAAGTCTGAGGTATTGCAGATACACAGCAATGAAGGAAAACAGTAGGGCATACCTTTGAGGATGAGGAAAGGGGAATATAAGGTGGTCGGGGAAGAAGATTTTTGATAAACTCAAATGATTTAAGATATTTCTGGACTGCCTTGTTAACACTTCAACATTATATATGCTCCTGGAATTTTTTGCCTTTTTAGTCAGATCTCACACTTTAACTCATAATGAAAAGCAGGTAAAATGTGGGTATCTGATGAGGTTGAAAGTTCACACAAATGGAAACTGTCAATTTGAAGCATATAGCTTACCATACCTTCATTTATATATAGTGAAATTGATTGTGGTGATCAGTATTAAAATCTCACAAAGTAGTTTTCATCTTCAATGCAGTTTCAGCATTCCAACGAGGTATGTAATATTGTCTGTAATTTCTAGGAAGGAGAGGAGTAATTTCAAGTCAGAGACAGATTCTAAGTTAACACCCACTTCTGTGGTATGGCTAGCCTGATAGACCACATTTTCTCTCTCTGTCTCTCTCTCAACTTCCCCTTATTACTCTAATTCTGGTAAGCACTCCCCCAACTTCACCATCTTCCTTCCTCTGAATAATTTGTCAGTATTTTTAATGATCACAGCTGCTCCAGGTCCAGGACCCTAAAATTCTGGGAACCAGGATGGGCTCAATTGCAGGAAAACCGTGGGTCTTCCCAGATGGGAGAAATGGAGGCCCTCATTGCTCAAGTCAGTAACTCCTCAGGCAGGCAGCAGAATCTGGCTTTCAGAAAGGGCCAGCACATTTCTTTCTCCATCCCAGAAAGCCTTCGAGGAACCTGCTCGAAAGTGGCAGGTATCCAGGGGTCCCTTCAATCCCTGAGGATGTGTGATTCTTTTGAGTAATGGTTCCTACGGTGCCTGCAGCCACTTAAGATTTTATTCTGGAAGCCAAATCAAGAATGTTTCCCATTTCTTAGGTGTTTTTCTAATGAGAGGAGGTAATGAGAGCCTGAGAATTCTGGTGATGGTCCACATACCTAAACAATGTGGATAGTCTTCAGCTGCTGCTGCTTCTGCAAGCCAAGAAAATAAAAACCCTTACAAGCACCACACACATATACCATACACACACATGCACCACAGACCACACATACACTACACACCTATGCATGCACACACACACACACACACACAGAGCATACACATCCCATACACACCATACATGCCACACACATTACTCATACACACACCACACCCCTAACACCCCACACATGCCACACACAAATGCATATACAACACACGTGTGCACACAAACTACACATATACACCAAACACATACACATCATACCCACCACACACATACTGCACGTGGTACACATGCCACTCACACACACCACACTCCCCACATATGTCACACACACCACACACACTAAACATGCACATGCACCACACATCACACACATACACATGTGCACACACATGTACATGCACCACACACATAACCTGATATATCAAAAATCCCAGGGCTCACAAGCAAAGAGAGATTGCAGGTCATGGGCTTATTTTAAAACACAGATGACCACAATTCGTAGTTCTTTGCACACAGTGAACAAAAGTTTGTTTTCCTTTTTAATCTTAAAAATACCTGTCTTGCAACAAACTCTGAATGATTCATTTTTTTCTCATATCACTGTTAGGTCAGCAGAGCAAATGTTATTTTTGTTTCACAGTTGGGGAAACTTGCCAAGATAGGTGGTGGCTTCTCCTCATTTTGTGTCTGGCCACGAACTCAAGACGTGTATTTCTATTCTGGTGGAATAGAATCAATGAGCATCTGCTGCTCTCTTAGAGTTAACTTATACCCAGGATTTGGGGAGACTTTCAAGTGCCCAGTTCTACAAATTTTTTTAAATCTAGGCCAGAAACCTTACCAGGCAATTTGTTGTATAGAAAATTTATAAAATAATAATGACCTATATAAACCAAACAAACAAATGACCTATCCAGTTGTAAGCTTTTCTCATGAAATTTAACTGTTTCAAAGTGAGTACATGATCAATTTGAGGCTTGGGTGTAATTCCTTAGAGTCTCATCATTGAGATCTCCCAAAAATTGAGAAGAAATATTTGAAAGGGGAAGGAATTAAAGTGATTTGTGGATTTCTATATTGGAAGATTTTTATGCTTTTCCACCCTGCTAGGTTTTTGCCTCAGCATAAAATGGATTCAATGGAACGACTGTGTTTTGCCGATGAACAGCTGGTTTTCTCTTTTTTCCCCTCTGAATTAGTGATTCATGATTTATTTTGGTCTTGTGAAGACACATTCTCAGATTGTGATGACATACACAAACCATTTGACTGAATTCAGTAAAAATACAGTAAAGTAAACCCAAAAGGATAAACAGGACGGTTGCATTCCAGCAAACATTTGTTTTTACTGAGACGATCACAGATAACCAGTTTGATTGCGTCTCCCTCTTTTAGACGGTCATCCCAAGTCCTGAAGGACAATGATTAAACAATGGAAGTGGACCTCTCTGTGTTCCAGTCTCCTCTCCCGACAAAATGTGTTTGTCATGAAAGGGAGCTTAATTTTTAACATGGTTGAATTACTAAACACTTGAATTAAACATTCTCATGAGGGCTTATCTCCTAAAGAAGGCATTCTGTTTCCTTAACACTGGAATGGGCGTTTCATGAAGTATCATAAACAGTTTACGATTTAAGAAGAAAATGTAGTAACCTCCCCTGGATTAGGAAGGGTTCTGTGGCTGTAGCTTGTTACTGGCTGGAGACTGCTGAGATCGAAGGCCATCAACCTTGGAGATGCTGGCAGGGGAAGCTTTGCCTCTTTTCCTGGTCTATAGTGAGATGAGGTAGGACTGCAGGAAGGGCTGGAAGGTGGCCTGCAGTTAACAAGACGTCTCTCTGCCCACTGAGCTGTTTCCCTCACGTTTCACTGATGATTTCACAAGTGTGCATTTTATTTTAACGCGAGGATAATATTTACTCTTGGTGCGCATGAGGCAGGCATAGCTAGTGTGACAGACATTTGGAGAATGTTTAAAGGCTGTGAGTGCATTGAGTATCTGAAAATTAGGGAGAGAGGACCCATGAAGCCTGTTCCATTTATTACATCTGTATAAAAATTACTCCAAGATGAAGTGGCTTAAATCAATGGCAACATTTTATTTTGCTAATAGATTTATAATTTGGGCAGGGCTCAGGAGCAACAGCCTATTTCTGCCTTGCTTGGCCTCAGCTTGGGAGGTTCAAAGGCTGGAGCTAAAATCGTCTGAAGCCTCATTCACTCATGTGACTGTTGATGCTGACTGACTGATGTTGGCCAGAACACTTACACATGGCTCTTCATATACCTTGGGCTTCCTCACAACATGGCAGCTGGGTTGTGAGGGCAACAACCCTGCGAGAGAGAGAAAGACGACTAGGGGAAGCATATCACCTTTCTGACCCAAGCTTTGGAAGCCAGGAAGCATTACAGTGCTTCCTGTGGGTTCCGTTCTGAAGTGCTTGCAAAATCTGGCCTGGGTTTAAGGGGAGCAGAAATTGGTTTCACATCTTGATGGGGACTGGTAAGTTTCTGGAGGAGGAGATGGAACTAGAAATATTGCTGCACCCCAGTTTTGGGAAAATCCTCCAGAGGGTCCATGAAAGGAGCATCTAGTAGGTCTGTAGGAAGATGGAAACACACACAGCTCTTACTTTGCCCATACCCTGGTGCCCCTGGAGCAGAAGTCCTGATGTGGTGATATCATTTCTATGCCTTCGAATAGAAATGAAATTCAGAGACACATTTTGAATTACTGTGAATCTGATAATAAACTTTCATAGCATTGTCTAACTTAAGTGACTCAACAACTGCCTTGTGAAGTGGGAAAGGCAGGCATAAG
Source organism: Homo sapiens (assembly GCF_000001405.40). NCBI lineage: Eukaryota > Metazoa > Chordata > Mammalia > Primates > Hominidae > Homo > Homo sapiens. The sequence continues at coordinate 22,130,157 of NC_000013.11, forward strand.
CCTCTCCATTTTGAGGAGGAGGAAGCTGAGAACTGAAAAAGTTTAAATGACTTTTTGAATGCCATAGATTGCATAAATGTCAATATTGGGACTCAAATTCACATCTTCAGATTTCAAATCTGGTGTGTCTTTTGTTCTAACCACGTTGAACCTGAAGAAGAAAAGACCAAAGCAAATACATAATCAAATGGGTTATATTCTGAGATTACAGTAAGAAGGGGCAGGAGATTAAAGTGAGATTGACAAAATTAAAAATATTCAGAGGGTATTTTTTGCTGTCTAATGTGCTTTTTTTTTGCTGAGTAATGATACATTTAAAACCTTAATGCTCATTTATTAAAAAAAAAAACTTTATTAGGAGCCTACTGCATGCCCAAAATGATGGTGGTATAAGTATAAATGGCAAGATTACTGATTTCAAGGCTCTATTAAGCTCACTGGGAGAAACAGACATATAAAAGTCAATGGTATATGTCCTTTTTAAAATGATAACAATGAAATGGTATTGTATTATGCTCCCACTCCACATCAAAATTTCCATGAACACTAGAAAAAAACCTTTGAAATGATATAATTAGAGCACTGGAGAACTTAATAGGTGCCATGATTATGAGTAATCTAGAAATTTTGAGGAATTTCAGAAAGAAGGATAGCAGCTGGAAATGGATAGAAAAAGTAGAAACAGGGAAGATATACCCCCAAATGTAACCAGAAGCAATCTTTTTTTTTTTTAAGATCAGTTCCAGAGGTAATTTAAGCCCGTAGTGAGTAAATCATGAACTCTGAAGGATTTTTATGGGGCGATTGTCAGACAATGGATTAATTTTCTGTGTCTGTAGCAGATGTGCCAGACGAGCTCTACTTGGCTTTCCTTCCGGTGCTGAGCATCTGGCAGCAGCAGTGTTCACACCCAGGGTAAAACCTAAAAATTAAATAACCCCACAAATGGAAAAGAGAACGAGATCCCAGTTTGTGGGAACTTTGGGCTCACCAGTACCTACATGAAAAAATGCAAACAAGGAAGAAGAAAATGTAATCGCTGACTCAAATATTTGTCCACAGCTAAAATTGAGAATGTTCTCCAAAATGGAAATTGAGATATGAGAAGTTACTGCAGTGGACCAGGCCCAGAGAAGCAGATAAGATGCAGGAGGAACAGGTCAGCTGTTTAGGTCTGTTCTCTCCATCACCCAGGGCATCTGTCAATATGTGGATGGAGATTCTCATTTGGGCTAGAGTCAGCTGAAACCCTCAGCTACAAGTAAAAGCAGACACCCAAACCACCAGTATTTGATTGGTGGTAAAATAAAAAATAACAAAACACCGCCACACGTATACACATAAAAGAGAATCACCATGGGGACAGAATTGGTAGTGCCAGTAGACGAAAACTTGAAATATAACCTTAGGGAGATTTGAGGAGCTTTGATGAAAAGGCTGTATCAAAAATATGTCTCGGAAATTCAAAATATGTCCATCAAAATGAAAAAAATTAGATATGTTGAACGCAGAATAAATACAGCTAAAGATTGAATTATCCAACTGGGCAGTTGAGTCTGAGTTATGCAATACAAAAAGTAAGAAACAGGCCAAGTATGGGGGAAAAAAAGCTAACGGATATGGAAGATGGATCTAGAGATTAAATATCCAGCTGTGGATCCCAGAAGGAGAGAACAAACAGAATGAAGAGTCAGGAATTCCCAAAAGCTGAAGAAGCTCATGACTCCTGAGACTAAGGGAGACTTAGAACTGATAAGGTTTGCCAAGCAAGATACACGACTGCACATGGGCTAGCGAGGTTATAAGCACCAAACAAAAAAAGAATCATAAAACTTTACACAAAGAAAAATCAGTTAACTACAAATTAAAGAGGATCAGCTCAACATCAGACTTCTCATCATTGATAGAAAACAATGTAGATAACAATGGAGAGTGTCTTTAAAGTCATTTGATAAAAAACAACTTGGAATGTAGAATTGTTTCATACTGAGTTATTTTTTCATTCAAGTGTGAAGGTGAAATAAAAATGCTTGTAAGTAATGAAAGCCTTATAAAAATTACCCACAATAGGCATTTTATAAAATAATCACTCAAGGAGGTATCCAAACATGATTAAGGAAAAATATAAAAAAGATGATGGTATGAGCTATAAGAAAGGGTGGCACACAAGGAAATCAGTGTAGTGCCTAGCTGAATTTCCGTAATTGTTGATGTATGATTTGAAAGAACACAAGCCCCTCCTCCCTTGGTAAAAATTCAGAAATGTAAACTCCATATAATTTCAACATGGGAAACAGTGAAAAATAAGAAAAGAAAGCTTGTGAAACATTGCCAAGGTCCTTAGTCTGTTTGCGGCGAGGCGGTATATAGAGTAATTCTAGACAGCAACAAAAAAATCCACATATAAATACATGCTAACATTTTAATGACAACCCTTCCAAATATGATTAAAATGCATATCCTAACTGAATAAGAAAATTTGGGTGGGAAATTGATCAGTTTACAAAAAAGACTCTCAAAAATAATGATCAGAAACCGGATGATGGAAAACAGAAAAAATAGCCACCTCTTTCACTCCTCCTAAATATGGCAGGAAAATATGGATAGCCTGTTAGTAATTATCTAAATGTGAACATGTTTGTCAAAAAGAACAGGGTATCCTGTACCATGTATCCTTTTCAACTTGTTTCTTCCATTTAATATCATGTTTTTTGTGTATATCTTTGTTTTTTGATACAATACAATTTAGGTTAGTGCGCTCTCTCTCTCTCTCTCTCTATATATATATATTTTATTTTATTTTATTTTATTTTTTATTTTTTTTGAGATGGAGTCTCGCTCTGTTACCCAGGCTGGAGTGCAGTGGCGCGATCTCAGCTCACTGCAAGCTCTGCCTCCTAAGTTCATGCCATTATCCTGCCTCAGCCTCCAGAGTAGCTGGGACTACAGGCGCCCGCCACCACGCCCGGCTAATTTTTTGTATTTTTAGTGGAGATGGGGTTTCACGTGTTAGCCAGGATGGTTTTGATCTCCTGACCTCGTGATCCGCCTGCCTCAGCCTCCCAAAGTGCTGGGATTATGGGCATGAGCCACCGCGCCTGGCCAGGTTAGCAATATTAATTGCTCTAAGGTATACCTTGTATGAATAAATTGCGTTTCATTCACTTATTATCCTCATTCAAAGCCAGTTATGTTTTTTCTATTTTTTTCACTATTAGAATAATTCAGTATACACTTTGCGTATTTTCATATGCACAGGAGAGCTAATTCTGGGTGAGTGTTGGGTGATAGAATTGTAGGGTTTCAGGTGATCGGCATCTCCGATTTTAGGAGATATGGCCTAATTGCACTCCAAAGTGATAAATAATTGTTTAATTCATTTAAATGGGCTCATGCAAATGAAAAAGTACTGAGGATGCATGAAGTCAGGCTGACACACACTTCAGAACAGTTGTTATCTATGAGGAAGGCAGGAGGGAGAAGGTGGGAAACTTTGGACTGGATCCATAATATTTTATTTCTTTAAAGGGATTGAAAACTAAACTAACATGATAAGCTGTTCTCTGTTAAATCTGGATAGGGAATACAAGAGCATGTGTTATGCTATTTCCTCATCTTTATTTGAAACATTTCATAATGACATGTATTAGAGATGAAAATTCCATATGTATTGGTGTAAAGAAGGGAGGGTACAAAAGGAAACTTTCACAGTTTAACTGTTGGGGAACAAATAATTCATTATCTGGTGACAGATGATCAATAGCAAGGAGTTAGAAAAGAGCAGGACACTTTTGGTGGAAGGCTGCACTGGTGAGAGATGGACAGGAATTTAGACTCAAGGACCAGGATTGGGCCAGATTATTAGAGGTCCTGAGATTCTGGGCAGAGTTTCTGAATTTCCCAGAAGCCATCTGAAGGGTGAGTTGAGGTGGAGAAATATTCGAAGCAGGAAGGCACATTAGAACATGCAATACTGTGGTTATGAAGGATGAAGAAGTTAAATAAACCGTGGCAGGATGGACAGGCATGACAGCAAACTGAATATGAAGAATGATCACCACGGGAAAGTCGCAAAGCAATCCTCCTAAATTTGGGGATGGAGAATGGTGCCATTAAGACAATAAATACAGAAGATAGATGAAGCTGGGAAGAAAGATACTTAGTTGGATTTGGGACACTATGGATGTGAAATGCACATGCAATTTGCAGATGTTCAGTAAGTAATAGGAAAGACTTTTTGTTCTCAAATGCTCATGACGCATGCTTTATATGCATTATTTATTTATCCTTACAATAACCCACATCATGTCTGACGTAACTGACGCTGAGCTACACATGTTAGCTGAACTCAAAACCAGGATTGTCTCACTTCACAAGGAAAGAGAACACAGCTAGCAGTACTGAGTGCCTTCTAGGACATAACCATTCCCCAAATAACTTAGAGTCTGCTATCAACTCTATTTTACAGATGAAACAGTTCAGGCCTGGGATGCGTGAAGGCACCTACGTGCCTGAGGCTGCCTTCCTGGTTAGAGCCGGGCTCAGGTTGGCTGCAGACCTCATGGTGTGTGTGGCCTCACTTCACTCCTCTAGCCTCAGTTCATTACTGCACCCGCTGTCGCCATTCCGAGTAGTAATGGGGTAAGCTGCACACAGCATGCAGAAGAATGCCTAACATGCAGGACAGTGCTCAAGGCCAGCCAGTTATTTTTCATTATGGAACAAGGTTGTGCATCGGATATTACTTTTATTCTCTAAATAATGGCAATGATTCACCCACATCCACCCACCAGGGAGTGGTGGAGCATATGTGGAATCCAGGTTCCCCTTCCTTCAATCCTACAAGTTTCTCATGGTGCCTCCACCTTTCTTTTTTTAATACTCACTTCCAGGAAGCCTGAAATGCCTTCCCTCAAAAATACATTTACCTCAACATGCATGTAGTGAAAGCGTGTTGGTGTCTGAAAGAAGAGACCTCTTCATTTATCTGGAAAGTCTACCTGCAAGCTCTTTTCTCACTGACACTGTGTATAATTACTTTTTCCGGATGTACTTAAGCCCCATCACCGTGCTCTCTGCTACTCTGCGCAGGATCTGCGGTGCAGCTGCTGAGGGGTGCCTTTCGGGACTGGCCTCTGTGGAGGCTGCTCTGGGCACCCAATATTGAATCCACCTCTTGAAAGCCGTGAAGCTATGCAGTCCTAAGAGAACACTTTATTTTTACTGGCGAGAAGAAGATCACTTTCGACACATTGCTGTGCAATTCGTAAAAGAAAAATTATGAGAAAGGCTTATAATTTTTTCATGACATGGAATGACAGCAGGAAGTTACGCTGGAAAAGGAGTAATGCACGCTGACATAGCTTTGAGGACAATCTCCCCAAGACATACCGGGACCACACATGGGAGGTGATTACACTCCAGTTAAATTCCTTTCACTCACTTCTGTACAAAAGCTCTGCTGTTTCTCTTTGATCCTCCAGAGGATATCTTCTCTCTGTTGTGTGGACTGTGGCCACTGGCTACTCCTGTCTCTCATGATAACCTTGTCGATTTTGGACTGCGCCTTCTCTGCTGCTATTATGAGAGCTGGCTTTATTCTCAGTTCAGAGGCAGCAGTGCTCAGCTTTTGCTGAGAAAATGCTAAACGTTAAATGTTATCACACATTTTGCTTTTCAATGATAAAAGGACCAAGAGGAACCACCTCTTCCCGACTAAATAACTCTGGGATACTGCAAAGAAAGCATTTCTCTCTCTCTGGTGTTTACAACTCAAGGCTTAGATCAGTAGTAAAGATAAACTCAGGTGAAATTCCTTTGTCCTGGATTGAGTGGTGAAGAAATTACTTACCTAAAATCTAAACAAATATGACTGTTTAGTTTCAGAATGTTCTAAGGTGTGTTTTTGTTTTTTTAGTTCAGTTTCAAATTACACAAAGTATAATTCAGAGAACATAATTCAGTGCTCACACACCCTAGAAATGATTTAAGAATTAAATTCACTGCTTTTCTGAGCCCTGACATTACTCTGATTTTAGTTCTGGGCACCTCAGCTTCCTTCTCCTATCTCTGTCAACATTTCTACCTTCTTTTGACTTCCAGCTATTCTCATCCACTGTCCTCTGGTTTCCCTGGGGCCTCTCAAGCTGTCTTGTATGGCTGATTTGAATTGATGGCCACAATGATAATTCATAATGATTGGGCTTTACAGCACACATAAAAATCCAAGGATTCTGTGAGATCCATATTTGCAGCTAGCAATTTTCAAGGACTTGAATTTTAAGACCAATGGCAAATATGATAATAAATATCTTCAAAACAATGCAAATTGCCAGGGGCAACAATTTGGATATTTCCTGTTAGCCATGTCAGACAATTTTAGGTTCTGTATTCAACAAATTCTGCAACGATTGTTTCATTATGAACTTGGCCCCAGGAGTGTGCTGGGGGCACAGTGGACATTGTTATTTTTTCCTGCATGGAGCTTATAGTCTGAGGAGGAGGCAGATGACAACCAAATAGCTGCTCACACAGCAGTCACAGCAAGGTGCCCTTGGAGCATGTGGGCCCCTTTAGAGGCCTGGCAGAGTCTAAGTGGGCCTCCAGAGGGTTTCCCATGAAAAAGTGACCACGGAGCTGAGATCTGAAGGGCGTCTGAGATTCATAGATGAGGGGAGCATGTTTTAGCTCAGGGAAGAGTGGAGGCAAGGACTGGGGGCAGAAGGGAACATGGCCTATTCCAGGACCCGAAGGACGGGCTGTGTGGATTGAGCTTGCAGAGGGAAGGGAGAAGCTGGGAGGCTCAGAACCCTGGGGCCACAGTGAGGATTTTGAACCTCATCCTAAGAGTAAAAAGAGGTATGTCGCAGACTCTTCCTAGCCCTCAGCTTTGGGGCCTTGGCTTACTAGATAAAGGAATGCCTGGCTGTGTGTTATTTCTGGAAAACACCCTGCTGCTGGCAGAACCCTAATGAGGGAAGGGGGTACAGCACCCCTTTCAGGACCTTTCACAGACAGAGGAGGGGTGTGGGCCGGGAAGTTCATTGTCGTAAGGCCTTAAATCATACCACATATTCAGCACTCAAATCCCCTACCCACAAGTGCAGTTCTGGCTCCTGAAATTTGGGTGAATAAGTAAACAGCTGATGCTGCTGGGTCTTTCCTGGGTCCAAGACTCCCCTGCTCTGGGTCTTCCTCTTGGTGACAGCGGACTTGGGCTCCTGGGCTGGAAGATTCCCAAGATGTCAGTTTAGTTCTGGAGTGAGTTTTTTTTAAAAAAATAATTTATTTTGTATCTAGAGTGTGCAACATGATGTTTTAATACACATACTGAAATGGTTACTATAGTAAAGCAAATTAACATATCTATTAGATCACATGGTTACCCTTTTTTTGTGGTAAGAGCATCTAACATCTGCTCTCTTAGCACATTTCCCGTATACAATACAAGATTATCACTCTAGTCTTGAAAATAGCAAACATTTGTCTTATCCTCCCTCCTTAAGCTCCCCTAACTACTTCATTCTACCTTTCATTTCTCTTTATGTCCTGAACCCAAATAACCCTTATAAGCCTTTTAAATGAATACAGTTTTGTTGAATATTAAACATATGTTTAGCTTTGTAAAGATGTGGGGGTTCAATAAATATAATCGACCTAGATGTAGGAACTGAAACTATAAAATTTCTCAAAATACAGAAGAAAATGGTTGTGACTATCAGTGAGGCAGAGGTTCCTTGAACTGGGCAGCAACAGCACAAAATAAAACACCTATAAATGGCACTTCGTAAACAACAACAAAACTTTTGCTTTTCAAAGGCACTGTTAAGCAAATAAAAAGTCAAGCCAGACACTGGGAGAAAATATTACAAATCACATGTCTGACAAAGGGCTTGTTTTGAAACACGAAAGGAACTGTTACAAGTCAGTAAGAATGTGAACAACCTAGGAAAAATTGGGCAAGAGATGTGAACAAACACTTTACCAAGAAGTGATAGTTTGCATCCCTAGTCATTAAAAAACTGCAAATGAAATGCACAATGAGACACAATTACACACCCACTAGAATGGCTAAAATTTAAAAGACTAATCATAGCAATTGTTGGCAAGAATGTGGAGCAACCGGATGCTCATAAACTGCTGTTAGGAATATAAAATTTCTTTGGAAAACAATTTGACAGTTTCTCAAACAGTTAAACATATACCTACCATATGACCCAGCCATCCCACTCTGGGTAATTCTCCAAGAGAAATGTAAGGAAATACTCACACAAAGACTTGCACATGAGTGAATGTTCATAGCCCTGTTTGTAGCAGTCAAATCTGCAAACAACCCACGTAGCCTATCTATCACTCAGCAATAAAGGCTATTGGTCTTTGCTACAACACGAGTAGGGCTTTAAAAGCCATGTAAACAAAAAGTACATAACAGTCCATTCATCTAAAATTCTAGAAAATGTGGACCAATCTGGATATAGGAGGATAGACTGGAGATGAGTAATTTCCTGAGGACAGAAGTGGGGACAGGGTGGGTTACAGAGGGGCATGAGGGAACTAGTGAAGCTGAAGGGAAGATTAGCTTGATTGTGGTGATGGTTTTTTGTATGTAAAATTCATCAGATTGTACACTTTATGTACAATTTATTGTATATTAGTTCTACCTAAGTAAAGCTGGAAAATGCTAGGAGCTGTCCTTGTCTTCTAGAGCCGTACATTCAGATGGATCTAATCAGACCTAGTCTTGCTGACCTGATTTAGAGGAGTTCAGGTCTTTAGAATTGTTTTAACCTCTTGGGGGTCGGGGATCTCCAATCTAGCATGCCCTGAGGTGTCTCTGCTGCTCCTGGGACCATTCTGAGCTACAAAATAATAAGTAGAGACGCATAAGCTCATGCTCTGGCATTTTGGGAGGAGAAAAGCCTCAGAGAACTGTAGGGGGAATGAGTTCAGAGCTATCTCAGCAAAACAACTGAGACCTACTGAATCGATCTACTTGCTAAATACTGTACTGGGTTAAATACCGCAGGCATTTAATCTTCACGATAACCTTGTGATTCATATCCTCCTTTTATAAAAAGGAAACTGAGTCAGAGAAGATAAGTCACTTGCTCTTGAAATCTCATTCAGGTGTTCAGGGTTTACGGGATTGCTTCTTTGAGGCTCGTGATGGTTTCCGATAGCACTTGAGCTATTTATTTTTATGTTACAATGAGGTTCATATGTTACAGATTTTTCAAGCAGTGTTGGCCGTGGTATAGGCAATGGCTAGCTTATCATGGGTGTCTTGGACAAAAGAAATTGTCATATCATTTCATCCCCCAGTAACAGAAACCACTCCATGACTATGAGCTCACTGCTGTTTACTCATAATTTCTTTTAAAGTTGATATATAGCAAAATCCACTCTTTTTAGTGTACAGTTCTATTAATTTTGACAAATGCATTGAGTTGTATAAATAACCACCAGTCAAGATATAAAATAGTTTCCTCACCCCCTTCCCTAAATTTCCATTGTTCGCCTTTCAGTCAGACATTCCTCCCATCCCAAACCCCTATCAATCACAGATCTATTCTCCATTCCTCTAATTTTATATTTTCTAGGATGTCAGATGAATGGAGTTATACAGGATGCAGTCTTTGAGTCTGGCTTCTTTGCCTTAGATGAATGCATTTGAAATTGATCAGTGCGGGTGCCTTTGGTGGCCATTTGTTCTTTTTTGTTGCTGGGTGTACTCTTTTGTGTGGATGTAACACAACCTGCCTAGCCACTCCCTCATTAGGGCACAGAAGGATTGTTCCTGGGTTTTGATGATTATGAATATGGCTCCTATAAACATTAGCATACAGGATTTTGTGCAAATGTAGATTTTCATTTCACTTGGAGAAAATATTTAGGAGGTGTTCTTCTGGATCCCTCATGCTCTGTTCATTATTTGTTTTCCAGCTTTTTTCTCTGTGTTTGATTTCTGTTAGTCTATCTTCAAGTTTTTCCCCTTATCTCCGTTCTGCAATTGAGCTCATCCAATGATTTTTTTAAATTTAAAGTATTTCATTTTTTAGTTTAGAATTGTCCATTGTTTGCATCGTTTCTATTTCCCTCTGAGATCTTCTTTTTTTTTTTTTTTTTTTTTTGTTCATTTGAAGATTGCTCACTTTTACCTCATGGAGATGATTTAAAAAAAAAAAAACTGCTCTAACATCTTGGATGATTCCAACATCTGGGCATCTGTGGCTTGTCTTTTTCCCTGAGAATTTTTCAGATCTTCCTGGTTCTTTGGATGTTGAATAATTTTGAATTGTTTCCTGAGCATTTGAATGTTGTGTTGGGAGACTTTAAAATCCTCTGAAGAGTATTGATTTCTTTGTCTTAGTAGACCTTCGGCCTGTTTCAGTGCAGACCACAGTTCTATCTCACCTGCTGTGGGTGTTGGTGCAAACGTCAGTACAGTCTGCAAAGACTTCTGTGATATTAGGGTTGCCACAGGCTCCCCTCAGTGTGGGTTTGGGATCTGGGTGGTAGTTAGTGCCGTATTTGGTTTTTCAAACTCCTGCTATGCATCTGGGTGTCTGGTCCATGCACCTGAAGCTTGGTGGAGCCTGGGACATCTTTTGGATACACAGAGTTTGGAGATACTCCTCTGCAGCTCTCTGCTATCTGGGGATTTTCTATATGCTTGAGCTCCCAGAGGACCATTTTCCCAGATCTTACTGCCAAAAAGTTAGGTTCCTTTCAGAGATTTTCCCCTTGGCCCAGTTTTGGTTGTCTCAGGCTGTCCTCAGGTCAATGTGGAGAGAGAAAAGAGAAAGGAAAAAAAAGAGAGAGAGAAAATTTCCCCTAAGCTCCTTTGAACTACGGAGGCTATTTTTCCTTTTTCCTCTGTCCAGAGACATGGCTTTTCTCAGATTCAGATGACTGCTCCTGCACAGCTCCTGGAGTGGTACAACTCCGAGCACAACCCTCTCAGGGTGGGACCTGAAAAGGAGAGGAAGCAAGACAAAAACCTCAACTGCCACCACCTCAAGCCCACACCTTGATGCAGGAATGCCAAGAAGGTTTGCATAGGTGCTAATTTTTTGCAATGAATCTTAGAATTTGAGTACAAAGGATCTTGTCAAGGATCTTGTACTCCTGCTGGATTTTAAAAGCAGGGAGATAGAGTATTTTCTAAGTGTGAACACAAATTAAAATGGCACAATGAAGATATATGAACAGCACCTGCGAAGTGCACTGGTTGGGACTTTAACTTTTGTAAAGAAAGAGTTTTATAAAATGCTTTTGAGGAAGAATTTGTGAGATATTATTTTCCTGCAATTCAAATGCCCCGTGTCCCATCTCCATTGTCAGAAACAAAAGATTTTTTTGTTGTTGTCCACATTGACGGACTCAGATGAGAATGAAAGTCATGCAGATGGAAATCTTGAACCTGCTGCTGTTCAACAGGGCTGTTGGGAGAAGCCCCTGGAGCCCCAGACTCTTTCTTCATCTCTGAAGTGTGTGTAGCATCGAGCGGGCTTCACTGCAGAAAGGAGAAGAAGGAAGAGCTGGAAATGGAGTCCTGAGGGACAAGGGGACGCTGAGAGCCACTCTTTCAACCAGGAAGAAAAGCCACAGTGCCAGAAGAAAAGGTCAAAAATAAAATATTTAAATTTTCTTACTGGTACTTTTCAGATCCAAGACTCTCTGTGAATAGTCAAATGGAGAGTTGACTCACAAATGATGTGTTGAAATGTATTTGGATGCTTCACAGTGCAGAATTATAAGCCTCAATTAACCAGATAGTTTCCTCAGTTCTCCTCTGCCCCCACCCCTTTTTTTTTTTTTTTTTGGAGAAAGATTGTTTACAAAGCTCAATCTGTGTTCATATGGCAGTCATCATCTTAAACAATATTAAGCAATATTTATTAAGTCAGTAAAAATAAATTTGACACTTGCCTTCTCTGTAGAGGTTTGGAACCAAAACTTGTTGCACAAGATGTGGTTAAGTGAGAGAAACACACACAGTTGTGTAGTAAACACCAAATTAATAGTATGCATAGATTATATATTTAAATTGTTCTCAGGTCAAGGGTAAGTTCAGAAGATTTTTAGAGTATGTTAAATTGCAGGAGTTTTATGTTTAGGTAAGGTAAGGTTAAAATAATTGGTGTCTTCTAAAAAGCCTGGGGGGTGGACAGCCAGAGGAAATAGGCTTTAATGAACTGGTGCACTGGGGAAATTTGGATTTGCAGTGGGTGAGCCTTCAAATGCAGGGGCCCTCACTATGTTTGCTTTGAGAGCAGCACAGAGGCTGTGTGGCATGGGCTCTCTGGGAGTTCCTCACTATTTCTGGGGTGGTGGCTCTTTTATAGAAATTGATGTGAACTACCTTTTCTAAACACACACACACAATCGTATTTCTGGTTTGGAGGGTTCATCAGTAGGCTGTGAGTTGAGAAGGCAGGTGCTCTATTGATTTCACACATTGTATCTTCTTAAACAATATTCAGTGCATGAAGTGATGAATTCAGTAAGCAAATAGGCATCAAATGCCTCCTATGTGTCGGGGACAGCTCTTGGTGCTGGGGACATAACACTGAGCCAAACATAGAAGCATTCTTGTTGTCATGAAGCCTGGGGGAAGACAGACAATCAACACAATGAATGAGTCAAAGCTATGATATATGAGGTGGTGGTGAACACCGGGAGGAATGTCAAGCAGGGAAGGTGGGTAGAAAGTTTGCACGGAAACTGTAATTTTAGGTGGCATAGCCAGAGAAAGTCCCACTGAGAAGTTGGCATTCAAGGAAAGACCTGAAGGAAGTGAGGACATAGATTGCACCTCTCCATGGGTCATCCATCCACCACAACAGCTGGGTCAGTTTTATGTCACTTATTCATTTATTTTCTGTTAATTAATATTTGGAGGTTTGGTGAGATCAATATTTGTCAGAGAGATGGGCTGAATGTCAATTTAGAGGGGAAGGAAGCTTTATAACCCTACTGGTCTACTCAGAAGGAAGAAAAAAATTATATATAAGAATGACTATCACAATAAATAATCCGAAATTAAAATTTTGGGTTGTATGTAATTTCTAATCCAGGTTGTTCATGTCCCCTCTTCAAAGTCTCTTCTATACGCAGGGCTTGTTTCCTAATATAAGACAGTGTCCTAACATGTAAACCAGGAATACTTTCCTACTTCAAGTAGGAAAAAAACCTAAATAGAGTGACTTAAATAAATAGGAGCTTTTCCCACAAAACAAGCAACCCAGAGGTAACTTGCTGCTGGCATTTGTTCAGCAGTTTAGCAGTGTCAGAGACAATAATGATTTAATTTTTCTGGCCTTTTCCTCATGGTTACAAGATGGCTGTTGCATACTCAGCCATCATGTCCACATTCCATCAGATGGGCTAAAATTGAGTGAGGGGAAGAGCAAAGGACTGAATCAACAAAGCAAAACCTTCCTCAGGGATACAGAGAAGACACGGCTTATGTCTCATCAGCCAGAACTTTTTAACAGGGCCAATCCCAGCTGGAATGTGGCTTTGGAGGAAGGAGGTTATAAATGGAGGCTGGGCATGACAGGCAGCCTCTCTGAGATGGCCTCCATTATCCTACATCCTGGTATTTATGCCTACATCTTTCCTTTTCATGTGCACTTGACCTAGTGACTCACTTCTGTGCATGCACTATGGCAAGTGATGACATGTCACTTTAGACATTAGGTTTCAAAGAGACTGTGTCATATCTTCTGTCTTGGGCATGCCCTCTCCTGCTCCCCCTTGATTGCTTGGCTTGGGGTGACCAGCTGCCACACTGTGTGGCAGTCCTAAGAAGAGGCCCATGTAAGTGAGCTTAGGAATAGATCTTCTGAAGTCTGTTCACAACCGTGTGTGTGAGCCTGGGAGAGGATCCTTCAGCCACAGTTGAGATTTCAGACGAGTGTATCCCTGGCCAACAGCTTGAGTGCAACCTCATGACAGAACTTGAGCTGGACACACCCAAGTAAACTGCATCCAATTCCTGGTCCACAGGAACTGTGAGATAATAAGTTTTTGTTTTAAGTTGCTAATTTTGGGCTAATCTGTTACACAGCAATAGATAAGTGATACATTGGGTCAATGAATTAACCATGTCTTTTACATCTATATGTGATAATATTCAACAACAAAAAACTGCTTGATGAGAAACTTATTAAAGGTTTCTCGCAAGTTTAAGTAAATTAAGTGTTCTAATTCTCCATGCTCTCAAAGTTATTTATCTCTTCAAGGAATACTAGATTAATGAGCATCATATAAATTTTTATGGAAATTTTGTTGTTACCTAATAGGGACACTCGTGTAAATGTTTCATGGGTGTATTCTCTATGTCTAATACCAACCAACTCTCCATGTCCAGATTATGATTTATTTATTTGCAAGTCTCTGAGTTATCAGGAATATTTCTCATGGGCAGAAATTACCCTGGCCATATCTCAGTCTTGTGATCTTTGTAATACTAAATAAAACATTTCTTTTCAGTACAAGCTAATCATCTAACATCCTACTAACATTTGTTTTGGCCTCAGAATTTTGTGTATCTCAACGTTTTTCAAAGTTCTCTGTGATGTGGGCCAATCTTAAATATCCAAAAATTGGTTTATTTTTCTCCAATATACTTAGAGCAGGCTAATTTTCTCCTTTTTTCTAAATATGCTCTCTCATTGTTGCCTAATTAGGCCTTTGACTATTTTATATCACCATGTAAATTTTCCTTGCATACCACTCCTTCTCCCCAACAAATCTCATCCACATCTTTCAAACTCACCTCCAAGGCTCCAGTGATCGTATCAGTCCATGCTGGTCTGTTCTCTAACACCCATTTGGCCCTCCGCCACCTGATTGCCTAGAGTAGGCATACTAGGAAAATATTTCTGGAATTAAGTTTGAAAAATTTTAAGGTGTTTTGAAACATTCTCTTTTTTTAATAATATCAGCCTTTCTACTTCATAATAGGGAGTGAGGGTGAGAAGTATTAGTAATTACTATGTACCAGGCATTCCTTATACCTTATAAAATACAACAAGCTATGACATAGGCATTACTATCTCCACTTTGCAGATAAAGACAGTGAGGCATAGAAAAGCTCAAGTCCTAGGCCGGGCGCGGTGGTGCATGCCTGTAATCCCAGCACTTTGGGAGGCCAAGGCGGGTGGATCACCTGAGGTCAGGAGTTCGCGACCAGTCTGGCTAACATGGTGAAACCCCATCACTACTAAATACCAAAAAATTAGCGGTTCATGGTGGCGCATGCCTGTAATCTGAGCTACTTTGCAGATTGAGGTAGGAGAATTGCTTGTACCTGGGAGGCAGAGGTTGCAGTGAGCCGAGATTGTGCCATTGCACTCCAGCCTGGGCAACAAGAGTAAAACTCTTTCTCAGAAAAAAAAAAAAAAAAAAAAAAGCCAAAATAGTTAGTCCTTAATATCACAGTGATTGAGCAAGGATTGGACCTCAGGTGGTCTGAATCCCAAGCACTTTCTCTTCCCTTGAAACCACACATTCGTTTTTAGATTTGAGAATTATGTTAATATATTCCTCAAAGTAAACCAAAATCGGAAATTAATTATCTCTTTTTCCTTTAATTCTTAAGCAAATCCTTTGCACTTAGGATCAAAAGTAGTTGCATTGATTCTCCTGTTGAACATCTACCTTTGTTATCTTAAAAACCTGAATTATTGGCTTCAGAGTCCCTTGTAAGGTATTCCTTGAAACTTTCTCTGACATACCTAATTTCTAGTTTGAATTTGGCATTTTGGACCTTGTGGGTTTTATTGTTTATACTTGGGTGGTTTATTTTTCATTTAAAAACCCATCTGACTTTTTCTTAATTGAAATCTTTTTGCTTAATTGAAATTAACATTTCTTTGGTATGTTTTGGAAAACCTAGTGATATTAAATATACATTTTAAACAATTTTATTAATGCTCAGAAAAGTATATGCAAAAACTGTACAAGGATCAGGTCCGAGCTGTGTCAATCTGAAGTTGGTTGACAACTTTTGCTGAGCTTTCTTACTGCACAGCAAGTCACTGAATTGTACATGAGATGACCAGTTTTGTTCAGATATGTGTCCTTGTGTTGACGCATATTTCTAATCCAGTCATATAAATGCTCCTAAATGTGCCCCATTCAGTGAGATGGGAGAAAGTTCAAAGAATACCATATTTTCAGGAAGGTCAGTTAGTATTATAGGAGTTGATAGAAGAGAAGGAATATAGGGAAAATTTCAACTCTCCATAATTGGAGTAAGTGAATATTAAGAAAATTGATTATTGATTAACCAAAACACCCAATAGCATTAGTGTCCTGAATTTTCACCCTAGGATGCTTTGCAAACGGAGGCTTAGAAAAGTAAAAGGGAGAGAAGGATCTGGCAAAGTTCTAATCTCCCCAAGTGGACACTGTGAAGCATAAAGCACTGTGCATTAGGAAAGTTTTATTGCTATTTTTATTTATACAAGAATGTAGTTTTCTGAAATTAATTAAAAATTATCCCACAGAAGGAATGGAGTTTGAGGTTGTGAAAATTGGTGATTCCTGAAGTCTTACTGTAATGTACTTTATCAAGATGAAGTCCAGGGCCCTGGTGAAGTGGGAGAGGCTGGGCAGCCTGGGTCCAATTCAGCTGCAACCTGAGTAGGCCATGACTGTGTGTGTGTGTCTCAGCCTCACTGCATCAGAATTTTCTCATCTGTACAAGGGGATAATCATAGTACTTATTAATCAGACTTCCAGGATCAAATCAGTCAATAAATGTAAGGCTTTAAAAGGAGTTCGTGGCACATAGTGAATATCTATCTGATAAATGTTAACTATTATTTATGACCATAATATCATTTAATCCTTCCTCAAACATTGTTATGTAGGTATTTTACACAGAATTTATAGAAGAAGAACTCAAAATGCAGAAACACAAAATAACTTCTCCAGGGCCATACACAAGCTATTAATTGATAGTTTGGAGATTTGAGCAGAGATTTATCTGATGCCAAAGCTCATATGTTTATTTAAATAAAGTTTGTAAAAACAGTGATTTGACACTTACAAATACAATCTCAATTTTCTAAATAAAAAATTATTTTTATTTGACTAAGTGATGGATTAAGGAGTGAGTTTTCCTAAATATCTCAAAAGAAATGATTAAGTCAAGGATTCACCCAAAGACTGCTGAAA
Source organism: Homo sapiens (assembly GCF_000001405.40). Classification (NCBI taxonomy): domain Eukaryota; kingdom Metazoa; phylum Chordata; class Mammalia; order Primates; family Hominidae; genus Homo; species Homo sapiens. The sequence continues at coordinate 22,147,350 of NC_000013.11, forward strand.
TGGAAACTGAAATTATTATGAATTAGCACAGTGCTTGGTCTCATAAAATTCAGGTGTGCGAGTCAGTGGCAGAGAAGTTCTCTGAGTGTGTGTGCTGAGAAATGAGGTGAGAATGACAAAACTATATCTATAAAGTGACAGCGATACATTACAGGTGCTAATTAAAACAAAATGGTCTCTGTCTTGTTTCCAGGAACCCCCATCTCCTCATTCTTATTTTTAGTAGGCTTTGTTTTTAGGATGACATGAGTCAGTTTGGTGGATAATACACTTAAGGCAGAGTCACAATCTCATAGTTCTTGATTACCTGAAGTTGTTGGTTGGATATATTAAATTAAAAAGTTGCTTCAGTTTGGAGTGGACAGTATGGTTTAAGAGCATAATTGGAAGTAGGAGTTCTCAGCAAACACCAGGTCAGCATGGAGTTATTGTAAATCTGAGTAGGAAACAAATGGGGCGATATAATTTGGGCTGCTTGCTTTCTGTCTCTAAATTTCGTTTTCATAAAGTGATCCAGAAGAGATTTTGTATAGTGTGAATCTAAGCTTGATGGAAAATCAATCAGGTACTGAAATATTCAGTCATTTAGGATAAACTGTAGTGACAAAGAAATGATAGACACTTGGGATTAGAAGAGATCTCAAATGTTCTATGGTCCAACTCCACCTATGGTTATACCTAGTTTTTTTGTTTTTTTTTCCAATCTCATCTTGACCATCTGTAGTGATATAAAACTTATTATTGCACATGTAAAAGTTACAGTCTCAGATGGCCTAATGGCTAGAAAAATGTGTTCTTAGATAGAGCAAAATCCTTTTTCAGTAACTTCCATCCATTTCTCTGATTTCAACCCTCTGAAGCCACATTTAATTTCTAATATCATTTTCATATAATATGTTCTTGGAAACTTTTCTTCAGGTTGACGATCCTTATCCGCTTAAAGCCTTCTCCTTTTGAGACCCTTAAAAGAAATGGTCAGTAGACACTTGCCAGCTTGTTGACATTTCTTTTAAAGACTATTTTTCAGAACTGAGGACAGTTCTCCAGTGTGGTCTCCACTGATGAGGCCAGAGTGCTGCATGTTCTGATCCCTCCAGAACAGGCTGCTTACGGTTGTATAAGCCTTCCTGGCCACTTACTGAACTGTTGACTCTTGTTGAGGCCAATGGTAATCATAATCTCTTGAGTCTTTTTTTTTTTACAATTAGTTATGTCTCCACAGTACTGCATTTCTATCCCTCCCCTCCTCTCACCTCCCCTCCCGCTTTCTCTCCCATCCCCTCCCCTTCCCCTCTCCTCCCCTCTCCTCTCCTTTTCTCTCCTTTCTCTTTTTCTTTTTTGTTGAAGCTTGAAATGGACAGTGTTTATGCCTATTATAGTTTATTGAGCTAGATTTGACCCATCTTACCACACTGCTAAGATTATTCAGGACTTTGTCTCTGATATCCCCTTTGACATTCCTATCTGTAATTTGCTAGTTGGATCCGTGTGTGTCTTACATGAGAGCCAGTAATCACAGGCTGTTGACTCACATCTGGAACCCAACCCTGGATCCAGTGTGGTGAGGGGAGGCGTGATGGCTCTGGCAGGTAATGTTGGGAACTTGACAACTGAGCCCTGGTGTATGGGGGATAAAAAGCAGCCCAAAGCAGAAGAAGGACAGGGCCCATGGATGCAAGATAGGTTAGGAGGCACATTTTAAATATGTCTAGGTAGGCATTGCCCACCTGTCAACATTGCAAAGTAGAAAACCAGGAGCTGGAGGCACAATGGTAAGGGAGGGATGATGCCCTGGTGGGGAAGGGGCACCATCCTGCCCAGGTGGGTGCTGACTTCACACATGCACTCCTCCCAGCACCCAATACGAATCAGTGTTGGGATTTAGGCTGAAGCCTCAGAGGCTTTCCTTTCTGAGGAATTCCTTCTGCCTCAAAGTCATCAGAAGTGCACAAACAGCAGCCCAGATCGCCTTCCTCTAGGTACACGTGACCTTCAGAGGCACAGAAGGCCCTCAGGAAATACATGCTCACAGGGGATGATAGGGAAATATCTTAGAATTAAAACCCCTATAAGACACAAGTGACACATAGAACAAACAATGGTAATTAAGCAGAACTTAAGAAATCAGACAAAAAACAAGCATAAAAAGTAAGTATAAGAAATACTTTAAAAGAGATAAGAGAAGCTATGTGGAACACGGAGCAAGAATTTTTAAAAATCATAAATAAGAATCATTAAGAGCTATCTAATATGAAGACGTAATAGCTAAAACAAAGAACACGGCAGATGAACCAAAAAGAACAATTAATAAGTCTTAAGAATGAATTAATCAGCTGGAATATTTTGCCAAGGAATTCTTCTGGTAAGCATCAGGAAGGGATAAAGAGGGAAAATGTAAAGGACTTGTTAAAAAATATGATGTCTTGATATAGAAATGTTAAAATATAATAGAAGTCAAAGAAACTGAGAAAAATTGAAATTACAGCAACATTATTTCTACCATAAGATGATAGAGGACCTCAGATTATAAAGACTGCCATAGTGCCATATACTAATGAAAAACCCACATACACATACACTGTAATTAAATGTGGGAAAATGAAAGACAACAAAAAAATTCTAAAAACTTGGAGATAAAAATTCTTATACAAAGAAACAGGGATCAGACTGGTATCAGCCATTTTGTAAGAAACACAACAGAGTAGCATTTTCAAGTATTAAAAGAAACAAAACCCCTGAATGCATAATTACAATTTTATATTAACTAAACTATTTATTTATTTATTTAGAGACTGAGTCTTGCTCTGTTGCCCAGGCTGGAGTGCCGTGGTGTGATCTTGGCTCACTGCAACCTCTGCCTCACAGGTTCAAGTGATTCTCCTGCCTCAGCCTCCCAAGTAGCTGGGATTACAGGCACATGCCACCACGCCTGGCTAATTTTTTTGTATTTTTAGTAGAGATGGGGTTTCACAATGTTGGCCAGGCTGGTCTCGAACTCCTGACCTCAGGTGATCCACCCGCCTCGGCTTTCCAGAGTGTTGGGATTACAGGCGTGAGCCACCGCGCCTGGCCTAAACTGCCAATTTAAATGCGAGGATAAATAAGACAATCTTAGGCAAGCAAAGCATCAGAAATTTCACCAACTACCTTCTTTGAAAATCTCCATTGAGGTAATACTCCAAAAAAACTGTTAAGTCCAGGAGGGCACTGTTAACTTGGAAATGAAGTCAAGATTACTGTTGTCAAAATAATACTTAAAAAAAATATGCTCAATGCTCATAATAATTTTTTAGATGGTATCAGCAGAGCTGGGGGTGAGTGGAAAGACTGAATTGAGTGTATGGTGGGTTGTGTGGTGGAAATTATTGAAGAGCTGAGGAAAATTGGAGCTATTGATTATTAATAACTGTCCTGTGGAGGAACTGGATCAGGGAAAGGGGGCAGATTTTAGGCACTGAGAAGCCTAAGAAATTGATAGGGGAAAATGAACAAAGTACAACATACATGAAACAAAACCTAGAATGACCAGGGATTTAACTAAATAATCTAGAATGACTAGGGATTTAACTATCTGATGAAGATATTCAGATGGGATGAAAACCAAAATGTAATAGAAACAATTTCAATAAAATTAAAGGGGTATAAAATGATTTACTAGAGAAATATTAACTAAAAGAATGTTATATATTAGTAAAAAATGATAGTTTTCAAGAAAGTCTAATAAACATGAATATGTATACTTTTTAAGATTTCCTTCAAAAAGTAAACAATTGAAAAAACTATGGGAAGAAATAGATAAATCAATGATTAGGCTTTGATATATCGATCAGAAAAAATAAACGGGTTGAATATCTAGTAGATATAAATTACTTTACTTTGAACAAATAGAGAACATACTTTCTGTTTGAACACACATAGAACACAAAAATTGACCACATACTACATTACCAAGAAAGTAAACCTTAACAACTTTTAGATAACCAGGGTCATACATGGTATATACTTTGACCATACATGTAGTGAAATTAAAAAAAAATTGAAAACCCAAAGAAATCACATATGTTTGGAAACTGAAAGAAAAATCTGAATACTTGACGAAGAAATCATAAAAGAAATGTTAAAAGAAGACAACTGACACGTCTGAGACACAGCTCAAGCAGTTCTGGGAGGAAAATGTATAGCTTTAAATGTATTATTTTGCAGAACAAAAGAAAGAATAAAAACAAATTTGATGAGCTTGCAGGCATGTTTTCATTGAAGTCGTTGGTAATGCTGTTGAAGCGGACTGTGCATACGGCTGAGAGTCCTGTGACTTCAAAGACTTTCCTCTGTTAAATTGATCCATCACAATGGTGAAGAGGATATTCAGTCAGTCATGATTCTGTCTAAATACATTAAAACTCAAGCAATAATTTGTTATACCACCAGAAAGGTATCACGAATATTTTTGTCTATTGACCACTAAATACAGATGTGTATTTAATGGTGCATTTTTAAAAAATCTTCCAGGCAAGAAGAACGTTCATGATACGATTATTGTGAATCTTTCCTGACTCCTAATGATTGTCTCTTTACTTCAGAATTAAATTCTTCACACATTATTTGCTTACCAATTTGTTCAAAACATTTTCTTGGCTGAACACCAAACCTGCCAGCCTGTACAGTTTGTATTATGAACGTTCTTGTCCTTTCTGAACATTACAACATTTATTCATCTTCAGTCCTCCTTTTACTTATTAGTTCCATAATTATTTAAAAGTTCACTGAAAATCAATTGCATTAGACCCTAGGATGATGCCTTTGAATGATTAGTTATAATCAAGACAGAAATCTAGGAACCAAATTTTTTTTTTTTTTTTTTTTGCTGCTGTACTCTCAATGGTCAGGAAAGCCCATAGGCAAGATTGGGGAAGATGTTGAAAATGAAAATATTTAACATGTTTAAGCAGAAAAAAAGTCCATTTTTGTATAAGAAAATGTTCTTATTATGCACACATGATTATCTACCTCTACATCATCACTGTTCTTCCTGTCCCAATCAAGAGAGGTATTTTTCATTCAATTTTTGCAAGAAACATGGCATTGCCAAAATTTAGATATTTTAACTTGCAAAATGGCAATTTCAAATGGCTCAACTTTGTACCATGTGCAAGGCATTGGGTATATGGTAGGGAACAAAAGTGATAGAGGCTCCGTCTCTTAGGACCCCTCCCTCTCCTAGAGGGACAATGTCCTAAGCCTAGAGAAAAGTCACAGATATTAATGGAGATGGTACAACCTGTGACCTTATCTTGAAAACAACTATGATTTTTTTGCCATGTAGCTTGGACCACTGGTCACCAGTCCTGAGCAGTATTTTTCTGTTGGTATGTATTTGATAAGTAACTGGTTTTTTAAAGATGCCAACAGACCCACAGGATTGAAATCATTCCATTACACTAGTTTCCCATTGTTCCTCCATCAGCCTCACATCATTTATCCAGGGCACTTGCTGTGTACTGCAAACTCTGTGGCGCTAATGATGTAGAAAGAATTTAAACTTTCAGCAGTAAATGTCTGCTAGATAACAGCAGCTGGATGGTTGGAGACCATCTCTGGTGCCATGAGTATCCTCCCTTCTGCCAAACATTTTTATCTGTGGAGCACAACACAGAACTCACTTCACATCCCTGCAACTTTCCCTGGCCAAGTAGATTTGGTCTCAGTGCTCTTATCGCTCATGTGACAAATGTGTTTCTCACAAGAATGTGTGTTTATATATATATATATGTATAAAAATGAAAGGTTGGCAAGAAATTGATATGAACTTGTATAGATTGGATACCTCTGCTAGCGATAATATTTATTCATCCATCTTGACTCACTCCAGATTGCTGAGACTCTATGTGTGTAAAGACAGTTTCTATCTCAAATTATAAACAATCTCTTAGCACTTATTGTGGTGTGATGGAGCTAATAGTACCTCAATAAATGCTCATAGAAGATTATAACTTTCCAATGTCTGTTTTGTGGCAATCAACATATAACCAACTGAAGTAATTTTATCACATTGAAAATTAAGTGCTAAGAAAAAGGAAAGAATTGGGGTGTGTATTTTATGATATAATTTCATGTGGCAATGTAGATGTCAATGTAACTTTTTCCTTTTCTAAATGCCCAAGTCATTTCACAAGACCACAAAACTCTTCTTTCTTTTCAAGTGAAAATGATTTCTTTTCAAATAGACGAAAAAGAAATTCATTGCCTTCAGGTTATATGAGGTGAGAAAATCAGGGGAGACTATCCTGTTTTAAAGGATAAGAATTTGAGCAATGAAAATAGCTAGAGAGCCCAGATTCTCATTAGCACCATTTTTATCTGGTGTGTGATAGCAGGAGATAGAGTTGATTAAAATCGCTTTTCAGAGGATTGAAAAAGTACATTCTTGTCACTCTCCTCAGATCATTGGGGCATTCTGTTTATTTTCTGCCTCTTTCCACTGATACTTATTTCTAGTTTCCATGGATCCTTTTTCTCTTTTTCCCACAGTGTGGTAGTCACTATGTAAGGAATTCCTTAAGTCTGGCAAGTGCAGTAATTTTTCAAATTAGAATTATCATAAAAATTTTAATACCAATTTAAGGATATTCCTGTTCATACACTTTGAACATTACAATAGATACTCCCTTAATTATTAAACTTGTGACTTTGGATCCCTTTCCCTAATAAATGTTAGGTCAGTTGAATCAAAGGAGGAGAAGTCTACCTGGAGATTTTAGTGACTATTGGGGAAATTAAAACAAAACAAAACAAAAAAAGACCCATAACGATAGAAAAACATCCAGTGTCTTGCATTGGTATTTCAATGTAGTGTAAGATAAATTCCAGTTGCTAAAATCTAGTTTCACCACCAGGGCTGGTCAATACCTCCTGTGTCTATGAGGTTGGAGGAGGAGTTTGCCTCAGCGGGAAGGTTCGTAATGTTAGGTAACTACTCTAACATGGCAATACTTGAGTGATTATTTATTTTCTAAACACACATTTCTCTGGTCCTTGTTTATTTATGGCATGGGAATAAACATTTGAGACTTTGTATAGTTTTATCTATTAATAATAATTAATCCAGTATCTGAAAACATTTCTAACTAGTGTTTTCCATGAGGCCCTTTAAAAGAGAGAAATTCAATTGCCTTTTGAGATGTGAATGTTGAATTCATTTAGATCTCCTGCAGAAATAAATCCGTCATAGGCAAAGTTAACATCTCACTAGTGTTAGAAAAACCTGCTGAAGTTCGAAATGTTTCTCAAGGTAGTATGTTCATTTGGTATTATATTTAAGTAAGAAAGCTAATTTTATAGGGGTTGGGGCTTTTGAACTTTCCTATCTCAGACATTCCTTGGAACTGGAGAAACTCATATCTGAGATCAACATTTGGCAGCATTCAAAATACTTTCTTCATTACAATAATATAATTTCCCATGTAATTTGGCTTCTTGGAGTGGAGGCGGCACTAACTTCACCACTTTAAATGGAAGAATAAGATTTGGCACCCTGTCATATGACTTGTCATTTGAAGTCACCTGCTTTTAAGCAATCCCAGAGAGGCTGGGGTTTAGAGTCCCAAAGGATGGCATATGACTCTTCTCCATGCTCCTCAGGCTAAACTCATTGAAACAGAAGCTGCACTTGTTATTTTTGTGATGAGCACGACTTAGTATTGCAACCCCAGAGCTGGGCGAAACACTGGTGTTGTGCAGAATCAATCAAATCAAGGTATGGCCTTGCCAGACAGCAAATATATGAAAAGAATACAACTTTCTTCCAGCAGTGAAAGATTGGTTGAAGGAAATTCCCTGTAACCAAGAAGGGGCTAGAAACTAAAATCAAATGATTTGTTTATAAGTATATAGGAATAATCTACTTTTCTTCTTGTGAAGGAAGCTCGGTCTGTGCATCTGGGGTCCTGGTAAAATCATTTTGGGTGGCTCTCTGGCTTCTGGTCCCGAGTTTTGGAACTCACCTGTAGAAGGTACCCATGTTGCTTGCAAAGGTAAATCTCTTCCCCTGAAAGGTGAGTAGATGTCCTATTCTTGGAGGTTTTAATTAAAAAGAAAAAAGTAAATAAATCAACCTATGGAAATTCACACTTTTAAGCATAGGGACAATTTTTTATCATTGAGATAATCTGCATACTTTTGGTACTTAAAGTATATGTAATATTGGCCGGGCACGGTGGCTCACACCTGTAATCCCAGCACTTTGGGAGGCTGAGTTGAGCGGATCACCTGAGGTCAGGAGTTCATGACCAGCCTAGCCAACATGGTGAAACCCCATCTCTATTAAAAACACAAAAATTAGCCAGGCATTGTGGCAAGTGCCTGTAATCCCAGCTACTTCGGAGGCTGAAGCAGAAGAATCGCTTGAACCTGGAAGGTGGAGGTTGCAGTGAGCTGAGACTGTGCTCCAGACTGGGAGACAGAGTGAGACTCCGTCTCAGAAAAAAAAAAAAAAAAAAAAAAAAAAAAAGTATATGTAATATTTATGTAAGATAATTCAATCAATTATCTTATGTTTAAAATTTTAAAAAGATGATTCAGCAATTGATTTTAGACTTCAGATATAGAAATGTGTAGAAGAATTTCACGATGTTTTAAAGTCATGGTTGTAATTAGCATATAACATTTATAATTAGAACTTCAAATTTATGGAAAATTGGGTTTTTGCATATGCAATTTAATAATTTGAATTAGTTAAAAACATCTGGTGACTTCGGTTTATGGTCTCTGTGCACAAAAAGCCCCCCTTTAACATCAAAATACTCATAGTAACACTTTTTGCAGATGCAGAAACTGAAATCCTGTCTATCTAGAAAATGCTGCATGCTCCCTTCCTTCTCCTGGTCCTGGCCTGTCACCTCCTGGCCCTGGCCTATCACCTTCTCTGGAAGCCATCCCTGACACACCTGTACCAGGTAGAGCCACCTCTTCCCCTAGGTCATCATCCATCTTTAGCTTGCTTCTATGGATTTGCTTTCTGTCCTATGTAACAATCCTTCACATTACCCAGAATTTTCTTAAGGATTTACTCCTATTTCAATCCCTATTACCTACCAAAATTTATATTTTGTTCTTGGCATTGTTCTAGGCTTGCTAAGGTGTTAAGGAGACTCCCTAAAATGTTATACTACATTGTTGTAGGCCTCAAGGAACTTTACATTTTAATGACAACTAGTACATATAGTGTGATAAATGACGCAGTACTACATGGCTCCCGGATGTTCTGATTTAGTAGTTGAGGTTGGGCCTCAGGAATCAGGATGTTCAGGAAATCTCCAGAGAAATCCAGTGTGCAGCCAGGTTTGGGGACTGCTGGATTACAGGAAGGAGATTAGAATCTGCAAAGCCAGTTTGAAGGCACGAGGGTTTTTAAATGAATATTCAAAAGTCTGGCTCAGGATACACTCATGGGTAGAGCAAGAAACTGATGGCGGCCTTGCATGCAGATCCTTCCACTCTATACCCAGACATCATGTAGGTGCCTCTCCTGGTGGTTGCAGGCCCTTATGGGGATCAGGGCACAGGTAAAGTCTTAATTCCTGGGAATCTTGGTAGAGAATGATTGCAGGGTTTTTCCCAGTGGGGTGGTCAAATGTATGGAAAAGAGCAACAGGGAGCCTGGGGTGAGGCCAGAAAACAGCAGAACCTGAGCAGAGTTAGGCTCATAGAAATAGGAGGATCTTTGTGCCAACCCCAGCTCCATGAGCTTGTGGCACGTCCCCTTGGCCTCCAAGAGACCAACAAAGAGCTAAACAGGTAGTGGTCTTTCACCATCCTGAGGCTGACAAGGACCTCAACAGGGACTGGCAGGCTTTCTGCTTCCACACACAATTCTAAAAGGGGAGACACCACTTTCCCTTCCATCACATGCAAGGGTGCTGTGCTATCCCCTGGACTCTATAGAACCACATTCCTGTCCAAATACAAGTCCCTTTTAATATCCAGAGAAGGAAGAGTGGTCAGAAGAAACACAACATAAACCTAAACAGAAAGAACAAAAGGCAGAAACAAAATACTACATTTTAAAAAGTACTTAACTTTCTAAAGTTGAAAATATGATGTATTAGTACATTTTACGTTGCTATAAAGAAATACATGAGACTGGGTCATTTATACAGAAAAGAGATTTATTTGGTTCATGGTTCTGTAGGCTGTACAGGAAGCATGCCACCAGTATCTGCTTCTGGGAGGCCTCAGGAAGCTTCTAATCATGGTGGAAAGCAGAAGGGCAGCAGGCATGTCACATGGAAAGAGCCAGGAGCAAGAGGGAGGGGAGAAGGTGCTAGGCCCCTTGAAACAACCAGCTCTCCTGTGAGCTAGTAGAGTGAGAACTCATTCATTACTGAAAGGACAGCACCAAGCCATTCATGTGGGATCTGATCCTATGACCCTAATACCGCCCACCAGGCCCACTTCCAACAGTGGGGTTCAAATTTTAACATGAGATTCACAAGGGACAAAACTGCCAAGCTATGTCACATGATTTTCCAAACAAATAATTGACTGATGAATTAAAGATGAGATAGTTATAGTTGAGACTAAAGTTTGAGAACTAGAAGTTCAAGTGGACAAAATATTTCAAACAGAACATAATTATAAAGAGATGGATATAATGAGGAAAAAATCATTTTGGTGGGGAAAACCCATCTTTAATAGTGAAACAATACATCTAGGTGGGGAAATACTTGGTCAGTTGCTTTTAAAAGATAGTAGGAAATGTA